>NC_000005.10:15023698-16277123 GCF_000001405.40 Homo sapiens | reverse complement strand
CCTCTCCGCCCGGCAGCCACCCCGTCTGGGAAGTGAGGAGCGTCTCTGCCCGGCAGCCACCCCGTCCGGGAGGGAGGTAGGGGGGCTCAGCCCCCTGCCAGGCCAGCCGCCCCATCCGGGAGGGAGGTGGGGGGGTCAGCCCCCCACCCGGCCAGCCACCCCATCCGGGAGGGAGGTGGGGGGTCAGCCCCCCGCCAGGCCAGCCGCCCCGTCCGGGAGGTGAGGGGCGCCTCTGCCTGGCCGCCCCTACTGGGAAGTGAGGAGCCCCTCTGCCCGGCCAGCCGCCCCGTCCGGGAGGGAGGTGGGGGGGGGTCAGCCCCCCACTCGGCCAGCCGCCCCGTCCGGGAGGTGAGGGGCGCCTCTGCCTGGCCGCCCCTACTGGGAAGTGAGGAGCCCCTTTGCCCGGCCACCACCCCGTCTGGGAGGTGTGCCCAACAGCTCATTGAGAACGGGCCAGGATGACAATGGCGGCTTTGTGGAATAGAAAGGTGGGAAAGGTGGGGAAAAGATTGAGAAATCGGATGGTTGCCGTGTCTGTGTAGAAAGAGGTAGACATGGGAGACTTTTCATTTTGTTCTGTACTAAGAAAACTTCTTCTGCCTTGGGATCCTGTTGATCTGTGACCTTACCCCCAACCCTGTGCTCTCTGAAACATGTGTTGTGTCCACTCAGGGTTAAATGGATTAAGGGCGGTGCAAGATGTGCTTTGTTAAACAGATGCTTGAAGGCAGCATGCTCTTAAGAGTCATCACCACGCCCTAATCTCAAGTACCCAGGGACACAAACACTGCGGAAGGCCGCAGGGTCCTCTGCCTAGGAAAACCAGAGACCTTTGTTCACTTGTTTATCTGCTGACCTTCCCTCCACTATTGTCCTATGACCCTGCCAAATCCTCCTCTGTGAGAAACACCCAAGAATTATCAATAAAAAATAAATAAATTAAAAAAAAAAAGTGTCTGGTCTGAATGTCAAATAGCTGGATGTGAATTGCTTACAGCCTGCAAGGTCAAAAGAACAAAACAGAAAGAGGAGCACAAGCTGGAAAATGGAGAGTCGAGAGAAGCATCAAAGAATTCAGCAGTGTGTGAAATGTGTGTAAGGTCTTGCTGTGTAGACCTTACAGGACAGGCTTTAGAGTTGGCCAACCTGATGCGTAACCCCAACGTGCTGTCCTTGCAAAAAGATCTGACCATAGCATCTGTGACAAAAATTTAAATGCCACTGAGTTCAACCAAGCACAGAGACTTTTCAGAAGAGGGTACAGCATAGGAAATTCATAATCATCTTTCTCTTGTGTATGTAGGCGTATTAATCAGGATTCTCTAGGAAAACAGAATCAATATACATAAAAAATATATATGCATACACAATCATGTGTCACTTAACAACAGGAACATGTTCTGAGAAATGCATCATTAGGCAATTTCATCATTGTGTAAACATCACAGAGTGTACTTACATGAACCTAGATGGCATAGACTAGTACACACCCTAGGCTATGTGGGGACAGCCTTTCGCTTCTAGGCTGAAACCTATACAGCATGTGACTGCGCTGAATACTCTAGGCAACTGTACCAGAATGGTAAGTATTTGTGTGTCAAAAGATATTTAAACCTAGAAAAGGCACAGTAAAAATATAGTATTATAATCTTATGGGATTATGTATGCAAATTTTCATTGAAAGATTGTTATGTGGCATGTGACTGTATATAAAAAGAGATTTATTATGAGGCATTATTTCACATGATTGTGGAGGCTGAGAAATCCCATGATTTTCCATCTGTGAGCTGGGGACCCAGGAAAGCTGCTAGTGTAGTTCTATTCCAAATATGAAGAGCTGAGAAGCAGGGGTGCCAATGTCTGAGGGCAGAAGAAGATGCATATCCAGCTCAAGCACAGAGGACAAATTTGCCTTTTCTCCACATTTTCTATTTGAGCACTCAATGGACTGGATAAGGCCCACCACATCAGGGGTGATCTTTTTTTAAAAAAAGAAATGGGGTCTCACTATATTTTTCTGGCTGGATTCAAACTTTTGGGCTTAAGTGATTCTCCTGCCTCAGCCTCCTGAGTAGTTGAGACTACAGGTACACTCCAGCTTCTTCTTTACTCAGTCTACTTGTTCAACTGCCAATCTCTTCCAGAAACACCCTCAGAGACAGATCCAGAAATGATATCATACCAGTTATCTGGGCTTCTCTTGGCTCAGTCAAGTTGACACATAAAAATTAATCATGAGAGTAGGTCTACAAATGTAGGAACTGTGTGGGCTCCGGAGTCCTGGCAACAACAAAGTCAATCGTGGCTGTTGAGGGCAGAGGAACATTAGGGTTGAGAAAAGTGGTCATGAAAAAATAGAAGATATGAGGACATTGGGGTGAAGAAGGAAGGAGCCAGCTACCTTTTCTTATTGTAGCATTTTTCACCTATGATGAGAAAGATGGAAGATGAAAGAACAATGAATGACATAACAATTAGTAAGATATATCAGTAACAAATGGGCCTTTAATGAAGAAGTCATCCAAAATCCTTCATTTTTAAAGTGGAAATGGGAAGTCCACAGAGGTCAAAAGTGTTACCCAGGAAGGCTCATTGCATTGGTATGGAAGCCAATATTCCATGGTGTTGGAAAGAAACTTTCAGTGCTTGTTCAGTATACTGTCATTAACTGACTTGGAGATTTCCCTTAACTCTTTACTGGATATTTATAAAGAATACCTGGCCCCAAGCAAATATATCTATGCAAATATTTCATTTACAGTCTCAAATTTTACTGTAGGAAAAAAAATCAAAATAAAGTAGAAAAAATCAAATGCTAACTTAGTAATATACCATACTATTCTAAAAAATAGTTACCTCCTGTAAATTTAGTCTCAGATATGTTAAATGACAACCATTTAGAAATGCATTACAGAATTCTTTTAATAAAATGTAAAATCCAGAGTTAATAGCTATATATATTTTAAAGACACACATTTATTGCTACCCATAATTCATTGCATACATTAAGCATGAACTTTCCTGTGGGCAATAATAAATGTGATTTATAAGTTGCAAATTAGTGTGAAGTCTATTTCGTATTCTATTGAGGACAGTCTCAAAAACCATCCAAAATTAGAAAAAATGTTAAAAAGAATTGAATATTTATTTATTAGTTGAATCATCTTTGTTTTAGTTCTACAAAATATATTTTAAAATAAAATTTATGTTTACATTCCCATCATAAAGAGTTTACTAAAATGAAAGGTGTAATTTTAAGGCTTTCTTCATTTTAATCGCTGAAGTTTATTGTCATTTTTTTAAGGTTTTGGGTAAATAACTTCTTTCTGTATTTTTTAAAATTAAAAATGAACTTTGCCTACTATAAAATCAGTGAATGTACATTATAAAAAACTTAAAAATCAAAAATTAGAAAATTAAAACATTTCCAACATGAATAACATTTTAGTAAATGTAGCTTAAAATTTTGTACATAAACATTTTTTAACAAATGAAATAGTATGTTACATAATGTACAGTAATCTGCTTTTTGGTTAATATTTTCTATTTTTTCATATAAATAAAATTGTGTCCCATCTAGCATACAAATCATATTACATTCGCCCCAATTATAACCAAAATGTCTTTACAGCTGGTTTGTTCCAAGATGAATTTACTTCAAGACCATACATTGTTTCTTGTCATCATGTTAATTGTCTGCAATCTAGAACAAGGGCTGCAGACCCAATCCATCAGGCTGCCTGTTTTTGAAAATAAAGTTTTCTGAAAACACAGGCACTCTTATTTGTTTAAATATTGTCCATGGTTGCTGTCTCTCTACAAAGGCAGAGTTGAGTACTTGTGACGGGGGCTGTGTAGCCCACAAAGTCATAAATATTTACGTCTTGGCCCTTTGCAGAAAAAATTTGCTGACCTCTGACCTAGAGCAGTCTTCCTTTTTCATGACACTGAATTGTTGATGTGTCTGGGCCAGTTGTCCGTCAAAATGCCCCATCTTGTGGATTTTTGGCTGTTTCTTGCAGTATTTTAGCGTATTCTTTTTATTGAATATTTTTGCTCATTCTGCTACAAAAATCTCAATACCTTTCTTATAGACTAAAAGGACAGTTTGAATGGAATGAATATAGGCAATTCTCTGGTCTTGCCAATTTTTTTTTTTTTAGTTTTTCTCTGAGATTTCTTTAACTGGTGTTAGGTCTTTTCAATTTATTAATAACAACAAAAGTTTTAGTATGAAAATGCCTTGGGAGAAAGTGTAATGGAGGAGATAGCATGAATAAATGGCTTGATTTTAAAGCAGGGGATGATGGGGGATGGAGAAGATAGAGCAATGTTGGAAAGTCAATCATACTAAGATGTGAATGACTGATAAAACCCAACTCTATAAGCAATAGAAGCCAGCAGCCTACAGGATGATTTTGGTTTCCTGAAAGAGTAGAAAGAAGAACAACTATAAGGAAGAGAAAATGGGAATTTCAAAGACAAACTTGCCTATTTCAAAACTTTTCCAGGGGCCAATTCTCAGCAGTTACTATTGAGCAGGTAAGACGATTGTCCAGACATTTCACACATGTTTCAATCTTCTCTGTAGGTGGCACTGAATAGTCATATAGAGAAATAAGGAAGCTGTATCACTTGCCTGGTAAAATTGTGATTAGATTTTTATAATCCTGATATCTATAAACTCCAAGTAACTTTTAACAGTCTTTTTTCTTAAACTCATAACATGCTGTATTCAATAAATAATTTCAAAACTATCATAAAGTGTGCTACAACACTAGCTTTATGAATACTAGATAATTATTTTGTGATCTTGGATTATGGTATGTTGACTGACTTCTGCCCGAAGCTGAGTTTATTAAACTTCCTGCAGCAAGGGACATTTTCACTTTATCTTAAAAGGAGGAAGTTAGGGAAGAATTTTTTTAAAATAGGGTTTGGAGGTCTGAGCCAAGTGGTTTAATTGGGCAATGTCAATGGCGCAAAAATACAGGTTTGGTGAACAGAACAAAGCCAGGTCCTGAGGACGAGCTGTTTGCATAGGTGAGCGCATTGTTGTTCTGATAGGAGAGCTGTTTGCCCAGATGAGCCAACTGTTTGTCTTGATAAATTGGCTTGCAAGGATTTCCTGAAGCAAATGGTGCAGTTAATTATTGGCCTACAGTCTTATCTTCCTGGGTATGAATTACCTGAAACAATCAGGTCATATTGACATAGGTGGTCCCTGTTCTCAGTCCCAGTGGCTGAGTTTTGTTGATTCAGGTGGTCTTATATCTCAAGCACTTCATAAAAACTGAAATTAAAAAAACTACGATGTTAAATTATTGCCTTAATTGTTTCTATACACTCATCAGAGTTATTAGTTTGTGTGTTTACCAAAATTATGTTGTAAATTCTCCAATTTACTCTCTCTATAGCTATTTTATTTTGAGGGACCTGATTAGTTATTTATAAAAACAAATATTAAGGTATGAAGATACTGGATCTTTTTCTTTAGTAATAAGCATAGCCTCCTTAGACTTTTTAATTTTTATTTTTAATCTTTGTGGGTACAGAGTAGGTATATATGTTTATGGGTACATGAGATGTTTTGATACAGGCATGCAATGTGAAATAATCACCTCATGGAGGGTGGGGTATCCATCCTCTCAAGTATTTATCGTTTGAGTTACAAACAATCCAATTACACGCTTTAAGTTATTTTAAAATGTACAATTAAGTTATTATTGACTATAGTCCTTTTATTGTGCTATCAAATAGTAGGTCTTATTGATTCTTCATATTTTTTTTCTACCTCTTGGCCATCTCCACTCCCCCACAACCTCCCAACTACCCTTCCCAGCCTCTGCTAACCATCCCTCTACTTGCTATGTCCATGAGTTCAATTGTTTTGTTTTTAGACCTCACAAATGTGTGAGAATATGTGATGTTTGTCTTTCTGTGCCTGGCTTATTTCACCTAACATAATAATCTCTGGTTCCATCCATGTTGTTGCAAATGACTGGATCTCATTTTTTTTATGGCTGCATAGTACTCCATTGTGTATATGTACCACATTTTCTTTATCCATTCATCTGTTGATGAACACTTAGGTTGCTTCCAAATCTTAGCTATTGTAAACAGTGCTGCACAAACATGGGAGTGCAGATATCTCTTTGATATACTGATTTCCTTTCTTTGGGTTATATACCCAGCAGTAGGATTGCTGGATCATATGGAAGCTCAATTTTTAGCTTTTTGAGGGACGTCCAAACTGTTCTCCATAGTGGCTGTGCTAATTTACATTCCCACCAACAGTGTACAAGGGTTCCCTTTTCTCCACATTCCTGCCAGCATTTGTTACTGCCTGTCTTTTGGATAAAAGCCATTTACATTGGGGTGAGATGATATCTCATTGTAGTTTTTATTTGCATTTCTCTGATGATCAATGATGTTGAACAGCTTTTCATATGCCTCTTTGCTGTTTGAAAAATATTTGAATGTCTATTCAAATCTTTTGCCCATTTTAAAATTGGATTATTAGACTTTTTTCCTATAGAATTGTTTGAGCTCCTTATATATTCTAGTTATTAATCCCTTGCGAGAGGGGTAGTTTGCAAATATTTTCTTCCATTCTGTGGGTTTTCTCTTCACGTTGATGATTGTATCCTTTGCTGTGCAGAAGCTCGTTAACTTGAGGTGATCCCAAACTTTTTTAAATTAAAAGAATATAACAAAGCTAACATGCTCATTGAAGGCTTCTGAAGTGTTGTTCCTAGTAAAATATGAAGATGAAATCTGTTTTTGAAGAAATATTCTAAAATAATTTTGCCAACTAAAACTACTTCTTAATATACTATCTACAAAAAAGAAGCAGTTTTTCCTTCACACTTCCTGTCACATTTTTATTTGTTTATTTATTGGGTATCTACCTTTTGCAAGGCACTGTATAGAGTCTCTAGAGAATACAAAGGAGAATTTTTCTGGGGCCCTGCCCTTCAAGAGCTGATAGTTTAACAAAATGTGTGGCACAGAAAATTATGAATGAAGTGGGTGTTATGTAATTAATAGGAATAATACAAAGTACTTCCAAATGATGGTATTTATGCATAATTTTCAAAAATTAAAAAAATTCAGGATTCTCATGCAAATATAGAATAGCATGAATCAGAGGTTTATTAACACATTAATGAGGGAACCACTCAGATGCACTCAGATGAATAAGGTGGTCCAAAGAGTATTTTGAAGAATTGGGTTTTATAGGCACTCTGAGAAAAGAATGTTAGAATGTAATGAGTAGGTTAGATACAAAACTGGTTAATGTCCTACAGGGCAGCAAAGTCATAACCTTGAGGATGATCTTTTCTACCAGAATAAAGTCAACAAGTACACATGTAATTTCACAGAGCCTAAGCCCTTAATTAATAGTAAAGAGTAAAGTCAAATGTAGGCACTCCCCAGAGATAATTAAATAATCTTTTTATGAGCCAATTATATGTGACATTGAAAGTAGTATTTTCATGTGGGAATTCCTCAACAACATTTCTTGGAAATGTTATTCTAAATCTTCAATTCCCCCCAAAAATCAACCAAGATAATGGAAACAGAGAAAAGTATTATAATTCTCCTACAGGAATTAGAGCTTGTCGGACACAGTGGCTCATGCCTGTAATCCCAACACTTTGGGAGGCTGAGGCAGACGAATCACTTGAGGCCAGGAGTTTGAGACCAGTCTGGCCAAGATGGTGAAACGCCGTCTCTACTAAAAATACAAAAATTAGCAGGGTGTGGTGATGCATGCCTGTAATCCCAGCTACTTGCGGGGCTGAGGCATGAGAATCGCTTGAACCTGGAAGGAAGATGTTGCAGAGAGCCGAGATTGTACTGCTGCACTCCAGCCTGGGAGACACAGTGAGACTCTGTCAAAAAAAAAAAAAAAAGAATTAGAGTTTAACAATTTATGTTGAGACATTATTGGTTCAAAAGAATCCACTGACATCAAGCAGAACAAAAATGCAGTGAATGATTGATTATAGGCAGAGTAGAAGGTTAAGGTCAATGCTTCTAGGAATCAGCAAAGTTTTAGACAATTTTCCTTAACAGACATCAGCACGAGGATCAGAGCCTCAACAGTGGAATTTCCCACGCTTGGGTTCTCTTCAAGCTTGGCTGTGACTTGGTCAATACCTATTGGCCGTTGGCATTATGAATAGGCAAGGCGGGAAACAGGGGATCTTTTAGAGATAGGAAGAAAATTGGTAGTGGGGAGGGAGAGTCTTAGCAGAACAATTGTTTTTTCCTGAACTTGGACAGCATAAGAAGAAATAGATCAGATCCTATTATATATCCATGAAAAAACCAAAACACTAAAATCAATACTAACCCTATTTACTCATGAATTCATTCAGTCCTTTGTAATCAATTCTTATTCTCTAGAATCTTGGATCAGTAATTTGCTTTCATGAAGTTTTTTTGCTTCTTCTGCCCTAAAGAGATCCCTGGATATCTTGACTGTCCCGGTCTCCCTCTCTATATCTCCTGACTCACACATATATAAATAAAATAAACAGTAAAAGCATTTATATACACACAGAGGCTCTCCATTAATTAACTCAGTTTCATTGTAGTCTAAGGTGTAAATCTATCTAGGGACCTTGGAAATTAGGTTCAAGCTGACATAGTACAAAATACTATTACTGCTATAAGGATGTTTGTTAGAATTTTGTTTAAATTTATTTGAACACATGATTTTGTTTTTTCACATCTTAAGTATTATGTAGAAGTAATGTTAGCTATGTAATCAGTAGACTAATATTAATAGTTTAGAAAATAAGATTAGTCTCTGCATGAGAAAACAAAACCAAATAAAATAAAACATATACTTGAATTACATGTCACACTGATAACCCCAAAGAAAAGATATAGAGTTGCTATTTTTAAAATTAATGTTTTAAATGGACAAAAATTGTATGTATTTATCATGTACAACATGAGGTTTTGAAATATGTGTATATTGTGGCATAGTTAAATCAAGCTAATTAACATATCTATTATCTCATATACTTAATTTTTTTTGTAGTGAGAACACTTAAAAATCTACTCTCCTGGTGATTTTCAAGGATACAATACATTGTTATTGGTATAGTCACCAAGTTGTACAGTAGATCTCCTGAACTTATTTCTATTACCTAGACCAAGGAACTGAAATTTTGTATCCTTCTTTGTTTTTTCAAACCAAAATTATTACATCAGTCTGGCTTGTCCAAATGTTCACCTTAAATATGTTAACCTGGATTCTTGTTTCAGAATAGCTTCTAAGTCAGCAGTTTCTGACATGAGTTATTTCTTTTACTTTCAATAGTTAAGTAATCAAAATATTAGAAACTCAATCTCTTTATTTTTTGGGAATTGTAGCAAATAACTAATTTATGTAAGTACCTATTTTTATAAACCAATCAGAAGTCCTTTAATTTAAGAGGTGTTACAATCTAATTTAATAATAACCTCTGGAAGTAGGAGGGTATTTAAGAAGAGGTGAAGGTCTTTCTCAGTTACAGACACCCCGGTATCCAAAGAGCTTGTGGCTGCGGTCATAAAACCAAAGGGCTCACAGGTCAGGGTGAGCACAGAAATGTGAAGACTCACCTGTCTGGGTCTCACAGAGCAATTTTTTTTCTGGATTTGAGATATATATAGATAAGAAAACAGAAAAGACCAATGAACTGGAAACTCTGTCATCTTTCACCAGCTACAGCTCATCAAATGGTCAAACCTCAAACTGGATTCCCAATATTTATTCTCCTAAAGGGAGTAATTTATCAGCTATGTGCAAACACACAGCCACATAGACACAGTGAAGGCTTGCAGCTTTCTGCACAAACCAGAAACAGAACCAAATTTGGCCAAGAACTGGAAACAAAAGGAAGTATACAGACAGCATCAGGTTAAAAAAGAGAGAGAGAGAGGCCATGCATGGTGGCTCACACCTGTAATCCTAGCAGTTTGGGAGGCCGAGGTGGGCAGATCACCTGAACTCAGGAGTTCGAGACCAGCCTGGCCAACATGGTGAAACCCCATCTCTACCACAAATACAAAAAAAATTAGCTGGTGTGGTGGTGCATGCTTGTAATCCCAGCTATTTGGGAAGGTGAGGCAGGCGAATCGCTTGAACCCAGGAGGTGGAGGTTGCAGTGAGTGAGCTGAGATTGTGCCACTGCATTCCAGCCTGGGCCACAGAGCAAGACTGAGTCTCAAAAAACAAACAAACAAACAAAAAGCAGAAAAAAAAAGAGAGAGAGAGAAGAAACAGCAAAAGTAAGGTTCTAGCATTGCTTGAGAGTCACTCTGGGTCCTAGAGAGGACAAGCCCGGGGGAACACTTTTTGGACAACACAGTTTAATTGGCTCTGGCATGGGATTCCACCTGGGCAGCTTGAACTATCTCCAAAGCAAATTTTATTTTCTTTGAAAAGTCAAAAACATTATTTTCCTTCAAATATAGAATAAGCACACATCAAAAATTGCAATTTTGTTCATGAATGAGACTACCAGCAGGATCATAAGGCTAACTCAAAGAAGGATTCATGGAACAAAGATTTATATAATCAGAAAGTCAAAAGAATGTAGAAATTATTTCCTAAAAGACACAAAATTGGTTAGTGTCCTATAAGACAATACAAGTATAATAACTGGAGTTATGTTTTCTACTGGACTGAAATCTACAAATAAAATTCTAACTTCATAATGTCTATCCTTTAATCAAATAGTGAACAGTGAAGTCTCACACAGGGGCATTTCCCTAAATAATTAATTCTTGGGTAGGCCTGTCAAAGAATGACACGTGGGCCTCAAAGTCCTTGTATAGACTTTGGATTTTACCCAAAGTGCAATGTTTTCAAGACAGTGATGGTGGTAGCTTAGATTAGGGTATTGGCAAGGGAAACTGAGAATTCTCTGTGGATTCAAGATATATCCAGGATGATTGTCAGGTTACTGGCATGAGTGACTGGGGTATGTGGGTGTCAGTTACTGAGATAGAACTGGAGGGAGAGCAGATGGAGAGGGGGTGAAGGGTGGAATTTGGGAAGCAGCAGGTTAAAGATGTCTATGAAACAATCAAGAGGTTATTTTAAGTAGACAGTTGGAAATTTGGGTCTGGGGCTTGAAAGGAGATGGCAGAATAAGGGATAATTGGCAGACTGACTGGAAATGTTTTGGGCCTAGTTGACCTCAACAAGGAGGGACTGCAGAGTGAGATGTGTGCTCAGAATGGAGACCTTGGTGCTCCAATACTGGGAAATCAGGTCAAGGAGGAACAGTCAACACAGGAGAGAGAAAGCAAGAACCTATTGAGGTAGGAAGAGAACCTAGAGAAGAGAGTGGGTTTTGAGGGTTTATCAAAGAAAACTGAAACTCAGTCACTGTTATGGGTTGAATTGTGTTCTCCCAAATGTTATGTTGAAATCCTAACTCCTGGTACCTTGGACTATGAGCTTATTTGGACATAAGGTTGTTGCCAATGTGATTAGTTAAGATGAGGTCATACTGGAAGGGTGGGCCCTTAATCCAATATGACAGGCATCCTTATAAGAAGAGGACAATGCACATGAAAACACAGACACAGGGAGAATGTTATGTGACATTAAAGGCAGGGACTGGAGCAATGTAACTGCAAGCCAAGGAATGCCGAATTTGGATAGCCACCATCATGAACTAGGACGAGGCATGAAGGATTCCACCCAGAGCCTCACATTTGTAAGAGTGCATTTCTGTGGTTTTAAGCCACTCAGTGTGTGGTTGCAGCAGCCCTAGGAAGCCAGTAAAGTTGCTTCCGGCTTCAAATCCAGCAAGACAAGGAAGGCAAATGCCCATTAGAGTAATATTACGCTGAGCATTAGGGGCTTGAGCAAGAGTGGCTTCGCTGAAGATAAGGCTGAGCCAGGACGGAGTGAGTGGAACAGTGAACAAAGACAGGTGAGCAAGTGGAGGCTGTCTCTGTAGAGCAGAGGTCCCCAAACTTTGTGTGCTCACATCAGCTCTAAGAAGACCTGGGAGCTGTGTGTCCCAACACAGTTGTAAGTTGATAACTTTTTGCATCATAACTTTAAGTAATTTCAAAATTTATTCATTTTGGCATATTATAACCACTGAAACTTTCAGATAAAACTATTATATGCTTCTTTAAACTATACCTAGTGGAATCAATAAAAAAATCACCATCTGATATCCAATAATTCACTTAAAATATTCATGAACAAGTTCTTAAACAGTTGGAAATTCTATGCCATTTTTTCTCCTTGTAATCTTATTTTCATCTGATTTCTTCTATAGAATTTCATTGTAATATGTGTCTATGTTTGGAAATCTTTTTTTTTGAGCAATCTATGCAATGAAATGTAGAAATTAAAATTAAATTTTAAAAAGTCTTCTGACCATAAATTTTAAGTACTCAGTATTTTTTTCTGGACTGGATTTGTTATTATTAATATTTGCATTCAATTGGTCAAAACAATATAGTGCATTATAAAATGATAAATAATTATTAAACATATTAAAGTTATTGGAAATACATCTGTTAATGAGATAGAGTTTTTAAAGTAGTTTAAGTATTCAAGGATCAATATTATTTTTTGCAAGGATGAGACAGTTTTGTATCAATGTTTTCCTACTTTTTGTTAATATGCTGTCTGATGTTCTCACTTATAAGTGGGAACTGAATAATGAGAGCACATGGACATACGGCAGAGAAAAACACACACTGGGGCCTGTTGGAGGGTGGGATGGGAGAGGGAGATCATCAGGAAGAATAGCTAATGGATTCTGGGCTTAATACCTAGGTGATGGGATGATCTGTGTAGCAAACCACTATGGCACACATTTACCTATGTAACAAACCTGTACATCCTGTACACGTACCCCCAGACTTAAAATAAAAGTTGAAAAAAATTTTTAAAAATGTTGTCTGAGAAAGTTTTCCACACAAATAAGTAGATAAGAACAGGAGGACTTCTAGTAACGCCATTCAAAAAATTTTTTAAAATACTTTTTTAGAGACAGAGTCTTAGTCACCCAGGCTTGAGGTGGCCTGATCATAGCTCATTGCAGCCTGGAACTCCCAGGCTCAAGAGATCCTCCCACCTCAGCCTCCTGAGTAGCTGGAACTATAGGCACATGCCACCATAGCTGGCTAATTTTTTTAATTTTTATTTCTGTAGAGACAAAATCTCACTATGTTGCTCAGGCTGGTCTCAAACTTCTGGGCTCAAGCAGTCCTTCCCCCATGGCCTCCTAAAGCACTGAGATTTTAGGCATGAGCCACCTCATCCAGCCCATTCAATTCTTTAAACGCCTTTGAGTATATGGCACAAATCAGAGTGTATATTATAAAGAATCATTAAGTGACCATTGATTGACAAAAGAATGAGGTTCTCCTTTAGTTGTGGCAAAAGTAATAATTGGAAAAGGATCTGTTATCCAGTTACTGCAGTTATTCCCTTTCTCCACACCTATAACATTTGGAATTGTCCCTTTGCCTGGCATGGGGGAGAGTGGTATTATGCCTGAAGGCAGTGAAGCTAATGAGGTTAAGCCTCACCATTGCTCACTTGCACCTGCCCCAGAGAGTGCCAGGAGTCGAGAGCTTTGCTATTGAAGTGTGGATTGTGGCTGGGCAACGCCAGCATCACCCAGGCTTGCCCTGGGTGTTATCAAATATGTACAATCTCAGGTGCCTCTCAGACCAACTAAATCAGGATCTACGTTTTAATAAGTTACCTGATATTCATATGTATTTTAAGGTTTGAGAAGCACTGCTATTGGGTATTCTAGGTTAGGAAGAAACACCAGGTTGTAGTCCATAAACGTTTCTAGTAAATTGCCCAAAGATATCTCAGAAGAAAGGCCCTGGATTGCCAAGACTCTAGTATTTGGTGTTTTGTTTGCTCATTCTAAGTGCATATTCACTTTTGTACCAAATTTTATACTTGTAAATTTTTTCTTAAAGGGGACTCTCCATATCGTCTAACCTCCAGGACTTACAAAACCTGCTGCTGTTGCTGGCTAAGGCTGTGTGCTACAGGTAGAGGGGCAGGGGAAGGTGAGGAGAGGCCCAGACAGAGAGGAAGCTCAGCGGGAAGTGCACCAAGATTGAGAATGGTAACTGCTGACTTGAGCTTGGTGACACCAATATGGCTGTGGGGTTTTCTTTTTTTTAAAGTAAGAACTGGAGGCACAGAAGAGGAAGGTGGGCGGGTGCATCCTTCCTGCATAAGAGTTTTACTGGGTAGATGCAAGAGAGGTAGAAGAGGGATGAGAAAATTAAAGTTATGCTTCTCATTTTATCTCCAGGTAATTACCATTTTACAGCTGAAGAAACTGGGACTTGGGTCAAATGATTTTCTAAAATACCACACTGTCCCTGACCCAGTTTATCACCTGTGCAGATTCACCTAGCCTTGCCTGCGTCCAGGGATGTGACATCTCACTCAGTGGAGAGACCGCTCCCCTGTGAGCCTGGAGGGGCAGGGGGTGCTGGTCTTTGGCATGGCCTCCATCATGCCTCTGAGGGAAGAGCTGCTCCTTTGTGATGCTCAACCTGGCTTAGCAGTAAGTTCCACATCCTTCAACCACCTCTAGGCTCCTGCAAGACACTGTGCTGTAGGCAATGCAATCGGGCTTCCTAACACCACTTAAGTGGTGTTCCCTGGCCTTGCTGGGAAGCTGTTGGGAAGCTCCATTGCACTGAGAGGCCACTGCCTCCTAAAGGGATAGTGGGAGCCACAGCCCATGGGGTGGATTGAGAGAAGAGATATAGGTAAGAACTGGCAAGCGGATTCCTCGCCCCTGATGGGTGGTTCTGAGGCTCAGGGCTTCTCCATGGTGCGTCTAGGGAGCATCCTGTGCTGAGAACCAGCTGTGTCTTTCTTGGATGCTCTGGCTCTCTCAGGAGCACACCACCTTCAATTTGCTTTCTACCCTTTCTCCCCAATTCCTGATGCTTTGGGATTGTGCCTCTCAAGGAAGCCTTAGCACACAGCTCTGCCTCAACTTTTGTTTCCAAGAAAACCTGGGCTAGGACACTTTTCTGGGAGGCAGCAGAGCCAGCAGTAGAAGCAAGTCCTTATTTTTGAGCACCCGCTATATGCCATGCACGGAGCTAAGCTCTAGGAATGCACAGCAAAACAACAAAAAGATCATCTCTTTTTTTCAGGGGGCACAAATCCAGGTTTTCTCATTTCCTGATCCTGTGCTTTCTAGACTATATTACAGTGATTGAAATGGATGATTTTTCTCTGAAAACTGAATGGAATGGGAACTTTCACTAGACGGATCCTACTGGTAAAAGTTAAATTCCTCCCTTCACACTTTTCAGAATTCATAAATTTTGTTTTCCTAGTAAAGTGGATATGAAAGTATAGCTTTCTCTTTCCGTGTAAATATAAAACAGAAAGAGAGCAGTGAGCAATATACCCCACAAAAATAATTCACCTCAAATGGGAAGATTCTACTTTCCCTAGAAAACATGCTGTTACTTCACTCTATTGATATATCTGAGAAGTCTTATGGTAATGTAGGTTAGAAGTCATTCTAGCAATGAATGAATACATATCAGGCTCTTCATTTCTTGTCTCCCACATAAGTGTCGTTATTTGCCCTTGATTCATTTCTTCACTTATTTATTCGTTCAGTAACTGAGAAAAGGTTGTGGCACCGAATTCAATAAAATGAACTATTGACTTCTGAAGTCATCTCAGCCTTTGGTGAAGAATTAGCAGCCTGCTTTGCACAAAGGATTTGGACATTTGGGAGAATTTGAAGCTGGCATAGAATAAGGATCAACATTTTACACAGGAGGAAACTAAGTCCCAGGGAGGTTAAGAGAATTTTCCAATATTAGTTAGCAGTAGAACCAGGATGACAGCCTACTCAGGCCCTCTTTCTATGGTGATAGTTGGGATCAGGAAAAAATTTTCTATTTTGATGTTTAAGTATTTATCCACCTACTACAATCCTCTCTTAAAGGCAAGCAACTGGAATGAAGTCTACTTCTTAAAGAAAGGGCCATAACCTTGGACTTAAAACATTTATGAGGAAAGCATTCCTATTTGCAACTGTTATATAAGAATTTGGGAACAGCTGTAGCATAAGACCAGAGCATGTCATGCCTCTTCCCTCACTCTAATGGCAAAGCCAACACTATCTTCACTACATTTTCTAGGTATTTCCCTGGCCTTATATTTTGTCCAGATTAAATGTGTCCAGAACACCCTACACATAATTTTGAAGAACTGACGATATTTAATGATGATAGCATCTTGGTCATCATTACTTTGACAGTATACACCTAACTGCCTGGTCTAAATTATGGAAAATGTTTGCCTCATAAGAACATTTAGTGGATTTTAAAAGTGGTTCGATCTACCACTTAAGAGTTTATATAAAATTGTTGTTTGTTTGACTCCTTTAAGCTAACTTTTTGAAATTTGCTGCATAAGAATAATGAAATGAACTCAATGAGATTAATTTAGTATAATGCTTTCTATAATGAAATCTCAACTTAAGATTAGTACTGCAAATATGAGTGAGCAACCAAATTAAATACATTTTAACCAGGCCCTAAAAGTCTAAAAATCCAGCTGAACAAAGAACTCAGCTATTATGCAAACTGAGCATCTTTTATATGGTATCAAACTATAACATGGAAAACTTTGTTAAAGTTTTGATAGAAATCTAAATACTTTACAATCTTACATTCTAAACCCCCACCCTCTGCAATTTTTAGTACTGACTATTTTAGTATGAAAAATTGAGTGAATATATTCATGTCAGTGTGTAGTTAAAAGAACCCTAGATTTTGATTTAGGGAACTTAGGTTCTAGTCCCAACTCTGCAACAAAACAGCTTATTGACAAAGCCACATACTTTCTGTTTCATTATCTGTAAAATGAAGGCTTTAGTCTACCAGACAATATCTGTGTATCCTGTTCAGTTCAATGACTCAAAATGAATATCAGTCTTTGCTCTCATATTTAAATACACATTTAGCTGTTGCTGTTATTTTTATCATTACATGTTTGGGGAGCTTATACTGACTGAAGTAACGTTGAGAAATAATGCTATACAAGAAATCATTTTACATATACACGTATTTTGTAATCAATAATGGCCCTTGAAATTGTTCAATGTCAATCAGATTCTAAATGCTTCAGAAACATCATATTCTCAAATTATAGCAAAGTGTCTTCCAGGGGGATATTTTCGAAATGAAAGAAAATATTGAATGTCTGCAGTCATTTGCAATTCATGAAGAATGCATCAAGTCTCTTATGGTTTACCACACTCGGGTGAAAGACTTAGTTGGCTAAATTGTTTATTTGGAATACACTTTATGATACAGCTTCCCAAGTTTTCATGTATTCAGTTAAAGATCTTGGGGGTCAAAGACACTCATGAGTAAAATATCTTTCTGTCAAATAAAACATGGTAGAAATATCACATTTGGTCATTGACCAACTGTGCATTACACAGGATCCATATTTGTATCCTAATTTTACAGAAGAAACTGAGTTTTCGAGAATTTGAGTACCTTGGCCAATATTACACGGCTATTGAGCTGAGACCAGAATCTAAGCCTTTCACTCATTTCTCTGTCCCCTACACAATAGGTTCTTCTGAGTTGCCTAAAATGAGAAAAAAAAGTAGATTTGGAAGGTAAGAAATGCCATATTATATAAACGGATAAAGAGAGCAACAAAGCAAAGATGGATGGTTTGCCCAATGAATCCCAGGGAATTTGAAAGTAGTCAAATGATTTCTCTCACATATAATTTATATTGCTTCCCTGGCCCTTAACAGAGATAGAATTTAATTGTTGAAATGCTAGCTTGCAAAAATCGTTTTTTTTTTTTTTTTTTCTTATTGAGACAGAGTCTCACTCTGTCACCCAGGCTGGAGTGCAGTGGTGTGAGCGCAACAATAATAGTCTTCATAAGGAATGTTAAGGCTTAAATTAGGCAGTAGCAACTTAAAAAGCTAAACTAATGGAGGAAATATTTCTCTCTTTCATTTCTAGGATGTAGGGAAAGGGGCAACATAGTAATGGAGTGAAGATGCCGATAGAGGTGGTTGATTCTTCACAGAAAAGGTTCCCAGGGCGACGAATAAAACTTGAACAAAAATAATTTGATTCACATATATGTAGATTCAAATTCAGAGAGTTTGGATCACTCCTGTAATCCCAGCACTTTGGGAGGCCGAGGCAGGTGGATCACCAGAGGTCAGGAGTTCCTGACCATCCTGAACAACACGGTGAAACCCTGTCTCTACTAAAAATACAAAAATTAGCTGGGCGTCATGGTGAGTGCCTGTAATCCCAGCTACTCAGGAGGCTGAGGCAGGAGAATTGCTTGCACCTGGGAGGTGGAGGTTGCAGTGCGCTGAGATTGCGCCATTGCACTCCAGCCGGGGAGACGCAGCAAGACTCCTTCTCAAAAAATAAAAATAAAAAAAATACAGAGAGTTGCTAGATATATAATGAAGTATTCCAAGTCAAAAAAATGATCAATAACTGATTGCAGAACAAATATAGTCTGTTTGCGCTATTAAAATTTCTTTAGAAAAGGAAAAACAACTTATCTTTATATGAGTAACTGTTCACAGAATTTGGCACAATTCAATCATCAGTGAATGATTATTTACAAATAAATGCAAAGAACTCCACCTCTTTGTCCCACTATTTTGCCATTTGGCAAAATTTCCTTGAGAATGTAAGGATTTGTTAACTCTGCATTTAATAAGAAATGTTAACAGAGAGTATGATTCACTGATTCTCAACCCCAAATGCCCATTTGGTGGTTCAAACATGACACCAGGGTGGAGAATCTCTGCTGTAGTAGAAAAGGCATGACCCCTGATGTCAGATGGCCTGGATGTCAGAACCAATTTTCTGATTTATTTATTTAATTTAATGGATTAAAAATATCAAATTGATTTTATTAGTCTGCTGTCTGTAACATTTGAACTGTAGTTCTTATTCAGGGGCAAATCCAGGTGTGTACAGCCTGCAGCTCATATAATTTAGGGAAATCTTTAAGAAAGCAATATAAAAAATCTTCCATTGCAACTATTGGCAAACTGTACAATCAAAATTAACACAAGGTTAAGTGTCAACAGCTTCACCGTAAATCCCACTCTGGCTTTAGCATCAGATTAGTGAAGGTGTCTTGCTGAAGAGTAGATATAAGATTGCATTACAGCTCTAAAGGACTTAGTACAGTATTATTACAACAATGAAAGAACAGAAGAATAAGGTTTTGAGAATGTCATTGTCAGAGGAGAGAGAGCCTATTGTAAAATTCCTAGACTGTGGTTGAATTGATTCTTGCTGAACATATGACGCTACCCCATTAGTACATGTACGTTGAATGGATTTTTCCCCCTAGAATTTCACAATCAAGAGATAATCATTTGCTCTTTTTAAATTGTTGTTCAAAATAGTTTCTCTCATGACTAAATGAAGTCATCCTTAATATCACTGTGAGAAGTTAGGTATGTATAACTTGGGCCTGAAGCAAGGAAAGTTGTTTGCTTACATGAAAATTATGTATACGTATTTTACGTGAAACTGCCTTTGCCACTTTTATGTAATGTCATTTTATATCTCCTATAGATCTCATCTATTCACATTCTTCAACAATGCATAGATCTTTTATCTCATCATACATATGCCATGGTTGCACATTCAATTCATGTGCTGAGGAAGATCAGGTCTCAGTCTCCAGTCTTCCCTCCTGAGTTCCAGATACATATGGATGTCTTCTATACCTCCACATTCCACCCAAACCTCACTATTCACAACTGTCAGCATGGTAACTAATGCCTCCCTGACTGGGATCCCTCTCTTAGTGAAGGACACACTATCCACACAGTCACCTAAGAAGGAAGCCTTGGAATCGGCCAGAGTCCTTCCTCTTCCTCAGCCCTGACATTTGATGAACAACTAAGACCCATGGATTCTGCCCCTGTATCCATTATTTATCCCCTTCTCTCTCTCTCTCTCCATTGCCTCTAATTTGGATCAGGCCCACAACATCTTGCCCTGAACCTTTGCAACATCCTATGAACAGGTCTACCGTCCTTCCAATGCACTATTAGAGTATTCTTTCAGTAGTGTAAATTTGATCATGTTTTCAATTCTTCAATAGTTCACCATTTTTAAATATAAAATTCTCAAGAGCATGCCACATTTATGATGTGGCCTCTGATGTACTCCTCCTGTTGCTCTTTGGTTCAATATGAAAGAGCTTTCTGCGGTTTTTAACACACCAGCTTTCTCATTTCTATGCCTTTGGCCATGGCTGCCTTTCCTGGTTTCTTTGCCTACTTCTTCTGCATACAACATGAGCATGTCTCTAGGGCTCAGCATAGGCATTGCCCCTGGATAGAAGATTCCCTGCTTCTCCCCACATCCGGGCTGAGTTTGGTGCCTTGTTGCTGAGCTTCCTTAGCAATCTGTGTGCACCAGTATTTCAGCAATAATCAATCTCTGTTATACCTATTCTCATGTCTGCTTCTCTCACTAGGCCATCAGCTCCTGTCCTTAACCTCAAAATCTCTGATGAGTGCCACATAGGCAAGTCAACACATTTTTGTTAAATGCATGAAAGGAAGAATGAGTATTGTTATGTACCAGAAACGGTATTGGAGAAGTGACTTGACATGAGCCTGTATTGATGCCACCATGCAACTTCTTCGGACATTCAAAGGACTTGTTAAAAGCCCTGTGGCATTTGCAAAACGCTAGTTCATTCAGAATACTCCGAGGTGCTTGAGAGCATTGACTCTAGGCAATACAGCAAAGATGAAGATGTTGCCTTCTAAGCTCCTCTCATCCATTTCTGTGTGACCACCTCCCCTTTGGCATCTTTTCTTTTCCTCTAGGGGACTTTTGGCTCCACCTGCTCATATCCTCATGCTTGCTAAATACACCACCTTTGGGTCCCAAAGATAATGAAATTAAATGTGAAGTTAATATTTACATGAGCTATACTAGTCCCTTCTCATACTGCTATAAAAAACTACCTGAGACTGGGTAGTTTATGAAGAAAAGAGGTTTAATTGACTCACAGTTCCACAGGCTGTACAGGAAGCATGGCTGGGAGGCCTCAGGAAACTCAAAATTATGGCAGAAGATGAAGGGGATGGGGGTAAGTGTGTAGCCCTTCTCCCTTTGCTCTCTCTCTCCTGCTCTGTCTTACCAGATCTTGTGAGAACTTGCTCACTATCATGAGAACAGCAAGAGGGAAATCCACCCCCATGATCCAATCGCCTCCCACCAGGTCCCTCCCCCAACACTCAAGATTATAGTTCGAGATGAGATTTGGGTGGGGACACAGAGCCAAACCATATCATTCTGCCCCTGGCCCCTCCAAAATCTCATGCCCTCCCCACATTTCAAAACCATGTATGCCTTCTCCACAGTCCCCCAAAGTCTTAACTCATTTCAGCATTAACTCAAAAGTCCAAGTCCAAAGTCTCATCTGAGATAAGGCAAGTCTCTTCCGCCTATGATCCTGTAAAATAAAAAGCAAGTTAGTTACTTCCAAGATACAATGCAGGTACAGGTATTGGGTAAATGCTCCTGTTCCAAAAGGAAGAAATTGGCCAAAACAAAGGGACTACAGGCCCCATGCAAGTCTGAAACCCAGCAGGGCAGTCATTAAATCTTAAAGCTCTGAAATAATCTCCTTTGACTCCATGTTCCACATCCAGGGCATGCTGATGCAAGAGGTGGGCTTCCAAGGCCTTGGGTATGAGCACAAATGGTCAATCACTCACACAACAAATACATATTGAATGTTTCTTTTTTGCCAGGGACTGCAGGTGCAGCAGCAAACAAAATAGTCAGAGCTCATGTTCTTGTGACACAGTCTAGAAGGAACCCAACCATAAGCAAACAAATGTATAATATAAAGTTGAGTAATGATAAATGCTATGAATTAAAGTAAAGCAGGTAAAGTGACAAGGGCAAAGTTTTGCTCTTTTTTGTGGGATGATCAGCAATGACCTCTTTAATTCTGAACTTCTATCAAAATCTGAGTGACAGAAGGGACAGAGAACTGTGCTCTCTGTGGAAATGAGGTTTAGACAGAAGAATCAGAAAGTCCAAAGTCTTCCTGACAAGAGAAAGCCTGAGGCTTTGAGAAACAATGAAGAGCCCAGCCTGGCTGAAATGGAAGAGTATTCAGAGAGTAGACAGAGGCCAGATCACAAAGCTCTTTGGGCCCTGGAAGGTATTTGAGATTTTATTCCAGCATGATCTGAAGCCATTGTGGCCTTCTGAGCAGGGATATGTGATTTACATTTTAAAAGGATCATCCTGGTTACTATATGAAGAATGGATTTTAATGGGACAAGAGTGGAAGCAGGGAGACCAGTAAAGAGGTTATTGTCATACTTCAGGTGAGAGATGATGATGAAAGATGGTAGGACTTAGAATATATTTTAAAGATAGAGCTGGCAGGATGTTTTTGCTGATATGATTGTGGATTTGAAAAAGAGAAGTCTCAGAATAGTGCCAAGATTTTTACCCTCAGCAACTAAAACAAGGTAGATTGGCTGAAGAGCAAGGTTGGGAGAGCATATCATAAGTTCTGCATTAGACAAATTACATTTAAATTTTCTTGTGGACATCTACATTCAAATTTAGAATATGTTGTCAGCTATAAAAAGCTAGTATTCCTGGAAGTTACAGAGCTGGGGATATAGCTTTGAAAAATTCCAATGTGTAAATGCTTTTAAAAATTGGGAAATTGGATGGCTTAGCCTAAGAAAAGAATGTGACTAGAGAAAAGTTTCAAAACCTGAGCACTGGGGCACTACAACCATCAGAGTAATATTTTTCAAAAGACAGGTTGTGAACCAGTAGAGGTCCTGAAATCAATTTAATGGTGGCAACAAGAAATAAAAAGAAGTAGTAAATACCCTGTAAACCAAAAATTAAAATTCTGAGCCCCCCCAGTTGACTGAATGGAACCATCTTCTCTGGCCAAGGACATTCCAAAGTAAACCTGAAAAACTAGTTCAGGCCATGATGGGAAGGAGGAGTTGGAAATACCTCATTATGCACTCTTTCTTTTGGAATTCAGGCACAACTCATCAGCATTAACATTAAAACAGCGATCTTAAGACTGATAAAACAAACTCTTTGTAGCAATAAGATACCAAATCCCAATCTGACTCTAGTGACATCACATGACAGACAGCAGGCCCTAAAAGACATCAAGATATTTTATGCCCAAATATATTTCTTTGACATACTTGGAAATGGCTCTGTAAAGCTGTCTCTTGTGGGGAAAATCTATATTCTGTAGAGAATTCCCTTCTCTTTCCAGGTCTTTTTTTGATCCAGGAGAGATTAACTAAGAGTCTGGCATTTATTTTAGGTCTGATTAGAGACATTCGCCATCTAGTCTCTCTGAAGTTTACTATCTGGGGGTTTCATCTGCATAATTAGAACCATGGTCCCCATAATTCCTTATCTTAACCCGAGCACTCCTTTCAATTGATTTTAGGTCCTTGGATAATAATTTAACTCTTTTAACCAATTGCCATTCAGAAAATTTTTGAATCCAACTATGACCTGTAAACTGCCCCCACAACCCCACAACTCCCACCATGGTTCAAGTCGTTCTGCCTTTCTGGACCAAATCAATGCATAACCCATATGCATTGATTGATGCCTTATGTCTCCCTAAAATGTATAAAACCAAGTTGCAGCCTGACCACTTTGGGCACATGTTCTCAGGACCTCCTGGGGCTGTGTCATGGGTCATGGTCCCCCACATTTGGCTCAGAACAAATTTCTTTAGATATTTTAAAGAGTTTGACTCTTTTCTATCAACAAGACTAAAACAGATTAGACAAATCTAGACTAGAATAGGCAATTGTCAACATATATCTCATGTAGTAAGTATAAATATCATTTTATGAGAATTTTCTGTTTCTGGTTTGTGTACTAGGTTGCATTAAAAAATTTATGTCCTGGTATTTTGAGGTAGGAACAGGTAGAAAAGCTAGCAAAAGAGACAGAGAATAGCCATTGAAGTAAGAGGAAAACCAAGAGAGTGTATGTCCCCAAATCCAGTAGAAGAAAGTGTTTCAAGGTGAAGGAACTATTCAGTGTAAAGATATAACAATTGGGTTTGGTAACAGGAGGTCATTAGTAAATTTATCAAGGGTAGTTTCAGTGAAGAAGTGGGGTGAAAGCTTGATTAGAGTGAGATCAAGAAAAATAGGAGAAGAGGAAGTAGAAATAGCAAGTTAAGTCATATGAAAGAACAGAAAAATGAGGCAGTAACTAGCATTATGTAACTTCAACTCAGCATACTATAACTTTGTGACAAAGCACAGTAAAACATATCTCAACTCTCTGACCTCCTGAGCTGGGAGGCAGTGGTACCCTCAGCCCACTATCTCTCAGCTCAGGAAAGAATCACCAACATTGATGTTTCAAATTAGAGTTCTTGTTTCGATTTAGTTCTGCTTCCTTAACCTAATTTTAAAGATTTTTTTATAGTAGTCATATCATTTAGAGATTGAGCTGCTCTCTAAACCTAGTGCTATTTTTAAAATCAAAGAGTAAAGGCCAGGTGTGGTGGCTTATGCCTGTAACCTCAGCACTTTGGGAGGCCAAGATGGGCAGATCACGAGGTCAGGAGATTGAGACCATCCTGGTCAACATGGTGAAACCCTGTCTCTACTAAAATACAAAAAAATTAGCTGGGTGTGGTGGTGTGCACCTGTAGTTCCAGTTACTCAGGAGGCTGAGGCAGGGGAATTGCTTGAACCCAGGAGGTAGAGGTTGCAGTAAGCCGAGATCATGCCACTGCACTCCAGCCTGGTGACAGAGTGAGACTCTGTCTCAAAAAAAAAAAGAAAAAAAAAAAAAAGAAGAGAAAAAAAATATCAAAGCCTAAAGACAAAAAATACTTTGAACTCTATTCATTTTGTAAAATTGATATTATTACTTCCTTAATTGTTTGATAGAATTCATGTATGAAGCCATCTGTGCCTGGAGTTTTCTTGGAAGGTTTTAAATAAAAATATATGTCTTTATTATAGGACTATTCTAATTTTCTATTTCCTCTTCTGTCAGTTTTAGTAATTCATATCATTCAAGTAATTAACCCTTTAAGTCTTGATAGAAAATGTCTATAAACTTTATTATTCTTTTAATGTCTATAAATTGTTAGTGATAACATCTCTTTCATAGTTGATACTGATAATTTGTGTGTTTTTTTCTGTTTTTATCTTGATCAATCTAGGTAGGGTGTTATTGATTTTGTTAATATTTTCAAAAAATCAAAATTGTTTCATGGTTTTCTATATTATTCATCTGTTTTCTATTTCATTGACATCTACCATTTCCATTATTATTTATTTTCTTCTGCTTATTTTGGGTTTTTACTTTTCTCCCTAGATTCTTAAGGTGGAAGCAATGACCATTTATTTTAATCCTTTCCTCTTTCGTATATAAGAAAGTCAAGATATAAAATTCTCCTTAAACACTGCATTCCAAAAATTTGGATATGTCTTATTTTAATTATCATTCAAGTAAGAATATTTTTTAATTTCTTATTTAACCCAGGGGTTATTAAGACATAGATTGCTTGATCTCAAAATATTTGGAGATTTTCTGTTTTAAAATAAAATCAAAATAGTTAACTTTGTTGTCTATATGATGTTAATTGCTAAAATTTATTGTAACTTGTTTTGTGGTACAGCATATGGTTGGTATTGGTAAGTGCTCTATGATTACTTGGAAAAAAAGGTGAATTGTGTTAGTCAAGTCAGTTGATAGTGATGTTCAAGTCTTCTATATCCATACAGAGTGTTTTTGTGCTTATTCTATTACTGAGAAAGGAAAGTATACAATTAAAGGTAAACAATAAAAATATAATAAAATACAATAAATAAATATAAAATACAAGCATATAATAGTATACTTTCATTTGCCTCTGGAATTAAGCAATGAAATAAATTATTCATACTTATTTACACATTATTTTTTTCTGGAAGTTTCCATTCCTTTATGTGGACTGAATTTTCACCTGATATCGTTTTCCATTAGTCTGAGGATTCCATATCTTAATATACCCTATAGTGCTTATCTGCTGGTAACAGATTATGTTAGCATTTGTTTGTCTGAACATGACTTAATTTGTCCTTCATTTCTGAAGGATAGTTTTTTGAGATTTGGATTTTCCCTTTCAGTACTTTAAAAATGTCATTCTAATGTAGTCTGATTTACATTGTTTCTAGTGAGGTTGGCAGTCTATCTAATGATATTAGAGTTACTATTGCTCCCTTGTAAATAATGTGTCTTTTTTTTCTAAGTCATTTTAAAAGAATTTTTTTGTTTATCACTTTATCTATTTTGGAGTATAGTCTTTTCCAAAAATGCAGTCATACTTTTTGAAATCCTTAAAGACTGAGATTTATCTCATGTTGCTAAAAATTAACTATTTAAATTTACTATGGAGTGACTTTTCTTTCTGTTATGTATCACATTTTACTGCTTCTTCACCATGTCTAGTAATTTTTTATTATATGCTGGATATTATGAATGCCATGTTGCTGAATACCTGGCTTTTTTATTCTTCCTTAATAGAATGTCAAGTTTTGTTCCAGCAGACAGTTAATTTACTTAAGCTTAATTAATTCAAACCTTGTGTTTAAGCTATGCTAGGGAAATTTCAGATTAGTTTTTACATAGGACTAGACTAGTATAACCTCTCCTGGGTCTCTACTGAATGTTAGAGTTATTTAATAAGATGTCTCCACTCTGACTAGTTATTACTCAAATATATCTCAGCCTAGGTGTCTTCTAGTAGCTGTTCAATTCAATGTTTCTCAGCAGTTTTTCTTTCATCGGCAGTTGTTTTTTTTTTTTTTGGCCCCATTTTATGGATTCTTGCTCCATGCATGGAGAGTTTTGTATTGGATCCAACAATAAGGAAAACCACATTTGGAATCCTGGAGTTCCTTTTCCGCACAGGTCTCCATTTCTGTTCCACAATATCTATCTATCTACCTCAGGACACCAAAGGTGTGATATCTGCATCCTCAGGGCAGAGACCTCTGCCCTTTCTTGCCCTCCACCCCACTGTATTTATCAGTGCCTCCAGGAAGGAAGCTGGGGTAACTGTGGCAATCATCTTACATTTACTTTTCTTAGGGATCACAGATCTGTGCTCCCTGTTTTCTAACATCTAAAAAAAATTTCATATATTTTGTCCAGTTTTATTGTTGTTTATGGTGAGAGGGCTGGTCTCGTATAAGTTACTCAGTGATGGCCACAAGCAGAAGACCGCTAATATGTTTTGAAATGTGGCTTGTGAGGTTATAACATAGCCATCTTTGCAAATTTTAAAAATTCATTTGTCTTATGAATGTTACATGAAGAACAGTTTTCTCTATTTTGACAAAATTGACTAGACTTTCTCAAGTCCCAGGAACTACAGTTTTCACTGCATAAAACTTGGACACCTTCCCAAGGTTTGCCCTTTCAAAACTGAAATGGCAAAAAGGAAGGAGTAACCAAGAATCTATAAGCAATTTTATACTCTGGACATCCCAGTGCAATCCAAGTGCTGATTTATAAAAAGCAAGGGGATATTTACTTTTTGAGCTTGGAATGGTTGATGAGTTTCAAAGAACACTGGACTAAATATCAGAAGATTTGAGTCTTGTCCTGGTTCTATTGCTTACTAATCATCTGATCTTGGATAAATGTGACAGTTTCCTCAACTGTGAAATCTACCTCATGAGATTAATATGTAGCTTAGATGTAGTTAAATAGATTGAAAAGAAGATTGTAGACCATAAAACATTATATAAATATAAAATACATGGTTCCTTATACCTTAAGAAATATGAGCCAAATTTATGAGAAAAGATGACAATTTTTCTAAGTGTAAAACATTTAAAGTGTAAAACATTCAAGGTAAAAAGGTCAATAATGGAATGGAAATAAAAATTTATTTAGAAGGGATAACATTTTTTTGTTTGTAAATTAATTGAAAACTACTGTGTGCTCTTAGAAGCAAGAAAACTTCCCTCAGTCTAATAAAAATGTTTAAATTTGGTGTGATCAATTGTTTTATAGTACTTTAATCTTATTTTAGTTTTAATTATGGGAGTGTATTCTAGAAATAGTTATTACACTAAAAATTTCATAGGAGAAAGGAATATCTCAAGTTATAATTTATTCCAGTAGTTCTAATAAATCATAGATGCTATGCCTTCAAGTTTTCACCCAAATTCAAAAGAACATTTTCCTGCTCTCAAATAGCCTTTTCCAAAAAAGCAATTATACTTTGAAACCTTCAAAGATTGAGACTTGCCTCATGTTAAAAATAAGCTATTTACATTTGTAAGCTGAATAGGACATCATCAGGGATAGAACTTTTCCTTCCCCTACTTAATGGGCTTATTTATCTCAAAGTCACAGAATCATAAGACATAAGATCCAGAAGACATTATGGATATCATCGGAGCCATGATTGCATTTTACAGAATTAAGCACTGATGGTGACCCACTAGGGGGTCCATATGCAATACAGATGGAAGGGGGCTCAATACAAAATGGAAAAATAAATAAATGCCATGTTCACTCATGACTATAGAACATATCACAGGTTATTTGGCCTCTTAACATTTTTGAATACATTTGTCATCATTGGTAGAGAGCACTGTACTCAGTATCTTGGGAAATAACAAAGGAAGTGAAAACAGAGGTTCTTGCTTCGAATATCTTGCTCTGAGATGAGAAAGAAAGCCTAGTGCAGGAAGGTGTTATTGTCTTTTCTATATACATGAGTTTGGTCAGCTGAATTAAACTTAAGTTTCACAAGGCTTACCATGTGCCAGGTTGATGTAGTTGTAGTGGGTTCCAAAAATAAAAAAGAGAAGGTCCTTACCCTCTTGTACCTTAAAGTCTGGTAGAGATAAAAGGTACACAAACAAAGACATAAAATCTAATGCACTACATGCGTTAATATGAACAGGTCCAAGATTAAACACTGTAATAAGATAAAAAGGAGGTGATAGGCAATAAAGGTAGAGGAGAAACCAGTGGCAGTGGAGATGCAAAGGCTACAGATCTGTGAGGTATTTAGGAAATAGACAACGTAATTTGTAACTAAGTGGATGTGGTAGGTAAGGGAGAAGGAGGTGTCTAAGATGGAAGTGATGTGTTTGTATTTTTAGGTAGATGGTTATGAAATGGTGTCACCAATCAACAGACAAGATGCTAAGAGTTTTAAAAATGAGTGGCACTGAGGACAGAAACAGTGAATTCCATTTTCTAACATGCTGACTTTGAATTTACTGTGGAAAATCCTGGTAGAAATGCTAGGAAGACCTTTGGAGATATATCTCACCATAGCCAAGAAAAAAGAGGTGAACTCAAGAAAATGATTTGGAGATTTATAATGTTTAAGGCATAATGCAAACAATGGACATGAGTGAGGTTATCTAAGAAAAGGGGACAGGGAGAATATTAGTCCGAGAAAGAAATCCTGGAAACAAACAAAATTTAAGGGCTAATTGAAGTAAGTGGACATTAGAAGAAGGCTGAGAAAGGACATTCAGAAAGATAGAAGTGAATGTTGTCTTCTACGCCTGCCTGCATGGCTGACAGAACCCTGTATGCTTTGGAATAACACTTTTCCATCATCCCTGGGGAGGTGGATAATCAATATCTTAGTCTAATCATAGACTAAACCAATCACAGACATTCCACCTTGCTAGGATTGATAATCCAGGAGCATGTGATGCAGTCCTGGTCAGGAAGAAATAAGGGGAAATCTGAGGGCTACCATTATTTTTCTTGCTCTTAGAAAATAGACCAAGGACAGGATTTTCCTGTTTTCAGTCTCTCAAGGAACATATCTGATGAGATTGTTATGACTATGGCGTCCCTCTTGAGATTCTGAAGTAGCAGGCCCGGAAATAAAAGCCAACAACTCACTGAGGAAATCAGAAGAGGAAGAGGGAAGCATCTGAGGGGTTTTGTTGAGCAAACCTGAAACTGTTGGTCTCCACCTACTTTTTGTGAAACAAATTATACCCTGTACATTGTTGAGAGAGAGAAAGAGAGAGAGAAGAGAAAGAAAGAAAAAGGAATGGAAGGAAGGAAAGAAGGAAGGAAATTAGTTAAATTAGGAGAGAGCGATATGAACATGAGGGAGTATTATTTACAAAGGATGGAAATAATTGCAGAGGCTCATTGGTAACTCTAACAGCTGAAACCATTTGAGCAATATCCAGTTGGTGGTAGAACAAGGAACAAGTGGGCATTGAGCAAGAGAAAATAAATATTGACAACATTTTCCGGAGGTTGGTTGTAAAGGGAAGATAGGGAGACATCTAAAGAGATGCAAGGAGAAGAAATAATTAATTTTTAGAATGAGAAAATTTTTCCTAATGTTTATAGGTGGGGTCAAGAGTTATGGAAGAGGGAGTAGCAGAAGATATAGCAGAGAGAGAATGATTTATGGGGAAATTCTCTGGAAAGTAGGAAGGGGCAGGCTTAAGAAGAAAGAAGAAGGTGGTGACTTTGAAGAACAAGGACATAGCATTCTCAGATCTTGGAGAGGAAAAGGTCAGAAGTGGGCTTATACAAGTGAGAGGACAGAATGGACAGTGAAAGCCAGAAAGCTGATGATATTATCCTTTGCCCTAAAGTGGTAGAGAATTTTGGTTTTGGAGAATGGAAGGGGTGAGTGTTGGAGTGGAAGCAGGAGTGGCCACATTCTGCATCCTTGAATGTGCTCAAGCAGCTGCCTCTTGGCTGACTGAAGAGTGGAATTAGCCCAAGAATGTGGCCCTGTTAAATCATGCATTTCATTGTATCCAAATGAATGACAGGTCCATGGATTTGTTGCTATTATTAGGTTCAAGTACGTACCACAGGGCCTTATCAAGATTTGTATGAGTCCCAGGAGATAAATGACCACATCTATAAAAAAACAAATGATGAATTAATGTGTTTAAGATAAGGAGGTAATTTTGTAAGATTACTCCTAAAAATGAATAGTATCTCTAGATTTAATATCTTGTGACCCAATTCTATTAGCCTAGTACCTAGACACATGGAATGATAAACAGTGGTTTTTTTAATTTTAAAATTAAACACATGGATAGCAATTTGAGCATAAGATGTATTTTTTTCACCCATCTGGCTCATTTAGGCCATTTGCCTTGAAGAAAGCAGGATCCTGTCCATCTGGTAGCACATTTAGGAAAGGGGGGTGATAGTGTGGTCCCTGAATGAGATCTAGGACCACTTGTTCGAAATGTTAAAACATTAGCATAAGATATAGCATGATATTATTAACTGTTCCTTTCTATTTGATTATTAAACATTAACAACCACCCGCCTGGGCTCTTCTTTTTGTACTCATGGTACTTACTTGGAAATCTATTGCTATGTAATTAATTGCACCAAAACAACAACGAAAAAACAAATAATTACTTTAGTATTTCCTCTCACAGTTCTGGGTGTTGACTGGGCCCCATTAGGCAGTTTTTGCTTGGGTACCTCCCATGATGTTGCAGCAAATGGTGTCTGGGGCTAGAGTTATCTTGGGACTCATTTACTCACATGTTGGTACTCTTGTATGGCTATTGGCTGGGATTCCAACTGAAGCTTTAGGCCGGAAACCTGGCCTCTGTGGTCTTGCCACATCCTCACAGCATGGTGGCTGGGTTCCAGAAACGAGTGTCCTGAGAGGATCAGGTGAAATCTGTATTGCCTTTTATGTTCTACTCTCAGAAGTTCCAGAGCATCAATTCTGCTGTCATCATAGACCCTCCAAGATTCAAGCGGGAGGGACAAAACCCCACCTCTTTATAGGAGGTGTGTCAGCATCCACAGGAAGAAAAAATGTGGGATGGGAGCTCTTTTTGCAGCCGTTTTGGAAAATAACATTTGCATACTGCCCAACAGACAGAGTGGCTCTGTCTAGACTACAGTCTTAAGGCGAGTGCTTTACATCTCTTCCAACCCCACTATCCCATAAGCCTTCTTGGGAGATTTTGTCTTTGTGGACCTATGTCTGCTCAGGCCATAAATGGCACCCATATACGCCATCTGACAAGTTAAGGCTGAAGTTATTCCTTGCCAGAGACATTTTGTTAAAACTAGAATTTATTTTTTTGCAGCGGATTTAAGTCAATAGCACAGAGTACAGAGAGTTCTCATGTATCCTTCCCTGCCATACATGCACAGTCTTCCCCCATTATCGACATCCCCCACCAGAGAGGTACACTTGTTAAAATTGATGAACCAGCAATGACACATCATTATCACCCAAAATCCAGAGTTTACATTAGGATTCACTCTTGGTGGTGTACTCTTTGGGTTCTGACAAACATATAATGACATGTATCCACATTATGGTATCATACAGAGGAGGTTTGCTGCCGGAAAAATCCTCTGTGCTCGACTTCTTCATCCTTTCCTTTCTTGCAAGTCCTGGCAACCACTGAGACTTTGTAATTAAGACATGCTGACTCTTCTTTCTGCATCCAGTCCTTCTTTTTTTATCTTCTTTAATCTGTATTGTACTTTGTTGTTAGAATTATATTTCCCAAGAAAAAAAAATTTAAACAGATTTATCTCCTGATAAAAATGTCAATGATTTTTCATTGCATAGAAATTAAGTTGCAAAGTTTCATTATTTGTCCTTATGGTACAATAATTAAATTAAAGTCAGTGTATTGACAAATAGTTGGCATGCAATAACGTGGTTTGAGGATTACTAACATAGTGAAATGGTATTTTTCTTCATCTTCTATTCCTCCACTCCTAACTGAGCTCCTTTCTGGGACACGGGACTCACCTAGCTCCATTCTCAATCCTCAGCCCAAATGAAGCTAAGTTAGCAGAAAGATGTGTTTCATAAAACCAGAAATAAAGAGCCATACTTCAAGCACAGTAACACCCTACAGCTATGATAAAAGCTCTGTCTGCTAGATGCTTCATCTTTGGGATCATATTAGAAAAGATTGACTTTTTTTCATCCTTGCCTTCAAAATCAGGTCCTGTCCCAGATTCATTAGTGGAGAGCATGGGGAGGGATGTGATACTTTTAAGTAACTAACAGTCTGGACTGAAGTCAGAGAGTAGGAGCAACTAGGATTCTTTGAAGAAGACAGAGAAGTCCATACACCTAGAACAGGAGTTCACACACCACAACCAATGGTCCAAATCCAATGTGCCATCTGTTTTATTTTCTTTAATTTTACAATATTTGGTTGACAAGTAAACGATATATATATATTCAAGGTGTAACATGTGATGACTTGATATACATTGTGTACTGATTACCACAGTCTAATTAATTGACACATCCACTGCCACCCATAGTTACCATTTGTGTGGGTGTGTGTGGGGGTGGGGGCAGGCAAGGGCACTTAAAATCTACTGTCTTATCAAATTCCAAGTAAGCAATACAGTATTATTATCTATAGTTACCATACCGTTCATTAGATCCCTAAAACTTATTCACATTAGAACTGAAAGTTTTTACCCTTTGAGCAACATTTCCTCATCCCACCTGGCACCCACCAACAGCCCCTAGAAACTATCTTTTTACTCTACTTCTATGAATTCAACATTTTTAGATTTCACATATAAGTGAGATCATATATGTGTTAGGGCATTCTTGCATCGCTATGAAGAAATATCTGAGATTGGGTAATTTATAAAGAAAATCGGTTTAATTGGCCCATGATTCTGTAGGCTGTACAGAAAGCATGGTGCTGGCATCTGCTCAGCTTCTGGGGAGACATCAGGGAGCTTTTACTGATGGTGGAAGGTGAAGCAGGAGCGGGCACATTACATGGCCAGAGCAGGAGCAAGAGAGGGAGTATAGGGGGAAGGTGCTTCACTTTACAACAACCAGATCTCATGAGAACTCACGCTATCATGAAGACAGCACAAAAAGGATAATGCTAAACCATTCATGAGAAATCTGCCCCCATGATATCATCACCTTCCACCAGACCCCACCTCTAACACTGAGGATTACAATTCAACCTGAGATTTGAGTGGGGCAAATATTCAAACTAAATCAATACAGTATTTGTCTTTCTGTGGCTGTCTACTTTCATTTAGTGTAATGACCTCCAGGTGCATCCATGCTGTCACAAATGGCAGAATTTCCTTCTTTCATGGCTGAATAATATTCCATGGTGGATATAAGTCACATTTTAAAAATCCATTCATCCACTGATGGACACTTAGGCTAGTTTTCCATATGTTGGGTATTGTGAATAGTGCTGCAGTAAACATGGGGGTGCAGATATCTATTTGGGGTGCTGATTTCATTTCCTTTGAACATGTACACAGAAGTAGAATTGCTGGAGGGTATGGTAGTTCTATTTTTCATTTTTGGAGGCCACTCTATACTGTTTTCCATAATGTCTGTATTAATCTATATTCCCACCAATGGGGTACAAGTGTTCCCCTTTCCCCACACCCTCATCAACACTTACCTCTTGTTTTTTTTTTTTTTTTTTTTTATAATAGCCATCCTTACAGGTTTGAGGTGATACCTTATTGTGGTTTTGATTTGCGTTTCTCTGATAATTAGTGATGTTGAACACATTTTGATATACCTGTTGGCCATGTGTATATCTTTTTTGGAAAAATGATTTTTCAGGTTCTCTGCCCATTTTTTAAATTGTGTTATTTGGGGCTAGAGTTATCTTGGGGCTCAACTTTTGTTATTGAGTTGCGTGAGTTCCTTATATGTTTAGGATATTCACCTCTTATCAGATATATGATTTGCTGATATTCTCTCCCAATATCTAGGTTGTCTTTGTATTTTGTTGTTTCCTTTGATGTGCAGAAGCTTTTTAGTGTGATGTAGTCCCACTTGTTTATTTTTGCTTTGTTGCTGCCATCTGTTTTTTAAATAAAGTTTTATTGGAACACAGCCACACCATTATTTTATGTATTGTTTATGACTGCTTCTGTGCTACAACAGCACCGTTGAGTAGTTGTGACAGAGACTGTTTGGTCTGTGAAACTTAACATGTTTACTTTCTGGCTCTTTGAAGAAAACGTTTACTGGCCCCTGATCTATAAAACCATGGTAAAGAGAAAGGGTATCAGAAGCCACAAAAAGGAGACTGCCATGGGACTCCCTGAATGGTCTCGTTACAGGTGACAGGTCATCAAGAGGAAATGCACAAACTCTTTGGCATCAACTTCTGAATTCTGCACAGTGGTACAGTAGCAAGACACCTTCTGGAGATGGACTAGACGTTTATGCACTTCCAAATAGTGATGACAAAAGGGGTTACACAAAGATGAGACCTTTCATCCTTGGCAGTTTCATCTCTCACTTCATCACATCACATCCTCTATCCATCCTTCACTGTAGTCTTCTTCCCAGAATGAGACCTGAGCCTTCAGGTTGCTGGGACTGTTCAAGTTTCTTCCTGGGTCCATAGTGCTTTTTCTCTTCGTGGAAGACTTTGCAGCTTCAACTGAATCACCACCTCTCCAGAAAGCTCCACATCCCTACCACCCCCAGGGGATTTGAGCTTCTTTGGTACCACTTGGCACAGTTCGGTGTATACCAGATTATTAGTGCATGTTTCTCTCTCCCCGACCAGATCATCAGCAACTGGATCTAATCCCTATCTTCCAATTAATACATTGCCTTATAGACTGTAAATATTTAGTAAATATTTATTAGCTTGAAATGAGAGTTTTGAAAATAAAACCATCTTAGTTCCACGCCTTTTTCTTGTAGAAATCTAAATAAAGAGTACTTTGGCTCAAGAGTTTTTTTGTGCAGCTGTTTCGAAAAATAAAAGTAAAAATTATTCTTTGAATAATCTTTAGAAGCTTAAAATCTGTCATCCAATGAAGAAATGAAACCTCTGTGTGAGTGATGCCATGTCCTGAAAGCAAGGGGCTAAACAGATATTATGACTGGAGCAGGGAGCTAAACAGATATTATGACTGGAGCAGAAGACCACTTAGAGTAGCAGCTACCATCTCTGCTCAGTGGAGAGATCAGCTGCTCCTCCTTCACTCATATCTACTCTGTGATTCCCACCTTCAGTTAAGATTAAACCAGATGGAAGGCTGAGCACAGGAAGCCTGAATGGGATTTTTCTATCCCAGTATGTATATTTTGAGCTAAGAGGGAAGAGAGTAATGATTTTGTGCCTGAAAGAAAATGGATCCCATTCAAATATAAATTAATATCCTCTCTTCAATGGTGGTTGCCATTATCCCCAAATTGATGTCATCATTATAGCCATTTTGTGCTTTTAAATGGCATAGGAGAAAATGACTAACTCAATTATATCAAAATGTTCAAAAATAGCATTATTTTAGACCTGAATGAATGAGGAAAAGTTTAAATCCAAAGTAATTATTTATTTTATTTGTATTTTATAAATTTTTTTATTGATGTGTCACAATTGTACCTATTCTAGGGATAGACGTGATGTTTTGATGTCTGTATACAACCTGAAATGATCAAATTTGGGTAATTGAGATATCCCTCACCTCAAACATTTTTATTTTCTTTGTGTTGGGAGCATTACAATTCTCCTGGATATTTTGAAATACACAATAAATTATTATTAGCTATAATTTCCCTACTGCACTCTCAAATAGTAGAACTTATCCTTCAATCTAACTGTGTCTTTGTACCCGTTAACCAACTTCTCTTCAACCTCCTCTTCCCTCTTCCCTTCCCAGCTCTGGTAACCACCATTGTACTCTCTACCTCCATGAGATAACTTTTGTAGCTCTCACATATGAGTGAGAACACATGATATTTATATTTTCGTGCCTGGCTTATTTCACTTAATATAATGACCTCCAGTTTTATCCATGTTGTTGCAAATAACAGAATTTCATTATTTTGTATGGGTAAATAATATTTTATTGTCCATATATGTCACATTTTAAAAATCCATTTATCTGTTGATGAACACTTGGATTGATTCTATATTTTGGCTATTGTGAATAATGCTGCAATGAACACGGGAGTGCAGTTATTTCTCCAATAGACTGATTTCCTTTCTTTTGGATATATAGACAGCAGTGAGTTTGCTGGATCATATGGTAGTTCTATTTTTAGTTTTTTAAGGGTCCTCCTTACTGTTTTCCATAATGACAATACCAATTTACATTTTCACCAACATTGTTTGAGGGTTCCCCTTTCTCCATATCCTTGCCAGCATTTGTGATTTTTTTGTCTTTTTGATAACAGTCATTCTAACTGGGGTGAGATAATACCTCATTGTTCCAATTTGCATTTCCCTGATGATTAGTGATGTTCAGCCTTCTTTTGTATAGCTGTTGGCCATTTGTGTGTCTTCTTTTGAAAAGTATCCATTTGAATATTTTGTCGATTTTTAGTTGAATTATGTTATTGTTTTTTGTTTGCTTTTTTTTTTTGCTTTGAGTTGTTTGAGCTCCTTATATATTTTGGTTATTAACCTCTTGTCAGATGGATAGCTTGCAATTATTTTCTCCCATTCTGTGGGTTGCCTCCTCACTTCGTTGTTTCCTTTGTCGTGCAGAAGCTTAGAAACTAAAATAAGAATTATATCATAAAAAGTGTTTTTACTGACCTGTATGATTTTTGTTGTTCTAAGTGTCATATAGCTGATTTGTTATTCCTAGAGTTTAGTCCAGTACCAAATGAGCCAAAAAAGGCTAAACTGATGGCACTCAGAAGGATGGATATTAGAGGGATAGCTATAGTCAAGGTAGTTGCAGTAACAGCAGCAGCAAGGGCCTTTTACATTGTTGTTGTTTTTTTTTTCTAAAAAGTGAGTAAATAGATTTTGTTTGGAAAGAATTAATATTTAATATAAAATTTACTTATATGTTTTAGAAGAATTTTTTTTTAATGAAACACATTTTGTTCCTAGGAGTCTATTATTTCAACATTGTTTACTATCCTCATAGAGTTAGTCATAGAATATTCTTATTCTAGCAAGGAGTTGTAATTTTATTTTGATACGAAGAAAAGAAAAAAACATACTATATGCAAAACTAAATTCCTAAAGAAGACTTTACTAATAACCATCATCTTGACATGCAATCAGTGTTTTCCTGGCTTAGCTCAATGAAGGCAGAGCTCGGTGTTTGGATCTCAGCCAAATTATCTCTAATAGCCATGAACGTACAGACACTAAATTTCTCTTTACTCAAATGTAAATCCACTGCCTAATGTTAAGCAATCTTCATTGAATTGATATTCTTCCTCTCAACTTATTTTACTTAATCATATTTATTAGAGAAGTTTAGCACATCAGAAGTGCATTTAAAAATATTTCCCATGATTAACCTTAGGGTGAAAAAGTTAATGCAAGCTATATTGCCAAGTTCATTAACTATCTTCTTGATAGGCTAACAGCTGCATGATGAAGACAGTGGCCATCAATTAAATGAACAGTGATTTTGAGACCAGAGTTTTCAACAGGGAATAGTCAGTTAGGTTGTGAGCACTGAGGAGTAGCCACTGGGTGGACACATTTCCAAGCATTTTAGTTGGATACTTTATGGAAAGTATTTGTAAGAAGAAAACCTAAGCAACTCTGTCAATTTTGAAAAAAAAAAAGAAATCAAAATACATTCACATATCTTGGAAGAATTTTAACAAAACATTAATTTTTAGAATAGCATTTACCATAAGATTACATATTTGTATGCAAAAATTGTTATTTATTTAAGGTATAGGCAGATGTACCTAATAAGAAGTATAAAGTATCAGGTTTGCAGGTATCTTTATTCCCTTAAGGAAAGAGGTCATTAAATACAAATGCAATTTAAAAGAGACTGCTAAAACTCACATAATTGATATTTTTTGATGCAGTCAGCAGTATCCTATTTTGGGGAACAGAGCTGACCAACATCTCAAAGTAAAAAAGAAATGCTGTGAATTTCATGTTTAAATTGATAAGGTGGTACATTATAACATGATTGTCCCAGGGAAGAGATCAGCCACCGTTGAAAAGTAATGTATCAAAGCACCTCTCTCTCTTCTTTTAGATATTCAAGAGGATTAAGAGGGAAGTTGTTTAAATGGTGATACTTGTAAAAGGCATATTCCCGAGGGTCAGAAACACTTGCTCAAAGGCAGCAGAAGACTCTTTTGGTCATAAGACTTAGGACAACCCCTGAGCTGGTCCATGTGAAGTACATAGCCCAGGACCCGGCACTAAGCACCTGCTTAAGACATTTAGCTATTATCATTATTAACCCAATAAAAATAATGGCATAAAATCTCTGGGTTGCCTATTACCACCTTAAGATATGACTTCTTTAAGGATGTTGATTTACTATAACATTACACTATTGACAGAAAGAAAATCAAGGGTGTAATGTGAATATTATCCCTTGACTTTGCCCAGGGAAAATAAAATTCTGCTTAGTCATTTATCGAAATTGAGAAGTTTCATGAAACCTGAGATTATTTTATCCAGAAGAAATCCAAAATGTTATTAGGAAGCAGAAATACTAATTTTATATTATATGTTCATCAAGAAATCTGTCATTCTAGAGAGAAAAATAAATGAATAAAAATGTTCTAAAAATACTATTCTCACCTAGGATAGAAAAAGACATTTGTTTTCACCAACCACATTTACTAGTGCTGGCTTTGGTCATATGAGAACTGAGTTAGGTGTTCATTCATTCAGAAAGAATATTGAGTCCTCTCTCTTTTCTAGATTATGAAGAGTGTGTAGAGAATAAGAAAGCCAAGTTGCTTGCTATCAGGGAGCTTACATTCCAATGGGGAATAGGGAGAGTTAAGGATAGACAATAAACAAAAAATAAACAATATGCAATAAGTAATTGCAATATGCAATAAACAAAAATCAGGAAATGCAGAAATGAAGAAAGTAAATTCAAAGTGACAGTAGGTTTATTTGAGATAGATGGGGTTGGTGATGGCCTTGGTGATGACGTTTATGCTGAGTGCTGAATAGTGAGAATAAGGCCAGGGACCATGTCAAGACCTTTGGAAATACTAATAACATTTCAGGCAGAGGAGTCAGTGTAGTAAAGTCTCCAAAGATGGCTTGCATCAAGTCCTTCCCTTCCTATATGGACATGTTATTCTACATATCAGGAGGTGGAGTTTTTTCACCCTTCACTTGAATCTGGACTGGCATTATGAATTGTTTTGGCAGATATATAGCTGTGCCAGTTCCAGGCCTGTATGTTTAGAGGCCTGGCAGTTTCTGTTTTCCCTCTTTGAGGCCAGCTGCCTGTGAAAAAGTTTAACCACTCTGAAACTGCCATGCTGTCAGGAAGCCCAAGCTACAAGGAGGGCTATGTGGAGCAACATGTAATTGCCAGACATGTGGGTGAAACCTTCACAAACCTTCTAGCCTATCCCAACTGAAAGCAACCATGTGAGTGAACATAATCATTATTGAGGATAAGAACCACCCAGCTGAGCCCAGTCAGCTCACAGCATTGTGAGAAGTAACTTGTTAACTCACTACTTTGGGGGTTGGTTTTTCATACAGCAATGACTAATTGAAGCAATCAGAACAGAACAGCCAAAGGAATGGGACTTTCCTTTTAGGTTGACTAAATCCTTAGAATGGAAAGCAGTGAGTAATGAGGCCTCCTCAAGTTCTGAAGAGAGGTTCTAGAAACACTCCCTATATGACTTGCCAGGAGGTAGACAAGAAGTTGTACAGCATGCTTTGAAGTGTATTTGTAGGGAAGAAAATGCAGTGGTGTTTCACTTACCTTTCTCTGTTGGAGAGGAAGGAACAAATCCTGGTTCCCTTTCTAAGTCATATGCAGGAGGCAGCAACTGAGTAACTTCCAGGGGCCCAAGGGAGACCGGACTCTTGTTTCCGCTCACAGAGCTTGCTTACAGAAGCTGAGAGACCCAACCCTACTGCTGTCAGCACAAACTAAAAGGCAATTCTTGGAGAATCAGATTTGGTTGGCTACAAGGCTGTTGCCCACCTTTTGAGTGGAAAAGTCTAAAGATAGAGCCTGGCTAGAGGCTGGCAATGGTAGGATGAGGAGAGTGTGCAGCAGTGAAAGATTCTGCATGTCTAGGGGAGGAAAGGACACACATGTGGGAATGTGCCCAACAGTCATACAGGCTTTATGGAGGCTGCCTGAAAGGACCCCACCCAAAGCCTGCCTGCTGAGGGGGAGGATCCCAAGCAAGTGCCATGAGATGGATAAGTGGTGGAGGTGGGACTGAATAGCTAGCCAGGGAATGCATTGCTCACACTGGGGAATGGTGTGGAGCAGGTGCCTCTGCAGTAGTGGCAATGGGGTGGAGGGTGTTTCTGAAGAATTCATGGTAACCACACAAGGCAGAGCTGGCATTTAGGTGTCAGCCTCGGCACAGCACATTTGAAAGCAAGAGATAACTCAAGTAGTTCCAGGTACGTAACCAGTTGTGGCATCTATTATTGCTAATCTCTCCTCATTCTCCCCATCCAAGAGAAGCCAGATGCTAGAAAGGAGTAGATAAAGCAAGGAGAGGGAAAGAAGGGGACCCGAGCTGCCCCCTTCTGCTGGTTCCCAAGCAGAGGACCAGACCTGAGCTTGAGGGGAGATGACACTCTTTACACTGGGGGTGAGACCACATTTTCTATTTAGAAAGTGAGTGGAAAGCTAAGGGCACTGTCTGACATAGCTTGAAAGGGAAGGGAGGAGAGGTTCAACAGAGTCTTTTAGAACAGTGGTGGGTGAAGAATCAAACTCTCTCCTGATGGAACCCTCCCAAATTTAGCCCATTCAATAGACCAGTTACCAGTTTGAAAGCCCTACGGGAGGAGCAGGTTCATTATATTTGAGGATCTGAAGGAAGGCGACTATGGGAGAAAAAGAATGAGCTGAAAGCAAGGAGGAGAAAGGGGAGATGGGGCTGGAGGGGAGGGCGGGACAGGGGTGAAGTCCAGTTGCTTTGCCGCCCAGGAGAAGCATTTTGAATTTTACTCTGAGTGTTCTAGGAAACCACTGGAGAGTTTTAGGAAGAAAAATAATAGAGTTTTATTTTCATTTTTTAAAAACCTCTGGCTACTCTGGGGAATGGGCAGTAGTGCGTAAGAGTGGAAGCACAGACCTGCGAGGCAACTGTTACAGTAATTGCAGGGAGAGATGGGAGATATTGAAGAGAATGCTACCAGACAGAGGGAGTTAGTCAAGTATTTTGATAACTGAATGAATAAGTAAGAGAAATATTTGGTAATGTTACTGGACAAATTAAAGGCCATCAAGACCATTAGGGGTCAGGCCAGTGCTATTTTTCAATGCGTTGGACTTAATATATGAGCGGCTGTCAGATTTCATTGCACACATGAATCCTCTGGGACTTGGTTAACATGCGAATTCCTGGGTCTCTTCCTTAGTTCTTTTGATTCGGTAGGAATGGTGTGAGGCCCTGGAGCATGCACTGTTAAAAGCACCCAGGTAAGGTTCACGGACTCTGAAAAACCCTGAATCATTTCTCTGAAAGACTTTCCAGTTCCTTGTGATTTTTGCTTTCTCGGATGTCCAGTTAACTCTGCACTCTGAATTTCAACATTTACTATACATTTTCTTACATTGGTCTATTTTTCTTCATCTCATTTTGTTTTTAACCCTTGAGCATTAAATGCTTTGAGGACCAGCTTTTTTTCTCTTTCCTCCTTCTTTTTTGTTTTAATTTACCTTCTTATGGAACGGAATTCTAAGTGCATAAGGACTTTTTAACTTTTTTTTTTCATTATCATCTGACTTCAAGATTCAATTTTTTGACTGTTTTGAAAGCAACACAGCCTTCTTGATGTAAAAGCATTTAAAAGATAATGTATCAATTACCAGCTGAGCAATTTAGAGAGACAGAAGAAGGGGCTTAGTGGAATAAAGAAAGAACTCATTTTCTGTAGTATATGACGGAGAACTGTCTCCAACCTCCTTTCCCTTTCATAACCAAGGACATTTTGAGAGAATAGACTTCCAAGTCATAGGCAATAAATGGCAAATGAAAAGATACAAATGTCTTTATCAGACATTTTAATCTGAAAAGTGAAGAACACGCCTAAGGTAGCAGACGTTTAATACTGTGCTATTGGGCCTAATGCAGGACAGCTTGCTTTTACCTACAACAAAATGGAATTTGCTCCAGATATCTGGATAACCTTGATGCAGCAGGAAATATGTGATTCAATCACATGGGGCATAATTACTCAGATTGGTACAAGGCAAAGTTGTTAAATGTTCTAAACTGTCTCAGACAAGATCATCTAGAGGCAGATTGGATAGGCATTATCTTTTTGATGCTCCTGAAGAGATGAAATCATCCAAATCATTATGGAGACAGAAACACAAGGCAGGTGTTACAAGAGGTCTATTCTTTTCTTCCAAGTAATCAGCTTTTAAATTTTATTTTTTACCAAAGGAAGTCTAAAGGACGCTTTAGCAACAAAATATTTTTCTAACAAAATTTGTCTAGGAAAAATCAAGAATTAGTTATATCTAGTCAAAGCTAACAGCTAATCGAAAGTGTGAGTGTGTTTACCGCTAGTCAGATATAGACAATTTGATCATCAAATTATCAAAGAACACTTATTTACCCAAAACTGAGGCCAAATCAACATAAAACAGCTCACCAAAGTGTGGGTTTATTTGCCATACTGGGAGAGCAGGTGGGAAACTGCCATAAAACCCACTGGATTCAACTTTGTGTTTTACACAGCTTTATCTCAGACAGGAAAACACATGAAACGGACACCCCAAGCTGAAAAAAATTCAGTATGCCTCCTAATTGTTCGATTCTCATAATAGCATACAAGTGAAAAGTAAATAGGCACACTGTTGTTTCAGTAAGCTAGAAAAATATCAGTCTCAAACAAAACTAAGATAAGATACTTTCAGTTGCAGATCAGGAGCTGGATGGTTAATTGATACATGTCTGGACTATATTAGCAACTTTTTTTTTTGGAAAAATACTTTTCCAAATAATAAGGTGTCTTTAATATCATTGAATTCTAAAGTAGAACATTATATCTTTTTGGTGCTCAGGTTTACACAAAAGTAGAGCACCACTTTTCCCATTTCTTGAGGAAGACTCTTGATCCTTCCTTTGGGCAAAAAGGAATGTTTGATAAGAGGTACTATAAACGTTGAAATATTGTTGTTTCTGTCACAGTGTGGAGTCACAATGTTAAGGGAAGAAGTGAGGTATTTGTCAAGCTAATTAAGTTTTTTTTTTTAAAAAGCTCCATATCTTCTTAATAATTATTTATAAAATATGGTTTTACGCCTACTTGGAAATAGCCTAAAGTACAGTAAGTTATTTCAATGGCATTAAAATCAAGATGATGCAGAAAGGGTTGAGATGATTGATCTGTTATCTCAAAGTAATATCTCGGCCAGAATCTACTTGATAGTTCTTACTAACTCTTCAAAAACATTCAATTTGGGAAAAAAATTTGATATGTCTGGACTATGTCTGGAAGTATTATGTCATTCACCTATTTTCTCAAAAAAAAAGTATTTGGGAGCAGAATTATTTTTATTTTTGTGTTATCAGATTGATCAAGCCATTGGAGCACAAATTTTCAATTGAAAAAGGAATGTGTCCAGTGTTGTTAATTAACACAGCAGAGTCGATTACAATGGGCAAGCCAGGCTTCTAGCATCAGAAAATGACCTTTACAGGAACACACTTCACCTCCCCTGTCTCTGGGAAGCATGTAAATCTGCAAGCAAACTCCAGGAAGAGGGAAACTGTCTCTAATGAGGTGATTTACAACATCTTCCTGCTGGAATCCTCACACTTTGTCCATCCTTATAGCCTTCAGTTCATGAGAAATATTTCCCTTTAAGAAAAGAATATCTCAATTTGTCCTTCAGCCTGAATCACAGAACAAAAGACTTGACATAAGCAACAGGAAGCAACTATACATGACTGAGTCTTTTTAAAAATGACACAACCAAAATATGCTCTAATTTTGATATGCTATGTTTTGAGATTATAGGGCTACATGAAGAGTGGATGGAATTTTTTTTTTTTTTTTTTTTTTTGTCATCTAGAAAAGTTCAAGAAGATATTTGGCCAGGGAAACCAACATATAAAAAGGAGAAACCACTGTTTAATTTTGTTTGTTTGCTTTTGTAGCTAAATAAAGTGATTGTCCTAGATATGCTCAAATTTACCATCTGGTTCTCATTCCATATTCTCTTGGTTTTAAAAAAAACCACTAGATCTAGGACTGCCTATTAGGGCTATTCTGATTAGGAAGAGATGGGAGGACAGATGGTAGAATTAGGTGGTGGAGGAACTGATGGGACAGTGAACTACTTATCATTTACACTCTGCTTCCAGAGAAGCTGCCAAATAGTTGGGCGGAAACTCTAAGTTGAATGTCACACCTAGAAAAATTCCTCTGCAAAAATTATCTCTAATTAAAAGTAAAATTTTGACCAAAATGTATGTATATTAATATAAAAACTTTTCCAATTACGTGTGGGCCATCATTATGGCTGTTTGTTTTAGTCAACATTTATTGAGAATTTAATTTATCTCAGCATGCTCTGTCTCATTCACTTCTCAACACTAAGAATTAGTTACTCCTACTATTTCTGATTTTGAGAGGAAGAAACTGAGACTTTGAGAGTTACATAACTTGCTGAAGGTCAAACAACCAGTAAGTGGCAGAACGAGAGACTCAAAGCCAATCTGATTTTGAAGTTCGTTCTTACTATGCTACACTGCTTTCTGCAATCTTTAATAATTGCTAAAGCAGCCAGATCATATTTATCTACTTCAATCCTCCATTCAACATGGTTTTGCCAATGTCAGTCCTCTCTTTCCACTCTTCCTTTGATAAATGATTTTAACCTCTCTAGAATTGAGCAAGTTTTCAAATAATAACACATCCAGTACAATATCGAATTCTAGATGCCATCTCACCAATCCTTTACATTTTCCTTCTTCACTTTATTTCCTTACTTGCTGTGCAAAATAGCATTGATCATTGTCTAGCCCATCTCATTTCTGCTAACATGCACAATAAACTTTGCCATCACCCTTAGGCCTTCTAGGACATTAATATTTGACTGACTTCACTCATCTATTGACAGTCCATGTTTTGAATTCTTTTTTAGTTCCAAGATATATTAGATTGTAACTTGCCAAGTTGAATTTCAGTTACTCTGTGGTTTTCTCCTCAATTTATTCCTCTGTCATTGCAGCAACTCCCAGCTTAGAATCAGATTTTATTATAGTGGTGTTTTCGCATTCTTCCAGATTGCTAATAAAGATGTTAAACCAGACCAGACCTTCCGAGTGACCCTTTGATTGCTATTTGTATGCTCTTTCAGGGAGACCATGAATAGCTGAAAGTGAATGCAAATTGTAAAATTGGATTGCAAGAAGCTTCTAAACTTGTTATCAAGGGTCAAAATAATTCCCCATGTGACAATCAAATGGAAATGGCTTGGGATAGCGAGAATAGAACATGAAGTTAGAAGTGTAAGACACAGGGAAGTGGATGAAACAATTTCAGCTCTTGCTGCCAGAGATGACATGAAGAACAACGTCTATAATGCCAGGATATATTTTTTTAAAATAATGTTTTCCCCAATGTTAAGAAATAATTAATATCATATGACTTTCACAGCACAGGTTTATTTTTCATCTCTTTGAGATCACAATACCATAAGGTGAACATTATTTCCATTTGATGCCTAGAAATGGTGAAGCACACAATGGCCCTACACAGTCATTCTCTCTTTGGCATGAGATCAAAGCCTATTAATTTCCAATGGATTTTGACAGGTGTCTGAAATTTAGCAATGCAACTAAGTGGCTTGTATATAATAAGTGCACAATAAATATTTGTTTAATAAAAAATCCTTTATAAGCAAATGAGAAACTCTGCCATATTAAAGGTGTTCCTTCCTTTATCTCCTTTTTCACCTTTATCTCTGTGGGACATTTGACTTCTATTTATTATACCTAAAGTGAAGACTTGATGTCTTAGACTGCTAGGGCTGCCGTAACAAAGCACCACAAACTGGGTGCTTAAATGACAGGAATTTATTTTCTTACGGTTCTGGAAGCTGAAAGGCCAAGTTAAGGCACTGTCAGAGATGGACTCCAGTGAAGCCTCTGTTCCTGGCTTGTAGATAGTAGCCTCTCCCTGTCCTCACATGGCCTTTTCTCTGTGCCTGCAGGAGACACAGAGCTCTCTGGTGTCTCTTCCTCTCCTTGTAAGGACATCATTTCTATAGGATTAGGGCCCCACCCTTATGACCTCATTTAACATTAATTACCTTCCTAACAGCCCTATCTCCAAATTCAGTCACATTGGAGATTAGGGGTTCAACATGTGAATTCAACCTAGCCCACAACATAATCGGTTTATCACACTTGCTGATACTGCCTGTCTCCTCCACAGTTGAGCTGGAATCTCAATTTAGATGTGCTCTATTTCCCCTCTTTTCACCTCTTGCTATTGCTCAAGCCACACCCCCACTCCCCCAGGGCTAGGAGCCAGAGTGTCTGTGTACTTAGCTCTCCTTACCACCACACTGCAATGCCCTGCTTTGGAAGATGTGAGGCAGTCCTTAGCCTCATGAGTCTGGGGCGACACCCCTTGGCTGCCGTCCTGGGTTGAATAGTGTCTCCCTGAAATTCTTGCCCACCCAGAACCTGGGAACCTGTTACTTTATTTGGACATGAGTTTTTTTGCTGATGTAACCAAGTTAAGATAAGGTCATACTGGGGTAAGGTGGGCCCTAAATCCCATGACTAGTGTCATTATAAGGAGAGGGAGATAGAGACACAGGGACATGAAGACACAGACAGCCATGTGAAGATGCAGGCAGGCAGAAGTAGAGCAATTCAGCCACAAGCCAAGGAAAGCCAAGGATGGCCGGCAGGCCCTAGCAGCGAGGAGAGAGGCATGGGAAAGATTCTCCTCCAGAGCCTCCAGATGGAAACAACCCTGCTGATACCTTGATTTTGGACTCCTGGCCTCCAGAACACTGAGAATACATTTCTGTTATTTCAAACTACCTGCTTTGTGGGACTTCTGTTCCAACAGTCCTAGGACATTAACACAGTTGCTATGCCACCTGGAGCTGCAATCCTTCCTAACACATCTTATGCCCTAGTCCACCCCCAGTGATCCAGCATCCCATGGCCTATGCACCCTACACTTCCCTGTACAGCCGCTAATTGGAATGCATTTCTACCCCTGCCTGTCCCAACCCTTCTGCTGGGCCCTGTTTTAAGTGTCCCTCATCAGTCCCTGATCTATAGAAGCTGTTTGGTCAGATCATAATCACACTGTTTAAATTCCCTTCATTGCCTGAAACGGTACCTGATTTGTTTTCTCTATCATTTGTTCATTTTTCCCTCCTCCATCCAGAATGCAAGTTCCTTGTGAGCAGAGACCTTGACTGTCTTGTTCATCATTGTACCCACACACAGTACCCAGAACTCTGCCCAGACCAATGAGTATTTCTTGGATGATATGGAAAATAATCTATATCTATCATCAAAACTTCCTCGGTATTCCTTCTTAACCTCTTTTCTGTATCTTCTTCTTGCTCCATAACACTGCTTCTCTGGTAAACATGTTGAACAGAAGATTTTTAGTCATCCACATCCTAAAAAACTTTGGACTTGGCATTAGGAATATCTTGCATTTTCTTGGTTGTTGCTTCTACACAATTTCTCCTTCCTTTTCTTCTAAGTCTCCAGCTCCCTTGTGTCTCTGCCATTAAACTGTACTACCTGCATTCCTCCTAATTGCTACCTTCAACCCGTATCCGGTTACATCCCATTTTGTTGAATTGTTGATGACTTTACCAGACTGTCTCTTCATTTCAACCCCTCACCATTCTTGATGACTTCAACATCCATGTCTAGGACCTATCCCCATGTTTTGGTTTCTTAGTTTCTTAGCCATTCACCTCTATTACTTTTTCTCCATCCACTCCAGCAATTCACTCTTATGGTTTCACTCTTGACATAGTCATCGTCAATAAGGAGATTACTTAATAACCTTGACATCAAGCACTGACTTGTAACTCCCACCTTCCAGCCAACCTTCTCTATTCCTTCCACTTGAGCTATTTTTCTATCTCAATTCTTCCATGTGGAATTCCAAAAAATTCTCATGACCAGTTACAAACTATTAGTCTGTTTTCATGCTGCTATGAAGAATTACCCAAGACTGGGTAATTTATAAAGAAAAGGGGTTTAATTGACTCACAGTTCTGCATGGCTAGGAGGCCTCAGGAAACATGCAATCATGGTAGAAGGCACCTCTTCACAGGGCAGCAGGAGAGAGAATGAGTGCCCAGCAAAGGGCAAAAGCCTTATAAAAACATTAGATCTCATGAGAACTCATGCACTATCACGAGAACAGCGTGGGGGAAACTGCCCCCATGATTCAATTATCTCCACCTTGTCCTGCCTTTGACACATGGGGATTATTACAATTCAAGGTGAGATTTGGGTGGGGACACAGAGCCAAACCATATCACAAGCCTCATGCCATCACTTTCCTTCTTAACCACCCTTGCTTTCAGACCTTTCATTTTAATTACTCCATCAAAAACTCTTACTTCTGTATGTTGCTCTTATCTACAAATCTCCCATGTAGTTCCAATTCAGCTGTTTACTTTCTCCATGCTGAACTCAAGCAGCTAAACATTATTGGAGAAAATTATACAGTGATGTTGATTTGGCATACTGTAAATGATTTCAACTAATTATCAACAAATCTTCAATGAATAGTCAATATTGTCCCATGATCTTACTGCATTTCCCTAGCATGTTTAATTTCTCATTATCCAAAATGTCTATTTTACACCCCTTAATCTCTTTACATGTTCTTCTCTGCCTCTCAGCAGATGACCTTATCTTATAATTTATTAACAGAAGAATTCAGATGGGAATTCTGCTCCTCCCACCATCAAATCTGTCAATTTATTTCCATCTCTCTTGTATTTTCTGACTTCCCTCTTTTTACTGTGGACTAAAGGCTCTTGTTGCTATCTAATGCCAGTTTCTCTACTTACACCCTGGATCCCAACACTTTTTGAGTTCACAGGCAGTCTGTACCTGCTGTTATCCACATCCAACTCCTTCATCAGTATCTTTCTTCCTACTGAAACAGTGTTCCAATATCATCTATCTAAAAAAATGCTTTGACCTCACATCCATCTCCAGTTACCTATTCATTTCTTTCCCTTCCACACCTTAAGTGGCTATCAGTTGATGCTGATACGATATCTCCACATCACACTGCAATATTCAACCCATACTGACTGCACTTTCATCAATACTACTCCACTGATGCTCATTTTGCCAAGGTCACTAATGACTACCATATTGCCATGTCCAATAGTTACATTTATCTTTTAATTTCCTTTATCTTTCAGCTGACTACTTCTTTCTAAAACATGTTCTTCTCTTGGCTTCTATGATACCACTCTCTCTTGGTTTGAGTTCTTTTCAGAAGCTTTTCCTTCTCAGACAACAAGTTCTCAGAGATCCCCAGGAATCTCTCCCATCTCCTTTGCCACAGACACTGCTACAGATCTCATCTACTCCATGCAATTTAATACTATCTGTAAACCAGCGACTCTGTCTCACGTAATTACCGCTGACATCTTCCTAAGCTCTGGGCTGGCATATCTAACTATCTAATCTCCTTTTGGATATATCATAAACATCTCAAACTTAATGTAGCCAAAGAGAACTCATATCTCCCTACATCTCCTCAACAAACTTGTTCCTTCCCGGTATCTCTGTTTTAGTTAATGCACCATTATCCACCCAGTTCCTTGAGCAAAAATGTATGATTTGATTCCCCCACCTTCTCGGTCCTTTCTATCCAATTCATAAACAACATCTGTTGAGGGCACTGTAAGGTGTGTCCTGAGCCTGACCACTTCCGGATAGCTCTATTTCTATTGACCTAATCCAAACTGTTGTCAGCTTTCATTTTGCCGGCTGTGTTAGCTTCTGAACTTGTCTCTCTGCTTTTCCCCTTGACACCTTATGACCCATCCTGTGCACAGCTGCCAATATGATCTTTTAAAATTTAAATATGATCTAATTGCTCCACTTCTTAAAAGCCTGCAAGAGCTTTCTATAGCAATCGGGATAAAATCCAATCATTTTTCCTCTTACACTACCCGCTTTCTATGATCTGGCCTCTGCCTACATTTCCAATTTCACCTCATGCCCTCACACCTGACTCACTGCATTCCAACCACATGGGCCTCCTTCCCTGCTTAGGGCACCTATTTCCTCTGCTGGGAATGTTCTCCCTCCATGATTTTTACTTGGGTGCCTCTTACTGCCACGCATACTTGCTTAATTGAAATATTACCTCTCTGGAGAGACCTTATTTGACCACATAACTTAAAATTGCCACCTAGTTTTAATCTATTGCATCAGGTCTCTGTATAGCATTTTATCACCAGCTGACATGTTTCCTGTGTATTTGTGTTTTTGCTTTCCTTTCTCACCTGTAATGGAAGGCCCATGGAAACAGGTACCTTTTTTTGGTCTTGCTCAGTTCAGAGAACAAATGCTATAAACATGGCCTGACACAGAGTAGCTGCTCAGTAAGTATTTGTTGAAGGTGTGAATACATAAAGAGCTGAAGGAATTGTTACCATGTTGTATTTACGGAGGTTTCCAAAGATCACCAAGGTGCAGACCACCTTCCTTTCTTTTGCTGAGAAGATTTCCTGTAGCCCTCCGCTTGCTAGTGGCCATGATGTTATTCAGTTTTGGAATACGCTTATACTCTTACCATCCTGAACGTTTCATTTATTGAATTCTAATATGGATAAGTTATCAGCACTGTGAAGTTATAATTTTTGCCTGCCCCTAAAACTACAAGATAATTAAAAATGTGTAGAATATACACAAGTGATGGTATATGATAGATTCCATAGGCTTGGGGAAAAAGCTTTCCTGTTCAGTGATGCCTGAAATTGCTTTCGCTGGGCAAGGCTTTTCATTCCAAATCAGAGATAAAGTTTAAAGATAAAAGACCTGGGAGAGGTCTTGGTGGGCAAGCATACAATTGGCACCTAAGGAGGGGGAAGGGAGAGGCCATCTAGCAGGACAAGAAGTAAAATCGCTTCTGCGTGGAGCCTCCTTTGCAACTTTATTCTGGTGTAGAAGTAAAAACTTGAGTCCTGAGAGCTGTATAATTCGGAATTGTTTGTAAGTAAAGATATAACACTATGTTATGCATCATAACTGTCTTTAAGTCCCTTCCTTACCTTGTCTTAGTAAGTTTTTTTCTCTCTTGTTTATATATTTTATTTTCTTCATTTTTCTCTAGATCTTGATATTCCCTTTCTCCCTATAAATTTTCGTAGGCTGCTCCCTATGTGTGAAAAACATATTTCTCTTAGGCTTTTCTCAGCAAAATCCCTCGCTTGCAAATTTGTTTTCAGAATTATGTTTCACCAAATCTTTTCAATGCAGTCCCCTAATAAAATTCTCCCCCTAGGAGAAGGCATGACAGATGGCTCAAGGAAGAAGATAAATGAAACTGAATGTCAGTAATATCTCATCCGGGAAGCTCGCCTTCCTTCAGACTCGTGTTTTTGATTTGCTTATTTAGCCTGTTTCCTCTTTTGTCCTTCAACCATGGTCCCAGTGGACAAGGGCTGTCCCTTCTTTATGTTCTCAAAAGCACCCTATAAATAATAAGCACACCTGTTTTGTTGTAGTTTTCTAATGTTATCTGAATTGCTTACCTTACACATATTTTTTCACAATGATAAATGTCCACACTTTCCTGATTCAATATCTATTTTCAGTGAGGGACGCAGAGTTAATGGTAATTCAATTGTTTAGAGCACAGAACACAAAACTCAAGATACGGATCTAAATGTAGTAGTTGCACATTCTTACTCTGCACCTGAAATTGAAATTCAAGCCATATTTTATCTGAGGACCTCTATCTTATATGTAAGTAAAAGAAAAAAAGCAAGGTGAGAGTTGTATTGAGACTCTAAAGTAAAATAAAAATAGACATTAATAGACTTGAAGAAGGATTATAGATTCACTTTATAAAAAATATTTGTATACAAATATAAAGCAATAATGTATTATACTGACAGTTGATTTTGTCATCTTCAGACTAACTGATTGTTTTAATCTTTCAGAGAAAAATGCTTCAAATTTTCTACCAAGTGGAATGGGAGGAAGGCATTAAAAGATAACTTAGTTTTCTCCTCTCTCTGATTCTCGTTGGTGTTGTTGTAACTTGCTAAAGAAAATAGATGGAAAATATACTTATATCCGTAATATATTCTAAATACTGCTGTATTACCTTTATTTCCTCAAGTTATGCATAAACCAGTCAAATCTATGTCTAATCTATGTTCTATTCTCATAAAATTATTAACACATTAAACAATATGTCATTAATAATCATTGTTTAATTGAAATCAATTGACATTTATAATGTTAAAAATACTGAACATTTGACTAGTTTAAAATTTTCATTTTATTTTCTGTTTATTTCAGTTAAATCTCAACATCTGTGACAAGAAAGGAAAGGAGAAGTATTCTGCCCACTTAGGGATGGGCAAACTGAGGGCCAGGGAAAAGTAAACTAGGATTACAATCCGTGCTGTGGCGTGAAATGCTTAGAACCAGGTCTCCCGGTGAGGGAAGGGGGTTGACCCCTGAACTCTGATCTGTGGTATTTGCCAATTCTTGTGATGTAAATACTCTCACTATGGTTGATTTCAACTCGTCAGTGTGAAGTCACTGAACATAAAGTGGGAAAGATATGTGCATGATTGGTTCTTGCAGCTTCAGCTCAGCACACCACTGCATCCTGGTAATTGAGTGCAGCACCTTCAGTGAAAAGGGAAGGATTCCTTGGGCAGCTATGGTGTATGATGGTATCTCGTGGTACATAAAGAAAAGCTCACCTATGGGGTTTGTGATGTGCAGGGACTTTGGTGGCTCTTGGGGCCTCTGCAACGGAATTTGAGGGCCTCCCCTCTAGAGTGCTGCCATTTACTTGCCACTGTTACTGATAACTCCTAATTCTGTCATCTCAGTTCAAAGTTGAAACTCCAAAGGGAGAAAATCTGATTGGCCCAGTTGTGTTCCTTGTTCAGGACTGAGGGCATCCATGGCAGAGATGCTGCTGTTGGAGCCTCATCCTCATGTGACAGTTGCAGTTTCCAGAGAAGAAGGAATCACAGTGCTTTTGGAGCTCCTGTTAAATTAGGTATTAGGTATTTAATATGTTTTATTGCTTGGTCGTCCAGCCCCCATGCACCCTCTTTCAGTAGACACAATGTCAATGTATCCCCCCTATTTGAGACCAGGCTTTTCAGGATCTCCCATCTTAGGCTGAAATTGCAAATCTAACCATGACCAGTATTCCCTATATGCAACCACTGGGGAAGAGGGGAAAAGAGAAAGAGAACTTCTGTTTTCAAATGGAGAAGGAAATAAAAAGAGAGACCTACAATTACACATGTAGAATTGATTACATATGTACCATTCTGACCTTTCCCAAACCCCATTAAGATGACAACTGTAGAGATTTGAAAAGCCAAAATCCCATAGAAGAAAGAGCATAAGAGTGAAGAGGAGAACAGTAACACAATTAGCAATGAATTAGCAATGCAGAGGAAATGGAAATATAAGCTGAGGAGGGGAAGCCAAGTCAAGTTACATCACAGAAAGTCCTGAAATGGAAGTTTATTTTATTTTATTTTTATTTATTTTTAATTTTTTTATTTCCATAGGTTACTGGGGAATAGGTGGTGTTTGATTATGAGTCAGTTCTTCAGTGGAGATTTGTGAGATTTTGGTGCACCCATTACCCCTGAAATGGAAGTTTCTGAAAATGGAAAGTATCATACACCTCTGACAATGGGGTGTGGGGCTAGACACAGAAAGGTTGTCTGAAAGTTTTTACGAGAAGCAACTACCCCAGACACCTCCCTCATTCCATTTTAATCTGGATTCCGGATTGAATCCAGACTGGATTCTCTTTCCCTGGCAGAAGACTGGAGGCTTATGCTATGAAGAATCTGAAGCAGAAGAAATCCAGGCTTGAGAATTCCTGGCTGAGAAACTGGGTACCGAAAACAAGGGCATTAAATGAAACACTGTGCAAACTTTATATAAACAATGAGACCTCCTAACTCCCTTTCCATACCTAGCTCTAGAATTCCTACAGATAGGTTTATTCCCCTAAGAAAGAGAAAAGCAGTTCCTGGCAGCTGAGAGCTGGCCTGGCCACATCAGCAGGTTGTCAGTGTGGCCAAGAGCCAGGGCCAGCTGGGTGGTGTGTGACTACGGTGGTCACACAGGATCCCATGCACAGAAAGGCCCCTCACTAGGGTTTTAGAGCTATGCAGTTGCCATCTTGAAATTCTTTATTCTTAATTAATGTGAATTTGTGTTTTGCAAGTGGAGCCAATGGGACAATGCAGCATGCACTATAGGCTTGGAGCCTCCACTCAGGTGTGGACTCAGGCTCAGAACAGGTTCTCTGAGCCTCTGTGCCCCATTCAGCCTCCCCACCGTATCTATACCCCACACCTGCTGCTGTCCTCACTAGGGACTGAGTTGCATGGCGTCAGCTGGGATAGGCCACCCTCCAGCTGGAGCAGGGACCTGGGTGCAGGTGTTAAGAGGGTCGGGCCGGGGAGGAGGCCTGTGCTGGCAGTGCTGTGTCATGTTGGAGGGAGTGGTGACTCTGCAGAACCTGTCATCTAACCAACCCTTCAGGTACCAGTGCAGAAATTGTCATCTCTCAGTCTCATGTCTACTGTGGGTTGCGCCTTATTTCCTTATTTTATTAGATTATTATTTTTTTCATTTGTATATATTTATGGGGTACAAGTGCAATTTTCTCATGTGCATAGATTGTGTAATGGTCAAGTCAGGGCTTCAGAGTATCCATCCCTCAATAATATAAATATTTACTATTCTTCACCCTCCTACCCCTTCACCCTTCCTAGTCTCCACTGTCTATGGACTCCATTCTCCACATCCATGTGTATGCATTTTTTAGCGCCCATGGATGAGTGAGAACATGTGACATTTGCTTTTCTGTACCTGCTTCTTTCACTTAAGATAATGACTTCTAGTTCCATCTATGTTGCTGCAAAATACATGATTTCATTCTTTTTATGGCCCAGTAGTATTCCATTGTGTATATATGCCACATTTTTTAATCTAATCATTTGTAGATGGACATTTAGCTTGATTCTGTATTCTGGCTATTGTGAATAGTGCTGCGATAAATATGAGTCAGGTATCTTTTTGGTATATTGATTTCTTTTTCTTTGGGTAGATACCCAGTAGTGGGTTGCTAGATGGAATGGTAGTTGTATTTTTAGTTATTTGAGAAAAAACTCCATATTGTTTATTTTTGACTATGATATTCTTATTTTCCTTTGAGAATTGTAAAAATGTTTTAAATCTGAGATAAAAGTGGGTTTCTCTGGGCAAATTTAGTTGTGCTTTCTCAGGTGCCTAGGAGTGAGGCCCATTTATGTCAAATAAGTGTTTCTCAAGGAGTATGATGTTAGCATTTTGGATGGGACATTTCTTTATTATGGAAGTTTCCTGTCTCTGTTTGCCATCTGCAAAATGTTTGTAGTGCACCCAGTAACTGTGAGAACCCCCAAACATCCCAAAACATTTCCAAACACCTCCTGTGTTAGGTGGTATCCTCATTGGATGAAAACCCTCTTCTAAATTAAATTTTTGGCTTGAGGCATTCTGGACCTCATGAGGAGTTTGAATTAGGGCTTTATATATAGGATTCAACTGGTGGGCTCCAAATTCTCCAGGGCATTCTTCCTACACAATCTGCCCAGAGTCAAGGGTTGAGACAGTTGATCTTCCCTGCAGTAGCGTGAGTCTGAGGGTGGAGTATTTATTTATTGTTTTTTCCTATCCTATATTAGGTTGTAACCCTTTGGGATCCCATCTTCATCTGAACCATCACCTGTGACATCCAACCTGGGGCTGACCCTGGGGCATTCTGTTTCCCATACCCCTTGAGGCTGTGAAAATTAAAACTCAAGTACACCTGGCTTAGTAACAGACCCCACTGCAAAGCTGGATCTAGTGCTCTTCTGATCTCAGTTCCCGGCTTGAGAATTGATATCTTGCTTTTTATATTTTATCCAAGATTTCTAGTTATTTTCAAAAGCTGGAGCAAGACAGCAATCTAACTCTATACAAATCTTTTAAAGGAATCAGTAGTCACAAATTTTCTAGCATGATTAGGAAAAAAATGGTTATAAAATATGTCATAGTAGCTTTATAATAAAGGGAAGGAGAAAAATAGAACTTGAGAATAATGCTAATAGCATACTATGTTAGTCTGTTCTTATGCTGGTGATAAAGACATAATGGAGACTGGGTATTTTATAAAGGAAAAGGTTTAATTGACTCAGGTCCACATGGCTGAGGAGGCCTCACAATCATGGTAAAAGGTGAATGAGGAGCAAAGTCATGTCTTACATGGTGGCACCAGGCGAGAGAGCTTGTACAGGGGAATGCCCACTTATAAAACCACCAGATCTCATGAGACTTATTCACTACCACTAGAACAGTATAGGAAAATCCGCCCCCATAATTCAATTATCTCCACCTGGCCACCCCCTTGACACATGGGGGTTGTTACAATTCAAGGTGAGATTTGGGTGGGGACAAGGCCAAACCATATCATATGGTATAGTGTAAATGTACTGGGCTCTTCTTGCATTGCTATGATGAAATACCTGAGACTGAATAATTTATAAGAAAAGAGGTATAATTGCCTCACGGTTCTGCAGGCTCTACAGGAAATATAGCAGCATGTGCTTGCGGGGAGGCCTCAGGAAGCCTTTTTTTTTTTTTTTAACTCATGGCAGAAGGTGAAGGGGGAACAGGCAAATCACATGGCAAGCAAGGAGCAAGAGAGAGAGATCGAGAGATAGGGAACGAGGTGCCACACTTTTAAATGACCAGATCTCACGAGAACTCACTCACTATCATGAAGACAGCTCCAAGCTGATGGTACTAAACCATTCATGAGAAATCCACCACCATGATCCAATTGTCTCCTACCAGGCCCTACCTCTAATACTGGGGATTGCAATTCAACATGAGATTTGGGCAGGGACACAGATCCAAACTATGTCAGTAAATATGAGAGTGTGGGAGCCAGACACATTTGTATTTGAATCCCAACGGTACCACTTAACATCTCTGTGACCTTGGGGGAAGTTACAGGATATCTTTAAACCTCAGTTTCTTTCTCTATAAAATGAAGCAAAAATAACACTTGTCAAGGTGGATGAGATAATTAAAGAGATAGCATATGTTAGTTATCTCCCTTTTCTTTCTGCTTCGGTTGTCAGGGCTCCCAAAATCCATTTATCCATTTTTTCTTTCCTTTACCTTTTTTCATTAAAAAAACTTCTCCTTCTTTTGTTTTTGCAGGGGTTCTGTCAATAAGAACTAGGCACACCTGGATGCAGATGAAGTTTTAATTAAATTTGGAAGTTCAGAACTCCAGAACCAAAATCAGACTTGTGGTGGTTAGAAATTGAGAACTGTCGTAATGGGATGAGTTGATAGAAATGCTCTTGGTTTCAGCTGTGTTTGTGATAAGCTATTAAGAACAATAAAGAAAAGTTCCAGTGTAGTCACAGAACATGCACATTTGACTCTTATGAATTATCCAATTTGGGGCAGTGAGTGGAGAGGAGAGAGAAAGAGAGAGAGAGAGAGATGGGGAATACCGTGGTGATTCTACATGCTCTTCCACCAAAGACCATGTACTCCTAAGTGAGAATGAAATGGGGGGGAATTTGTTGTCAACTCCAGTGATCCTGTGTGTCTTTGGTTGTGTGAACATCTCAGGCTACTGGAAATGTCTTGCTTTATAGATATATGCTATTCATATCAAGTAGCCCTTAAATGCAAGCCGGCAACTTCACTTGGTGTCAGACTAACAAAACAGAAATCTGTGGTAACATGAGAAAAAATTTGGCTGTATTGCACTTGGGAGAGAAGGAAGGTCTGCTTTTGTTTGGGTGATTGTCAAGGATCATTTTTTTCACACATGGTTTTTGCCAAAAAAGCTTACTTTAGAACCCAATTGGGGTACAATACAACTGTATTGTGATTGAAATTTATATTCTTCACACAAATTCAGTATATCATTTTGATTAGTAAAAGCAAACATGTTTTCATATCTACTAGACACTATAAAAGACTAGACATAAATTAGATGAAATTATCCAACAGCTGAAGCCATCTGCCCTCAAAATCACATGAAAACACTTTTTGTTTCCCAAATCTCAATCTAGGGCTTTCATCAAATACTGAGACAATGAAGTTATAGCTGCTATGAAATAAATGTTAATGCATCTAATTGTAGCAGTTCATGGATAATGTCTTAAAAGATATGTGAAATCTCAGGAAAAATTCAGAATCAGAATTTTTCAGGGCTAAGTAAACAGTATCCCGGATGTACAGCAAGGAAATTTTTTACTTTCTATCACCCAACAGATAAATAATGCATAGGCTTACTGAGCAAACAATTGTAGCAAAGAGTTGAATCACTCTGTAAGCTATTTTATACAAGTTGTGGTAGACTGGACACTCTGGCTATGAAAAATTATCCTCCTAGGAGGCCCTGATAGAAGATAGCAGGTACCTTGTACAAAATCCTAACAGAAAACAATGCAAACTTTTAAGTATGGACTAGATGCTAAAAGGCTCTGCAGCAATTTGCTGTTTGAAAGGATGTATCCCATATAATTACAAAAGTCACAACTAACCATCTGTTTCAATATCATGGCATTATGTCGTTGGTCAGCATTGTAAAAATGAACATTTTGTTATTTTTGATGAACACCATTTAGGTTTATCTGAACATACGAAACACAAATGGTGATATAATTCAACATTTATTGTATGTCTAGAATGCGAACAGCGTGGTAGTAGACAGTGGGAGATAGATTTTTTAAAAAGAATTCTTATTCTCAAAGTGTTTTCAGGCCAGCACAGGAGGCAAAGAATGCATGCAAATTGCTCTTATAGAAGGTTCAAGGGGATTATTTATTTAAGACATTTATTGAACAACTACTATATGCCTGGCACTATGCTACAATATAGCTGTAATTACAGACAGAAGAGGTGAAATCCCTGCTCTCAAGGAGCTTGTGTACAGGCGGGCCTACAGAGAGCAACAATACACTTTTCTAAGTGCTGTAATAGAGAAAAACCACAGGGAATGCTGAGTGATAAGGGGGAGGGGCCTTACTCTATCATCTGTTGGGAGTATCAGGGAAAGCTACGCCAAGACTTGACAATTGGGCTGAGGTTTTTTGTTTTTGTTTTTGATTTTGAGATGGAGTCTCGCTCTGTTGCCCAGGCTGGAGTGCAGTGGCTTGATCTTGGCTCACTGCAACCTCTGCCTCCTGGGTTCGAGTGATTCTCCTGACAGCCTCCTGAGTGGCTGGGACTAAAGGTGTGTGCCATGACGCCCAGCTAATTTTTTGTATTTTTAGTAGAGATGGGGTTTCACCATGTTAGCCAGGATGGTCTCAATCTCCTGAACTCGTGATCTGCCTCCCTCGGTCTCCCAAAGTGCTGGGATTACAGGCGTGAGCCACCACTCCTGGCCTGGGCTGAGTGTTTTAAGATTGAGCACAATTAGCCAACTAAGAAAGGAATTGGAAGGAAGAAAGATATACCAGAAAGAAGAAAAAGAAAATAATAGAGCAAAGTATTTCATGGTCTAATTGTAGGTGTGAGAGAGTATAATGTGCCCAAGGATCTGCCAATGTATTTAGTGTGGCCATTGTGTAGGGGGTGACGTAGCCAGAAATGGGATGAAAAAGGTGAGCATGAGGCCTTGGCTGCCAACTCAAGGAACCTTGACTTTGTTCTCCAGTGGGACTTAGTCTTGATCAAATGTGTATGTTAGGAAGGTGAATTTGGCAGCAGAGTGGATAAAGCCCAGGAAGGAGGGCCGAATTGGAGATGGCAGTAGGTTAGAAGGCTGCTGCCAGGGACAGGGGAGAAATGCTGAGGGCCTGAGCTGAGGCAGAGCCGGTGTTGAAGGGCATGAACCAAATAACTGGAGGCTGAGTCCATAGACTTGGTGGCTCTTTTGGGGTGGTTCCGTGGGGGTGGTGCCTTCCTCCAAGATAGAGACCACAGGAGAGATTTACTTAAACACGCAGAGGATGAGTCCGGTCCTGCACCCAGAGCATTTGCGGCGTCTGACCGCAAATACCCAGGCGGCAGTGGAATCTGTGGTTCAGAGCTCCCCAGAGTGGCTGGGACTGAGAAGCATTGAGTCAGGAGGTACCTGTGGTGACTGAAGCTGTGGGAGTTTTTGAGATAACTTTTCTCCCCAAGGAGAGAAACAGGAACTAGGGAGAAGAGAGTCTTAACATTTATGTGCAGAGGGAGAGAAGAACACCCAAAAGAGACCGAAGAGGAACTAGCTGCAGGGGAAAGGTATCTTGGGAAGCCGCAGGAGTTGCAAGCAGGAGGACGCAGCAAACTATGTCGATTTTAACAGAGAGAAGGGAAATGGAAACTGAAAATTCCCTGCTAGTTAGCAATTATGACGTGTGTGGTCACCTTCACCAGTGATGCTTTAGTAGAATGCATGTAAGATGGGATAAGGCAGAGAGCTGTGTTTAGTGATGAGAAAGGAGGAGATTACAACATTATGTTAGGGAATAAATGAGAGAATCAAAAAGTGGGCCAGGCGCAGTGGCTCACACCTTTAATCCCAGCACTTTGGGAGGCTGAGGTGGGCCGATCACCTGAGGTCAGGAGTGTGAGACCAGCCTGGCCAACATGGTGGAACCTCATCTCTACAAAAAATACAAAAATTAGCCAGATGTGGTGGCACTTGCCTGTAATCCCAGCTACTTGGGAGGCTGAGGCAGGAGAATCACTTGAACTCAGGAGGCAGAGGTTGCAGTGAGCTGAGATCGTGCCACTGCCCTCCAGCCTGGGCAACAGAGTGAGACCTGATCTCAAAAAAAAAAGTGTAGACAGTGTTTGGAGATAACCCTTTCAAGAAATTGGACTCTGAAAACAAGAAGAGTGAGTAGAGCTAGTGAGAAAAAAACAAAACAGAACAGTTTTTTTTTTCTTTACTCTCACACAGTCCTTCAACATACAGAACACTTCTGTGAGCAGATGTTTAGGGGTTTTCTTTCACACACTAAGCAATTCTCTAGCAGACATCAACTGAATGTCCTATAATTTAACTCAGTTCTGATACTACCTGGAGATAGCATCAGACACACCATGCGTTGAGGATTCAGTCCCACAAGACTTCCTCCAACTTCAGATGCCAGCCCCAAGTAGTACGTCGTCACCTATACTTCTGCCCAATTGGCTATTATTTGGCTCTTGCCAGGCACAGTGGCTCATGCCTGTAATCCCAGCATTTTGGGAGGCCTGGGTGGGCAAATAGCTTCAGGCCAGGACTTTGAGACCAGTCTGGACAACATGGTGAAACCCCAGCTCTACAAAAAATACAAAAATTAGTTGGGTGTGGTGGCACGCACCTGTAGTCCCAGCTACTTGGGAGGCTGAGGTGGGATGATCGCTTGAGCCTGGGAGGCAGAGGTTGAAGTGAGATTGTGCCACTGCACTCCAGCATGGGCGACAGAGACAGTCCATCTTAAAAACAACAAAAACAACAACAACAACAACAACAAGGTTTCCCACAACCCCTTCCTTGAGTTGGATTAATTTGCTAGAGTGGCCCACATATCTCAGGGAAACACTTTGCTTATGTTTGCTGGCTTCTTAATAAAGAACACGCTAAAGGATACAGATGAACAGTCATATGGAAGAGAAGCATAGGGCAAGGGATGTGGGAATGGGCACAGAACTCCCATGCCTTTTCCAGGCACCATGCCCCCCAGGAACTTAGTGCCATGTGTCCCAGCTGCTCCAGCCATGACTAAAAGGGGCCAAGGTACAGCTCAGGCTGTGGCTTCAGAGGGTGCAAGCCCCAAGCCTTGGCAGCTTCCACATGATGTTGAGCCTGTGGTTGCATAGAAGTCAAGAATTGAGGTTTGGGGATCTCTGCCTAGATTTCAGAAGATGTATGGAAACGCCTGGATACCCAGGCAGAAGTTTGCTGCTAGGGCAGGGCCCTCATGGAGAACCTCTGCTAGGGCAGTGCAGAAGGGAAACGTGGGGTCAGAGCCGCCACACAAAGTCGCTACTGGGGCACCACCTGTGGACCTGTGAGAAGAGGGTCACCATCCTCCAGACCCCAGAATGCTAAATCCACTAATATCTTGCATTGTGCTCCTGGAAAAGCTGCAGACATTCAACACCAGCTGGTGAAAACAACCAGGAGAGAGGCTGTACAATGCAAAGCTACAGGGGTAGAGCTGCTCAAGACTATGGGAACCCACCTCTTGCATCAGCATAACCTGGATGTGAGACATGGAGTCAATGGAGATCATTTTGGAGCTTTAAGATTTGACTGCCCTGCTGGATTCTGGACTTTCATGGGGCCTGTAACTCCTTTGTTTTGGCCAAGTTCTCCCATTTGGAATGGCTGTATTTACCTAATGTCTGTGCCCACATTGTATGTAGGAAGTAACTAACTTGCTTTTGATTTCACAGACTCATAGGCAGAAGGGACTTGCCTTGTCTCAGATAAGACTTTGGATTGTGGACTTTTGAGCTAATACTGAAATGAGTTAAGACTTTGGGGGGCTGTTGGAAGGCATGATTGGTTTTGAAATGTGAGGACATGAGATTTGGAAGGGGCCAGGGGCAGAATGATATGGTTTGGCTCTGTGTCCCCACCCAAATCTTATCTTGGAGCTCCCATAATTCTCACATGTTGTGGGAGGCACCCGGTGGGAGATAATTGAATCACGTGGGCAGATCTTTCCCATGCTGTTCTTGCGATAGTGAGTCTCAGGAGATCCGATGGTTTTAAAAATGGGAGTTTTCCTGCACTAGCTCTCTCTTTGCCTATTGCCATCCACGTAAGATGTGACTTTCTCCTCCTTGACTTCCAGCATGATTGTGAGGTGCCCCCAGCCATATGGAACTGTAAGTCCAACAAACCTCTTTCTTTTGTAAATTGCCAAGTCTCATGTACATCTTTATCAGTAGCATGAAAATGGACTAATACAGAGTGGTTTTCAATTGAAGAAGGAACATCTTGTTCAATGCAAATGGAGTTAAGAAGGTAAGGCAGGGTTGCTTGCATCATGTTCATGGGTGTTGATGAACATATCTGTGAATTGGGTAGTCAATGCTCATGGGTTCTATTTTCTGTACAAAGTAGGAGGAAATGCCAGATTCTGAGTAAGGATGATAATATGTCAAATTAGGAGTTGGGGAGAGGGGAGAAAAAAGTGAAATGTCAAAGAAGGGATAAAAGTTATTCTGACTAAAGCATCAAAGATTTGTGGAGGAGGTGGTATTGGATTTAGTGCTAATGTAGGCAGAATTCAGGAAAATAAAGAGAAAAGAATAAGTTTCAGGAGGAAGGTTATCATAAGCAGAAGCAAAAACCAGAGAAGAGAGATCATGTTAAGGTCAGTAACTCACGAAAATGAGAAATGTTGATTAGATCACCGAGTACATAAAGAAAACTTCACAGATATAATGATTTTTAAAATGTCATATTTAGCTATGTGTATCTAGGATCCAACATGGTTCTTGGTACAAAGATGGGTCCTCAGCAAATATTGGTTAAATGAATGAGAAGATGAATGCATTTATAAAGTCATTTGCTCTATGGCAAATTACAAAAATTAAAATAAGCATCAAAGGGTAAGAAACAAATACTATTTTTTGTAGAAAAAATGTATTAAAATATTATTAGTTCACTGTTCATCTCAATAGGTGCCCCAGTTCTTATTGTTATATAATGAATCATCCCAAAACTTAATGGGGTTAAACAGCAGCCTTTTAAATATAAAATTTCACAGATTCTGTTGGTGAGGAATTCAGGCAGGGCTCAGCTGGGAAATTCTTCTGCTTTTGGTGGCATTGATTGATATCGCCCCATGATATTCAGCTGGCAAATGTGCTGGTCTGGAGGATCCAACGTGGCTCCACTCATGAATCTCACACCTTGGAGACAGTGGCTGGAAGGCTGGGCTCCAGCTGGGACTTTTGATGGAGCACCTACATGTGACTCTCCAGCATGGTAGTCTTGAGTACTTGGGATTCTTAAATGTTTGTTGGCTTCCTGTGGAGTGGTGGTTCTCAACAAGGAGTGATTTTGCCCACCCTGGAGACAACAACTGCAATACCTAAAAGTAGTTTTGGTTGTTACAACCCAGGGGGAGAGTGCTACTCTCAATGCATGGGTGGAGGCCTGGGATGATGCTAGACATCCTACGATGTGCAGGACAAGCCCAGCTTAACTGCCAACAAAAAATGTTAATGAGAAACTCTGCGGTAGATCAAGTGGTCCAAAAGAAACAGGCAGCAGCTGCAAGGCCTTCTCGAAGTCAAGTGGAGTCACTTCCACCAAATTGTATTGGTTACAAGAGATTCATAATTGTATTGGTTACAAGAGATTCACAAAGCTGGTCTACAGTCACCAGGAAGGGAATTGTAATTCACCTCCTGATGGGTGACTGGCAAGGTCACACTGTAGTACAGGATATGGATGGCATATTTTTGGAAAACATCAGTTACCACAACAGGGATGGAAGCATAAAATAAATGTCTTAGGGAAAGAAGGGAAAAACATTTAATGGCAGAAAGGCCAGAATCGTGAATATATGTAACATGCAGTTGGGAAAAAGAGATGAGTCCAGTCAACATGCATCATAGAAAAATCCTCCCTTCTTATAGGAAAACTGAGAGGGAAAACTGCCTCTCTCATATCTCTGGTCCAACTGACAAGCAACAGATCAGTGATGGGTGGACCCACTGGGAAAAGTTAAACTTCTCCTTCTGCTGGTCCCTTGAGACACCAAGGCCTGTGATCTTCAATGATGCTGAGAACACTGAGCTGAGGTCACCAGCATCTTCACCAGAGATACTCCCTGAGCTTAGGGTGCCCATGGAGATCAGTTCTTATTCAATCTTTTATTGTCTTCCTCCCAGGACCCGGACTCAGGTGTGAGAACTTGCCCACTAGGCTGAGAACAACCTGAGTGATGACCTCAGTGTTCAAAATCACCCTCTCCCTGCTCTTCCACCTGGTCCTGCCATCCTTTCATCAAACCTCTGAGCTCCACTCTGCCTTTCATTAGCAGGAATGTTTTCCCAAGAGAATCCTTGGACCCTTATATTGCTTTTTAAAAAAGAGTTTATTGATAGGGAATCTTTAAAAAATATTTAAACAGGTCATAATATCTAAAAATTAGGAAATTTTACATAAAATGAAAAAACTTTCTTTCCTCTCTTAACACATTGGAAGTTCTGGAAACACTGGACCTACAGTCGTGATGGCAATAAGTGTTTGGAGTTGGGTTGTCTGCCTTGGGAGATACATTATATTAAAAAATGTTTGAAATACTACATAGGAGATTCCCTTATAGGGATGCCTGTAACACATTGGCATACTAAACTCCCTAAGAACCCCTGAATAATAATAATAATAATAATAATAAAGAAAATGATAATAACAATGTTTAGATTTGTTTAACGAACCACTTTCCAATTAGCAAGCAAACGTTTCCTTTTTTAAAAAAATGTACTTTGAGACACGTGGAAGCAAAATGTCAGCAGGCTCCACGGTAGTCAGAGTTCCCGACCTGAACCCAAATGCTGGAATCTGAGATCCTTGGCACAGGACACATGGCATATTTTTGGCAAAAGTGGCTACAAAAAATACCCTCCTTGTGTCTGTTTTCTCAGTCACCTGCCACAGTGACTTTGGCCTTGGCCTAATGATTTGCCTTGGCTAATAGGGCAATAACAACTATGACACAAGCACAGACTTAAAATTCCTCAAGCCTCAGGGCTTGTCTTCATTTGCTGCACTTCAAATTCTGAGACTGCCATCTAAGTAAGCCTGAGCTAGCTTGCTAGAAAGGCCACAGGGAGGAGAACAGAGGTGTCCTAGTCCACAACGCAAGCCAAGAGGCAGACAAGTGAATGGGGTTCTCTGAGACCAGCCGGCCTACACGCAACTGTCCAACGGACTGTAAATGTAATCAAAATAACATGTTGTATACCTCAAAGATATGTAATAAATTTTTTAATGGAGTGGAAAATCTTAAACTACACAAAAGTAGAGAGGTTAATTTCATAAATGCCTCTGAAAATTGATTTCTCACTTTAATAATTATAAATTCATGGTCAATATTGTTTCATCTATTCTGAGGGAAACTATTTCCAAAATATGTGAACATGGCCACTGTATTAGATCCACGGTATGTGTATCTGTTTTTAAAATGTAATTGATTCTTACTGTATGAGAGAGAAAAATGATTTAAAGCCTTTTTAATTTTTTCTGAGATACAATATTACAAATAAGGCAGCCACTCTCACTCATAAAATTCCAATCATTTCAAGATATTGGCATATTATTTTAAAGACTGCCATAGATTAACTGCATATTATTAACTCAGTCCAGTCTTAATGAAGATAAAACTCGCACTTGAATGAAAAAAATTGCAATTACATTTAACTGGTAAAAAAAAAAAAGAGTGAAAGAAAATACATAATTAAAATGAAGATCATTTCCGTATGTGCCAACAACAATACAGGTGAAATTATTTTGGAACAAAGAGCAAAGGCCTGACATTTTGTGAGGAAGCCAAAGAAGGTACCAGATGTAGGTTGTGGATCTCCATCTGTATGTGTGAGCCTACATGTTCTTGACTGGACAGGTTTTTTTTCTGAGACGGAGTCTTGCCCTGTCATGCAGGCTGCACCAGAGTGGTGCGATCTCAGCTCGCTGAAACTTCTGCCTCCCAGGTATAAGCAGTTGTCTGCCTCAGCCTACTGAGTAGCTGGGATTACAGGCGCCCACCCTACACCTGGCTAATTTTTCTATTTTTAGTAGAGACGAGGTTTCACCATCTTGGCTAGGCTGGTCTTGAACACCTGACCTCAAGTGATCTGCCCACCTTGGCCTCACAAAGTGCTGGGATTACATGTGTGAGCGGCCATGCCTGGCCTCTTTTCCCATTCTTTCTAATATGACTTGTCAATCACTCTACGTGAGAACAACTCGTTATCTCATCTTAAATGTTGTGTAGTATTCTGTTGTATGAGGTACTAATTTATTTTATCATTCCCCTACAGATAGATATTTAGGCTGTTTTTAATCTTTTGCTATTATAGAAAGTGCTAGAATTAATAGTCTGGTACATTGTCTTTAAGGGTGCATGTAAGGATATCTATAGGATAAAAGTCCTCAAGTGGAATTGCTGAGGCAAATGTTATATGCATTTTACATTTTAATAGATAGTGACAACCCTGATAGAGGTTGTGTAAAAACTGCACCACCAATAGCAATGTGTGATGTCCCATTTCTCCAAACTCTTGCCCTCCCAGTGTGTTATGCAATTTTGCCAATAAGATAGGTAAAGATTAGTATTTTATTATAGTTTCAGTTTTCAGTTCTCTTATTTTGAGGTTAATATTTTTTCATAATAGATATATCATATATATCTATGTATAGATGTAGATATATTTTAAAAATATTAATATATGTTATATGTCTATATATATAATATCTGTCTATCTATCTATCTCTCTATCGGTATTTTTTTAAGAGGCAAGATCTTTCTCTGTTGCCCAGGCTGGAGTACAGTGGTGAAATCATGGCTCACTTGAGACTTCACTGATTCTCCCACCTCAGTCTCCATAGTAGCTGAGACCACAGGTGTGGACCAACATGTTTGGCCTATAACAAATATTTATATTTACTTTTCTGTGAACTACCTATTCATGACCTTTGCCCTCATCAGTAATATTATTGATTTCTTCCTTATTGATAATTTATAACAAATCAATAATATTTATCGTAAGTGTAGAGGAGGAAAAAATGTTTTCCTTCTATCTATCTTAGATGCATTGGTTGAGGCCTTGTGAATTACACTAACAAAAGACAGATTAACAAGAGAAAAACATACCGATTTATTTAATGTAAGTTTTATGTGACACAGGAGCCTTCATAAGGAAATAAAGATCTGAAGAAATGGTTAAACCTGGGTGTTTTCATACTAGGTTTGATGAAGAGTGGAAAGTCGTTGAAAAATATGACAAGACAAAACGTTTTGAGCTGAGGGTGGTAAACCCAGGGAAACTTAGCAAGGCCTTATCATTCAGATTCCTCTCATCATGGCTCGTCTTCAGAGATAAGGATGTTACTTTCCCGTGGGCCTAGGGAGGCCTCTTCTCAAATGAAAGTCTTATGACGTGCTTCAGGGGATGGTCAGAGAGCCCTTCCTTGTACATGCCATTTCTTAAATTTGTTCCTCTTAAAATATCCCCTAGGCCAAGATGCCATACTAGTGAGTCCAGAACCCTATCATAAGCACTGTATGTTTATGTAATTGAGGGCATTAAGCTCCACATGAATACTATCAGTTTTTTATTTGTTTGCTTGGTTGGTTTGGTTTTGGCAGTTTGCTCTTTGTCAGTTGACTTTATTCAAGTCACTGTAGAATTTTCAAAATATGGTTCACCTATTTTATAAACAACCAATTCTACCTTTAAGTTTCCTGTCTGAGAGTCAAAACAATAAAGGATACATATATTATATTTATCCTGAGAATTTAGAATTAATACACATTTAAAAAAATGTTTGCTAGGGGCCACACATACCAACACGTTTTCTAGGTTACATCTCAGAAGAAGATTTTAGCAGCAATCAGATAGACAGTGAGTATTCTCAAGTAGAATTGAGCCTCAAAACAGTTGATCTTTGAAACAATTCTGCATCTTATATGAGAAAGAACATAGCACTAAAGATATAAGAGTCTACATTTAAAAATATTTATATTGGAAAACAAGAAAATTTGGAGAAACGTTTGCTTTCATGCTCAATAAAATTCAAGAGTAAGTGAATTCTATGAAATTACAGATTGATGATGTGGTGAAGATTACATGAATAGGCATACATCTGAGGGGTAAGTAAGAAATAAAAAGATAACTGGATGAAATAAGAAAGATTAAAAACCATATGAAGATAAAGTTACAGAAGTCAGGTAGCCATTGTAAGACTAGTTGATACTGCAAAAAACTAAAATATTAGGTGAAAGACTATCACAAATGGCTTCAAATGCACAAAAATCACAGAAATATGATAAAGATGAGAAAAAGAAAATGAAAACAGAGAATGGGGTGCAGAGATGGAGAGCTGCTGACCTTTAAAAAGACACTAGGGAAAAAATGGAGTTAACACGTTAATGAGAACATTACAGCATTCAAATTTCTTAGCTGCAAGCTGCAGAAAACAACTCTGGCTAATTTAACCAGAAAAGGAATTTACTTGAAACCATTGGTTAGCTCACAATGTCTCCAAGAAGGTCCCAGCAGAATCATGTGTGGAGTCTAGGTTGGCAGGAACCAGGCAGATAATTGGACAGAGGCGTTCAGTTAGGACCACAGGAACAATGAATGCAGAATCTGGAACATCTCCACTGCACTCTGGGGCTTGGATGCGGCTGCACCATGCTTCCTTCATCAGTGGCTTTCGTTTCGGTCTGCAGTGGTATCGTCAAGTGGGCAAGTGTAGATTAAGTGACTGTATCCCAGCTGCTAGGCGGGCAATGAAAGGGTGGCACCTGTCATTTCCACTTTCTGTAGAGGAACAAGAGCTCTTCCCGGTTCAAAGGGGAAGTCTTCTGTCACAGAAAAAGCCTTGAGTATGGGCTAGACCCAAGGACTCACTTCTAACAGACTGAATACAGCAAAAGGGATGGGGCACCACTTCTGAGATGAGGTCACTGAAGACCGGCTCCTTCCTGCTGCACTCTCTCTCTGGCTTTTCTGGCTTGCTGGGTGTATGAGGTGAGTTGTCGTGCTGATGAAGCATGTGGCAAGGAACCGAAGGCAGCCTGAGGCCAATACCCAGGGAGGAGCTGAGGCCCTCAGCCCAGGGTTCTGAGGAAAAACTGAATCCTATCAGCAACCACATGAGTGAGCTTGGAAGTAAATCCATTCCCATTCGAACCTTGAGGTGACTACAGTCCCGACTATCTCCTTTAATTGCAGCCTGGGAGACCCTGAGCCAGAGGTTCCCTGCTGAGCTGTGTCTAGATTCCTAACTCACAAAAACAGTGTGATAATATTGTTTTATTCCAGTAAGTTTTAGAGAATTTTCTATGCAGCAATAGAAAACTATTTTTTTTAAAAAAAAGCCAACATACTTCAATGATTCTTAGGTCAAGATTTAAGCTAAACTAAAAGTATTGATTATTTAGCAAAAAAAAAAAAAAAAAAAAGCAATGAAAAAAATCACGTATTAAAACCTAGAGGTGAGCTTTCACTTTTGATCTCAATGGAGTACTTTATAACTGACCAATGCCTCAGCGTGAACAACCAGAAAAGCTGCATACACTGGAAAATTCAGAAACTTCTGAGGCAGCTTGGACTTGAGGGGCTAAGTTCCTAGAAATGACCTTACTGAGCTGGATTTCTGCAAGGCTGGGAATTGAGGGGATGATATCCCAGAGCAAAGGAAGAAAATGGAAGCTGGTAGATAAAATATTCCCCTTCTTTTCCCTCCCTTCTCTCCTTGCCGTGTACACCCCCTCTGTAAACCACCCTTAAAAGTGCAGTTCATACAGCTCCTCAAAGTGGGTCCCATCCACTGAGCAGACCTAATGGCAGAAGCTATCCCCGTAGCCCACGCCCACACGTGGTGAGCGAGGCTCTGCCTTCTCCACTCTCCCATCTCCTCTGCCTCCCTCACTCCCCCTGCACCTCATTCCTGCTCCCTGGGATGGTAATTCCCAATAAAGAAATAGCTCATAAGCCCTCTGCCTGAGGCTTTTCTCAGTATTAAAATTAAATTCAAAATAAATGAACAGAAACTAAAACATTTTTAAGACACCAGCAATAGCTAATTAGGAAACATAATGAAAAAAGTGCCCCATAAGTTTTATCATGTTGTGTTTTCATTATCAGTTCAAAATATTTTCTAATTTCCATTGTGACTTCTTCTGAAGGATGCATTAATATAGGTGAGGTGCTTAAAAGGCAGATGGTGAGCACGATGTAAGTGCTAGCTTTTATTATTGAAAAGCACAAAAATAAATATGCACACACATGCACACACACATACTTCTGTATCTCCACACACATACGCATATGGTATCACAAGTAAAGGACAACTTTTAAAATATTAAGGTTTAACAATACACGACATACAATAACAGCTGGCATTTATGGAGTATCCTAATGTAGCCCTCTGTATGACAATTCTAGGGACTATGTACTACTATCTACATTTTACAAATTAAGAAACTGAGGCACATTAATTTGTCCAGATCATACATTTAGAAAGTGATGGAGCCTCATTTTGGACCTAGGCAATCTCACTATATTAAGAGTTTTTAAATTCTAGTAGCTTAAATAATGAAAGGCATGGTCATCACTTTCTTTTTTCAAGTCCTATTTAAATAAAATAAGAACTATCTAAGTAAATCTATAAGACATTGGAAGTCAGTGGGGTGCCAGTGGTGTAATAAAACAGCAGATTCTGGAACATAGAAAGCAGTTGGATTGATAGCAAATGCTAACAGAGTTGAGAACCTACTACCTCACCACATTGTAACCTCAGCTCCAAAAACAATGATTTCTTCTGGAGAAATTCTGGAACCAGTGGCACTGGGAGAAAGCATGGACTATGGGGCCTGCCAGGTACTGAAGAGGAAATGGCTGAAGAAGAACTGTTTTCTCTCCAACCTCACCCTTAGAGAAAGCTGGCTCTAGAGTTAATTTCCAGTCTGTTGGTAAAAAGTGCCAGTTCTGACCCAGGAGGCCCTGGGAGTGGGTCCTGGGCTGGAGCTGCAAGGCTCCTGAAGTTCCCATGATGCAAGGCTCACAAGCTCCCGATGCCAGGCTCTGCCCTCTTCCCTCTCCCACACCCATCCAGTACAGCTACCAAAGCCTGGCCCTGTGTGATCTGTGTGCAGGTAGCTCTTCTTCCCTGGGCTGCAAAGCAGTGTTGCCAAAGCTATCCATCCAAATCTTCATCTCAGAGGGTGAACAGACAGCTAAGAACACCAAATATTTGAGTCAGAGTACGTATTATTCTGTTCTCACACTGCTATAAAGAATTACCTGAGACTGGGTAATTTATGAAGAAAAGAGGTTTAATTGACTCACAGTTCCACATGACGGGGGAGGTCTCAGGAAACTTACAATCATGGCAGAAGGCAAAAGGGAAGCAAGGCACGTCCTTACTGGTGGCAGAAGAGAGAGATAGTGGAGGAAGCCACACACTTTTAACCCATCAGATCTCATGAGAACTCACTCACTATCACAAGAACAGCATGGGGGAAACTGCCCCCAAGATCCAATCATCTCCCACCAGGACCCTCCCTTGACATGTGGGGATTACATTTAGATTACAATTCAAGATGAGATTTGGGTGGGGACACAGAGCCAAACTATATCAGAGTAACAACATGGAAAGAAAAAATTAACTAAACAAACAAAAGCCATCCCAACCCAAATTCCTACAGGAAATAGAATTAGCTTAATCATAACAATAATACAATTTATATCAAATTATATGTTATACATAATATATTTATATCACATTATTGTTATTTTCATCTTGTTACTATTAATAAAATGTACATATAAACATATATATTCCACATACAATTGTATAACACATATTGCTTTAAATTAATAACTTATATGTATGTTAAATAAAATTTAAAATATAAATATAATAGTACCAATAAAATGAGCTTAATAATAAGAATTAGTCTGTTCAGCGAGATTCAATCTATAGCTAAATGAATAGAAATCCAACAGACTTATGGGGAGATTTTAATAGCGAACTTAAATATCAGCATGTCAAAACAGTATTTTTTAATGATTAAAAAATTTCCAAGGATGAAATGTTTAAGAAAATACCAGGCTGCCTAAAAAATCTTTCATATTTGGAAATACAGGAACTATGCTGGCTACATTCTCCATGTATATTTACATTTTAAAGAACAAACAAGCAACAAAATGTAGGGTATTTTCCTAAACATTTCATCCTTGGAAATTTTTGAATCATTAAAAAATACTGTATGAGTGAAAGAAAAAAACATAAAATTACATTCTAGTTAGAATTCAATAAAAATACTCACTGAGGTGCATCCAAAGTAGTACTCCAGAGATGATTTACACTTTTAAAAAATAGAACTAAATATATGTAAATTAAAATAGGGCAATTAAATCAAAACTTCAATCTTTGAAAAGTGGCAAGTAAGATAACACAAATAAAACACACTAGGCTTGAGAAGAATATTTTTATAAGTATTTTACATGATTTTTTAAATTTCCGACTTTTATTTTAAGTTCAGTGGTACATGTGCAGTAAGTGCAGGTTTGTTACATAGGTAAACACGTGCCATGGTAGTTTGCTGCACAGCTCATCCCATCACCCAGGTATTAAGCCCGACATCCATTAGCTATTTCTTATCCTCTCCCTCCTCCAACCCCTCACCCTCAGACAGGACCCAGTGTATGCTGTTTCCCCCATGGTATCCACGTGTTCTTATCATTTAGCTTCCACTTATAAGTGAGAACATGCAGTATTTGGCTTTCTGTTCCTGTGTTAGTTTGCTAAGTTATCCATGGATGGCCTCCAGATCCATCTATGTCCCTGCAAAGGACACGATCTCATTCCCTTTTAAGGCTATACATAGTATTCCATGTTGTATATATACCACATTTTCTTTATCCAGTCTACAATTGATGGGCGTTTAGGTTGATTGTGTGTCTTTGCTATTGTAAATAGTGCTGCACAGAACATATGCATGTACATGTCTTTATACTAGAACGATTTATATTCCTTTGGATATATGCCCAGTAATGGGATTGCTGGGTTGAATGGCATTTCTGCCTCTAGATCTTTGAGGAATTGCCATACTGTCATCCACAATGGTTGAACAAATTTACACTTCCACCAACAAAGTAGAAGCGTTCCTTTTTCTCCACAACCTTGCAAGCATCTGTTGCTTTTTGACTTTTTAATAACAGTCATTCTGCCTGGTGTGAGATGGTATCTCATTGTGGTTTTGATTTGCATTTCTCTAACGTTCAGTGTTGTAGAGCTTTTTTTCATGTTTATTGGCCATATGTATGTCTTCTTTTGAGAAGTGTTTGTTCATGTCCTTTGCCCACTTTTTATCCGGGTTATTTTTTTTTTCTTGTAAATTTGTTTAACTTCCTTATAGATGTTGGATACTAGACCTTCGTCAGATGCATAGATTTCAAAAATTTTCTCCCATTCTGTAGGTTGTCTGTTTACTCTGTTGATAGTTTCTTTTGCTGTGCAGAAGCTCTTTAGTTTTATTAAATCCCATTTGTCAATTTTTGCTTCTGTTGCAATTACTTTTTGCATCTTCATCATAAAATCTTTGTCCTTGTCTATGTCCTGAATGATATTGCCTAGGTTTTCTACTAGGGTTTTTACAGTTTTGGGTTTCACATTTAAGACTTTAATCCATCTTGAATTGATTTTTGTATATGGTGTAAGGAGGGGTCCAGTTTCAATTTTCTGAATAAGGCTAGCCTGTTCTTCCAGCTCCACTTATTACATAAGGAATATTTTCCCCATTGCTTGTTTTGTCAAATTTGTCTAAGATCAGATGGTTGTAGGTGTGCGGTCTTATTTTTGAGTCCTATATTCTGTTCCATTGGTCTATGTGTCTGTTCTTCTACCAGTACCTTGCTCTTTTGGTTATTGTAGCCCTGTTGTATAGTTTGAAGTCAGGTAGTGTGATGCCTCCAGCTTTGTTATTTTTGCTTAGGATTGCCTTGGCTATTCAGTCTCTTTTTTGGTTCATATTAATTTTAAATTAGTATTTTCTAATTCTGTGAAGAATGTCAATGGTAGTTTAATGGGAATAGCCTTGAATCTATAAATTGCTTTGGGCAGGCTGGCCATTTTCACAATATTGATTCTTCCTATTCATGAGCATGGAATGTTTTCCTATTTCTTTGTGTCATCTCTGACTTCTTTGAGCAGTGATTTGTAGTTCTTCCTGAAGAGCTCCTTCACTTCCCTTGTTAGCTGTATTCCTAGGTATTTTATGCCTTTTTGTGGCAATTATGAATGGGAGTTTATTTGTGATTTAGCTCTCCACTGGCCTGTTGTTCATGTATAGGAATGCTAGCAATTTTTGCACATTGATTTTGTATCCTGAGACTTTGCCAAAGTCGCTTATCAGCTTAAGAAGCTTTTGGGCTAAGATGATGGAGTTTTCTAGATATAAGATCATATCATCTGCAAACAGAGATAGTTTGACTTCTTCTCTTCATATTGGAATACATTTTACTTTTTTCTCTTGCCTGATTGCCCTGGCCGGAACTTCCAATACTAGGCTGAATAGGAGTGGTGAGAAAGGGCAACCTTGTCTTGTGCTGGTTTTCAAGGGGAATGCTTCCAGCTTTTGCCTATTCAGTATGATATTGGCTGTGGGTTTGTCATATATGGCTCTTATCATTTTGAGGTATGTTCCTTCAAACCTCGCTTATTGAGAGTTTTTAACATGAAGGGATGTTGAATATTATTGAAGGCCTTTCTGCATCTATTGAGATAATCATGTGGTTTTTGTCTTTAGCTATTTTTATATGATGAACCACATTTATTGATTTGCATATGTTGAACCAAACTTAAATCTCAAGGATGAAGCCTACTTGATCATGATGGATAAGCTTTTTGTTGTGCTGGTGGATTCAGTTTGCCAGTATTTTGTTAAGGACTTTTGCATAGATGTTCACCAAAATATTGGTCTGAAGTTTTTCTTTTTTTTTTTTTTTGTATCTCTGTCAGGTTTTTGTATCATGATGATGCTAGCCTCATAGAATGAGTTAGGGAGAAGTCCCTCCTCTTCAATTTTTTGGAATAGTTTCAGTAGGAATGGTACCAGCTCCTCTTTGTACCTTTGGTAGAATTCAGCTGTGAATGCATCTGGTCCTGGGCTTTTTTTGGTTGGTAGGCTATTTATTATTGCCTCAATTTAAGAACTCATTATTGGTCTAGTCAGGGATTCAGTTTCTTCCTGGTTCAGCCTTGGGAGGGTGTATGTGTCCAGGAATTTATCCATTTATTTTAGATCTTCTAGTTTTTATGCATAGAGGTGTTTATAATATTCTCTGATGGTTGTTTGTATTTCTGTGGGGCCAATGGTAATATCCCCCTTATCATTTCCGATTGTGTTTATTTAAATCTCTCTTTTCCTCTTTATTAGTCTAGCTAGTGTTCTATTTTATTAATTTTTTCAAAAATCCAACTCCTGAATTTGTTGATTTTTTGAAGGGTTTTTCATGTCTCTGTCTCCTTCAGTTCAGCTCTGATATAAGTTATTTGTTGACTTCTGCTAGATTTGGGTTTTGTTTGCTCTTGGTTCTCTAGTTCTTATATTTGTGATTTTAGGTTGCTAACTTTAGATCTTTCTAGCTTTTTGATATGGGCATTTAGTGCCGTAAATTTTCCTTTTATCACTGCTTCAGCTGTGTCCCAGAGACTCTGGTACATTGTATGTTTCTTCTCATTGGTTTCAAAGAACTTATTGATTTCTGCCTTAATTTCATTATTTACCCAAAAGTCTATCAGGAGCAGGTTGTTCAATTTTCATATAGTTGTATGGTTTTGGGTGAATTTCTTAATCTCAAGTTCTAATTTGAGTGTGCTCTGGTCCAAGAGACTGTTTTTTATTATTTCAGTTCTTATGCATTTGCTGAGGAGTGTTTTACTTCTGACTATGTGATCAGTTTTCGAGTAAGTGCCATGTGGCAATGAGAGTAATGTATATGAGAGTAATGTATATTCTGTTGTTTTTGGGTGAAGAGTTCTGTAGATATCTATCAGGTCCACTTGAACCAGAGCTGAGTTCAAGTCCTAAATGTTTTTGTTAATTTTCTGTCTCAGTGATCTGTCTAATATTTTCAATGGAGTGTTAAAGTTTCCCACTATTACTGTGTGGGAGTATAGGTCTCTTTGAAGGTCCCTAAGAACTTGCTGTATGAATCTGGGTGCTCCTGTGTTAGGTGCATATATATTTAGGATAGTTAGCTCTCCTTGTTGAATTGAACCCTTTACCATTACATAATGCCCTTGTTTGTCTTTTTTCATCTTTGTTAAACTCTGTTTTCTCAGAAACTAGATTTATGACCCTTGCTTTTTTCTGTTTTTCATTTGCTTGGTAAATTTTCCTCCATCCCTTTATTTGAGCTCATGTGTGTCTTTGCATGTGAGATGGGGCTCTTGAAGACAACATACTGAAGGGTCTTGGTTCTTTATCCAGCTTGCCACTCTGTGTCTTTTAATTGGGGCATTTAGCCTATTTACTTTTAAAGTTAGCATTGTTATGTGTGGATTTGATCCTGTCATCATGATGCAAGCTGGTTATTTTGCAGAGTTATGTGGTTGCTTCGTAGTATCACTGGTCTGTGTACCTCAGTGTGTTTTTGCAGTGGCTAGTATCAGTTTTTCCTTTCCATATTCACTTCCATTTCCTGAAGTGCTTCCTTCAGGAGTTCTTGTAAGGCAGGTCTAATGGTAACAAGTTCCCTCAGCACTTGCTTGTCTGAAAAGGATCTTATTTCTCCTTTTCTTTTGAGGCTTTGTATGACCAGATGTGAAATTCTGGGTTAGAATTTCTTTTACTTAAGAATGTTTAATATTGGCCCCCAATCTCTTCTGGCTTGCAGAATTTCCACTGAGATGTCTGCTGTTAGTCTGATGGCCTTTCCTTTGTTGGTGACCTGGCCTTTCCCTCTGCCTGTCCTTAACATTTTTTCTTTCATTTCAACCTTGAATAATCTAATTATTATGTGTCTTGGGGTAATCTTCTCATGCAGTATCTTCCTGGGGTTCTCTGCATTTCCTGAATTTGAATGTTGGCCTGTCTAGCTAGGTTGAAAAAAATCTCCTGGAGGATATCCTGAAATAGGTTTTCCAAATTGGTTCCATTCTTCCCGTTTCTTTCAGGTACCCCAATCAGTTGTAGGTTTGGTCTCTTTACAAAATCCCATATTTCTAGGAGGGTTTATTATTCCTTTTCATTCTTTTTCCTCTATTCTTGTCTGCCTGTCTTATCAGAAAGACAGTCTTCAAGCTCTGTGATTCTTTCCTCTGCTTCATCTATTCTATTAGTACTTGTGATTGCATTGTGAAATTCTTGCAGTGTGTTTTTCAGGCCTATTAGGGCAGCTATGTTCCTCTCTATACTGGCTATTTTGGCTGTCGGCTTGATATGATTGGGCTGTGTCCCCACCAAAACCTCATCTTGAATTCCCATGTGTTGTGGGAGGGACCACATGGGAGGCAATTGAATTATGGGGCTGGATCTTTCCTGTGCTGTTCTCATGATAGTGAATAAGCCTCAAGAGATCTGATCGTTTCAAATGGGAGTTTCCCTGCAAAAGCTCTCTCTTTTCCTGCCACCATCCATGTAAAATGTGACTTGCTCCTCCTTGCCTTCCACCATGATTGTGAGGCCTCCCTAGCCTCACATTAAACCTATCTTCTTCCCAGTCTCTGATATGTCTTTATCAGCAGCATGAAAACAGACTAGTACAGTAAATTGGTGCCAGTAGAATGGGGTGTTGCTGAAAAGATACCTGCAAATGTGGAAGTGACTTTGGAACTGAGAACAGGCAGAGGTTGGAGCAGTTTGGAGGGCTCAAAAGAAGACAGGAAAATGTAAAAAGTTTGGAACACCCTATAGACTTGTTGAATGGCTTTGACCAAAATGCTGATAATGATATGGACAATGAAATTCAGGCTAAGGTGGTCTCAGATGGAGATGAGGAACTTGCTGGGAACTGGAGCAAAGGTGACTCTTGTTATGTTTTAGCAAAGAGACTGGCTGCATTTTGCCCCTTCCATAGAGACTTGTGGAACTTTGAACTTGAAAGAGATGGTTTAGGGTATCTTGCAGAAGAAATTTCTAAGCAGCAAAGCATTCAAGAAGTGACTTGGGTGCTGTTAAAGGCATTCCATTTTATAAGAGAAGCAGAGCATAAAAATTCACAAAATTTGCAGCCTGACAATGTGATAGAAAAGAAAATCCAATTTTCTGAAGAGAAATTCAAGCTGGCTGCAGAAATTTGCATAAATAACAGGGAGCCGAATGTTAATCCCCAAGACAATGGGGAAAACGTCTTCAGGGCATGTCAGTTACCTTCACGGAAGCCACTTCCATCACAGGTCTGGAAGCCTAGGAGGAAAAAATGGCTTCATAGGCCAGGCCCAGGGTCCTCATGCTGTGTGTAGCCTAGGGACTTGGTGCCCTGCGTCCCAGCCACCCCAGCCATGGCTAAAAGGAGCCAAGGTACAGCTCAGGCTGTTGCTTCAGAGGGTGGAAGCCCCAAGCTTTGGCAGCTTCCACATGGTGTTGAGCCTGTGGGTGCACAGAAGTTAAGAATTGATGTTTGGAGATCTCCGCCTAGATTTCAGAAGATGTATGGAAATGCCTGGATACCCAGAAAGAAGTTTGCGACAGGGCTGGGGCCCTCAAAGTGAACCTCTGCTAGGGCAGTGTGGAAGGGACATGTGGGGCTGGAGCCCCCACACAGAGTCCCTACTGGGGCACAGCCTAGTGAAGCTGTAAGAAGATGGCCACCGTCTTCCAGACCCCAGAATGGTAGATCCACTGACATCTTGCACCATGTGCCTGGAAAAGCCACAGACACTCAACGCCAGGCCATGAAAGCAGCCAGGAGGGGGACTATACCCTGCAAATCCACAGAGGTAGAGCCACCCAAGGCCATGGGATCCCACCTCTTGCATCAGCGTAACCTGGATGTGAGACATGGAGTCAAAGGAGATCATTTTGGAGCTTTAAGATTTGACTGCCCTGCTGGATTTTGGACTTGCATGGGGCCTGCAGCCCCTTTGCTTTGGCCAATTTCTCCAATTTGGAATGGCTGTATTTGCCCAATGCCTGTATCCCCGTTGTATCTAGGAAGTAACTAGCTTGCTTTTGATTTTACAGGCTCATAGGTGGAAGGAACTTGCCTTGTCTTGGATGAAACTTTGAACTGTGGACTTTTGAGTTAATGCTGAAATGAGTTAAAACTTGGGGGACTGTTGGGAAGACATGATTGGTTTTGAAATGTGAGGGCATGAGATTTGGATGCCAAGCTGGGAAACCACCTTTTCCCCAGTCTGCTTGGGCTCTCCAAACCCCATGAGCTGGAACAACTGATTCGTCCAAACAACAAAGATGGTAGCCCGACCCTCCCCCACCACTGCCCGCACTCCATCCCAGGCAACAATCAGAGCTCTGTCCGAAGTATGTGGGCAGGTGGGGGTGGCTAGAGGCCCCTGCTGGGAGATCTCACCCAGTGAGGAAGAATGGATAGGGATCCCACTTAAAGAAAGCAGTCTGGCCAGGTTCTGGAAAAATCACTGTGCTGTGCTGGCGGGACCCTTCCTCATCTGGACCGTTTGGACTTTCTAAAGCCTGCAGGTTGGAATGGCTAAGTTGTCCAAACAACAAAGATCTTGGCCCACCCCTCTGCCCAGGGGCTGTGTCCCATCTCAGGAAGGCTCCACCCTGTTGCCAGTGGCTGGCTAGGATTCTAAGCCAATAGGTCTTATCTTATGAGGTGCTATGGAAGTGGGGCCCACAGACTGATGCTGCTGATCCACAGACTGATGTTGCTTGGCCCCCTGGATTTAGCCCCCTTCCTAAGGGTATGAATGTACCTCCTACCTTGCCTGACTTGCAGTCACCTTTGTTGGGGCTCCCAGGGTTGAAGTATGTAAAGCTCCTGAGTCTCTGTGTATGCCTGAGCAGCTGCTCTGCTGAGACTCCACACAGCTCTATGTGTTGGACCCAAGGCCCTGGTGGCATGGGCTCATGGGGGGATCTCCTGGTCTGACCATTGCAAAGATCTGTGGGAGAGGCATGGTTTCCCAGGGTCGCACATTCACTCACCACTTCCCTTGGCTGGGGGTGGGGGTTCCCTTGGCTCCATGTTGCTTTTGGGGGGGCCGTTGCCCCACCCTGCTTTTCTTCATTCTTCATGGGTGGAGTTGTTTTCCTGATCAGTCCCAATGAGAGTACTTGGATATTTCAGTTGAAGATGCTGTATTCACTCACCTCTTTTATCCCTCTCATGAGTGCCACACACCTCAACTGCTTCTAATCAGCCCTCTTGGCCCCCTAGTATAAATATTTTAAAAACAAGATGTGCAACTTTTTAAAAAATAAATTTTATTGTGTGTATTTGAGCTTTACAACATGATGTCATGTGATACATATAGATAGTAAAAGGGTTCCTTTAGTAAAGCAAATGACCATATCTATCATCTCACATAGTTACTTTGTGTGTGTGTGACAACATCACAAGCATGGTGGTGCTTGCCTGTAGAGTCCCAGCTACTTGGGAGGCTGAGGTAGGAGGATCAATTGAGCCTGGGAGGTAAAGGCTTCAGTGAACCTTGATCATGCCACTGCAATCTAGCCTGAGCAACAGAGTGAGACCCTGTTTCAAAAAAAGAAAAGCAAACAGAAAGCCAACTTTCTAATAAAATACAAATAATCAGTATTAAATCAAGATGAGATAAAAACTGAAATAACTGAAATTATTTCACAAAGAGAGACAGCAAAAAAATACTTGCTATATAAATAGCATTAAAGATTAGTATCCAACCTAGACAAAGCGCCCTGAAAAAATGTAAATAGGCTATTCACAGAAAAGGGAAAAAATAAGTAACAAACAGATGGAAATGATGGGGTGCAGGAAGTGCTGCTTCAAATATGGCACCTTGGAAATTAAGAAAACAGCAGAGGCAGGAAGGTAACTGCTATGGTCTGAATGTGTCCTCCCAAATTCACATGTTGATATTTAATGGCCACTGGGATAGTATTAAGAGGTGGGGCCTTTAGGAGGTGATTAAGTCTTGGATGGAATTAGGGTTCTTATAAAAGAGCTTGAAGAAATGAGGTCACTCTCTTCCTCTCTTCCATCATGTATTCCCCTTCCATTTCTTCCGCCACGTGAGGGCACCTAGACAGGGCCATCTGTGAGTTATAGGCCTTCACCAGACACTGAACTTGCTGGAGTCTTAACCTGGGACTTACCAGCCTCCGGAACTGTAAGAAAATACATTTCTGTTCTTTGTAAATTACCTAGATATTTTGTTATAACAGCACAAATAAACTAAGACAGTCACGCTCTGACTTTCTCCCACCTTTCTCCCCTGAAAGCTGGCCATAAAAGAATTCTCTGACCTTCTTCCACTGAAAATAAATCATAAGACCCTGATTCTTGAGGGGGTTTTCTGCCCCATACTGGAGGGAAGTGGAGAGGCCAAATAGAATCTGAACAAATAGGCCTTGCTAAGTTTCCCATTTATTTCCATTTGACTTCCAATCATACTTCTGCACAACTTTCCAGAAAAATACACTTCCCCTGGGTCTTTGGGCCTTCATTTCTGAAAGCTCTCATGTCACATAAAACTTTTATCAAATAAATTTGCTATGCTTTCCTCTTATTTATCTGTCTTTTATTACACAGGTTTCAGCCATGAGCCTTAAAATGGTTAGGAGAATATACAACTTTATCTCCCCTACAGAAAGTAGAAAACCTTACTGGTCATCAGGGTTATGCAAATTAAAACAAAAAGACCCTATTTATATGCCTTCCTGCCCACATTAGATTTTCAAAAATTCAAACGATTGATTATATCCTGTTCTGTTGAAAGTGGAGGAAAAAAAATTCTAGGTGAAAGACAAATTAATAAAAATGTTTGCAATGCAATTGGCCAGCATCTATCAAAATTTAAACCATACCACCCATCTTTTGCTTTAGATTTCCACTTCTAGAAACCTTTTGTATGAAAATAGTCACACTCAGATATATAAGTAGAAACATCCTGTAAGAAACAATGGGCAGAACCTAAATTATTTTGGATGTACCTAAATTAAGATATATTCATAATATGGACAACTTTGCAGCTTTAAAAAAGATAGTATTCAGCCTGATGCAGTGACTCATGTCTGTAATCCCAGCACTTTGGGAGGCCAAGGCAGGAGGATCACTTGAGGCCAGAAGTTTGAGGCTGCATCGAATTATGATAACATCACTGCACTCCAGCCTGCAGAATGTGACCCTTTCTCAAAAAACAAAAACCAAAACCAAAAAAGAGGATGATACCCAAGGTATTTTGAAGACATCTTGATTCTACAGTCCCTCTCACAAAATGCCCTGTGAAGCCATAGAAACTGCCCCTGCCACAGAGCAGGAGTTGCTACAGCCCAGGCCAAGACAAGGTGGGAAACAGAATCTGACATCGCTGAATCAGTAGCAGAGCGGAGGGCACAGGACTCCACACAGTGAGCCCCGCCAGCAGCAGCAATGAAAGCAGACGAAGAATCAGCTGAGAAAGTGAAACAAGATGGAGTGGTAGACCATGTCCAAATTAGGTCATTGAGCCGTTATAGAGGTTACTACAATCACCATTAGGAAACCTAAAAATACCCTCTTTGTCATCCCAAGGCCAGATGTCTACAAGAGCCCAGCTTCAGATACCTCTACATTTTGGGGAAGCCAAGAGCAAAGATACATCTCAGCAAGTACAGCTACCAGATGCTGAGAAATTCAAAGGTCAGGGTGAAGCCAATTGTAGCACATTAAAAAGCACAGATTCCAATAGTGCAAGAGGAGATGAAGTGGTGAGGTGTAATGAAACAAATGTGGAAGTTAAGGGCATAGAATTTGTTATGTCATAAACAAAGGGGTGATGAGCAAAGACAGTCCGAGTCCTGAGGAACAACAGTAATGACACTATAAATGCTATAATGGAATTAAAAAGGGAACCGTCTGAAAAGGAGGACTCTTTTTTATTTATTTATTCATTTTGGTGTTTCAAAAGAGTAATTGCAGCTTGTTTTTAAATTTGACTGTTTCTATTTGTTAATGCAGTTATAACTTCTCGGCAGTTTACTACTGCTTGGCCTTGGGAGGGGGTGGAAGATGAGGAACCTGATCAGACATGGAAGTGATCAGATATCCAAAGCAGGTTCTCACTGAACTGACTTAGCAGGGTTTTTTTGTTGTTGTTGTTAAAAATGGATTTTACAAGGAAGTGCACAGATGGGCATAGGAGAAGTTTCAGCAGCCTGATTAAAGTTTGGTCAAGCAAAGAATCTTTGTCAAGAGTTACTATCCATGACCTCTTTGACTATTGGGAATTTCTTCTGCATGTATTTTTGGTTTTAAACTTCCTTGATTAGGATCACATTTTCCTATATAATTCAAATTTGTTCTTTTCACCGTCACCTCTCCTAAAAATGCAGGCATCATTCCCATCGCTATCATGAAAAGTTTCATTTTTTTAATACATGGATTTCAGCATAAATTATATATGCCTGTCCCTATATCCTAGGAGTTACTAAATCTAAATGACTAGGGGTTCATAATGTTTAAAGTCTAATTTTTAGCTTTCATAAAGCTAGTTTCAAAACCAAAATATCCTTTAAAATCAGTGGGAAGTCTGTTCATAGAGCATTAAAGAAAATGAAAAATAAGCTCAAAGAAAGTGACTGTCACCAGTTTGTGATGGCTTATCTCTTGCATATGCATTACTTTTAGCCTATTTCATATTAGTTAGCTTTTAATATTATGTTCTTGTATTATGCATAGCCTGTCCAATTAGTTTTGGGCACTGTCCTTACTTCTTAATTGTTTCTACTTCTATCAAGTTAAAAAATATTCAAATTCTCATTGCTACATTTTTTTCACTTCTTCTGAAACTTTTCTTTTTCAGAATAATCTTCTTTGTGTAGTTTACCCCTTTCATGGTATTTTAAAAAAATTTTAACTATTTCTCCTGTACTCATATCTTGGTAAGAGTTTTGCTGTTATTCAGGGTGGAGTTTCTCTACCTTGGGCTTTCTGTGCATTTCAGGATGTTTAACAGCATCCCTGGCCTCTACCCATCTTGATGTCAGAAGAACCGTCCCACTAATTGTGACAACCAAAAATGTCTCCAGACATGGTGAAATGTCCGCTGGGAGTGATGGGGTAAAAGTGAGCAAAGCCACTACCATATAGGAAGCACAGAGTTTGGATGAGCTTTAGGTTATATTATCGTTTTCCATCATTACTTATAAAAAATTATTGCCTAAAACATGAAGCTGAACAGGCCTTTTACAGTAGGGTATTGTTTTCAGACAGTACACAGGTAAAAGCCTAGGAAATATTAGTTTCTCAAGTCAATGGCTCACCTCTCCTGTTATTTCTGTCTGCCAGGGCCATCCAAAGACAATGTTGAAAGGGTAGAGCTATGATATTTCATGCTATCAATCTCAAAAGGTCAGGTATGGAACCCCTTCTCCCCACTGCCACCTCTTTCCATCCTAGCTTTCCCTGTTATTCAGGGGTAGAAAGGGAAAATGTGGATGAAAGCCAAGCTGACCTCTGAAGCCTTCTTGACTCTCCTTCCCCTTTGGTTCTGGTCCTTCTCCTACCGCTTAGCTCTCTTGGGTCTTAATTATACCTCCTTTTGCTAGGTTGGCTCAGAAATGGAATATTTTCCTTTGTGAGGCATGTTAATCTCCCTGAGTCTCAGATTCCTCCTTTGTAACCTAGGGACACTAATATACATCTTGCAGGGCTGTTTAAAACAGGGGCCAGCAAACCTTTTCTGTAAAAAGCCAGATAGTAAATATTTTACACTTTGGAGGCCACAAACCATCTCTGCTTATTCTTTTTTTGTTGTTTCATCCACTCCTGCAAGTCTTTTAAAATTTAACGTATTCTGGTTTAGAGGTTTTAGTACACTATTGTCATCGCCCCTTGGGTACTGGCATCCAATTACAGGGTCCTGTGTCTCAGTGCTCAAACCCTGGCTTCCCTTCTGGGTGAGCATGTGCAGGTGGTAATACAGACTGATGGGGTTCAGGATACCCTACCCCAAACTATGGCACCTTGGCATTTCAGAAAACAGCAGAAGCAGGAAGGTCTCTGTCCTTCTCCCAACCTTCTCCCCAGAAGCAGCCCATAAAATAATTCTTCAGTTTCCTCTAAAGAAGGTCATAAGACTCTCATGTGAGAAGTGCTCTCCCTACACCCAGATGAAAGGAGCAGCCTTATCTCTCTTTTATATATATATAATACTTTAAGTTCTAGGGTACATGTGCACAACGTGCAGGTTTGTTACACATGTATACATGTGCCATGTTGGTGTGCTTCACCCATTAACTCGTCATTTGCATTAGGTATATCTCCTAATGCTATCCCTCCCCCCTCCCCCCACCCCACGAGAGGCCCTGGTGTGTGATGTTCCCCTTCCCGTGTCCAAGTGTTCTCATTGTTCAATTCCCACCTATGAGTGAGAACATGCGGTGTTTGGTTTTTTGTCCTTGTGATAGTTTGCTCAGAATGATGGTTTCCAGCTTCATCCATGTCCCTACAAAGGACACGAACTCATCCTTTTTTATGGCTGCATAGTATTCCATGGTGTATATGTGCCACATTTTCTTAATCCAGTCTATCACTGATGGATATTTGGGTTGGTTCCAAGTCTTTTGTTTCTTGTGGCACTATTCACAGGAGTAGCCTTATCTCTGAAGACACAGGAAGGCAGAGGAGTATCTAAAGAAACAGGCCTTGCTAAATTCCCTGAGTCTATTAACATTAGATCTACGCACTTTGTCCAATCATACTTCTCCACAACTATCCACCTCTTCATCCAACCTAAGCATAAAACACAGTTTCCCATGTTTCTTTAGGCCTTTATTCTAAAGGTTCCCATGCCATGTAAAGCTTATATTAAATACATTTGTGTGTTTTTCTCTTGTTAGCCTGTCTTTTGTTATAGGGGTCTTGGCCATAAACTTAGTCATGGGTGAGAAAGAAACCCTATTTTCCCCTACAAGACCCCATATCAACTTGTCTATCTTCTAGAAAATTATTATTATTTTTTTTGTAAATGTAGCTGGCACGTAAGGCAAAAAAATGCCTGCAGAGTTCTAGGTATGGATTGTGATGAACACATTCATGTTTCACTTCCCCTGAACACTAGGGCAGGGTTGGTGAGTGGTTTACACCCTGGATGAAGACGTGGACAGGCCTCACAGTTTCTCTGCTTGTTTTCAGGTAATTGCCCTACAGTTATTTTTATTTGCACTGTCTTAGTTCAGGAAAATTCGAATGAGTATATAGAATTTAAATGAATATATAGTATATAGAATTCAAATTCAAATGAGTATATACAAAATTCAAACCCATTTACCCAAGCTGTCCTCTACCCTCTTGAGTGGGTACACTGCCAGAAGGAAGTTTGCATGTGGAAGGGGAGGTGGGGTCCGCTGCATTCAGCTCTCTCCCTGCTCCCCTCTTCACCCAAGACCCAGCTCTCTCATGACCCAGACAGTGCCCTGACTCAAAGTGGGAGAGAAGAGAGAAGAGGTGAGGATAGACAGCAGCTCTCACTTGTTTTATGAGTTTGTCCTTCTAGGCCTGATGTGTGCTTAGAGCTGGGGGTACCCTAGTGTGACTCATCTAAGCTGACTCCTTCCTACTTTTTTGAGTTCTCTGGAGGTTCTCTGCTTGGCTGATTGCTCCCTTGAATTTTAGGTTGGACAGTTCCTAATGATTCTCTTCTTAGCTTGTGGCCACTGGGCAGTCCATGTCCACATTTTTTTTTTTTTTTGTGAGACAGAGTCTCGCTCTGTCGCCCAGGCTGGAGTGCAGTGGTATGATCTCAGCTCACTGCAACCTCCAGCTCCTGGGTTCAAGCGATTCTCCTGCCTCAGCCTCCTGAGGAGCTGGGACTACAGGCGTGCGCCATGACGCCAGCTAATTTTTGTTTTTTTTTTAGTAGAGACAGGGTTTCACCATGTTGGCCAGGCTGGTCTTGAACGCCTGTCCTCAAGTGATCCACCCGCCTCAGCCTCCCAAAGTGCTGGGATTACAGGCGTGAGCTACCACGTCCCCTCCATGTCTACATTCTTACTGTTGGAGTTTACTTGCTCTAACAAAGGACCCAGCTGGGCGGCAGCCAAGAGGACACCCTACTGACTCACTCTCCTGCATGGCTCATGTTTGAGTGATGATCAATAGTCAGGATCCTTTGATGTGCAAACCGAAAGGGGAGGCAGATACAAGACGGCAGCAGGCTCTCGCCTCTAGCACCAATGCCTGTGGCCCTCAGGATTTCCCGGGCAGGAGTAGACCCAGTTCACCATCTACCTCACATCTGTCAAGTGTCAGTCAGTCACCAGCTAGCCCTTTGTGTGTCCAAATTGCCAAGAGGCTCCCTGAATGGAGGGGGTCCCCACAAAGCTCCACTGGTAAGGTTTGGGGCGAGAAAAGCAGCTTTCCTCCAAAGCAGGGAGAAGAGCAGATGCATATCCATGATTCCCTCCACACACATTTATTCAGAATCTGCTGTGTCTAGACGATCCTGGTTGCAGGTGCTGGGAATACAAACCCCTGCCTCTCGATGGCTTCGTTTCTAGTGCCAACATCTCTGTATAAAGAAACCTTTCCTTCAATCCTGCCTTTCTAATGATGGGGGAGTGAATTCCAGGGTTGCAGCATCAAGTCTAGGTGTGCGATTTGGTAAATTCTGCATATGGGAGTGGTCATTGGCTTCACCCACACTCCAGAATCCAGGCGATCATATTGGGACTCAGGTGGAAAATGAGGGAGGGTGAGCCCCACTGTAACACTTTCAACCTAAAAAATGGCTCTAGTGCTGGAAACGTAGTTCTCATGGAAGGCAAATACAAAGAAGCTTCAGGAGGTGCCTAGGAACCTAGACTCTAGGTGCTCCTCATACGCCAGTCACTCACGCAGGGAGGGCCTGGATATAGCATTACAGAAATACACTGCAGGATTTAAAAAGAAATGTTTTATTGTGGTAAAATATACATAACATGAAAATGACCATTGTAACTATTTTAAGTGTACAACTTAGTGGCATTACATACATTCACAACGTTGTGCAACCACTAAGATTTTTTTGTAAACCGGGGAAGCTACACTGACGTTCTCAACCCCTTTTAGCAGCAGTGAGTCGCATAGGTTTCTTTTTTTGGTCTTCTATGAATAATATAACACTGGAGGTATATGACAGAGTGGATAGGGCATGGGCTTGGGAGCCAGCCTGCCAGAGTGTGCAGGCAGCCTCTGTCATTTACCGGCTGCCTGCCTGGGCACAGCACATTGTCTGGGCCTCACTGTCCTCCTTGGTATAGGGAACATAATAGTGCCTGCTTCACAGCACTGTGGTGAGGATTAAATTCACATGTGTGAAACGCTTGGAACAGTGCCTGACCTAGTAAATGATCAATCAATTTTAGTTTTCATTGGTGAGTGCAAAAGAAGTGTTCGTGTAGTGGGAAGCTCATTCATTTTTAATATAAATCTTCTTTAAAAGTGTTACAATCACTTCATTTTCCTTTGTCCATTATATAAACCCTTTTTGAATACCCATTATGTGCCAAGGCATTTGAACTAAGCACTGGGGACAAACTATAAATGTTACATGAATATAAATGACTTGCCCTCAAGTGACTTACGGTCAGCTGGAGGAGGGTGGTGAGGGTGCATGCTCACAGGGGCACTGCAAGGCCTAACAGGTGCACCCACCAAAGCTTGGAGGTGGAAGGAGGGGAGTATGGTATGAGAAGACTTTTTAATCTGGTTATTTTACATGGTAAAAATCTGCAATTAACCATACTGAAAGGGAATCTTCTGAATAAGCCTCTCATCATCCTTTACTGTTTAATCAACAAGGTCTAAACTTTTCTTGGAGACTCACATGCTTGATGAATATCAGGATACAAAGCAAAATAACACCTCCAGTGGCTACTCAGCTGTGTATAGAGCTGTTTCTTCTTAAATGAATGCTTCCTGCTGAGGTTTAAAACTATTGGTTCTGCTTTCTTTGGGGTCAGGGCAGGAATATTAGCTGTTATTTCATAATGCTGCTACTCTGCTTACATTTCCAGATTTGTTATTTGCCATTTGCTGTGGACAGGAAGATCAGGTGAGCATATTTATTAGGATTATATTTAAAGTCAGATATAAGCATATCTAGCAGTCTCACTGGAGAGGAAAGTGGAAGCATTAGTAACTGGATTTTTATGTGATTGTGTGGGGTGGGCTGTGGTGGTCTTTTAGAGGCCGATTTGCTTATTTCTTGGTACTTCGGTGGCTCTCGGTTGCATTTGATGGAATAGTGACTTCTTGGTAATTATATGGAAGGAATTCTTCCCGCAGTGATGCTTTTCCAGCAAAAGGTGCTTGTCTTCTATTATTTCAATATGTGGTAGGTTTGTCCTACTTATCACTTATACTTTTCTGTCACTTCTTTTTTTTTTTTTTTCTTTGACACAGGGTCTCACTCTGTCACTCAGGCTGGAGTGCAGTGGTACAATCACAGCTCACTGAACACTCAACCTCCTGGGCTCAAGTCATCCTCCCACCTCAGCACCCCTAAGTAGCTGGGACCACAGGGGTGTGTCACCACCCGTGGATAACTTTTGTAGTTTTTGTAGAGATGGGGTCACTTTAACAACTACAGCAGTTTCTCTGTCTCTTTGATTTTGTTAGTTGCTGATATGAAGCACACCTGACATACTCCTATTTAGCCTTCAAATCCCAGCTCAAATGACCCACTCCGAGGAACTTTCTTATAAAACATCATCTTTCTTCTGCAGAACTCTTAGATCTCTGTACTTGTATAATACTTTTAATCCTCCAACTAGAACTCAAGCTATGTGACATGTTTATGTCTATGTCTCTGTCTTCTTAGTTGTGCCATGAGTTTTCTGAGGTCAGGTACAACCATGTATCACTCCAAGTGTATTATTAAACATTTGTCACTTTCTAATTGTTAATTGTACAAATGAATGGTAGTTTTGTTTTTGGATTTTCTTTCCTGATGACACCCATCATTAGTGAGATTTCCCCCATCCACCTGCCCACTCACACACACATATACGCCAGCACATTGGGCTCATGTCCAAAATATCAAATATTGTTTTTCTTTGATTGTATTAACTTGTGCCCACTTATTCAAAACTTCCTGCATTTAAGAAGTCTTGTCTGTGGCTATAGTTTATAACTCTTGGTTTTGCATTTCAGTAAATATTCACTATCTTTTGGGGCACAGTTTCATGTTATTAGCTTAGCTAGGGGTGGGGTGGCAGGTTTAGGAGTTCAGCTGGACAAGAAGAAGGTGATGACAAATATAGTCAATTGTGGCGGCTAGAGGTCAAATTCCAAGATGTGGGGATACTTGTGTCTCTTTTTATCTGTCAAGCAGTCATTCCCCTGGAAATAGAATTTCTCTTCCTTCAAGGAATTACTATTTACTCACATCAGCTATGTCATTTTGTTGAAGGGATTTTCAGCGACTGCTCAGCAGCTCATGGTCCAGGCTGGAGCAACCATGATCCTTTTCTGGGATGTTTTAAAGTCTGGAAAAAGGGTGGGTTGGGAGTGGTGTGTGAGGCTGGTGGTTTGCCGTAAACTTGGAGCTGCCTCCTCTTCTTATCTGAAGGAAGATTCTTCTAAGGTCAGGGGCCCAAGAAAGAGGCAGGGACCCTATAGCAGCCAGGATTCAGGCCAGCAACCCAACACTTTCCACAGAAAGATTTGTTTCAGTCTAACAAGTTCTCTGTCTAGAAAACCAATCCTCTGCTCTCCACCCAAACTTCCTGGAAACATAGTGACCTTTAAGTTGTTATTTGTATAGAATTCATTGATAACTTTAAAAAGGTAAGTAATCATTCTTTTGAATTTTCTCATTTAATCCACATTTACTGAGTTCTCGCTGATGTCAGCCATCATGTTAACTAAATGCTTTAGAGAAAAGGGTCACTGAAACAGACAGACTCAAACCAAGTGACTTACTGTCTAGCACAAGGGGATAAACCCAGATCTGTGCATGCCTAACACCACAACACAAGGCATAACGTAATAATATTTACGTTATGTTTAATTTGTGAGTTTGGTAGATGGATGATTTTCAGCTGAGGAAGATCAGGGTTGGCTGTATTTGAGATTCTTCTAAAGTGTGGGTGGCTCCATCAGGTCAGGTTGCTTCACCTGCATTCCAGATGTCAGGCAGGTGTAGGATATCCTGTGCACACAGCCATTCAACATGTTTTAATGCCTTCACATCGCTTATGTTGAAAGCACTTGTTTCCAAGGTTCAAGGCAGAGACGACTAAGGGAAGAAAACAATGCTTGGTCATTACTTTAAAAAAATGCAATATGATCCTCTACAAATCAAACATGCTCTTAATATACTATTTTATTGTTGTGAAGGTCTTAAAACATTTTGTGGGAGGTTGAAATAAGTATTTTTGGTAGGACTTAGCGAGTATTGAATGGTATTTGTATCTAGAATTTAGGTATTAGTGAGCTTTCAGAGAAGATACTAGGTTCTCAGAGAAAAGCCAGGTTAATATAAGTTGGTGAGGACCAAGGCACCCAATAAGGAAGGAGAGAGGACTGGCCGGCTGACTTAGATTTGGAAGCCCATATGAGTGGAAGAACCAGCAGTTACCAAAAACAATGAGAGAATCAGGAGGCAAAGCTAGAAAGATTGGCAGAAAAATGGTACCAAACTTAAGGGTAGAATTGACAAATGCTGGAATTTCTGACATGTCTTTGGTGAACATGAAATCAAGGTGATCCAAGACATCGACCTCACTTACACAGGGCAACAAATGACTAATTAACACCATTAGGTGAGCAAAATACACACAATATATCCATATATAATGTCGAGCAGTAAGGTGAGATGAAAAAGAGTAAAACTGGGAAAATGAGAGTGGAAAATTCTATATCAGATGGAAAATTTATGGAAGGTCTTTTTTTTTTTTTTTTGAAATGAGGTCTTGCTCTTGTCACCCAGGCTGGAGTGCAATGGTGCAATCTCTGCTCACTGCAAGCTCCATCTCCCAGGTTCAAGTGATTCTCCCACCTCAGCCTCCCTAGTAGCTGGGATTACAGGTGCCCACCACCACACCCGGCTGATTTTTTGTATTTTTAGTAGAGACAGGGTTTCACAATGTTGGCCCATGTTGGCCAGGATGGTCTGGAACTCCTGACCTCAGGTGATCCACCCACCTCGGCCTCTCAATGTGCTGGGATTACAGGCGTGAGCCACCGCACCTGGCCGGAAGGTGTTTTTTATGAAATGCAGAAATCTGCGTGAAGTGAGGGAGTGAGCCATAATAATTGAAGATGGGTAGAGGGGATGTACTTGGTATACAGCAAGGATGCCAGTGTAGCAGAAATGAGTAGCAAGGAGGGTAGGGTAGGCTGGTGGGGAGGGTATGGAGAGGTCTTTAGAGAGGCAGCCAGAGGCTACAATGAGGACTTGCAGAGGCTGCTAAAATTTTTGGTATTACACTAAGTGTGATGAGAAGCCATTGGCGGGTACTGAGTAGAGGGATGACATGACTAGACTTAACACCTGAATGGGATCATCCTGGCTGGTGTAGGGTGTAAGCTCAAGAATGAGAAGCAGGGAGACAGGAAGTTGTTTTGACAGTTTCGTGCATTATAATGGTGGTTTGAATTGGGTTGGTGGGGATGGAGGTGAAAAGGTGTAGTGAAATTTGGTGAATATTTTGAAAGTCCATTTGAAAGAAATTTTTGTATACTGAATGTATGATATGAAGTCAAGGATGACACTTAGGATTTTGGCTTAAACAACTAAATGAATGAACAACTGGTTTACTGGCATCATGAAGATTTGATCATCCTTTCAATATTTGCTCAAATTTGATAAACCTGCATTTCCCCTCATTCATTTTCAGTTGGCAGATGCGCCTTGCTACTGATGGCTGTCAGTGGCCACCGGCGCACTGCTCTATCTGATGTCTGTGTCTCCATCTCTCTTCCACTTGGTTGCCAGCAGCTGAGAGGAATTCATCCTTTCTGCATTCCATTATTTTATAATTTTATGACAGAGGATGTAGCCAAAGTTAGAAAGAAGGTGTTTTTCCTGGACCCACTGAAAATGCATTGGGTTAACTGAAGATCACGAGCAAGTTTCCCTTCAGGGACTGGTCAGCTTTGGAGGTCATTGAAACCGGGAAGGAATCTTACGTGGCTACCCAATTTAGCAAGCAAATGTATTTTTTTTTTTATTTTTCAGAAACAATTAACTGAGAGGACACATCTAGCCTTGTGGCCCTTTTCTCCTTTATCCATGCCGCTTCGCTGTCTGAATTATTCTACACCGTTTATACAAAACCCATAGCTTTTATGCTGTCCTTCGAGTACCGATGCACTTTATCACACCTGGTAGAAATTTACTAGTCATAAATGGAATTATTTAGGGGATTCTGTACAAATCTAGACAGTCTTTAACTCGAGAACTTATGAAGAAGGTTTATGATGATCATAAGGCTTATGATTATCTTGACTGTGGCAATACACAAACTTGCGTTGTCATTCTGACAGGTGAAGACCAAAAATGAAAGCATATCGACAACCACATTTCTTCAACGTGGTAAGTTCCTGGAGATTGTTGTTTTAAAAATGTGCTTGCTGCCTGCCACTCTGCCACCAAAAATAGCCAGTCTGAAGGGGCTAAGTGTTAGAGGACATTCCTGGAAACTAGTTCATCAGAGACCATTTGTGACAAAACATTCTTGAATTATTTTTCACTACCTTCTCTCTCTGGCAAATGGAACCAATTTCTGTCAAAAGAGGTAGGTCTTCTTTATGAATCAAATATACTTCTTACTGCCAAAACGTGAAATGGAAAAACGAACTTAAGCTAGTAGTTTATCTCAGCCATTACAGAGTATCTATTAGTGGGAATCAATGGCGCCAAACACACAATGTACTACAATACTATTTTAGGAGGCAGAAGAAAGGATTGGAAGAAAAAATTATTGGCATTTGAACCAGAAAATCTGGTCAGGGAACACAGAAGTTCTTTGTTAATAGTTCTATAACCTTGAACAAGTTATTTTGCCTTTCTGATCCTGGGTCTTCGGCTATGAAACGCTGCCAAAAATGACTGCTCTGTGTCTTTGTGTCAAAGACTGAAAGCGTCACATCAGTGAAAATTCGGATAGACACACTGCCGCATATAAATCCGGTGCTTTATGATCTCACACTGCACGGATTTGGAAACTACTGCATGTGCACGATTCTCAGCCTAGTTCCCTGCAGGTGAGGGATTTTTTTTTTTTTCCAGAAAGAAAACTGTTAGCTCTGCCCTGAAGATGAGTCCCACAGAGGTTTTGCAGGGTGGAGTTACCGAGAAATTGACTTCGGGGTGAGTAAAACTAAGATCCGGGGAAGGCTGCAGCCACTTTTCCAGGGTAAGGGGCGGTGTCATTTGCTTCCTCATGCGGCAACGACGAAAGTGATTATAAGCCACAGAACGTGGCGCCAGGGTTCACTAGTATAAACCATTTCAGGAGACGAAGCTCCGACCTCCCAGGCACCAAGATCTTTACCAACAACCCGGGATGCTCACTGCAGGAGGGAGCGGGTGAGGAGGACACAGGGATTCGAGGGCGGGACAGACAGGGAGAGGACACAGGTTCCAGAGACTTCTGTTTTAAGGCTCTCGAGGATCCCTGAGAGTGCCCTTGAGGGCTCCAAGCGCGGGGAGCGAGGGCCTGGAAGTGGCGGTTACAGTCCCGGGTCCCGCGCCCTTTCCCGCTCCACTGCTCAGCCAGTTCGGGCGCGCCCAGGGCACCCGCCTCGCGCACCCTTAAGCCCACGCGGGTCTCGGCTCAGACTGTCGCGCCCCACCCGGCCCGCGCCACATCCCACCGGCCCATCCAGTAACGGTTTCTGGACCCGCGGCCTCTCCCCTGCCCCCTACTTCCCAGCTCACGAGAGCCGCAGCGCTGCGCCGTTTGGAGAGGGGTCATCCGCCCCGGAACCGACGTGAGCGCGGGGCCGGCCCGTGGAGGCGGCTGAGGGATCCCCCACTTCCAGCCCGCCCGCTCGGAGCCGAACCCCGAACTCCGTCCCACTGATCCGCGCCCCCAGCCCACCCCGCGCCCGCGCCCCGTCACCCCCGCCGCGCCGCTCCTCCCTCCCGCCCCCTCGCTTCTCCGGCCCCCCCTTCCGCGGCGCGGCTCTCACGCGCAGCCGAATTCGGCGCCGCCTCCATCAGAGCCGAGCCGGCGGCTCCACCGAACGGCCGCGCCTGCCGCCGCCGCAGCTGCAGAACCTTCCGCATCCCCTCCCCGTCCCGCCCCCTAGCCCCAGGCGTCCGGGCCCCCTCCCTCCTTTTCCCCTCTCCCTCCCGCCCCCTCCGCGCTCTCTTTCCCTGCAGCCAGAGCCCGGCCCGCCAGCCGGGCCGGCAGGAGGGCGGCGGCGGCACAACCATGAGCTTTGAGGGCGGCCACGGCGGCAGTCGGTGTCGCGGGGCGGAGAGCGGGGACGCCGAGCCTCCCCCGCAACCTCCCCCGCCGCCGCCGCCGACGCCGCCGCCGGGAGAGCCGGCCCCGGTCCCCGCGGCCCCGCGCTACCTGCCGCCGCTGCCCGCGTCCCCCGAGACCCCCGAGCGCGCCGCGGGGCCAAGCGAGCCGCTAGGGGAGGTGGCCCCGCGGTGCAGGGGAGCGGACGAGCTGCCGCCTCCGCCCCTGCCCCTGCAGCCCGCCGGCCAGGAAGTGGCGGCGGCCGGCGACTCCGGGGAAGGTCCGAGGCGCCTCCCGGAGGCGGCAGCAGCGAAAGGCGGCCCCGGGGAGTCTGAGGCCGGCGCGGGCGGCGAGCGCGAGCGGCGGGGCGCCGGAGACCAGCCCGAGACGCGCTCGGTGTGCAGCAGCCGCAGCAGCAGCAGTGGCGGCGGCGACCAGCGCGCTGGGCACCAGCACCAGCACCACCAGCCCATCTGCAAGATCTGCTTCCAGGGCGCGGAGCAGGTAAGGCCCGGCGAGACCCCGAGGCAGCCGGTGGCGGCTCCAGCTCGCGCCGGTCAAGCTTTCAGCACCACGGACAGCGCACGCCTACCTCCCAGTTTGCCTCCAGTGAGGCTCGTCTGGTTCTGCCCTGTGAGCGCTGGCTCCAATATGCCTTCCCCTTTCCCTTCCTGTGAAGGCAAATAGAAATGTCCCAGTGGTGAATACTGGGTTTAATTTCATCTACACTTCCTTTTTCCTTCCTGGCTTAGGAGCTACATGTTCCTCAGGTGCTTTAGTGATAATGCCAAAAGCGGCTTTTGTGAATTATTCGATGGATTTTGGTTTATGCTTAGAAGCAAACCTGTCAGATGTAAGGTGAAGTCCGTTTTCTACAGATGTATCTTGAGACAGATGTCATATCACAACCAGAAAGGGCAGAGTCTTTCCTTACTGCAAATTTGGGTGACTTAATCTCACGGATGTGAAAAGCATGTGATAGTTTTTACAAGAGAAATAGGAATGGACTTTGAAAGAAAGGCTATTATGCCAACAATTTATATTTTGACAGCAACACAATTCTAAAATTATAAACACCATTGTAGGTGCATGCAAACTTATATGAGAGTAATCATGCAGAGGAAATGATAGCATATGTCCCTTACAAATGTGTGGTCTGAGAAAAGATTAGGTGTAATGTTTTTAAAAGTAAGGAAATTGCATAAGAATATACAGGCTTTCAGGAATATAGTGCCCTAAGACAATATTTATGATGCTACATTTAGAAAAAAAAGCATAATGCCGCTTTCTGGGATGCCATGCGTTTCTTCTTTAGCAATGATTAAGAATAACTGCAGAGGAAATGCATCTGACCATCCACTTAAAAGTTATTAAAGAGATTTAATAGTACAGCTTTCCCCCACGGGTATTGGGAGCTATATCTTGCAGACATTTTGTATGTTGGTAGAACATTTATGTCATAACTCTAAGCAATGTCTTTGAAATAGTTTTAAGACTTAGTTTCATTCCCATCAGAGGTATAAAATTTTAATTTCATTTCCTATGATAGAGCCTGATGCTGTATCCTGAGTAAATGGCTTTGAAAGAAAAGAAAGGAAGCATTAGGTTTTTAAAATAGAGACACAGACACAGATATTCACACTGAGCTGTTTTCTTTTTAGGGTGAGTTGTTGAACCCCTGCCGATGTGATGGGTCAGTTCGGTATACACATCAGCTGTGCCTGCTAAAATGGATCAGTGAGAGAGGTTCCTGGACCTGTGAACTTTGCTGTTATAGATACCATGTTATAGCCATTAAAATGAAACAACCTTGCCAGGTAAGCAGTTTCAACATTTATTTTTCCTGAAATAATTTTGTTAACATGAATGCACTTAAGCTTAGTTATTACTAAGGATATTTACTTATGCTACTTAAAAACATTTTGTGAAAATTACACTAAAACCAAGATTTAGAATTTGTAAACATGTGTTTTTGAGAAAGCCATGACATTTTATCTGAGAAACTCAAAAGACATTTTAATCGAATGGTTTCCTTTATTAATTTTTTACTTATTGATAAAATGATACCAGTCTTTTTTCTAAAAAGGCAAGTTGGTAAAATGACTTGTACCACACTTAAATCAATTTTATTCATTAGAAATGTTACACAATTGATTTTATTAATATTTTGTTAACTTAAGCATTTAAGCTCTAATGGGCTCCATTTATGGAGAACAGATACAAGTAAAACAAAACTTCACTGGTATGAAAACTTTGGTTGAACCTATTAGTTCTAATCTGAATGTTATTTCCACTTAACCAGGCTTTCTTTATCATGTGATGTTCTTTTGCAGTTAAATTTTGGCTGATTTTCTTCTTTGCTGTGTTCAACTACATAGTGGATGCAGAAGTATTCCCAACAGTTACTCTCAATAATACTACTGAACTAGTATTCTTACATATTCTTAAACTTTTTGTGTATAATCACATAATAACATAATACACATAAATCTACAAATGCCCTGGAAAATAGGCCTAAAATTTATCGTGAAACAGATTCAGGTTCTTTGAACAGACAGGTAGAATATAAAATATTAAGAATGACATCTTAAGGAAAAGCAGAATAATGTGTAATTAATGTTATCTGGTAGGCTGAAGTTAAGTAGACATAAAAGAATAGGGTTCAAAACAGAGACAAAGGAGTAATAGAAATAAAAAGAATAGGGAATTGCAAAGTTGGGAGGGGGAAAAGTAATAAATTCTCGTGTTCCTTGTTGCTATCTAAATCACCCAATTTAGTTTTTATTCAGCAATGTAATATAGGTGGAACTACCAGTGTTTGCAGAAGGAACCTGCAAGCTGAATTACTAGTGCATTAATAATTTAAATTTCATAGTTTAAAATTTTTGTATCCTTTATATAGTTTGCAATTAATTTGCATATCTGATAGTCTCCATTTAATGCATGATTAGCAACCACAAAATGAAAATATGTATTTCTCAAGCTGACCTAGGGCTTGTGAATAATTGGAAAGAGAAAGCATAAATAATATGGATGAGTGATATTATCATGCTGAAGACAGGCACAAACCTGACACCTTTTCCAAGAACCTCTGATTGAACTACTTGGGTATCAATTTATGAATCCATCATAGTTGTCTTGAAAAACAGATGAAACCATTTTCAAAGACTAGCATATAGGTAGTATAATTGGATCTACAACAGTTTTATCAGTAGAAGTATGTGGGAAAATAAGAAATGAGAGAGTTTTGGGCTCTAGAGAAAAGTTCCATGAGAAGAGCTATGGTCAGACACTCATTGGCTGAAACAGAAGACTATTTCAAGAGCTTGAACTTATGGCAACTATATGTTAATTCATTTAGGATGATTAATTTTGAAGTAAATAGAGATAAGTACTTGATGGACATTTTAAAATAGGAGATCAAGAGCTGGGGCAAAAAAAAAAAATACTATTTACTAATTTTAATCCTATAGCAAAAAGAATTGGTTACTACTGTCTCTTGCTTCATTTAAAAAAGATTCAATAGTTATTTTTAAAAAGTAACTCCCAAACTGTGCATATGATTTTCCTTTTCCCCAAAAAGAACTAAAACCCAAAAACTAATCTGGTACTATTAGCATATTTAGGATTAATTTTATTATGACATCTGTAAATACTACTATTATCTGTAACCTGATCTGATTGTTGTAGTGACCTACCAAATCATACGTAGAAACAAAGTTGATATGAATGTGATGATGATAGCTCAGAACATGCTGGAGATGAAATAACTTTCCAGGACTACGTCAGATGCACATGTATCTGTGTGAGGCCAATCCCTTGTGAATAGGTGGTTTCTTGGATGTAGAACAGAACAGAGAACAAATATTAATATTCACAAATACTTTGCCACGCACTGTTCTAAATGCTTTGTATATATGGATACTGATATTTAATCTTCATGACAAATCTATGAGGTGAGGAATATTTCTATTTTACTCAAAGGGAAACTGAGGCACAGTAAAGTTAAGTAACTTCTACTAGGTACCTATCTAGTAAAAGGCAAAGCCAAGATTCAGACTTAGTCAGTCTGGCCCAGGGTCCACTGTCTTAGCCGCCCTGTTGGAAAGTGTGCTTCTCAATCCCATCCTAGCCACCTTCATGTTTCTGGATCTGTCAGGACTTGTCCTGGAAAAGGCTGTAGCAAGCAGGAAATAGTTTCAGCCTGGATCTCTAAGATGGTTTGGGAAGGTTTTGACTGTCTACTGTTGCATAATAAACCACCTCAATACTTAGTGCTTTAAACAACAACTGTCATTTATGATCTGTTAAGAGTCAATGGGTTGATGGAGGTCAGCTGAGATGTCTTTCTCTGCATGCAACATCACCTGAAGCTATCATCATCCAGAGGCTTAACCAGATTGGAACATCCAAGAAGGCTTGCTCATTTGACCTGGTTTTGGTGCTGGCTGTTGGCTGGAAGCTCAGTTGGGGCTGCCACCTGGTGTGTCAGTTCTCCCTCCATGTGGCTGCTGCTTTTCACTGTGATAGCTGGGTTCCAAGACCATGAAAGTGAAAATTACAAATCTCTTAAGGCATAGCCTTGGAAGTGACGTGGTTCACCATCTACTGCATTCTTTTGTGTAAAGCTAGACAGAGGCCCAACTCAGATTCAAGAGAAGGGGAAATAGACTCCACTTCTGGAGTCTGGCCCTTCTTTTAAAGAGAGTGGCCATCTTTATCCCCCATAGGAGTTAGCTTCCAAAATGGCCATGCCTTCCTGACCTGGTCTCTGCATTTGGTCCTCATAAAGTCCGGGTAGATCAGCACATATCACCATAACTTCCCTTCCAGCACTCTGAACTAAAGGAGCTTAAAACCATGTATGCAAGAACTCACCAGTGATGCTTGATGTATATCCTCAAGCACTTTCACAAGCAAGTATTACCGTGTTGTATTTCCTTGTGCTCAGAGGAAGATGAGGACAGAGAAGGGCAAAGAGCAGTTATCAGGAAGCAGGTGTGTGTGAGGAAAACACGCTGCAGTGAGCCTAACACCTTAGTTTCACTTGTTTTTCTCATTGAGATTTGAATTCTTTGAGAATTGGAGTCTAACCTCCCAATTTCATTGGATTTCAGTGATGCTCGGCAGCATGACCCAATAGAAAGCTAGCAGATGTATCCTGTACAACGTAGTTAAACCTTAATTGCCGTATCATTAGCAGTAGGAGTTAATTAAGACATTTGAGGTAATTAAAATGCATTTACCTTCCTATCTACTGGCAGAATCTATTTTATTTATTAACATATCCAAGATGATGCATTAAGGACAATTTGAGAGTAAAGCCTAGTTCTGTTTTGAATCTGACCTAAAATTAGTGAAATGCGTGGACATATAAGATCAATTTTACTTTGAGATGTTGGGAGCATTATACATTAATTAAGCCATATTCCAGTTTATGAATGGCTTCAGTATTTTTTCCAGAGGCATGATGGATCTTTGAAGAGATAACATTTATGGGATAAAGTACTGTATGTGAAATTTTAAACTTTCTATAAAAGACAGACTGTACTGCCTAAACAAAGAAAAAGCTATGTAAATGGAAGGTAATATCTGTTATTTTAGACAAGCTACTTAAACTCTTTGCATCTCCATTGACTCATCTTCAAAAAGGAGATGACAATGCTACCTGTCTTATACCTTATTTTGAGAATTAGACACATAAATATGTGTGAAATGCTTAGAATGACACCTGGCCCATAGCAGGTGCCATTTAAATGCTGGCTCTGGATATTATGATCTGTTAAGTCAGCTAAGGGATGGGACCTTCACTTGCTCACTGCCACAGGTCCTTCTTGTTTATTTCTCATTGTGTCACCAAAGTGAAGTTCATGGCTTCTCTTTCCATATCCTTCTTTACTCTTGGATTTTTATTCCCTGCTTTTTCTGGGATCCCACCTCAGTTTCTGAGCAAATCAGTTGACATCCATGATGAATGAATCAGCATTTTTAAAAGCAGGTGTAATGAGATATAATGATCTCAGTGCAGTGAGCATATTTACTCTCCAGATGTCCCTCACTGTAGGTCTTATTTATGTCCTTATTGGAGTCTACTCATAATTGGAGCAATGAGATGCTCTTAAATGTGGCCAAGCACAGGACAGCACTATTCAAGGTCAGGCAGCCATACTTTGTTTATGCTTTAGAACAGCCCCTGTCAGGTGGGTGCATGTAACCTGTGAGTAGGCAGGAGGCCAGAGAAGTCTGAGATTTCTGGGGGACAGTCACAGAAGGGGTAATGGCTGAGCATCAGTCAAAGGGAGTCAAAAGGAATCATGATGTTCACCAACTTTCCTTCTTCCTCCTTTGTTGCTTGGAGCACCGAAGGCCTGCCTTGCCTACTTGGGAAGGGTTAGAAACTTGCATGTGGTCCATAGACCTTTTCAGGGATTAGGCTTTGGCCTTTGTTATTGGCCTATACTGTTTTTTATTAGCCTTTCCCTTACTCGTTTTCCTTTAAACTCTTCTAATGTGCTGTCAGCAGCAGATCTTCTTATAGCAGTAAGAATGACTGGGAAATCTCTTAGCAAGAAGGACTTGAGATTATTTTTGATTTTTATCCATGTTCTTAAAACCCTGGGATTCATCATAATGGATTTGAATCAGAGGGGAATTAGATAGCAGGTGGGTTTATTTGGCTGTCCTTCTTAGGTACAGCTTCCAGACCTTCTTGTAAGACATACATACATAGAACTTTAATTAACTTTCTGAGGAACCCATGGTCATTACTTTTCTAAATGGGGCTCCATCATGAAAGGGGCATTTCCACCTTCAGAACTGATTGTTAGTAGGATGTAGCTGATGCACTAGGAGGAGCTGAAAAATTACCATTGAAAACTGACTTTGGTTTTGAAAATGTATCAAGAAAACATCAGAGCATGAACTGTATTGGCATTGCATGCTGTCATTTGAAATCATTCAAGACATTTGCATTTCATGGCTTAAAAATGTCTGCATATGTCCAGCCTGTGACACGGTGAGCCACCCCTTTGACTTTTTCTCTAAGTGCTGCTCTTACTTCCATTCTTTGCAGATTTAATAGCAAATGACAAGCTGAGGGGAGACGTGTTTTATTACCGTGGCTGAATAACTAAAAAACAATGCTGAGATATATTTAAATGTCTATCCTGGCATATTTTGTAGGTAACTAAAAATGTCAAAATGAGCGGCACATCACGAGGCAATTTTCTCACCTTAGGAGTTAATTTTGTTTCATTTGCTTACTAATTTTCAAAACATAAGAATCCGTATTTTACTCACTAGGAGAAATGAATGATTTTCTGCTGAATAAAATATGTAAATTTTACTTTGTATACTACTATAACCATCTTATTTACTGTACAGACTACATGTACAGTGATTTTACAATTTCTCCTAAGCCAGATGGTTCTGAAACACTGGTAAAAGGAGCCAAAGGTCATTTAGGGCATTGTGCCATGGTATTTGCTTTTAAACTATTTAGAACGAGGCTTGGGGACAACATGTACCCTATAGGTGATACCCTTCAGGACTTTCTTCTCTACATACCTTCGACTTTTCTACATTTTCCAGCCCTTTTAAGTGCATTTCCCTTTGGACACCTTCCTCTTCTGTGCTTTGTTTGCCCCTCCACACAGCTTCCTGTAGAAGAAAGAACATCCTAGGCAGAAATGGGTCGACTTATGGGTTAAAGCAAGTCAGGATGACAAGAAGATTTGGCAGTTGTTGGGTAGAGGAGCCTTGTCATGGCTCCAAACTGTCTTCACTTGATAACATTTGTATTACTATTTAAATTAGTGGTTAGAAGGCTTTTCCTCTACAGGGTCAGACAGGAAATATTTTAGGCTAGGAGGGCCATTATAAGCTCCTGTCCTAGCATGAAAGCTACCACAGACACTGTATAAATAAATGAGCATAGCTGTGTTCCAGTAAAACTTTACTTATAGCGACTGAAATTTGAATTTCATATCATCTTAATGTGTCAGGAAATAGTATTCTTTTTTTAAACAATGTTTCCCCTGCCATGTAAAAATGTAAAAACTCATGGACCACACAAAAACAGGTAGCGAGCTGGGTTCACTCAGCTGCATTTGGTAGTAATTTAAACATATGGAGTATTGATTTGGACTTAGGTTTTTACAACCTCTTAGAAAATTCAATGGGTGGGATGTTTCTAAATTTCTATGTTTCTTTGTAATTTTGAATGAACTTATTATAAACTTACATTATTTAGAAAACGGTGGCAACTTAGCTCCATGGGGTTGGGGGAGGGGGGAGGGATAGCATTGGGAGATATACCTAATGCTAGATGAAGAGTTAGTGGGTGCAGCGCACCAGCATGGCACATGTATACATATGTAACTAACCTGCACAATGTGCACATGTACCCTAAAACTTAAAGTATAATAATAAATAAATAAATAAATAAAAGAAATGCTATTAACTTTTCCGTATTAAATATTAAAACCATTGCTTCTTTGAAACAGTTTCTTGGTCGTATCAGATTCAAATCCTTAATTCTGAGGAGTCGCTTTGGTTAAGTCAGGAGTGGAAAGCAGGGGCATCTCAGAATAAGTGTCCTTGGAAGAGGCCACTGTCCTCTCTGTGAGTCCTGGAATACATTTCAAAGAATGGTCTTACCCCACCCCAGGCTGTCTGCAGTGCAGTAAATATCCTTGGAATATTCCCTTCTGAATGTCTTGAAATGAGATTATTTTAATTTGCTTAGAGTTTCTGGGCTTGTATTCTGAGGGACAAGCATAGCAATGAGCGGGACAGGTTTTAGAGCACATTATATAACACAGCTCAATATTGCTGACATTCATTTTCTTGGTCACTTTGTGGGCATTCGGTGAATATTTATGGTATGAATTAATAGATGCATACCTGAGTGTTTTTGTAAGGTGGCAAGAACCATGGAGGTTATATTATTTCTGAGTGAGAGTATGATTTAGGGAAAACAAATCGCATTCATTACTCATACATTAGCCATCTAATAGTTGTTAATTTTCAACTTGTATCTCAAGTTGATCTTCCAATAATGCTATTCTCAAGTTGCCTGGGCAAGTATGTTCAGTTCTTCAGACCATAGAAAAAAAGCCTTGATAGTAACACGGGATCTATTTTTTAAAACCCAGAATTTTTTTTTATAAAAGCTTCCAGTGAGACATATCTGCTCTTTTCAAAAAATAAAATGTCATGAAAAAAGTCTGTGAATGTGGAATTACCCATGTGTGACACCCTCACTTTCTTGAGATTGTCACTGTTTGAAGGGTTTCTTCTAGCATTTGTTCAGGGAATTTGAATAATTTGTTGGAAATTTTACTGTATGATCATGGATATAGATGAGCTGCTAAGAGCGTCTACTGGATATAAATTTTTGGTGTGAAATCTGCCACCTGGCTGAAAACTAGGTGACTTTTTTGATGAGCAGTTTGCACGGTTGTAACATAACTTCAAAAATGATTTTCCACCGGTGAATACAATACTCAAACCCAGGGAGATGTAGCCAGACAACAGGCTATTTCCTCCTCACTAATTTCCTGCGTTGCCTTGGCATGTAGCTGTGCTGTGATGTGACTGATGTTTTGCTAAAGGGATTGGTATAAAGGAAACTCGGCTTCTTTCTATTTTGGGACCTTCTGAGAGTAGAATGGGATGACTCTGAGGGCAAAATGAGAGTACTTCCGACCCTTCAGAATAGCAGGGAATGGACTGATGAGTAGATAATCACCTGCAATTACAAGTAAATGGATGGCAGACACAGAGGAGTTGGCCAAGAAAAACTGCACTGTGGTTTGTGCTTTCTGTATCCTTGGATATCTGACAACATCTTCCCTGTGAGAATAACTCATAATTCAAAAGCTGTTCCACATGATTTAGCCAAGTGAATTTGATGTAAGAAGAGGTGGACTGGAACCTGTTATATGATAAGACATGACAGGAACCCAGAAACATTTCTATATCAGCAAAGTCAATAAGGGAACTTATTGAGGACACATTTCTTATTCCATCCTTCCCTTAGGAGTGGAATGCTTTGAAAACTACCATCTAAAAAGATGCTTTCTCTCTAGTTTTTACCTCTTTGAGTTGGTTCATTTTTATTGATGACACCTGTACAATGGATGTCCCTTCCTTATAACGATAGAGTTCCATTGTTGCCTTAGTGTGCCTTTTAGTTTTTCTTCTCTTTTCGGTATACTGATTTGGTGCAGGTGGCCAAGTGCTTAATTTGGGCATGGGGTGTCGGGGGTGAGGAGGATGTCGCCCATAAGTATCCAGCCCTTATTCCAGGAACCCTCCTGGCACTCCTTTGTTTGATATGGTCTTGTGATTGTCCAAGATTTCATCTCCTTACTCCATTTGTGTCATGACTCTGAGCTATAGAATCATTCAAATGAATGAAGAATTGTTTCAGAACACTTACACGGGCTTGCCTTGGTTTGTTCAACCTGTTAGAAAAGATTTTAAGAAGGAAGCATCTTTCACACAATGTGAGGGGATTTTTCTTATATTCTTACTAACCAATCTTCCAAAGCCTGCAGGAAATAATTTGGCCCTGTTCTCTTTCCCCCAACTCTCTCCCTAGTATTAACTTGTTTCCTATGTTATATTTGTAGATTTTTTAAAAAACATAAATATGTATACAAGTGCCCTATTTTTTTTAAATAGAGGAAATAAAAATCTTAGAGTAGTCAAGAACAGAGGATTTGCCAGGCCTGTATTGAGCATTCAGTAAATATCTGTCTTATCCTTCTTCCATCTCTTTCTTCCTTTTTCTATCATCATCTGACTCTCATCTTTTGTGTGGGAATGAGTAGGTGGGAGGTTTCCAGTGAGACCTCCAGCCCCATGGAAAGAAGGAGAAGGGCACAGTGAATAGGGTGGAAGTCTTTGCCTGCATGGCATTCTCTGGACCAACCATGCCACGCTTTCTTCCCCTGGAAGCAGAAAGAAATTTTGAATGCAAAACCACCTTTCCGTCTCCTCCTAAACAGTCTTTGCTTTCACAGTGGTCTCTCTCAGTCATACTACCATCGCTTCTATTAAATTCATTTTCAAATCTGGACAAGGTTTTCAGCAATTTGAGAAGTAATTGAAAGACATTAAAACATGCGAAGCCAACAAGATTACAACTAACTGTGCCAGAATTTTTTGGGTAGCTGTGGGTGACATGGTTCCTAAGCTATGGGGTGAAAGACGCTTTGATATTGGAAAAATTTTGATTTGGTGAAACATATAAGGATGGGTGATGAATCTCCCTGCCTCCTGTCTACTTGCTGCCCTCAACCTGAATACTACTAAGACTGAAACTCATATTTGTTACCGAAAAGAAAACTTGAAAGAGAAATATGCTTCTTTATTTTGGACATGATAAAGCTCTACCACAGTAAGCTTCAGGTAAAAACACCAACCATCCCTTGAATTGCCTGTGGGGAGAATTCCAGTATGAAGTGATGATGGATGCATGATTATTCATATAATGTGACACAGTGACAGATCGGTGTGTGTTTATTTTTTGGTCTGGAAGATGATTTTACTCATGTTCTACAGGTAGCCTCAAAGTATTCTTTGTTGTTTTCTAGTATGTTACTCATAGTAGAAATTGTTACTTTTTAATTGATAATTGGTACTTTCTCATTCTTTTTTCATTTATTCAACACGTTAACCACTACTACATAGCAGACACTGTTCTAGGCCGAAGAGTTACAGAGTTGGTAAAACAAGCAGGGCCTCTGCTTCTAGAACTTAAATTATCAATAGTAAGGAACGGAAGAAAAGCAAGTGAGCAAATAAATACAAAAAGTAGTTAATTATAGATTGCGTTAATGATGCTAATGGAAATAAACTGGGTGTGAGAGTTAATTTTATGTATCATGGGGAGCCCAGGTATTTGGTCAGACAATATTCTGGGTATGTCTGTGAAAGTGTTTCTGGGCAGATGAACACTGGAGTTGGTAGACCGATAAAGCACACTCGAAAGCAGATGGCCTCCCTCATGTGGGAGAGCTGCAGCCAGTCAGTTCAAAGCCTGACTAGAACAAAAAGGCTGACCTTCCCTTGACTGAGAGAGAACTCAGCTTACCTGTTTTCATGCTGGAACATCATTATTTTCTTTGGACTTCAGCTGAAACACTGGATCTTTCTGGGTCTGGAATGTATCAGCCTTTGGACTGGTAGGCTTTCAGATCTGTGCTTTCAGCTCTCTTGATTCTCATGCCTTTGGACTTGAACTGGAACCACAATCTTGGCTCTTTTGAGTGTCCAGCTTGCTGATTGCAGATCTTGGGACTTGTCAGCTTCCACAGTTGTGTGAGCCAATTCCTTATAATTACTCTCTTACACACACACACACACACACACACACGTGTGTATACAGACAGTTCCCAACTTACAATGGTTTGACTTATAATTTTTCAATTTCATGATGGTGTGAAAGTGATATGCATTCAGTATGCTCCTCAGCTTACAATGGGGTAATGTTGGGACATAAGTAAATGAACATCGTTGTATGTTCATAAGTAAATGAACATCGTTGTATGTTCATAAGTAAATGAACATCGTTGTACGTTCCTCACACTCATATGTATACATACACACATATGTACACACACACACACACACACACACACATCCTGTTGGTTTTGTTTCTCTGGTGAAACCTGACAAATATACTGGATGATTAAAAAGAGTATGCTAAAATGGATCATGTGATACTTGATTAGAGTGGGGTACATTCTTATAAACTCATGCTTTGCTTAAGCATAAGTTTATATAAACTATACATTTGTAACTATTTCTATATTGATGATACATTTGTAATCATTTCTATATTTCATAGATATGTAACCATTTCTATATAAATGATTACATATAGAAATACATTTAATCGTATAGAAATTTACATATCTATGAAATATATATAAATGTTACATATAGAAATTTCTATATGTATTTGTAAATGTTTCTGTATGTAACCATTTCTGTGTTGATAGAAATGGTTTATATAGTTTATATAAACTCAGGCTTAAGCAAAGCATGAGTTTATATCAATGTACTCTAATCAAGTATCACATGATCCATTTTATCTCTATTGATAGACATGGTTAAATATAGAAATATTTACACATATGTGCTTATGCTTTGATTAGTTTACATATATATGTTTTCTAGCTCTTGTCTGTTGAGGGGGTTCAGTATTAGTGGCACCTGAGTGAGAATAAGCTCACCTGGCACCAGACCTCAGTTTCTAACATCATTCTCCAATTAAAAAAATAGTCACATGCAATATGAGACTGGAGCTCCTTGTAGTGCCAGATTGTAAAGAAGTGCTCAAAAAACAAAAGGATTGGGTATAAGTCATCAAAGGGACACAAGAGCCAACCTGGAAGAACCGCCAGTGACTAAAGCTGGAAATATTTGAGCAACAATTTAGCTTGGATTGTATCTTGAACTATAATATAAAAATCTGTAGGTGAACACCAATATAAATAAATCATCAAACAAATAAGTAAATGGGAGAGAAAAGACAAGTCTCCCTTACAGAATTCCAAATAATTGCACTGGTGGTTCAATGGTAGAATTCTCGCCTCCCAAATAATTTATGTATATAATCTCCCCTCCAGGAGGTAGAGCTCAATTCCCCCATCTTTGTAGTTAGTGACTTGCTTCCAAAGAGTAGATTGGTAATAGAGTGGAAAGGATGAGGAAATACCTTTACAATCGAGAAGGCTAGCAAATTCTATGTAGCCAGGCAATCAAGTTTAACATTATCAGTGATAACTGATAGCATTATCACTGATAAGTCATGTTGATAGCATCTGCCCCTGATATGATGTGATGAGATTATTTCACCTGTGGTCTTCCTCTCTAAAACCCGTAACTATAGTCTAACCGTGAGAAAAACATCAGACAAAACCAAATTGGGGACAATTTACAAAATAACTTGAGGAGTACTTCTCAAAGCTGAAGAATAAACAGGGTAAGTCTTAGAAACTGTCACAAACCAGAGACTAAGGAGATATGATGACTAAATGTAATGTGGTCGTCTGGATATAGGATCTTGGAAAGAAAAAGGTCATGAGACAGAACTAAGTATGGAGCTTAGTCAATAGTAATGTACCAGCATTGGTTTATTGGTTGTGACAAATAAGACTATAGCAATGTAAGATATTAACAATAGGGGAACTGGGTTCAGAGTGTATGGCCATTGTTTGCACAACCTTTGTAACTTTTATGTAAATAAAAAACTACTCTAAAATGAAGTGTCTTCAAACAAACAAAAATAATGTAGGGAAGGCCAAGAACAGGTAGAAGCGATAGGGAAAGTCTGAGGAGGTGACGTCTGAGATTAGACCTAAAGGTTGATGATGATCCTACCTTTGAAAAATTATTTGAAGAGCATTCTGGAAGGGGAAGAGTGACACCAAAGACTCTAAGCAGGGAAGGGACTGAGTGTTTGAGGGAATAAAAAGACCATGTGGCTGGACAGCTTTGAGTGATGAAGCGTAGGAGATGTCATGAGGAATTGGAGTTTCATTCAAGAGCAGTGGGAAGTTATTGGAGAGTCTCAGGTAGAGAAATAACATAGTAATAATAATAGATGCCTTCAGTTGCTTTGTGGAGACTGGACTGGAGAGAGGCAGGGGTAGAAGCATGGATGCTGTTAAAATGTTCCTTTAAGGACAAAAGGGACAAAATGGTGGCTGTGCTAGGATGATGGCAGGGATGAAGAAAAATGGATACATTTGAAAGATGCCTTTAAAGTAGAAGCAATAGGTTTTTAATTTCGTTTTACAATTTATTTTTGGCAAAAACATGTGGACTTTAACTTCAAGTTATTTATAGCCTTTATCTCATTTATTATCAATAATTATTGTATATTTTGCTGTAGAAATATTGTGATTGGCTGCAGGGTGCTGACCTAAATCCTGATGGTGGTGTGGATGTTTTATAATCTACTGAAAATGCACCATATTATATTTTTAAAATCCAGACAACTTAGGATCCTGAAACACATATGGGCCAAAGTGTTTTGGGTAAGAGACTTTGGCCTAACACACAGCCTGTCCTAGAGAGTGGAGTGCTCTATACATGTCTGTATGGTGTAGTTGATTTATAGTGTTAGGTGTGGTGGTTGATAATGTTGTTCAAGACTTCTATTTCCTTGTTAATCTTCTGTCTATTGAAAGTGGGGTATTGAAGTTTACAACTATTACTGTTGAGTTGTCTGTTTCTCCATTCAATTATGTCCATTTTTTCTTCACATATTTTGGGACTTGGTTGTTAGGTGCAAATATGTTTATTAAGTGTTATATCTTCCTGAGGGATTGACCATTATATTATTGCAGAATGTCCTTTGTCTCTATGTCATAGTTTGTTTGTGCTGTTATAACAAACTACACCAGACTGGATAATTTAATAAATAACAGACATTGATTTTCACAGTTCTGGAAGCTGGCAAGCCAGGATCAAGCCCCTAGCAGGTTTGGTGTCTGGTGAGGGCCCAGCCTTCACTTCCAAGTGGGACTTTGTTGCTGCATCCTCTGGAGGGGACAGACACTGTGTCCTCACTTAATGGAAGGGACCCAAAGTCAAAAGGGGGATAAATGCCATGTTATCACATGGCAAAGAGCAGAAGAAAGCAAACATACTCCCCCTAACCCTTTTATAAAGGCCCTAATCCCATCTGTGAGAGCTTTGCCCTCATCACTTAATTACCTCTTAAAGCTCCACGTCTTAATAGTATCACATTGATGATTAAGTTTTAACCTATAAATTTTAGAGGGGACATCATCATTCAAATCATAGCACTCTAATAACAAGCTTTGTCTTCCTGTCTATTCTTTCTGATGTTAATATAGCTACTCAACTTATCTTTTATTTACTATTTGCATGATTTATCTTTTCATCCTTTTACTTTCAACCTATTTGATTTTTGCATATAAAGTGTGCCTCTTACAAAAAGCATATAGTTGGATTACAGGGTAATGGATTTTGGACCTGTGTGATATTATTCCTGGAATACAGCCTTATGAAAATCAGCAAATATTGTAGGAATTGCTTTCTGATTGTGATGTTATCAATTTAGCACAGTCTAAGATTCCCTAATCATGGTGAATATGTGCTGTCTGAGATTATGTTTTTTTTAATCCCTAGATGGAATTGCTGTGAGTATTCTGTTAACCTATGAATTTATGCAATTGTCCTCTTCCATAACTTTTGAGGGAACTGTTTTGTTTTTCCCTATTTTCTCCTTCCGCCACCACCTGAGACCTGTTGTGAGCAACCAAGGAGTTGTGGAAACCTGTTCTTTTCTAGTAAACCGGAGTTCTTATTGCCATTCATAGTCAGTTGCTTCTTCTGCACCTCCAGAGCGTCTTGATTATGAAGTTATGCTGACACAATTAGCTTTTGTAACTTAAGCGCCCTACTGTTAAACATTTGTTACACATCTTTTAGAAGAGTTGAGATAGTATGAGGATCAGTGTAATATAATAAAAAAAGCATGGACTTTGGCAATATGCAGACCAAATCCAGATTTCAGCTCAGCCACTTACTCAGCTGTATAAGCAACAACGCTACTCTATGTTTCATTTCTTAATGTTGTTGGAAGGATGAAATCAAGTAACATTTTCAAAATGCTTGGCATTTGATGGTCTCTTATTGATTCTTGACTCCTAGTCTTATTAGAACAGGACTTGCAATACATAAAATTGTGTTATATTTTGGATTTGCTGTGTATTCATTTATTTGTTCATCCATTTAATATTTCAACAAATATTTATTAATTACCTACTAGATACCAGTATTCTAGTCACTGGGAATGAATAAAAGTAAACAAAAAAGACAAAATCTCAGCCATTAGGCTCATACCTTGCAAACAGACTGATAATATATAAGTAGAAATTCCAAGTAAAAGAACTAATCATAAGAAAAAAACATTGGGCAATGAAGGGGGCTATGAATTGTTGAGAGATATTGTTAAAATTTTAGATAGAATGGTCAGTGAAGGCTACCAATCCATGATCTTTGAATTGATTGACAGATTTTAAAAAATATATTGCCTTCTAGAAATAGGGTATGCTAGTGAATATTTACTATGGTTTGTTTTCCTACTGAAGTATATTTCACTTTGGGTTTTAGTTTTCCATGAGTGAACTGGAGAGGTCAATATTTACAGCTTATATCAATATGTAAAAAGCCTTGATAAAGGCTCAGTTTTCTCAATCTATTTTATATCTAGCATGTTCTAGTGAGATGTTGGTTTTAGGGGCATGGAAAAAATGAGTACAATCAGATAGACATTCAGAGAAAAAGAATAGTGAAAATGGATTCTGGATTCTGAGAAACAGGTGGTCAGTTTGCTCCTCCTGAGTTATTTAAAATATTTATTTATGTTGCCATTTTAAGCATTTAATTTATAGAATTATCAAAGCATTAGGATTTCAAAAACCTCTCTATATGATAAATTGCGTCTACCTGGACTATAATTATTTTTAATATCGATTTTTATAAATACAGTGATAATACAACAAGTGAAAAATAATTTTAGACCTGTGTTCTCCTTGGACAAGTACAGTTTTTCTGTTAAAAGCCCACAGTTTCTGAGATGGATTATTTTGAAGAGACGCTTCATCATCTCATTGAATGCCCTCTAGGAACCTGGCTATTTGGAGAATGAATATTTGAGGCTGTAATTTTCAAGATAATATAATTGGGAGATATTGAAGTGGCTTGTACATGACTTGGCCACTGGGAAAGACACACAATGGCTTGAAGAGGGGAAATAACTTTTTATGTTGCTCCTGGAGCTACACAAATTGATATTTGGGCTTCCAGACTCCATTTGAAATAAATGGCTTCCATTTATCAGTGTGGTAAGATGCTGGGAAGCCAGTATTTTTTGAATCTTTGCCATTGACAATGAATATGAATATAAAGGAGTTTTGAAGGGTGAAGATTCTTTCCTCTGCAAAACTTTTAACAATATGGAGACATTTTGTTTGAGCTTATGGTACTTAGTCAACCAAAATGGAATAATCCGTTTCCCAAATAAGATGGGAAATGTCATCCATAACTTAAAACCTTTAGCTCTCAGAGTCCGTAAGCATAAGTGGGTTATTAAGAATCCTTTATTCAGGAGAAAAGCGATGGTCATTTCATGAGGAATAAGATGTGCTGTTTATGAACACATGCAGGAAGGAAGACAGATCATTTTTAGGGTAAGTACTCTCCATGGAGGCCTTGTCTGGGTTTCCTGAATTTGGCTGATTGCTTTCATAGTGGACTAATTTAGATCATCTGTTAAAAGTTTAAAACCTTTCTGGGGTGGGGGGAGGGGGGAGGGATAGCATTAGGAGATACACCCAATGTAAATGAAGCGTTAATGGGTGCAGCACACCAACATGGCACATGTATACATATGTAACAAACCTGCACGTTGTGTACATGTACCCTAAAGCTTAAAGTATAATTTAAAAAAAGTTTAAAACCTTTCCAAATAAACCAGGGTGTTCTGAGGGTTTACAGGAGCAAGCATCCTAAGTGTTGGTATCCATGTCCTCAGTTAGACGTCAGAAGAGCTTTACTGTGCAACTCTGCCCTCTAGTGTTTCACACGAACTACGGTTGTGTTCTTGGAATTTGACCCAGAGTGCACAGAGCTCCATTAGGTTAGAGACATTTCTATGTATTTTTTTTTCACCTTTTTGGAAAATAAATTCGACCCAGGTTCCATTTACTTAAAAAGCTTTGCCATTTGTTATTGCTCACCTAATTTGTTTAAAACCAAGGTGTCTCTCTATTTGATGAGATTTTGATTTAATCAATCATTTTCCATTTTCTTTATTCCACTTTGTAATCTGGGCATTTAAATCTTTACTCTGTTCAGATACTTTGAAACAACTACTTCTAAATTATCTTAAGAATATAAAGCATGTGATCTCAGGCATAATATTAAATCCATTTAAAGTTATCATAGTACATTCAAATGTTGATTGTCCAATGTATAGCTGGGTGCAACAAGTTTAAGTAAAAGATAATTATAACATCTAGTGGCAAACATCTCTAAAATATAAAAGATATTTTATATTTTTATTATAAATATAAAATTATAAAATTATATAAATATATATTATATTATTATATTTAATATTTATATATTAAATATTTAATATATAATTAATATATTAAATTATTAAATGTTTATATTAAATATTAAATATATAAATATAAATATTAAATATTTAATATAAATATATTAAAATATAAAATTATAAAAGATATAAAATATAAAAGATAATTATAACATCTCTGGCAAAATATTTGTAATATATTGATGATCAAATATTTTAGATATTTTTCTCAACTAAGAAAAAATTCTTTAGAGAATATCACTTATTTGGATTAATGTATCTGAAAGCAGCCACTGGCCAGTTATAGGGGAAGTTTTGTTATTTGTAAAAGAAACAGTGGTTGTGTTTTGGCTTCTTTTGTTTGGCTTCAGATTTTCGAAGATGGTATTTTATTTTGCTTAGGGCAACATTTTTAAAGAGAATTAGATGAGAAACCATTTCATGATGTAAAACTTATGAACTATATTTGAAAATGAGATTTTTAATTACCAAGGATTATTTTACTAATGGCAAGCCATCTTGCTGGAGGGAGAAATTTTTTTCCAAGCAGCTTAAGTTCTTAGTTAACAACCAGAGGAACATTAATTAAGCAGTAACTATTGAGGCACCGACCATCTCCTGAGGATCAATCATTGATGGGAGGATGTATGGAGAATGAGCCTCTCTGGCAGGCTGTGAATCCCTGAAAATGGCTCTGTACCCTGGAAATAACTGAAAATAAAAAAGAAATAAAAGAAGAGATAGAAATAATTTTCTTTTTCTAAATGGGAAATACAATTTCATTTCAGAGGTATAAAGCAATTCAAGAACATTAATAATGGGTATTAGTCAAACATTATTTGTCTGGAAGCACATGCATATCGTTTCAGATCAGTGAGGCCAAAATTGCTCTTGGTTTGATGCACAGAGAATATGACCTATTAGTTACTGAAAATGAATGGTGTGCAAGTAGCTATAAAGAACTTGGTTTGTTGTACTGTCTCTGCCTTATTATCTAACTCATACACCAAGAACTATTTGAAAGTGTGGCAAAAGGTAGAAGGAATGCTATGCTCTATCAGGGAAAATCAATTTAACTGTGGGTTTCAAGTGTCTTTCAGGTGGAGCTGGGGCTTCTGAAACTGACTTTAGGAGCAGGAAGCTTCTGTTGTATGATGGTGTGTCCATAAAACTTATTAAACTTATTTTATTCATTTATATAATTTTTCAAGATAGATCATCAAATTTTAATGTTACTGAGTATGAGAAGTTTGTCAATATGGTTTTTTTTAAATAGTTACTTTAAAATGATGAATAGAAGTTGTATTTATTTGCTATGTGCAACATGATATTTTGGAATATGCATACACTGTGGAATGGCTAAATTGAGCTAGTTGGCATATCCATTATCTTGCATACTTATCATTTGTTGGGGGTGAGAACAACTTAAAATCTACTCTCAGCAATTTTCAAGAATGCAATACATTGTTGAGAACACATGGATGGACACAGGGAGGGGGCAACAAACACTGGGGCCTGTCGAGGGGTGCGGGAAGAAGAGCATCAGGAAAAATAACGAATGCATGCTGGGCTTAATATCTAGGTGATGGGTTGATAAGTGCAGCAAACCACCATGGCACACTTTTACCTATGTAACAAACCTGCACATCCTGCACATGTACCCTGAAACTTAAAATACAATTTAAAAAAAGAATGCAATACATTGTTATTAACTATAGTCAACATGTTGCACAATAGATCTCCTGAGCTTATTTCTTCTGTCTAACCCTTATTTTATATTCTGTGACAAACATCTTGTCACCTTTGGCCCTTGGTAACCACCATTCTACCCTCTGCTTCATGTGTTTGACTTATAGATTCCATATACAGGTGAGATCATGTGGCATTTGTCTTTTTTGTGCCTGGCTTATTTCACTTAACATAGTGTCCCTCAGGTTCATACATGTTGTTGCAAATGAATAGTATTCCATTATGCATAGATGCCACATTTTCTTTATTCATTCATCTGTTGATGAACACAGGTTGATTCTATATTTGGCTGTTGTGAATAATGCTGCAATGACTATGGGAGTGCAGATATCTATGGATCATACAGCAGTTCTATTTTTAATTTTTGGGGTAACCATCATACTGCTTTCCATAATGTCTGTACTAATTTACACTCCCACTAACAGTGTGTGAGTGCTCCCTTTTTTCCACATCCTTGCCAACACTTATCTTTCGTCTCTTTGACAATAGCCATTCTAACAGGTGTGAGGCGATGTGTCGTTCTGGTTTTAATTTGCAATTTCCTAATGATTAGTAATGCTGGGCATTTTTTATATGCCTGTTTCATATGTCTTCCTTTGAGAAATGTCTCTTTAAGCCCTGTGCCCACTTTTTAATTGGATTATTTGTTTTCTTAGTATTGAGTTGTTTGAATGCCTTATATGTTTTGGATATTAACTCCTTATCAGATAGATGGTTTGGAAATATTTTCTCTCATTCCATAGGTTGTCTCTTCACTCTGTTGGTTGTTTACTTTGCTGTGCAAAGGCTTTTTAGTTTGATGTAATTCCTGTCTATTTTTACTTTGTTGCTTGTGTTTTTGGTATCATCTCCAAAAAAATCATTGCCAAGATCAATCTCTTGGAGGTTTTCCTCTGTGTTTTCTTCTAGCAGGTTTACAGATTGAGTTCTTATGTTTAATTTGTAAATCATTTTGAGTTGATTTTTGTATGCAGTGTGAGCTAAGAGTCTGACATCATTTTTTGCATGGAGATATTCACTTTCCCCAAAACCATTTATTGAAGAGACCGTCCTTTCCCTATTGTGTGTTCTTGAACCTTTGTCAAAAACCAGTTAATCATGGACGTATCATTTCTGGGCTCTCTGTTGTGTCCCATTCATCCACATGTCTGTTTTTATGCTAGCACCATGCTGTTTTGATTTCTGTAGCTTTGTATTATATTTTGACATAAAGTAGTGTGATGCCTCTAGCTTTGTTCTTTTTTCTCAGGATTGCTTTAGCTATTCAGGGTCTTTGATGGTTCCATACAAATTTTAGGATTTTTTTTCTATTTAAGTGAAGAATGACATTGGACTTTTGATAGGGTTTGCATTGAATTTGTAGATTACTTTGTCCAGTATGGACATTTTAACAATATTAATTTTTCTAATCCACAAACACGGGATTTCATTTACTCATGTCTTCTTCAATGTCTTTTATCAATGTCTGTAGTTTTCAGTGCACATTACCTCCCTGGTCAAGTTTATTTCTAAGTTTTTTTGTAGCTATTGTAAATAGGATTGTTTTATTGATTTCTTTTCAAATAGTTCACTGCGTTTTGCATGGTCAATAACATGTTTTTAGCAGTTAAACATTTAGCAAAATGTAGAGCATATTAATTTGTATGACAATAAAATAATTACAGTATGCACTACCTAGCAAGGTTTCCATCAACGATGGACAACATAGACTATGGTGGTTCCATAAGAGCATAATACTGTATTTTTACTGTAGCTTTTCTATTTTAGATACACACATACAATTTTGTTTCCATTGCCTACAGTATTCAGTACAGTAATATATTGTATAGGCTTGTAGTTTAGGAACAATAGGCTATACCATATAACCTAGGTGTGTAGTAGGCTATACCATTTAAGTTTGTGTAAGTACACTCTGATGTTTGTACAAGGACGAAATCACTTAATGACACATTTTTCAGAAGATATCCTCATCATTAAGCAATTAATGACCATATTATTATTAAATATTGCAGCAAAGGATTGGTACAAAACTGGGACAATATCCAATGAAACAGCATAAAGTGTCATTGAGAGTGAGGAAAGACATGCTCACATTAACATACCTGAATTGCATGCTTGTACTAAAATATATTCATTGAATCATTTCCTAGTAGTTCCTCACTGACAAAGGATTAGGATAGTTATAAAGAACTACATGAATATTGGCACTATTAAAGGCAGTTATAGTTTGTATTTTGAAGACAAAGTCCTAACTTAAAATAAGGTGCTAACTATGTATGGATGACAGTTCTGTGATATGAAAAGTAGTACAGAATTTCTTATCAATTGTGAGTCAGAATTTGGCCAGTACTTTAGAAGTAAGAGAGCTCATTTCTTGTATCACATCAGAGTCTAACAGTGGAATTTCTCTCAGATGTCTGATCAAAACCAAGCAGGGTCAACAAAGTGATCTCGCAGAGATTAAATTATAGAGTTATTAAGTTTACAATAAATACATTCAGAACTCAGTACAAAGAATTTATTTCTTTACAGACTTATAGATATTCATGGATTAAAACTAACTTGATAGCATAGCAAACTGCAGTGGAAGATGATGTAGATTAGACAAGCATTTACTTTAAGCTAATCTCAACATGTTATTTCCAGGACTGAAACATTTATTAGGTATGTTTGAGAGCCGTCTGGAGTAGGAAGTTACGAGTATGCTCGGGAGTTTTCTCCCTGAAAGTGCAGTTTCACAGGCTGACTACGGCTGAACTTTTGGTGAGCTCAGAAAAGAAGCACATTTATTATCGTTTGTGTTACAATACAGTGGCTACTTCTAGAAATACTTACTGACAATAATAGCTGCCATTTATTGAGCTCTTACACATCAGGCTCCTTGCAAAGTGCTTAGTAGGAATGCCTGACTTGATTCCCAAAAATCGGGCAAGAACAAGCAGTTTAGGAAAATTGTATTTTACTTTTAGGTGCTTCGGTTGTACCAAGATTTACAAGATCAGTCAGACCTCTGAAATTCAGAAAAGTTTAAATCAGTTTAGGAAAATGGAAAGAACTCTGTCCAATCAGTTAGGGAGCCTGAATCCTATTTCACGCACCACTGTGTAACACTGTGGGAGTTGGGGGTAAATATAATAATTTACTCAACTGTTTTAACTACATAAATAACTTAGGAAAATACAATATTGTTAATATATATTTTAAAATTTAAATAATCCAGGTAATACAGATACCAATAGGGTAAAAATGGAAAATCCCTTCTTTTACTTACCCCTCAGGCCCCACCCCAATCCATTTTGCCTCCTGGTGGTAATCGCCATGAAAAACAAAACAGTCTGTGACCTTCTAAGAGGTTTGAAAAATACATTTACATGTATATACATATGTTTCTGTGTTTATAGCATTTCTTTTCCACCAAATGAGAAACTTCTACCTGCATTGTTCTATAGTGTCTTTCACTTAATAGTCTAGTAGTTAGTGTGTATGGCTCTCTACTTTTTTTAACCAATGCATTATATTCTTTAGAATGAATTTAACAGTTATCTAACAGTTTTCCTAGTTAGGAACATTAGATAGTTTCTCATTTTCCTCTGTAATAAAAATGATGTGTCAAACCCTACAGACACATCAGGCGTATCACTGTAGGGGTTGGGTCAGATGTGGTAGGAATGTTGGGTTTTGAATATGAGCCATTAAACTTTTGATAGATACTTCCAAATTGTCCACCATCAACAGTGTGCTGGTATGAGCCTCCATCAGCATTGCAGGGTAGTGCCCATTCCCCATCCTCAGGAATACAGAAATTATGAATTTTTATTAATAAATTATGAATGTGGCATAAAAATGATATGTTGTTATTTTAAACTTGTGTTTCCCTGATTACTAGTGAGGTTGAACATTGTTTTCTGTTTGCTGACCATTTGCAGATCTGTGTATGTGTGAATTATATGTTTATATTATTTGCCTGGTTTTGATTGAAATCAGACATTAATTTTTAAATGTATATTCACATCATTACAAAGTTTCCTCCCCCCCCTCCCTTTTTGGGAGGTGGCAGCTTGGTCTGTCAGTTGCTGTTACATAACTTACAATGTAATTGGGAGATAGACATGAACAGATCATCACACAGTTACTTTTTGAACATCTGAGGATTACCTTTGTATTACTAATTTCTAGCTTAATTGCCTTGTGATTAGAAAATAGAAAATATACTTGGCATGAATTCAGTCTTTCAGTATTACTGAGACTTGAATATTGGCCAAATAACTGGATAATTTATGTAAATGTGGCCTGTGTGCTTGGAAAGAATTTGTTCTCTTCAGTGGTTGGATGCAGTTTTTTGAGTTTAATTGGATTGTCCAGTATGGCTCACATTACTCCTTACAGAATTCTGTGAGTTCCCAAGGTGAACCTAACAGATTTGCTAGACGTGTAGCTACAGAAAACCCCTGGCATCACTCTCCCAAAAATACCAGATGGGATTTGGTTTAGATGCTATTGGTGGAAATCCAAAATATCTGAAGCTCAGAAAAGGTCAGAATTTCTTTCTTTCATAACAGTATCAGGTAAGGTGCGCCACGGCTGTGAAGTGCTCTGTGTTATCAAGTCCAGGCTCTCCTATCTCGTTGTCCTGATACATGTGGCCTCCATTCCTAAGTTTATCTGTCTGCCCAAGATGGCTGCTTTAGCTCCAGACATCACATCCACATTCCCCATGGAGTGAGGAAAAAGAGGGGAAGGCACATCACTTTAGAGATGTCTAGAAAAGTCTACAGGTTATTTCTCAGAAGTTGCAGACAGCACTTCAGATTACATAGCATGGACCACAACCTAGTCATATGATCACATCAAACTGTAAGGCAAGCTAGAAAATGTCATATTTATTCTAGTTAGCCTGTGAACTGTTTACTTTTAGGATTTTGTTGTTTGTTTTTACTAAGGAAAGGATAAATAGATGTTAAGCCACAATTAGCATTCTCTGCTGTAACCAATTCTATCAATATGTACATCCATCAATAAATAGTTTATTGAATACAAATATCTTGCCATGTAAAGAATACTGCGCTTAACTGCATGTGATCTTTGTTAAAATAATTAGAATTCCACCTTTTCTACATTCTAAAACACAACACTGAACATGCTGTTTCTTTCTTAAGAGCTTCTTTGGCAGCTCCCAGTTGCCTACAGTGACAGTCATGCTTCCTAGCATGGTAGTCAGAGGCTTCATTGAGTTAGCCACATTTGAAGTTACTAGATATAAGCCCACTTCCTGTGCTTCCTGTAACCTGTGATCCTGCCAAACCAGTTGTCCTTGTTTTCACAGCACAAACCGGACTTCCAGTTTAATTCCTGTGCTGGAAGCACTTTTTTCTCATCTAGGAAAGCCTTTTCTCTATTTTCTACATGGATAAATCTCTTGCTTTTCATGTCTAATCCAAGCCACTTGTCCTCCAAGCCATTTCTGATCACGTCACATTACCTGTCTGTAATCTTCTCCCTCTTGGAATGTCCATGACCCTTACCTTTTCTGTGCTTCTGCCATTATGGACAACTTTTTATCTCTCTGCCACATTGTGAAGCAGAGGGTAGGATCAGTGCCTGACATCTGTTTCCATCCTCTGCAGTGCCTTGCTATACATGGAACATTGGACAATGCATCAATAAGGGAAGTTGAAGTGAATGATTTATTGCTCTTAAAATGTGTGTGTTTGGTGCCATAATATTTACTTTATACCATTTAAGTTATCATATTACATTAACATAATTTATACTCTATGTAGTCCAGATGACATTATTGGTGCTTAATCATAGTAATAAGTAGAGAGAGACATTTAGTCCAAAGACAGCATAACTAGCTGCAGGTGGTGAGATAACACATGATGCCACTTACTGGCATATCTTAATATTTTAAGAGATTTATTCTTAGCCAAATAGAGGAAGCAGAATTTAGAAACAATGCCAATTCCTGCAATTGGATTCATCAGAGGGCACTTTATTTCATAAACTTTGGGGAGGGAGTGATGAAACGTCTTGGGCTCCATTTGTGTCTCTAAATCAGGGTAAGAAATGGATGTCTGATTTTGCTGTGAAAACCGTTTGTAGATAATCTTATCCTGTGCTCTTACACCTATCCTTCTTGTCTTAGTCAGGCTTTCTTTGCATCAGACTGGATCCTGACAAAATTTGGCTTAGTTTCTTTAAGATGAATTAATTAACAGGATTTGATATGGTTTGTAACATGGATATTGATAACAGTTATTACTTTCATATTATGGATATACTTAGAACATGTGTTGTAACTATATTTTTGAGCCTTGCTTGTCCCAGAAACTTGGAACAAATCTCAGCTTTAGAAATGGGAACAGTTCTTTAATAGACAGATGGATGAGCAGGTAGAAACTGTCTGGTTTATATCATACCCATCAGGAGTTATACCAGTTACATATTCGTCTTGAGAGATACAAAAAAATGCATTTGGGAGAAGTCATTTGTTCATAACTGAGAGTAAAATAGAAATAAAATATAAAGCTCAGCTGAAAAAACCTTTTCGTTCTTAATGAGTGAGATACTGGAAATATAGCTATTAATATTAGGATCAAAACATGAGTTTCTGCTATCCTCACTGTGATTTGAAATTGTTCTGAAAGTGCTAGCTAACCAAATTAGGAAAGAGACCAAAAAAATGGGTATAAGTTCTTTTTCCACACACTTGCGTTGACAAAGAATATTACCTTTTGTCTTCATCCCCAAATGACAAAACAACAACAACAAAAACAAAACTAAAAAACTCATTATTTTATTTGCATTCCTTTGCTTAATGGGAGCTTGGATTTCTTGTCAAAGATTTTTTGACGAAGTTAAGAGTGAGATATGAAATGTTTACTTGCAGCAATAACTGGAAATAGGGAAGGAAGAATTCTGATTGACATCAGCTTTCAATAGTTCCAGACACACACACACACACACACACACACACACACACACACACACATTCAACTCACGCATGCACACACACACACAGACATGCTCCTGATGCCAAGATACACAACTATAAGCTGTCAGGTTTTTGTTCTGCTAGGAGACAAAAAAAAAAAAAAAAAAAGATCAGCCTGAAAGTGTGGGATGTGGCAAGGGAATGGTTTCTGGGAAAAGGATTTGGGGCCTATGAGCTGATACTGTGTTTTTGGAGATGGTCTAGGAATGTTTGTGTGAGTATAAAATGTGCAACTTTTTGACTTGACAATGACACCTTAGGGGGCTCATGCTAAGGATGTAATTGTGCAAGTTTGAAATAACATATGCATGAGGATATTGATTTTAGTCTTGTTTGTGATAGAGAAATATTGGAAAAGACCTAAATGCTCATCCATAAACGCTGGTGAATGACTATGTAAATTATGGCAGCCAAATACAATGGGTTACTATGAAGCCAATCAAACTTATTGACTTGGAAAGATTTTTCACATCCTATTGTTCAGGGACAAAAATCAGGTTATGGAACACATATATGCTCTAACCTCTCTTAGTAGTTGAATAGATAGCTGTTTATCTGTCTCTATATATCTAAGCATTTCTGTGAATATAGAGCAATAGCTAGAAAAAGACATTTACTAGAATACTGACATTTGCAATTAAAATTTAACTGGGAAGATCAAAGAAGGGGCTCATGCAGTGGGAAGCACTTGAGTTGATTCATTTATCATAGTTAGGATCTGAATGGGTGTAGAGGCAGGAACAGCATTTTAGGTATGGGGAACCACGTTTTTTTCCACAATGTTCTCTTGAAGCTGGTCCTCAGAATTAATATAAGTTATGGACTCAAGAAGCTTATAGAATAAAAGCTCATAAATTATAATCCAGTGTGGAAAATGCACCATGAAAGATGTGCCCAGGGCACTGTGGGAGTCCTGAAAATAGGAACTTACCTAAGCCTTCGGTATAGGGAATAGAGGTGGAGGGCATGGGATTGTATGGAGAGAGGTGAGCATGAGAGGAAATTCAGAGGATGAGCTAGCTATAGGAGAGTAACTAATACCGGATAAAAACCATGAATGTACCGCAGACCTGACCATTACACTGTTACAAAAGGCCACCTCCAACTCACTAACAGGTAATGAGTTAAACCTGTTTGTAGATCCCAATACTTTTCCCACTCACAGAGACAATGCAGGGCTCTCAGGCTTGCCCATGGAGGCCATTTACCCTGCCTGTTCTGTAGAACCACATACTATGTTTCTAAGGTGGATTGATTTTTGGATTTAGGTAGGCAGGAGCACATTTATCCTCAATTCTGCTCTTTCCAGCTTTGTGACTGGCTACCAGGGCCTGGAAAGACAAGACTCTCACACTACTTACTAGTTTTGAGCAGCACAGACTGCAGCAGGAATTAGCTCTCATAACTCCCTGCTGTCCCTTATAAATTCTAAGAATTATATAATCTATTTGTAGTGATGTACTTTTTCATTAAGGAATGACCCACAGAGAATAAAGTGCATAAATCTAAACTGTATAACTTGATAAATCTTTTATACATGTACACCTGTGTCACCACCACCCAGATCAAGACAGAGGAAGTTTCAGTTCCCAACAGGCTTCCATGTATTCCCTCCGAGTAGACAGCCCCACAAAGGTAACTCCTATCAAAATGGATTCGTTTTATCTGTTTATGGACTTTGTATAAATGGAATCTCATGGTGTTTATTGTCTTGTCTTGGGCTTCCTTGGATTAACATTATGTTTGGGAGATTCATCTGCATGGTTGAGTGCAGCAGTAGTTTGCTCTTTTTTATTGCTGTGTAGTATTCCATTGTATGGATGTACCACGGGTGCAGGTCCACTGGTCAGCTATGCAGCTGTCTTTCTCCTGGGACCAGTGGACTTCTCAGGGCATGTTGTTCATAAGGAGATGGTCGAAGCACAAGAGAACATAACAAAGCAAGCAAGTACACATCTGCTGACATTTCACTGGTCAAAGCAAATTCCATGGCTGGGTCCAAAGTCAAGAGGCAGGGAAATGCATTTCTTCAATGGAGGTGGGAGAAACTGCAGGGTTTTATGGCCAAGGGCATGAACACAGGGTGAAGTGAAGAATTTGGGCCATCAAGCAGTCAATGACAATGGGTCTTAGGGTATATGTGTGTATGGCTTTAGTAGATATTACCAAAGAGTTTCCCAAATGCTTCTACCAGTTCATATTCCAACCAGCAATGTAAGTGAGCTTTAGTAGCTCTGCATTCGCGCCAACACTAGGTATTGAATTCTTACGATTTTTCATTCTAACCATACCAGCCAGGAAACATCCATAATGTAAAAGGATTCCCTTCTCATCTCAACTTTCCATTCCCCTTCCTCTTCATTTAATTCAGGCCGTAGATCTTTAAAACAAGATGCAGTGGTGATTTTCTGAGAAGACCTCACATTTCAAAGGAAGGCCTTGGAAGTTGAAGTTAGGGCTACAGTGGGGAGTAGTGCCACACTGGGTAAGGAGGACACTGGGCAAGGAAATGAGAAGGGATTTAGCAGTGATTTTTAAATAAAGGGCTGTATAGTTTGAGCATAAAGAAAGACTAAGTACTGACTGTCAAGGTGTTCTTGGAACTCTCTACAGATTGACCAGTCAAAACCTGTTCTATTGTGGCTGTGTCCACCTCTAAATCCAGTCACCTCAGAGAAGCCATCTACTATAATATCAAATGAAAGATAGTTTTTCAAAATGTTCCTTTCTTTTGAGAAATTTATCTGAGAACTATTGAGATACTTTCAGTATTTCCATCCTGGTAAACTTAAATGCAGTTGGCTGAGCATGCCTGTCTGTCCCTCTCTCTCTGTCTTTCTCTTTCTGTTAGTCTCTATCTCAGTCTCTTTAAGATTTTTAGCACAAAATAGCTAAGCTAGAATTTCTGGTTATGCCTCTTGCTAGCTAGTCTCCTACAAAGCATTATAATGGAGGGCAAGAGTTGTTCTTGCTTAAGAAGTGTGGCTGCTACAGCCTGTATGTCTGCTTTTGCACTAGCTGGCTTGCCTGCAAACTGCTAACAGGTGGCTAACAGTTGGCTGGAGAAGGATCCATAGGTCGGGTGGGGACAGGCAATGAAAGGGTCAGATGCTTATTCCCTCTTCCTCTGTCTTCATCACCAAACCTGCCATTCTGCACTTGCTTTTGTACAAGGATCAATACTGATTAGGTTTGGAAATTGGTACCAGGGAAAGATTGCCAGATGTTAGTGGGTCTCTAGGCCAGTGAGGAAAGAAGGAAAGAGACGAGGAAAATCCCATGTAGCCACTGAATTTGGTTAATTTCTAAGGGGTATCTAAAAGTAGGATTATGAAATATGTTCCGTTTATGATGTCTATATGGTTTTACACATTATAGGTACTTTTTTTCATAAATTTAATCCTACCAGCTGGTTTTCTTTTAACATAAAGTAAATTCATGCCCTCTGTTTCCTAGCAGTTTGTATACTTAATTCCTCCTCCGATCATTTATTAAATGGATATGCTGTTGAAAGTTATAGATTGCACTCTCCTTAAATTTTTTAAAAATTTCCCAAAGTGCATAATATAAAAATGAGGCAGAAGATGAAGAAAAACATGAATTATGGAAATTCCCCCATGATGTGTTGGTGTCATGTAGCCTACTTGGTGACATAGATATTCTCTGGAATATACAATTGTATGAACCATGAACAAGCAGTCTCTCCTTCATTCATCTCATTGGAAGTGTACTCATTGAATGCATAGAATAGGTAAGGCAGTGGCTAGCCAGTGTGGAGGAGTACAGTGATGAATTATGTTTTCTGTCTTGAAGAATTTCTAGTAGTACTTAGGCAATGGACCCAAATAACTGCAAACCAGTGTGCAGTGTATTAGTATTGCTACGTATGCTATACAGTATTTGGTTGCATAAACAGGTCCGGTAGATCCCACTGTCCAGGAATGACTCGTGGAATAACTGAGGACAGATTCATGGTCATTCAACATATCTGAGAAATCCCAATTTGATATTTCTATCGCACATTCAAGATCATCTAGACCAAGCCTCTTTACTCATAGAGGAGATGAGGTAGCCAAGCTCCCAGAGATAGTGCCCAGGCCGTGTCTAGAACTAGGACCTACTATTATCTTACAAGTGATTTCATAGTTGAGGGCATGATTTAATAAGCCCACAGATCAGGTTTCAAGTCTCTTTGCATTTACTTGCTTGGTAACCTTGGGCCAGTATTTTAACCTCTCAGTGTCCCAGTTTTTTTCAGCTATTAAATGGAGATAATAATAGTAGTAACTGCGTCACGGGGTTTTGGGAGATTAAATGAAATGAAGCCCATAATGCATTTAGCAGAGTGACACATGGAAAAAGCACTGAGTAAATGTCAGCTGGCTTTAGCAGTGATTTTTAAATAAAGGGCTGTATAGTTTGAGCATAGAGACTAAGCACTGATTCTCAAGGTGTTCTTGGAACTCTCTACAGATTCACCAGTCAAAACCTGTTCTATTGTGGCTGTGCCTGCCTCTAAATGCAGTCACCTCAAAGATGGCATCTACTGCAATATCAAATAAAAGATAGTCTTTTGAAATATTCCTTTCTTTTGATAAATTTATCTGAGAAAATACTTCCAGTATTTTCATCCTGGTAAACTGAAATGCAGTTAGTTGAGCATGTTTCTCTATCTCTCTCTGAGTCTCTATCTCAGTCTCTTTAAGATTTTTAGCACAGGATAGCTAATCTAAGACCTCTGGTTATGCCTCTTGCTATCTCATCTCCCACAAAGTACCATAATAGAAGAAAAGAGTTGTTCTTTCTTAAGACATGTGGCTGCTACATCCTGTATATCTGCTTCTGCACTAGCTGGCCTGCCTTCAAAGTGTGTTATTGTTGAAAGCTAAATTGAGATTGTTGATTGTCCTCCCAGTTTAACTACTGTGCCACCGACTTAAAAATTTGGAAACAACCTACTCCAAACAGATTATCTGGCTTCTCACAGCCTTTCAAATCAAAACTTTGAATTATTTTCAGGTCTTCAGTCCTTGGAGCTGCAAGTACCTTAGACATCATATACTCCAAACTCCCAAGGTCATAGAATTGGAGGAGTAAATGAGCCGTAGAGTCCTGGTCCCTGAGTCCCAGGGTCTTTCTACTGTTCTCCAAGTGGTGATGAATCAGAGAGAACTCTACACTTTTGAGTTGAGATCATCCTCAACATGAATACTCTTTTCAAAACCATCCGTGGAAAGGGAAGAAATAGAATGCTTTCAGCAAAGGAGAAAGGCTTTGCTTAACTGCACCTTGTTTTGCTAATTTTTGGTTTTAGTGGGAGCTAACTGATGAGTAACAGGTGTCGACTTCCATGTATTTGAATGATTTGGTGTAATATAAAGAAGCCCACTGCGAGAGGTCATAGGGACACTGCCTGCTCCTTTATTTTAATAGAATAGAAGCAAAAAGGTTCCTGACATTTGGACAGGGAGATTCACAAGATTATCACCCACTCGTGACTGAAGAGGTTGACATGATGTCTCAGTTATTTAGATTATTTACAAAATCAAGACATTTTCTTCTGTTCTTGAAAATTATTATGAGCTTTGGTTTAAGGTGTTCCCTAAATCAGTGACACTGAATGGTACACTCCATTTATGGAATTTGTGAGTGTTGGGGGCGGTGTTTACATTGGCCATAAGGGATTTGAAATGCTTTCACATAAAACCCTCTCAGAGGTTCAGTTCATAAAAAAGGTGAAGTTGTATCTAATTCTTCACTTTGGACAAAAGTAGATAAATCTTACCTAGAAACATAAGAAAGTTTACTACCAGGACACCCATTTGAGGGCCGTGTGTCATACCTATGTTGAAATATGGAGATGGTGATTCTGTGAAAAGTAGCACATCTTTTTGTATTTTTTTTTCATAAAATCTTGTACTGGAATGAGAAAAAAGGGACATTGTTTATTTATATTTTTCCAGAATCCACTTCTATCATTATTGAGACTGGTCTTTTCAACACATGTGTCCTATTATATAGCATACATATATTTTGTCCCTAATTCTAAAAGGACTTTTTCTTCCATAAAGAACTGTTATTAGTCTGCTTGGATTGCTATAATAAAATACCATAAACTGGAGGCTTAAACAATAGAAATGTATTTCTCACAGTTCTAGAGGCTGGGAAGTCCAATATCAAGGCACCGTCAGGTTAGAGCCCAGTTTCTCTGATTCTAAAATGGTGACTTGGTTGCTGTGTCCTCCAGAGGGGAGAAAGGTCCCCACATGGTGGAAGAGCAAATGAGAGAGCAACTCCCCTCCTGAATGCCCATTCTGTAGCAGTATTAACCAGTTCATGAGCACTCTGCCTTTCACCTGGCCCCACCTACCAACCCTGCTGTGTTGGGAATTCAGTTTCTAACACATGAATTTTGGGGGACACATTCAAACCATAGCATCTTGGCCAAGGTAGTGTTTGGCAGATTTCTCCACTGTAAAATTATTCCTTCCCTCCCACCTCTTTCCATAATCTGCTTTTTGAAATTACACAGTAAGTGCAGCCCACACAGAAAGGGTGGAGGATCTTTGACTTTAAAAATGAATGTATTCAGCTCTGTTCTACTAACCCGTAATGTCTAAGTGAATCCCAATTCTATCCATTATCCTAATCCTAATGAGAAGATTTTGTCTAATGATTTTCCCACAAACTCCACCTACAACCTCTTTTTCTCATTTCTATCATCTGTCACTTTTCATTTTGCTGGTGTTCTGTGGCATGCACATGGCATTTAAATCCCAGATTAAGACTGAAAAATCAAGTTAGCTATCCCCACGTTCCTACTTAATTTAAGTGTTTGCTTAACGGCCTAAAAATTCAGATAATGAACTGAAAATTATTTTTTAATCACAGTGTTTGCACTGTGAAGTGATATACTTACTTTGGTACTATGACTTCCTCACTTGGCTAATACATTTTGGTATAATTTCACTGGGTGCGGAGCCATGTGACTCATATCTGTACATTCCTCTGTGTGTTTTATACACAGATTTCATTCCTTGATTAAGAATCAGAATGCACGCCTTAACGAAAAGTTAAAACCCCCAAATCCATCAAACCAGCTGATGAAGAGGGAGGGTGATGGGATAGGAGACATCAGTGAGCACATGTTGAATGGTTAGTCCTGGAGATTAAAGAAAAGGGAGAATAGAAGTTCTGCATAGTGATGCTGTTAGAAAGAGAGGAGGGCAGGGAGGACCTGCTGATGGCTGAACATCGCGACGAATAACACACCGGGAGAGTGTGCATGGTCTGGGTATCAAGGAACAATTTGTTAAAATCCATTTTCAAGGGCACTAACAGTTATCTTAATATTTAGAGGCTATTCAAGGACATATTCTTGACTTTTATGTTTTCTAATGCTGCACAGCATTCATTCTGAGTTTCTCTGAGAAATAATCATAAAGATTTGCTTACTGTGTTTCTGTGTATAAAGTGCTTTCATATGTGTTAGCTCAATAACTCCTTATTTCAAAAATCTGTGCTGTTAGTTTTATTATTAGTCCTATTTCAAAGATGGGTCCATTAAGGCTTAGGGAGGGTAAGCAGTTTATTCTGGATTACTTGATCAGAGATAAACCACAAAGAAATTCAGCTGGCTTCAATGAAATTCAGTTGATTTTAATACAGATGGAGTGAGCATCATCACGGCTAGGGACTGCTGGACCTGTGGGATCTACTGACTACAGGCCTTAGACTCTTAAGCATAATCCACTTAAACTACTCTGAAGTCCTGCCAGTATTTGGAAGAGGTTTTGCTACAGGGCTGTCCAAGCAGAGTCTCTCTCTGGGGGTGTAACCCAAACCCAGGCCAGGATTCTGGCTGTACCTCTGCTCCATGCCACACTCCCCAGGACCCAGACAAAAATTTCTCAAATATCTGCCTTTTGCTCTTTGACCTTGCATAATTTTTCAACTAGTCTCTCTGGTTTAGGCAGAAAGACAGAATCAGAGTTGAGGAAAAAATGCCTTTGTTAGTTGGAATGCAGGCCAGGGCCTAGCCCTTGCTTAGGACAGGTCTCCTCCAAGGGCACATTCCGGCTGAACAGTGTATCAGATTAGCTGTTACACTAATGGAACTTGAAATAAATAGGTCGAAAGGAGTTCCTGTTGGATGGGGAAAATATCGACATCCAGTGGCCTGGTGAACCAGCACCTGGGACACAATGAGGAGGAACAGGCCAGCCAGAGTGGGCCAGGGCAGCTGAATTGCCTTGGCCCAACGGGCCAGATCTAGCATTGTTAGAGGGACCAAAAATGACTGGCAAATAGGAAATGAGGCCAGGTCAAGACTTGTCTCCCTGTCAACTGTCCTTTCCCACACGACTCTGCCTCCCTGACTCCAGCATATCCGTGGAGGTCTCTGACTCTATACGAGGCTATTTTAGGAGTCAGAACTAGAGACAGAGCAGAGGGGTCACATACAAGGGCTTCAAACAGAATGAAGAGCCAAGGGCCAGTAAAGAAATGAAGGAACAGAGAAAGGAGGGGAGGAGAAATGGACCTAGGGTATTCTGCCCTGTTTAAGATCTGATACTATTTGCTTTTATCCATTAAAAAGTAAAATATGGCCGGGAATGGTGGCTCATGCCTGTAATCCCAACACTTTGGGAGGCTGAGGCGGGTGGCTCACCTGAGGTCGGGAGTTCAAGACCAGCCTGACCAACATGGAGAAACTGCATCTCTACTAAAAATACAAAAAAAAAAAAAAAAAAAAAAAAAAAGCCAGGTGTGGTGGTGCGCATGCCTGTAATCTCAGCTACTTGGGAGATGTCTGTAATCTCAGCTACTCGGGAGGCTGAGGCAGGAGAATCGCTTGAACCTGGGAGTCGGAGGTTGCGGTGAGCCGAGATCACGCCATTGTACTCCAGCCTAGGCAACAAGAGCGAAACTCCATCTCAAAAAAAAAAAAAAAAAAAGATAAAATATAAGAAGTGTACACAGGGCTTTCCCTTTAAGTGGAGCTAACAAAAAAGAGGGAGGCCGGGGTAGTGGAAGCCAGAAATGTGCGAGTCCCCTAGTTCACAAGACTGTACAGCTCACCATACTCCCTCGAAACCTGGATCCAGAACTTGCAGGTAGTTTGATTCCTTAGGGCAAAACCAGCCTGCATGGTAGTGCTCTAGAATATATTTTGCTATGTGTTTACCCTGCGAGCTGTCTACTTGGCTTAAGACACTATTGGGCTCAGAAGAAGGATTTTTGAAATCCGTCCCAATGCTCCTAGAGTGCCATTACTTCCAGCGTTGCTATTTTTACAATAAAGGTGAACATGAGTGGAGGAGGTGAGGACATAGGTCCTAGGTGGAAGAGAAAACCGTATCATGATTGTGAGTTCTTGGTTGCTTGTGCCTCTTAAAATCTTAACTTGGAAATGGCTTGCCTCTAAAACATGATAAGTGCAACCTTCCCCCGATTTTAACCACTTGTTGATGACTATTTTGATTTTGGAAATAGTGAAGCCAGCCCTTCAAGTGTTTTGTCATTTTGGCCTGAGTTGATAACTTTGTGTGACTAAGATAGAATCTGCTAGTTTTCCTCTTAAAAATGATCACAAGTCTGTCTTCTACATTTTTGGCAGTGACTTATGTGGAAACCATGGGTTGGCTCTGTTCTGCCCTTTAAAATCTTTGTTTGAAAAGTGATTTTCCAGAAAAATGGGAAGGAGATCCCCCCACGAATGCAGCAATATCTTGATGGTTAAAGGCCTTGAGGGGGTCCTCATGCCGTGAGGCAATGAATGTGAAGTACTTGGATACTGCAAAGTGCTTTGCACAAAATAGATGTTTTGGAGACTCAGGGTCAGCATGTAGTGTTCTCATGTGTTTTTTGTTTTTGTTTTTGTTTTTGGCTCTTGAGTTTCAATTCACATTTTCAAGGTGAATGGAAAGTAGATTTTATTGGATTTTAAAAACAACAATTTACTTCAAAATATTACAGTGATCGTGCTGTGTAAACAAGGGTGTCCCAAGCTGTTTAGCTTCTAATGGCTGTGTTTCTCTCACATTTTTATTTGATGACTTTCCAAGGACATCGTTCTTCCAAGGACATCCATTCTTTTATTTTGCCAACAGAAGATGGCTGAGCTTTTTGCAGTTTATCAGTTTCCAGATGGCTTTCACATTCTTGTGGACACTGTGCGCTTCTTGGGAAAGGGCCACAGTTTTGTTTTTATTTTCCTCAGTGCCTGAAACTTTGGGAGTGTTGACTGCTGAAGAGGATTTGTGCTGCTAAATGCCTCTTGGCTTTAGATTTAAGACCAGAAAATAAGACAGATGAGGACAGCTTCTCTTTACTGGTGTATGTCCAGTGCCTAGAGTAGTGTATGGCCCCACAGAGACACTCAGTAAATATTCGCACCCTGAGTAAGTGTGCCTGCACCTTATGCGTCAGATGTCAGTCATTAGATAAACCTTCTCCAATGCCTCCTGTTGAGAGGGTGGGAAGAAGCAGGGAGATGCTGTTAGAGGTTTGCTCCTCTGTTGGTCTGATGACTAGACAATTCTCCAACTCACAAAATAAATCCGGAGTCCCACGGCTTTGGCCCAGCCCCCACATCCTGTACAGTTCCACTGCCATTGCTTGACCTCAGCATTACTTTAGGAAAAAAGAAAGAACAATTTTTGAATAGGCACACATTTGCTTAGGGTGCCAGGAACATAATAAGCACTATATAAATGTTAGTATTATGATCTTAGTGATGTCTCCAAGTTTTTCTATTTTATTAAGAATTCTGAAAAATCAAGAATGTATAAACTTTACATTTTAATAAATTTTGTCAAATTCCGTCCCAGCATTAATGGAGAAAATATTTCTCTCCTTGTACTTACTAATATGAATAATTATATGGACATATTTTAAAATGTTGAACAGTGTTGCACAATTTTGTTTGCATAGATTTAGTTTAAGATTTTTTATGTTGAGAACGTAAGGGAAGTTTGTGGTTTCCTTGTGTGCATGTGCTGTCTTTGTAGGGGGTTGGTGTAGAGGTTATGTCGATTTCATAGAAAGGTTCAAAACCATTCCTTCCTTTTCCATATGTATTGTAAATAGCATTGGAATGAGCTGTTTCTTTAAGAATTCATAGAATTCACTTGTGTGAAGTTGATTTTGTCTGGTGCATTTCGGGAGGGGTATTCTTTGACAATTTATTGCAGTTTCATTTGTGGCAATTAGCTATATATACAATGACCCATCATTCAGGTTTTTGCATTTATTATAATATTTTTAAGCCAAGGGGCTTTTATGATTTATATAGTCTGTGAATAATCTGTGGTTGTTTCTATATTCTGACTTTTATATTTTTTCTTTATTTTGGTTATTTAAGGGTTTATCTCATTTATTGGCCTTACATTTCTTGAATTGAATGTTTATTTTCTAAAATAATTATGCATTTTTTTCTTATTTACTAGTATAAGTAGTTTAGGCTGTGAATTTTCCTCTCAGCCCATTATGGCTGTATACAGAGATTCCAATAGAGGACATTCTATTTTCACTGTTTTCTGCAAATACTGTATTCTTGGTTTTGATTTCATTTTTGACACAAAGTTTATTTTGGGGAACTAAAATTTTACAGATGGCAGGGTGTTTTGGTTTTCTAATTTGTTATAGATTTTTATTACATTGTCAACAGCAAGTATTGTCTATTTAATTTCTACTTTTGTAATTTATTGAGGCTTTGTTTTTCTATTGATAGTGAAAACATCCCATAAAAATTTGTAGAGAAGTTGCATTCTCTATTTTAAGACATGTAATTCCATTTATATATCAATTAGAATGGCTTGGTAATTTTATTCTTATTTCTTACTCACTTGATCATTCTTTGTCAGGAAAGAGATTAATTTCAACATTACTATATTTTTTATACTTTTGTAGTTCGGATAGATTTTGCTATGTAAATATTGATACCATATTTATAGTGTTAGATGTTCATTGTGAATTATACTCTCTACAGTTTTAAAGTAGCTTTTTTTATTGGATGGTATTTGCTTTGAATTTAATGTGTCTGATAATAAGATTAAGATTCTTGATTTTTTTGTTGGTACTGGTCTGGTATGCTTTTGCCCAAGCTGTTATTTTCAACTTTTCTGAGTCACATTATTTTAGATGTTCCTTACATATAGCATATGTATTAGTCCATTTTAATAGTGCTACAAAGACATACCCGAGACTGGGTAATTTATAAAGAAAAAGAGGTTTAATGGACTTACAGTTTCACATGACTGAGGAGGCCTCACAATCATGGCTGAAGGCAAATGAGAAGCAAAGTCACATCTTACATGGTGGCCAGCAATAAAGAGCTTCAGCAGGGGAACTCCCATTTATAAAACCATCAGATCTCATGAGACTTATTCACTATCATGAGAACAGCATGGGAAAAACCCACCCCCATGATTCAATTACCTTCCACCAGGTCCCTCCCACAACATGGGGGTATTATGGAAGCTACAATTCAAGGCAAGATTTGGGTGGGGACATAGCCAAGCCATATCATTCTGCCTCTGGCCCTTCCCAAATCTCATGTCCTCATGTTTCAAAACCATTCATTCCTTCCCAACAGCCCCACAAAGTCTTAATTCATTTCAGCATTAACTCAAAAGTCTACAGTTCGAAGTCTCATCCATGACAAGGCAAGTCCATTCTGCCTATGAGCCTGTAAAATCAAAAGCAAGTTAGTTGCTTCCTAGATACAATGGGGCTACAGGCATTGGGCAAATACACCTGTTCCAAATGGGAGAAACTGGCCAAAACAAAGAGGTTGCAGGCCCCATGGAAGCCCAAAATCCATCAGGGCAGTCAAATCTTAAAACTCCAAAATGATCTCATTTGACTCCATGTCTCATATCCAGGTTATGCTGATGCAAGAGGTTGGCTCCCATGGCCTTGGGCAGCTCCACCCCTGTGGCTTTGCAGGGTACAGCCCCTATCCTGGCTGTTTTCACGAGTTGGCATTGTCTGCAGCTTTTCTAGGCATGTGATGCAAACTGTCAATGGATCTACCATCCAGGGTTCTGGAGGATGGTGACCCTCTTCTCACGGCTCCACCAGGTGGTGCCACAGTGGGAAGTCTGTGTGGGGGCTCTGACCCCATATTTCCCTTCTGCATTGCCCTAGCAGAGGTTCTCCATGAGGGCTCCACCCCTGCAATAAACTTTTGCTTGGACATCCAGGCATTTCCATACATATGCTGAAATCTAGGGAGAAGTTCGCAAATCTCATTTCTTTACTTCTGAGCACTTGCGGGCCCAACACCACGTGTAAGCTGCCGAGGCTTGGGGCTTGCACCATTTGAAGCAATGGACTGAGCTGTTTGTTGGCCCCTTTTAGCCACAGCTGGGATGCAGGGCGCCAAGTCTCAAAACTGCACACAGTAGGGGGCCCTGAGCTCCGCTGATGTAACCATTTTTCCATCCTAGGCCTCCTGGCTTGTGATGGGAGGGGCTGCCATGGAGACCTTTGACATGCCCTGGAGACATTTTCCCCATTGTCTTGGCGATTAACATTTGGCTCCTTGTTACTTATGCAAATTTCTGCAGCTGGCTTGAATTGCTCCTCAGAAATGGGTGTTTCTTTTCTATTGCATTGTCAGGCTGCAAATTTCCTGAACTTTTATGCTCTGCTTCGCTCTTAAACATAAGTTCCAATTCCAAACATATCTTCGTGAAAGAAGAAAACTGAATGCTTTCAAGAGCACCCAAGTCACATCATGAATGCTTTGCTGCTTAGAAATTTCTTCTGCCAGATACCCTAAATCATCTCTCTCAAGTTCAAAGTTCCAGAGATCTCTAGGGCAGGGGCAAAATGCCACCAATCTCTTTGCTAAAGCTTAGCAAGAATCACTGTTCCTCCAGTTCCCAATAAGTTCCTCATCTCCCTCTGAGACCACCTCAGACTGGACTTTTTGGTCAAAACAATTCAATAAGTCTCTAGAAAGTGCCAAACTTTCTCACATCATCCCGTCTTCTTCTGAGCCCTCCAAACCATTCCAACCTCTGCCTGTTACCCAGTTCCAAAGTCACTTCCACATTTTTGGGTATCTTAATAGCAATATCCCACTTTACCAGTACCAATATCTGTATTAGTCAATTTTAATACTGCTATGAAGAAAACTTGACTGAGTAATTTATAAAGAAAGAGGTTTAATGGACTCACAGTTCCACATGGCAGGGGAGGCTGCATAATCATTGGCAGAAGGCACAGCAGGAGCAAAGGCATATCATACTTGGCAGCAGGCAAGAGAGCATGTGCAGTGGAACTGCCCTTTATAAAATCATCAGATGTCATGAGACTTATTCACTACCATGGGAACAGCATGGGAAAATCCTGCCCTTATGATTGAATTACCTCCCACTGGGTCCCTGCCATGACACATGGGGATGATGGGAGCTACAGTTCAAGATGAAATTTGGTTGGGGACACAGCCAAACCATATCAGTATACCGATTTTTCACCCTTGGGGAGCCAATCTACGGGCCTTTTTCTTCTGAGTTTTGAACATAATGAGGGCTTAGTTACATAATAGATGTGTTAGTTTTAATACTGTAACCATATTTTATGTTATTTGTTTTATTATTTAATTTTTATTACATGGTCTAGATTTGATTTTATATTTTTTATTGTTATTTAGAAAGGTCATGTAATGTTGTAACTCTTTTAGATTAGATAACTTTTGTAATTAAAGCTTCACAGATCTATTTAGTTCATTATGTTTCTTTAGCTGCTACTTATATCACTTTAGACCCATGAAGAAATAAGCATTTTTGAGCATATTTCCACCTTCCATCCTTTCTTTCTGATTTTATTTGATTGTAGTATATATATTTTTAGCTATCCTGCTATTTACTTTTATATTTTTAATAAACTTAAATTGCTTTTCCTTTACCAGATTTAAATTTTATGTTTTACATTGGCTATAAAAGATGAGTCAATTAAGGTACTTCATTCTCCACTTCTCTTCCTGTGTACCTCCAAGTTTTGTTAGTTACCCCATTTCTACATTTGTCATAGCATAGCCCATTTCTATTCTATAACCATAGTTCTCACAGTTGCATTACTTTTCATTTTTTGTTTGAATGCATTCTGTAATCACTGCTAGTCATTTTGCTATTGTTTCTCATTTGTCTCCTGACTTTCTTTGCCTGTGGACCTGGGATGCCTTCTGTCATGTCCTGATACTGAATGTTGCTGCAGAGAAGCCCACAGTTGCTTATGTGTTTCCCTTCAAGATAGATTTATCTTTCTATCCTGTCTGGATGCCAGAAAGATCTTTCTTTGTCACTGAAGTCCACTTACTTCATGTTTATTGTTACATATCAGTTTTTTTTTTCTGGTACCCAATGTACCCTTGAATATTTTATTACTCAAACATTTTCTTGAATTACACTTTGTTTATTTATTTAGTCCTATTTGTTCTGTTTTCTTTTTCTGGGACACCATTTATGCATATATAGAATCTCCTTCTCTAACTACTATCATTTTCTTCCTGAATTTTTAAGAGCATATTTAATTTATTATCTTCCTTAATTTGTAGATGAGAAACTGAGGCATAGTAATGGACAGGAATGGCTAGGAATCAAGCCTTGGTCTGCCTTCCCTCTTTTCAGAATGCCTTTATTCCTGTTGAAGATCTTCCCACATCATTTTGCTCTTTCTCGCCCTCTGTGCTTCCTTCTCCTTTTTTTTATTTCTTTCTCTTTCCCTCCCTTCCTTCTTTTTTTTTTTTTTTTTTAAATCTCTTTCACTTCCTCCCTTCCCGCCTTCCTTTCTTTCCTGTGGTCTTTGATGTATTTTTCCACATCTTTGCATTGAGGAGAGCGTTCCAAACAAAAGTGTGGCTGTTCCAAATAAGTGTTCCAAATAAAGCTATGTATGTATTACGTAGTATGATTTACTCATACTTTTTGGTATTTTCTCAGTAGGCCTGGAGACCATCTGGCATTGCCATCTATGTAATGATTGCTTTTCATCTATATCAACACTTGAAAATTTTTGCAACAGTGTTTTCTTCTTGAGCTACATGATCTCATTTCTTAAAAGGTACTATTATTTGTAATGTTTTTCTTTGAGCCTTTCTTTTTAAACTGTAGACCCCAAAACTGTAGGCAGTATTCAGAAGAGACTGTAGATGGCCAATAGGGTGGAGGGAATTAATCTCATGTTTAATTATTCAATTTTGTTTTTTTGATTTTTTAAATTCTTTAATTCTTCAATTTTGGTTTCAATAATGTACTTAATTTTATGCACCAGCTTTCCAATTCATGTCCAGTTTTGGCCCACTAACTCCTAGATCTGTGTCAGACACATCTGCAAATCATTCTCTACATTGTCTTGTGTAATTGGTTTATCCTCTGTAAATGACCCAGCAGGGGCCCCTTTTGAATCTCATCCTGTTTATTTCTGTTCACCTCAGCACTTAACAATGCCAGTCTGAATTCATACAGCTTCCTGGTTTAGTAACTGGCCCAAAGCTGTTAAGTTTATATGTTCTGCCATTATGCAGTCATTGATGAAAAATATTCTAAAATGAGCTGGCCAGGAACTGACCTCTAAGTTCACTCAAAACTATGTGTGCGTGTTTGCATGTGTGTGTGTGTGTGTGTGTGTGTGTGTGAGAGAGAGAGAGAGAGAGAGAAATCACTCATAATCCTGCAGGTATAGAGACTAGTTGGCATGATTTTGTGTTTCCTTCTAGATTTAAATATACATGCACACATATAATTTTATTGAATTGTACTCATGTTTTATATACCTAAATTTTTTATCAAGTTTTCTCTTTGTATTATGCTTTCTCATGTTGGTAAATATTCTTTACATATGGATTTTGTAATGGCTGCATAACTTTTAAATATAAGGATATGCCAGAACTTATTTAGTCACTTTCTTATTGTTGAAATTCTTATATTATCAAATTCTGTCCTTATTTATAACTATTTCATTAAGATAGGGTTTGAGAAGTATGGCTAATAGGTGAAAGAACATGATAATTTTTTTGGTGATAATTTCTTCTGTTGTTTTATTTCAAAATACTGCATGTATAGCTATATAATGCAGGCATTAACATTTTGTGCCTGTATAACAGAATACTACAGACTGGGTAATTTATAAAGAGGAGAAAGTTGTTGGCTAATGGTTCTGGAGGCTGGAAATTTGAAGATTGAGGAGCTGATCTGGCAGGGTCTTTCTTGCTGTGTCATCGCATGGCAGCACGCAAAGAGAAGGCAATAAGAGATCAGACTTGCAGCCTCAAGCCTTTTATAATTGGCAATAATCCACTCATGAGGGTGGAACCCTCATGACCTAAACCTTCCCCATTAGGTCCCACGTCCCACATGATTGTATTACATTTCCAGCACATGCTTTTTGAGGAACACAGTAAACCACAGCAATATATAATAGGAGATGGCTTATGAGAGCGCCTGTGTCATTTTACATTCCCACCAGTATTATGAGTGACTGCCTTTCCATGCCAGGCTCAACACTGAGCCTCATGAGTTTTTAAATTTGTTTCGACTTAATATAGGAACAATGACACTCCATTGCTTTAACGATTGTTTCTTTTTATCAATAGAGTTGACTAGTTTATGATGTTTATGAGTCATTTGTATTTCTTCTGAAAATTTTCTGAACAGGTCCTTTGGCCAATTTTCTGTGCAGGTATTAGAGTTTTGATTATTTCCCTTAAGGACGTTTCAAACCAACCTTGTACAAGCTATGGCCCGCGGGCCACAAGCAGCCCAGAGCAGCTTTGAATACAGCCCAAAACAAATATATAAACTTTCTTAAAACCTTATGAGATTTTTTTTTTAAAGCTCATCAGCTGTCATTAGTGTTAGTGTATTTAATGTGTGGTCCAAGACAATTCTTCTTCCATTGTCGCTCAGGGAAGCCAAAAGATTGGACACTCTGTTTTAAATATTTCAACTTTTTTCATGTTTTTGCAAATGTGTGTGTGTGTGTGTGCATGTGTATGTGTGTTTATGCAAGAGCATGTGCATGTAACATTTTTTGTTTCTATTTATGTAAGTTAGTTAGCTAGTGCTGTGTAAGAAAAGATCCAAAACTCAGTGGCTTACAACAATAATTCTTTGTTATTATTTGTCAGTTTTTATGTATCTATGTGGTCTTTTGGTCTTGTTGGATTCTCTCATGCCTCTGTGGTCAGATGTGGGGTGAAGAGATACTTCTGCTGATCTTAGCTGAGATCTCTTGCATTTTGGGCACTGGCGGCTGGCTGATCTCTGATGGCCTAGACTAGGGCAACTGGGCTCTCTCTCCTTCAGCAAGTAAGCTTAGCTTGTTCAAATGATGGGGTTCCAAGGAAGGTTTAGAACTTGTGCATAGCTACTCCTGACACATTCTGTTGGGAAAAACAAATCAGAGATGAACACCAAATTCCAGGGAAGGGGAAATACACTCTACTTCTTAGTGGGAGGAACTGCAAATTTTGTATGTTACAAAGGGCATAGATCAAGGAAGAGTGAATAATTGGGGCCACTTTTTTTTCAATCTTCCACAGTAGGCAACTTAAAAAAAAATCATTTTAGGATATCTCTTCATCCTTTTGATTATTTTTTCTAAGATATGTCAAATAAACTTTTTTAAAATTAATTTTACTCTGATTAAGTACATGAAGATTTCCTTCACTACGTCTTTATTTTTTGCATCCATTCCTATTGTTCATGTTTATGTCAGTTGCTTACTGCAGTGTGAATTTTGATTTGCCTATTATGTTTTATTATTTTCTTGCAATTATTTATCTTTATTTCTATTGCAGCCAATTGTGTTTTCCTCTGTTCCTACTAACTTTTCATTTGAAGAGTTTTCTCTCCATGTTATTTTCTGTTCTTGTTTCTTATAAAGCATAGCTTCCTTCATACTTTCTTAGATTTCCAAGAAGTTTTCCAAAATGTCCTTGCATTTTCTTTAATAAAACATTAGCTCTCTTACTCTTGGTGTCCAGGCCAACACTTCACCCTATTTTGTTCCCCCAGCACTTTGTATGTAAATCATCCATATCCAAATACAACCCCTTGTTTGCTTGTCAGTCAAATGTTTTTGCATTATCCTGGTAGTTTGCCTTTTAAACAACATTCTTTCAACAACTAGAGGTCCGTGTACAAACTGTCCATCATTGACTGTGCCATGTCAGGCACTGTAGAAGGGTCATGAGGTCCATGTTAAGGAGGAAGAAGCTAAAGACAAAAGTGAAGTGAAAACTTCTAGACCAAAAAGAGTGGAACCCTGGCACAGGTACTAAGTCGGACTGTTGGGACCCACCTGGCTGGCCTGAAGGTTGATGAGATCAGACGAAAAGGAACATAGCCAGCTGGCCACTCATCACACCGTGTCCCTTCTCCTTCTCAGCTGTATACTTATTTCCTCTTATTGTTGCTCTTAGGCCATTTAAACACCTGGAGAATATCTAATTTGGTACTTGGCTCTGAACATGGCAGTAAACCTGTTTATAGTCTTATACACATCCTGCATCCCCCTGCACCATCTGGTCAGTCTCCACAGTCACAGTTGGTAGATGCTCTGAGCCCTTGCCATGGGGCTCTGGATCAGGGATGAAATGAATCCCCCGTAGCCAGTCTCTGAACGGCACTCATGGATTGCAGTCAGTGGCTTCTTCACTGCTTTCCTTTTTCGTTCTTTCTACGTTAGTGAACTTTACTTTACCACAGAGCACCTGCTACTTAATTATTGTGTCTCCCTTTAAATGATGCCACATCACCACTACTTAATATCTGACACCAGACACCAGCAAAAGTTAGAACTGAGTAGGTATTTAGAAAAACAAAAGGACATATGGTCCAGTTCTTAAGCACGAAGTAGTGATCTTTCCATTTAAGCTGTCCATCATGAAATGGCAATGTTCCCAGAATGTTTGAGCTGAAATGGATCTGGGAGACCACCAAGTTCAACTTCGTCATTGTATCAGAGGAAACCGAATCCCAGAGGGGCTGAGCGGCTCATTTATGATTCCAGAGTTGGTCATTGAAAGACAGGTCTCATACCCAGGTCTCTTAAATCCTCTGCCTTTTTCTTCACCACTCCCACCCCCGACCAGTTCTTCTCATTGCTTTGCTGATAACATTACATTTTGTTTTAGATTGCATTTTTTCTTTCCTTTCTAATACCAAGGTCCACATGTTTTTCACCCTTCTTTTAGTATAATTACACATTTGTATATTTATTCTAGTTCAAAATGGATTGAATATGTTTCCATAATTGATTTCTTGTTGTCTAGAAAATTACAGATAACAAACTAGTTTATTAGGTAATTGTTTTCTACTCCCATTTCTCCATAGAAGGTAATTCAAAGGGGATTATGTGACTGCTTACTGAACCAAACTGCATTGCTGCATGTTACTTCTTCATGATGGTTATTTGCTTTCTTCCTTAAACATTAATTAGGAGTCATTGCCATCAGAACCAGAATTTTGAACTTGTTTAAGGAATTACTTTGAACTGTTATAGCACTTTCCTTAATATTACATGTTGATTTGTGTTAATTTACCTTTCCCTTCTATCTATTATTCAGGCTATCCTCTGCTGATTGAAATATTCAAGGTACTGCTGGCTTTCACATGTATATTTAAAGGCACGTGTAAATATTCAACATTATCTTATCAACTTAAAATGAAGAAGATATCAGATCATATTTGCCTGTTAAATTAACAGGAGCCTTCAGGCATATGCATTAAAATAATTTGTGTCAGATACAAAAAGAGTTAGAAGGTGAACTAATTTCAATGAGAATGGAAAATGTGATGTCTAGTAAAAATTACATAAACATATTTGGGGTTAGACCGTCAGTTCATGGTTTGATCCCTGGCAGTAGTGCTAAGATTAACCTGTGATGGCATTTGTCTTCTACCCCAAAAATGACAATACAAATTAGAAGTGTACCTTGAGCATTCCTGACTCCATTCAATGACACTTCTGGGTTGTTTACACTGATAAAATTGCTATTTTTGTTTGTCCTTTTATGTCTGCTCCTTTCATGTATGCCATCACCAAGAGAATTTTTACCAGAACCAAGAAGTTTTCTTTTCCAAGAACAGTTTATCCTCTCTATTTAGTAGCACCCTGCAGTAATTATATTCTGTAACTGCCCAGCCAGAATCTTTACAGAAGTGCACAAAACAACAAAACTATATTCATAATGCCCACATATCACCAGCACATTTTAAATCACAATTTCACAATTATTTAGCTTAGCAAATGTGTTCAAGTTAAGGATCTGAATCTTATCGAAGTGCTCATAACCTTTATTGGCTAGTAAGACAGAGTAAAGGTTAACAAAAAAGATGAACACATCTTTTGTGTGTGTGTGTGTGTGTGTGTGTGTGTGTATGTACCTGGAATTTACGGTCTTTTAATCAGTACAAGAGTTACTATGAATTGTTAGCTGAGAAGTGGACCAAATTTCCAAAATGAATCAGGATATAATTATTAAATATGTTAAAATGAGATTTTACCTGTATTTACCCAACGAAGTTAGACAGAAGGTTAGTGGCAATAAATAATTATCTCTCATTTCTCTGTAATTGTTAAAATAATTTGCATCTATTGATTTTCTTGAAAATGTTATCTTGAAATGTTAAAAATGGAAGAGATGGTAACTTTATCAATTTCAGATTTCATAGCATAAATTTGACTCCTTCCTCGTTTTAAAATTTTTTATTTATGTTTTTTGACACTGATCTCATTGATAGGCTTTCCTCGCTCTGGTAACATATCTCTAGTGCCACTTAAGATAAAAGTAAGTTGGTCCAGATGTCATAAAATGATTTCAAACAAAAGAATTTTGTAACTTATTGGAATAAATGTCAATTGGAAATCACTATGTCTTCTTGAAATACCTGAAAACAAACTCAAGAAGGGTATTGCAAATATCTTATTCCATCCTACAGTTAATTTTTACAAAGCCTTTTTAGAGTTGCTAAAACTCAATGTAGAAATAAAATATCGCTGAGCCAACAAGTTGTTTGAAATATAATTTACTTAAGGCATAATAAGAATATAAAATAACTCTAAAATAAATATTATGTGAACATCTTTAAGTTAAATTAAATTTGGCATAGCTAATTCAATATAAAACAATTGACTTAACAATAAAGAATTTGTTCCCATTGTAATGATTATTTTAAAAATGGTTTATTTTAATATACTGCTTGATAGAAAGAAATGAAAGACACGCTTTATTCTGGGAAAAGCTTTCCTGAGCAATGCCAATATAACCAAACAAACACTGCTAATCATGAGAAGATGACAGAAAACATTTCCAGCCATTCTACAATCTTACATACCTGTAAATATCTTTGGACGGTCCCAACTGACAATGTTAAATTTGTAAGACACCCGACTCCAGAGATGAAAGCAATATTGTGCCAAGATATACAGCAGAGTGTCAGCTTATGTCAGTTTCATGCAAATGGCATGAACTACAGTGAACGATGTGTAAGTTCTGATTGCCACGTAGAAGGACTGAACGATGCTGTTAAAATTAGAGCCACTCAAGCAGTAAGCTTGTCTTCTGACCAACCCTCACTAATCAAGGGTTAGTGGGACTTCTTTGCATAAAAATATAAATGTTGAAAAGGATGTGGCCATATGTGCAAAATAAAAGACAGTTTTGAACATGGAAATAAGTACAACAGGGCAGAATAAGTAAATGTCTAAGGCTTAAATATTCGTCTACAATTGATGGTTTATGAATTACTGGCATGAACAGATGGCCAAGCTTGCTCACATTTTTCTTCTAAATTTTTGAATATTGAATACATTTTATTATGGACTTTGAATGACACATTTGAAATGGTGTTGTCACACACACATGCATACACACACACAAACAGTCAAGTTTGGCATATAAACAGTGAACTAAAATCCACTCCAAAGAGGTTATTTCTTTTGTTAAGACACTTTCTATGTTCAATGATTTTTCCCATAGCAGCTTCTTCTAAAAAGGATTATTTCTCAGGTCACACCAGCTTAGAATCACGTAAGTGGTAATGAAGAACGTTAAATTCTATTTCCCTGGTTCTTGCCCGTCCTTCTTTTAGTGGGACCCTGATCAACTTTAAACCCTTCCCCATCTATTTCTGGGTATCCCTAGGGGTTATCTCAGTGGCTTTGGGCATACCTTGGCAGTTGATAGCTCCTCAGCAACTTGCAAAGCTGTGCACAAGTACCCAGCCACATTTTTGTGCCTGCATTTGAACTGCTTGCAGACAAACGTGATCCCTGCTGGGTCCTTTTACCTCCAGAGATATGAGTGTTATTCCGTCACTCACAGGTGCCAGTGTGTGTCTGGGAGCCTTCAAATAGCCAAGCTGCACTGAGCCTTGAGTCAGAGTAGGGAGGATATCTGCCTTTTCTTGTTTGGTGGTGCTTCACCAGATAAATAGTGCTACCTTGTGTTGTGAAATTTCAATAAAAATACAGGTAGCCTGCATCAGCCCTGATAGGAAGCAGATGGAACCCTCAGCAGGTTTCGTGGGTGGTATGAGTAGGGTTAGAAGCAGCAGCAAGAGATGGCAGGCACTCAGGGACTGCACTAGCACCTGGGAGGGGCAGGCACAGAGTTCCTGGAGGCTGTAGCTGTGAAAGAGGGGATGAGCAGCATGTAGGAGAATGTAGCCATTGCCAAGTTCATGGCCAGAAAGGGAAAAAGCAAGTGGAGCAGCTACCCTGACTTCACTCCACTTCCTCCGTGTGATAGTCTAAAATCTTCTCCATTGACCCCGTTCAACCAGAAGCCAGAGGGGCGGGCAGATCCTGTGATTGAGAACAAAGCAGAGAAAGACAGACGAGGTCTGGAGGCCTAATCAAGAGTATTTGGCACATCTCTTCTCCCCTCTTCTCTCCTACAACATACTAGGCATGTGCCTTAGGAGCTGGGTTGGAGTAGAAATCTTCAAAGCAGATGCCTCACTACAGTTAGGACGGTCCCTCCCTGCTGGGGAACAATGGCAGATTGTAATTGTGGTCCTTGATTCCTTATCCAGAAGTTATTTGAAGCTACAAATAAACTTCTACTGTGTTGACCCAGGCGGTTCACCAGATCTCTTCAGATATGCCTTGTTAGGTGTTGATTTGGGGGCAAATCTCAAAGTCTCACTGGCTTAATCCAGTAAAAAGTTCCGTTTGCTCACATTCAAGCTCCGTATGAGTCAAGGTCTTCCTCCCTCTTGTAGATATCCCCCCTGGAACTTGGGGCCTCCAAGGTCACCACGAGGGAGAGGATCACATAAGATGTTTTTTATGGCCTGCCCTTGTGTGACCGACATCTGGTCACTTACATCTGACTGACCACTTAGTCACGTTGCACCAACCTGACTGCAGGAAAAGGCAGGATGTTTGATGAGCATTGGCAGTCCCTGTTCTGTGCCTGAAACTCAGCAATGACTATAACGTCTAGTAAGCCTGGCCTCCTTAACACATGCTAGTTGAGTATTCAACCTCTGTGACTGCACATATCCATTAAGTCCTGTTGTCCACCTAACCCTGTGAAACTTGAATAGTTTATATTACTCTAGATATGCTACTTTATCACCATAACTCATTATTTGGACGAGCCACTGGGGAGATGCCTTTTTTCTGACTGAGCTAAGGTGATGTAAGCAGGTAGATTTATGTTGTTATTAAAAATTTATGACCCCTTAAAAATATTCCCCCAATTTTTAATGCCTGAATCAAGTTGTTAATTTGACTTCTTCTAAAATGTTAACACCTAGTAATGGTAGATGCTAACAAAAGCAGAGCTTTTGAAAATACCGTTCCTTAAGGTTGGAACACACAATGAATTTTATTATGGTGAGTAGTTCATAGGGTGAACTGATTTCATGTCAGCACTCATTAGAATCTTAACCCTGTGTGTCCCATTGCATGAGAAACTTTGAAATATTTGAAATGCTGTACACAGGACCAAAGACTGGAGAAAGAATATAGTATCTTTTAGCTTTTTTGCCCTAGCGAATTTAGAACCACCATATACTCATAGTTTTTCCCTATCATTATAAGCAGTCAGTTCTTCTTTATAAAATGTCTATGCAGGGCATAAAGAAGTAGCTGTTATAACAATGAGAAGTATTAAATCGGGGCTTTGCAGTTAAGAACTTAAGCTTAATTCCAGATGCAAAGTATTATAACTTGGAATAAAGTACAAAATAATTCATGTGTTAAAAATTAAAAATTAGTTTATCTGCCAACATTTTCTAGTAAATTATTTTGTTTTTAATTAGTGGCATTTATATGATACATTCTTGGCATGTTGCCTCATGGAATTGGGGAGCACCATGCTAATCAGAAAATGATTTATCTTAATTCTCAATTCTCTTTCCTTTCTTTCTATGTCAGATGATCTCTGCCTCTTTCACTCACTACCCCAGCTTAAAACCATTTGTAGTTTATGTTGCAGTGATGGATTCTTTATCCCTTCATTAACAATGACTGCTTGACTGTACTAGGTTACAGTACTTAATTGTGAGCAGTAACTGTTGGCCAGAGTGATGTTATTTAAGAAACCAACACTAACAACTCTAACAGTTAAGGGATTCATCTGAATCCCTTACAGTGAACACTTATTCGAATTAGTCTCTTAAAGCTGGCAAGCAAGAAGTTATGTTCACAAATCGAAATGAGGAAATTCTCATTACATTGACGTAGTATCTACAGATTTCAGGCAAAACACTTCTTTGCTGTGCCTTTCTTATGGATAAAAGTACAAGTGCAGCTTACTTTGCACACCTACTGGTGTGTGTCAAGTTAACCCATAAGGGATTTGTACTACATTTCCTCTGCCTTTCTTATGTAGCTTTTCTTTCCTTCATAGAACAAATGTAGTTGGATTTCCTCACAATTGGGCCACTTATTCTTGGCTTCTTGACATGGGCCCCTTTGATATTGTAATAAAGCAGTGGTCAATATGAACACACACACACACACACACACACACACACACACACACACACACACACACAGAGAGTGTGCCAGGGTGCACCAGCTGAGAGGTGACCATGAAGGACCTAGTCCTAAGGTCTTGGCTGCCTTTAAAAGCTCCAAGTCCATTCCTGGGGACTAGGCTTGAGACTGGATTCCTCATGGCAGCCCCAAACATTACTGGGAAGTTAATTCTATGCTTTAAAACCCACATTGCAGGGGGCCATTTTGGGGACTCTTTATCGCATAGAGAGTTCCAGGATAATGATGATAATAGGATGTGTTGAACATGAACTGTGAGATATCTCGGTTCTGGATAGTGACATGTATTATCCTCAATTCATACCACAGCAGCTTTCCCAATGTTTAATATACAGATTGGCTTTGGGCCCAGTATTCAGTTCAAACATCAGATGGCCATCAATAAGCTATCAGCAGTGTCACCCTCATGTGTTACATTTCAGCCTAGAGTGACATATCACAGTTATCGGGGGGCTATTGAGTTGGAATTGCAAATTACGATGTATGGCTTAAACACCACTTTGCTGTCACACAACTGCCAAGAGTCTGAAAAATATTCTTGCGAAGAAACCTCAGATTGAAGGCAATTATAATAATGCAAACCTAATCAAACAATAAGAATGTGGCCAAGCCAACATTCCTGACACTAGTGCAGCCATGTTTCTAGAGAAAATAATGACAATCTAATCAGATCGACAGAATGCCAGCCAAAAACTTAGAAACGACTAAGAGGTTATTAGAAGTATGGATTTACATATTCTATTGTTAATTATGAATCTTGCCCCTAAGTGTGTTGTGTTCAAGATATAAACTAATGATACAAATTCAGATTTTATCTTGAGGTTTTAATTGTCCTGAATTGGTGACTGAATGTCTAAGAATTCTCTCTGTAGGTATCACTGACATGAATGGAAGTAAAGTTCCTTGAGATAGCATCTTTTACCCTTCTCTGTGGGAAATAGAACATGCCTCCAGTTTTGACTCCATTTCTAGAAAACATACTGTTGTATTCTCTGCAAGTCTATTAAGCAATCCCTTTCCCAGACCCATGTAGAAACTTCATTGGTGGCTGTCTGCATCCTGACTGATGGTTCTGTCTTCTCCTGGGGTAATGAAGAAAGGCCAATTTTGCCTGGATTCCCGTGTCTTACTTTTGAGTTCAGGATGAACTAAACTCCCTGAAATCCTGTCCCCACTACATTCTAACAAGTGATACCCTTGAACCGTTGTCTGGAGCTGTGTGTGAACTTTTCTTCCTTTTCCATAACAGAAATCAATTTCAAAAGTTTATCCAACAATCCCGGTCATCCAGTCCTGCCTCGTCCTTCTTGCTAATAGTCCCTCCTGTGAGTCACTTTACATAGATAATTCTTGGTGTTCAGAACCCTTAGGTTCTAGGTAGCAGTTCCTCATTTTCTTCTTCCATCTTTTTTTCCTTACAACTTCTCGTAAATTCACTCCATTGTTCCCAGGCCATGCTGCTTCCCATCCTGGTCATTCCATGCTCAGAAGCTCTTAAAATGAACTTCCCAGGCCTGCAACGTCACTCTCGTTGTCTCCTGAGTTCAAACATTAGCCTGTTTTAAAGATTTCGGCTTGATAACTTTGTAAACATACAAAACCTGATATGTTGCAATTCTTGTTTTTTTTTGGAGGAAGGTAGTGTGCTGGACTTCCCCCACACAGTCCTGATTTAAATGTTCTATCCCATTGATCCATATGTATCTGTGTATTTTTCATGCCACATATTGAATTGTAAAAGGTGGGTCTCTATACCTATTAATTAAAGAAGGCTGTGACTTATATTTAATATAGCAAGGGAGCACATGTTAAAAATAGTCTCTTGCAAATCCATCTTTCATTCTGCAAATTCTGCTGAACACTGACATTATGATGATCGGAGATGCTGCAGCAGGTATCTATGAGGCAGTATATGAATACGTGGCTTCTGGCCTTATAGCTTGTCATAGAAATGAGCCCACACAGTTTAAATAATAATACAATCACTGCAACATCACCATGCAACCAAATCAAGCTATAAAATAAAACTCTTAAGAGTTCAGTGACAAGGCCACACAGGACTATCTCAAAACCATGTATGGTGTATTAGTTTGTGTGGGCTACTGTAACAAAGTAAACTGAGCAGCTTAGACAACAGAAATTTATTGTTTCACACTTGTAGAGGCTAGAAATCAGAGGTCAAGGTGTCAGCAAAATTGTTTCCTTCTGAGGGCTATGAAGGTCTGTTCAGGGCATCTCTGCTTGGCTTGCAGATGGCTGTCCTCCTGGGTTTTCACGAGGTCTTCCCTCTGTACCCATATCCTAATCTCCTCTTCTTATAAGGAGACCAGTCATTTGAGATTAGGACCCACCCGAATGACCTCATTTCACCTTCATCAATTTTGCAAACACCCTATCTCCAAATGCAGCCACATTGTAAAGTACCGGGGCTTAGGATTTCAACATGTAAGTATCTGAGAGGTCACAGTTCAGCCCATAACATACTGTATGCGGGCAATAAATTGAACAGACAAGAAGCAAAGGGTTCGGAAGAGGGAATGGACTTGCGCTGGAGGAGCTGACTTTGAAGAATAAGTAGTTTTTCAGTGGGAGGGACAAGGGCCAGCTCATGAGGAAATCCCACTGCATTTACAGCCTCACAGCATCAACACTGAAAGAAAGACTTGTCTGGGCAATACATGCGAAACTAACATAGTATAATCCAGCCTTTCTGGCTTAGCAAAGTGTGGCTCCTGGGGAGGTATCTTTTAAGAGAACATGGGCACAAGTGTGGGGTCTGATGGTTTTTAAACATCTCTGTGGCCCTCTCCTTTGATGATGTGCTTTCCACTCTGAAATGAGGCCAGCAAACCTTCATCTCACCCGACTCCTCACTTTACTACCACAGGGGTTTAATCTGTAACTAGGAAGGAGTGGGTGGCGAGGCTGAGGGCCACTGCAGCACGTGTGGTGTTGGGACAGGAGGCTAGAGACGAGGAAGGGAAAACCACAGGATTGCACAAGGGATCCAGATGGTGTGGATCAAAACTGTTATGAGCATTATTTTAAGATAGAAAGACAAGGTGGTCATTGGGCATGGAGACAAGAAAGCCACATTGTACACTGTTAACATTTGTTGAATTCTTCTTGTCCTAAAAATATAAGTATTACTTATTTCTGCTTGGCTTTAAGCTAGTAAACACAAAGACCACACATGTGATGAGCACTGGTATTCCAGATTGCTGACCAAAGGAGGATACTGGAACTTGGACAGTAGGTGGCATGGCAAGACTGGCTCTCATAATGAAGACCATGGAGAAGCATCTCAGTTCTCTCCTTGGAGGAACTCCTTTTTCTGTCCAGACTCAGACCCAGTGCATGCTTATACGTGTGCATGCTTTCCCTGGGAAAGTGTGATGCTTAGGGACCAAGGCCCAGAAGTTTCCTTCTGTCAAATTTCTGAATAAGGCATTGGGTGATTGGTGTGGGTGATTGATGTGAAGTCATGTACAGTGGGTGAGAAAGGGTAGGGGTGTCAGAGACAAATTGCCTGCATGTAAATCCAACCCTACTGCTTTTTAGCCAGGTGCCTTTGGACAGAGTACCTAAATTCTCTGTCTTCTAGTTTCTAGGAGAATTAAAAAGAGCACCAGTGAGTACTCAAAAGAGCATCATAATAGCACCAATGAGCTGCAGTCTGTATTGTACATAGACTAGTACCTGGCAGAGTGCGGTTGCTCAAAAGTGTTAGCACTGTTATTATGGACAGCTGTGATAGTATTGCTACAATAATATTGATGGTAGGGTTGATGGAGTGGTGAAGATACAGTCTGCCTGCTTCAGGAGAGGTAAGCTTATTTTACTGAGCATAAACACATTAGCTTTGATTTTTGGATCTATGAATGGAGACTGTTCACTGGGCCATTGCAGCACAGTTAGCTGCCGTTGAGAACAGCAACACTGCTAGTGTGACACTTACTTGTACCTTGGCCCTTCTGTAATTAGAAGAACTTGAATTTATTCAGGTATCCACTCAAATGTCACCTCTTCAGTGATGCCTTCTGTCACTAACGAATCTAGAGTAGGCTCCTGCTTCCTACTACCCATTCACCTTATTTTAAATCTCTCTATAGTAGTTATTGCTATTTTATATTTTCTGATTTGTTTCATTCATTTATTTACTTGTTTACGTAACGAGTATATACTGTGTTCCTACCATATGCCAACCACTGTGTTAGTTACTGGAGACATAGGGATGAATAAAACGAAAGAAAGTCCTGGCTCTCATGAGACTTACAGTCTAATGGGCAAGGCATATTAAAAATGAATAAATAAATAGTAAATATAGTACGTCACACGGTGACAAACCTCAGGCAAAAAAAACAAAGGAATGCTTGGCTGGAGTTGTGTTTGTACTTCTGTATAATGAATGTATTAAGGGAGGGCCTCACTGATGGATCATAGTTGGGCAGAAATCTGAAGGGAGTGATACATGTTGGCTGTCTGTGTGAGGGATGCTATTATCAGGAATAGCAAGCACAAAGTGCAAAATATACTTGTATTTATTTAACAGTAAGGAAGTCAGTGTGCGGGGAACAAAGTGGATAAAGAGGGATATATCAGTTAGCTTTTCCACATAACAAAGCATCCCAAAGTTAATGGTTTAGAACAACCACCATTTATTTAGCTCACTAACCTGTTAGCAAGTTGACTGGGCTCAGCTGGGCAGTTCTTTTGGTCTTGACTGGGCTCGTGCATATCTCTAGAAGCTGCCAGGACACTGAGTGCTGACTGGTCTTTGAGATCTCAAGTGGGGCGGCTTATCTCTGGTCCACACTGGCCTCTCATCCTCCAAGAAGTTATTTCATGCTTGTTGACATGGCAGGTGACCTCTGCCACATTATACTGGTCAAAGCCAGTCTCACAGCCAACCCTAGATTCAAGGGGTGGGGAAATAGATTCCAGCTCTTGATGGGAGGAGCTGCCGCTCATGTGGCCAGTTTTGCAGTCTACCCCAGGGAAAGTGACAGGTTATGAAGTCAGAGAGTGGTGGAGCCTTGTAAGGTGTGAATGTAAGTTTACATTTTGTTCAGAATATCCATTGTAAATATAAGTTGGAAAGCCATCTGAGCGTGTGAAGCAGAGCTTTAGCAAGATATGACTTAATAATTGAAGAGCAACTGTCTGGCTGCTCTGTGGAGAAGAGACCCTAGAGGGGCCAAGTGGAAGTTGAATGACTAGGTAGAGGGGGCTATGGTAGCAATCTAAGTGAGACTTGTACAGGGGAGGTAGCCATGAAGCGGGTGAGAAGTTAACACTTTCCAGGCATGCATTGACTGCCCTTTTCTGTTGATTCACTCTTTCAGTCATCTTGAGTGGAAGCTCATTCTGGGCAAGGATTGTTTTATTATGCAATGTTCTCAGCACTTAGAGCCATGGCTGGCACATGGTAGATATCCAGTACATATTTGTTAAAGAAGGAGCAAATGCTTCTGTGAAGCTTTACATTTCCAACATTAACTTCCAGAAACCAGATACAGTCCCATTCTCAGAAACTCTTTAGGAGACCCCTCTGGCTCCGGGCTGTTCCTGGCCTGCTGCACAGATACAGGCCTCTGCTCATGTCCTTGGACTGTCTGCTGGGATGGGAGTGTCCTTGAGTTAAGTAAGCACTTAGCGGCATATGTACAGACATAAAGCCTATGGGAATTCGTTTGTGAAGGGTTATTTAGTAATGCATTTTAAGCGCATTCATTTGACTTCATTGCATTCTGCATTGTTTATTTGAATCTGTGGATTGAGTTTTTACTACTATAAATAGAAATAATAAAACACAGAGCCTTGGGGGGTTTTTTGCCTTAGAGGAATAATTTGAGGGCTCTTAAATGGTATTGTCAGCAAATCAGTAAACATAGTTGTTTTGTTAGCTGATAGGACCTCAGCATCCCAAAACATATAGTGTTCATGAATAGGCATTTTTTTTTAAACATCTTAAAACCTATAAGGCTTCCAATTATCATGGCTCTGGAGATTTTGAAAAATTAAAATGTTTTTTCTTCCTGAAAGATCCCTTGTGGAGCATGTCAGGGCTGTGGTCCCTGGGTGATGTCTCTCCCAGAGAGGCATCTGGAGGTACCAGATGAGGTACCAGAGAGGAAATGCCAGCCTCCTCAGGGTACATCCTTCTATTCCTGCTCCAGAGCTCAGCTCTGTTGGAAGCTCAGAGCTTTTGTTCCTCAGTTGTTTCTTCTCTTTCTTGACTTTTTTTTTTTTTAATTGAGATGGAGTCTCACTCTGTTGCCCAGGCTGGAGTGCAGTGGTACGATCTTGGCTCACTGTAACCTCCGCCTCCTGGGTTCAAGTGCTCTCTTGCCTCAGCCTCCCGAGCAGGTGCAATTACAGGCGTGAGTCACCACACCTGGCTAATTTTTGTATTTTTAGTGGAGATGGGTTTTCACCATGTTGGCCAGGCTGGTCTCAAACTCCTGACCTCAAGTGATCCACCCACCTCGGCCTCCCAAAGTGCTGGGATTACAGGCATTAGCCACTGCGCCCTGTCACTCTTCCTTGACTCTTAAGTGTCTCTCGCTATTGGATTATTTCCAAGACTCATTACATAGAGTTATGTAGCCTCTCAGCCCCTCACTCTAAGAAATAGAGCAGAAAAAGCAAGAACCTAACAGACAAACCTTCCCTTGACCCAGCCACTGTTATAGTCTCCTTTCCCAGCCACTCTCCTTAAAAGTGTTATACACACTTCACTCCTTCCACCTCTTCACTGCCCTGTCCTTCCTCAGTCTACTCCAAGCTGATGTGTTACTCCAGTGCTTTCTCAAAACTGCTCTTGCCAAAGCCAATCATGACCTGGGAGAGAGATCCTAAGACGCCTCTGAACATGGTATGTGGCATCCTCCTTTGTCCACTTGCTTTCCTGATTCCTCTCTCTTGGGTTCCTTTTATCTCGCTGACGGCTTAGTGTAGTTTAGATTTCTTAAATCCTGATTCCTCCTCTATCAAATGTGGCAATTATTTCATGCTCATGAATCCCACTCCCTAGGTGACGTTGTCTCTTGCTTATTTAATGAGAATTTCAAACTGAATATGTCTATAAAAGAATTCTTGGTCTTTTTCTTGAAACCTTCTTGTTCTCCGATCTCCTCGTCTCAGTGCATAGCACCCCTGTTCACTTGCCTTTGCAAGCCACCATCTGGTTCAAGTCATTCCCCCCCTGCCTCTTATTGGAACCAGTTGAATGACCTTCTAAATGGATTCTCTACTTCCCCCTTGCTCACATCCAGTCTGCATCCAGCAGTGAAGGAGACATCACTTCTCACCCTAAAACCCATTTGTGATTGGTTCCCCGATTAGCTTGGAAGAAAACTTCAAATCCCTTTGGAAGGACTCACAGGCTCTGCCTGACTCGGCCATGCTTACTGCTTCAAGCTCCTTTCATATAGCTCATCCTTTCCCCCCGCGCGTCCCATCTATGGTTCTGTGTGTTCCTCAGGATTGCCACAGGTGCTTGGCACTCTTCTGTCTGCCAGGCACACCTGTCCCCTGTTCTTCTTCAGGTGAATTCTTACCCATCTTTTAGCTGTCATGATAAAATGCCTTTTGACCAAAGAAGCCTGTCTCAACTCCCAAACATAGTTCCTCTGTTTTCCCTCTTTTAGAGCAGCCTGTGCTTTCTCATAAAACTTGTCACGATGTAGAGTAGCATGCGTACTCCCTTTTTGCCATTTGTGGTTTAATAACTGCATCTTCCAAGTACCACATGAACAGGAACTTGTCTGTCTTTTCAGCAGTGTCTGAGCAGCATAAAGAAAAAATTGAACACTAAGTTACTATAGGATAAGCGAGTAAATTTTATGTCGTAGGTTATTTTGGAAGACAGTTGAATTGTTTTTGCCTTTTTTTGAGATTGGGTCTTGCTATGTTGCCCAGGCTTGTCTCAATCTCCTGGGCTCAAGCCATCCTCCCACCTTGGCCTCCTGCGTAGCTGGGATTACAGGTGTGTGCCACCACAACCAGCTGACAGGTGAGTTTAAATAAAGCAGTCACCAACTTCTGTTGGGCCTGTTGCCTTCCTGTGAGGCCTTCCTGTAGGCTCAAGACCAAATGTTGCTTTGCAAATCATTACCTACATGTGTGCTGTTTTTCTCCAGAGGTGTAAATGAAAGTTAGTTCAGGAGTGCAAAGAAGGAAGCTGGTCCTTAAACATGTCTACCCAAATGAATCAATTGAAGAAAAGTTTGCACCATTTTATCAGATGGCTGTAAAAGGTTAGTGAAAACATGCCGAATGGATAGATAAGAATGAATAATTCACAGCATCCCAAATGAACCCTATTATAGCACAGCCAATTCAGTCATATTTTATTTATCTCTGTATCGAAGAAAATCAATGTGAAAAATTTCCAGAGCAATCCTGGTGCTTAGCTAGACCCCCTCCTCTGTGTGTGGAGTTAGGTTGTTCTTCTCAGATAGAGCTACTGCCAAACTCATCTATTCTCTTCCTCTTCTTGCTAATCAGTAAAATTCCTGCTGCAGTTACTACTGCAGTATCGGTGTGTTTGTCCTTCTCAGTGTGTTTCCAACTTGTCACTTAAGTAATAGCTCTAAAATTAAAATCTCCAGCATGATTTATATTAGTGTTAAATTCCCTCCCATTATCTCTGTCCTTTTGAAATGTCTCATCTGGGCAGCGTTTACTCTTCTCTTTGAGTTTTTATTCCCTGTACTTGAAATAAGTCTTAGCACCTCCCACTCTCTGACCATACATGGGATGGAGGGACTGTTTCAGAGAAAGCAACTTCTATTATAAAGATGCTGTTCATGCATTTTCCCCAAATCCCATTTCTTAAACGTTCATTTGTAGGTTTAGATATTTTTATGCAGCTGTTCATCATTGTATGATAGATCTTTGCATTCTTTCCAGATATTCCAAAATGTAGTGCCATCATGCTTGGTAGGCAAATAGCAGCTTTTACTTTTTTTTTTTAATCCCAGTAGCCTAAGATTAATTTTTCTAAAGTCACTATGGCATCTTTTTACTCTGTCAAAGTAGACAGAGTGAAACCAATAGCACAGCATTTCTTTTTTTAGAAGTTCATATAGTAGCAGAAACGATTTTCTAAATCACTTGTAATAACAATTCTCTGCAATTAGAGGGTGGGGGTAACACTGAACTAAGCTATTTGAAATATTCAGAGTTGTTTGATGAAATTGTAGGCATGGAAAACTGTGCAATCTCAACTCCTTGTTAGATAGAGCATGGGATTGGAGGTAGTGTAGTGGATGCTGTCTATTTCCTGGGGAGAGAGAATCCCTTGGGCCCTGGCACTGAAGTGTGGTCAGTTTGATTTCACAGAAATTGATTCAATTTTGTGCCTGTACAGAGTTAGACAGACAGACGGAAAGCCTTGTGTGATTGAAATGCTTCATTTGAGGATACTGTTAATAAGTTCAAGAATACTATTCATTGACTTGGTGATTTGGTAAACAAAAAGAGCATGATTTTCTTTGTTACCTGCAGTGTATCTTCTGGTGGTCATAAATAAGTACATTCATGTTCCAAAGGCTAGAATCATGCCACTAAACGTTTGCCATCTCACTGCTAATGATTCTCTACCTCACAAAATGCATACCAACCCAAAAGTCACTTTCATTGAAACTTTCCTAGAGAAAGATATGAATTTAAAAAAGTAAACAAGCACCCGGGCATGGTGGCTTACTCCTGTAATCCTAGCACTTTGGGAGGCCGAGGCAGGTGGATCACCTGAGGTCAGGAGTTTGAGACCAGCCTGGCCAACATGGTGAAACCCCATCTCTACTGAAAATACAAAATTAGCCAGGCATGGTGGCGTGTACCTGTAATCCCAGCTACTTGGGAGGCTGAGGCAGGAGAATCTCTTGAACCTGGGAAGTGGAGGTTGCAGTGAGCCAAGACTGCACCACTGCACTCCAGCCTGGGCAACAAGAGTGAAACTCCATCTCAAAAAAAAAAAAAAGCAAACAAGCTCCAAGTTTCAATTAAACTGGTGCAAAATTTGTGTACATCTTTTTATTCCTTCCCTCTTACTCAATGTATTAAAAGTACCAGATGCTTGCTACCATGGAAGCTTTCTGAATATGCTACGCTAAAATAAAAATTATCCTTGCGCACTGTTGCTTCTATCCTTTCTTCCACCTTCCAGGACTCTTGATTCAAATTTATTGATGAGTTCATTCTTTTCTCATAAACTGATGAGGCTGTGATATCAGGCTCACTTGACAGTCGTCCTCAGCTGAGAAGGAAGCCAGCACCCACAATGTGAGATTCACGGACGCACAGAAGTGGTGCTAAGTGCATATCTAGGGCAAGGGTTATGAAGGAAATTGACGAATTAAGGACTGAGAAGGCACTTATTACAAAATAATGGTTTAAATTAGACTCACAAATTTTATCTTACGTAAATTGGCTCGATACTTCATTTTAAGTTATTCTTCTTGCAAAATGCCCTTTACAAAGTCCCTCAGCTTCCGTTACAAATGATACTGCAGTCAAGATTCATGATTTAATTCCTGAACCTCACTGAAGGCAAGACATTTTTTTTTTACCGCAAAAAGATGAAATAATCGTAGCAGCCTGACACACGATGTGCAGTTAAATGCTGTAAGTAAATACCATCAAGTAGAAGAACTTAAGTAAATGGTTTTTGATTCCACATCACAAGTTCTTAATTCTTAAACAACCATCCAAATAATCAAAGTAAATTTAATCAGTGGAAAAATACAAAAACTATACTATATTTCATTCTATATTAATAATTATGGTAGCCGTTTCTTCTTGATTATAAAAGTAAAACTGCTGGCCAGGCATGATGGCTGATGCCTGTAATTTCAGCACTTTGGGAGGCCAGGGTGGAAGGATCGTTTGAGCTCAGGCGTTCGAGACCAGCCTGGGCAACATAGTGAGACCTCATCTCTTAAAAAAAAAAAGTAAAGCTTCTAAGAATATCAACCCTTGTTACACACAGGCAGTGGATCCTCTGATCCTACTGGTTGGGCTATCGAGTGATTCTAGACAAAAAGGGAAGATTACCACTGCACCAAGGGTAATGCTGCTTTCTGGGAGATAGACAAGCTGGAAGTAAGAAAAAGATAAAAACATTTAGGACATGTTGGCAATTTACCTGCAAACATAATCTCTGCAAAAATGAAACTCAAAAATTTCAGATTTTAGACTTCTGTATTTTTTCTTTAGTTTTGTAATCGCAGTTTTCATCTTAAAGCCAAGGTTTCTGTTACTTTAAATTGTTACATTATAAACTAGCTCTGTGAAAAGTAAGACCATTGCCTTCTTTTGAAAATAAAATACTCTCGATATAAAATATTAGAATTAAGAAGGAGGATTGTATTAACAGTTTCCCAAAGATATCCTGGTGTTGACAGTAGCTAAGATATGTAATCAACCTAAGTGTCTGTAAACAGATGAATAAAGAAAATGTAGAATATTATTCAGCCATAAAAAAATGAAATCTTGTCATTTGCAGCAACATGGAAGGAACTGAAGGTTATTATTTTAACTGAAATAAGCCAGGCACAGAAAGACAAATATCACATTTTCGCAATCATATGGGGGAGCTAGAAAAAGTTGATCTCATAGAGGTAGAGAGTGGAATGGTAGATACCAGACGCTTAGAAAGGTGGGGAGGGAGTTGAAAAGAGGTGAGTTTCCTCCCAAAGAGATAGGTTTGGGTACAAACATACAGTTAGATAGAAGAAATAAGATCTAGTGTTCAATAGCACAGTAGGGAGACTGTACTTAACAGCAATATATTGTATATTTCAAAATAGAAGATTTGGAAAGTTCCCAAAACAAAGAAGTGATAAATATTGGAGGTAATGGATATCCTAAATATCATGATTTCTTCATTACACATTGTATGCATGTGTCAAAATACATGCCCCATATATATCTATAAATATTATCTTTCAATAAAAATACTGTGTTACATTTTTTTTAAAAGGCACTATAGTGTTGAGATTCTAAGAAGTGTCATTCTTCAATTATTCTCCTTTAATAGCCTTATTCAAATATTAGCTTCCTGCAAAAGTCATTGTGGTTTTTGCCATGTATGCATGTTTCATTTAGGGAAGGTAGCCTTTGATCTAATAAGACTATGTAAAATCCTAGTTTTTAAAGTCGAACAATAATAACATTGAGTCTCTTCAGTATGTTCAGGAGTATTCTGCCGAACTTTGGTCATACTTTTCGTGTGATCACTAGTCAATATTAATTATGGTTGTTATTGAACACTATTGAAATAGTGAACAAATCTGAGATATAGATTGCATCCTTTAGAATGGAAATATCCTCTACTCTCCAATGCTGAAAAAAATTATGTTACAATGAATATTGTCAATCCAATGTATACAGAGCTTTCTATAGATCATGGCATCTACTGGTGATTTTGGGAAAAAATAGTAGGTCTGCTGGAGCCAAGTTTATTTTGAATATATCATGCATTTCTTGGTCTTCAGTTTACTAGTGGTATTGGCAATGTATTAGCAATTTCCTATCATGAGTACCATAAAATTCATGCTTTCTGGTTACGTATTAGTCTGTTTTCACACTCCTGATGAAGACATACCTGAGACTGGGTAATTTACGACGAAAAAGAGGTTTAATGGACTCACAGTTCCATGTGGCTGGGGAGGCGAGAGACAGAATGAGAACCAAGCAAAAGGGGTTTCCCCTTATAAAACCATCGGCTCCCATGAGACTTAGTCACTATCACAAGAACAGTATGGGGGAAACCACCTCCATGATTCAGTTATCTCCCACCAAGTCCTTCCCACAACACATGAGGATTATGGGAGCTATAATTCAAGATGAGATTTAGGTAGGGACACAGCTAAATCAGATCATTCCACCACTGCCCACTCCCAAATCTCATGCCCTCAGATTTCAAAACCAATCATGCCTTCCCAACAGTCCCCCAAAGTCTTAACTGATTTCAGCATTAAATCAAAAGTCCACAGTTCAAAGTCTCATCTGAGACAAGGCAAGTCCATTTCACCTATGAGCCTTAAAATCAAAAGCTAGTTAGTTACTTCCTAGATACAATGTGGGTACAGGCATTGGGTAAATACAGCCGTTCCAAATGGGAGAAAAAAGCTGAAACAAAGGGGCTACAGACCCCATGCAAGTCCAGAATCCAGTGGGGTAGTCAAATCTTGAAGCTCCAAAATGATCTCCTTTGACTTCATGTCTCACATCCAGGTCACGCTGATGCAAGAGGTGGGTTCCCATGGCCTTGGTCGGCTCTTTCCCTGTGGCTTTGCAGGGTATAGCCCCACTCTTGACTGCTGTCATGGGCTGGTGTTGAGTGTTTGCGGCTTTTTCAGGTACACAGTGCAAGCTGTCAGTGGATTTACCATTCTGGGGTCTGGAGGATATTGGCTCTCTTCTCACAGCTCCACCAGACAGTGCCCCAGTGGGGACTCCATGTGGGGGCTCACACCCCACATTTCCCTTCTGCACAGCCCTAGCAGAGGTTTTCCATGAGGGCCACACTCCTGCAGCAAATTTCTGCCTGAACATCTAGGCATTTCCATACATCTTCTGAAGTCTACGTGGAGGTTCCCAAACCTCAATTCTTGATTTCTGTACACCTGCAGGCTCAATGCCATGTGGAAGCTCCCAAAGCTTGGGGCTTGCACCCTCTGAAGCCATGGCCCAAGCTGTACCTTGGCTTCTTTTAGCCATGGCTAGAGTGGCTGGGACACAGGGCACCAAGTCCCTAGACTGCACACATCATGGGGGTCTTAGGCCTGGCCCAGGAAACCATTTTTTCCTCCTAGGCTTCTAGGCCTATGATGGGAGGGGCTGCTCTCCAAAGGTCTCTGACATGCTCTTGAGACATTTTCCCTATTGTCTTGCTGATTAACATTTGGCTCCTCGTTACTTATGCAACTTTCTGCAGCTGGCTTGAATTTCTCCTCAGAAAATGGGTTTTCTTTTCTATTGAGTAGTCAGGCTGCAAATTTTCTGAACCTTTATGCTCTGTTTCCCTTTTAAAACTGAATGCTTTTAACAGCACCCAAGTCACCTCTTGAATGCTTTGCTGCTTAGAAATTTCTTCCTCCAGATACCCTAAATCATCTCCCTCAAGTTCAAAGTTCCATAAATCTCTAGGGCAGCAGGAAAATGCTACCAGTCTCTTTGCTAAAACATAGCAAGAGTCACATTTACCCCAGTTGCCAACAAGTACCTCATCTCCATCTGAGACCACCTCAGCCTGGATTTCATTGTCTATATCATTGTTGGCATTTTAGTCAAAGCCATTCAACAAGTCTCTAGGAAGTTCCAAACTTTCCTGCCTTTTCCTGTCTTCTTCTGAGCCCTCCAAACTGTTCCAACCTCTGCCTGTTACCCAGTTCCAAAGTCGCTTCCACATTTTCAGGTATCTTTACAGCAGCACCCCACTCTACCAGTACCAATTTACTGTATTAGTCTGTTTTCATGCTGCTGATAAAGACAAACCCAAGATGGGTAATTTATAAAGAAAAAGAGGTTTAATGGACTCACGGTTCCAATCATGGCAGAAGGTGAAAGGCAGGTCTTATGTTGGCAGCAGGCAAGAGACAGAATGAGAACCAAGTGAAAGGAATTTCCCCTTATAAAACCATTAGATCTCATGAGACTTATTTACTACCACAAGAACAGTATGGGGGAAACCACCCCCATGATTCAGTTCTCTCTCACCTGGTCCCTCCCACAACACATGGGGATTATGGGAGCTACAATTCAAGATGAGATTTAGGTGGGGACACAGCCAAACCATGTCAGGTAGTGTCATTTTATAATTTGGTAGTTTTCGATATGATACAGATTATCTTGTTAGACTTGGAGGCTGGATATTAGAAATATAAATCCACACTATTGTCTGAATCTGCTATCAATAATGATAATGTAAAGACCTATAATTTTTATTATGTTGGCCATTAGGTGTTTGACCTTGGGTAAATCATCTTACCTTTGTCCTCAGTTTCTCTAAAATAGGAGTTTGGACCAGATCATTTCTAAAAAACATATTTAAAAGAAACCTGAATACCTTCTAATTCAAATAAATATCCATTTTTTATGTTTTTGTTGTGTTATATTGTGATCATGCCCTTCATATATGAAGATGCTGCTCTTTGCTCATGAGTAGCAGCCTGTAAGTCAGCAGTGCAAAAATGCAAAAGTAGGTGGACTGGTCAGTCTCCAGCATTGTATCCGGTCTCCTTTTAATAATTTATTTGTGCAAAACAATTTTATGAATATAGACACTACATGATGTCTCACTGCCCTAACCCAAAACTCTTTGCATTATGATTTTTGTGATTTAAAGGGGACCTTTAAAATTGTATATATTATAAAATTTTCTAAATTTTAAAAAATCTGAATATAATTTGCCCAGTTTTTCTAGAGAACCAAGAGAAAAACATATTCCTTAAATGAGACTTCACTTGTATGTTACACTAATGGGCCTGGACAAAAATGTGGCAGTTACGATAGTTGCCCACTTGATAAAACATTACTGGGATTGTTTTCTATCAGAGCACGGTGGAGGAATTTCTGGGAACTTGACCCTCTTAACAATTAATAACTAGAAGCCATTCTTTGAGCACATATGTTCTAGAGATGGTGCTGCGTGTGTTATGAAAATTACCTCCTGTGATGCTGAATTAGAAAAGCTAGTGCTGTTTCTTCTCTATACTCACGACACTTCACTTCTGGCACTAGGCATGTGGGGGATTTTCCACAAGCAATTCTTCAATTCCGTGTGCACAACTCAATTCTGACACAGTTGACCTGGAGTCAGCATCAGATTCTACAGGTTGATGGCTCAGTCCAACAAGACTGCCCCCACTTCAGACACCAGTCCCAAGTCCAGGTTGTCACCTCAGCTTCTAATGACTGGCTATAAGTTGTGGGTTTCCATGCCTCCCCCCACCTGCCTTGGGTCCAGTTGTTAGCTAGAATGGTTCACAGAGCTCAGAGAAACACTTTACTTATGTTTTCCCTTTTGCTATAGAGGATACGACTCAGGAACAGCCAAATGGAAGAGATCCGTAAGGCAAGGGATGTGAGGAGCACACAGAGCTTGCATGCCCTCTCCGGGCACCATCCTCCGGGCAGCTCCATGCGTTCACCCACCCAGAAGTTCTACGAACTCTGTCCTTTTAGGGCTTTATGGAGGTTTCATTACATAGGCATGATTGATTACATCATTGGTCATTGGTGACGGACTCAACCTTCAGCTCCTCTTTTCTCCCTGGAGTTCAGGAAGCGGGGCTAAAAACATTAGCCCTGTAATCATGAGGTTGGTTCCCCAGGCAACCAACCCCCATCCTGAGTCCATCCAGGAGCCACCAGTCATCTTATTAGTGTACAGAAGACATTTAGCACTTTGAAGATTCCAAGGGTTCTAGGAGCTGTGTTCCAGGACATAGGTCAAAGACCAAACGTGTGTGTGTGTGTGTGTGTGTGTGTGTGTGTGTGTGTATTTCTTATGTCACAGATGCTCCAAGCAATTCATAATCCCTGAAGTAGGTATTATTATCCCTATTTTGCAGATAAGGAAACAGGATCTGAAAGTCAAGTGAATTTCCAAGGTTATATAGGAAATGGCAGTTAGGACCCTCATCGAGGTTTTTCCATCTCAAGGTTGTGACCTTGGCCATCATCACCAGCAGGTAGAGAACGTAGGCAGAGTCATGCATGCATGCACTTTACAAATGTTGTCTCCATAAAGCACTCCAAGCAGAGCTCTGCTTCTGTGGCTGCAGGAGAAAAATACCCTGGAGCACAACATCCTCAGGTAACTTAGCTACTTGGAGATAAACTGGTCTTGTTCTGTGTTGTCCACTCTCCCACCCGCCTGGCCTTGTAATCTAAGGCCAGAGCAGCTTCCAAAGATCCTGGTGTGTGGCTTTGCAGCTTCCTGTTTACTCTCTCTCTCCCCTGCCCCAGGCCAGCTGGGGCGTCTGGAAGCAAACATATCTGGTCCTCTGGGCCTCATCTTTTCTCTATGTGAGCCTGGTAACAGTTCTGCCTCCCACAATCCCTTCCTCTCCCTGGCAGATGTCAAGACATGACCTTCCAAGTTCTGTACCCACCACTGCAACCCATACCTGCCCTCGCTTTCCTATTTCTTAACTTAAAAATGTCCAGATATAAGCTTATTTCTTTTAATAAAGGGCACCTTTGAAACGGGAGAGTTCCCTGGCCCCCCTCGCAGGACATGCGACAGGGGTGTGGCTCTCTGTTTGGCTGCCTTGAGCTCAAACCCCTTACGGGAGGGGGAGCATGCAGACAGGCAGGTGTTGGAGCCTGGGTGAGTGCTTTGGGCTCCAGCCCTGCCCAGCTCTGGTGGGTGGGCACTTTGGGCCCCAGCCCCACTCCAGCTCTGATTATGTCTAGGGGTGGGTGCCTGTGACTCCCAAAGCCCAAGGAAGCATGTTACAGTGTGCTCTTTCAGCTTTGCCGTCCACGAATGGCTTGAGTGTTTAACCAGCTCAGTGGACGCTCTGCCTTTTCACAAGGGCAGAAGGCCAGTATGACAGCTTTCTGTATCCTGAGCTCTTGTCCAGCGTCATGGAAGATTCAGGTCACACATGGACTTGAAGGATGTATGTGGGGGTTTTACTGAGTGGTAGAGGTGGCTCTCAACAGGATAGATGGGGAGCTGGAAGGGGGATGGAGTGGGAAGATGATCTTCCCCTGGAGTTTGCCCATCCAGCGGCCGAACTCCTCTCTGACCACCCCCAGCCAAACTCCTCTAGGTGCTCAGACACTCTTTCCCTTCTCTGTTTCTCTGCCACGCCATTCTGCCATTTGTCTGCTTGTCTCCTCATCTCCTCATCTGCTCCTGGAGCCTGGGGTTCGGTATTTATATGGGTACAGGATAGGGGGGCGTGATCGGCCAAAAGGCAACTTTTTGGGCACAAAAACAAGAATGCCTGTTGTCACTTAGGGCTGAGTTTATCCAGGCTTTAAGCTGGGCCTTTGCTGGGGAACCGCCCTCTTCTACCCAGTATTTCCCTGTCTCCTGTCTGTATCACATTTAATATTGTTGTAGCTCTTTAATAATTTGTTAATTACTTGGGAGATACAAGCCACCTTAATTTACTATTTGCAAAACATGCTTAACTCTAGTACTCCCAATCACAAAATTTTTGTCAAAGACGTTTTTTGAAGAATAAATTATGCTTCAGTAGGGACATAACTGACTAAAAAGCAATCATATGGTAATCTGATTTTCAAAAAAAAAAACAATAGTGCTTCCATCAAGCCCTCCTCTCTTTTCCAAACTACTTAGTTTATTTCTTCACTTTAAGCAACGCTTGGGAGAGGAAAAACTCTAGAAAATTTGCCTGCACATTTTATATCAGATAAGCCCTGGTCCTAAGTAAAGTTGCTTATAAGGTGGTTCAGCTGTTATGTGGATACTGTCATCTTCATTTTTCTGTAATGTTTGTTATTTTGGAATGTTTGTAGGGACAATTGAAAATGTTGTAAGAAGTACAGGTAGTACAGGTGCAGCTTCGTAACACACCTCACCTGCAGCCAGGGCCCAGCCACATCTGACGTTCATGGGGCAGGTGGTTTCTTCCATTTCCATGAGTAATGGGCCACCTCCCTTGAACTGACAAGAAAGATTAAGAATGAGTAGGAGTGAGAATATATGACCCCAGAGAGAATCAGAACACCCACAATCCAAACACAGCACCTGTTTTAGTCTTTGTGTGTGATAGACTGGAACAGGGTTTCTCAACCTCAGCACTATTGACAGTTTGGGTCAGAAGGGTTTTTTGTTGCAAGGTCTGTCCTGTCCATCGTAGGATGTTTATCAGCATCCCTAGCCTCTACCCGCTAGATGTCAATGGCACCTTCTCCAGTAATGACAACAAAAAATATCCTCAGATATTATCAAACACCTCCTGGTGATAGGGTAGGGTAGGGTAGGGCAAAATCACCCTTGGTTGAGAATGACTGGACTAGAATTAGAAGCTAAAGTGGTTTTTGGGATCCTTTCATGCTGTCACAACAAGTCACTCATGTAAAGAAAGAAAACAAAACCACGCTTCATGCATGGGCCCAATGTGTCTTGTGTTCTGATGCTACCATGGCATTGGGCCAAGTCACAGAACTCAGACATCCTGCCTGTAGAGAGCTCACAGTATGGTCAGGGAAGCAGATATGTCAAAGAACAATCATATTTTAACAGGATTTACAGGGAGAAAATTGGTCATATTGTTGGATGTTATGTAGATAGAGCTATCAGATTGCCGAACACACTTTCTACTTTTCAAATGACCCCTCTGGGGTTGGTAGACATAGGCTTATTTTGAATGGGGTGCCACAGAGACACCGCTTGCTCATTCCCCCTTCTTGGAGCCTCATTCAGGTTGCTCCTGCCTGGAAGGTCTCATGTCAGACTTTTATATCTCCCAATACGCCCTGCCATTTACAGGGAGGTCTGCCTCCTACAGGAAGCCATTCTAAATTGTTTTAGCTTGCATTGATGTCTGTCCACCCAGCTCCCATTATGAAACTCATGGTCTCTTCTACACAGTTTATGGCTCGACATGCAGTGTTGTTTGGTCCCCTCTGTTTCCCATGCCATGATCTTATCAAGTAGATTGTGAGCCGTTTGAAGGTAAAAATCAGATGTTATACTGGATTATTTGCATAAAAGGGCTAAGCAAGTCACTGTTTGACTATTTGTCATTGACTTGCAAAACCAGAGATGGGAGGGGAACTCAAAAGTATGGGGAAGGCAAGTGAAAGATAAAATGAAATTGAAAAAAAACAAAACAAAAAAAAACAGGAAGCCAGAGATTGAGAGGTGTTTGGCCTTCTGATGGGCACATTCCTTTCTGCCTAATGAACTTCTATAGATGCTTCAAAACCCCAGAGTCCATGTTACCTTCTCTGTGCTTTCTGTGGCTTGAGGTGACTGGGGGATCCCCTGCAGCCATTGGCCAAGTGTCTCCTCTCTTCCTGGACTGTCAGGTGTTCTGGCCAGGGCTGGGGTATCTCAGTACATTTCTGCCTGGCTTGGCAAATAGTGAGTTCTCAATCAAAATATGAATGATTGCCCTAAAGTTTAAGCAAGGGGAAGATCTCTTTAGTGAGGAAAAGCTTGTTCTTTATTAATACCATAAAACCCTTATTGATGGGAAAACTAAAGGACTGCGAGGAATTCTAGGAACTCATAGAAACGCATTTGTTTGTTTGTTATGTTAAAATATTATTCAAAGTAAAGGATAAAATATGAGAAGGTATCCTAGCTATCCCTCCCTTTCTCCATTCCTTACTGAGGATTAATGAGCTGCCAAATCTCACATAAGAGATTTACAGTTCTTTATGTCAGTGGAAAGAATTTCTTTGCACTTCAAGCAATGTGATATGCAAGCCACAGCAGGATGTCAGGAAAGGAGACATGATTTGGAGTTTAACTGGGAGATGGGTGGGGCAGCAGTGCCCAGACACACTGGTGATTATTCTTCCATCAGACTTCGTCTAGAAGCCTCCAGAAGTGAAGGGCTAGGGGATTTGCCTTACTCAGAGAAGTTATCAGTTAGCGCTCTGTTACCTTTGAAGAAAAGTTACAGCTATGTGAACACCCACTATGTGCCCAGGCACTGTGGGATGTGGGATGTGTGTGTGTGTGTGTGTGTGTGTGTGTTTCCTTTAGTCCTTACCATAACCTTATGTAATAATTACTATTATACAATTTTAAAGGTGAGGAAAATAGGTTCTTTTTGCTCAAAGCCATACAGCAAAGAGATGGAGTAACAGACCCTCAATTCAAATCTGACCTCAGAGTCCAAACTCATTAGCCAGCCTACAACCTTCCAGGAAGCAAAAAAAGAAAAACAAAACAAAAACAAACAAAAAAACCTGAACTTTTTTTTTTTTTGAGGTAAATGGCCTTCCTTGGGGTTCCCTCTCTGTTGGGTTATGCCAGGAGCTAGATTTACTTTTAAAAATTAAGTGTATTTCAAGTATTTTACGATTGAAGATAACACACACCAACCGGACAAATAATTGAAAGAAGATTTTATTCATTTTGCTATTTTAAGGACTTTTCTTCCAGGGCCTTAAAAATAGCTTTATTGAGATGTAATTTATATGCTATAAAATTCCCCCATTTTAAGTGTACAATTCAATAATTTTTAGTAAATTTATAGACTTGTTCAACTTTTATCACCACACAGTTATAGAATATTTTATCACCCCCAAAACATTTCTCATTGTTTTAAGGGCTTTTTGTTACAGAATTCCCAAGTTAGTTGTAGGGAAAAGGAGATGGAGGAGGAGGGATAAGGGGAAAAGGTGGGAAGGAAAGAAAGGTTGAATAATGAAACGAAGTGAGTACTCTAGGGAATTATAGAGCGGAAAGGGGCCTTAAAGATGGTTTAATCAAAATCCTCATTTTAAAGATGAGGAAGAGAAAGGGTCGAGAAGCTGGGCAGCTCAGTTGAGTTGGTGATACACGAAGTCTCTGGTTTTCTGAACTTTGGCCTGTTTCTCCTGCAGTTACCATGACACAAAGATATTTAGTGGTTTCAAACAACTATTTTCCTTTTGCTCACAATTTTATGGTCCGAAAGGGTTCTGCTGGGTGATTTGTCTGTGGTCAACATGGCATCTGCCTAGGATTCTTGGGCAGGAGGATGCACTTCCATGAGAACTTCGCTTACATGCCTAGTTCCTCGGTGCCCCTTGGTCTTCCTCTCCACATGGCGTCTCATCTGCCAGGGCCTCTCTCATGTGTCTTGAGATTCTCATGGCCTGGTGGTTTCAGTAATTCTTATGCGGCATGACTTTTAAAAGAGGGGAAACAGAAACTGCCAGGTCAGTTAAAATCTGTGTTTGGAATTGACACAGAGCCACTTCTGCCATATGCTATTGGTCAAAGCATCCCCTATATTCTAGGGGGTGGAGAAATGGGCACAGCTTCTTGATGGGGAATGGCAAGAGCCACATGGCAAAAGAGAACATGGACAGGATGTATTATTTTAACCATCTTTGGAAAATACAGGAAGCAAGAACAGGACTAGGCAGGTGAACATCTCTGCAACATCCTTCCGCATTTAAACCTGGTTCTTTCTTGTGATTTTGTAATCGTCATTGCCTTGTAGGATAAAATTGAAACTCCATAGTTAATCCCAGAAACCCCCTTCAAGCTTGCTCACGTGGATTCTACTCTCTAGCAACAATAAAACCCCACTATTTCCCAAACACACCGTCCTGTGCACATACTTCTCCTTGTCTGTCCTTCACCTCTCCAGGTCCTCTGCTGTCTCTCCACCTAGCCAACTCTTCTGACCCATCCTGTCAAACTCAGCTCAAGTGCTGATGACTTGATGACCACAGCAGATGCAGTTTCTCCATTCGTCAAGCACCATATTCACTTTTCTCTATGAGTGCATACCAAGCTGTATTGTGATTTTTAGACTTTTGTGGAGTTTTGTTTTTTTTTTTTCTGCCTGGGCAGTGATCTCATGGTGACTTCTGTAGGGTCTGGCATGTACCAGACATCTGATAAGTTGCATGTTGAATGAATACATTTATACATATTAGATGCTTAAAGGGTCAGAATTCCATATGTATTTTTACATCGGTGGTGTTAAGACAAGATAGTTCCCTTGACCCCTTCATGGAACTTGTGAAAGGGTGGCTCCCTTAATCAGCCAACAATGCTCAAACCGCTTGCAAGAGGGGGAGCATGCAGGTGAGTGGCTCCAGGAGCCAGGGCAAGTGCCTTTGGGTCCTGGCAGGAACAAACCCCAAACTGGCCCACAGCAACCATTAAACAGCTCAGTGGAAAGTCAGTGTGACAGCCTCTTGACCTGCACCTGGGTCCTTGTCCAGTGCCCAAGAGGAATGAGGTCACACAGACTTGAAATATGGTGAATGTGGAGATTTTACTGAGCAATGGAAGTGGCTCTCAGTGGGATGGGGAGCTGGAAATGGGTTGGAGTGGGAAGGCAGTCTTCCCCTGGAGTTTGGCTATCAGTGGCTGAACTCTCCTCTGGCCATAGTCTCCGATGTCCAATTGCTGCTTCTCTAGACATTCAGACACTTCTCTCTTCTGTGCGTGTGTGTTGAGTCTGGGGTCTGGGGTTCTTATGGGCACAGGACAGAGGGCGTGGTAGAACAGAAGGCAACATTCAGGCAGGCAAACAGGGATGTCAAGTTCTCATTTAGGATCACAAGTCCAGGCTTGAGGGTGAAGCCCTCTCCAGGGACCCCACCCTCTTCTACCCAGTATTTCCCTGCCTCCTGTACGTATCAGTGTCATCTTACAGTGTGACTTTAACCAAGAACTGAGGCAAAGCCCAGTTCCATGTAGTAGCAGACACTGCACGTTCAACTCAGCTTAATGGGTTGTGTTTTTTCTGTTACTGACTCAGCCACCTTATGATCTTATAGCCATTGTTTCATTCCTCAGAACCCCAATTAAGGAAGGAGACCAATGCATGGAGGCATCAACATACAATTGTTCTAAGATATACCAAATGTCATTTTATAAAGAACATTGAGGTCCTTATGAGAAGAATTACTTGCTTGGTAGCAGTGCCAATTCACAGCTCTCTGCTTGTCCCAACATAGTATGCTGCCTCCCTGTAGCTAAGAGAAGCCACTTTGTAAAAGATTCTGCATAAATTTCATGCAAGGGCTAATCTGCCTCATGCTATGGTCCCTAATTACTAACAGTGTTGTTCTGACTACCAGGAGAAATTGCATTGGCCTACATGAACTGAAATATTTCAAGTGAGAAGGTCATTGCTTTCAATGAAAATTCTGCTCCAAAAGCAAGGTTGAAAACAGCAATAGCCTGTTGAGAGTTTAAATAAGCTCCTTTAGCAAAGGTAGCTTTCAACTCCTGGTGGAGAGAACAAGTAAATCTAGTTATGACCGCCTACTAATTAGTTAGATAGGGCTCCCCTGGGGAGTCTGTATTTAAACATAATTAATACTGAATATTGAGAGGAGTAATGAAATAAAAATGCATCACATGCAGACACACACTTTTAATTCATATGGGGCAAAATCTAGTTACTAAGCCTAATCATATTAGACAGTTGACACTTGGGGAAGATTTCCCTGATTTTAAATAATAGCTAGCACCTGCTTTTGTTATGAGACACAATTAAAACTGAGAAGGAGAAGGCAGCATAAATTGAAAACTGAAAAGCTAAAATGCATTTTTTTTTTGAGATGGAGTCTCGCTCTGTTGCCCAGGCTGGAGTGCAGTGGCACGATCTCAGCTCACTGCAAGCTCCGCCTCCGGGGTTCACGCCACTCTCCTGCCTCAGCCTCCTGAGTAGCTGGGACTACAGGAGCCTAAAATGCATTTTTATTTCAACTTCTAGACTGTTAAATCTGGACTAATAAGCTGCTGACAAATATGAAAATCTACAACAGTCAAATAGGAGATAACATGGAGAGATGAGATGTGGATGGTTCTGGAAGAATTAGAGAATGCAAATGAAGGAATAAATATTCTTTTTTTTTTTTCCTGTGAGATACAGAATCTTTGGTATTTCTTCTGTGGACTCTGTACCCTGTAGTCGGCAAATTAATACTTGCAAGTCAGTCCAAATAGTTGTTGCTCCTGTTAATACTCAGTTATTCAGGGATCTTTCTCAGTTAGACATAACCTTCTTTGTAAGATGCTTACCCTGTAGTTGCTAAATTACTCTGTACCCTATAGTTGCTAAATTAATGCTTGCTAGTCAGTCCAAATAGTTGTTGCTGTTGTTAACTTCTCAGTTAGACATAACCTTCCCACTAAGCATCTTTATTCCTTCTAAGAAAACTTTTTACACCTTCTGCTGCTCTGATATACCTTCCTCCTGTGAATGGAGACAGACAGGTAGGAGATTCTGGAAACAGGATTCAACTCCTGTTTCCAAAGACTTGGCACCTGGGTAGAGGGCAGCCTTTGATGGAAGGGTTTTCTTGGGTAGACACTTCCCTGTAAGGCCCATCTCACTAATGTTGCTCATGTCCTGTTCCCTGGCCACCTACAGCTACCTCTGCCATTTAGAGTCACTCTCCACTCCACATCACTGGGCTCTACTGGTCGTGATTCTCACTTGATAACGAAACCTTCATATTGTATTAATTTTCCTCCTCCTGGAATTGAATTTTGGAACTTCCCAGGCTCATCTGGTCACTCTGGCCCTGGTCTGGTATTCCTTTTGCTGCCTCCATGGCCTTGGGCCAGTTTTACCTTTGTTCTGATTCATCTAGAACTTTATTCTTCTGGTCCTGGAGTTAAAGGGCAGCCTCGCCTACTCCCGTGTCCACTTCACTTGAGTCCTGTACCCCGAGGAAGGTGGGGAAGAATCTCCTTAGTAAAGCGAAGTCTTCCTAGAGGCTGTCTCCTCCCAGGGGACAGCCTGTTTTCTGGGGAAAGAAAATTTCTCTCCTCCTTTGCAATTCTGGGACCCAGGCACATGGTCTTGGACACTTATCCCAGGAACCCCCAGTGTAACCCATCCCTCAGGGTGCTTAATTTCTTCCTCTTGAGCAGCAAATCATACTGAGCACATTGCCATAGTCCTGGGTCATGGCCCTTCAAACCCCCTGGGATTTCCAGGTTTCTGGAAGAGAATTTTTATTGACATTCTAAATTCCATACAATAACATGAAATCCTGACAGCATTCCCGAGTACACATCGGGAGCTTCCCACCCACCTCTCTGCTTTTCTGTTCGTGGCATGATTGAGTTCAAGGTATTTTAATGAACGAAATGATGATCTCTTGTCAAGACACCATCCCTCAAAGGATGTGCGTTACCAATAGCTGAAGAAGTGGAGGAAAGATCTTTTCACACAAGAAAGTGAGTCTGGAGCATTTTCTCATGCCTAATTCTTTTGGAAATAGCAACCAACAATTTTCTTTTTTGATTTCTATGAATTGAAATTATACTGATTAACTTCAAATGAGTGGTCTCTTTTAAAAAACTTTTTAAAAAACCAAACAAAACAAGAAGCTTTTTTTTTTCTGTTACTATTTTGCTCCTATTTTAACTTTTGAAGTTATAATAGAGGAGAATGACTATATGAACAATGGTGAGTCTTTTTAGCCACAACTGTAATTTATATGAGTCTTATTTATTTTTGGCATTTAAAAATGTTTTTAATGAAATTACATCAGTGAAAAATCAACAAAGTGATAGTTTGCATTATAATATGTAAACAGTTGAGGAACCCTTTTTCTCCCTCTCTTTTATGGGTTATAATGATTCTATAAAAATTTGAAACACTAAATATATCTCCATACAGTATCAAATTTCTGCCATGTGGCTGATGTGACAGGACCTGATTCATAGTTGTCATAACCCAAATTCATATTTCTTTCTTAGAAATAAGTGGGTCGTATTTCTTGGAAATTTGATCATCTTCCTTGAAAAATTTCCATTAGTAAACCCATTTCTAATAGGTGTGCATTCCTTTTTTAATGTTCACATCTATATTTTTCTTTTCTTTTCCTCTTTTTACAAAGAAAATGGCTTTTATTAAGCTTAAAAAGTGAGTGTGTACATCAAAAGAGTAGAAACAAGGAAGAAGAGGTTTGGAGGATCATTTAACAAGAACATGCCAACTTTTAAAAAAATAAATCTAATCTAGTTCTTTTTGAATTTTATCTAACAACAGTTTGTAGATTATCTTTTTAAAAAATTAGTCTTAAGTCATTTATGATTTTTGTTGTTCATGTAGTATTGTTTCTGTAATTTCACTTTTCAACCTTTTGCTGCTGATATTTAAATATAATTGATCATTGTTATCTTGTATTTTTTTTCTTTTTTTTTTTTGAGATGGAGTCTCACTCTGCCTCTCAGGCTGGAGTGTTGTGGCATGATCTCAACTCACTGCAACCTCTGCCTCCTGGGTTCAAGCGATTCTCCTGCCTCAGCCTCCTGAGTAGCTGGGATTGCAGGAGACTGCCACCACACCTGGCTAATTTTTGTATTTTTAGTAGAGACAGGGTTTCACCATGTTGGCCAGGTTGGTCTTGAACTGTTGACCTCAGGTGATCCACCTGCCTCTGCCTCCCCAAAGTGCTGGGATTACAGGTGTGAGCCACCACACTCTGCCTGTTATCTTGTATTTTGAGGCTTTGCTAAATTCATTTACTAATTCTAACAGGTTTTCTTGTAAATTCCCTGGGATTTCTACGCAGATAATCATGCTATCTAAAAAGAGAGACAGTTTTAAAGTTTTTCCTTCATCATCTTTATACTTTTCTCTTTTTGTTATTTGGTTCATTGCATTGAGTAGGACACCCAGTGCAAGGTCGAATAGAAGTAAAACGGGTGAAAATCTTTGCCTAGTTCCTGATCAGAGAAAAGATAGCATTTCCCCTCCACACAATTAGGTATGATCCCATCTGTAAGTGTTTTTTAGATGCCCTTTTCAGGTTAGGATGTTTTCTTTCTCTTCCTAGTTTTCATCATGAATGAGAGTATACCAAATGATTTTACCACATCTACTGAGAGGATATTTTTATTTCTAATATGGTCTGTTGCATTGATTGCTATTTGGATGTTATATTGACCTTGCATTTCTAGGGTGAACCTCACTCACTCATGCTGCACTGTTGTTTTTATATATTGCTGGATTCAATTTGCTAATATCTAGTAGAGGATTTCTTCTCATCCGTGCTCATAAAGAATATTGGCCTGAAATTTGTCTTTTCTTATAACGTTTTTGTCAGGTTTTGGTATCAGCGTTGTGTGGCCTTATAAAATGAGTTGGAAAATGTTCTGTCCTCCTCTGTTTTCTGAGACAGACTATGTCAGATTGATAAAATGTTGTCTTTAAATGCTTTATAACATCTGGTGAAACTGGTCCTGGAGGTGTTTGTTATCTTGTTTTGGAAGGCTTTTGATGACAACTTCCGTTTCTATGTAGAATTATTCATACATTCCATTTCTTCTTGAGTCAGTTTTGGTAATTAAGTTTTCCAAGGAAGTTACCTATTTCCTTTATGCTCTGGGATTAATGAGCATACAGCTATTTGTAGTATCTCCTTATTGCTCTTTCCATCTTTAGAATCAGTTATTATATTCCTCTTTCATTTAACTAACTGTTAACAGTTTTTCCAGAGAAATGGTTCTATGTTTTCTAATGATTTTCTCTAGGTTGTTTAGATTTCCTCTTTCTTAGGCAAAGCAAATTCCTTTTGTCTAATCTTTAGCTCAGCTCTGATAAGTTTGTGAAAATGCTTTTCTAGCAGAAAAGACTCATACCAAATCATGAAAATCACTTTTAATATGCAGCCTATAAATACAGCTCTACAAAGAAAGGGCGTATAATTAACTGAATTTTCTATCTACATGTCAACTTGATTACACATTGAGATGTTTTCTGCCAGCATTTCAAATCCCAACTTTAGTGTTGCAATTTGTACACCATCTAAAGATGACTGAATGTAAGTTTTAGCTAAATTCATTTTCTGAAGAGGACACCTCTTAAGAGCAGGTGTTCTCTCCTGTGACACTGTTGAGTGATCCCACCTGTCATAGCGCACAGTATAAATCATCATACTATAAATCTATTAACTAATGATTCATTCTGGCCTGCCTTGTAAAAACAAAGATGAAACAGTACCCGAGACTAAATGATTTAAGGCACCCTGAACAGGTCTTCTCTCCCTCAGAGTTCAGCCTAATTCCCTCTGCGCATGTGCTATTTTCAGAGAGGAAATTGGTTCCTAAATTGAGAAGGTTTATTAACTCTTTCAGACAACAGAAAGGTCCACCTTTTTCTAAATAGCTTCTTAGAGACCTGATGGAGTGTATGTCTTTCTCAAGTGCTTAGCTTACTGGTTGGAAGGGATTTGTACAGGAAGAGACTTGGAGTATCCTGTCATTTCCTTAAAGAAAATTCATAGCTTTCTCTTCCCTCCTTTATTCGCTGAAGGCAGTAATAAACCTCCATTAATTAGTCATACTTCATTGATAAGAACACAGTATTTGCCTGGTTTCACAGCAATCTGTGGAAATTATTGGAGTGCTTTTCTAATTTCTCATGGAGAATACTCCACTAACACGGAACCTCCCACACAAAGATACCCAATTCTGGGCCATGTACATTTTCAGAACCTTTGTAGGACTGGTGGACCCTATTGATACATCTCTGGGCACTTACATGTAAAGAGAATATTACATAATATCCAATGTGAGTTATTTAATTTCTCCCAAAATTTCATTAAAATTAAAGAGATATAACTCCTTGAGTTTGTCGTCTTCGTGTTAAAATTAACAAACTGCAGCTTTCAGATTCAAGAAATATTTGGAGATGCCATTTAGAAAGGTATGAGTCAGATTTTGGAACTTTGTTGGACTGCTTTTGCAGGTGTTGAATTTCTTCCATTGCCACAGCCACCTTTCAAGTAGGTATGACTGAGCCCGTGTTGTTTTTCCTTTCAGATACAGGATGTGTCAGTTTAAGTAGGGAATTAAGGAGTGAGAGCAGAGAGAGTAGGCAGAGAGAAGGGCATTTTAGAAAGAACTGAGGCTTTGGAGACAGATCTGAGTTCTCACTTCTTGACTAACTGGTGGCTTGGCCAGAGTGGATCTTTATCCCATAGGCACTGATGGGATGGATGCAGAGAATGCAAATCTGGCAGTTGGATGAGTGGTGGAAACTAAAGTCAGAATTCCGTGTATTTCCAGCATTTCCTGGGTGTGCTCAGCTCTGTGGTGCACAGGAGGGGGCATGAGACTCAGCTTCTGCCACCGGGAAACTTGCAGTCCAGGGACAATGGGGACGGACACGGCTATCTGGGATTTGAGTGTGAAGGAAGGAAGCCAGCTTTCCCCAGAAGTATAAATAGTAGACAGTGGGGGCCCAGATCGAAGAATCCTGTTTAGGAGAGGAAGTGCAAGAGAGGATGGCTCTTTACAAGAGGTGGCATTAGTGCCAGGTATGGACAGATGGATCAGTTGAATAAAGAGGAGACAGACGTTGCATGCTGAGGAAAGAGCGTGCTCAAAGACACAGAGGGACCAAAGTAAACAGTGCATTTGGGAGAATAAAAAGAAGTCATATGAAGCTGAATTGAGGGATCTCCCTCCCTCCCTCCCTCCCTCCCTTCCTTCCTTCCTTCCTTCCCTCCTTCCCTGCTCCTTTCCTCTCTTCCTCTTAATCGCCCTCCATCCCTTTTTGATCCTTCTTCCAGACACTGAGGATATGTGCTGAACCAAACATTTAGCCCTCCTCGCTGAAGCTTAGAGGGGCAGCTCCCCTTGCAAACATTTAGCCCTCCCCGCTGAAGCTTAGAGGGACATCTCCCCTTGCATTAGGAATGAACCCCGGGGAATTACTCTGAGGAGCAGGGAATGACTCACAGCTTCAAGTTCAGCTAGAAAGCTCTTTCAATAGCCTAGAGAAGACAGACTGGGAAGCTTCATCAGGAGAACTGTCATGGCACTGCAGAGGCAGGGTGTATGCCATTAATTGTTACCAAAGCTCTTGGTGGAATTATTACATAGTCTAGTATAAGTGGTAAAAGCATGAACCTGGAAGCCAGAATACCTGGGTTTGTACCTCAGCTCCAGTCCTCACTGGATGTGTAACCTTGGGCACGTTGTTTAACTTCTCTCTGCCTCAGTTTACTTACCTGTAAAATGGGGATAACAATAGTAATTCCCTCATAGATGAGTTGTGGGAATTAAATGACTTAATACAAATAAATAACCTCTTAGAAAAGTGCCTGGCCTGTATCAGTCCTGTACAAATAGAAGCTATAATTATTAAATTATTAAATTTAGTAAATTACTAAATTACTTCTTCTAGTGCACTAAATGAGGGTGAGCTTTCAAAAGAGGTGCCAGTTGGTCCCACTTTTGCTGGAAACAGTACATGAAATTGTTTATTTTGTAGAAGTAAACAGCTTTTCAGGAATATGAAAGAATCACACATATTCAACTATTACGGAAAGAAAGAAAGCAGTAGCAACTATTTAGAGCCAATCTGGCTATTGTTATATTACTTTTCTTTCCAAATGTGGGAAGAAAGTTAAATGCAACACACACACATGCGCACACACACACACACGTACACACAGACACACACACTCCTATGTATCTCTTTAGAGGAGACAGTGAAATATTTCACTGAAAAGTTTTGGAAATAATCTCACAAACTTAAATCCTGGCCTTTGGATTATTTCCAAAACTTATGGATATAACATTGGGATAGAGAGAGAAGTCCCACGAGACTTATTTTCTACTTTTATCATCGAAGCAAATGGCCCATTAACACAGCTCCTTCAGGCTGAACCCATTAGATAATGCACACCCTCCAAGGACAAGGACACTGGGTGAGTGTTTTCTACTGGTCGAAGGCAGAATTATTTCTTCTAGCGGAAGAATGAGAACAACCCTCCTTTTTGCACATAATGGTAGATGTAAGAAAGCACCGTATATAGTGGGCAGAGAAATTACCAAGATGATAGCTGTCTTCAAAGGGAAATTCCTGTGTTTATAATTGAGTTTAGTAATTTTGGTTTCAGTAATGATGTGTCTTCATTAATTATTCAAAAATGATGTTAATTTTAAGGTTCATCAGTATATGAGGAACGTCTGTTTACTTGTAAACACATTTGCATATTTGCATTATTAGCAGAGAGATATAAAACCAAAAAAAATTTCAGGGAGCTCACTATAGATTTTGTACAATTTAACCTTCTTTAAAAAATAATCTTCAAAAATCCCAAATTACTTCTTATATTTACAACAAAAATAATTTCTATGATGATAGTGAATAGTTAAGCTTCCCAGTGTACTGTAATCAAAGGTTGTTCTTTTTTTCCTTGCCTCCGGACATAATCTTAAACACATTCATTCCAAACTGCCAAGCATTTGAATTGTACACAAATTTAAATTTGCTGTCACCAAAACAAGCGTGAAGCGTCCCTGTTTCTTGCTTCTGGTGAGCCTCTCCCTTCATTCATTCACCCTCCTCACCTAGAAGCAGCCACACCTCATGTGTCAGAAGCATGCCATACAGAAAATGGAAGAGGATGGCACCTCAGGGTCAGTGCATGGCCACTCGATTTCCTGGGTCCCAGGAAACACTACAGCCAGTGCATCCAACCATCACTTCCATCCTGCCAAATCCAAGCATTCAGTAGGGCCTAGCCACACTATGTCTACAGACACCACGGTGAATTATCATGCAAGGAGGCTTGGATCAATTAATTAGTAGGCCTAATTGAAGCCAAATATAATTCATTATGCAGTTTTGAGCTATTCAAATTTACTCCCCTAAGATTACATCATAGACTTATTGCCAAACAGAAAATAGATATCAGTAAAGTCTCTTCTTGGTGAATCCTTGTTACTCCCCTTTGGTTACCTAGGACTCCTCCAGTTCCGGCATACACATTTCGAACATGCGGCCCACCATATGAAAGTCAAACACACACACAAACACGCTTCATGGACTTAAAGGATGCTTTGTTTTTCATCTATCTGATGTGACTAATAAATTGCTAAAGGGTAAAGTAACGTGTATAGACATGGTAGCGCCCATTTAGGATGGTTGATAGCGATTTTCTTCGTTGCTCACCATATTGCATTCAAAACAAATTTTAGTGAGTATCAAAACTGAACAAGAGCAAGAGATACTGACACTTCATATCTGTTTGGTGACACCAGATTTAAAATGGTTAAAGATATGAAGGCCTGGCAGTTTGGAATAAATGTACTTAAAATTATGTCAGTAAACTAGGAACAAAACAACTTCAGACACATCTTGGAATACAGCCTTGATTCATTTGTAATGACAAAATAATATCAACCAGTTTAATTATTTTTTATTTTATTTTATTTTACTTTTAAGTTCTGGGATACAGATGCACAACGTGCAGGATTGTTACATAGGTATACATGGTGGTTTGCTGCACCCATCAACCCGTTATCCAGGTTTTAAGCCCCTCAGGCATTAGGTATTTGTCCTAATGCTCTCCCTCCCCTTTTTCCCCACCCACCAACAGGCCCCAGTGTGATGTTCCCCTCCCTGTGTCCATGTGTTCTCATTGTTCAACTCCCACTTATGAAATAGTTTAATTATTATTCATTCGGAATTGTAAAAGCACAAACCATTTCTCACTAAATTAATCTTTACATTAAAATGAATGGCAATCTCTTTCTCACAGTATTTCACCAAACAGTGTTGTTCGGTTCTGTTATTTAAAACAAAAATAAGGTAATTGACTTTAGAGAATGAAATATTTCAAATGTACATTGGTATTTAATCTTTAACAAATGTAGAATTTAATAGTATCATGAATATGCAAGGTCACATACATACTTAAAAATGTTACATGTAAATTATTTATTTATGGTATGTGTATGAGAGAGAGAGAGTGACAGAGAGACAGACAATGAGGGAGAGAGGATCAGTGTCATAAACTTGCCATTTGGGGATGCATAAGTTCAGATTGAAGGTAAGTAAAGGGTTTGACGAAATTTCAGACTGATCCGATGGACACTGGCTGCTTAAGCTCATTTTTTTAAAGATTTAAAAAACTGTTTAAGAATTCTTCTGAGAAGCCATATGTTGCCATAGCCAGAGCTCTTCCACACAGGATGAGTAAATTATGCGGGTTGTTTTGAGTTTCATGGTTTACTGGCAAACCTTAATAACAATTCTTGTTTCGTTTCTGCTTCAATTATGCAAAAGTGAGAATATGATTAATTAATTCTCTCCAGTCAATAGCAGTCTTGAAGGATTTTTGATCATTTGTACTGTAAATTCTTTTGAATATTGATACTTAGGGCACCAAATTATTTGCCCCACTGAAGCGTACATGCTGAAAATGGTTGTGAGTTTCAAAGATACTTCATGTAGGTACAAATTCTAAATCTTGACAAAAATACTTCATGGCTTACCCATTAGATAATAAAAAGTCAGTAATATCTGAGTATATGGAATGTACCAATAACAGATAATGTACAATTTTATACTTCTCTTATGATTATTCTAGTGTGTTATCTTAAATGACTTTTTCAGTGATGTTCTTATATAACTTATTTGCTTTTTACATTTTTTTCTACAAAAACAAGAGACAGTTCCCTCTTTTTGCAGTAGCCAAATGTATTAAGAGCAAACTAAATTACCAGATAGAGAAGTTCTCACCATGTATGTTCAGAGTGTATTTAATTTCGTGCATGCATGAAAGATAATAATGTGATTTCCAGATACTAAATATTCCTTAGCCATTCACACTCAGTACTATTATCTGGAATCAAACTAGATTAAACTTACAGAATGGTGAATTACTGAAAATAATGAAGTTAAGGCAAGTCATTAATCTTTATCTGCTTCTCTATTTTTTATAGCCTGGATGAAATGAAAAAATTCATTTGGGGTCTCATCAGATTTCAAAGGGTCTAACATTATGAAAAGAAACACAGGACTGAAAATGTTTTTTTTTCTTTTTTAATTATACACAGCTCCTTTCTTACATGCCTCTGTTTTTCTTTTAGTGGCAGAGCATTTCTATAACACTGGTTGAGAAAGTTCAGATGATTGCTGTAATCCTAGGATCCCTGTTCTTAATAGCCAGTGTGACTTGGCTCCTCTGGTCAGCCTTCAGCCCCTATGCAGTGTGGCAGAGGAAGGACATCCTTTTTCAGATCTGCTATGGAATGTATGGTTTTATGGATCTAGTGTGCATAGGTAAGACCATGACCTTCAACGTTAACACACTGTCAGTAATCCATTTCTTTCAGCGATTACGTTTTCACCATTCGGATCTAATAGAGAATGTTGTGGATTGACTTATCTCAGTTCTCCTGTTAATGAATTAGCTGCGGGTCACAATTGGGCTGCTTTTCTAAGAAAGCATAGCATCTATATTCCCGTGTAGTTTGAAAAAAAATTAACAGGATAATGCCCATTTAAAGTGAGATATTGTGCAACTTAAAGAAAGGAGGAAGGGTTGAATAAATTATTTGGAGTGAGTGATATAAGGATAGTAATTTATTTCTAAGGAATGAGAGCAAACCAGTTTCCCTTTACAAAGCTGGGGAAGTCCTGGCTGATGCAAATGGCGGTACTGTATTGTGCGTTTGGGGAGAGGACAGACATCTCGATGTCTTACATCATGATGACTGTGCAGATTCTCTAAGGGCAGAAAGGGACCCCTTGGAAGGTTAGGGACTTGGGAACAGTTTTCCTTGCTGGCCTGTGTCTCTTTGTTTTACTTAATAAACTCAGTGACTTAGAAGAGAAAAAGTATCGAACATTTTAGCTAAAATAAACCCTACAAAAACGTTACTTCGGTGTTTCCTTTGACCCATCTGTTGTTCCCTAGTACTGTGAGAAAACGGAAGCCAATCATGCAGCATTTATGTGGCGTGTGTGAGGTGCACAGGCATCGCGATGGTGACCAGTCGGCGAGGGGTAGAGCAGTGTGGGTGGCTGTGGGGAGGTACCACGGCATTGGGAGCATTTTCCTGCTCTGATGTGGCAGAAATGCACAGGCTCCACCCAGATCTACTGAATTAGGAACATCAGGGGTGGGGCCCAGCCATCTGGGTTTTACAGCCCCTCTGAGGTTCTGATGCATGCTGAAGCTTGAGGACTACCAGCTTCAGCGGATGGATGCTAAGCTTGGGATCAAGAGACTTGGTTTCCAATCTGGGCCTCTGCCAGGGCAGGTCACCTTCATCCCTCCATACTTCTGTTTTCTCACCTATAAAAATGCAAAGGATAATTCCAACCATGCAAGTCTAAATAAAGGAAATAATGATTATAAAACAATTATGTTATTAATTAGAAGTTGTAGATTAAGTATATTTGATTAAGTTGGAAACATTGAATAACTTTGAGATCACTTCAACTTAATGCCTCTACTTACTAGAGCTTTAATTTGACTAGCAATTTTAATATATTCAGTCATTTTTTCTAAAAGAATTCTATAAATGTTTAAAATATTGTCAGCATGATTTTTTTTTTTTTTTACTTTTTTCTTTCCTCCTTTCTCACTAGTACAAGTCTAATAGGAAAGAAAATGATCAAATTTCAGGCCAGAAAGAAAAAAATAAAAGAATGAAATGTTTTGAATAATATATAAACTGAAGAGATGTTGCCGGAATAATTGAGCTAATCATGTATATGAACAGTTTGCATGAAATGTGATAATGCATATGAAAGCATTTGGAAGTTCTAAATCTTTATTCAAATATAATCTCTAGGGCATTGCTCTAATAAAGAAGAATCACAAAATTGATCCACAAATTGAATCCCTTAACACATTCAAAGACAGTGTTTATTCTGTCTTTCAGCATGAATGATATAAAATGAGGTGTTCCATTGATATTAAAAGGGGAGATGCAAAATAAAAGAGCCAGTTAGCTCCCAATCCAACCTGGAAAGGAAAAAAAGTCCAGTTGACTTTCTTGCCCTCAGTATAAACACTCAAAAAGACCATGCATTTCCTGGTCAGGAAATGATTTTTTTTTTTAATTTCAGAACTTGCATTTAGTGCTGAGTTATTATGTCTTAAATTTTGATGACTAATATTAATATTTTGATCAAGATTATTACAGTTCTGGTTTCAAGAGCAGAGACATATGAACAAATAATCTTTTAGTAATATATGACAATTTCAAGCTTCTCTTTTGAAATTTGAGCATTTGCCCATTTTATAAAGTCAAATTTCTTAGAAACAAAAACAGTTGCCATTTTTCTGGAGATACTTGGGAGAATGAGTATTTTATCTGAGTCTTAAATATTGACGGCACTTTTCATTGTGTTTTGGCTCATCAAATCCTAATTTTATCATTCCATGATCTATTTGTATATTTTGAAAAAAATTAAAGAATTCTGATTGAACATTGTTTATTTTACTTGGCAGTTTCACTAATTAGTCTGTTCTGGCTTGGAGAATATCTTAATTTTTTTCCCCAGTAAATTAAGAAACTATTATAGTAAAGAAAGCAAAATACTCCTAGTCTAACAATAGCCAATTGGATTGCAGCCCCGAAGATCTCCTGCTAATATTTCAAATTAATTCACATGTCTGCAAATTAAATGCAGACAGTAACAAAGATTATATTGATTGTTCCTTAAATACTCCCGACTGGAAGATTTAGAGGCAGTGTTAGTGTGAAAAGTAGGTTTACAACTTTGTGTCCCATTTCCTCAGCTCAGTTTGATAAATATTTCCTAGGAACTTTCTATGTGTTGAACAGTGCTAGGTTCTGTGAATAAAAATAAGAGTCACCCACTTTCCTTCCCCAAGGAGCTCATGAGGAGGACAGGCAGGTAAGTAAGTGATTAGAATACAGTGGGATGTGCACAGTTGTGGACGTATGCACAGGAAGGGGTAGTTGAACACCAGGAGGGATGAACTCTGCGGTGCTGTGTGTAGGGAGAGGAAGGTTTCAGGCCGATTTCATGGGGAAGCAATAGCCAAGCAGATGAACAGATACTTGGCAAATAGAGAGCTGGCCTCCTACTTGCCATGGGAAGATGTGAGATTGGCTCCCCATTCAAAGGATTTTAATGTAATTGGAGACATCCCTCTTTCCTGTCTGTCCAAGCTTTCCAAACTTGGTTCTACCTAAGTAGAAGAAACAGGTTGGCAGCTTCATAAATATTATTTGAAAAAATAATTCTGAAAATCTGTAGAAGATTATTCCAGAATCCAAAAATGTTATCATCCAGCCAGTCTATGTAATGCTTGGGAGAGTTGGATTGCTAAATAGAAGTTAAGATTTGGAGAACATTTGTTTACTTGGGGAAATTTATTTACTTATTCCTAGGCACAGTGAATTTGTTTGTTGCTTTCATTCATAATTAATACAGTTTCTTCTTTCCCAATATTTAGTTTTTTTTTCTTGCTATTAACGTTTTGAGTTCGCTCAAGGGTCTAGCCGCTATCATAGTTGAAACATCTAGATCAGGGCTATTCAAAATAACTTTCTGCAAGGATGAAAATATTCTGTATCTGTGGCATCCAATTCTATTGACAGCAGCTAAATTTGGCCATTGAGTACTTGAAATATGGCTAGTGAGATTGAGCAGTTAATTTTCAATTTAATTTAAATAGCCACAAGTGGCTAGTGACTATTATATTAGACACAGATTCTACATAGTGGAATGGTAAGTGTATAAGAGCTTGAATAACAGGTTTCCCTTTGTCTCTATAAATGGGTTGCATTTCCTAAGTGATAAAGGAATTCTTTTCCAAGAGAGGTGAATAAAGTGAAAATGAGTTTGAGAATTAAGAGAAGGGTGTTAAAGTATGTGTGATTGCCAAGAGTTAGACAGTGATAAAGGAGAGACATGTTTGACAAATGACTCTTTTTGTTACTGGAGTTTTTAAGAATACTTCTATGGATCAAATGTGAATTTAATTTTCAATCTGTACTTATTACAAAGTTCACATCTGTTTTAAGGAAATTAGAATGTAAAGAGATTATATCTGGGGAGTGCTTCTACTTGTTTAAATAGATGGCATGATTGTAAATCAGGAAAACTAATAGAAAGGATTTAAGTCACTTTAGGATTTAAGCTAGTGGCAGTAATTTAGGGAGAAGTAACAGCTGAGGAAGCTCATGTTGGCTTCCCACTAAAAAAGATTTGCACAGTGGACAAAGGAAGATGAGCAAACTCAGAAATGAAGTACACCTGCCCGGCAGAAGGCCTTGGGCAGAGGATTTGCTTCTTCACTCCACCCTGGACACTTTGAGAAAAAATAGAAGACCATCATTTCCATTGACCCTTTGATTCAAGGGAAGCTAGTGCCACAAGAAGAATATGTTTATTAATGACTAAAAGTTTGAGGGACCAGAAGAGGGCCATGTGATGACAGGATTTATTTGATTAACTTGCATCTAAAAGGTGAAGGCTGTCACCAAGTCACTTTAGCATCTGATAGAACCAGATGAGGTGAGTTCAAGTTCTGGTTAATAGAAGCAGCAAACCAAAACTCTGTTATCGTCAGTGGTATTTGCAAAATAGAGATAGTAGTGCTTGTACCAGCTCTAATCAACACCGCAAGTTAATGGCAAATCCAAGTCTGGAAATGTTTTGATCTTCCCTCAAGTACTATAGGAAGATACTGATTATGTTTATAACACTTAAAAACACGGATTGCTTTGGTCTCTTAAAATTTTTCCTAATTGTCCACATAATATACAAACACATGTGAAATTTGTGTTTATAATTGTGAAATCTATAAAGTTAAAAAAAGACCACTTAACTCACACCCCCAATTCTGCTATGCTACTCCCTTTGCAGAAATGTCCCCTTTCTGCATTTTGATGTTTATCATCCAGATTTTTTCATTAGGTTTACGTGGGTTTAGGTAAATGGATACTTCCGCATTTTATTTATAAGTGAGATCATACTGTACATGGTGTTGAGAAAATAGTCTTTTTCACTCAACGATATAATCTAGAGATCTTTCCCTGTTATGACAGATGTACAACAATGTATTTAAACTTTTTTCTACTGATGAATTTGTATGTTGTTACCAATTTTTGCCTTTAGGGACCATGCTGTAAAGGACATCGTTTTACATGAATATTTCTTTTAGCACAATTCTGAGAAGTGGAAAGTCTGGGTTGAGTAATAAGATTTTTTTTTTTTTTTTTTTTTTTTTTTTTTTTTTTTTTGAGATGGAGTCTTGCTCTTTCGCCCAGGCCAGAGTGCAGTGGCACGATCTCGGCTCACTGCAAGCTCCACCTCCCGGGTTCATGCCATTATCCTGCCTCAGCCTCCTGAGTAGCTGGGACTACAGGCGCCCACCTAATTTTTTGTATTTTTAGTAGAGACGGGGTTTCACCGTGTTAGCCAGGATGATCTCGATCTCCTGACCTCGTGATCCACCCACCTTGGCCTCCCAAAGTGCTGGCATTACAGGCGTGAGCCACTGCGCCCGGCGGAGTAATAAGCTTATGTAAATTTTGATAAGTCCTTTTACATTGCCAACTAAAAAGGCTTTATCAGTTTATCCCCCCCCCGACCCCACCCACCGATACATATGAGGTCCTTTTTCCTCATACCATGCCAACTATGGATATCATCACTTGTTTGACATTTTAATCAGTGGATTTAACTACACTTAACCATTCGAGTAGTTTTCTTAAAATTAATTCCATAGCTATTTAAGTTTGTGGGACAATTTTATCTAAAAAATAAAAATAAAAATGGCTCACATAGGTCATGCCAATGTGCAGCACATCCTGCCTGATGTTTTTTGGGATCGCAGGGATGCGACATGCAGGGACATAGACGAGCTCTAATCTGTAAACACTAAGAACTGATCAAGATCAGAGACCTTTGCCTCTCAAAATCCCTGCCTTCTTCAGCACACTTTAGGAGTTTTTGGATCACTTTAAAAAAAAAAATCTATTATAATTTTAACGCTACGGGGATTTTATTTCTTAGTTTGTCTCTTTTTAGTGTAGAAAGTGCTTCCTGAAATTGCTTCAAGAAAAATAGCTCTCTCTGTGGCTAAAGTATTGATCCTGTTATTGCCTGTTCTTCATATTATTTTATTTCTCAAAGCACAAGCATGGACAATGGAAGAGATATAGGCGCACACACACACACACACACTCACTCTGATCCCTGATTGATCCCTGATGTATACCCATGAGGAACCAAAAATATCTCTCTTGAGGCTCTTTTGAAATAATGAATTAAAGTATAATGTAATTGTTTATGTTGTCTTTCTTTTGAAAGCTACAGAGATTAGGGAATTTTTAAAAATAACCTGAGATATGCCAGAATGAGGATCAGATAAAAATATCTTCTTATTGTACCAGTTATATTTAATACTAAAAAAAAAAAAAACTGCTCCTTCTACAGAAAGTTCATGCTCTCCAACAAACTTTTATTTTCCTGTACTTTGAAATGAAATAATTTTTCTTTAAATCCATGTAAATTCTTTTTTTTTTTTGTTTTTTTGACACAGAGTCTTGCTCTGTCACCCTGGCTGGATTGCAGTGGCGTGGTCTTGGCCCACTGCAACATCCATCTCCTGGGTTCAAGTGATTCTCCTTCCTCAGCCTCCTGAGTAGCTGGGATTACAGGCACATACCACCACACCTGGCTAATTTTTGTATTTTTAGTAGAGACGGGGTTTCACCATGTTGGCCAGGGTGGCCTTCAACTCCTGACCTCAAGTGACCCGCCTGCCTCGGCCTCCCAAAGTGCTGGGATTACAGGCATGAGCCATCGCACCTGGCCTATGTAAATTCTTACAGTTATTATTATAGCCTTTTAAAAAATCTGTTTGTCCTATTTGATAATATATCTAGCTAGAGCTACTTTGGCATGCACAAGAAAACTACTTTGAATTACCAGTTGGTAATACATTCACATTTCATTATAGAATTTCAGCATAATAAATACCATGTATTATTATGGTTTTAGATGGATTATATTGGACATATATTTACATTTTTTAAAGTGAGGGTAATATTTTTCTCCTGCTTAACTTTGCTACTTTTTTTTTCCAGATGGAGTAGCTAAAAGTTTCACGTAATCTAACATTTTATTGACACGAAACTTAAAATATACATTTACTAACTCTGTGTTGTATGAATAAAGGTGAAGAATTTTGAAAACGAAATTCAGGATAATCAAACTCTGTGATCACAAATAAGTTTCCCACATAGAAGATGACTACTTGTCTATTTAAAACCAGTGTTGCTTCCCCCTAAAATGATGCCTTTAGGTCATCGTCGTCCTCCTTGTAGTTTGCTTTCTATGAATATAAACCAGCTAGAATAAGGAAAGCATAATTAAGTAAATAAATCTACTGCTAAAGAAAAAAATTCTAATCCATTTCAAACAAAATACACATGACTTTTAGACTATCTCCTTTAAAAAATTTTTCATGCCCTCCGGTATCTCTCAGCATGATTCAGGAGTTGACAATGATTTCTTAAATTATTTTAGGTTAAAAACTTACCTAGTGTAAGGAAAGAGAAAGAAATTAGCATTAGAAGTTGAAATATGCCATAATTTACAGCAGAAAAAAATGAGTTTGCCCAAGACCGCAGGAGAGCCTTAAGTTCATTGCCACACAGGTTCATGAACCATAGACGAGCATGCTTGAAAGTGTAATTGTTGGTAAGGCCTTTGGATTGTTGTCGATAGGTAGCGATTTCTTAAGCTGTAAAATATTTATGAATAAATATGAAATTTATCAGGTAGTTTCAAGTGAAGAATGTAAAACTACCAAGAGAACAATCAAAATGTCCACTGAAGACTTTAGGGCTTATGTGGTTTGGGGATGTCTGAGTAGACTAAGCTCTTTCCTGGTCTCCCTGTGGAGAGCCAAGACCACCAGAATCCAGTGTGGTCTGATTCGGGACCACTTGCACAGTGAAGATACTTTCTCTACGGGAAGTGGAGACCACAGCTGCCAACCACCAACAGCCCCGTGCATCTCAGAGCTGTACAAGCAGAGCAGCTGCACACCATTCAAAAGTGTCATCAATTTTCATCAAAAGACTTTCATCACAAGACTTTTGGAGCCCAAATCCAACCATTTGATTACCACTCAATCACCGCCACCATTACCAAGCCTGGAATCTGAGCTCCTGGGGTCACTGAGGATAGCCGAGCTTTGGAAGTTGACAGGTCAGCCAGCATTCACCCATGGAGTGGGGGTGCAGAAGGCTGCTTACCTGCTGAGGCTGACACTTTGGGTTACATGGCAGGCGAGTTATAGGAGGTGGTTTTGCTGTGTCTATCTCATTTTGAGTTTCATGGGAAGTATTAACGTGGATGTGTCTGCATAAATCATGGGGCACGTGAAGAATGAAGCTCACTTTAAACACTATTTAGCTTAATAACCAGGAGAGTTGATTAGCCTAGTATTTCCTTTTGGAGACTTCATATCACTGCAATTTTCCCTCCAGACAGAAGTATATCACCCGCCTCTGCTGCAGGAAATGCTTCCATTTCCTGATTTATAATTTGATCTGGGAACTACATTTTCCTGAGCACCACAATTTGACTACTAAGGCGACCTTTGCACAACTGCTTCTGCAGGAAGGACAGGAACATTCTTCTCCTCTTGCCCAAACCCCTGTGAGTTTCCCTTCAAATTTCATCCCAAGTGGAGGAGCCCTGGGCTGTGAGGTTGGCCGTGCCTGGTGTCTGTTACTCACACAGACATGACTGTTGCAGGTTGGCATGTTCTGGTAGCTCATTAGGAATCATTTCTTAAATTGAGTAGAATTCCTTTACAAGCACAGATCATTATTTCCTGGCTTCAGACTATCTTAGCATGCTTCGCGCCCCAGGAAATGCCTCAGCTTCATTTAGAGAGAGTCTGATTCAACGTGATGAGCCTGAAACACAAGCAGCAGCTTATCCTCCAACAGGAGTCCCTGCCTCGGATCCTTCATGCTTTGAGCACATACTGGGAAAGCCCCTGGAAAGCGGAGGCAGAGCAGCCCTTTGTGATGTGAAATTGTCAGAGGAGAAACAACGCTTTATCCTTTATATGCTTTGAGAAGTAGGCCATTATTTTTTTCTCTTCTCTGGAGGTACAAATTATGGGCTTTTCTATGCCTTAATCATACTGATGTTCACTGATGTCTCTAAAGATTATTATCATAGTTGGTTATGAGTGATACCATTGCCTTTAAAATCCTGGGAAATAGCATAGAAGGGAACTTGTTTTTGCTGCTTGCCCCTTAGTGCTGTGCATGGAATGGCCTCTCAAGGCTAGTTAACCCTTTAAGGCCCCCTCAAGGGGGGAAAACACCCCAACCTAACACTTTGCTCTTATTTGACTCTGTAAAATTCAAGTTCTTATGGATAAACATTAATATAATTAGCAGAACAGCAGACCAAATATGTTATTGTTGAGTTTCGTCTCCTCCATAGGAGATAGTGTGACACTGTCAGTTGTCTCTTTCACTGGGGGCAGTCTAGACAAAGCAGCATTAGTAATCTGTCGAGCCAATATTCATTGCGTATTTACCGTGGTGCTGAGCCTGGAGTGCGGGATAGTGGTATAAATAGAACAAGGCTTGGCAAATTGCAGCCCGAGGGCCAAATCCAGTCCACCGCCTGTGTTTGTACAGCCCGGGATCTAAGAATGGCTTTTACGTTTTTAAATGGTTGAATACATTTTTAAAAATATTATTTCATGACATGTGGAAATTGTAGCAAATTTAAACTTTGGTGCCTTTGGATAAAGTTGTACCGGGATGCAGCCATATCCATGTATTTATGTGCTGTTGATGAGAAGTTGTGACAGTGAATGAAAGGTTAGCACAGCTTGAAAGATTTACTATCTGGCCCTTTACAGAAAAGGTTTGTGGAGCCCTGGAATATAACAATTCCCTACTTTCCACCTGAGGAAGAGGAGACAGCCAGGGAAATAAGCAATTATAGCCTGAAAGTGCCAGGAGAGAAATGTATGTGAGAGCTAATGGGGAAGGTTAATTACACTTAGGACCAGCAGTCTATGGGGGAGAAGAATTTTAAGGAAGAGCAGGAATTAGGATGGGGCCCCGAGAGAGGCAAAAGCCTAGACCTAGTAACGTATGAAGTCCTGTCATTTTTAAAGACATCGTATGAAATCTGGTATGGGAAGAACAAAAGATGTTTGTTGAGGCATAGCAGTAAGGAAAAGGAGCCTGTGGGTGGAGCTCGGGAGGGAGACCAAACTGAATGCTCAGGAAGCCCCAGAAGGATCCCTGAATGTGGCTGATCAAGATTAATATTAAAGAGAGGTGTTTGGTAGCGTGGAAACATAAAGGAGAGTAGGGATGAAAAAGTGAGAAATATTATAATAACCCAGGCAATTGATTAGGCCTGCATTAAGACTGCTGGGAAGCTGCTAGAATTAAAAGGGATTAATCACAAGATATGGTGATCAGCTGGATGGAGGCAGGATGGAAGGGGTGGGGGCGCTAAGAGCAAGAGACCCTCAAGTGTCATTCACAGAGGCTGACTGGGAGATGGGCCATCAGTTGCTAAAACACTGGCTATCAGAAGAGGGCTAAGGGAGAGAAAGGTCATAGGCTCATTCTGAGTGTTTTCTTTTTGCAGAGTTTCTGGGGAATCCAAGTGGATGTGGCCAGTGTGCACCCAGATTTAAGGGTCTGGAACTCAGGCTAGAGGTTGGAACTGGAGATTTGTATCTGGTAGTTGAAACCAGTGTCTGCAGAGAAATGCTTTGGTGAGAGGAGCAGCAGTTTGGGGAACACGGTGGAGAAACAGGAAGGGGAGGGAGAGGATCGTGGCTGGAAAAGGAGTGGGGTCAGGCACATGAGGAGGAGGGAACTTCTAGGAGGAGGAGCAAGTGGCCAACAGTGCCAGATGTTCTGTCAAGGGTTAGGTGAAGTCAAGCCAACAATCACTCACTGGACTTGGCAATGTGGGGGTAACGTGGATGGATGCGAGACCGCAGTGAATTGAGAATGGCTGGGATGGGCAGAAGGGGGTTCAGAGGTGAGTTCACAAATCTTAGCTGACAAAGGACACAGTTAAATGAGGGTAGAAGCCAGAAGGAGGTGTGGAATCGAGAAAGGTTTTTGTTTGTTTACTTTAATAGTAGTGTTAGGCGTGGGTGGATGCTGAAAAGAAAGACCCAGAAGAAATCAGAAGAAAGAGTGAAAATCCAGAGATGGGAAGGGGCAGCTTGATGTCCCTGGGACTGAAGAGACGAGAGCCCAGCACCCAGGAAGGGCTTTGCCTTGCACAGGAGGGATCCTGTGTCCTGAGGGGAGGTGGGCACAGCTGGAGGCAGCTGTATATTCTGCTCTGAGAGAATGAGACATTGAGAGGCCTCCTTTCAAAAGATGCCTCATTTCTCAGTAAGTAGGTAGTGTGGCCATCTGCTTAGACAAAAGCACAATGTGGGAAAAGACTCGGAGGAGAGCAATGAATGTGATGCTCAGCTGCTGAGGGCCCTGGGGAGAGGAGGCTGAGCCCCCTGCAGAATCACTGGGCATGACTGAGCACCTCCTTGAGGCCAGAGCAAGGCCACAAGATCCACAAGGCCATGTGGCTATGGGCTGTTGCCCAATAGGGATGAAGAGTAAGTGCAGAGAGGTGAAGTGGTGAGACTGGGTTAAGATTGGGTCTTGTTCTCCAGAGTTTCTGGAAGGCAGAGCAGCAAGACCAACCTTGCCTTTCCCCTCAAGTGAGGAGAGAAGGGCTCCAGGATGGGCTTAGCTTTCTAGGCTGCTAGGGAAGGATCCAAAGCCAGAAAGAAGGTGGTGCATTGGGAAAAGATCATGCGGTCTAGGGCCTCAAAGTCTTTAGGAGGTGGAAGTGGGTGCATTGAGATTAAGAAGGTGGGTGAGTGGGAGGCATTGGAGGTTGTCAACAATGGGATGGGAGAGCTTCAGAGCTTGGAATTGGAATGGTTTCTGGAAGAGCAAGGCCCAGGCTGGGGCAAAGGATGAATAGTAGAGGGCAATAGGTTGTGTATGTTAGGCCAAGCCATCCACATGGACCCTGAATCACATGGGTCTAGGGGGATGGAGCAGGCTCAGGAGTCAGGGGTCAAACCATCCATCACCATGGAGGGTAGCTGAGAGGCCAGGAGGACACATCTCCCATGGCTTTATCCCATATATGAGTGTGCACGTGTGTGTGTTTTGTGTGGCTTTACCCTGTCACTCCATGGCTTTCCAGAAGAGAGGCTGTAGGAATTCCAAACACATGAGGCTCAGGAGCAACTGCATAGCCTCAGAGAGATCTGAGTGTATCCCCAGGAAGTCTAAAGTGAGCTTATGTAAGAGGCCAAATCAACATGGGAATGGGAGGCTTTCCTTGGAAGAGAAAGCAGAAAGTAGACTGTGCAGCAGTGAGGTCACACCATTACAAGAAGAGCCACCTGTCCCCATCCCTCACTGGGGAAGGCCCAGAGGAGGCCACTCCCTTAACCTGAAAACCTGAAGATTGTACTTCAGAACGAACCCTGCCCCTCTGGGGAACTGTTGGATTTGTACTATTTTGCACCAAAGAACTTTCTTTCAAAGAAATGTGAACATGACCATTCTTCTAAATGATGCTTCCATGCAGAACACTGAGGATGTGGAACCGTGGGCACCAGCAGGGCAGGGGAGACAAACTCTGGGCCATCGAGAACCACACGGCTGAGCATAGAAATGAAGCCCATAGATGTTTTCAGCCACTTCCAAGTAAAGAATTTGACATAGGGTTTTTAAAAATGCATCTCCAGTAATATCTAAGATTGTATTTACTGTGATCTGGGCAACATTCTAAGCATTTTACCTCGATTTTCCCACTTAATTTTCATAACCACCTTAGGAGGCACAGATACTGTTATTCTCATCTGAGAGATGAGAAAACAAAGGCACAGATGAAGCAATTTCCCCAAGATCAAACAGATGGTGAGCAGGACCCAAAATAAGAACCCAGACCCTGTCACTCCACAGCCTGTGTAATGAGTAAGATGACCCACGTACTTCCATTTATTGTTTGGTAAAAACCCCTCTTTATATGCTGAGCTTGAATAACTTGAAGAACTTACGAAATGTTTTCTATATAAACAATAAAGTGAAGCTATTTAAATTTCTGTCTCAAACACTTAAGACATGGTATAGGGAGTAAATACCTTTTTAAATAATAGATGAACTGATTTTAGATCAGAAATGGAGAAAACATTTTCCTTGAAAGCCCAAAGTATTCATTCATTTATTCTAAATTAATAGAGTGCAAAAGAGTCTAAAACAAAAGGGAACATTATTAAGGGGAATGGAAAACACGGAATACACCATACCAAAAGCCATTTCTCTCTTCCCATGGTTCTGAGTGAAACAATTTCTTAATAAGAATTATCTATGTAAAGAATCACATCCCAATCTTGAATTTTCTTACTAGGACATAGAATAGAATATTAAGAAAACTACTGTCTGAGCATTTTTATATTTAGGTTAAAAATTTCATTAATAGTTTTAATTATAAGCATCTTACTGATGTCATGCAGTGAAATAGAAGAGTTACAAATTTTAATTATACTTAGATGGTAGTTTCTGTTTGGAATTTTTGCCTTCTTCCTGTAGGATTTAAGAGAAGTGAAAAATGAAGCCACCAAAAATGAAATAGCTTATTACTAGTCACAAAGATAGACAGGTTTTAATTAGACATTTCAATTTAGATCTTTAAAAATATTATTTTCGCTCCCCCAAAACAGAGCAACAAATACATGTATGGTTTACTGTGAAAATTATTAAAATCGTTTTTTTTTGTGAGTTTGCAGTAGACAGTTTATCCGTTGGAGAAAAACAGAAAATTAGTTGTATTTATTTTCACTTGCCACTAGGAAAAGCCCACCAAGTCTCTTAGAAAAAATTCTTAGAAAGTCTCTTTCTAAGAACTGGCTTTAGTCCATATACTAGAGTGTGGGAAACAAATGGAAATCTACCAAAGCAATTCCCCATGCTAAAACCTTAAATTAACACAGAAGATAGACACTGATAGGCTTTTTAAACCAAATACAGTTTTCATTGAATCAGAGGTTGCAGAGTTATTTATATTCATAAATTGTGAAGGTTGCCGTAATCCTCCTATATCCTATCCAAACGCTGCAATGTACCCTTTAGGATAAAGGCCAGAGAAAAATTTACCCATCTCAGCCTTTGCTGTTACAGAAAAGAGATTTTAATTTAATTCTGTCATCTCCTTCATAGTCAGTGTAATATCCCTTCTGGCCACTGGCCATTTCGCAGGCTGAGGAGACACCGGTGATGACTGGCTTTGGCCGAGGATGGCTCCCGATGTCTGAGTTGTTGCAGAGCAAGCACACGGGCATCCTGTGTCTGGCTCTGATTCTGGGCTCAGACACTTCCTAGGTGCAGGCCCCTGAGCAAGCCACACTACATCACTTCTCTGGGTCTCAGAGTCCTTATTCCCCAAAGTGAGAGGGTTGGATTAAATTATATCCACTACTTTTTAATTTTGAAATTGGGTGACTGTGCTTGTCCACCAGGCTCTTGATGTTCTTACCCCTGTGATATATGATGCTCCCCCTTTGCTGCAAGGTGTTTCATCTGTCCAAGAATTGAGAGACAGAACTGAAACTTCATTCAACTAAAATGTAACTGATTCCAGTCCATTCTACCAATTATAGGAGAACTCTGGGATATCTTTATGATATTTATTATCTATAAAAGTATTGGACTTGTTCTTTCATTTCTTTTATTGAAAAAACATATCCATGGTTTTATTTTCTTGAGCACTGTAGGGAAGAAACTTAGATAATATAACAATTTTTCTCTCCTGTGAATTCTGTTAATCCATTTAAAAAAAATGATAAAAAAGATATACCATATTTTTTGTAATATATAACCTTCACAGCTTTTGAGAAATATTCTTTGAATGTGCCAGTAGTGGGTTTGTTCTCCAGGGTTACTAATTAAAAGATCAGGAGATACTCCCATCTACAAGGAATTTTAAAAATCAGTTAAATGATTGATTCATTGGCTTCTTAGAAAAGCAAGAGGTCAGAGGAATGGACAATTTCCTTTTTACTCTCTCTATTTTGCCTGAAAAGACAGGGAGGAATCCATATCTGTCTCCTAGGTTTTAGGCCTGGGCACAGCCCAGTATCTCAGTTTGTGATTGATACAGGCAAACATTTGATGACCTGGCCAGCAAGACAGTGGAGGAGACAGCTACAGTTTGCTGGGGCTGAACACAGATCCTTTCAAAGAATTTTAGTTCTTTTGCCCTGGCCATGTCCTCTGCCCTGCCCATATGTTCCCCTCACCACCGTTACCCCCAAAGACCAAAACCCACTCGTGAACTATGGGCCCCAGTCCCTAAACTCTTTTCCAATCTCATCCTGAACTGCCTGTCTCAGTTTCTTTGGCATCTGCAAATATTACTTTAACCTTTCAAAGAACAATACTCAAGATCCTTTTCTATTTTCATAGAGCAGTCACAACTAGATCAAGTCATTCCTTGTGACCCCTTAGATCCCAGTGATAGCTACTCTCCTCTCTCTCTCTCTCTCTCTCCCTCTCTTTCAGCAAAGACTGAGTTTTGACCTGGGTACTGAGATAGGAACAGGTTCCCAAAGGCAAATAAGACATGGTTCTGTTGTCAGGGAGCACACAGCTGATTAGGGATTACAGGCATAGAAGCAAATCATTATAGTACAGGTAGTAAGGAAATCAGTGCAGATATTTTCTGTGTAGAGTGGTGGGCAGTAGAAGGAGGGAAAGATTGATTTTGAGTACATCAGAGAAGAAATTGTGAGAGAATCTGGATCTTGAAGCATAATTAATACTTCGTTGTGCAAATGTAAGAGTGGGCATTCCAGGAAATTATCTGTCTTCTGCTTTAAGCTCAGGTTTGCCAAGAAGACAGAATTAGCAGAAGTTTGTGCAAGAGCAGAGAGGAGTTGTGTTGTCTCCTAGGCTTCTGGTTTAATTGACGTGGGGGATGGTCATTAACTAAAACAGGGATGGCAAGATAAGGACAAATTTAACCTGTGTCAGAACCTTTCAGAAAAGGGTGTGCTTCATTCACTGCCAATTAGTAAAAGATGAGACTCCATCTGACAATTGGGCTTTGCCATCTTGTTCTTCCAGGCAGTGGTGTCATCAGCATTGGAGATCCAGCACAGATGTGCTTTTTGTGTCCAGGCCGATGGCTGCAGACTTCATGAAGCAGACAGGGGGACATAGTGTCAGTGTCATAGAATGAACACTGATTTTCTTGTGTGTGCTCCTGGAGAAACTCTGACCTCATTTAGGATCTTCATTATTGCACTAATCATTTCTTCATGTGTGCTTTTATCTACTTGGGGGTGGGTTGGATCATCAATATTTAGAAATTAACCAGCCCCTTTGTGTCAAGGGTTTTATTGTCACGGTAAGTTTCACAATAATTCATTGTCCTTATGTTTCTTGCACGGAGGATTTTATTTTATCAGTGGTAATGATGCATCTGTGTTTGAGCCTTTGAGCTGTGATGATCAACGTGCCATTCTCAACCTGGTTCTGTGAATTTTACATGGTTCTCAGTCATTCTGAGAAGAGCAAAGCTCTATACCATTTATAGTCAACAGTAGAAAAACCAACATGTCTTGGTTAATCTCGCTAATGGTCTATCAATGTTATTTATCTTTTCAAAGGACCTGCTTTTTGTTTCATTTATCTTTTGTATTTTTGTTTCAGTTTCATTTAGTTCTGCTCTGATCTTGGTTGTTTCTTTTCTTCTGCTGTGTTTGGGTTTGGTTTGTTCTTGTTTCTCTAGTTTGTTGTGGTGTGACCTTAGATTGTCTATTTATTCTCTTTCAGACTTTTTGATGTAGGCATTTAATGCTATGAACTTTCCTCTTGGCACCACTTAGGCTGTGTCCCAGAGGTTTTGATAGGTTGTGTCAATATTATCGTTCAGTTCAAAGAATTTTTAAATTTTGATCTGTATTTCATTGTTGACTCAATGATCGCTCAGGAGCAGGTTATTTAATCCCTATGTATTTGCATGGTTTTGAGTATTCCTTTTGGAGTTGACTTCCAATTTTATTCCACTGTGGTCTAAGACACTACTTGATATGATTTCATTTTCTTTCTTAAATTTATTGAGACTTGTTCTGTGGCCTATCATATGGTCTATCTTGGAGAATGTTTCATGTGCTGATGAACGGAATGTATGTTCTGCAGTTGTTGGGTAGAATGTTCTGGAAATATCTATTAAGTCCATCTGTTCTAGGGTACAGTTTATAGGTGCATTTTATGTGGGCTACTTTTTTACATTATTTGTTTTTATATGGACAACAGTGGAGATGCATATTCACAAAATGCTCATATATAATTAAGACATTGTAGTTTCCAGATATCTGGGTTTTAGGATATCAATTTATGACAGCTATGTTTTGTGAGCTTAGTGACTTCTGTGATGACATATGTGTATTTTTCAGTCTTTATATCTTTACGTTTTATCTTTTGCATATTTTGCAAATATATTTGGATATAGTTCTATATATATTATTATATATTATATATTACTTTACATTACATTTATATATAGTTCATATACAGTTATATGTCTATAGCTTCATATATAGTTCAGTCCAACAAAAAACATTCAGTACCTACAGAAGTAACCATGACTTATGGTTATTGCTTTTATGCATATTAACAAGACCCAACAATAGATAGTGACTTTTAAAGTGATTACCTCTACACTCACATCTAAGTTTCCACAACTCCTGGACATTTAAGTTTGGGGTAGGTTAAGAAACAGCATCAGGAGGATTCATGCATTGTATTATATTCTAGCAAAGATCATCACAACAAAGGATGTCTTGGGCCACAGTCTCGTTTGATTAATCCTCTTGGAAGCAACCATGCTCTGGCCTTCACCAAGTAGCAGCAGAAATTAAGGAGTCAAAAGTGGCACCAGTTTATTAGATGGACTCTAAAATGCTCTTCTAGCACATGGGATTAAACAGAGCCCAAAGTCCTCATTTGCTTCCTGTGCACACTCACTTCTCAGAATGACATGGAATTATATCTATGTATTATAGATTTTGGGTGTATAAATATATGAGATGTATTGGGACTGTAGGTAAACTGCATCACCCTCGTTTAAAACATGAGTAAATTAAGTTCTGGAGTTTGTGATTTAAGCAAAGTTTATACAGTTAGTTTCTATCTTTACCATCCTTGTGTGTCACTGACATTATTATACCTCTAGGAGTGCAGGTGAAGCATCCACTCCCTCGTCTCCCTTCCCACCCACAAGGAGAAAAGGGTTGGCAAGGCTTATTTGAAAGCAACACTGTAGATGATGAGAGCTTTGCCTGGGAAGCCACACTCACCCCCAGCCCTCCCAGGAAATGCAAGCCCCTGATGAAACCACAAAGGAGTGCAGGGCAAAACTCTGTGTGCTGTTCAATCAAAATGACCCTTGGGAAAGCTAAATAACACAACTTGTGGCAGATATTTGGCCAGCAGCATATCTGGTGTCTGCTGAAGACTCTCTTTCTGATTTGCAGACTGCCATCTCCCTGTTATGTCCTCACATGGCCTTTCCTTGGTGTATGTACACACACACACACACACACACACACACACACACACAGAGTGAGAGAGAGAGAGAGCACTGATGTCTCTTCTTTTTGTAGTAAGGGCATTAATCCCATCATGCAGGCCCCATGCTCACAATCTCATCTAACCCTGATTACCTCCCAAAGGCCTCACTTCCAAATACCATCACACTGGGAATTAGGGCTTCAACATATGAGTTCACTGGGGACACAAATGTTTAGTCCATAGTAACCTCTTTTATTTGATTATTCTGTGATTACAAGAGACTTCTATACTTTGGAGGTTTAGGATGGATGGGACTGTAGTACTCAAGGTTTACATTTTAGACAAATTTGTGTTCCAATCTCAGCTCTGATTCTTCTGTCTTCATGATGTTGGACAGCTCTCTAGGTCTGAATTTTCTCAACTGTAAGGTTGTTTAAAACTAGTACCTGTTTGTATTTGTTAGTCCTAGCTACTCAGGAGGCTGAGGCAGGAGAATGGTGTAAACCTGGGAGGCGGAGCTTGCAGTGAGCCGAGATCACGTCACTGCACTCCAGCCTGGGTGACAGAGCGAGACTCTGTCTCAAAAAAACAAACAAAAAAAACAAAAAAACACACAAAAACTAGTACCTGTTTGTACAGTTGCAGTCAAGATTAAATGAAAATTGTGCGTGTAAAGCTCTTTGCACAGTATTTGGCACAGAATAGGTTCTTGATACAAATTTATCTTATGAATCAGAAAAACAACCAAACTTATCCAAAAAAAAGCTGAGACTGGTAACACAATATGGAATTTTTTGACCAGTGGTTTGGTAATTAAATCAGATAAAATTTGTTTGTATTTGATCATACATTTTGTAAGTCTCTATTAATTATAACACTTCACATGTTAAAGTAAACATAGACAAATGGTATGTGTATGTGTGTGCACGAGTATGTGAGCATGTGACCATATGTACCTGGATAGCCTTCCCCATCACTTATTTGGGTAAATAGCCTAATACTAGAAAGAATTTCAAGTAACACACTACTTCAAAATTTTGATTTTATTTTGCTTAAATTAAAAACTGTTTATTCAATGAAACCAGAAATTATTTAAGCCTGCTTTTTCAAGATTAATCTCTAACAAAGATGTTTCTTTGCGCTTCAGTAAGGTGATGGTCCAGTTAAACATTACTAGTAAGAAAATGACAAAAACCAACCAACGAACCACACATACACATGCACACACTCCTCAACTCTCAAAACCTTAAAGTCTCATGAATCACATTTTTTATATCCATGCTGTTAATAATGTAGTGAGTATCCTAAAATATTCAGTATTTACGTTTTATAGAAGTGATCATTGCTTTTCGCTTCATGTAAGCTTAGTGACTCAGATGAAAAAGTACGTCAGCCTGTTCGCATATGAACTGAAATGTCAAGGCGACAATTCATTTGATCATCAGTAAGAAAGCATACTAACAGAGTTTTTAAAAGCTGGATTTTCAACAGAATGAGCCAAAGTTGAATGAATCCTTACCCTGGCTTTAATGATCATAGTAGTCACACCTGATAACCACTAGCACAAAAGGTGTTCGCCGTAACGCCACAGCATTTAAAGAAAAAGGGGGAAAAATGCATGTTACAGAGAACAGCCTTGGGAATGGGAATGGAATTCATTGCATTTCAGTAAAATCTGAGCTTGCAGAGGCCAAGGACTAATTCTGAATGCTCTTGGGGAATAAAACAAAATCTAAACATCGTTCATAACCTACGGCAATTAAAAAGCAGCCTAGGGAGCTGGAAATTCAAAGGGACTGTGTCTTCATGAAAACTTCAAGTAGTTCTCTCTCTTTAAATTTGGTTCAAAATGTACTATAAAGACCTGTGGGATTTGTTTGTGCATATTGGTTAGATTTATGTATTTAGAAAAGAGCTACCAGGAATATATTCCCAGAAAGTGACTTTAAGCTCTAGTAAGTGATCTGATTTCTGGCCTTGCAAAGGAAATCAATAAGAAAAGAATAGGATCTTGCAAAGTCAGTAGTTTCCTCTGGTGAAGCTGTGCCCCTGCACCCTCCATCACTGACTTGCCCAGAATGAACCTGTCTCGGGCTGTAATTGTTTTGGGATTAGTGCGAATGTGTGTTCCCCACCACATAGATTCACTATTGATTTTTAATTAATAATAATGTCTTGTATTTATAGAGTTACCGTCCCAGAAGAAGTGTGAGGGCTTCATAGTTGATGAATTCCAATTTATTTTTATACTGCCTGGCTGAATGTAAAGATTAGGTGTTCTGATTTCATTTTAAGGAGGAAAAATTGAACCCGAAATGTTAAATTATTGACCATGGGGAATTCAGCAAGCTAATAATAGAACCACCAATTAAAATCTGGTAGTATTGACTTTTCATTCTGGCTGTTTCCTGAAAATATCTGATCGGTTAGGTCAACTATGATTATTCCTTTGAAAAAAGAAGTTGATAAAAACAATTATTTGAAATTGTTATGATGAACAGAAGTTTACATTTCTCATTATTTTGGTCATATATAGTAACTGGGCTTAAGATATGTTTGCTTGTTAGACCACATGCATTTTTTGTAGCCTATATTAATATATTTGGAATGCTTGTAAGTCACATGTATCTTTACCTCCTGGTAAGGGACCAATGCAAAACTTAAGTTTTGACATCAGGTAGGTGTCATTTTTCAAGGACTGGGTAGCTGTATCACCACCTGGCATTGTTTTATCTGATGGAAAAAGGTAATAGTCTGTCCAAGAAAAACATGCTCAAAACACTTACCTCATTGTACCTATGGGAAGGTTACTAGCAATCTTTCAATCACGCATTCCTCCAGCCTTAAAAACTTGGGACTCTGATTTTCCCCGCTTTCTTCCATTACAGTTTCTGTCAGTTTTCCCTGGGAATTTATTACTTTATTTCTCTATCCTATCCTTACTGCTATCACTCTTCTCTTCATGTAAATGCGGTGACCTCCTTACTATCTCCCCAACTCCCCAAATCCACTTTAGATTAACTTTTCTAATAAATTCTCTGTTATTTTTGAAATTTTGAATTATTCAGTCACCAAAAATACACAGAATAATATGTTGAGCATTAATATCTCCACCACCCAGTTTAAAAAATGCAACATTTGGGACACCCAAATGTTGAAACCCTCTTTGAAGCCACTTCCCAATTTTGTTTCTTTCCTTCCTTCTTCACTACCATGAATTTAGTGGTTATTATTCTCATCAATGCTTTTATATGTCTACCATATATATATGTGTGTGTCTTTATTAAAATGTATAGTATTTATTCATTCTGGTTGTTTCTTTCTGAAACTTTAATTTTTTCATTGTGACTTTGGGATTGTCATTATGGTTTCAGAGGTATCCACATTAATGCAGATGACTATGTTTCATTTTATCTCATTACTCTTATCCATTGGTTCTACATACAATTTATCCATTCTTCTGAGGATAGACTTTGAGATGCCTTGCAATTTTTTCCTTCAAATACAGGCAATTAGGTAGTAAACATTTTTTAACTTACTTCCTTGTTCACATTTGTGAGAGTTTCTCTAGGGCATATACCCAAAGGTCTAACTGCTAAAAGGTGGGATCTGCTCATTTTTAAATTTATCATTAAAACATGGTTGTGCCAGCCGACATGCTCTGCTCACATGCCGTACTTCATCTACCAAAGGATATTCATTGATCTCTCTACCAACTTCAGTGGACTTTCAGCCTCCTCAAAGAGAAGAGCTCTTCCTCACTTCACCTCACCTGAGAGACCTTCCCCAGGGACTACTTTTTGTGAGGGATCACGAATTCAAAAGCCTTTGGACAACACGCTGAAATGTAAATGTGTGAAATGCAGGGTGTGTGACAGATCTGGAGTGGATAGTGGAGATGACACATGTGCTAGTGCATCCTGTCTGACTTAACGGTTTCCAAGTTTGCTGTATTACTTTATTTTCCTGAGAGTCTGTCTCAGAAACGTGGAAAGATCTGATTCACTTTATAGCAGCAAAGAGCAAGGACCCTGGAGCAAGCCTGCCTGTTTTTGAATCCCTGCTCTCCACCGCTACTAGTTGTATGTTTTTGAGCACGTTTCTGAACATCCCCAAGGCTTGGTTTCCTTGTTTGCCAAACGGGGTAAGTGCTAGTACTTAAATTTATAAGACTACGATGAGTACTACATGGGATAATATTCATAAAGCTCTAAAGTAACTGTTCAATACATTTTTGTTGAATTGTTGAGGAGAGTACAAATAACAAAATTTACATGGTTTTTACTGTGCGTCAGGCATTGTTTTAGGAACTGGGGAAACAGTAACCTTAGTATCTGTAATGACATTAACATCTGTCTCTTTCTCAAACTAAACTGCCAGCTGGGTTCAAGCCCCTAACACATTGCTTGGCCACACAATGAGCACTCAAGAATATGTGTTAAATGCATAAATGAACCTAATGATTCTCCTAAGGCAATATAAATTCCCAAAGCAAAATCTGAGCCATGATGGAGCAAGGAAATTATATCCACAATAGCTTGATTCGCTACATATTAGTGTATTCTCATTCTTCAAAAATGGATTATTTCTGTGTCATATGGGTAGTAACTTGCCATTAGCCATAATATTTGAGTAAACAGAATACTGTATTTTTGCTGATGATGAATAACATAACTATTTTTGGATCCCTTACTTGTATACAAAATAACACTCCCAGCCTTGGATTATCACCAGTCTTTTTGGTTTTTTATTTTCTCAAATTTTAGGTCTCATTGTTCATGAAGGAGCTGCAGTTTACAGAGTGTTTAAGCGCTGGCGAGCTGTGAATTTGCACTGGGATGTGTTAAATTATGACAAAGCCACAGACATCGAAGAAAGCAGCCGGGGAGAGTCTTCCACAAGTAGGACTTTGTGGTTGCCATTGACAGCTCTGCGGAACAGAAACTTGGTCCACCCAACTCAGTTAACCTCACCAAGGTTTCAGTGTGGCTATGTGTTATTGCACCTGTTCAATCGGATGAGGCCCCATGAAGACTTATCAGAAGATAACAGCTCGGGGGAGGTTGTGATGAGAGTGACTTCAGTGTGACAAAAGCATAAGATGATGCAGTGTGGACCACCCTGCACATTTTGCAATGTAATTGCAGTGAATGGCAAAACCATAGCACTTCTAAAAACACATCTATGAACTTTTTAAAATTTATGCTTTTTATATGAACATTTGAATTGCAAATACATTTTTCTGAGAAAAAGAGTCCTCTTGTTCTTCGTTGTCTGGTTTGTCACATCTTTTATAAGTTGGTACTTGAAATCATTATACATATAATTTAACTATACTTGGTTAAAAGAATAATGAAAGTTATCCTTAAGGCCAAAACTATTTTTTCTTGCTTGTTTTAAATATATTTTTATGAAAGCTTTCGCTCTGTGTGTAATTTTTCAGACCTGTTACAAATGGTTAAGAGTTTAGGATGCTGTGGGCAGATTCCAAAGTGCCTGTCAGTTCTGCAACATAGAGAGCTCTGAGGTGATGCTCTTGTGCCTCGTGCTGGTTGGCAAACTGAAGCATGACTTTTTGCTGTGTTGAAGTAACCAGTCACCAGGAATGCATGGTCTAGGACTTATGTCTTGTTATCTAATTTCTGAAACAGAGAGCTTGTAAAAAGATAAAAATGAGTGAAATAAAAATAGCTTTACTCCAGTACATATTACATAAGCAGGGCATCTTGCATACTTATAACCCCAAAAGCTCACCAAAATGTTGTGTCCTAGTACCTGCAATAATGACAATGACTAACATTTGCATAGCCCTCCGATAGACCTATCACAATTAATTTAGTTAATTATTAGTGTCTTGAATTCTTTGAGCACCATCTTAATTAGATTTTCTTTTTGTAAAACCTTACATACCTTCTTAAATCATTTAAAAGCTAATCCTATTACTTGGTTTAATGAAGTTCTATGAAATGTGTTTGCCAGCAGTGAGAAGTCTTTTTCTTTCACTAGATGAGTATTTTTTTAAATGAAAAGAGGAAATGAAAAATGAGGCTATTGACTCCCCAGGAACAGGTTGCGAACTAGCGGTACCTGGGGATTTTCTACCTTCTTATCTACCTAATGGAGGCAATTGGCACATTTTAATGAACAACTGCAGAGCAGATGAGAAGACAGGAAGGATGTTTTCCCTAGAAACATGAATTGAACATGCTGGTTGTTTGAAGTAATCAATGACTAGATTTTAAATCATATAAAATAAAATGCTTTACGTTCTATTTTCTAAAAATAACTCTTGGGTGATTAATAATAGAATAGTTCATGTTTACATAATGGAATACCTCACAGAATAGAATTGTGATTCCTCCATAGCAAATTCTCCCAAAACTTGAAATAATATTTTTCCAGTCAAAAGCTGTGTCACAAATGATAAGGATGTGACAATTTGCAGAAACGTGAAGAATGAATCATAAAAGAAGGAAAATTCAGCCGCTATTTAAGGGCAGATTCAGATGTTGAGAATGTTAAACAGTGTTTCAAACTTTGATTAATTGCTTGTTTTAATCTGATGTTCCATGAGCACAGTCCTGGGTGAGATTCCTGAACAGTTTCATCACTAAGGCAGATCATCAACAGCGTAACGTTTAATAGAGGATAATTGTGGTTAGTATTGACATTACAATTTAGAGCATTGTGTTAAAAATACTGGACTAAGAGACTTTAGACACAAATTATCACTGCTCCACTGCCCTTCGAATTAGTGCACACCTTTGTATTCATATCAACTCACTCGAAAACAAAAAGGGACAGAGGATGAGAACCCCACTTTCTGTAATGACTGTATGGGGTGCATGAGGTGGAGAAGGCTGGAGACAAGCCTGCTTGATGGAAAGGCGAGTGGATGATGGAAATATCCATCAGAAAAAATAAAATAAAAAACACGCGCCCTAGTCTCCCTATTTCCCAAGACCTTGCTCTTTGAGTGTACCTTTTGTCTACATCCTGTCTTCACAGCTCCCACCTTCTCTCTCTCTCTCTCTCTCACACACACACACACGCACACACACACTGAATCAATGTTGGAATAAGAAATTGGCAGAATTTCCACTCAACAAAATGTACCATTCATGAAAATGATTGCATAGAAACTCAAAAGAGGCGGAGCGTGGTGGCTCATGCTTGTAATCCCAGCACTTTAGGAGGCTGAGGCAGGTGTATAATTTGAGGTCAGGAGTTCGAGACCAGCCTGGCCAACATAGGGGAATCTGTCTCTACTAAAAATACAAAAATTAGCTGGGCGTGATGGTGCCCGGCCTGTAATCCTAGCTATTCAGGAGGCTGAGGCACGAGAATCGCTTGAGCCTGGGAGGCAGATTGCACTACACTCCAGTCTAGGCAATAGAGTGAGACCCTGTCTCAAAAAAAAAAAAAAAAGAAAAGAAAAGAAACCCAGAAGAAACACTCCAAAGGTGGGGAGTGCATTTCGAGAATTGAAATAATAGAGCTTTAAAATAATTAAAATCCTTAATATCATGCTATATGAGTTAATGCCGTCATTCAAACTCGGGCTGCCATACATGTCAAAAACATTTATGGTAAGGAAATGAGTTGGAAATATTTTAAATTATTATCTTCAAAATCTTTTTCAATATGATACAGATTTAGAAGCTGTATGCAGCCTCTTTTCAATTATTTGTAGTAGAAACACGGAGCACTTTCTGTGCTGGGCACTGTTAGCGGCAGGGCATGGATAAGCCAGGTTGTCAGGAAAACTCCGTGTGTGGGGATAGGCTGCACTGCATCATATGTATCAACATACAGGTGAGCTAAGAGAGGTGCCAGGCTAGAGGGGTTGTCAGTTGCCCTAGGGCAGCTGGGGAAGGTGTCTCTGATGAACTGACAGGACATGGGTCTGGAAGCATGAATAAATACTTGCCAATCAGATAAGGAGAGAACACTCTGGAACAGCTGTGGAGTAAAAGGCATGTTCCAGCAATGGAGAGGCTTCCTGTAGGGGACCGTGGGCCACAGGTGAAGACACGACCCCACCTTAGGTATCTAGGTCTGGATCTCATATAGAAGATGGTGTTCAAGCAGTGGCTGGTAAGATTTAGCAGGATCGTTTGTGGGAGATGGATGTTCTCTCTTCACCAGTTGCTGCAAATTCAATGAGGCAATAGAAATACTAAGGCATCAAATGGGCTATGCTGCTTTCTTTCGCTCTCCCAGGAGATGGCAACGTGCATCATTGTGAAGAGGAAAGCACTTCTACTCTTGTGGAGTAGAGGACAGTTTCTCCATTATTAAATGAGCCCCGAACACTTTCCAGAGTAAATACATGTTATCATCTGATTTTTCCTCTCTCTATATATATATATATTTTTTTTTCCTTTTTTTTTTTTGAGAGAGGGTCTTACTCTATCACCCAGGCTAGAGTGGAGTGGTGTGATCTCAGCTCACTGCACCCTCCGCCTCCCAGGTTCAAGCGATTCTCATGCCTCAGCTTCCTGAGTAGCTGGGATTACAGGTGGCCGCCACCACGTCTGACTGATTTTTGTATTTTTTAGTAGAGACGAGGTTTCACCATGTTGGCCAGGCTGGTCTGGAACTCCTGACCTCAGATCAGCCCCCCGCCTCGGCCTCCCAAAGTGTTGAGATTACAGACATGAGCCACCGCACCCACCCATTTTTTGTGTTTTTTTTTTTTTATTCTATACATCCCAATAACTAAAACCAAAATAAAGCAAGCTCTCTCTGTTGTTTTTGTTTCAGCCTGGGACTGCTTCTCTTTTCTGTTTTTTCCCCATAAGTTAACAATGTTAGCCTGGCCTATTATTTTTGATGATGGACAAATGTTCCCTCCTCTCTTGCCTATGTATGGGAGGAGAATTAGCCATCTAGCAATTGATGTGTCCCTTTTTAAAATGTATTTTTTTATTTATTCATTCATTCATCATTCATTATTTTTCTGAGACAGAGCCTCATTCTCTTGCCCAGGCTGGAGTGCAGTGTCGTGATCTCAACTCACTGCAACCTCCGCCTCCCGGGTTCAAGCGATTCTCGTGCCTCAGCCTCCTGAGTAGCTGGAATTACAGGCATGTACTACCTTGCCCCGCTAGTTTGTGTGTGTGTGTTTTGTATTTTTGGTACAGACGGGGTTTCACCATTTTGGCCAGACTGGTCTTGAACTCCTGGCCTCAAGTGATGTGCCCACTGGGCCTTCCAAAGTGCTGGGATTGCAGGTGTGAGCACCACGCCTGGCCTGATATGTCACTTTTAAACAGAGGTATTGCTTTGCCTATATGTCTCTGTATAGCTTACTTTTTAACTTATATCTTTTAATAGCAGTAAGTTACAAATAGCTGATATTTTAAACTTCTCTTTCCAAGTTCAACCTTTTACAAACTAAGATGTGGCAAAGTTTGTTTTAAACTATGTATGAAATAAATATTATATATTACATAATACATAATAAAATGTTATATATAATAATGTAATATATAATTATTTCATTATGCACATATATATTATTTATATAAATGACATAATTTATACAAAAATCATTTGGTATTCTACATATTAAAAAATAATAGGTTAAAGGCCTTAAAAAGTACTTTAGCAATTAGCTTAGTGCCAGTTTATCAGTTCAGAAAAAAATGTTTCCATCATGTGTGGGTGATACAGAATTGCAGCAGATGCTATAATTTATAGCAAAGCTCAAAGTTCTGGTCCCCAGTGGTACCTAGAGATTAATTGATTTCCTTCGTAAAGGTGCCATTTTATATACCATGGGTTTATGTGGTTAATTTGTTAAGGAGCTTAAAGTTGTTTTGGCCGGGTGCAGTGGCTCACACCTGTAATCCCAGCACTTTGAGAGGCCAAGATGGGTGGATCACGAGGTCAGGAGTTCAAGACCAGCCTGGCCAACATGGTGAAACTCCATCTCTACTAAAAATACAAAAATTAGCCAGGCGTGGTGGCGGGCGCCTGTAATCTCAGCTACTCGGGAGGTTGAGGCAGGAAAATCACTTGAACCCAGGAGGCGGAGGTTGCAGTGAGCCAAGATCACGCTGTGGCACTCCAACCTGGGTGGCAGAGCCAGACTCCATCTAGAAAAAAATTAAAAAAAAGAAAAAAGTTGTTTTAAGACATTTTCTCCCTAGGAAATATAGGACAGTAGGAGCCAATGGGAGAATGAAAATAATGCACAGTTTCCTATAAAGTTTTGGTGGTGTGTTTTTTAATCATGTCTTTTTTTGTTTTTGTTTTGTTTTTGAGACAGAGTTTCACTCTTGTTGCCCAGGCTGGAATGCAATGGCATGATGTCGGCCCATTGCAACCTCCACCTCCGGGGTTCAAGCCATTCTTCTGCCTCAGCCTCCCTAGTAGCTGGGATTACAGGCATCCACCACCACGCCCAGTTAATTTTTGTAAAGACGGAGTTTTCAACCATGTTTGCTAGGCTGGTCTCGAACTCCTGACCTCAAGCGATCCACCTGCCTCAGCCTCCAAAGTGCTGTGATAAAGTTTCTATTTCTTTTCCAAAAATAAGTGAGCAGTCACTAAATTTTCTTGCAACTTTTCATATTGTTGAGTTTTCTACATGCAACATGGCTTTTACGGGAGAAATTATCTTTTTCTCATATTACAAATGGGGAAAATGTTTGCTCTAATATGTACAGAGAAGGGAGTTTAATGCATCTGTCATGGTGAGCTGGGCATTTAAAAATCTTGCTTATGGACCCATCAAACAGGGATATTCATGGCAACTGCTGGACCTCAGAAGGGGCATCAGCTGTGGGCAAGAGGAACCATGGAGAGAAACATCTTATTACAGCAGTGGAGTTAGCTCTTCATCACCGCTGCACAGGGGCTTTGGGGCCGTGGAGATCTGCACAGAAGCTGCTGTGGCAATGAGAACAATGGGTGGAGGCTATAGAAACTCACTAGGACACTCTTCCCATGATACTCTTGAGAATGTCAGGATTTACTAAAAAGGAAGAATCAAAGCATGGATTAGGAGACCAGCAGAAGGAAATAAAAAAGCACTCTTCAACTAAGTCCTTTATAATGAGTCCGCTTCTGTGAGCTGCAGCTCTCAGGATGCTTCCTTCTCTATAGCCCCATCCTCATTCATTAATCTTGGCTTGGGCAAACACGGTGGCGTTCTCCCCACAGTGCCATTGTTGAGGCTCATAGTGGGACCCAGCTTGCTCCTGCTGGGTGTGTTAATGAGGATCAGTGCCCCAGATGAGCTGGAGAGGCTTCCCTTCACAAGGAGGTGAGGAACAAGCCAGGAGCAGTGGCAGCCATGGAGGGGATGAGGAAAGGGTGGGGACACAGTGACCAGGAGCCCAAAAGTCACCCTGTGAGGTGAAAAGGAGGGGAGGCTGCTGGGACCACAGGATAAGAGACAGGCTGGTTTCAAGTTTATGGTCGTGTGGAGGATGGAGTCAAGTAAACTGGCATTTAGAACAGAGTGGTGTAAGTGCTGTCTTGCAGAAATAAGAACTTAAGGAAGAGCACATGGGAAGGACAAGTGACTGAGACTGAGGGTTCAGGGAGGATTTCCTGAAGGAGGTCACCTTTTAAACTGAGAACCTGAAGTAGCAGGGGCTGACTTAAGAGGCAGACAGAGTGTGCACAGGAAGCAGGCACATTTGGAGAGGAGCAGAACACTTGGCTATTTACATGTAAGAGGCTGATATGGTTTGACTGTGTCCCCACCCAAATCTCACCTTGAATTCCCACGTGTGTGGGAGGGACCTGGTGGGAGGTAATTGAATCATGGGGGCTGGTCTTTCCTGTGCTGTTCTCATGAAAGTTAATAGGTCACACGAGATCTGATGGTTTTAAAAAGGGGAGTTTCCCTGCATAAGCTCTCTTCTCTTGTCTGCCACCACGTGAGACGTGCCTTTCACCTTCTGCCATGATTGTGAGGCCTCCCCAGCCACATGGAACTGTAAGTCCAATAAATCTCTTTCTTTTGTAAATTACCAGTCCCAGATATGTCTTTATCAGCAGTGTGAAAACAGACTAATACAGAGGCGCAGAGAGAGAGGGAGAGCTGACCAGATGGCTCCTGGGGTCTGCAGGATGGGGGAGCCCTGTGCTGACCCTGGGACAGGGAGCTCAGGGCAGCAGGAGTTGGTAGAATGATCCTACGTCCTTTGGTGGCTTCGCTGAGTTTCTGCACACATAAGACAGCAACGTGGAGATGACTAATAGGCAGTCAGATGTGTGAGTCCAAAGCTTAGGAGCAAGATTGCTGCTAGAACCTTATATGACAGGGACATAGATGGGACCAACACCTGTGGGAGGAGTGGGGATGGAGTGGGGGAGAGAGAGTGTGCAGAATGGGGGGAAAGACCAAGGGAGTTAAATGTTTAGAAGCCACAAGGGGAAAGACTGCTTCAAAAACAAGTCAAGAGTATCAAATGTCCCTGAAAAGTCAGATCAGGACTGTGAAGCCTGTGGCATTTAACGCAAGGAGGACCTTGGTGCTCTTGACAGAAGCAGTTTCAGTGAAATTGCAGGTGGGGGAGAAGCTGCAATCTAATTGTGAATGACAGTGACAAGTAGGCGGTGGCTGTGTTTCTCAAAGTGGGATTTCCTTTTCTTCCTCCTTTTTAATTTTTTATTCGTCGTTTCTCCCTTCCTTCATTTCAAGATGTGAACTCCTTGAGCATGTTTAAATGGGAGTTGACATTGTAAATAAGTGAGGAACATAAACCTCCCTGAAGAGGGCGGAGGGGGTGGGATCTGGAGCCCTGCACAGTGTTTGAGCTGCAACTTCAACCAGAAGGGAAGAAGGAGAGTGGGGGTATGTGCATAGCACGTAATGCAGGTAAGTGCATAGCTTTGGTTAGAAGGAAATTAGGGAACCCCTGCTTGGTGGCTTCCATTTTCTCTTTGAAGTAGGAGACCTGGTGCTTCATACTCAACCTCTCTAAACCAGAACTCTTTGTTTCTCCTTGAAAACCTGTTCCCCTGTCATCTCTGAAAATAGAAATTGCATTCTTATAGTTGCTTAAGTCAAAAAACCTTGGCATCATCCCTAAATCCTTCACTCCTTTGTATCCCATCTTCAATCCACTAGTGAATTCTATCAGTTCAGTCTTTACCATTTTTTCCAAATCTAATTACCAGTCATCACCTCCCTTGCTCAAATAAGCCACCATCATCTCTCATGGGATTATCTCAATAGCTCCCTGAGGTCAATTGTACTGAGTTGAATGGTGTTTCCTCCAAAATTCATGTCTTCTTGGAATCTCAGGATATGACCTTATTTGGAAATAGGGTTTTGCATATGTAATTAGTTAAGATGAAGTCAAACTGGATGAGGATAAGCTCCAAATCCAATGATTGGTGTTCTTATGAGAAAGCCAGGTTAAGACACACAAAAAAAGGTGACAGGTGATGATAGAGGCAGAGGTTGGGGGGAGGGAGCTGCAAGCCATGAGGGCCAAGACTGTTGGCAGTCACCAAAGCTAACATGAAAGGATGTTCTCCTAGTGCCTTCAGAGAGACCATGGCCCTCCTGACACGTAGATTTTGGACTTCTGGTCTCCATAACTGTGAAATAATGTGTCTATTTTTGAAGACACACAACTATTGGTACTTTGCTATGACAGCCACAGAAAACTAATACACTCCTCTTGCTCCCCATAGTCCTAGCTGAGAGCAACAGAGTCATCATTTCAGGGTGTAAATCAAGTCATGTCATTCCTCTACTTAAACACACTCGAATGGGGTCCCATCTCACTGAGAATGAAGTCAGTGTCTTTGCAATATCCCACAAGGTCCTACGTGATCTACCTCTCTGACCTCAGCTCCTACTACTCTTTTACTTGCTCAGTCTGGCTTGTGCGAGCTGTGAAACATATGAAGCATCTTCCTGTGCTCACTTCCTATGCTTCGTCTACCTAGAACACACTTGCCGCATGTCCTCATGGACCACTTTGCTTCCTTCCTGTCATGAAGTCCTCTTGGACCACTCTAAAATGGTGCTCTCTTCCTGCTCTCTGCTCCCTCCCTCTGCCTTATGTTCCCTGGAAAACTTTCCAGCATCCAACGTAGTATATGTTTATTTCCTACTCTTTACCTCCACTAGAACATAAACTTCATGAGAGCTGGGGCTATATTTTGTTCAATGCTGCTCCCCTGATGCTTAGCATGACTGGCACACAGCATGATTGGCACACAGTAAACTCTCAACAAATATTTTTTTAAAATCAATAAATGAATATGCTAGGAATAAGAAAGGAGATGTTAGGGTCAGAGGAGATTGTTGAAAGTTTAAATATGGTGGAGGATGGGAAAGGAAGGGAACTGGGAAAGAGAAGGCTTGTCTGGAACAGCAAGGTGACAGTTGATACCAGAAACCGTGACTTTATAGGGTCATCCATGTGAGCACCCACTCCTGGGCTTAAGTATAAAGTCTTGCACTAAGTAGGTTAACTTGCGCAGAAGGATGCCCTGATCAACACTGTGTACAGTGTTAACTGGACAAAGTTTGCATTAAAAAGAATCATGTGACAATGTTGAAAGCCAAATAAATCACCATTATTCACCAGCTAGGAGATTGCAGTGCATGTGCTGGTCAGATTATATAACCACTAAGATTTCTTATAGCTCTGACACTTGCCAGTTCCCTTCCTCCCCGACCCTTCTTCTCCTCCTCCTTCTTATTCTCGTTCTTTCCCTTCTTCCCTTTCTTTTTCTTCTTCAACACCAACACACCATTATCAGAATCCACATTAGCTTCAACGTCTTCTTTATCAAGGCAGACCTCTTTCTGGCTGCCATCATTTCAGAAACAAAGAGGAAATACAATTTATATGAAGGCTGGAAAACATTTTATCTTTCCTGAATAGATTATCTCTTCAATAGTTATTCTGCCAGCTGAGATCCTTGGAAAGGCTCTACAAATATCTTACAGGCATTTGTGATTTGAATAAAGTTTTCTGAAAGGATGAAAGAATTGGTCTGTTGGAAATACTCTAAGATAGGCTGTTTACAAGTTCCTGGTTGAATGTTTTAGACTATGATTAATTTCATCACTGCATGTCTGGAATTGCTGTAATGTCTATTGAATGAACAATTACTCATTGTAACAGTTTCCTGAAGCCTTCTCTATGGGCTGCAAAAATGCCTATGCAATTAATCTCTAAATGCCCTCTGTAGCATATTGGTGATCAACAGAGTCAAATGAAATTACATAGACGTCTTCCCAGTTGGGGAAAAAATGAGGGGTCTAGCAAGAGCCAGGTTGAGTGATTCAGTGTCAGCCTAGAAGCGTTTGGTACAGAAGGTGTTTACAACAGTTTTTTAACATGGAGTAACTTCTCAGGCTGTCAGCTGTACTGATACTGAGTGCGTATGAGAGACAGTGTTTAAATACCTTTTCCCTAAATGTTCTTTCAAACTCATAATGTGTATGGGTCAGAAGTTTGCATTTGACAATTGTAGCTTATGGAGACTATCCTTTGGACGAATCTCGACTCAGGTTGGATTTCCATGGCCCCACCCACTTTTGATTGGGTGTTGCTGGATTTTGAGCAGCCACCACTTCCTGGTATTCAAATAACCATGAGGAAGAAAAACCCTGTAAACCTATGTCTGGCGACCTAGATGCTCCACCACCCAGACCCAGCACCTAAAGGAGAGAGTCAGTGGTGTGTGTGTGTAAGGAGTGAGCGAGCAGGGGGATAGGGTCAGGAAGAACCAGCAGCTGTGGCAGTTCATGGCTCAATGTTACTTAAGAAGCATCTTTCAACCTGGCCTCCTCCCTAAGTAAGACTGACTGATTGATGAGAAGGAAGATGCTGAGACACATGACCATGAAACAAACAGAAGATAATGTCTCGTATTAGTTTCCTATTGCTATAGTAAAAAATTACCACTTTCTTAGTGGCTCAATAAAACAACACAGATTTATTATCTTACAGTTACAGTGGGCAGACATCCCAAATAGATTTTAAGGGGCTAAAATTAAGGTGTCAATGTGGCTGGTTCTTCAGGAGGCAATAGGGTACAATTTGCTTTCTTATCTTTCCAGCTTGTGGGGTTTCTCACGTTACTTGGCTCGTGGTCCTTTCCTCCATCTTTCAAGCACACCACTTCAACCTCTGCTTTCTCATCACTTCACCTCTCTGACTTTGACTCTCCCATCTCTATCTTATAAGATCCTTGTGATTATGATTGGCCCACCCAAATAATTAAAGATAATCTTCCCATCTCAAGATCATTCACTTAATCACAAGTTTTTTCTGCCTCATAAGGTAAAATATTTACAGGTTTGGGGGGCATAACCAGGACATCTTTGTGGGGCCATCATTCTGCTGACCAAAGATGTATTTGGTCTGAGCTCGTGTCCAAGCACATTACTCTGAGTCTCTAAACTTTTGTTAAGGCTACCAAGTGCTTGAGTCCTAGCTGGACATGGATACTGCCAAGCATAGTTCTCTGCATGGACAAGGTACATTTCTGGAGAATTTATTTTATTATATTTGAATCATCAAATTATTTACAGTTAAATCTTAGAAGCAAGTAGAGTCCAGGTCACCAACTAGCCCAACAAGGGAAGAGTGGGAAGTGGGAAAATCCTGCTCTGCCCTCATCCCCACGACTGAGAGCCACTGTTGCAACTACCAAGACAAAGTGTTGACAGCACAGCTCTCTGCGCTTTTACTCAAATTGCAAATTGCTTACCTGCTTATGCTTTACCCATCACAAAGCAATCTGCTTCAGTTTCATAGTAATCCCTTTATGGCAGAGAGCTCCCAGGGATCATTTCTTGAATTAAGACGCCCAATGGAATTCACTGGCAATGTAATGGGATCAGAGAGACCTGTAAGTAGAATCATGTTGTTCTTTGAATTTCACTTGCTTTAATTTTTATTAGGTATTGTTATAGATAGTAAATGTTATAATAAATTTAAGTATACAATTTGAAAATTATGGATGAGAAGGCATATATATATGTATGTGTATATATATGTATATATATGTGTGTGTGTATGTATATATGTGTATATATATATATGTGTATATATATATAGTTGGAGGTGGGGTCTGGTGGGAGTGACTGGATCATGGCAGTGGTTTCTAATGGTTTAGCACCACCCCTCAGTGCTGTCTCGTGAGTGAGTTCTCATGAGATTGTTGTTTAAAAGTGTGTAGCACTTCCCACTTCGCTCTCTCGTCCTCCTGTGTCAGCCATGTAGGAAGTGCCGGCTTCTTCTTCACCTTCCGCCATGATTGTAAGTTTCCTGAGGCCTCCCCAGCCATGTTTCCTGTACAACCTGTGGAACTGTGAGCCAATTAAACCTTTTTTCTTATAAATTACCCATCTCCAGTAGTTCTTTATAGCAATGTGAGAACAGACTAATACACACAGTAATATATCGTCATCTTCCTTCCCTGAGGCCCTCAAATTCACACTCTCTGTGTTCCTTTGCTCGGTAAATGGCATCATAATCCACCCAGTCGTCCAAGCCAGGATAGACCCATCATTGTTATCTTCCACCTTTCCCGTGTATTTACTTCCTTAATATAATTCAATCCCATTTTCTCCATGCCAACTGCCACCACCTTAATAACGACCCTCCAGATATCCTGCCTAGTTTTCTCCAATAGCCTCTTATCTACTCTCCTAGCTTCTAGTTTTGCTCGCTTCAAATTATTTCCCATATTTCTGTGAAAATTTTTTCTAAGACATAAATCTAATCATGTTATTGTCTGACTTAAAATTTTTCGAAGCCTTCTCTTTGCCTTCAGGATAAAATCCAAGCTCCTTAACATGGTACCCAAGGGCCTGGCCCCTTCTGATCTCCCCAGCTTCATTACTTGCCATGACCCCACAAGCACACAATGCTCCAGCCAGAATGGAGACTGAAAACCAGCATGGATCTGAGTTGAAAATTACACACAGTTACCCAAAAATTCAAACACAAAACAAAAAGGAACTTTACTTTTTGTAGCCTTAGGCTTCCAGTGGTTCTGCGGTCTCCACCCTCATTGAAGGTGGTAGCTGGAGTGGGGGCAAGGCATTTGAATTTTCCAGTCAAGACAACTCAGTTTCTTCTGGTCTAAAACAATGTTCTAAATAAAAAACTGTATCTTTAGGGTAAATTTCTTACTTAAAAGGGAATTTTTAACCTTCTTCCTTTTGTTCCCCCTTTAACTCTGAAGGCAGAAGGAAAAAGGGAGGAAGGGTTATATATAATCCTACAGTGATGGGAGAGGAGACATTGGTGGTCACCTTGTGATTCTATCTTATAGGCCCCACTGACCTCTGTCTGATGTACAGCTAATTGCCCCCAGTCTTTGGGCGTAGGCTTTGAGCCTCATTGCATCTGCTGCACCAGTAGTCCGAAGGCTTCCTCTGTCGCCTCGTCTTGCATGGTGGTTGCTCCAAAGTAGTTTGGCCATCTGCTCCCCACTGTGCCATCCCCATCTTGGCTCTCAGTGGGCCACCCACCATCTGAGTCTCACCCTGTCTTGCCACTCTCACCCTGCAATGAGCTCCAGGCTTTGAGCTGTCTGCCCCATGGGATTTACTTGTCCCAGACCTTGAAACCTCCCGTGACTGATGTGCAAATTCATTCTTTTTCTTATAAACTAATTTTATTGAGTGTTAATGTACTGACTACAAATGCACACGTTAAACTACAGTTGACAAATGTATATGCATGTGCCACAAATATCCCAGTCAAAATGTAGAACATCTTTACCACTCCAGAAAGTTTTTTCTGCTCCTTTCAGTCAGTTTTTGTGCCTCCCAGAGGTAAAAGCTGTTGTGACGTCTATTGAGATAGATTCGTTCTGGCTGCTCTTGAATTTCATGTAAAGGAAATATGTACATACCATATACTGCTGTACATACTTTTTGCATCTGACAATATTTGCTTTTCGGAATGCTTTTGGGATCCATCCACGTTGTTGTGTTTATCAGTTATTTGTTCATTTTTATTGCTGAGTACTATTCTATTATAAGAATGTATCGGCCGGGGGCAGTGGCTCACACCTGTAATCCCAGCACTTTGGGAGGCCGAGACGGGCGGATCATGAGGTCAGGAGATCGATACCATCCTGGCTGACACTGTGAAACCCCGTCTCTAATAAAAATACAAAAAATTAGCCAGGCGTGGTGGCAGGCGCCTGTAGTCCCAGCTACTTGGGAGGCTGAGGCAGGAGAATGGCGTGAACCCGGGAGGCGGAGCTTGCAGTGAGCGAAGATCACGCCACTGCACTCCAGCCTGGGCAACAGAGCGAGACTCTGTCTCAAAAAAAAAAAAAAGACTATATCACAATTTGTGTATCAATTTCCCATTAATGGACATTTGGACTGTTACCAGTTTGAGGCTACTACAAAAAAATGCCTATGAGCTTTCTTGCACACCTCTCCCATCACTGTGATATCATGTAACCCTTCCTCGCTTTTTCCTTCTGCCTTCTGAGTAAAAGGGAAGAAAAAGGAAGAGGGTTAAAAATTCTTTTTTGTTTTTTTCAAAAAGGTATTTATCCAAAAGGTTCAGTGTTTATTTAGAAGATTGTGTTTGTACACATTTGTAGTTTCAAGTGTAGAGGTCTGTTACATCTTTTGTAAAAATTTTTAAGTATTTTATATTTTCATGTTTTTGTATATGGTGTTGTATTTTTATTTATTTTAAGTTGTTTATTGTTAGTACAGAGAAACAAAATTGACTTTTCTATGTTGAACTTGCTAATTCCACTAATGATTCTCACAGACTTTTATTGTTGTTGTTGACTCCTTGATGTTCTCATGTTCTCTACCCACACAATCAAGTCTACATCTGTACGTAATGACTAATTATTTCCTTCTATGAAATTTGGATTTAATTTTTACCTTCTTTGTCTAGCTTCTTTTTTTTTTTTTTTTTTTTTTTGAGATGGAGTTTCCCTCTTGTTGCCCAGGCTGGAGTGCAATGTCACAATCTCGGCTCACTGCAACCTCCGCCTCCCAGGTTCAAGCAATTCTCTTGCCTCAGCCTCATGAGTAGCTGGGATTACAGGCACCTGCCACCACGCCTGGCTAATTTTTTGTAAATTTAGTAGAGATGGGGTTTCACCAGGTTGGCCAGGCTGGTCGCGACCTCCTAACCTCAGGTGATCCACCCGCCTCAGCCTCCCAAAGTGCTGGGATTACAGACATGAGCCACCACCCCTAGCCCTTGGTCTAACTTCTTAAGGTAGAATCTTAGATTATGGATTTTTAGCCTTTTTTAATTTTAATTTTTATTTTTTGAGACAGGGTCTCGCTGTCACCCAGGCTAGAGTATAGTGGTGCAACCTCGGCTCACTGCAGCCTCGACTTCCCAGGCTCAGGGGATCCTCCTGCCTCAGACTCTCAAGTATCTGGGACTAAAGGTGCACGCCACCACGCCCAGCTAATTTTTGTATTTTTTGTAGAGATGAGGGTTTTGCCTTGTTGCCCAGGCTGATCTCGAACTCCTGAGCTCAAGTGATCTACCCGCCTCAGCCTCCCAAAGTGCTGGGATTACAGGCATGAGCCACCACTCCTAGCTTTATTTTCTCCTAACTTGAACACTTCAAACTATACGTTTCCTTCTAAGTGTCGTTTTTACTGCATCCTGCAAGTTTTGATACATTAATTTCCTTATTCTGTACAAAATACTTCGCAAATTCCCTTGCAGTTTCTTCTTTGACCTATAAATTATTCAAAACTATGTTGTTTAATTTCCAAACATTTGTGGAATTTCTAGATCTTTCTATTATTGATTTGTAGTATTTAGAATTTAACTCATTGTAGTCAGAAAGATACTTCATATGATTTAGATCCATGGAAATGTATTAAGATCTTTTTATAGCCAAGTATATGGTCTTTCTTAAGTATCAGCAATCTGTTGCTTCATAGCAAGCTACTCCAAAACTCAGTGACCCAAATACAACCGTTTATTATTTTTTAATAATTCTGTTGGCTGTCTGGATGATTGTTCTGCTAGTTTCCCTTGATCACACTCATTCAGCTGCATTCAGCTGGAGGATTGGCTGAGTCTGACTCAGTTGGAGCACTGGCATGACTGGGCCTCTCTCCATGTGCTCTTTTCATCTCAGCCAGAGCTTCTTCGCATAGTGGCAGCAGCATTCCAAGAGGGTGCAGACAACGTGTCAGGGCCTCTTGTGGCCTTGACTCATAAGTGGCATAACACCAATTCTGCCATACAAGTCACAAGACCAGCTCACATCAAAGAGGTGGGAAAATAAACTGTACCCTTTGAAGAGAGGAGGGACTAATTAATTTGTGGCCCTGTTTGATGGAGGCTCCATGAAGGTTCCTATTTGGAGTCTTGAAAAAATGCCCTTGCAATTTTTGAGTATGGTGTTCCATAAATTTTTATGACCACAAATTGGTTAATAGTGTTAAAATCTATATCCTTAGATTTTTAATCTATATTTTTTTACTCAACCATGATTATGGAGTTGTCTATTTCTTTTTTGCTTGTAAGTTTTTGTTTCATGTGTTTTAAAGCTCTGATTTTAGATATATATGTGTGCATATGGGAACGTTATGTCTTCTGGATACATTGAGTTTCTTCATTATTAAATGTTCTTCTCTGTCTCTGGTATGGAAACTTACTTTGTTAGTATTAATTTTTCCATAGGAGTTTTCTCTGGGACTTCCACCTGAGCCAGCCCCCAGGCCAACATCAGCGTGGGCATGAGGGGAAAACTTTTATAAGGTGTTCATGAAAGCAATCCAAATAAAATATTTGATTGTCTAAAGTGGAAAGTCCTTAGAGTTTATTTTTTGCCTGATACTGTTAAAATAACTAGTCAGGAGACCATTGGGCTGAAATGCCTCCAGTGCCTTGAGTTTCTGTGTAAGCAAACCGAATCTCACTCAGGGTAAGCAGTAAAACAAAACCTAAACTTAACTAATCAAAAACCACCAATTAACTTCTGACTAGGGACTTTCTCTGAGGAGTCATGAAGCACTTGTGGTCTAGTGCTGCCCAACTCATGAATTGCTGAATGCTCAAATAAACTTTTTTACAAGTCAAATGTGCCTAAGTCTTTAACAGTATACATCATCTCATCCTTTTAGTTTGAAATTATTTATGTTTTATATTTAAAGTTTATCTCTCTTTTTTTTTTTTGGTTGTTTTTGTTGTTTTTGTTTTTTCTTGAGACTGAGTCTCGCTCTGTTGCCTGGCCTGGAGTGCAGTGGCCCAAACTTGACTCACTGCAACCTCCACCTCCCAGGTTCAAGTGATTCTCCTGCCTCAGCCTCCCAAGTAGCTATGATTACAGGTGACCATCACCAAGCCTGGCTAATTTTTGTATTTTTATTAGAGACAGCATTTCACCATGTTTGCCAGGCTGGTCTCAAACTCCTGACCTCCAAGTGATCTGCCTGCTTCAGCCTCCCAAAGTGCTGGGATTATAGGCATGAGCCACCGCACCTGGCCAAGTTTATCTCTTGTAAATAGCATGTAGATGAGTCCCACTTTTTATTCACTCTGAACATTTTTCTTTTATAAATTCCTTTTGCCATGTAAGGTGACATATTTCCTGGTTCCAGGAAATGGAATTTGGACATAATTGGGGGGCCATTCTTCTGCTTCACACATCTCTTCCCTGCATTCCTCAGTTCCCATCCCCTTCCAGAAGCCAGTGTAATTCCCCTCAGGGAAAGTAAAATAATAACAATAATGTGCCAAACAAAACAAAACCTCAGTTTTTAAATATGCAAACACAGACTTAGGGATGAGGAGGATATAGAATTGTTCTCTAGCTTTTAAGTCTCCCATGGAAATACAGGGGGAAAAACTCATTAATTAGTAGTTCAATAAATTACCTCTCCACATTTTGCTTTTCTTAACCCCAAATTTATCAAATTTTCTCAAAATCTCTAAAGATAAAAGTACCACTTAAAACAGGGGTATCAAATATTTTGGCTTCCCAGGGCCACATTGGAAGAAAAAGAATTGCCTTGGGCCACAGATAAAATACACTAACACTAACAGTAGCTGATGAGCTAAAAAAAAATCACAAAAAAACTCATAATGTTGTGTTTTGCCACATTCAAAGCCATCCTGAGCCACATGCAGCCTGTGGGCTGTGGGTTGGACAAGGTTGATTTAAAACATCAATTTATATAATTCTTTGTCAACATCTATTCCCAGAGAACCAATGATGAGTTTAGGCAGAGATGGATTTCATCTGAAGCCAAGGAAATTTTTAACTGTCAGAAGGAGGTCTAGAGAGAATGCACCACCCATTTCTCATAGGTTTAATCTTTGTTGCTTGCCTAGATCCAATAGCCTTCCAGAAAACACAATTCTGATTGCATTTTTGAGTTATACCCTGAGAGATTTATGCCTCAGTAGCCTCGGTTTCATTGGAGATCTTCAGAGCCATGTTTATGAATGATTTGCATTAACTCCATTCCAAATAAAAGTAAATTAAATTTACTGAAAGAAATGCAGAATGACCCTGTTCTTTTACTTTTCTTTTCACCTTTACTTAAAACACTCTGGAGTATAACTTAGATTGGTCTTTTTCTGCTGCTGCTGAAAGAAATAAGTTCAGTCAAAATGGCAGGTAAAATTTTTAATAGGACTTTATGACTCAAGTCCTTTATATTTGGACTAAAATAATATTAAAACACCTAGCTTCAATTAATGAAAACAGCTGCTTTTATGAGTAATAATTTTCTGGACATAGCAGAGAGTGTACCTGAAAATATAGCATTAAACTAAGTAAGAAAGTATGTCTGCAACATACACAAGCTTGGAAGACCTGTGACTTACAGGTCTGGTAAATAACAGTGCATTGCTATCATTACTGGTGTTGGGCATAGAAGGTTCTGTGATTCTGCAGAGGCTGATCTGGAGATATAATCAAAATGGGTAGTTCTTTTAAAATAAATCTCCTAAATGTGTAGTTGCAGCATTCTACAGAACAGCAAAGCAACTGTTAGCTCCAATATATCCACTTTACTTGGTAGTCATTACCAGACCAATATGTATAGTTGGGTAGGGACATGAGAAGTCTCAGCTGGGCATGAGTGTGGAGAGAGATTATAGCAGTTTATCAGTGTCAGTGGAAATATCATCATCAGGGCAAAAGGTTGGAAGAGCTCTCAAGGTTTCATTCTCAAATGTCTGGTGCTTGCTTTATGCCACTAGCCATTGAGTCAAATCTAATTCTCATCCATTGTGTGTGCTCTTTAGAGACACTTAGGATCAATTCTAGCTGTGCTCAGAGGTGTGCTGAATGTCTGGCTCCCATCCCAGCTTCACAGCCTCACTCAGGGCTGACAGCCTTAAACCTCAGCAGCACCCAAGACTGAAAATGGAAAACTTGCCTTTGGAAACCAGGGTACTTTGTTGGAAAAATATTTATCAATCCTCAATTTTGTGCCAGACACCCTGGAAGAGGGTGAGGGAGGGAGTTTGGAGAGAAGCACATCTGGGAGGTAGGGCCAGTATGTCCTTAGACCTGAGAAGAGGAGCCCCAGTCATGGGTGCCCTATAGTAAAGGGTGCTGCTCCAGTCCCTGTTAGCTGCATTCTCTCCATGGCACAAGGAGACTGGAGGCCAAGGGCATGTTTCCACCTAGAATCCTGCCAGAGCCCATTTCTTCTTTTGGACCATGCTCCAGGCATCAGGATCTCCGATATTTCTACCCAAATGGCCTGAGTCAGCCTCCTGAGCCTACCTGGGCCTCTTCTCTGCATTTGTTCTCCTGGAGCTGACCATCCTGCAGCGTGGACATCCCTAATATCTGGGGCTGGCCAAGAGGCAGTTGACGGCAAAACAGTGTATTTGTCTGTTCTCATGATGCTAATAAGGACATACCCGAGACTGGGTAATTTTATAAAGGAAAGAGGTTTAATGGACTCATAGTTTCACATGGCTGTGGAGGCCTCACAATCATAGCAGGAGGTGAAGGAAGAGCAAAGGCACATCTTATATGGCGGCAGGCAAGAGGGCATGGGCAGGGGAATTCCCCTTTATAAAACCATCAGATCTCGTGAGTCTTATTGATTATCACGGGAACAGTATGGGAAAAACCCACCCCCATGATTCAATTACCTCTCACCGGGTCCATCCCATGACACATGGAGATTATTACAATACAAGGTGAGATTTGTGTGGGGGCACAGAGGCAAGCCATATCAAACAGTATGTGTGAATGAAGCTTAGAAGTATAGGCTGGAGGTTACACACATGTGACCAAAGCCTTTGCAGTGAGGAAAGGATCCCAGGGGTGAACAGAGAAAGGGAACAGACATGGAGTCCAAGAATTCTAAGTTCAAACCTGATCATTCAAATTTCACAAGATATTTATAAAGTCAACAGGATAAAACTTATTTTAACAGTTTTTAACTTGATTTTTTAACTCTTAAATATTAGATATCTTTATTAATTTGTACTCTTGCCTTGGAGCCTTTAAATATTAGGAGCATATCTGTAAGCATGGAATTATTGTATAATTATGCATAAATAATTATGTATCATCAACTTCTATGTAGGTCTTTGCAGGGGCCTTTTAAAATTTTTTCAGGGCTATCATAATTCTGCAGACTTCTGGGTTTAAAACTAGGCTTTATCTCTTAATATTTGTGTAATCTTGGGAAAGTTGCAGTAGAAGTTTAACTTGTCAGACCCACTGGTTGACACCTGCTTTCTATTCTCTTGGTAAAACATATCCAATGATACCCCAAGCACTCATTCCAGCTATCTACTGCTTCATAACAAACAATTTAAACTTAGTGGCCTAAAATATCTACCTTTCATCTTGCTCACTGATCTTTAATTAGGAAGTGTTCAGCAGAGATGGCTCACCTCTGCTTCACGTGGTACATGGCAGAGTGGCTTGACTGGGGACTAGAGGAGCTACTTTCAAGTTAGTTCATTCACATGGCTGGCAAGATGGTTCTCGTGTCAGCTGAAAGCTCAAGCCAGGGCTGTGGGCTATGGGCCTTGGTTCCTCTCTATGTAGGCATCTCTATAGTTTGGGCTTTCTGGCAGCACATAGAGAGGTTTCAAGAAGCAGCATTGTAAAAGAACAGGGCAGAAGTGTATGGCATGTTTATAATTGAAACTTGGAAGTAATATGGCATTATTTTCACCATACTTTGTCAACGTAGTCACCAAGACCCCTCTAGATTCAAGGGGAGAGGACATAGATTCTACCTCTAATGGAGGAGTGGCAAAGTTCTAGATGAGCATGTGAGATCATACATGTAGTTACATCTACGTTAGGAATACATACTCTATAGTATGCATTCTCTATAGTAAAAAGTTCCAGATGAACATGTGAGATCTTACAGGTAGTTACAACTATGTTAGGAATACATCCTCTATGGTAGACTCACACACTTCTCCTCTTACCAGGTGAATTGTCTAACAGTTAGTTCTCAGATCTCTTAATACTAGTTGTCATCACATAATTTAATTATATGTGATAACTAATGATGAAATCTGAATGTGAAAAGAATGCTTTTTTCCCCAGTGAAAACTAGGCTGAATGTATTGGAAGGACAGGATATGAGCAAGCCATGCAAATTGGGCACTGGAAAAATAACTGTAATATATTAGAGAACAGTGAAAAAGAAATCTAGAAGGATTCTGCATCAGATTTCTTTACACATATCTCCAGGTTTACTTCACATTAAAGGAACTAAAACTAGATAATGGTGAGCATATGTTATGTGTGTGGTTTCTTCCAGAAAAGCAGTGCTGAATTGCAATTAGCAGACCCTCTACTGAAAGAAAAGTCCTTGCCAAATTGTACATTCATATGTTTTAAAAAAAAAAGTTTAAGATTTGCATAAATCAGCTTTTAACAATTCCCAGTTTTAATTGGCGTTTTCAATTAATTAATTGTGGATACTTCTTGCTTTTAGTAAGAAGGCTACCATCGTACTTGACTCCCTTTTTCTTCCATTTTCTCATCTGTAAAATAGATATCAGAATTATGATACTGACTTCGTAGAGTTTTTGAAATAATTAGCTAAAACAATCTACTTAAACATTTGGCATGTAGAAAGCATTTGATTATTGTAGTTATTATTATTTTGCATTACATGGAGGAGAGACAGTCTTGTGATAGTGTAAGTGATAGGAAGTTAACAGTGAAGACTTGGGGAAGTAAGGAGGCTCAGAAGACCACCTCCCATAGTCATTGTCTTGGAGAACTGAAGCAGCATTACAGATCCTTAGGAGGTCTATGTCCTCTTGTCCTCTTTGTCAATAGCACCTATTGGGACCCACTCTAGTGAATTTGTCATTCTCAACCTCTTTTCTAGCTGCTTCTTTTTCTACTCTTGGAGTTTCACAACAACTTCCCTGCCTCTATTTCTTTTCTCTACTTCTTGTGTCACTCATTCAACTCCTCTACAGAGAGGCTCTCATTGGGTTGGCTGCTCTTTGTCCAAAGAAAGGAGCATGTGTATTTGGCACTTGACCACCTTGTCAACCACAGGTCTACCGTATACATCATGTGGCCTTTACCTGAGAAACAAATCTCTGGTACAATCTGTTGTGGCCAAGATATCTGTGTCTAACGACACAGAGAGCAAGATAACACATGTACTTCCCCTCTGGCCATAGGTGTAGTAAGGGTATAGAGTCTCTGGAACATCAGTTTATGGCTGATGATCAGCCTGATGCCTACCTACAGTCATTGTGGACGTTTATACTGGTGATCATTCTGTTTGATCAGTGCTGGGGCTCTACCAGTTGTCTTTACATTCACCTCTGTATGGTGATTATTGGAAGATAACCACTTGGAAGAAAGGGCATGAGAAAAGGCATGGGTGGAAATCAGGCTTTAGTTTTTAGTCTTGGCTTTATCACCAGCAACTCTCTCTCTCTCACACACACACACACACACATACACGCAGTCTACATTTCTCATTCCAGTTCTCCAAAAACTAATTTGAAGTAAAAGTCATGTATTACTATCACAAAATATTCTCAAAGTATGCACTTGAGCAAAGGTATAGATAATTTTTCCTCATTATTCCTCCTGTGGGCCCTACTCTGCCAGAGTTACTGTCTTAGATGCCTCATTGAAACACCAAGAAAAACACAAGAATTGAAGCCATTTGCCCGATTGAAACCAGAATGTGACAACATTTGCCATTCTGGCTGCTTAATATTTCAGCATCCTTCAATCTTTAGTGAATATGTACATTCTATCTTTAGAACACGTCTAGAGAAAACAATTCCAAAAATGATGCGGAGGGAATCCATGTGGAATCAATTGTTTAAAATGCCCAGCAAATAATCTTCTGTTTGGAACACTCCAATGCCCTAAATAGAGTTAAGATTAAAATAACTCTCCTAGCTTACCTCTGGCCAGAAAGTTGGGGAAAAGGGGTGTTCCAACATTATGGAGTAAGAATTTCCATAGAAGATTCTGCTATGTTATGCCCAACATCTAGCTGATTTCTTCTGTCCTTACACCTCCCTAGTCTCCCCTACCTTGCATGAGCCTGGCAGTTCATTTCCTTTCTAGATAGAGTAAAGGAATAGTGAGTTCACCCTAAGACAGACAAGTTAGTACCAGGAGGTACAAATAAAATGAATAATCAAATGGACTATCCGGACCTCACACCAGCCTCAGCTAACAGTATCCAGAGCATTGCTCAGTGATGTGTATTTTATCACTTGGGGCAGAAGGAAAAATGTCTTTCCATACAGCCCAGGCCAAAAAAGTCATTTTTAAATAGGGAGCTAAACTCACTCACTTTTCCCAGCGTGGATCCTTAAGGCCCCTTTGGATTGGGTTTCATGGAATGTGGTTTTATCAGAAATATCCTTGGTTCTTACTTCGTGCATATTTCAGGGCATAAGTAATGAACCAGACATTACACGAAGTGATTTTCCAAAACATCAGGAAAAATACATTTCCTCCATCAAATGGCTTCCCCTACCCATAATCCCAAGCTTCACATCTCACAGTGTCTCCTTTTATTCATCCTAATTAGCAATAAGTGAATCCAGTCCCATTCTGTAGTCAGCCAATTTACAATTGGATTTTATGTGCATTTTAGATTCAGCAACCTGCTGTTATCCAGCCCCAGATACCTCCTCATCTATGATCAAGGGAAGTGTCTGTTTTTGATTTATTTCTACCCAGCAAGAAAAGTTGATTCTATGCCTATATCCGACACACTATTACCTTGCACTTTTTGTATATTTCTCATTTTTGAGAACTTTACAGTGTTAACATGTGATGGCTAATTCATTGTTTATTTTACTGCTGAGTTGACTGCACAGGGTGGGCATCAGGATCCATTCTGTAAAGAAAAACTATCCAAGGTCAAGGTCACAAACCATGGTGCAAAAGCAGGAGGGATGTCAAACAACCAGACAGAGACAAGCAAGTTGTCCATTCTCCAAGTTATCGCCTCAGGATGACCTTTCTGAGCTAGGAGTCCTCTCTCCTAGAAGTTTACCTTATTGGCAAACTACTGGAGAACGTTCTCTGTATCCTCCTCTCTGCGCCCCCACCCCCCACCTTAATGCTTAAGGGCCACAGGGACTTTTATGAAAAGGAAGGAATGAGCTTCACACATGTGATCTAATTCAGGATCAAAGACCCTCTCGAAACTAATGATTTGCTATCATTAGTTAGAAAATGACTCATGGGTCATTTTCCAACAACATAAGTCAGAACCTGCTTCCCTTGGGGAGCTCTTATTTATTCCATACTGGGCTCAGACTGAGCCCTCTAGGATTTCTTAACTATTCCTTAGGATGAGAAGGGCCTGCCTAAAAGTCTACAACACCCCAGATTGGTAGACCCAAGATGTGTGAACAAAAAGCAACCCCAGACTCTCAAAAGGCCAATGCCCTGGGCTCCTTTTGTGCCCTAATGCCCAATTTCATATCCACAATGATAGGCTTGAAATTTCCCAGTGTGTCTTTTTATTCAGTTTAAATAGCAATGAGTAAATTTCTTCTAGAAGAAGCTTGAGAGGGAGAGTCTCCCTGTGGCTTGGCCAGAAGTTGAGCTGAAGGAGCCAGTCCTTGTTATACAGCCATTTGGGATCAGCAGCCCAGGCAGGCTGCCCACATCCTAGGTGCATCTGGTTCATCCTCAGATAGCCAATGTGGCCCTTACAGTGTTGGGAATAGTGCCTTTTACTCTGTCCCAGGTACCACATGAAAGTCATGTCCTGCAGCACCCTCAGGCAAGGACTAGCCAAAGCCCCGCTATCTTCACTGAAGGTTTCTGCCTACACTGACCACTCAACCCTCCACACTGAACATAATGTCCATGACTGTCCCCCAAAACTTGCTCAATCAGAGCCCATGAAAAGGTGTCCTGAAACCAACCTTGTGTGTTTTTATACTGGCACCTCTAGGGGAGCTCACTTAGAGCCCTACTTCTCCTCTGTACCCCTCTCTCTGAAGACCTTGCATTACTATCAATTTCACAGCCTAGGCTAGTCATTTCCAAATCATCTGTACTTGAAAACATCTTTGGTAGGAGAAGGGAGGAGCTAGATACAGAACTATGCATTTATCCATTCCAACCGGGCATGGTGGTTCAAGCCTGTCATCCCAGCACTTTGGGAGGCCTAGGTGGGAGGATCATTTGAGGTCAGGAGTTCAAGACCAGCCAGACCAACATGGTGAAGCCCCGTCTCTACTAAAAATACCAAAAAATTAGCCTAGCATGGTGGTGCATGCCTGTAGTCCCAGCTACTTGGGAGGCTGAGGCAGGAGAATCACTTGAACTCAGGAGGTGAAGATTGCAGTGAGCCAAAATCATGCCACTGCACTCCAGCCTAGGTGAAAGAGCAAGACTCTGTCAAAAAAAAAAAAGAACTATGTATTTATGCATTCCAAAAAAATATTTATTGAGCACCTATTATAGGCAAGACATGATGGATACATGAATTACAGCAATGAAGAAGTTACAGTCCCTGACAGCAAGGACACACCCAACAGGCAGCCTATGTCCAAGACAGTATGAGAAGTCTGGGGAACAGTAGGCCCCAGGGCTGTGGGGGCAGAGGGGAGGGGGTCTAATCATATGTTACCAGGATAAGGGAGGCCATCATAAGACGTCCAGACACCCATGTGTTGCTTCAAGTGTGTTTATTAATTGAATAGCTAAATCCACAGGCATATTATTTTTCATCTGTATGAGATGAATTTAAAAGTGTACTAGATGTGTGGAAACCTTCTGTTCTGTGTGACTCATTCTTCAGTGAAAACACTCCTATCATGAGGAGGAACAGCAGGGATTGTGGAGCCGGCCTGCCTGGTGCACACCTCAATTCCCCCTTACCAGCTGTGTGATGTTGGGGGAGTCACTTTAACTTCCCCGTGCCTTGGTATCTCATCTGTAAAACAGCATGATATTATTTACCTCATAGGGGTGGGATAAACAGTAATAGAATCAGTACACAGAAAGGACTTAAGTGGGGCTTGGCACTTGATAGGTCTTCTGAAAACATTAGCTACAGTTATAATCATGTAGGGGGAGACATGAAATATTCTGTGGATTCAAATGGGCTGTGGTCAGAAAAATGCAAATCAAAACCACAATGAAATATCATTTCACCTCAGTTAGAATGACTATCTTGAAAAGACAAAAAATAACATATGTTGCCCAGAGAAAAGGGAACTCTTACACCCTGTTGGTGGGAATGTAAATTAGCACAGCCATTACAAAAAACAGTAAGAGGATTTCTCAAAAAAACTAAAAATAGAACTACCATTCGATCCAGCAATCCCACTACTGGGTATTTATCCAAAGGGAAAGATATCAGTACATCAAAAGGATACGTGCCCTCTGATGTTTATTATAGCACTTCACAATAGCCAATATATGGAATCAACCATAGTGTCTATCAACGAATGAATGGATAAAGAAAATGTTATATATATATATATGTATACACAATGGAATGCTATTCAGTCATAAAAAAGAATGAAATCTTGTCATTTGCAGCAACATGGATAGAACTGGAGGTTATTATATTAGGTGAAATAAGCCAGGTGCAGAAAGACAAACATCCAGACTTGACCACCTTGTCAACCACAGGGCTACCATATAAGTCATGTGGCATTTACTTGAGAAGCAAATCTCTGGTACAATCTGTTGTGGCCAAGATATCTGTGTCTAATGACACAGAGAGCAAGACAACACATGTACTTCCCCTCTAGCCATAGGTGTAGTAAGGGTATAGAGTCTCTGGAACATAAGTTTATGGCTGATGGTCAGCCTGATGCCTAGCTACAGTCATGGTGGATGTTTATACTGGTGATCATTCTGTTTGATCAGTGCTGGGGCTCTACCAGTTGTCTTGGCATTCACCTCTGCATGGTGATTATTGGAAGATAGGCACTCAGAAGAAGGGGCATTATACAGTAAAACATGGGTGGAAATCAGGCTCTAGTTTTTGATCTTGGCTTCATCACCAGCAACTCTCTCTCTCTCTCTCTCACACACACACACACATACACACACACACACACACACACACGTTCTCATTTATATGTGGGCGCTAAAGGTGTTGGTCTCATGAAGGTAGAGAGTGGAATGACAGTTACCAGAATGGGAAAGGGGGAAAGGAGGAAGAGAAGTTGGTTAAAGGGTGCAAATGTACAGTTAATTAGAAGGAATATGTTCTAGTGTTCAATCGAACAGTAGAGTGCCTATAGTTAAAAATACCTTATTGTATATTCCAAAATAGCTGGAAGAAAAGATTTGAAATATTTCCAACACAAAGAAATAATAAATGTTGGAAGTGATGGATATCCTAAATACACTAATTTAATCTTTACACATTGTATGCATGTATCAAATATCACATCTATCTCAAACATATGTACAATTATTATGTATCAATTAAAAAATAAATAACCAAAAAACAGGTTCGGACAGTGAGAAAATCTGGAAGTGAAACTTTATTTCTAGGGGTCTGGCTGGAAATAACTGAGTTAATTACATCAATGGGCATAAATCCTGTAAGTTGTTCTTCCCAGTCCTAAGGCAGCAATGCCTGGGCCCACTCTTCAATCTTGTCATGTTCACTCCTTACCTGGTGCTCTCTATACATTGGTAATGATCAGCGAGGATGCATTGCCTGAGAATCTTCCTTGATAAAGGTGTATGAGACATAGGCAGATTATTCCAGCACATCCAGTTCTGAGGGACTCTTCCCTCCTGTGATCTTTCTTCCAAGAACCCTACCCACTGCAGCCCCTATCTCCATTCACTCAGTTTAAACCTTCACATTCCTAGATTCCACATCAACAGTAATTTTACTTTCCTCCCAGCTATATTGTAAAAGCTGAGGTTTTGGGCACTTTTGGTAGGGGCGAGGAGGCGTGGAAGTGAGGGGAGGAGGCCTTCCTTGAAGTCATGTCAGAGTTAGGGGGATGAAAATGCACAATTAGAGTGGGGAAAATCTACGTTCTTTGTTCTCCAATTTTTATTTGAGCTTATTTTTAGTATCTGAGTAGGGGTTTGCAATTTTTCTCTCTTATCTGTAACTTCCATTTTCCTGTGATGTTTCATTACCCAGGAACAAGAAATATAAATAACCAGGACCTGCAGTGAAACCTCCTAAGTCCAAATGTCATTTGCAATTACTCAGGCTTTGGCTTCAGCAAGATTAAATGCTACTGTCTCATAGAGGTCTGGGTGGGTCAAGAATGATACTTCAGTTCTCTCTTTCTATGTATCTGTCTATTTGGCCTTCTACCTATCTTTCTGTCTGTCTGTCTATCTAATCTCCAGCCACATATGTATGTATGCATGTATCTAACATCTATCTGTCTGTCCATCTGTATCTATTTATCTCTCTCTCTTTCCCTATCTATTATCATCTATCTATTCATGTAATTAATGTATTATGCTTCCAGACTGAAAAAAAATGACCATAAGAGTGTTTCCAAGACACCTGGGCTTTGAGGAGCAAGACAGTTTTTGGAAATGTGTATGTTTACTACAGGCATAAGGGACAGGAGTGCACGAAGAACCACTCAGGAAATAAATTACTAGACAACTACTCTATGCCAAGCACTGTCCTAGACACCTTACGTAGGTCATCTCATCTATCCTCACCACAACCCTGTGAGGCAGGTTGAAGTCTTTCTGTTTCACAAAAGCAGAAATATGAGGCTCAGATAAATGTTCTGTTTCACATAGCCAAGAAGTAGTAAATTTGTCCTCGTTTAATTAACCCCATTTCCACAAGGAAGTGGATTCAGGAGAAAAAAATTTTCAAACAATTAAAAATAAATTTTAAAAACCTAGGCATGAATGCATGTGTTTGTGATCTACATGGTACCCACAGACGCACACAGCAATTAAGTGCCCAGGGCCCAGCAGTTTGACATCACTCAACCTGTGTCTCTGCGGCATCCCCTCCTCTTTCTCCCACTAAGAATCCTTTTACCCACCACTTCTTCCTGGACAAATTTCCTCCTCTTTCAAAACAGAACACCATTAGCTGCTTACCTAGTCTGGAGGCCCCACCCACAGTGACTGTGGGATTCTTTTCAGGAGCCCTCACTGGGACAGAAGAAGCCAGAAGCTCCCATAATACTTGTTTCTTATGCCACCTTTATCCCCTCAAATCCTCACAAATGAATGAATGGGGAATACCCATTTGGATGAGATTCCAGTGAGGTAGCATTACTTAAATATTTAAATATTAAATATTTCAGGTAAATTTTTTGTTCATAACAAAAATATGTTTCCATAAGTACCTTAAGCCCTATGAACTAAAATACGATCCAAGGGCAGTTTTAAGAGCTACAGTCAAGTTCAGCAGCATACATTGCCCTAAGCTGGAATGGAGTCATTGAGGTTAAGCTTTTGCCCTGAGGATGGAAACCAGGTCAACCAGCAATTGAAGGGATTGACGCCCTGTGAAAAGAGCCCGGGACGTGCATCTGCCATTAACTGTCTCAACCAGCTGCGTGACCTTGGGGAAGACAGCTTTCTGCCTTTCTTTCCTCTCTGTAAGATGAGACCCAGGAGGTGGATCCTGCTGGTCCCAGTAGGTGCTGTGTCCGTCAAGTGAGATAGTGGCTGTGGGAGAGCTTCTGAAAAAATATTTTATATAAGAAATTTTAAGTACACAATAAACACTACTTCCATTAAGCCACGAGCTGAGTCACTCAGTCTGGCAAGGAGGTAAATGATGAAGGACAAAATGTCATGGTCGACTAGATGTCCTCCTGAGCTGAGTCACTCTCCTTGGGCCCTCCTTCCATTGGGGTAAGTCAATGGTGGGTGACAGTGAAGGGCCTGTCAGGTGAGCAGCAGGGGAGGGAGGGGGTTGGACTTTATCTAGGAAGTGATTCATGCAGTAGAAGATGAGTGAAAAGGTAGGAACCAATAGGCAGCTAAGGACAATCCATCAGTGAGAATTATGGGTTCATTCCAACAGTCACTCTCCTAATATGCACTGGGCACCTACTATGAGCCAGGCACCAGGCAGGAGGCTGTGGGGGATTCAGGATGTATGGCATAGTTCTTGCCCTTGGTCATGTAAGTAACGAAATCTAGTTAAATGCAGGATGAAAAGAGTGCCGTGAATGAAGTAGAGTAACCCTTCCCTAGTCATGTATTAATCTGTGTGCACATTTTAGGCATGCTGAAAACACCACCCTTAGAAAGTAAGTAGGGCCAGCTCTTACTGTGCATGGGAGAGTTAGATAGTCCCATCTGGGAGTCAGGCATGCAAAGGAGAGGTAAACCAGGTGGCAATGCCAGAGTAGAGGTTGGTTTGTTTTCAAAGAAGACCTTGGGAGGAATTAGGATGCTACGGATACTACTTGGTCACAAAATATGGCACAGAACAGACTTCGAGTTGGTTTAGTGGGAGTCAATGGGACAGTTCAGTTCCTATTTCTGCTTCCAGAGTGCTGAATTATGAATACATGATCACTAATTCACTGACTAATCCATTCAAGCCCTCAGTGTCTCTACATCCCCATTTATAAATTACAGAGCATGATATCTACCCTTTGGGAGAGCTATGACAATTAATATGGTAATACATGTAGATCACCAATCAGGCACTCAGTAGAATTCATGAACGAAACCCTATGCCAGCTTTTTCCAAAGAGCTGATACTTCCTCAGTTATTGTCCTCTGGAAGTTAACGTGATTGGAAGGAAATGGATTTTAATAATACTTCCCTACCGAGTAGGTTTCATTTTAAAAAGCGTATCAATATCAAATCCCCCCTCCCCTGGCTTTTTTGGATTTTCTCAATACATAGCAAAGACCCCTTCTTATGGAGATCAAAGTTATTCTTTATCTGGTAGAATGCATGATAGATTGGTTTAGTGAACAGGGGGCTGATGTCTTGCTGCCTCTGCATTTATCCAAAGAGGGACAAATTATTTGGAAATATAATTTTCAAATGTGTTATTTGACTGTTCTCTGAGTCTGCAGTAGGCTGCAGCAGATGGAAATAATTTCACCTGCAATATTAAGAGCTGGAACTAATGAGTCTTCATATCTTTTCGAACTCATCTATTTTTATTTAAAAGTGATGAATAGTGGCAGTTTGGAAAGGTGCAATGTTCATTGGCACGATAAAAAATAGATGGCATTGCAGCAAAACGTTCTTAATGTCCTTCCCCAAGGGGGAAAAATAATTGCTACAAGGAATTAGAATTTAACTCCTTGCTTTTATTCCTTCAACAAGTTCACTATCACTTTTACCTTTTTCCCCTACAGTTTGCCCAATTTATGTGCAGAACATATTACATTTACATATATACATTCATATTTTTATCTATATTTGGCATATTGATAACTAAATAAACTTGCATTTTTTAAAATTGTTTCTAAAGAACTCCAAGGGCTTTAGAGGCTTAAATTCAACATGCAGAATTCCAACTTTGGGTTTTACTCTCATAAACGTACAGGTAAGTAAATAGTGGCAAGAAGCCACACATCTCGGAATTTCTAGCATGAAAAGAGCCTCATGAAAATAGGCTTTTCTAACATGAAAAGAGCCTCAGCAGAAAACATCTCTAAGTAAATGTAAAGTAGACATGCCCTTGAGGGAAGAAGGGGTACACTTGTGTTACAGAAGGAAGAATTTTAGTGCTATTTTCTGGATTACAGTTTCATTGGAGTATGAAGACCTGAATTACCACTGGGAGGGCAGAATTAAGTTCTATTTTTGTTGCTAGGATTTTTTTTTCAATGGTGTGGCAGAAAAGAGAATTCGGATTTATTGATTCTGACTTTGGCTTTTTTGTAACTAATTAAGTGATCCTGTGAATATCTTTTAGATTTTTTTGAGCTTGGTTTTCTCATCTATAAGAAGAAAGGGTTGGACTTCACATCCTCAGCACATTTTACTGCCATTCCCTAATCTTGTGCCCACCTCAGACATCAACATCAGTCCCAGCATTGTTTCTTGTTGAGCCCACCCTTGACCTTGGCACATTTATCAGTGTCATGCTCTAAGTAACCACCATCAATCAGTAAGAATTAACAGTTGAAATAAAATCTATTTGCCACCTCTGGTCTGGAAGATTTAAAAAGGTATCATCAAAATCCTAAGATTCTCTTCCTTACACAGCCTGCCGATGTTTAATAGCAATGATTTAAAACAACTGAACATTTGGAAAGCACTCATAATACCTTTTGTTAGATGAGAGCTCTGGGGAACAGGGCATCAGACTAATGAAGTACTTAAAACGTCTCATACATAGCCCTTGGCATTCCAGAACTAACTGATGGACTGTTGGGGTCTGACCTCAGGATATAGAGATATCATCTGGTTTCTCCTAAATATAAGCTGCACTACGTGATTTTAAAACTATGCCACAAGTCAGGGAGAAAGAGAACATTTAGCAATAAAAAGATCCAGCTATTGGCAGCAATGCGCTATTAGATCCCTGTGGAATTTTTGAAATTATTATTGTTGAGATGGCACTGCAAAGACATATAACTCTGAGCACGATCTCCTTTAGCCTCCTGGACCTCACTGGGGAAGGGCACATTAGCAGTCTGGGTCCGTAGCAAGGAATTGCATATTTGCATACATTACCCAGTGTGAGAGATTTACGGGAAACATATTGTTCATGATTGCGCTGATTAGGACTCTATGAATAGATGCTGATACATATTGTCCTGGGTTGTTCTATTTAACTCTGGACTCTAAATTTCTTTGCCTGGAGAAATCAAGACATTCAAAAGAAACAACACATTTTGAAAACACACTATTGATTTATACCTGCAGAAAGGACAATAGCTTTAAGGGGAATCAGGGCTCCTTTTGACTGGTGTGTTCCTTTTGGTATCGTTCGAAACTCAGTGTCCTTCCACACAGAATTCATAAATTAATCCAGATGGAGATGCTCTGCTTTTGCTCTGTCTGCAAGTAGCTGTGATTTTTTCCAGAATTTCCTCCCTGGCTTAAGAAGACAATCTGACGACACTGCACTGGTGCAGCAAAGATAGAGCTACCTAAGGTAGTCCAAGGAGATCCACCCAAGAAGGAAGCTGCAGCCGTGTGCAATTCATCTGTAGTGTCCTGTGCACATTTTCATTTTCCTCTCCCTGCACTTCTCATCTCTGTATAGCAAACACACATGAGCACTTGTATTAGTCTGCTAGTGCAGCCATAGCAAAATACCACAGACCGGTGGCTTAAAAACCAGAATTTATTTTCTTACAGTTCTTGATGCTGCAAGTCCAACAGCAAGGCACCTGTAAGGTCTGTTCCTCTGAGGACCATAAAGGAAGGATCTGATCCAGACCTTTCTCCTTGGTTTGTAGATGGCCACTCTTGCCGCCCCTTCATGTGGCAATCCTGTGTCTCGCTCTGTGTCCTAATTTCCTCTTCTTATAAGGACACCATTCAAATTGGATTAGGGCCCACTCTAATGGCCTCATTTTAATTTAATTACCTCTTTAAGGTCCCTATCTGCAAATATATCCACATTCTGAAATACTGAGGCTTTAATATATGAGTTTTGGGGGAATAGAATTCAGCTTGTAACAGCACTCATTTTGATTTAGGTTCCCTTTCTAAATTCTTCATGCATATTATTTCATCTAATTCTCACAGCAACTCTAGCTCACAGTAAGCTAGGTGCTATTATTGGCAAGAAAACAGAGATACAGAGAGAAGAACTTGCCCATCCAAGATCTGAAACACACACGTATGCAGTTTTTTATTTGAGAATGAGTCATGTCTCATCTACAGCCATATCATCCTGAACATGCTTGACCTCATCTGATCTCAGATGCTAAGCAGGGTTAGGCCTGGTAAGTACTTGGATGGGAGTCATGTCTTAATTCTTTGAAGAATGCTTCATTATATTTGCTAACATAATAATAAATCTTGAACCTATGTGTCAACTTTCAAAATTGTCCTTTTTAAAACACATATGTCTACCTCAGGTTTCCTTTTTGCATTCAGTATCGTGCATGGAGTAGATGCTATATTGAATAGTTTGATGTGAAGCTTTTATTTTTATTTATTTATTTTTTTTGAGATGGAGTTTCGCTCTTGTTTCCCAGGCTAGAGTGCAATGGCGCAATCTCAGTTCACTGTAACCTCCGCCTCCTGGGTTCAAGCGATTCTCCTGCCTCAGCCTCCCAAGTAGCTGGGATTACAGGCAACCCCCCACCACACCTAGCTAATTTTTTGTATTTTTAGTAGAGACAGGGTTTTGCTGTGTTGGCCAGACTAGTCTCGAACTCCCGACCTCAGGTGATCCGCCCGCCTTGGCCTCCCAAAGTACTGGGATTACAGGCATCGGCCACTGCGCCTGGCCTGTGAAGCATTCTGAAAGGCAGAAACAGAATATAGAAACTTGGAAGAGATCAGGTGAGGGGACTAACTAGATGGTGGTTTAGAGTGCGGTAATAAAGATGCTACATGAATATCAGGATATTGAAACTGTGATCGACGTCTATTTTTGAAAGTTTGGTAGATATATGGAGAGGCCATATTTTCTTTATTATGATTTAAAATGTTGATTGGTAGTGTCGGTGACACTCAAAGACCCTGAAGAAATAGGCATACTTTTATCATTTTCTCTGGTAATTATCCCTATGTAATTAACACAAGAGGTGGTTATTACTTCCCCAAGGTCACAAAGCAGAAGTGAGGTGGGGTTAGAGCTGACACCCAGCATAACATAATAGGTCGATAAATGTTAAATATTTTTCACCGTGGGGGATTTAGGGCCTAATACCTCAATTTATTATGCAGTCACTTTCCTGAAATTAAAAGATCCGTCAGGGCAGACATTGTTTCCTGTTATTTGCACCTACATAATTTAAGTGGAGAAGGACATGATAAATCTAGATATGGAATACTTATATAATCAGTATGTAATTGTTATTTCGCTTGTTCAGACAAGGTATGAAGTGTTCAAAGCTGAAGCCTCCATCAGCAGCTCTATCTATTCACACACAACTCCACAGCAAAATGTTTTTCTCTCTTCCTTACCATAGTCACAGGAAAACCCCTACATCCATTTCAAAGAGAGAATTTATTTAGACATAATGTAAAGGTAGCCCTTTGTTCCAAATCCACAGTCCTTAGACAGAGACCCCCATGATGTCATTCTGTGGACATTCCTTGCTCTGATCTGGCCTCCTCTTAATTCCAACTGAGGCACAGTGATGAATGTCGCCCTTCTTTTTCATTCACAATTTTCATCTCCTGGTCCTTACTCATTAGAAGTGCAAGTCCACCACAGATGAAGGATTAGAAATTAATGCTGGCTCACTCCTAGACTTAGAACTGACTGCAAGAGATAAGAAAACGAAACCAAAGTTGAGTCTTGAACTCCAGCCTCTGTCTTCCAGATCTTCTGCTTTGGAACTCAAAATGATCAGTGATCAAACAACACAGTATAAAGAGCCAGATGAATAGCAGAACATGGAGCGTTATGGGGCTGGGAGACTTGGCGTAACCTTGATATCAACCAAACTTTGATGGATGCAAACCAGGCTTTTAATTCTATTTCAATGTGGTTTTTGAGCCGGTGACACGAATTTACATATTATATACAGCTGTGGCTGCTTGCAAAAGCAAACCCTTGTGATAATGACATTTTGTTTTGGAAAGAAATATTGCACTTGTAGTCTTCAGTAAACCTCTAGACTTTTTCTCTATGAAACCAGTAGTTTTATCTGGCCTTTGATTCCTAATTTATGTCCCTAATTTGGCTTTGATGTGAAAGGATGGTTTCTTCAAATGTTATTTCCCTTGAAGTCATCATTTGTTTAATCCCACTGTGAAGAAATAGATAGCTCTATCTGTGCCTACATTATGCTCCAAAATCTATTTGTAGTTCAAAAACCCAAGTCTATTTGTCTTAAGAACACATATGCCTTTATGACTTGGTACACTCAGAATTAAATACGAGATTATTTCTCAGGGTAGTAGTTAGAACAGTCCACTCTGAAAACTGGCTTGTCTACACATTTTAAGAAACCTAACTGCTAGGCAGGGCTGAGTCAGTTTTCCAGTCTTTGGTTGTGACTGTGTTTCTCTTGTGTTTCAAAAATCCAGAGAAGCCAACAAACCAACAAAACTATTATATTGAAAACCATAGGTTAGCAGGATAATACTTTGTAATATGATTGTGTTTCCCTTTTGGGTAATCCAGGTTTTTCCCATTTTCTTAGTCTGTTTTGTGCTACTATAATAGAATATCCAAGACTGAGTAATTTGTAAATAACAGAACTTGATTCCTCATAGTTCTGAGGCTGGGAAGTACAATATCAAAGTGCTGGCGCCGCACAAGGGCCTTCATTGCTGCATCATCTCATGGCAGCAGGTGAGAAAGAATGAGAGAGCGAGAGATTAAACTTGCAGCCTCCAGACCTTTTCTAATTGACATTAATCCGTTGATATGATTTGGCTGTGTCCCCACCTAAATCTCCTCTTGAATTGTAGCTCCCATAATTCCCACACGTCATGGGAGGGACCCAGTGCGAGGTAATTGAATCATGGCGTTGGGTCTTTCCCATGTTGTTCTCACGATAGTGAGTGAGTTCTCATGAGATCTGATGGTTTCATTAGGAGCTTTTCCTCATTTTGCTTGGCACTTCTCTCTTGTCTGCCACCATGTAAGATGTGCCTTTTGCCTTCTGCCGTAATTGTGAGGCCTCCCCAGCCACATGGAACTGTGAGTCCATTAACCTCTTTTTGTTTATAAATTACCCAGGCTTGGGTATGTCTTTATCAGCAGCGTGAGAACAGACTAATACATCCATTCATGAGGGTGGAGCCCTCAAGATCTAAACACCTCCCATCAGGCCCCACGTCCCAACACTGTTGCATTGGGAATTAAGTTTCCAGCACATGCTTTTTGGGGGCCACATTCAAAGCATAGCACCTATTAAGTCTAGGCCAGGATACTGATATTGATTGCTTAAGAGAGGAAGGTGGCTACCACTTAAAATAATAGGATGATAAAAGGAGCAACTAATGCTTATAGAGTATATTATTATGTTCCTGGCACTGTTTTATGTAGTTTTATGCATATTAGCTCTATGAATCTAGTCTTTTTTAACACTATGTGGGCAAACATCTACCTCTAGGCTCACACCTGAACCATCTTAGGCTGCTAAAATAGAAAACAGATGGAGTTTGGGGTCAAAGCCTTCTTTACCTATACAATGCTATACTTCCCTAATGTTTTCTCTGTGCACACACCTGCCAGGAATCTAGTTTGAAAGTGAGAATCTGGTGATATGTGTTTCAACAGACAACCTGATTATTTTGTGGGGCATGAATATCCTCAGTTGCATCCTCTTCTGACCCATCTTTCACGGCAATCTCCAGGGGTCTGATAGGTTGTATAGGCATTGGATTTAGGTAAAAAGTTTCTAATTTAAAACACTCTACCTTTCGACCAACTCTGGACCACCAGGTATTCCTACTGACCTCTGTCTATGAACACAGGTTACCCAAGGCAGCTCTAGTGTTGATAGGAAATTCTGTCATTTTTATACTCTGTAATGGAAAGAATGTTCATTTTCTTCACAGAGTGTCTTAATATCTTACATTTATTCCAATCTAAGATTTGTTCATCTTTCATTCAGCCTCAGCAAATACTGCTGCAATGTAGAGTATATTCACTAAAATTTAGAAGTAAACTCCTGAGAGCCATCTGACAAGAGGCTGGGATATACAACAAGAGTATATTTCTTTATCCAAGAAAGGAGTGTTATCTCAGAGGATTTCATGGTGCCAAAACACCTCATTAAGCAAATAAAAATTCTCACCCTATTCCTCCTCAACCCCTTCTTTGACAAATTTTCCCAAAGCCCCTGTAGATAGCCCTCTGAGAGGGGAGGAAACAACCCCCGTGGTGAAAGTGGCCCATGCATTCTGGAGGAGGGGATGAGAGTGGGTGCAGGTGTGAAGTGGGGTGCGTCTTGGGGATGTCTCTGAGGGACTCTGTCCCCTCTTGCCTGCCCCTGGGTTGGAAGTGAGTGAGTTTTGGACCTGCTGCGCCATCCTAGGGAGATGTGAGGAGAGAATGGCCATGCTGAGACAACAGTCAGAGACTGGAGGCTGGATCTCTTCAGTGTCTTTGCTCTGGGTGATTGGGAGAGGGGTCAGAGGACCTGCGTTTTCCATGGGGGGCAGGCTATCATTAGAAGCATTGGAATCCAAGAGGGTGTTCTAGAAACTTCACAGCTGGGCACAGTTGTACAGGCTCCCTCCTGTTCTATGGGCCCCAAAACAACCCACCAGCTGCTTGGTTTAGCTGCATTGTTGTTTATTCTGCACTGCCAAAAAACTCAGAGACCTTTCCTCAAAACATACGTGTCACCTCTTTAAGAATAAAAATTCATTTTGTTGCAACTGCTTCAAATAAAAAATATTGAAAACATGCTGTATCTTTACTTGAGTTGGAAGAAACCTACAGTGAGAAATAATCTTATTTTGATTATTTGCGATCATAATTATGAATGGTGACCATATACAATATGTGTCACACAGCACTGTCAAGGCAAATTCAAGAGGAGGAAAGAGCATACTCTCCAGAGTCAGACAGTCCTGGGTTCAAATCCAGGCTCTCCCACACATATTGTCTTCATCTAAAAGATGCAGTAGTAATCCCTTGCCAGGTTAAGAGATGTACACATGAAGTGTGCATTATGCTGTCTGGCATATACGAGGCTCTCAGTGTATGTTGGCTTCTCTCCTTCAACTACCTTCCATTCTCCTTGACCTCTCTTCCCTGTAATTTTCTCAGAATTTATAGACGTGTGGGGCTATTCCTGAAGTTTTTAATGACACGTCTAGTGAGTAACTGATGTCTAATAAATATTCTAATATATTCCAGGTGGAGAAGTCTATGTAGAGTGAAGTCCTTTTCTGTTCTGTACCCTAATGAAAATAAAAACAAAGCAATGATCTAGGCTTTTGTGAATGGGGCTTACCTGCCACCAGATTCACTCATGCTTCAATCTAAAAATTGGCTAAACTCCCCTGAACAATCTATAGATGCAAGAGCTCAGCTTTTTGTTAGTAGCCTTGTGTTAAGGAAAAGGAAAACATTTTTTTTCTTTTGAGATAGAGTCTCGCTCTGTCACCCAGGCTGGAGTGCAGTGGCGCAATCTCAGCTCACTGCAACCTCTGCCTCCCGGGTTCAAACGATTCCCCTGCCTCAGCCTCCCAAGTAGCTGGGACTACAGGCATGAGCCACCATGCCCAGCTAATTTTTTGTATTTTTAGTAGAGACACGGTTTCACCATGTTGGCCAGGATGGTCTCTATCTCCTGGCCTCGTGATCCACCCACCTCGGTCTCCCAAAGTGCTGGGATTACAGGCATGAGCCACCGCGTCTGGCCAGGAAAACATTTTTAAAGCCATACATAGTTCATCTACACATATGCAAAAAAGAGAAGAACAAAAGCTAACACATATGAAGTTCCTGTTCCAAGTACTTTACAAATGTTTGCTCACTTAACTCCCACAGTAGTTATATGAAGTAGATGTCACAGATGAGAAAACAGGCACTGAGAGATGAAGTCCAAAGTCACAGTGCAGACTAGCAAGGGGTAGGGCCAGGATTTGAACCCGGGTTGTCTGGATCCAGAGGCCATGCTTTTAATTCGATGTTATATGTCATAACTTAATAGATATCCATCATGATGTCATGAGTAGGGGTTATCATCATGTAAAATTTGGAAAATACTTTAACTAGCAATGACTTTTTTGTTGTATGAAATTCATGTCTTAAGGAAAGAGGTGGCTAGGGAAAAACAAGGCAATATTGGGGATGAGAGAATACATTCCGGTACTATCAACATGCCAAGTGCCATACTCAAGGGCAAAAAATCCCCACATTATTTCAAATTAAAAAACATTATTTCAAATTAAAATTTGGGGGATTCTGTAAGAAAAATACAACCCTCTTTATCTTCCCTTGGAGGTGCCACCTATCTGTGGATGGCTCCTGTAGAGCAAGGACCCCTCCTTGCCCACCCCTTCAGCAATGATCACGCAAGTCAGCTCTGGAGACCAAGGAACAACACGTGTCAAAAGTAGGCAACCTTCACGTGTGTCCATGTAAATCATGAGTCTGCCCATATTCGCGCCCCATGAAAAGATTTTCTGGATGGAGGAAAAAGAAGGGTAACTAAATCTCAGAGCAGTGATATTCAACTAATAATTTTGCCTCAACTGTATAGAACCTTTAAAGCCAAAGTCAGGTGAACTGGTCCAGCCTAGCCCAGAAGCAGGTACCAGGGAACTTGAGGTGCTGCTTCTGTGTGTCTGAATTGGATTCAATATCTGTATGTTAAAGACTTCCCCGCTGGCTTTTCTACCAATGATGTCTTGATCCATCCAAAAGCTTTGAGTTGCCTATTTGATTTCTGCACCCAGACACAGACCCCCATACAGAACTCTGGGAGGTTCAGTGCTTGTGCTCAGTACACTAAAAATCCTAACATGCTGATAAGGGTGTTATCATTAATTTTACATGTCAACGTGACTGAACCATGGGATGCCCAGATAGCTGGTTAAACTGTATTTCTGGAGTGTGTCTATGAAGGGGTTTCTGGAAGGGATTAGCATTTGAATGGATAGACTGAATAAAGCGGATGTTCCTCCCCAATGTGGGTGAGCACCATCCTACAACTGGGGCCTGGAATAGAACACACAGGCTAGGAAGGTTGAATTTGCTCTCTCCCTCACCACTCATGCTGGGACATCAATCTACTGCCCTTGACCCCCCTCGTTCTCGGGCCTTCAGACTTTGACTAGAATATATGCCATCAGCTTTCTTGTTCTCAGGCCTTCAAACTACATTGCTGCTTTCCTGGATCTCCAGTTTGCAGACAGCAGATCATGGCACTTCTCAGCTTCCATAATCATGTGAGGCAATTACTTATAATAAATCTCATTTATATATACCTCCTATTGGTTCTATTTCTCTGGAGAACTCTGACTAACACAAAGGGCAATGCTTCCATTAAGTGAACATTTTGCTTAATCTGTTCATTTAAAATAGAGACACACTATGCATCTGACAAGCTCCATAAACACACTTGAAAATCATGCAGTTTCTCCTCTTTCCACATCTGGACTTGAGCTCTGCTCACTTCCCCTGATTTTTGGCTCTCCTGGCTGCATAAAGAACCTCTCAGGGTCTTGCCCAAGGCAAAGGGTCTATGGAGACAAGAGCCAGAGCACCAGAGGAGCATTAGTGTCTCATTGGTCAACTGTGACATCATGTTTTAAATATTTGACTCTAGGGATAAGGATAATTGAAAACATGCTTCCATTCTCAAGCACCTTGTATAACACTAATTGACTCTTACTCTGTAAAATTTTTCTCCAAGTGATATTGTCAGTGTATCAGTGTTTTTCCAAATGTAAGGTTTTACTTTACCCTGTTCATATGCAAGGGCGGTGTTCAGTAACTAACTGATCAACCAACTTCTCCCTATTTTATGCTTGCCAAATGTCTTCATATTCACTAGCTGTTTTAGGAAAAACACACATGAGCACGAGTATGGGCATGTGAGTGTGTGTCTATGTGTGTGCATGTGAATGTATTGATCCTGGCTTTATTAGCTTAAATGTCTCAACTTAAATCAAGAACAAAGAGTGAAATGTTGCTGAAACTTTTTTATTGCTGTTTAAAATAATATATCATGACATGGCTATTTTGAATTTCACAGAGGATCTTAGACTTGGAAGAAATAGGAGAGATCATGTAGTTCAAAACCTTATGCTAATTTTCACGTTACCAGATGAAAAGCAATTTTTAAAATCCTCAGATCTGAAGCTGATGCTACCTTATTTTGAAAAAAGCCTGCACTGTTTGCTAGTGCTCTGTCTTTCGCTCTTTCTTCATTTTATTAAGCTTTTAAAATCTCACCTGCATATATTATACTTTGCGTGTCCTTATTTCCTCTGCTTGACTGCTGCCATATCTGACAACTGTTCCTATTTTAAAGGCATCATTTTTTCTTGTAGACTTTTATTTTGTTCCACATTATCCATGTTCTCTTTCCCTTTTAAATAATACTATACACCCTAATTAATTTGAATCAGAAGAAAAAAGAGAACCACAGATTCTGGCCACCATCATGCCAACCTCACCCCTGGTAGAATGTCAAATACTTTTGTATTAGGCCATTCTTGTATTGCTATAAAGATATACCTGGCTGGGTGCGATGGCTCACACCTGTAATCCCAGCACTTTGGGAGGCCAAGGCGGGCAGATCACGAGGTCAGGAGTTTGAGACCAGCCTGTCCAACAGGGTGAAACCCTGTCTCTACTAAAAATACAAAACTTAGCCGGGTGTGGTGGTGCTCACCTGTAATCCCAGCTACTCAGGAGGCTGAGGCAGGAGAATCACTTGAACCTGGGAGGTGGAGTTTGCAGTGAGCTGAGATTGCACCTCTGCACTCCAAGTGGGCAACAGAGCAAGACCCAGTCTCAAAAAAAAAAAAAAAAAAGAAAAGAAAAAAAAAGAAAAGAAAAGAAAAGAAAAAAGAAATACCTGAAAGTAGGTAATTTATAAGAGAAGAGATTATTTAATTGGCTTATGGTTCCACTAGTTGTTCAGGGAGCATACGAGCATCTGCTTCTGGGGAGGTCTGAGGGAGAATTTACTCATGGCAGAAGGTAAAGCAGGAGCAGGCGCATCACATGGCCATGGCCAGAGCAGGAGCAAGGCAGCCTGGGTGGCGGGGAAGAGAGAGAGAGAGAGTGGGAGGTACTTTTAAATGACCATATGTCACGAGAACTCAGAGCTAGAGCTCACTTATCACCAAAGAGATGGTCCAAGCCATTCATGAGGGATCCACCCCCATGATCCAAACACCTCCCACCAGGACCCACCTCCAACACTGGAAATTACATTTCCACATACGATTTGGGTGGGGACAAATCTCCAAACTATATCAGCTTTCATGACTGTTGGATGCTATCATGAGATAATTAAGTTTATCATTTACCAGGGTATCCAATGATGACCACATTTAGCCTCAGACTCATTACTTTCCCTAAGGAGTATCAAGGGGAAAAAGTCCCAGTGCAGTGGCTTACAAATGGAAGGTGAAATAACCCTGTAGTTGGCTGGGGCTTTGTCACCAAACCCCAATGAGAAGTGCTGATAATATAGTTAAGCCATATGGAGAACTCCTAACAAGCCACTTTACCTTCCAAGCCCAACCCCAAATCTGCAATTCCATGTTTGTAGGAAAAGGACTATCCAATGTGCATGAATTAGGCCCAAGAGGCACGGAAGCAGATATTGAGATCCAGCCCTATCTTACCTGTCTAGGTGGGAGTGGGGATGCCCACACATTTGAATGTAGCTCCTGAAAAGGGCCACTTCTAGAAACAGAAAGAGAATTCATGAATGTCCTGGAAACTGACAATACTGGTTAATGTTCTGTTTGGGGGTAGAAAAAAACTGTCTAATTCTGGTGGTTAGAGTAATGTAGTGGGGGCTGGGGAAGTAGTGGAGAAAGCAAGGCCTATATCAACATTTTAAGCTACTTGTAGGTCCTTTTAATACTAAACTACAAAAACTTGTACAGTTTTTGCAGTAGTGAACCTTAGACAGTGTCCTATCCAGCCAGTCACTGGGTGGATAGTATCAGTTCTGAATATAAAGCATGCTATTTTTTAACTTTATTTGTTTCTTAATTCAAAAAAATGATTTTTTCCAAATTACAAAAACCACACAAGCCTGTATAATCAAATAGAAAGATATAGAAAAGCAAAGCAAATTATTCCTCAGTAACCCACACACACAAATATTAATGGCATTCCTTTCTATTCTGCTTCCGCAAATACTTCACATATGCCCAGATTTTATTGATTGATTGATTTCCACTAAAGTGGGGTCATGCTACATACAAACTTGGCAATTTTCCACTTAATAATAATCTGTTATTTAGCAATATTTCATGGTTACTTCTCCAAATGGGTAGCTTTAGTTCTAACTTTATCTTCTTTTTCTAATATCTCTATGAGTCTACATACACAAATGTAAGTAAATACCTAAATGTGATTGCATTTATGTGCTATTTTCTTCTTTTTTGCTCACCTCTCGTCTGCCTTCTTCCTTTTCCACTCTACCTGCAACACCCCCACTGCCTGCCAAACCACTGCGGTATCCACCTGATGTGCATCTTTTGGTACAGTTTCCATATTTATAAAACTATATCATAAAGGGTGCTTGATAAATAGACATGTATATGCATGATTTTATTTAAACAATTTTGATGTCATTAAGGAACAAGTTCATTTTTAAGGCAACATTACAGTGATGGAATAACTTGGTGAATTAGAAAGAGGAATTTTGTATGTTCATAAAATCCATATTTCTCTTAGGTTAAAAATTCGAATACAAGATTGCTAAGAACTTGGCTTATTTAAGGTGAAACAGGAAGGACTCTATTCTGATGTAAGAATACATAGCATGTTTCACGAGCTGCCAGGAAAGAGAAGCTGCCATGACGTCGGTCCACAAAGCAGGTCATTTGCAAACCTCTGCTTTTTGGGAGAAAATCCTTCCTCATCAGCTGATTGACTCCAATTAAGAACTTTGGATGGTAGCAAGGGGAATGTGAAAATAAGTTAATGTGAATTGAGTGTCCACAACATAAAAGGCATTTTGACATACTTTATTTCATTTAACTTTCAGAAACCCTGTGATGTAGACATTTGCATCCTCGTTTTATAGACAAAGAAACTGAAGATTAAAAAACTTAAGCAATCTTGTCCAAGATGACATAGCTCGTAAGTGATGGAAATGACATTTCAATGGGGTCTGTCTGGCTCCAAATACCATGTTATGTCTGGTACATCATTGCTGTTATCTTCACTGAATAAAATGCTTCTTCTGGTACTACTCTCATCAATATCGGAATAGGGATGAGCGAGCCTTGGCATGAATGCCAATGAAGGTCATCTGAGGCCATGGTCTTAGTGTACACGCTCTTTTCCTTTATCTCTCTTCCTTTTCTACATTTCTTTCTTTTTTTTCTGCATTGAAGACTACCAGGGGCATCTAAGAGGATTCACAGAGTAAAATAGTAATGCAGGGAAAACTTGTCTTCCTCCAGCAATCGTCCTTGTTCCCCACCCCATCACTACTTGACATGTCCTATCCACTGGTGGCTGGCTGGACACATAATCCACATTATCACACGAAATGAGAAGATTAGAAAAGTGCCCTCTCTCTCTGGGACTCATTTGATGACTGTTTTCTGTAGAATATGAAGGAGCAATGCTAGTGGTGGTGACTTCTAACTAGATGAGATAAAAGGGCTGTAAGAGGGGAAATATTTTGGGAGTACAGTTCCAGGGAAACCCACTCCTGGGCCCCACCATACTGCCAAATTGTAATTGTGAGTAAGGACCACTTTAGGCATGGCTTAGCCTCAATCCTGACAGCTAGGTCAAAAACAAGATCTTTGGAGCTACTCTTCAGACATTGATTGTGCAACAGAGACTGCCAGCTGGTCACCAGAGCAGACAGCACATTTCCCCAATCCTCTTGCAGCTCAGTATGTCCACGTGTGGTAAATTTAGGGAATTTGGGGCTTTGAGTTGATGCAGTAATGGGTTAAGACTTTGCAAGGTGTTTGGCTGAGTGAATGTTTTTTGTATGTGGGATATATGTGAATTTTTGTGGACCAAAAAGCAGGCTATAGTAGACTAAATAATAGCTCCCAAAGATATCCAGGCCCTAATTTATGAAATCTGTAACTGTTATACAGCAACAGAAACTTTGCAGATATAATAAAGTTAAAAATCTTTAGATGGAAGGTTTATCCTGCGTTGTCATGGTAGACTCTAAATTCAATCACAAGTGTCTTATAAGAGAGAGGTTAACAAAGATTTGCTAGAGAAGAAGGTAGCATGGTGACCACCAAAGAAAGCATGGCTTTGAAGATGGAGGTGGGGGCAGGCACAAGGAGGGGTAAGCAATGCAGCTTCAGCAGCTGGTGAAGGCTGAGCACAGGTTTTCCTCCGTCCCTCTAGGGTGAGCGCGGTTCTGCCAGCATCTTGATTTCAGCCCAGTGAAACTGATTTCAGATTTCTGCCCTCCAAAATTGTAAAAGAATAGATGTATATTGTTTTAATCCATGGTAGTTGTGGCAATTTGTAACAGCAGCAACAGGAAGTTAATATACCACGTAACTGAGTGTTAGCCAAGGAAATGTGTCCAGACTGGGCAGACTTTCAGGCCAGATCTGTAAAAACTACCCCAATGGTCTACTAAAACCCTTTATGACTGGATGGAGGAAACCCCAGTGACCATAGAAACCACACATTGAAGATGGCAGAGCTTCCTGGGCCCTGAAATTCCTGTGTGGAGAAGAACAGGCCTTATTGACCTAGAAGTACTTGGCAAGAAATAAACTGCCACTGCGTGTGAGCTGTTACTCCTTTCGTGGTTGATTTGGTACAGTGATTTGTGTGACCCTAACTAGTACAGCCAATGCATGCTTTCTTCAACCCACAGTATCACTCTTTTATTGACAGATAGATTTATTTTCACCCTTCTTGGGCAAAGCCAAGCATGGCCCTCACTGAGCAAAATTCTTGAGATAGCTGATCTTACCAGGGATGCACACAAAATTGTGTTTTGTGCTATTTTTACCTATGCTGGCACTGTTCCTGAGAATATACACACAGAAGAGGCTGATGGTCTGAAGAAGCATTATGGCATTTTATAATTGTCAGTTGGATACTTACTATGGGGCATTTCATATTACACAGGGAAATGGCAGAAAGTGCAAGACTATCTATCTATCTGTCACCTATCTATCCATTCATCCATCCATCCATTCATCCATCCATTCATCCATCCATCCATCCATCCATCCATCCATCCATCCACCTACCTCCCTAACTACCTACGTACCAACATACCCATTTATCTGTCTATCTATTCCATTGCTGCTATATACTCATTCAATCCTCAACTGAACCTAGATAGATAGTTAGATACATATATAGATATGTAGGTATATGAATATATCTGTTGTGTATGAGCGTGTGCATATTCTTAGAGCAGTGTCTAGCACCCTGTGTTGTGTAAGTAGTCACCATTATTATGATGAAGACAAAGGACATTCAAGGTGCTATAAAATTGCACAGCAAGAGAATATAATTTTATCTAGGGGTGAAAAATGCCTCCCACAGAAAATTTTCTTCCAAGCTGATACCTGAAGATCAGATGGAGGGGAGGCTACAGCTAGATAAAACAGAATATGCAAAATCTCTAAGACAGGAAGGAGCACAGTGTTGTAGAGAGAAAAAGCAGTTCATTGTGGCTGGAGCAGCATGAAGGGAAGGGGAAAAGGCAAGAAGTGAGATGGTAAGTGAAGACCAAAGGTAGAGCAAGAGTCACGTAGTATTTATATTTACTATTCGCAACCACCAAGACAGGTTACAACAAACCACAAAACTGATTTAAAAAATAAATAAATAAATAACAGTAATTGATAAATCAGTATTTTCAGAACTGTTATGTCGAATGATATGTATATTATATTAGAGAAACTTTGGTGGACTCAATTTGTCTTTCTGGTTTGTTTCTGGCATTTCTAAATTAAATATAACAGATTAAAATTTACTGAAGAAAGGAAGAGCGAGACCAGCCTTCTACAGCATTTCTCTTCCCCGCCACCTCCTGATGTGAGTGTGAGGGAGCCGCCCTCTCCATCTAGCAGCAGCTCTGTGGCTGAGAGACTGTTCTGGGCCAGGAGAGAACTGTCCATCATGTTGACCATGCAAAGAAGGAAACTTCAGCTCATGCCGATTTACTTGTCCTCCAACCCCATCTCTCTTCAGTGAGTTCCTGGGTTGCACAGTGCACAGTGCACTCCAGGAAATGGTTCATTGACCTGAGCTAATCCCAGCTTATGAACTCAAAGATGTAAAGGGCTGTCATCATCTGATGGCACGTTGCTGGTCTAAAACCCAGCAGAGAGGCTCTGTAATGTCATGTAGAGCAGCATCTGAGAGAAGCTGGCCTTGTTTTTCCTATGGGAACTGAATTGCCCCCCATGGTCTTGCAAGCACCTGCTTAGACATGCAGCTGCAACCCACACCCACTCCCGACCGTGGCCGTGGTTGCTTTGTGTTTCCCAGCTAGAGCATTAGGTGTTATCTCAGTATTGGGAATCTGTGTTCTGCCTTAAAAAAAAAAAATCAATGCTTTCGATTTTCATAGCATCCCCATTGTGTAATCTTGTCTGCTCAGTCTATAATTTGGGGTAGTTTGATGTCTATCAAGCAGACCTGGAGCTATTTTCCCTTTTTTCTTTAGGAATATTTGCTGAACTTCTACTGAGACTGCTATAGAATTGGTTTTTCTGTTAAAGAAAAATATTGTAATAATCATTGTAATAATCATTATTTGCTCCAGGTTGACATTTTGGCTGGATGAAGCAACTCAAAAATGGGCTGGAAGATTTAGTTTTTTTTTAAAGTTCATATAAAAACACTTTGAAATTGTCCAAGTGTTTTTGCAAATAGTAATTGTTATTGCTGTTGTTCACACGATGACCATTTATCAGACCTTCCACAGACTGGGGAAGTTGCAATTACTGAAATGTGCCATGATTTTAACACTTACATGTCAACCTTGACCAGCCAATGTCAAAAAAAAAAAAAAAAACATTCTTTATGTGTTCAAAGAGGTGGGAGTCCTGCTTTTTAAGATGATAGATGTCAGTGTAGATTTCATAGCTTAAAGGAATTGCTTTCAGAATCTGAAGGAGGAAAGACAACTAAAAGTTAAAAGTTAGAGTGCCTGTTCTGGATACAGGATAGCATCAGTAATAAACTATTCAAAAGAAGGCTTTTTATAATTACCATGTATGTGCATTGGAGTGAGAGAATGTAGCCTATTACAAAATACTGGTTACTACCATGGGTATCTCTGCTTGTTTGAATTGGTGATCACTGACCAAATGAAGAAAGAGTTGAAGATGATTAGTAGGTGAAATCTTGGCTTTGAGAGATGTTAAATAATGTTCCTCCTTTTAATAGGTGATATCCTTTATTTCTCTGGGGACTTTTGTGACATTGATTACAGAATAAATTTTGATGATTCTCAAGAGGAATAAAGGCCAGGCTAGTCAGAATTCGTCCTCTACTTAAGAAATATGATGCAATCATTTTATCTGATCAGATATTAAATTTGGCTGGAAAAGTTTAAGCTGAAAGCTTCCGTCTCCTGGCATTGTGGCATCTGTGACCAGCATTTGCCACAGAAGAGGCATATCTATGTTGCCCATGTGGACATCACTCTGAGGGAGGACTTTGTTTTCACCTTAGCTTGATAACTTTAACTGAGAGCTGACCTTGCCTCTCCAAAGGGCGTCACCCACTGTTGTTGCCGGCAGGGTCAGAGTGGCACAGTAGGTGCTGCTGGAGCCCAGCCCCCACCAGACCCTCTGTAAGAACCCAGAATAACATCCACTCAAATTTTTGACACTGGAGTGGGGAAGAATTTTAGCAGGTGTCTGCACACTTCTTCTTCTTCTTTTTTTTTTTTAAAGGCTGGATGGTAAACACATTCAGCTCTGCAGGCCATGTGTCTAAAACCATATGTTGATCACAACACACCATGAGACAGACCCCTAGTGCTGATGGTGAAAGAGAAATAAGAGGAAAAGAGCCTGGATCTCCAACAGCCTGGAGCCCCCCACTCTACACCACTCTAGTTTATGGGAAAGAGAGACACTCTTCTAAATTTCTTAGATCATGGGTATTTTGAGTTTAAGGTCCCTCTTTGTCCAATCTATTTCTCACTAATATAGGCACCTAAATTTTTACTTACTGTACAGTGACTGCCTATATTAGTGAGAAATGTAAACTGATCCTATATTCTATCTTACTTTGTTTATTCCTTCACTTTGAATGGAGAGAAAAGGCAGAGATATTATAGCATTTCCCAGCAGAAAGTAGAGAATCAGATGAGAAATGACATTAACATAGTAAGAGCAAGGTTGGTGCCCTGAGTAAATCACAAAGGGCTAGGGTTTAAGTGGCCCCAACCCCAGCTCTGCTACAAGAGCCTATTGATTATTTGTACCCCATGGGCCACATAAGAGTCAGGGGTCTGGGATGCAAGAAACTAAAAAACAAAAACAAAAGCATAAGAACAAAAAAACTAAAACTTTGGCTGACTTAAGCAGGTAAGTATTTTATTAAGAAGACATGAAGTAGCTCTCGGGACAACCACGAAGGGCATAGGACAAGCTTGGAAAATGCTCAGGAACATGAGGTCCTGGAAGCAACTAGGACTGTAAGCAAACCACACAACAAAACCAGTCAGGGAGGACACCATTGCTGTTGCCAGAACTGAGCAAGAATACTGCATTGCAGCATCAAGCCTGGAGCTCCTGAAATCACGACTGCCACTGCCCACCATCAGAAGGGAATCTCCCTACCTTTTTACATCTCAAGCTCCCAATTCAGAATTTGGAATAGGTACTTCAGATTAGTGCAGCCTTGGTCATGTGCCCATACTTAGCTGCAAGGGAGGCTGAGAAGGTGAAAGTTTGAGGTTTTCAGCATCTAGAGTGAAAATCAAGCTTTGCTTCCTACTGAGACTCATGAGCTGAGGAATTTCCCATTTGTAAGAGGGCTTCAGATGCCCAATAGCTACAGAGAGAGAGAGAGAGAGAGAGAGAGAGAGAAACTTTACCATAGGACTCCATTTCCTCTTCTGCAAAATGAAGTCTCCAAAGTTGTTCTAACTTTTCAGACGTTCTGATTCTACAGCAGTAACATTTAGATGTTTATGCATATTATGAATATGTTTCTTGTCATTTAAAAAAATATGGGAGGAAGCAGCTCATAGAGCTTATGCTTTCTGAGCTCCTTGGATCTGGCCAAGAATCTTGAGAGCAAATATGTTTCATTTTGCATGCTAACACCTATTGATTGATTGTGGTTTCGAAAACTGTTATGCAAATATAATTTAGAGAATGACTCCATCTTCACCAGGAAAGATAGTTTGGATCAATTAGCAGGGACTTCCATGCAGGGGTAAGAGTGAGGGAGGGTACCACCTGTGTGACCCATCAACAAATTGTAGCCAAACTCAGAAATATTAGGGGCCAGAGCCTCTCCTCGCATTGTTCTTTCTCACCAGAGAGAGAGCTGCAAGTGGGAACCCGTCCCTGAGGAGAGCTTCAGATCGAGGTTGAAAGTAGCCAGGACTCTGCCCAACAGGGACAGAGGGCCCAGTACTCAGCCAGACCAATTGCCCCACAGTTTTACAGCCAGCACAGTCATACAGAGCCTCCAGGTCATCAGTCATAGTGTAGACACTTGTCCAGACAAGTGACCTTAAGTGACCTTAGCAGAGACATTTTAGAAGACCTGGGTATTATGATCAAGGCAGGCTTTGCTTGCATTGGGGAGTTCTTTACCCAGAACACAAGTCCTGAGGTGATACTGCTCCGTGGAGGATTTCAGAGAAAATGTGAATGTGCTGGGGTGGAGGGAGGCTGGAGAAGCAGATCCAAAAAAAAGGATAAAATTCTTGGCTTAGGAAACTTTGGGGACTCTCCACACAATTTTTTTGCTCTTAGTGGATTCTGCATTCCCTTCCAACTCATCTGCCTAATTCACTCTTGGGTTTGGTCCCTCTGGGATGAACTAACTTGGTTCATGAGAATGGCAGTAACACCAATGTTGCAGAGGACAGTTAGCAACCTGTGATTTGGCACACGGATCAGTCATTAGTATTCATCTAAATATCCACCAGGAATGTGAGTGTGTCCTGTGGCAGTTGGTTGGAAATGTGAGATTCTGGTAGCAAAAGCAGTGGAAGTTTAATCATTGGCAATCCTCACTAGATAAGGCTCTCCGCTAATCAGGTGTGAGTCTTAAACAGATAGAATCCATCTGTTAAGGGAGATTAGAAATATTTCCCATTAAATAGGCTCTGGATGTGACCAAATCATGAGAGAGTTAGGGAAGCAAATTATGAGATTCTGGAAGCAGTTAAGAAGGAGTGGCTTTTGGGGAAGCCAGATTCCCAATTGGTTTTTTTGTTTCAAAAATTAGTCTTTTAAAAAGACTTTTTATTATATTTCAGGCCCGCCACAAAGGATAGAAAACATGATAAACAATTGTGTGTCAACTATCCAAGAAAAAAACAGGTTCCAGGGCATTTGCAGCTAAAGCATCATATATAAGATGTAAAGAAGTCCTTTTCGTTTCTAATCTCTTCATGTAAAGAACGCGTGAATGCAAATCTCAGTGCTACATATGATTCTTTCTCATTGTATAGTCCCTTCTCTTTACTGGTTTTGAATGACTTTTGTTTGTTTCTAAAAGTCAGATCAGCTCTAGGATGACGGTTTTACTCTATAAAGGGATGTTGAAGGGAAAACATTACATGCTCTGAAGGCCATTTTAGTGATGAGATACCAAAGAAAGTTTGCTAAAAAGCAATATCATTGGAATCAGGGTATAAATCTCCAAGGTGGTAACTTTGAGGGGATGACAGCCACTTACTTGACTGTGTAAAATCTTGAGTGGCCAGAAACAACCATCACGTAATTTTATAGTCAGCATTATTGCCAAAGTCTTCATGGAAGGAGTTTCTATAAATTTTCACGGTAATATTTGTAACTCTTCCTGCAGAGACATTCCTTTTTATGTCAACTCTAAACCTATTCTCCTGCAATCCAGCTGATTACATTCTGCTTGACCCTGAATCATAACAATAGCTGTTATTTGAACCTCAAAATGGCTCTCTGCCTACGAGGTGGGTACTATTATAGCCCTTGTTTACAGATTAGTAGCATCAGGTTTAGTGAGATTAAGAACTTTTCCCAAAGTCAAACAATTAGGAATGAAGAAAGCTGAAGATTCACACCGCCAACTGAGCCCCCTTAACCACTGTTCTTCAGATTCCCATGGCAAAAAATGGCTTCTCAGACACAAGAGCTCATTTTTCATGGAGGTGAAATGGATACACATTTCTCCAACACACAAATTGAACCCATTTTGGTTGGGTTGCTATGGCCTCAGATTCCACCAGGTCTTCCAAATCTGATAAAAGTGAGTGGTCTAGGGCAGAGCTGTACATAGAATATGTGCCACATATTCAGAGTGAGCTGTCATCTCTAACCGTGGCTTCCCTAAAGAAGCTTAACTCCATCTCCTTGGAAATAGGTGGATTTGGTTCCTTGGCATCCGTTGCTAGGTGACTCACTGCCTGCATCAGTCAGCCAGAATTATAGGTGCAAGGCAGAATACAGGCATACCTCATTTGATTGCACTTTGCTTTATTTATTTTTTTTAATAATTGAAGGATTAGGGCAACCCTGTGTCAAGCAAGTCTACTGATGCCATTTTTCCAACAGCATGGACTCACTTCATGTCTCTGTGTCACATTTTAGTGATTCTCACAAAATTACAAACTTTTTCATTATTACTATATTTGTTATGATGATCTGTGACCAGTGATCTTTAGTGTTCCTATGGTAATTGCTTTGGGGCATTATGAGTCATACCCATATAAAACAGAAAATTTAACCCATAAATGTGTGTTCTGACTACTCCACTGACCAGCTGTTTCCCCATCTCTCTCCCTCTTCTCAGTCGTCCCTATCCCCTGAGACACAAAATATTGAAATTATGCCAGTTAGTAAGCCTACAGTAGCCTCTAAATGTTTAGGTGAAAGAATGAGTGGCATGTCTCTCACTTTAAATCAAAAGCTTAGTGAGAAAGGCATATTGAAAGCCAAGATAGGCTGAAAGCTAGGCCTCTTAAGTCAAACAGTTAGACAAGTTGTGAATGCAAAGAAAATGTTCCTGAAGGAAATTAAAAGACCCATTCCAGTGAGCACACAAATGATATAAAGGAAAACAGCCTCCCTGCTAATACAAGGGAAGTTTTAGTGGTCTAGAAAGAAGATCAAACTGGCAACAACATTCCCTTAAGTCAGAGCCCAATCCAGAGCATGGCCCTAACTGTCTTCAATTCTATGAAGGCTGAGGAGAGGTGAGGAAGTTGCAGTAGAAAAGTTTGAAGCTAGCAGAGGATGGATCATCAGGTTTAAGGAAAGAAGTGATTTCCAGAACATGAAAGTACAAGGTGAAGCTGTAAGTGCTGATGTAGAAGTTGTAGCAAGTTATTGAGAAGATTAGCTAAGATCATTGGTAAAGGTGGCTACACTAAACAACAGATTTTCAATGTAGATCAGTCAATGCCTGGCTTCAAAGCTTCAGAAGACAGGTTAAGTCTCTTGTTAGGGTCTAATGCAGCTGAGGACTTTAAGTTGAAGCTAATGCACATTTATAATTCCCAAATTTCTAAGGCTCTTAACAGTTATATTAAATGTATTCTGCCTTTCCTCTATAAATGGAACAACGAAACCTGGATGACAGCTTATCTGTTTACGATATGGTTTTTTGAATATTTTAAGTCCACTGGTAAGACCTACTGTTTAGAAAAGAAGATTCTTTTCCAAATTCTATTCCTTATTAACAATGCACCTGGTCACTCAAGAGCTCCGATGGAGATATACAAGGAGATTAATGCGGTTTTCATGCCTGTTAACACAACATCCATCCTAAAACCCATGGATCAAGGAGTAATTTCAAATATCTAGTCTTATTATTTAAGAATACTTTTTGTAAAGCTACAGCTGCCATAAATAATGATTTCTCTGATGGATCTGGGTAAAGTAAATTGAAAACCTTCTGGAAAAGATTTACTATTTTAGATGCCATATTAAGAACAGGCATGAATCATGAGATTAGGTTAAAATAACAACATGAATAAGAGTTTGGAATAAGTTGATTCCAGCTCTCATGATGGCTTTGAGGGATTCAAGACTTCAGTGTGGAGGAAGTTACTGCAGCTGTGGTGGAAAAAAGCAAGAGAACTAGAGTTAAAAGTGGACTGTGAAGCTGGGACTGAATTGCTGCAATCTCATGGTAAAATTTGAGTAGGTAAGTAGTTACTCCTAGGTAGGCAAAGAAAGTGGTTTCTTGAGATGGAAACTACTCCCAATGAAGATGCTGTGAACACTGTTGAAATGAAAACAAAGGACTTAGAATATTCAATAACCATATTTAATAAAGCAGTGGCAGGGTTGAAGAAGACTGACTTCAATTTTGAAGGAAGTTCTACTGTGGGTAAAATGTATCAAACATCATCACCTGTTACAGAGAAATCTTTTGTGAAAGAAGTCAATCAATGTGGCTAACTTCACTATTGTCTTATTTTAAGAAATTGCCACAGCCACCTCAACTTTCAGCAACCACCATACTAATCAGTCAGCAGCCATCAACATCAAGGCAAGACCCTTTACTAGCAAAAAGATGATCATTTGCTGAAGACTAAGGTGATTACTGGCATTTTTCAGTAAAAAAATTTTTTAATTAATATACATTCATTTTAGGCATAATGGTATTGCACACTTAATAGACTACAGTATAGTGTAAATGTATTTTTTTTTTTTTTTTTTTTTAGAGACGGAGTCTCACTCTGTTGCCCAGGTTGGACTGCATGGCCTGATCTCAGCTCACTGCAAGCTCTGCCCCCCAGGTCCATGTCATTCTCCTGCCTCAGCCTCCAGAGTAGCTGGGACTACAGGCACCCACCACCACACCTGGCTAATTTTTGTATTTTTAGTAGAGATGGGGTTTCACTGTGTTAGTCAGGATGGTCTCGATCTCCTTACCTCGTGATCTGCCTGCCTCGGCCTCCCAAAATGCTGGGATTACAGGTGTGAGCCACCGCACCCTGCCAAATGTAACTTTTATAGGCACTGGGAAACCAAAGAATTTGTGTAACTCACTTTATTGCTATATTTACTTTATTGTGGTATTCTTGATCCAAACTCACAATATCCCTGAGGTATGCCTGTAGGTTCTAGATTTTCTGTCATGCATACTTAGAATCTGCCCCTGGAATACAACAAGCATGAATTAATAAATTGCTGAGAAAATCTCAAAGGACAAACTCTACAAAGGTCAATAACTGTTGGAGCCTTAATTGGTTAGGATTTCACCCAACATATCGATCTTACAATGTTAACAGCTACTCCCCATCAGCACCATAAACACTCTCTTGTTTTTTGGGAAATATACAAACCTGACTTTCCAACCCTACCCATCCCCACCCCAGTTTCAGATGAAAACCAAAAAGCACTTGGAAACTTCTCTGGTTTGACAGCTTATTTAAATATCTCTTGTTTCTAGGCTTTTGTATTTTGAGAAAGGTTTTTCTAATAGCCTCCCCACATCCCAATCATTTTAACTAAACTTCCTCTGAACGTGAGTGTTCTCCTTTCACTTCAGTTTAATTGGAGAAGTTTGAAATATTGGTCCAAATTTTTCACTGCCCTGCTGTATGACATTCAACATTGGCCATGGCCAAACAGTAGGCAGAATGGCCTTCCTTGACCCTGGGCTTTGGAATTGGTTATGTGGCTTTCATTGTCTGTAATTTTTTTTATTGCTGTCATAACAAATTATCACAAAGGTATCAGCTTAAAACAATTATCACAAAGGTATTAGCTTAAAACATTTATTATCTCATAGTTTCTGTAGGTCAGAAGTTCAGTGATCTCTACTGCATCCTCTGCTTAGGGTCTCATAAGGCCTAAATCAGCAGGGCTGGATCTTTTATGTAAGTTCAAGGAATGAATCCACTTCCAACCTCACTCAAATTGCTGGTTGAGTTCCGTTCTTTGTAATGCTAAGACTGATCTCCCCTTTCTTGCTAGCTGTTACCAGGAAGCCAGTCTTTGCTCCTATAGGCTATCTGCATTTCTTCCCATGCTTTCCGTGTGGCCTCTTCCAACAATGGTGGGTTGTGTTCCTTTCACACTTCAAGTCTCTTTGACTTCTCTATGGCTGCATCTTTCTCACTCAAGCTGGAAAAAGTTCTCTGCTTTTAAGGACACATGATTAAATTGAGTCCACTCAATCCTAGATAATCCCCCTATTTTAAGGTTTATAATATTAAATACATAATATTAACTACATCTGTAAAGTCCCATGTGCCATAAAATGTGACATACTCACAGGTTTCAGGAATTAAGGTATGGACATCTTTGGAGGTCATTCTGACTACCACATTGACCAATGGGATATTAGCACAGGACATGCAGGCAGAGGCTTGAAATGTGCATGCAAGGATGGTTTGATCTCTGGTTCTTCAATCATCACCATAAGAATAACTTCCCCAGGTAGCTGAATGCCCTTCTCTATGGGTCCCAGAATAAATACACTTGGAAGAATTCTGAGCCCCACATGTAAGAAGGAAGCAAGGGCAACTCAATCAGCAGCTAGAAGCAGAGCCACCCAGCTGAGCCCAGTCTGTATTAATCCATCTGCTCTGAGTCAACCTACAGACCCATTATCCTAAAAAGAATCACTTATTGTTGTCTGCCACTGAGTCTGAGGGACTCAGCTTTATTGTGGCAATTGCTGACTGATATAGCAATTGACCTTAAAAAGTAAAGCAAAGTATCTCTTTTCTTGTTTTATTTTCTACACCCAACATAAGTTTCATTTCAAAATCAGTTCCAATCCTAAGTCATCCAAGAATCTGAGCTTTGTTACTGTAAAAAGGCCCTGGCTAAGGACAGAAAACTTGGACTGAAATTCTGGCTGTACTTTTGGCTTATGTGATCTTGCATAAGTTATTTACTCTGTATATGTCTTGAAATCTTCATATATTAAACCAAGATAATAAATCCAAGCTCATAGAATTATAGTAAAAATTAAATAAAATAGTAAATTTAGTCACTCAACTCTTCTTTAGTGTAGTCATGAAACTAATACTTATTGAGTTATTACCATTAGTCAGGCATTATGTTAAGAACTGAGGAATCAAAGATAGTTAAGACAAATTTCTATCTTTAAGAAGTGTATATTCTAGTGATGAGAGCATTTTATAAATGTTAAAGCAGCCTACAAACCCAGGGCATTACTGTGGTGGTGGTTCTTTCTTCCCACCCCATACCTCTTCCTCCTCTCCCTCCTCCTCCTCCTCCTTCTCCTTCTTCTTCTTCTTCTCTTCCTCTTCTTCCTTCTCATCAGTCATAAACTGCTTTTCCATACCTGCTGTCCCATTTTCTTCTAACTTTTCAATCAACCATTGGCTTATTATAAAGATTAACATCTCGCAAATCCTACCTTCACATTCTTCACATGAAATAAAAGATAGTTATCTTTATGCATTGGAGAAACAGCATTTGACTTCAGGAAACCCAGATTCACTAATCCCTATAGGCAAGCACAGTGGCTTTTCAGTTGAAAAGTGTTAATCATTCTTAAATCTATTCAAAATCCTCTTTTTTATTTTCTTCACTCACAAAATGTACCTCAGGGTATATTTGCCTCTTTATCAAAACCCAACAACAACACAAATGAGTTACATGAATTCCATACAAAATATAATAATGGAAATGGTCCAACTGCCTTTGTTGCTTTAATCTTTGAAAACCCATTCCAACTAGTCATCTTTTCTTCTGGATGGGAGCATTTATGTAAATACATGTGGCCCTTGATAGTTCTCTCTCCCAGACACAGTTATTATTTAAAGTATATAACCCAAGAGAGTGTTTTTGGAGCTTTGTGTTCTTGTCATTCGCCATGGTACTGGAGCTGTTGGTTTGCTTCTCTACCTCTTTCCGTCTTCTTTTCCCCTTGTGTTATGTCCCTGGATGAGAGAAAATTTTCTTTTTGTTGGGTTGCTCCTAATAGTAAAAAATAATGCTAAGTGTGCATAGCTTGACCTGCTCTGGAACAATTCACCAACACCCCAACTGACATAATATTGGCATTGAAACTCACCTCAGGGACACATCAACACCCTCCTAAGAGCTGCCAGGAGGGCTGCTACACTGTGATAAAATTCTTCTTCCCTCCAACATGAAAATTGACAGTGTTTCCATGGAGCCCTCTTAACTCTGTCTCTAGTGGGGGCCTCTGATCTAGGCTCAAAGTTCACTCAAAAGCCACTGGGATGGCCAATCATTCAGATCCCTCACTGCTCTCAAAGACTTTCTTACTATGAAGATATTGCTATACAGAATGATTGATTAGGTGGTAACAGGCACTCAGCACCATCATGCTTTCAGAGGAGACAGTCAAGAGAGTATAATTTGCAGCCATGCTCAGTGAAGGGACAGGTCACTCATTGTTCAGGTAGAGGCCCTCTGAGAAATGCAATGTATTTTTGTCATTCTGGTCATCACTTGTACCAGAATATAATATCCAACCTTTGGGCGTAAGATCCAGAAAAGATAAGATGCATTTGGGAATGGGAAATACTGTTTACTGGTGCTGGTCCTGAGGGACATGGTGAGGCACATCAGAGAGGCACAGCACCCAAATGAGTCCTGAACACCTTGTGTCAAGAAAAGAAAACACTTTTTGTGCAAGGCCACAAGAACATGAGAGGTCAGAATCTGAAGGGTTAAGTAAGCGAACAAAACCAGGAGGCAAAGGGAAGCTTGCAGAGATACAGAGAGAGCAAAGATGAAATAACATGTGGGTTTAGAATAAGGTGGTTTGGCTGTACTGTACTCTGGCTGTCCCATTTCCCCTGAAGCTTGGTGTACAGTGTCTTCTTCAGTCAAGGATAGGAGGTCCTGAATTGGGAGGCTTGGAACAAATCCCACACCCTAGTTCTTCTGTAGCTCAAACAAGTGGGCTCAATAAAAATAAGACTCCTTCAGACTCCTTCAGCTTCCTCCTCACCCAAGCATATGATGAAACTTCAGAGGATTGATTTGTCTGTCAATGCCTTACAACATTATGTTTAAAAGAGACCTTAAAGGCCATGTGGATTAATCTTGTGCCTTTAGGCAGATTTCTCTTGGCCACCCAAGAATATTCTTCATATTGATATGAAGCTATTAGTACAAAAATCAAACCAGAGAAGTTATGGCCCTCACAGATATGTGGTCAAGGCCTTATGTCTTCTTGAGGAAGATCTAACTAGCAAGCTTTAATCTAATGGCATAGACCCCAGATGGTAGCATTTCCAAGATGGATTATCATCACCTATTCTTACCTCTATCTTCTATTGGGTTTTCCAGTGCTTGGCACATAGTAGGTATTTCAGAAATATTTGGGGCATGAATAAAAGACTCAGGTGCATATCCTTTGTTCCCACATAGCTGACAAGGTCAATTAAGAAGGGTTATAAGGCAGGGCACAGTGGTTCATGCCTATATTCTCAGAATTTTGGGAGCCTAAGGTAGGTGGATCTCTTGAGTCCAGGAGTTTGAGGTCAGCCTGGGAAACATGGAGAAGACCATCTCTACTAAAAATACAAAAATTAGCTGGGCATGGTGGCACACGCCTGTAATCCCAGGTACTGGGGAGGCTAAGGCACAAAAATTACTTGAACCCGGGAGGCAGAGGTTGCACTGAGCTGAGACCATGCCACTGCACTCCAGCCAGGGTGACAGAGGTAGACTCTCTCTCAAAAAAAATAATAATAATAATAATAATAATCAGACTAGACCAACCAGGCAGAAAATCCTCACTGTGAAGTTTCCACTACTGGAAAATGAAAACTAGTCTGGCTCTTATTAGAAAGGAATATGGTTCACATTTCAAAAACATTGCATAGATAAGCTGTGGTGGATAAGCAGGTGGGCAAGCAAAGAGGAAATATTTATTGTTTAAATCTCACACGCATTGTGATGAATAACAATTGGCAAGTCGTGTCTATGAAATTGGATTCCCAACAACAACAACAAAAAACTGTATGACCATCTCGATGCTGCTCACATGCAGAATGGAGACTGGACACAAGGAAACTGGCTATCTGGACTAAGCTGAGATTCCAGTGCCATGCCTTAAACCTGCAGGGAGCCATCTGGGAGTAAGCTGTGCTGGGGCTTTTTGATTTGGGGAATGGGGGACTTTTATCCATAGGTCATTTCTGGCTGTCACATAGTCCAGGGGTAGATGTCATGGAGGACACTGACTGATCCATACACAGACTCCTTTCTGCAAATTAGAAAACACACTCACTCTTGGTGAATGTAGCCCAACTTAGCAGTGGGCTGGCAGGCAGGACATGAGCTGGACTCCAGTTCCCACTCACCTCCCTGATGAGCCACATTTGCACAGAGCTCCAATTGCATGCCTGAGTGTGGTGGCTTTGGTGATGTGGCTGGGGCTTCCCAGGATTCATCCTGAGAAGTCAAGGAGATGGAGCCAGGAGAAGATGTTTCTTTGGTTTCTGGGTCTTTCATTTCTGGTGTTTGCTGAATACAAGGGAGGAATCTGAATTTATTTGACCAAAGTAGAAGTATTTAATATGGGTTCCTCAGATTCTTAAACTTCACAGACCGGCTTCTTCTGTAAATCTTCCAACATTCATATATTAATAGCTTTTTGATCATGTGGATATAAAGATTTTTCTAGAAAAAGATTTCAAAGGTTTCACTAGTCTCCAAGGGATCAGTAACCCCAAAAAGGTTAAAATGACTGGTCTAAGTATTTGTAGTAGTTCAAGGATAAAATCAGTAAACATAAAAGAGAAGGAAACAGAATCTGACAAGGACTTACTCTCTATTTCAGTTTAACTGTCATGGTCCAATGAGCATAACATAAACATGAACCACATTGTGAACCTGTTCAAGGAAACTTGCCCTCCTTACCTGCATCACACAGCCTGGACTGTAACTCTCAGCCCTCTAATGAACAAGTTATTAAATTAATGGAGCTGAAAGCCTTCCAAACACAGAAAAAAGGCCCTTTGAATATGCAATCCCTTAGAAAAGCTGGCAAACAAACCATGTGCCCTGGGAAGGCAAAAGAAAGCCCAACTTGTGATGATTAGGAGCTCCTGTTTGGAGTCAAGTTTAATTCCTGTTCCTGCTATTAACTAACTGAGGTTGGGAGGGAGGGGCTTAGGCACTTAGTTAATTTCTCATATGCAAAATGAGGCTAAGTAAAAGATCTACCCACCACAGAGAGCTGTTTTAAGGGAACAATGCAATAATACATGGGAAGTGCTTTATACCATCCTTGACACATAATAAGGACTCTGTAAATGTAAGGTGTTTAATATTTTTATTTTTATTGTTGAAAAAGTTGACTTATCAGAGGCAGTTGGGAAGTTCTATAATTTGTGGTGGCATTTTCTTTTCCTTTCTCTTGCTTTCCTCAGGGCTGGTCTCATTTTACATAATTTTAGGAGGAAATGACCAAATTTCCTTTCAAATAAGATAAGAGATACATCCCCCTTATTATGCTTTCAAGATCTGTTAAAGTAAATTTACTCTTTAAATAATTTAGCAGCTATTAATAATGTACACTGCATGGGATTCAGAAGTGCGGACTTTGACAAATGGGCAGAGAGAGTAAGGATCAGTTGGTGGAAGGAATGTATCCATTGAGTGAAACGATGCAAGAAGATTAGATGCAATTTTATTCCTCTTGAATTTGGGTTTAGGGTCAATCTTAAACTCTGTAAGCTTTGGAGATCTCTTTGAATTTAGGAAAGAGCAGTCAGTACATTGAGGACTGAATGTTCAGAGAATGTGATGGCCGGCTTAGTTCTAAAACTCTCCTCAGTTCCAGTTTACATTCTTGTGTGAACAGTGCACTTTCAATATCGAAGAGTCTCTTAAGCCTATTTTTCTGGTCTTTTCTCTAGTGATAGTCAAGAGATTGTGTGCCTAGGTCCTGGACATATTTATTGGGAAAGGTTTTGGTACATAGTCTAGCTAAACTCTGAGGGGCAGGTGAAAATTTACAATAATAATTAGACACATGGGACCAGTAAGCAGTAAGCTAGTCATTCTTAATTCAGGTTGCCCGTCACCACCAAGGGGCACATATTTACAAATAAACATTCATGGGCCTGTCCCAAGGTTGGTCTGTGTACTAAGTCTACAGTGAGACCTCAGACATCTTCAAAAAGAAAGGAAAAATATATTATTTTACTAGTGCCATATCATGAAAATGAAATTCCCATACCTTTTGAGGAATAACTAATAAATATGCACCTGCATAGGAGGGAATGTATGCCTAAGGGTAACAAGCAGCATGAGCTTGAGAATAGAGAGCTATGGTCACCTACACTCTGGGTAGAATAGGACTCAAGATTGAAATGTGGTTATAGAAGAGGCACCTATTAAACAGAAACTGGGGTATAGAAAGGAAGGCAGAACAGTGTTAGGATCCCATGGGTCCTCCCAGGGCCATTTTGGCCATTTCTGTGCCATTCTTCTCACTTATTATAGGGAACCATTTCTCCCAACCCCAACTCTAATGCAAATGGGAGGTACAGTTTGCTCTTCCTGCCTAAAGATATTGGGATAAAGGCGGACACCTACCTCTGGGTTAGCCAATCATAATTTCTCAGACCCCAGGCCACAGTGATTGGCCCACAGTTGTGCTTTCCAATATGGCCTCCCTGATACAGAGGGCCCTCAGGGTGCAAACTTGGACCGTGCTCGAGTCGAAGGAGAGTCTTTTTTCAAGATTTGTTGAAATAGAGCTGCCAAATAGATGCACCTTTCTTCACAGCTGTCAAAGATGGGAAGATGGAAGCTATTGAAGGTTGAGGACCCTGGGAAGTAGATTTTGAGACAAAGACTAGCTGCAAGTTTGTTTGTTTGTTTGTTTGTTTGTTTTGTTTGTTTTGTTTTGTTTTTTTGGAATCCTTTTGCAATTAATAATTGTGGAAGAAAGGGATGAAAGCAAGACTGAGAAGCAGGCAACGTTGGGCTGAAATGTCTTCTCAGCGATGGCCTTGGCTGACTACACGGGGGCTCAGAATGAGGAAGGCTAAGAGAATTAATCTTTATACCATTGCACTGGCCAGTGATTGGATGTGGGTTGTACTGGAAGGTGGGCATAGACTTGGGCTAGGTGACTGTCTTTAGTCAAAGAAATTCCTAAAGATGGCTGACAGTCGGGCATCTGGAAGTATTTTTTTCCTAAAGGTGGCATGTCACAGAATTCATTACAGAGTCCCAGTGCTATTGATAAAGGAAGAAATGAAAACCAAAGAGAGTTCTGATAGCATGATTTTATACATCCTTGTACTTCCTATAGTTTGCTTACAAAAGTCAATTAGGCCTTTTTGTCTCTAACCTAGTTCAAATTGGGTTTTTTTCATCTTCTGCTAAAAGAATCACATCTAATATGCTTGCTTGGAATCTATAAAATGGAAGCATATCAGAAAAAAACATGGGAGTAGATAAAGGGAGAGAATAATAAAACTATTAGTGTTTTAGCATACTAGACATAGCTTTACCAGGTGAAAGAAATAGAAGGTATTTTGCAGGCACGGGTAGCTAAGTAAGGATTAGAGGAGAATTCTTTGAGGGAATTCAACCTAAGACTGCCTGCTGGAATATTACTGGGCTTAAAGCAGAGTGCCTGATTTCTTCAAAGAAGATGTAAAATTTGCTAGCAAGTATCTGAAAAAAATGCTCAATGTCACTAATCATTAAGTAAATGCAAATTAAAACCACAATAAGTTATCACCTCACACCTGTGAGGATGGCTGTTATTAAAAAAATAGCAAGCATTGGCAAGGGTATGGAGAAAAAGGAGCCCTTGAACACTGTTGGTGGGAATGTAGATTGGTACAACCACTGTGGAAAACTGTATGGAGGTTCCTAAAGAAATTAAAAATAGAACCATCACATGAGCCAGCAATTCCTCTTTTGGATAAACCAAAGGAAATGAAATCACTGTCAGAAAGACAGCTGCACTCTCATGTTTATTGCAGCACCATTCACAATAGCCAAGATTTGGATTCAACCTAACTGTCCATCAATGAATGAATAGATGAAGCAAATGTGGTATATATACACAATGAAATACTATTCAGCCATAAAATAGAATGAAATCCTGTCATCTGCAGCAACATAAATGAAACTGAGAGACATTATGTGAAGTAAAATAAGCCTGGCACAGAAAGAAAAATATTGCATGTTCTTATTTATATGTGGGAGCTAAAAAAGTTGATCTCATGGAAGTAAAGAGTAGGATGATAGTTACCATGGAAGGATGGGAGGAGGGGAATGAAGAGGGATAGGTTAATGAGCACAAACACACAGTTAGATAGAAGAAGTAGGTTTTTGTGTTCAATAGTGCAGTAGAGTGACTATAATTAGCAACAATTTATTGTACATTTCAAAATAGCTGAAAGAGATTTGAAATGCTCCCAACACAAAGAAATGATAAGTGGGAGGTAACTACCCTGATTTTATCATTACACATGATATGTTTGTATCAAAATTTCACATTTGATCCATAAGTATGCACAATTATTATATACCAATAAAACTTAAAAAATGAAAACGTAGAAATCAAGAATAAAATGGTTATTACCAGGAGTGGAAGGGCTGGAGAAGAAATGGGAAAATGTAGGTCAAAGCATACAAAGTTGCAGATATGTAGGGTGAACAAGTCTAGAGATTTAATCTACCACATGAAAACTCTAGTTAATAATATTGTGTTGTATTTGTTATTTTTGCCAAAAGAGTAGATTTTAGCTGCTCTTGCCACAAAATAACACAGGGTAACTGTGTGAAATGACAGACATGTTGATTTGCTTGACAATAGTGACCATTTCACTATGTATATGCATATCAAAACATCATATTGTACACGTTAAATACATAAAATACAGTAAAAGGTTTTTTTTTTTTTTTTTTTGAGATGGAGTCTCACTCTGTCACCAGGCCAGAACGCAGTGGTGCGACCTTGGTTGACTGCAACCTCCACCTCCTGGGTTCAAGTGATTCTCCTGCCTCAGCCTCCCGAGTAGCTGGGACTACAGGCGCGCACCACTACAACAATAAAATTTTTGTAATTTTAGTAGAAACGGGGTTTCACTATGTTGGCCAGGATGTTCTTGATCTCTTTACCTCATGATCTGCCTGCCTTGCCCTCCCAAAGCGCTGGGATTACAGGCATGAGCCACTGCGCCCAGCCAAAAGATTTTTTTTTTAAAGAGACACTGGAGAGCATGCTTTTTCTCTCCAGCATGTGAGAACATAACAAGAATGTCTGCAAGCCTGGAAGAGAAAGTACCAGGAACCACACCCTGCTAGAACCTTGACTTTGGATTTTTCAGCCTCCAGAACTGTAAGAAAATAAATTTCTGTAGTTTAAGCCAAAAAAAAAAAAAAAAAAAAAGGGGCAAGATGTCTGATACACTCTTGATCAGCCTTTCTTCCAAGTTGATTTTCCCCAAGAGAGAAGAAATAAATAGAATTGCTCCTATGGCCTCAATTCTGATGAACATGGGGAGTTTAATTGCAGAGAAGGAAGTTAGAGGAATCTTTGAATAAAGTGTCTATATCACTTTGGAAAATTTTTGATTGCTTGGGAAGATAAGGCTGGCAGATGTGGGATCTATATTTAAAGAAATGGATAAAATTGCATGCTATGAGAATTGAATGGGGAAAGGGCTCAAGGGAGTTGGAGAGCTCTTAAAACTCAAATTCTGAGCATTTAGCCCCAACACAGAGGAAAATTGAGAGAAAGCAAAGTTGTATTCCCAGGACAGAAAAAAGCTTTAAGAATTGTGCCAATGAGACTAAAACCCTAAAGACCGTAACAGTGGCTTTCTAAATTCTCTTCGGAAGAAAATGATCATTGATTCATTGTTTGAGCACACCTAGTATAATTGCGTTATATTACTAGATGGCAGTTAAATCAAGACCCTCAATGGCAATTTTTTGTTGTTTTATTTGCATTTTAAACATAGGGAAACCCCAGTGGTAGATGAGGACTGAAATACAGGATGTATGAAGAAATGAAAATGAGACTTTGGCTGTTCTACTTTCTTGGCTTGGACTGCTGCCTTCCAGGGACCAGAAGTAATAATAACTATGATTTGTTAGATTCTTACAAAGTTCCAGGAATTGTGTTAAGTGTTTTATGTGAAGTATCTCATGTAATCTTTACAGAAATGCTTTGGGAATTGGCATTCTTTAATATCCTCATTTTACATATGATAAAAGTCAGTCTCGGAGAGGTCATATGACCTGTTCCAAGGGGCAAAGATGAAAGTTAAGACAAAACCAATGTTTTGAACTATTATACAGAAAAAAGCTGCAAATGAAAATGGTAAATCATTTTCCATGATCTTCAAGGACTTGCCAAAAAAAGGGATTGTGCTCCTTAGGTAGGACACAGAGCACAAGGGTGGTAGAAAGAGGGTGTCTAGTGAGGGTTGACACACGACCAACTCTGTCACTGCCCTGCAGTGACATTCCAAATGAAAGGAATCCTCTGGTTTACCCAGAGAGGGTCTATTTTGAAGGTCTTCTGCGTGAAAGTGGAAACATTCTAACTCTTGTAGAAGTATTTTGAGGTCCTGGACAAAAGGCAGAATAAATGAATCAATGAATGAATATGAGAAGATTAAAGAGGAGAGAAAATGTTAATGCCATTTGCAACAAGATGAATAAGGTAGATTTTGAAAACTAGCAGCCAGTGCAATTGACTTCCATCCTGGGCAAGATTCCTGGAAAGACTCATTAAGGGAATGATTTGTAATGCAGTCTTCCACTGCCCTACTTGTCTGAAGGTAATTTCTGAACTAATAAAGTCAAGAGTGGGCATTTTATTATGTTATACATCTATCCCAGTAGAGGGAGTCTTACATGAAGCTTAGCATGTATGTTTAAAACATATATCTGTGTATGTTTGTATGTATTTATTTCAAGAATAATATGAGAATGAGATCAAAGTGAATCCAAATATTGATATAGCTGTCTTCAAAATTTATTTGGTCTTAGGATATATTAATCAACATAGTTACAACAATAATCTCATTCATTTTTCTGGTCTTGGATTCAATGTTCCTTCCTTAGAGAAACCTCCTGTGACCTCAAAATCTAAATCATGTCTCTCCTTGTTATTTTCATTTAAAACACCTACATTTTTGTCTTCACTTCACTTATCATGAGTTGTCATTTATTTCCACCAGGGTACATTTATTCAAAGCTGTTCACCACAGCAGGAGCTGTGTCTTGTGGTTCATTTTGTACCTCCAACACCCTGTGTGGAGTACAGCACATAGTAGCTGCCCAGTAAAATTTTAGTGAATTAAAAATATGAATAAAAGAGGAGGTAACATCACTGCTCACTAGATCAGAAGACTACTGGGATATTGCTGTCATTCTGGATGTCACACTTTGCACAAAGAGTATGTAGAGAAGAGAGGAAGCAACTCATTGCCAAAGTTAATCCTGAGCTACAGAGGAGATTTGATTCTCAGTTATATGAAGAAATGGAGTCATTTAGCCCATTGAGAAAGACTCAAACTGAGGAATGGAACTGTGGGCAATGACTGCTGGCTAGCTGCCTACAGATGTTGCAAGTGTTGTCTGTGAGGAAGTCAGTATTCGCACACACACAAACTTACACACACGTTTTAATATGGTCCTAAGGGATGGTCTAGGACCAAGGTTGATAATAATCATTACTAGAAGGTAAACAGTTGGGCTCAATGTAAAAAACATTGGTTTTAGTATTTAAATCTGCCCTCCAAATAGAATGAACGGCCTAAGGAAATCCCCAAATCTTCAATGAGATAAACAATTAGTGGGCACATTAAAACAGAGACAATTAAGAAAAGGCATGGGTGTCGGACAAGCAGGAAATGAACAGCACGGAGGACTCCCATCTGGTAATGGCTGCCTTGACCTTGTCTGGGCTGGTCACATTATCTTTGACTTTTTCTAACTCCAAAATTCTGCAGAAACTATCATAAAACTCATGATTTCTTAAAACTTAGAACTATGTCTTTCTTGAAAGAGACTGAGCAGAAATTCTGGCCTTCTATATTTGAAGTATATAGGCATGGCACTGAAACTGTAGTGGTTTATAAACTCATAACAAATGGGTTATGATTTAATAAACTTCACTTTTTCGAATGGAACATGAGAAATCTAAGCAATTGCCCCAAACTGCATAACTGTTAACCTTGATTTATTGGTAACAAAAGCAATTACATATTCTTGGTAATATAAGCATGATCTAGACACAGTATTAATATTTATTAAAACATTTTTCTCTGTACAGAAAAAAGAAGTGAACTATTTTTTTCCAGCAAACCAAAATTCCACAGCTTTTTTGAGCAAATAATATTGTTACAAACAACTATGGGTATATCATTCAGACTTTTTATCCTTTTCAAACTCCATCATCTTTGATTAAATTGTTGTGAACTGATCTCCTAGGAATAGACACAGCCCTAGCCGGTTGTCTTAGTTCATCTCCGTTTACTATGTTTAGGTAGTAGAATTTGTGTTTCAATATGCTGGAAAGTTCCTGTCCTTGGAACTAATATGATAAAATGTTTCAATATTTCATTTTATTTATATATCTATCTCATTTACATTAATTTTCCTCTATCGTGTCACACTCCTCCAACCATTTCACCAAGTCCTACCTGGGAAGAGAGCCACCCAATACCTTTCACAGTTTATGGTGTTTGTAGGTGTTGCATTATTTTTTCTGTCTTATATTTTTACACTTACAATTACTGAAACTAACATTTTAACATTTGCTACTCATCAGATCCATGTGACTAAAAGCAATGCTCATACATCTGGTAGTTTGAGGGGCACTAGTTTCATCAGTGCTTACGATGCATAAATATGCCTTGGATTCAGCAAAGACATTCCCTTCTCAATTACAATTAATACTGCACAAGCCCTGTTGCCAATTTTTCTCAACTCATTTTTCCCTTCAAATTTATTTTTAATCTTGTTTCTTTCCTACAAATTATGAGGCAAAGTGGCTTGCTGTGGCAATATTCAGTACCAATAAATCCAGGGTTCCCATAAAACTGTACAATTTCTTGCTGATGGCACTTGAAGAAGAAAGTTATTAAATCATTACTCATGTAATACAAATTTTCAGGATGCTGAAATACTTCTCACTATGGACTTTGCTTACTACATAGTGTAGAAATTTAGATATTGTGTAGAAAACTTGGACAAGATCTTAACAACCTTCAGGGTTTAATAATTGGTCTTCTGTTGCTAATGACAAAATACACGAGGAGATAATGTTCAAGGATGTCTGCTTTCCTTAACTGCAACGTTCAAGGCCTTATGCCATACTACAATGGGAAAAAGGGCTGGAGTCAGGGAATGTTTTTATTAAATACTCTTGCTTGGATATCTCATGTAGTGGGACTCTCATTCAGCACTGCATTCTCATGGCTTGGTGCTACACACATCACATTGTAGGTGCTCATTGTTTAATGAGATGAATTAATGCATAGTCATTAGAAATGATAGCTGTGACACAAACCCATATAAAGAAAGATGGTTATATTTCCAGGCACATGCGCTGATCTTTTGCTGTTCTTGGTGTGGCTGCAGTGGGGTTGCAATGGACTATGCAGCTGAAACAAAGATTCCTCTTCAGGGGACTGGACTTTGTCCCTGCAAGAGAGCACCTGAGGTTGTGATAATCTTGGATCTTGAGTCTTCAAAGTTTTACTCATAGTTCACAATTAGGGGACCTCAGCTGACAAAAAATCCTGGCTCAGGGCTATATTTTTAATAAAAATCTGCTCTGTTATAAACTCCAGGGGGTATACCTGCCTCTCAGTGGACAGAAATAAAACCTCTTAGAAGCTGACTTTCAGTGTTTAGTCTTCCACAATGCTGTTTAGTAAACTGCTGCCCATTGCACTGAATGGAGACTTGCCGAACAGTATGTGTTAAGTGAAGTGTCTAAGGGAGTTGTGTTTTTTCTCAGTGTTGTGTACATATTGTAAAGACCTTTACAACAATAACATCAACTACAATGGCTTGAACACCAGGTGATACAGTTTTATTTATATAACCAGCCACAAGGGTAGGACCAACCTATTGGAAGGCAAAGTATTGGTCCCATTTAGGGACTGGTACCTAAAACTCTACCAGTATAAATTCATCTCTTTGCCTTAAATATTCTCCTTTTTCTTTAATTCTCCTTCCCAAGTAGCCAAAATAAAGATAAATACATGAAATCATTAACACCAAATCCATGGTCAATAGATGAAGTTAGGGAGATGAGAAGCTTAAAGTGGTGGTGAGGGAATATGGAATGATTTAAATAAAAATTATTTTTCACCTTGGGTGGCAGAATCAGAGTACATCTGTAAGCATAAATCTTACCAATTGTCTTGTTCACAAGCAGAGTTTCTCAATCTTGTCCTTACCATTGGAAAACTCTTTACTGTAGGGCCTCTCCTGTGCATTGTAGGATGTTGAGCAGCATCACTGCCCTCTACCTACCAGATTGTAGTTGCATCCCCAATCTAGTTATGACAACCAAAAGTGTTCCCAGACATTGCCAAATGCCCCCTGCGCGGCAAAACCACCCTCAGTTGAGAACCACAATCTTTGATGTGTTAAGGGTAGAAGTCCACATAATTGATTTGTCCCATAGATGGAGCTCTTGTTCAACAAAGTGCTTTTTAGAAAGGGTAAAGGCAAGTTTAAACAAAGGGAATAACAGTTCATCAGCCACTTAATCAATTGTAAATTACCCCTAGGTTTTGCCCCCTTCTGAATCAGCAGGAAATTGACAGAGCTGGGGAGTTCTGGTTTGTAATGGCTGCCTTGCCCTCTATGAGAGGTCAGAAAACCTGATTTTGAAGATGGAAGGTGCTGGCTATCTAGGCCTGCTCTCATCCAGAGGGGCTCCCAGGAGGTGCTGGGTGGATGCCAAAGTTTACAGAGCATTGCCCAAAGCAGCAGGTCACTCATATGCTTTCGATATTGCAAGACTGTTTCTCTTACTCAGTAAGTTTTGTCTTTAAATTGTTTTCATTGTTTTATGTGGTCTATGGTACACACCTCATTTCTTTCCATTTGCAGCCATAGTATTTCTAGCAGTTAGCTCATTTAACAGAACTTCCCCGTATTTTTAGGCCAAGGAGTCAACATTAAGTTAGGTGGTGAAGGTGAAAGTTTTGAATAGACCTGAAATAAGGGGTAACTAACTACTTCCAATAAAATGTGCCATTTCCAAAAGAGATAAGGAATGTTCTTTGAGCACCCAAAGCAGTGCTTAAAAATGTCTTTGAGATTTTGTTGAGATTACATGGGACTGGTTCTGCATTAGACAAATCAAAGTTCTTGCTAACTGGCTTGGGGGCAGGTTATGCTACTAAGAAGCAACAGTGATACTTCTTCCAAGCTGATGCACATCGTAATCCTAATGCTTTTCCCTTCTACCTGTTAAGTGAATGAGTTGACAGGTACCGGATAGAGTGAACACTCAGGCTGACATTCTCTTAATTTGTCACTAACAGCAGAGTACTCAATGTCAAAACTGAGATTCATTGTAACTGGAAGCTGCCGGTCTAGCCCGTTTATGACCAGTAAACTCTTTTTAATAAATTCCATAAGGAGTTGTGTTGCTCACATACACACAAGAGAAGCCAGAGATTCAGGTCCACAGGAAAATTTTTTTAAGATTAATTAATCCAACAAGTACTTTTTGAGGGTCTGCAATGTGCAGATGCGAACTTTATCCCATCTTAGGCAATGATGTCACTCCCAGACACGAGCACTACGCATAGGCCCACCTGGGAGCACATCAGCCCATGTGCAGGACACCATCTGCTTTTCCACACTCCGAAGTCTCCTCAGAATCTTGCTGGGGATCTTTTTTTCTCTCTTCACAGCAGCAGGAGCTCCATGTGACAGAATGCTCTACCTTTAATGGGGTGTGAAGATTTCAAGAAAGCAAACCTAGTAGACTGCTCCCATTAATGCTATCCTCTAAGGCCAGTAGCAGATGGAAGTGGGAGTTTTGCAAACTAAAAGAACCTGATTTAAGTCCAGGGTGCTACCTGAATTTGTACTTTTACAAATCTCCTTGGGTGTTTCTTGGATGTGCAACTGGCCTGGAACCACTGTTGTGATACAGAGATTCTCAGTCCAGGCTCTACATTGTAGTCACCAGGGGGAGCTTAAAAAATACTGCTGCCTGGGCCTCATCCCTAGAGATTCTGATTTCATTAGTCTGGGGTGGAGTTTTCCCTATGGAAAAGCAGTAAATTTTACATCAGTAATTCTCAATCCTAGCTACACATTAATGTCACCTGGGGACAATATAAGTATCTTGATGCCTGAATCTCATCTCAAACCAATTAAAAATAAATCTCTGGGCTTGAGCAATAGCATCGTAGCATTTTTAAAGTTCCTCAGTGTATGTACATAGGCTAATTTTGGCCTATTGATGCAATTGTAGGATTTTCACATCAAAATAGTCTATACCAGCAATCAAAAATGCAGAAAGGGTCAGTAAAAAATAGAAATACAAATTGGGATGGTTCATTGTGTACCATGAATCAAGAACTGGGCATTCTGCTGGAACTAATGAGGAGTGTGTATATGTGTGTGTGTGTGTTTATGAAAACTGGCAGGACAGGTTATGCACAGCTGCAAGTAGGAGTAGGATGCTCAAGATTAAGAAAAAGTAAATTCTACACCACAAACAACTCTTAACACCTCCTGTATGCCATGTGCTGTCAGGAAACATAAGATGAGTAAGATTTAATCCTTTCGCATGATTCATAAGCTTACAATCTCAGGGGAAAATATTGTTTCGACAAGCCTAGTAGAGAGGGAGGAGAGACAGAGAGAGGAAAGCCCTAGATTTGAGCTTGTGTCCCCAAAATCTGTCACTTGTGTGACCTTGGAGGAAGTTTAATATCTTTCCAAGCCCCTGCTGATCACCTGCTGATGGTCTCATTTAGATTGGTGACACTGATTTTCTGTATCCTCCTTTTTTTCTATAATTCTTCTTCCTCAGAGGAGCTTCATACTGCTTCTATGTCATACACCTGTGTTCATCCATGTCCCTTGCTGCAGGCATATTCCTGAGCCCACCTTCCACTGCTCCCAAATGATTCACTCTTCTATTTCCTCTTCCCAGAGGACGCTGTTGTCTAAAGTTCTCAGTGAAATTGATGAGTCATGAAATTCTCTAGAGGTGAGGTACTAGTTAATAATAACAGGATACTTTGTTTCCCTTTCAAGGATATGCAGTTGGAAGCAAAATATCCAGAAAGCGTATTTCCTGGTGGGGATTGGTGAGATGTTTTGGAAAATGGGAGCTACTTGATCTGCTTGGAATCTGCCTCTGTAAGGGACCACTCAATGGGCAAGTCCTCTAGTTCCCTAACTCCAGAAAACTGAAGTCCTGCAGTAAGGAAAGAATGAGTCTTCTTCACTCTGCTGGGATTTGTTAATGTAGGAAGTTTAATAAGGTTAAAGGGCCAGAATTTTATAACTTTGTGAATAGTAACTAATTTCCAAAGAACTATATTTTTAATTGAACAGAATCCAAGGTGTCCTGTGAAGGTAACATTTTTAGAAATAGATAGCAATATGATATCTTTCTAAGGAGAGGGAAAATATTACTTGATTCAGTTTGCACATAAAACCAACGAGTTAGGGAACAAGGGGAATGTTAGTATCATAAAATTGACTCTGGTAGGAGAATTTATACTTTGTAAATAGGAAACACTACAGTTAGGACTTTTTAAACAGATAGTTGTCAAATATTTACCAGTATAACAATGTTGCAAGAACTACCCTTTGGGATTCCAAAGGCAACTGCCTACATTAAATTTTTTGTGTTCATAAAATGCTAGTTCCATAGGACGCAAATAGACAACTCAATAAAATCAGTAAAACAATATGTGAACAAAACTAGAAGAGATAGAAATTATGTAAAGGAGGCAAACAAAATTCTAGAGTTAAAAATACAGTAGATAAAATGAAAATGCAATAGAGAACTTCTATGACAGATTTGATTATGCAGAATAAAGAACCTGTGACCTCAAAGACAGGTCATTTGAAAGTATCTAGTCAGTGGAGGAAAAACAAGAGTGAAGAAAACCAATAGGATTTATAGGACACCGTTAAGTGATGGTGCATGATGGAAGTCCCAGAGGAGAAACAGAGAGAGAAAGGGGCAGAAAGCTTATTTAAAGAAAAAGTGGCTGAAAACTTTTAAAATCTTATGTGGAAAATTGACATCTAGATTCATGAAGCTGAAAGAACTCTGAAACAGATCAATTCAGAGAAGACTACACCAAGACATATTGTAATCAAACTCTGAAAGTCAAAGAGAGAAGAGAATTTTGAAAGCATCAGGAAAAAGACAGCTCATCACATACAAGGGAAGCCTTCTAACACTATCAGTGGATTGCTCAGCAGAAACCTTGCAGGCCAGGAGACAGTGGCATGATATATTCAAAGTACTGAAAGAGAAAAAACTGCCAACAAAGAATACTATACCAAGCAAAATTGCCCTTTCAAAATGAAGGTGAAATAAAGCCTTCATCAGACAAACAAAAACTGAGGGAGTTCATCACCACTAGACCTGCCTTGCAAGAAATAGTTAAGATAATTATTCAAATTGCAATGAAAACATGCTAAACAGCAATGTGAAAGTATATGGTAGCATAAATCTCACTGGTAATGGTAAATATGTAAACAAATACAGAATAATATGACACCATAATGGAGGTATATAAACTACTTTTAACTCTAATGTAGAAGTTAGAAAATAAAAATTTATTAATAGAATACAATGTAAAAAGTAGCAAACTCTGACTACAAGAACACAAAGTATGTGTTGGGGTGGGGCTGCAAAAGTATACAGCTTTTGTACGTAAATGAAGTTAAGTTGTTATGAACTTAAAATAAGTGGTTATAACTACAAGATACTTTATGCAAGCCTTGAGCTAGCCATAAAAAAACAAAATCTGTAATAGATACACAAAGGAAAAAGAAAAAGGAATCAAAGCAAAGCACTCCAAAAGTTATCAAATTAAAAAGAAAGATAGCAAAAGAGGAAAAGAAGGCCAAAACAATGGCAAACCAGACAGAAAACAATTAACAATTAACAAAATGGCAGTAGTAAATCTCTACCTGTTAATTATTGCTTTAAATGTAAATGGATTAAAATCTCTAACCAAAAGACATAGAGTGGCTGAATGGAAAAAAAAAAAAACAAGATCTAGTGACATACTGAATAAAAGTGATTCACTTTATGTTTAAAGCTATACCTAGGCTGAAAGGAAAGGGATGGAAAAAGGTATTTCATGCAAATGGTAACCAAAAGAAAGCAGACATGGCTATACTTACATTAGACAAACTAGGCTTTAAGTCAAACAGCATCTGTTGAGACAAGGAAGGTCACTATATAATAATAAAATGGACAATTTAACAGAAAGATTTAACAATTATGAATATATGCACACCTAGCGCCAGAAGATCAAAATATATAAAGCAAATACTGATATATCTGAAAGGAGAAATTGACAGTGATACAATAATAGTAGGGGACATTAATATGCCATTTATAATAATGGATAGAAGAACATCCAGACAGAAAATGAAAAAAGAAATAGCTGACTTCAACAACACTATCAAATGGACCTAATAAAGACATACGGAACTTTCCACAAACAGCATAAGATATTCTTCTCAAGCACACATAGAACATTCTCTAGGATGGATCACATGTTAGGTCTTAACTAATTTGTGAAGTTTTGACCTCGATGGAATGAAACTAAAAATCGATAAAAAGAAAACAGAATTCATAAATATGTGTAAGCAAAACAAAACATTCCTGAACAACCATTGGGTCAAAAATGAAATCAAAAGGGCATTTAAAAAGTGTCTTAAGACAAATGAAAACAGGACATAGCAAAACTTATGGGATGCACAAAACTGCTAATGAAGAATTTTATAGCAATAAATGCCTACATTTAAAAAAAAAGGCTGCAAATAAAACATCTAACTTTATACCTTAGAAAGTAGAAAAAGAACAACTAAGCACAAAGTTACCAGAAGGAATAAAATAATAAAAATTACAGCAGAAATAAATCAAATATAGAATAGAAAAACAATAGAAATAATCAACAAAGCTGAAGTGGTTTTTTGAAATGATCAAATTGAAAAATGCAAAATGCTTAGCTAGAATAATGAAGAATAAAAGATTGAAGACTCAAAATCAGAAATGAAGGAGGGGACGTTGCAAAGGATGTCTAAGAAAAAAAGGATCGTAAAACACTATTATAAACAATTATATGCCAACAAATTGTATAACGTAGAAGAAACTGATAAATTCCTAGAAACATACATCCTACCAAAATTGAATAATAAAAAATTAGGAAGCCGGAATAGGCCAATAAAAAGTAAGGAGATTGAGTCAGTAATCAAAAACTTCTCAATAAAGATAAGCCCAAGACTAAATGGCATCACAGATGAATTCTCACAATCATTCAAAAAATTGATACCAATAATTCTTAAACTTTCCCTCCCAAAAAAGAAAGAGGAAACACTTCCATATTCATTTTATTAGTCCAAAACCAGAAAAACATACCACAAAGAAAAAAAAAAACTATAGGCCAATATCTCTGATGAACATAGATGCAAAATACTAGCAAATATCAGCAGTAAGATACTAGCAAAATGAATTCAACAGCACATTCAAAAAATCATACATCATAAGGATTTATCATTATGATGCAAGAATGGTTCAACATATGCAAATCAGTAAATGTGATATACCACATTAACAGAATGATAGCAAGTATAGGATCTTCTTAATAGATGTATGAAAAGGATTTGACAAAATTCAACATTCTTTCATGATTAAAACTCTCAACTAAATAGGTATGGAAGAAACCTCAGAACAATAAAGGCCATTATGAAAAGCTAACCTCATAATCAATGGGGAAAAACTGAAAGCGTTCCTTTTAAGATATGGTACAAGTCGAAGATGCCCATTCTTGTCACTTTTATTCAACATAGTAGTGGAAGTCCTAGCTAGAGCCATTACACAAGACAATTAAATAAAAGGTATCCAAATAAGAGAAGAAGTGAAATTGTCCGTTTGAGAGTGCCATGAATGCATCTGTAGAAAATGTTAAAGACTCAACAACAATGACAACAACAAAACATGTGGAACTAATAAGCAAATTCAGTAAGTTGCAGGATATAAAATTAACATGCAAGAGTCAATGTGATTCTATGCGCAAATAACAAACTCCAAAAAGGAAGTTAATAAAACAATCTCATTCACAATAACAACAGAAAGAATAAAACACTTAGGAATAAATTTAACTAAATAGGTGAAGACTTGTACTGTGAAAATTATAAAACACTGATAAAGGGAATTAAAGAAAATACTGATAAATACAATGTCATCCCATGTTCATGGATTAGAAGAATTAATATTGTTAAAATGTTCATAATATCCAAAGTGATCTAAAAATTCAATGTAGTCCCTACCAAAATCCTGATGGCATTTCTTACAGAAATAGAAGAGGCAATCCTAAAATCCATATAGAATGACATGCAACTCCAAATAGCCAGAACAATCTTGAGCAAGAAGAACAAAGCTGGAGACATTACACTTCCTGTTTAAGAAGCCACAGTCTTTGGGAGGCTGAGGCAGGCAGCTTGCTTGAGACCAGGTGTTTGAGAGCATCCTGGCCAACATGGTGAAACCCCATCTCTACTAAAAATACAAAAATTAGCCAGGCATGGTGGCGGGCGCCTGTAATCCCAGCTACTCAGGAGGCTGAGGCAGGAGAATCACTTGAACCTGGGAGATGGAGGTTGCAGTGAGCCAAGATCCCGCCATTGACTCCAGCCTGGGTGACAGAGTGAGACTCCGTACCCAACACCTGCCCCCCTGCACAAAAAAAAGCCACAGTAATCAAAACAATATGGTAATGGCATGAAAATAGACCTGTAGATGACAAATGGAACAGAATACAGAGCCCAGAAATAAATCCATGCATCTACAGTCAATCAATTTTGAAAAGGGTGCCAAGAACACACAATGGGGAAAGGACAATCTCTTCAATAAATGATGGTGGAAAAACTGGATACCCATATGCAGTGGAGAAGAATGAAACTGGACACTTACCTCACACCATCAACTAAAAATGGATTAAAAATGTAAATGTCAGACCTGAAACCATAAAGCTACTAGAAGAAAATAGGAAAAAATCTTCTTGACGTTTTTCATGGCAGTGATCTTTTGGATATAACATCAACTGCACAAGTAACAAAATAAAAAAAGAATAGTTGAGTTGGATTGTATCAAACTAAAAAGCTTCTACAAGCAAAGGAAACAATTAACAGAGTGAAAGGCATCCCATGGAATGGGAGAAAATATTTGCAAACCATATATCTGATAAGAAGTTAATATCCAAAATGTACAAAAAATTTTATACAAGTCAGTAGCAAATAATAATATCTTGATTAAAAAATGGGCAGTGGATCTTAATAGAGATTTCCCAAAAGAAGACATGCAAATGGCCGAAAGGTATATGAAAAGTTGCTCAACATCACTAATCGTTAGGGAAATGCAAATCAAAATCGCAGCCAAATATTACCTCACACCTGTTGAAATGACTATTATCAAAATGACAAAGGATAGCAAGTATTGGTGAGAACGTGAAAAAAAGTGAACACTTGTGCATTATTGATGGAAATGTAAATTGAAAAAGCCATTATGGAAAACAGTATGGAGGGTCATCAAAAATATTTTCAAAAATTTTTACAAGTACCATATAATTCAGCAATCCCACTTGTGGGTATATGTCCAAAGGAAATAAAATCCATATGTTGAAGAGATATCTGCATGTCCATGTGTTTGGTGTAGTGTTATTCACAATAACCAAGATCTAGAAACAATTAAAATGACCAGTGATGGATGAATGGATAAAGAAAATAACACACACACACACACACACACACACACACACACAAATGGAATATTATTCAGCTTTAAAAAAGGAAACCCTGCCATTTACAACAACATGGATAAACCTGAAGGACATTATGCTAAGTGAAATAGCCAGATGCAGAAAGAAAAATACTGCATTATCTCATCTATACGTGGAATCTAACCTAGTCAAACTCACAGAAGCAGAGAGTAGAATGATGATTAACAGGCTGAGGAGTAGGGGGAAAATAGGGCAGTGTTCAAGGTGCACAAAGCTTCAATTATGCAAGAAGAGTAAATTCTGGAGACCTCAAGTACAGCAATGTGAATATAGTTAACAATACTGTACTGTATACTTGAAATTTGCTAGGAGAATAGATCTTAAGCATGATTCCCACTGAAAAGAAAATAAAAAGATAACTATGTGAGGTGATGAATTTGCTCATTAGCTTGATTGTGGAGATTATTTCACAATGTATATGTAAATCAAAACATTAAGTTGTACATCTAATTTTTCAATTATAACTCAGTAAAGATGGGGGGAAGACGGGTTAAGGGCATCTGGCTAAATTGCAGTTAAAACAAGCATAATTTACCAAAAGGTACCTGAGGTCACCAGGACATTCAGCTCTCATACCAATTATAAGTACATCGCTAGGAAAGTGATCCTTTAAATGAGGCCTAAGGAGCAGTTTATCACTCTCCTTTTTCCACAAAACCTTGTGTTTTGTGGAAAAACCTCACAAATCAAAACATGAGGATCAATCATCATTCACGATACTAGGAGTGTCTGAGATGCTGAGGCAAACATTGGTAAATAATAAAAAAGTTTCTTTCCTTCCTTCCTTTCTTCTTTTTTGCAGTATGTGCATTTTTAAGAGGCACGTGATGTTAGAACTTGTTCGAGAAAGTCAGGAAAAAATAGAAGAAAAAATTGAACTAGAAATGCTGTGGCATGAGCCGCAAAGAGGAAACAAAATAAGCAAAGAATATTATTTAAAAAACTGTTAGAAACATGAATATAATATCCAAAGAAGAAATACTTCCAATGAAGAAATTAATTAAACCCCATATTTCCTTTGGCATTTTTTAAGTTGCCAATTGGCTTCCTAAAATCAATAAGGTAGAATACACACTTTGATGCTTTGTTCAAGAAGTTACGATCCCTCAGTGCCCAAATATTTAGGAGACAATATGCAGTTGGAGCTAATTTCAGGAACAGGCATTGATAAGATCTCTTGATGGGCAACAAGACACCCTTGCAACCCCACCAAGTCTTCTGTCATTCCCATTCTCATCTGCTTCAAGCAGCCTTCTAAGGGGAGAATATTAACAATTGAGTCAATGGAAGGCCAAAGCAGGCAAAACATGAACAAATCTTGACTTCTGAACATTATTTTAGCCCAATGTTATTTGTAATAAAGGAAAGTATTAGAAAATATGACAAATAAGGCCGGGTGCGGTGGCTCATGCCTTGGGAGGCTGAGGCGCGCGGATCACGAGGTCAGGAGATCGAAACCATTCTGGCTAACACGGTGAAACCTTGTCTCTACTAAAAACACAAAAAAATTAGCCAGGCATGGTGGCGGGCGCCTATAGTCCCAGCTACTCGGGAGGCTGAGGCAGGAGATTGGCGTGAACTTGGGAGGCAGAACTTGCAGTGAGCCGAGATCGCACCACTGCACTCCAGCCTGGGGGACAGAGTGAGACCCCGTCTCAAAAAAAAAAAAAAAAAAAAGAAAAGAAAAGAAAAAGAAAATATGACAAATAAAATTTGGTATTATCACTGGCACTTGAACTATTCGAAAGATTCAGGGTCTTTATTTTATTTCCACCTGAGACAGTTACCATTTAGTGATTCTTTTAGTCTTGCTGGAGACATTAACATAAAAAATGACAATATAAAAATGAATTTTATCTTTTTATTGGTCTACCTCTTGCAATCAGCCTTAATGTCACTCTTAGATGTAAGCCAGCCAGGAGAGTAAGGGGCTAAAGGAAACAGCTAAATGGCAGGGGGGAAGCTTATTGTTAATTTCTCCCTTTGCTAAAGTTATTGGCCTTGGCCTTCCTTGCTCAAAGGACTTTGGGACAGTAACCCAGAAGTACCATGAAAAATAAATTTGGATTCTGACCAGTTCCTAAATTCAGTCTTGTTTGGTGGACTCTCTCCCATCAGCTGATGCATAAAATGCTTCACCAACGTTCCCAAAAGTCACCATGATTTATCAAAGCTCAACAAATGTGTCCAAGTGTAATGCTCCGGTAGTTGTATAAATTAAAGTTCAGTCAGGATTCCTGATAAATTAAAAAATACGAAGATTTCCTTTTCTGTAAGTCTGTGACTCTGTCTAATTGGATCTCCATGAGCAACTTATGATACTAGTCTCATGACATTTTGAAAAAATTCATGTATGCCCAAGGAGACACACTACCAAATCACAGATTCCTCAATTTGTTTTTCTAAAAAAGCCTAAGTGGTTCTTTGAACCAAGAGATTATTTAATCTCCAACATTTTAAGTCATGGAAAAAGTTGAATTTTAAAATTAAGTTAGAGTAAGTGTTGAATAATCTATAATTTCAAAGTTCCAAATCAATGGTGATTTTAAGATAATTCTGTATATAATACAAACACAAAACATTAATGTAACAGTAATTATTTGCTTTATCTAAAGACATGTTAAAAATTGAAAAAGTAGTGGGTAATAGTTTTAAAATCATTCAATTAACTGTAAAGAAGATAATAAAAGTCATTCTTCATTCTACTACCCAGAGATTACCACTAAAGCTTTACTTAGACATATAGTATCAGTCAGTTGTTACTGTAATAATGTTGGGTAACAAAAGCCACAAAATCTCAGTGCATTACAATAATAAGCATTTATTTTTATCACTCATGAGTGTACAGGTTGATGATTTGGCTGGAATTGGCTTGCTGGGCTCAGCAACTTCACCTGATCTGGTTCCAGGCAATAGGTAGGTTTGGATCTAAACCACATACCTCATTCTGGACACAGTGAATACCTGAACCCTATTTCTAGCTTGGTGATGGCAGAAGCAAAGAAAGCAAGCCTAAACCATGCAAGCTTATTGATAGTGTCTGCTCCCATCCCATCTACTAGTGGTTCATTAAACTAAAGCTACTTACATGATCTGTCAGAGTCCATGAGGCAGGGAGTATACTTCTCTCATGAAGAGGGGACCATAGAAGGTGAGAGGGAGAAGGAGACATTGTGAGTAAATTACATAATTATATTTATACCTACATATGTATACATATATATAGTACATAGAATGTGTATGTATATAGACAGACATGTATATATATGTAAACATGTGTATGTATATGTATGTGTATATAAGTATGTACATATTCCATATATACATGCTCACAAATAGCATCTATTTCACATGGTGGTTTGGAGATTTAGATAGATTAATACATGTAAAATTTTTTAAAATTAACTTGCAGTAAACACTCAGTAAATGTTCAGAATTGTTATGAACTGAATGTTTGTGCCCCCCCAAAATTTATATGTTGAAACTGTAACCCCCAATGTGATGGTATTTGGAGCTGGGTTCCTAGGGAAGTGATTAGGTTTAGATAAAGTCATAAGGTAGGGCCCCATGATGGGATTATTGTCCTTATTAGAAAAGGAAGAGAAGGCAGAGCTCACTCAGTTGGCCTCTGCCATGTGAGCACACAGTGCTGTCTACAAGCCAGGGAGAGAGCCCTCACCAGAAACCGAATCTGAAAGCACTTTCATTTTGGCCTTTCCAGTCTCTAGGATTATGGGAAGTAAATCTCTGTTGTTTAAGCCACCCAGTCTATGACATGGAAATAGAGTCCCATTCAGCTAATTTATTTGAGCAATATTGTATTACAAATATTTCCCAAATCATTAAAATTTACCATTTTAATGTTATATATTATTGTACAGATATGTCAATTCATTTAAGCATTTTCTATTGTTTGCACATTGACATTGTTACCTTTTTTCTTACTAATGCAAATAATGCTGTGATGACCATCCTCAGGTTCCCATGCGTAAACTTTTGAACATCCAGTTATCCATTCCTAAAAGAGGATTCCTAACTCAGACACTACAGACATTTTAAAGCTCTCGTCAAACTGGTCTTCTGCCCAAGGAGACTAGCCCAGTACCCTTCAACTTCAAGTCTGTGAACAGCATAACTGTCTGGGCCACCTGCTCTCAGCTGTACTTTTACATGGTCAAGATTAATCAGGTTTACATTTTGTTTTGTTTTCATTAGTAAGCATTTCATGATTGATTCACCCTTGTTCCCAAAAATTGAAAATCAGTATTTATATTACTTGACTACGTTAAATATTATTTACTGAATCATCAAGTAGTAGTAGTATAGTTGTTTTAGTTTTAGTAGAGCCAGAATCTTGCTGTGTTGCCCAGGATGGATTAAAATCCCTGGCTTCAAGCAATTCTCTCACCTCAGTCTCCTGAGTAGCTGGGACTCAATAGCATGTCACCGCGCCTGACCTTAGTTTTGTAGTTTTAAAGCCACAATTTACTGGCCAATGAAAGAAGAATGCCAAAACAGATTCTGATTTTTATTCTTCACAATTGATCAAAATAATGTAATGTTTTGATCTACTTTATATTTGGTTCATTCCTTTCTTGTATACATTTTGGTGGGTTTTAAAAAAATTATTCTCTGGCATTCTGGTTGTCTTTTTTATTTTTTGTGAAGTGCAAGATATATGCAATCCCCAGCATATTCCAAATAATGTTCTACCATTCCACTGAGTTATTTGTTATATAAAATGTCACTTAGAATCTACTATATTTGTTTTGAAAACCCACTGACCTTCTAATTTTTACTTTTTATCTCATAGCTGTATTTTATAACTCTCTTCCATCCAAGAGTTTCTAATTACGTTTCATTTCTGTGCTTCAATCGTGACTGATGGCTCTGCAGCAGAATGAGAGAACAATCAACATAAAACTGTTTTTCACTACTTTTCTGGATTTGTTGAATATTTTTTGAATTGCCTTTTTTTTTTTTTTTTGGTTTATACTGTTTTGCCAAAGTACATTCTGATGTGACTTCTAAGGAAGGTTATAGGAAATACAAACTTTCTAAATCCATGTATGTCTGAAAATGTTTTATTAGACATTCTGGCTACAATTTCTAGTTTAAAATTTTTCTTCAACTTTATTTTTATATTTGTCTGTATTACTTGCTTTTCTTTTCCCCCCTGGGACCTTTTAAGATGATGTCTTGTTTTCTTGTTGTACAAAATATGGAGATGTGATTAACTGCGCCAGCCCTTGGGACAGTTTTCCAAATATAAGACACTTGCATCCCTTTATCTTTTGGAAATTGTTTTTATTGTTCTTTGAGACTCCCTCATCTATTTCCTTTCTCCCTCTCTTCCCCCTTTTCTTCCTTCTTTATTCTTTTCTATTAGTTGGATCTTGAATGTTGTATTAGATGGTATTATTTTAAGATAATATCTGATTATTCTAGATACCATTATTTCTGCTTCCAGATAAACAGAAATATGACTGAAGTGGCTCATTCAACAAAATATGGTTTTAAATTTTCATGTAATTAGAAACCTATAGGGGAGAAGTCTTTGTCTGGTGTGGCAATTCCATGATGTTGTAAAAATCCAGGGTCAGTCCCTCTTCCGGAGTCATCATCTTTAGCATGTAGCTTTCACCCTCAGATCCCAACCTGGTTGTTCTTTCTCCATCTATGCTTCCTGTGGCCCAGTCAGAGAGTTGAGGGAAGGGTGAAGGGGATAAGGAGAAACCATCAGAAGTCCCTAAATGTTAATAAGAAGGAAGCAGAGAGTTGATGTTGAGTAGGCAGCCACCCGTTTTTGCTGGAGACCTTCTGATTTCATCTCTATGTCCCTTATCATGTCTTCCATAATCATGGTCTCAGGGTTTTTTTGTTGTTGTTGTTCTTATAGATTCCCTTAAATGTATTTTCCAACTCTTCATTTGAACCTTTTAGAATCTGAGCAAACTTGATTTTGTGAAAGCTCACCTATTCTTGCTTTATGAATGCAAAAAATCTTTTTATATTTTTCGGAGGGACTAACTGGAGGGTTGAAGTGTCCTTAAGTTACTGGAATTATCTCTCTTTGCTATGGGATAGAAGTTTGTATCTTGAGCTTTCTGTTTCCCATTTCAGATTTCCTCCAGTGTCTAGTTATTTTGGTTGTTCCTTAGTGCAAACTTTAGTTGAGAGCTCTGCACAAAGCTGGGGTATTTCAATCAGCCTGCTATTCTAAATATAGAATAATATTTCTGTAGTCCAGGCTTCACTCCTCCAACCCATGCACACAACACATGCATACTTACGTGCACACACCTGGAGTTTACTCTCTTTTCCTATATTTGGTGTTCACTTCTGTCCAGGGCTAGATATAAGCAGAATTGGGAAGCGAATGAAAAATAGATTAGGAAGCCTAATATATTTGAGAAATGCTATATAGTATTTGATTTCACTTTCTAAGCATAGGTTCCTATCTTTCTTCATCTTTATGATCTTTTTTGATCAGACTCTCTCTGAGCTAAATTAGAGGTAATTCAACTAAGGAAATTAATAGCAAAATAAAACAAAAATAACAGTTTGCATCCCCCAGAGAAGGTATTTAGGATGACAGCCAGATTTTGAAAGTGCTCAAGCTCCATTTGAAATTAATTTTTTAATAAATTATGGGGTAGCTAACTCAAGGAGCACCTCTTGTCTGTCTAATCTGTACCATATTAGCAATCAATATAATTTGTTTTTTTTTTCTGAAAATGTAGTGGAGATGGAGAAGGAAATGTAACAAAATTTGATTAACTCTTTTTTTTGCAAGTAAAAATTGTACTCTTCTATGAAAAAGAATGATCAAATTTTGAAATTACTCCTATTTTAACTGGCCATCTATATATTGTATTACATTGCACCATGATTATGAACAAGAAGGTAAAAACTGAGTTGATTTACAATGTTAAAGAATAAAATCTTTGTGTGCTGTGTGCTGTTTTTTTTTTTTTTTTTTTGTCTATTTCAAAGCATCCCATGAAAATACATTCTGACAGCATCATTCTGAATGGACTTCTAAGATTTTTGCCATAGAGAAGAAAACATTTCCTACCAAGAGCCAGTAATCTCACACATGCTATATCAATTTAAGACTTACATGGAAGAACAATCACCACAATGCAGCTTTAGCTTTTTATTTTGGAAGACAGAAACTCTTTAAAAGCTTCAGTAGAGAAGCTCTGGGACTTGATAACAATATCAGTTACTTAAAAATATACTTCAGTTCTATACTGTATATGAACATAATGCAGAAGTATGAGTAAAAGTAGAGGGGGAGAGAAAGAAAGAGACAGATGGAAAGAAAAAGAGAGAGAACAACAGATTGGGAGGCCAGAGAGAAACAGAGAGGAGTTCAATAGATTATGAAGTGTGAAAATATTTTCGTTACATGATGCTGTCTCCTTGGGTTGTTATGTATTAGCAGCACCATCTGAGTTATTAACTTATTACCATCTATTCACACATCCTTAATTATTCTTTATTCTTAAATGCAGTGAATAGTCACAGTAGCCCACCATGGGGGCTTCATTTTTAGACATTACAGTAACTAGGGGAATTTTATTAAGGAGTCAGCACCTAAACCGTTATTGTTATTATTATTATTCTCTAAACCAAACTACAGACTTACTCAGATTTCATCAGTCTTCCCATCAGTGTTCTCTTTCTGGTCCATGATCCAATGTAGGATTCCACATTACAGTTAGTTTTTATGTCTCCATGTCCTCTCCCACTCTGTGATGGTTCCTCAGTATCTCTTTGTCTTCCAGGATCTGACACTTTTGAAGAGTATTGCACAGCTATTTTGAGGAATGTCCTGCAATTTGGTTCTGCCTAATGTGTTTCAATGAATAAATGTTACTTGCGCATTGTTGGCCAAGAGTACCACAGAAACGATAAGCCCTTCTTAGTGTATCAAATCAGGAAGTATGGGATGTCAGTATGTCTTTTTACTGGTGATGTTAATCTTGATCACTTGGCTGAGATGGCATCTGCCAGGTGTTTCCATTTTTAAAATTACTATTTTTCCTTTAGCAATTAATGGGTATCTTGAAGGAGATAATTTTGCACTAGGCACATATAATCTTTATCCTCAAAGTTTTACCCACGAATTTTGGCTTTCGTTGGTACATCTTGCCTGCAACAATTATTACTGTGGCATTCTATTGGTGAATTCATATTTCCATCTTCTTTCTACATTTATTCATTGGGAGAGCTGTTATCTCCCATTCATTCATTCATTCATTTCTTTATGTCATAGACTCATGGATGCTTATTGTATTCTCTTGATAAAAATAATCTATCATTAACTTGCTCAGACTTGGGACATTGGGAGCTCTTTCATGTTGGCTCCTGTGAGCTTTGGACATGCCCCCATTCTTTTTTGAGCACTTCCTTACTTTCTGGCACCACTAGATGCTCTAGGCTTATCTTAAGTTTTCCCTGTCCCGTCCTGGGATTCAACTAATTCTACAAGGAGGTCTGGTTTCTTCTACTGTAAAATGGCATTTAGAAACAGATATCTGGGCTGTAGGTTTGTTCATTATTATTGGGAAGTCATTGAGTCTAGACCCCATCAGTTTGATTCATGCGTTCACCAACACCATGCTGTCTTGATTAACGTGGCTTCACAGTAAGTCTTGAAATTATGTAGTGTGAGGGTTCTATCTTTGTTATTTTATCAAAATTGCTTTGGCTATTGAGGTTTCTTTGCTTTTAAATATGAGTTTTAGAATCAGCTTGTCATTATCCACAAAACAACTTACTAAGATTTTTATTAGGTTTGCACTGAACCTATACATAAATTAATTTGGAGTGAATTGACATTTTAACAAGACTGAGTCTTCCAGACCTTTAATTTTTTACAACTCTGATTTCTATACAAAATTCAAGCCAATACATGGAAACATATTTATAGAGGCTAATTCAAGAACTGGGTCTCTATACAAAAAATAGGCCACAATGTTAGGCAACCAAGAGTTGGGTGACAAGCAGTTCACATGTCATTTTTAATTGGATTTTTTCTCTCCCAAGTCAACAATGAATTAAACTGAGGGGAAAAATAAAAATATTTCCATATGGTAGAATAGTAACAGAACTAATAACAGAATTTAGCTATTTACTTCTAATGCCCTCGATATCATCTACACCAGATGTCCTGCAAAATCGGAAATACTGTCAAAACATTTTGCATTCACAGAACCAAATAATTTCCTTTTTGCTTTGTAAACAATGCAATCATCCCCCGTTTCTTTTTTTTCTGTATTGCCCCCTCACCCCAACTATGTATTTTTTGGAGAGAAAACAAAACCTATGATAAGACAGCAAATGAGTGAAATTATTTTTCCACCATGAATTCATCATTTGTTGGAACTACCTCGGATTTCATTTATTGCAGGGACCTTAGAATAATCATGCCTAGTACATCTATTGTGGTTTGGAAACTAAAGAAGACTTACATATGGTCTTTTAAAGCCTGTTTGTATTTTTTAGATTAAAAAAACTACTATGTTCATTGACGTCTTCTTTCAACTTCATCTCCTTATTATACACAAGTTGGAAGGATGCTCGGCAGGGAGAATGTAACAAGGCCTGTGTGGTGGTTTAGAAATCAGCCACGTAAGGCAGGATGGCTCAGAGCAGGGGATAAATTGATTTCTTTCACTTCTAAAGCCCAAGTTTCCAATGCCAGCTTGTGGAAAACTTTCTAATGAAGTAAATTATGTTGTGGGCTGGTAGATAAGTTCTTGTGATTTCAGCTGCTGGTTACCCTGGGCTGGAATATAAAAGAGATACAATTAGATTTAGGAGAAAAATGGCTTTTTGACAGTGAACTTTACTATTAGTTTATAAAGTTTTTTTCTCAATTTTTAAAACCTTGTGGTAAAATACAATTAATATAAAATTTACCATCTTAAGCATTTTAAGTGTACAGACCAGTGGTATGAAGTACATCCATATTGCTAACCCTATACCTTCATCCATCTCCAAAACTCTTTTCATCTTTCAAAACTGAAGTTCTATATCCACAAAGCAATAACTCCTCATTCCCGTCTCCTCCCAGCCCAAGAAGCCATCATTCTATTTTCTGTCTCTGTAATTTTGAGTGCTCTAAGCACCTCATGTAAGTGGAATTACATAGTATTTAGCTTTTTTCAACTGGTTTATTTCACTTTTCACTTATTTTACACTTCAAAGTTCATCCATGTTATAGCTTGAGCATGGGTAGAAGGGTTTTATTCTTTCGAAAGGCTAAATAATATTTCATTGTAGGTATATATCACATTTTGCTGATTCACTCATCCATTGATGGACAGTTGAATTGCTCCCACATTTTAGCTATTAAGAATAATACTGCTGGCTGGCATGTTGGCTCACACCTGTACTCCCAGCACTTTGGGAGGCCAAGACGGGCGCATCACCAGATGTCAGGAGTTCGAGACCAGCCTGGCCAACATGGTGAAAACCCGTCTCTACTAAAAATACAAAAATTAGCCAGGCATGGTGGTGAGTGCCTGTAATCCCAGCTACTCAGGATGCTGAGGCAGGAGAATCGCTGGAACCAGGGGGGCAGAGGTTGCAGTAAGCCAAGGTTGTACCACTGCACTCCAGCCTGGGTGGCAGAGCAATACTCCATCTCAAAAAAAAAAAAAAAAAAAAAAAAGAATAATACTGCCATGAAAATGGGTATTCAAAGCAACGATATCTCCTTGAGACGCTACTTTCAATTCTTCTGGGTACATACCTATAAGTAGAATTATTGGATCCTGTGGTAATTCTCTTTTAAGGTTTTTGAGGACCCACCACACCATCTTCCACGGCAGCTATACCATTTAACATTCCCATCCACAGCGTACAAAGGTTCTTATTTCCTGGAAAATGCCCCATGTGCATTTAAACATGTGCATTCTGTGTCTGTTGCACAGAGTGTTCCTTATATGTCTGTTAGAGCTAGCTGGCTTATTGTGCTGTCCAAGTCCTCTATTTCTTTACCTATCTTCTTTCTGCCTAGTTATTCTGTCTATTATTGAGAGTGAGGCATGAAAGTCGCCAACTATTATTGTAGAACTATCTATCCATTTAAGTTTGTTAATTTTTGCTACATGTATGTCAAGGGTCTGTTACTAGGTCTGAAAAATGTTTAAAATAGCTATATATTCTTGCTGTATTGTATCTTGTATTAGTGTATAGCATCCTTCTTTGTCTCTTGTAATCTTTTTAAATTTGAAATTTATTTTATCTGAAATTAGTATATCCAGCCTTACTCTCTTTTGTAACTATTTGCATAAAATACCTTCTTTCATGCTTTCGCTTTCAACCTATTTCTGTATTTGGATCTAAAGTGAGTTTCTTGTAGACAGCATGTAGTTAGATTTTGTGTGTGTGTTTTTTTTAAGTTCATACTGCCAATTTCTGTCTTTTGATTGCAGAGTTTAGTCTTTACATTTAAAGTAATTACTAATAAGAAGGGACTTCTGTCATTTTGCTACCTGTTTTCTATAAGCCGTATAGCTTTTTTGTCCCTCATTTCCTGCATTACTGTCTTCTTTTGTATTTAGCTGATTTTTGGTAGTGAAATGATAAAATTTCTTTCTCATTTCCTTTTGTGTATATTCTATAGCTATTTTCTTTGTGGTTACCATGGAATTACATTAAACATACTAACTATAAATAAGTTATAAAACTCTAATTTGAATTTAGAACAGTTTAATAACATACAAAATCTCTGCTCCTTAACAGCTTCATCCTCACCTTTTTCAGTTGTTGATATCGCAAAATTACATCATCATACATTGTGTGTCCAAAAGCATAAGTTAATCATTTTTAATACATTAGTCACTTCAGTTATGTAGAAAACAAAGTGTGGAATCACAAACCAAAGTTAAAATAACACTAGCTTTTAAACTGGTAATTTTATAAAATGTATTACTCTCAAATCATGTAGAAAACAGAAAGTGAAGTTGCAAACCATTGTTACAATAACAAGTTTTTATAATTTTCATGTATTTACCTTTACTGAGCTTTTTATTTCTTCATATAGTTTCTAGTTACTGTCTAGTCCTTTCATTTTTACCCTTCAGGACTCCCTTGAGCATTCCTACAGAGCAGGTCTATTGGTAATAAACCCCTTCAGTTTTTGCTTACTGAAAATGTATGTCTTAATTTCTCCTTCACCGTGAAAGGACAGTTTTGCTGGATATAAGATTCTTGCTTGACTGTTTTTTTTCCTTTTAGAGCTTCTGTGAGTTCTAAAGAGAAAGCCTGCTGCATTCTGGCCTCAAAAGTTTTTAATCAGAAATATGCTGATAATCTTATTGAAGATCTTTTGTATGTGATGAGTCTTCTGTCTTGCCACTTTCAAGATTCTCTTTGTCTTTTGACAGTTTACGATATGTTTCAGTGTGGGTCTCTTTGAGTTCATCTTCTTTGGAGTTTGTCAAGCTTCTTATATACTTATATGTATGTCTTTTACTACATTTGGGAAGTATGGAGGATCTGGAACTTTCATATACTTCTGATAGGAGTTCTAAATGCTCTAGCCACTTTGAAAAACAGTTAGGCAGTTTCTTAAGCTAAACATGCATTTACCTTATGATGCAGTCATTCACTCCTAGGTATTTATCCAAGAGAAAAGAAACTCTCTCTATATACAAAGGTTTATACATTCATATTTATAGCAACTTTATTTGTATGTTGCTTTTTGAGTTTGGCATCTGCATTTGAGATTCATACAATTATAGTTTTAAAATGAACTTTATATTCTCTACTTTATCAGTTGTTTTGTCAATTCCTTAACATCATCAATGTAACTTTGAAGAGAATGTGCTCTACGGTAGACAAACCTATGGTTCCTGTCCTCAAGGAGCTTACAGTCTCGTGGGCTGTATACAAATGTTATGGAGGACACCAAGAAGTTCAGGTTTCAAGATAAACTCAAAATTGGAGAATCAACTCTAGTGTGGGAATATGAGAGTTCTCTGAAAATGAGTCATTTAAAAGTAAGCATAAGAATATATAAGCATTTACTCAGATAGTGGTTTCTACATGCATGCTTGTCCATGAACCACTGCTGTTCCATAATGAAGTTTTTTACTAGCCCATGATAAAATAGGAAAATGTAAGAACAATATTGCTAAGTTATTGAAAATATGGGATTTGCTTAATTCTGAGATTGTGCCCCTTCTAATTTTGTGTTAAAATTTTTATTTCAATAATAAATATATCAATTTTGCATATATATATTAAGAAAGAGAGAAGGGTAAAGAAATGTGGCAAATTGTTAAATATTGGTGAATCTGGATATATTGTATATGGGAGTTCTTTATTCTTGTAAGTCTTCTGTAAATTTGATTATTTCAAAATAAAAAGTGAAAAGTGAAAAGTTCTTTCTTTCATGAAAATCAGGGTATAATGGTAATTATTTTTATTTAAAAAAGTAAAAAGTAGATAGCATCTTGCCAGTTTGGGAATTTTACTGCTGGCAGGAATTCCCAATTGTAGATATAATAGTTTCCTTTTGCTGTTCTAACAATTACTACAAACTTTGGTAGCTTAAAATATTCAAATTTATTATTCTAAAATTTTATAAGTCGGAAGTCTAAAATAGATCTCATTGGGCTAAAATAAAAATATTTGCAAGATTGTTTTCCTTTTGAAGGCTGAGTAAAAGAATCTGGTTTTTGGGCTTTCCCAGCATTTAGAGATCGTCTTTATTCCTTGGATCATGGCCCCTTCCTCCATCTCCAAAGCCAGCAGTGCAATATCTTCAAATCTCTCCCAAACTCTGACTCTGACTCTCCTGCTTCCACATTCACTAGTAAGCACCCTTGTAACAGCATTGGAACCACCCACATAGTCCAGGATCATCTCCTTGTGCAAAGGTCAGGTGATTAGCAACCTTAATTTTATCAGCAACCTTGGTTCTACCTCACCATATCACAGAACATACCCAGAGGTTCCAGAGATTAGGACATGGACATCTTCAGAAGACTATTATTCTGCCTACCCTGTGGAGAATGTCGGGAGAAATTTCCAGGGTACTAGTGTAAAGGCGGAGTGAGGATGAAAGAAGACTGGAGTGGTAGGAAAAGACTAGGCAGTGCAGAAGCTTTTAGGGCATGTTTGAGATCTGAGACTTCACCCAGTGGGAAACCACAGATGGGTTTTAAGTGGGGGCTGACTTGTTCAGATTTGTATTTATGGAAGTTTGCCCTCTGTCCAACAAAGAATATAGGTTGGATACCAATGGCTTGCTGAGTACAGGATATGAGGCCCTTCTAATCATTCTGGTAAGAGCTGATGGCATCTGGTCTCTGCTATTGACAGTGGGAACAGGCAGAAATAAATTACTCTCTATTGGCACTAGGAGAAGTAAAAATTGGAATTGGATTCCCCAGGTGGCCATCTCATCTCTAGTGATATTAAGATACTACTTTAGAAGGGAGAATTATCAGAACTTGGAGAATGACTGGACAATGGGCTTTGAGAGGGGGTATACCAGCGTTCAACAGAGAAACAGAACCAGTAGGAGATGTGGTTTTTACATGCAGATTTATTGCGAGGAATTGCCTTTACAATTGTGCAGCTGGTTAAGCGGCCCTGAAGACCAGAGGACAGGCAGTCAGGAAGGCAAGATCATGAACAGGCAAGGAAACACAGGGTAAAAGGGGAACAACTGCAGACTCAGCTGCTGTTTGGAGTCTCTGGGCTCACGGAAGAGCTAATGTCTCGTTAAAGGCTTATTTTGATAAAGTCAACTGATTAAGGACTTTAGTTACATCTGAAAAATCCCTTCAGAGGAACATAATAGTGTTTGATCAAATATTTGTGAGAAGGTGTGTGTATGCTACAAATTGGCCACTGCCTTTCTTCTGTCCTTTATCTCTTCTGAGAGATTATCCCTTGTAGCTCCTCCCAACCGGAAACATACTATTAAATAGAAAGAAAATGGTGGGGCCTGTAGCGCAGTTTAGCCAAGTTAACTGACACATCACAAAGCTGTCACAGAGAGGAAGGTGTGCAGGAATATGAAAGATTCCTGGTTGGAGTCACTAGGACCAGGCTTTGTGGAGACATTCATATGTGCGAGTCTCAGAGTTACATAGTGTGGTGAGGGAGACTTCTATTTTATGTCCTTTGTGCTATCATGATCCTACACAGAAAGATGGGGATGGGAGGGTCAGAGCAAGGAAAGAACAGCACTTCCAGGTCACTTCGCCTCATTCTGGACTCCCCTTTTCCAGGGTGTGCTGTGACTCCACCCCATGTCTGCAGGAGCCCCGAGGCATTCGCCCCAGTGAGCTGACAGATGACACCATGACTAAGACCTTCATCTGGGACTTTATGGCCTGCTAGTATGTTCAAACCTCTTGAGTTCTTGGCCTCCTGGATATGCTATAAAAATGGCATCTACTCTACTTATCTCTCTGGGGTGTGTTCACAGAAAGCTGGAGCAGGAGTTTGAAAAGGGCGGTGATGGTGTGGATGTAAAGTTATCGTCTCGGCTCCCTATTGCATGGGATTACACATTATTGATGGTGCAAGACAGTCACTCACTCTCAGCCACAGAGACCTCTTGGCATCCTGTGAAAGGGCAGGGTTTTCTCTTCGATGTCACATTAGAAAGTTAGATGTGTATCTACCCCAAGCATACCTTCCTTCCTGAAACATAATATGTAACTTAATATCCTAGAGTTTAAAAGGCCCCCAAGGTGCTTTCTAATGTATTTACTCCAAGTTATAAAGTTTCATGATTTTTTAAATTAATGAATTTAGTGTGAAAATTAGGAAAAAATGTTTCAAATAATCATGAATTGAGTGTGGACTGTGTGCTGTTTTCCACATGCATTTTATTTTTTTTCTCCACAGCCAATCCAAGAGATGAGTGTTATTACCCACACTGCAAATGAGGATTTGCAAAGTCACACTCTTAGTAAATGGGAGAACAGATGTCTGCCTAAAATAATGAAAATATTTTATCCACTATGACACATCGTGCATCTAACCCCTCACTGGCAGCTTAATAACTTTACCCTATAACAAGGTAATACATTTGACATCAGTGATGTTCTTTTAAAAATTAATAGGAAAACTTATTTTAAAGGGCTCCATTACTGAAAAGTGGGACTAAATATAAGCAAGTCATAAACTCCTAGGGAAAACATAACATAAATGGCTAGAGCAGTAATGAAATTGAATTGTCAAGCAATGTAAAGATCCTAAAATTTATTGCTTGATTTATTCAGGAATACTTAGCAGATATCTATGATAAATAAAAAGTTAAGTCTGATACAAATTCTGAGCTAAAGGAAGTTTATATCTGAGTGGAGAGAGAAGATATGACACAGATTATCACGGCATATGATAGCAAAGGCTGGATATCAGAAGAGCAGAGCAGATGAGGTGTTTTGGTAAGACACAGAATGAAGAAAGGAGATTTATAGAACATGGACCAAGTGTCATGACATCAACACTCAGTCTGTGTTGATGAGACAGAGAGTTTCATCTTACAGAGACAAACTGGGACAGATAATTTCCTCTAGGAAATTCTAGAGAATTTGTATATTTGTATATTTGTAAATACAACTGTCCCAAACTTGGATCAACCAAGTGTGATCCTGGTAGTTTACACAGTCAAACTGCCTGGCATACAGTGGGATAAATAGATGCAATATGGTAAATCAAAGTGTCATCAATAGTCTTACAGAGGCAGGGCACCCTCAAATGGCTTTTATTGGGTGGGAGCATGTATTTGGCTAAATATTGTATGGGTTGGTTTGTTGACTATCTTATTCTATTCTCAGACTCTGAATCAGCATTTAAATAATGGTGAGTGTGTTGCTGGAGGGAGGGGAGAGATAAAGAGACAGATAGAGATAAGCAAGAAAGAGATAAAGAGACAGAAGAGAGAGAGAGAAAGAGACACAGAGAGAGAGATAAGTGAGAGAGAAAGAGAAGAGCATGATAGACATAGAGAAAGAGACAGAGAGGGATCAAGATCACAATAGGCCCTGAGGATAAAGGAAGACAACAGCAGACAATGAATCCAGATGCTGTGTCTGATTTGCAGCTCTTACACCTTATTGCTGTCACAAATTGTACCCATGTTTTTGAACTCTCACTTGTTCTCAGTTGGTCATTGTAATTTCCTGTCTATGTGATTTTGAATACAACCTCACGGCCACATACTCCTAATAATAAACTTGCCTATCAAATCGTCATCTGTGCTGTGCTGTCTGGCTCTCTCCTGCATGCTTGTCTACTGGCTTTGGTTCTCCCCACCCAATTCTAACTGGATATCTGACAGCATAGCCAAGGAAAGGTTGGGTGGACATTTCTTATGATCTGATGATCTGAGGTTTGGCAGCTTTAACCAGGACTGGGGTCCCTAAAGACACAGTGCCTGCGCTTCTTATTTCACTCCCTAGAAGTTGATTAAAAACTCAGGAATTATTTTCCCTCCCTATTGATAAAAGCAATATTTACACGGTGATTAGTCACCCCAAAAACTTGCAGAAACAATCAGGTGCTACAGTGTAAGCATAATTTTGATCTCACCATCATAAATGGAAGGGTTTGTTTTCTTTTCCAGGAGAAGTACTGCCCTCCTAACCCTCAGTCCTTTTCCTCAATTAAGCCTTGCAAGATAAAGAACAACAATAATGAGGGTTTGGGTACACAAAGAACGTGAACAAATATTGCTTCCTTTTTCAGAGGCAAGCTCAGAATTGGAGCCAGCCACTTGGGACATTTCATCTTAGGACCAGGATGCAGGACCACTTGAGAAGCCTGTGAAATACTGAGGGAGACCAAGAGTGCCACAGATAAAAGGAGTAGTGTACATGCAAGGACAGAGGGACAGAGGAAAGACATGCTGGTTTGTGCTATGTCAACTTGGTTATACAAAAACCCTGTGTTCCAGATTCCCATTCCCTGCATGGTCTTGAGGTGTCTTGAGCACAGATGAACTGATGTGAACTTTGGAAGGCAGCAGTGAACTCCCAGCCGTCATTATCTGGAGGCTGTGAGGACTCGCACATGCTTGCCATGAGCTTCCTTTTATGGTCTCACTTTGGCGATGACACGCTTGTGGCTTCACAGCTTCACCAAGTCCCTTAGTCACCCAATCTCTCCTGGACCTTCACTTCCCAGCTTCTTCCACAATTGTGTGAGATTTAATTCCCCTATGAAATACCCAATCCCAGGCTGGGCTTGGTGGCTCAAGCCTGTAATCCCAGCACTTGGGGAGGCTGAGGCTGGTGGATCACCTGAAGTCAGGAATTTGAGACCAGCTTGGCCAACATGGTGAAACCCCGTGTCTACTAAAAATACAAAAATTAGCCAGGTCTGGTGGCAGGTGCCTGTGATCCCAGCTACTCAGGAGGCCAAGAAGGAGAATGCTTTGAACCTGGGAGGGGGAGGTTGCAGTAAGCCGAGATTGGGCCACTGGACTCCAGCCTGGGTGACAGAGCAAGACTCCATCTCAAAAAATAAATAAATGAATGAATAAATAAATACCCAATCCCATAATTTTATATGGTTGTACCTTTCTGGTTGAGCCCTGACAAGTACTGGATGTGACGAGGGGACTAGATGTCTCATTTCAATTCACCATCATGAGAACCAACTCAACAAAACCTTCCCATGGAAGGCTCTCACTTAGCACTGGAAACAATGATCAACTGGAAATTGAGTTCCCAGGTGGCAGTGGACAGGAGTGGGAGTTTTCATTCATTAGTTCATTGATTCAACATATGTGTAGATAACTCCCCAAATGTGCCAGGTACCCTAGGCAGTGAAGATACTCTTAAGCCGAAACAGGCTTACCATCTAATTCATTATCCAAACCAGATCTGTTTGAGAGTGAGAGGGGAGACTATTAATAAATATACCAGAAAACCAGGCATAAAATGGGGCTGTACTAGACCCACCAGGATACAGATAAAAAGATTCCTGGTTCTGGTCCTCATGGTACTAACAGTCAGTATGAAAGACATCCTTTACTTTAAAAATTATTTCACGAATAAATGTACACTGACAAGGATGAGAAGGGCTAACTAGAATGGAGCTGAGATAACACATCACAGGATGATTGACCTGCTCCAGGAAGTTAGGAAAGGGTGCTGACTGCACTGAGATCCCGGGCAGGGTTTCTCCCTCTCTGTCTTGGTCTTGATCTCGATTTGTTTTTCTGTGTTTTTGACTGGTGAAACTTACACAAACACTGGTAGAAATGGGGCCAGCCAGGATTGCTGAGTGAGCAGGTCACTTACGTGGGGAGTTTGTGGGCAGGCAAAGACCATGTGAAAGTGTAAAAGTCAGACGTTCATGAGTTGGGCTGTGCCCACCCTGGAAGATGACCCTTGCCCTTGGAAGCTAATCTGGTTCAGGGAAACAAGTCTTGACCTTGGTGGGAGACAGCCTTTTCCATATATTGAATTTTAATCTTTATCCTTTTGCTTTTAGATCACAGATTTTGGTCTAAACATTGGGCTCACTCTTCACTAGCTGTTGGACAAGTTATTTACTCCCATTTGCTCCCTTTTAGCCTGAATTCTCATCTGTGAAATGTTTATCAAACTAGTAACACACCTCATAGGATTGTTTTAGTGATAAAATAAGGCTAAGAATGTAAATGCTTAGACAATGCTTGGCACAGAACACCCTTCATATAAATGGTACTTCTTGTCATTGTGTTTATGAGTGTAATTATTATTATTATTGGGTCATAAAACTCCTCAGTGAAACATGTGGGATATTCTTTCATATAGTTGTTCCTTGAAGAACAAAGATAAATCACAGTTAAAATGCTTCCAGGTTTCCTTCATTTATTCCCTTATAAATCTAAAACATGATTATTATCAAAATGTTTAAAACATTGCAAAAATGAAAAAAATAAATTGTATATGTTTCTACAACTTAGAGATATATGCTGTCAACACTTTGATTTATTTTCTTTCCATATTGTGCTGTGAATATTTATGTGGTTGTGTTAAATTATATAACGTATTGTATATGCTGAATTTTTCAAGTTTTCAGATTTAAAAATTATAAATGTTCATTATAGAAACATTAGAAATGCTTACAAAATCCATACTCAAAGCCTTGAAAGTACACATCTGTTAACATTTTGAGTTTATTTTCTTATGACCTGTTTCTACACTTCTTAAGAGACAGTTGAAATTATACAATGTGCACTAATTGTTAAGCATCACTAATAAGAAGACATTTATAGGTCCTATATGAAAAATTTTGTAAAGCACTGATTGGTCACAGCTTATATCAGCCTCTGAGTGGATTTATTAGGCTTCCCTAATTTAAAATCTCCAATCACTGCTGTCTTCAACATGAATTTTAAAGAGGCCCAAAATGATTACTCAAGTAACTTGTGGTGCAATTGGGTATCATATTACTTGTACATTTTTGCTTCTAAAGGATACAAATAAAACTTTTAGTACTCCTTCTAATTCAATGTCCCAAATACCCAAAAGTTTTGCCATGTTGGCAGTGGCCTGTACAAAATAAAAACAATGATTGTTTCAGGTGTCATCAACCATGACTTTAAGATGATCATAAAAACACATTTCTGTTTCTAAATGAGTTAAAACTGAGGGGACGCTTTAGGGTCAAGCTTCACTCCAAGTTGCAGCACGGACTGATAACACACAAACCTTCTCAATTCTAAATTTAGGATGAATGCTGAGGAAGGGAAACCTTAACAACATTTTTATACCCTTCACTTCCATGCCCAGTTGTCTGTAAGTGATGGGATAAAAAAGATGAGTCAGACAAACGTGTTTGAGGTTATTTTGTAAAGAACATTAGAGTTTGCTGACTACATGTTAGATTTAAATTTTGAGTCATCTCTCATCCAATTAAAACTATTCAAAATGCAAGGGTAATTTTCTGAGCAACTAGATGTATAAGTCTTTCTCTTTAACTTGACAACGTTAAAATTGTCAAGTGATAAAATGCTCACGCTGCATATTTTGCTTTGTGTATGTGGCAAGTTGTCTTCTGGTACTTAGAGTTGCAGAGGAGAAGATCAACTACGAAACACAACTTTCATCCAAACTTTTCCAAAGGCTTGTGAAATTTTTCTTCACTTTTAAAACTCAAAACTTCTGCTATGATGTAGGTGCTTCTTGCCATTGATTTTTTTTTTCCTGGAAAGCAGTAAACCCTTTAAATTCGTATCCTTACAATTTAAAACTGAAACTCAGCAAAGTGTATAAGAAAGAAAGTTGTTTTCTCAAATATGCCATTGATTTTTGCTTCCACAGTTTCTCGAGGTTCTCTTCCATATTACTTTTATTTATTTTATTTTATTTTTATTTATTTATTTGAGACAGAGTTTCTGCTCTGTCACCCAGGCTAGAGTGCAGTAGCGCAGTCTCGGCTCACTGCAACCTCCACCTCGTGGATTCAAGAGATTCTCATGCCTCAGCCTCGGGATTACAGGCATGCACCACCACACTCAACTAATTTTTGTATTTTTAGTAGAGATGGGTTTCACCATGATGGCCAGGCTGGTCTCGAACTCTGGCCTCAAGTGATCCACCCGCCTCGGCCTCCCAAAGTGCTGCGATTACAGGCATGAGCCACTGCGCCCGGCCCACTTTTACTTTTACTACATTTTCAATTCTGTATTTTACTGCCTCAAGTAGAAAATTTAACTTTGCAATTATATTGGTAACTTCCTTGTAATAATTCCCCATCCTATTCATCTGCTGTACATATAACTGTGTTGTCGTTTTTTTCTCAGTCTTTTTACCCCTTCTAATTTTTTCTTTTTTTTTCTATCAGGATCATATTTGCATACATCCATTAGGTGATGCCAGATTTCCAAAGTTTTCTTGTGGCTTCCAGAGCAAATAAAAAAAAGAATTTGTTTTGGTCTCTCTGAGTCTTCAGGATGATGTTCCCTTTATCTAAGTCTGCTTCATTTAATCATGGGTTTAATGTTAGCACATCTTCCAGCAACTTGAGGCATAATCAGATCCATTGTGAAATTACAGGATGGATGTAGATTGTTTTCTGGCTCTGCCAATGTGTTTTCTCTCCAAAGACCTGCACACATTTTCTATTTTGCCTCCTGCTGCTCTGAAGTTCTTGGGGCATCATTGGCTTCTGGTTTTCAGTTGGCCTCAGCTAATAGAAATCTCCAGCAAGAGATTACAGTAAGGGAGGAGAGAATGGTTGGGATTTATCTCCTCTGACTCCCTTCCTGAGGTTGCTGGGCACTTTACTCAAGGCCACAATTCTCCTAAGGCACCCCTATCACACGATGCTTTCTGTCCAGATTCTAGTAACTTCAGACTCCCCAAACTTTCCCCTTTCAGGCCTACAGATAATGATAGCACCCCTGTTTTTAACCCCTACTATCATTTTTGGATTCCCTGTGTCTTAGTCTGTTTCTGCTCCTATAAAGAAATACCTGAGACTGGGTAATTTATAAGGAAAAGAAATGTACTACTCACAGTTCTAGAGGGTGGAAGTCCAAGACCAGGGCACTAGTGGGTTTGGTGTCTGCTGAAAGCCTGTTCACTGCTTCCAAGATGGCACCTTGCTGCTGGTTCCTCCAGAGGAAACAAGTGTTGTGTCCTGACATGGCAGAAGGGTGGAAGTGAAAAGGGGGCTGAGCTAGTTCTCTCTAGCCCTTTTATAAGAGCACTAATGAGGGCAGAGCCTTCATGACCAAATCACCTCTCAAAGGCCACACTTCTTAATAGTGTTGCATTGGGGATGAAGTTTCAACATGGATTTCAGAGGGGACACAAGTATTCAAACCATAGTGCCTTACTCTGTCCACACATATGTAAATACAGGCACACCTCTGAGATACTGTAGTCTTAATTCCATACCACTATAATAAAGTGAATATATCCACAAAGTGAGTCACATAAATTTCTGGTTTCTCAGTGCATATAGAAGTTATGTTTACAATATACTATAAATTAAGTGTACAGTAGCATTACATCTAAGTAAACAATGTACATACCTTAATTAGAAGAACTTTATTCCAAAAAAAAAAAAAAACACACAATCATCTGAGCCTTCAGCAAAGTCGTAATCTTTTTTTTTGGTGAAAGATCATGACTTGATGTTGATGGCTGCTAACTGATGTGGGTGGTGGTTGCTGAAAGTTGGGGTGGCTGTAGCAATTTCTTAAAATAAGACAATAATAGAGTTTGCCGTATTGATTGACTCTTTCAGGAAAGAGATTTCTCTGTGGGATGTCATGCTAGTTGATCGCATTTTACCACAGTAAAACTTCTTTCTGAATTACATTTGATATTCTTCAAACATGCCATTGCTTTATCAAATAAGCTTATGTAATATTCCAAATTATTTGCTGTCATTTCAACAATGTTCACAGCATCTTCTCCAGGAATAGATTCCAACACAAGAAATGACTTTCTTGGCTAGTTCATAAGAAGCAACTCCTCAGCTGTTAATGCTTTATCATGAGATCAGAGAAATTCAGCTCCATCTTTAGGGTCCACTTCTAATCCTAGTTCTCTTGCTATTTTCACCACATCTGCCGTGACTTACTCCAAAGAAGTCTTGAATCCCTCAATATCATCCATGAGGGATGGAACCAGCTTCTTCCAAACTCTTATTCTTGTTGATATTTTGACCTACTCCCATTAATCACAAATGTTCTTAATGGCATCTTGAACTACGAATTCTTTCCAGGAGGTTTTCAATTTACTTTAACCAGATTCATCAGATAAATCACTATTTATGGCAGCTATAGAGTTACAAAAAGGTGTTACTTAAATAATAAAATTAGAAAGTTGAAATTACTCCTTGATCCATGAGCTTTATGTTGGATGTTGTGTTAGCATAATCGGCTGGGCGCAGTGGCTCACACCTGTAATCCCAGCACTTTGGGAGGCTGAGGCAGGTGGATCACCTGAGGTCAGGAGTTCAAGACCAGCCTAGCCAACATGGTGAAACCCCATCTCTACTAAAAATACAAAAAATTAACTGGGTGTGGTGGTGGGCACCTGTAATTCCAGTTACTCAGGAGGCTGAGGCAAGAGAATTGCTTGAACCTGGGAGGCGGAGGTTGCAGTGAGCCAAGATTGCACCATTGCACTCCAGTCTAGGCAACAGAGTTAAACTCCAACTCAAACAAACAAATAAACCAAAAACAAAACAAAACAAAACCCATTAATCACTTTTTATATTGCCATTAGAGTTTTTTCTAACCAGTAGGTCCCACTAGTGGGTTTAAAATATTCAGCAAACCATGTTGTAAACAGATGTTCTGTCATTTAGGCTTTGTTGTTCCATTTATAGAGCACAGGCAGAGTAGATTTAGCATAATTCTTAAGGACCCTAGAATTTTTGAATGATGAATGGTTATAAATGGACTGGTGACTTATACCCACTAGCTGCATTACCCCCTAACAAGAGAGTCAGCTTGTCCTTTGAAGTTTGAAGCCAGGCATTTGTCTCCCCGTCTCTAGCTATGAAAGTCCTAGATGGCATCTTCTTTGAATAGAACGGTGTTTAGTCTATATTAAAAATCTGTTGTTTAGTGTAGCCACCTTTATCAATTATCTTACTTAGCTTTTCTTGATAACTTTCTGCAGCTTCTACATCAGGACTTCTTGCTTTCCCTTGCACTTTTATGTTAGGGAGATGGCTGCTTTCCGTATACCTCACGAATCATCCTCAGCCACCTTCAAACTTTTCTTCTGCAACTTCCTCACCTCTCTCAGCCTTCATAGAATTGAAGAGTTAGGGCCTTGTTCTTGAGTTCTTGGCTTAAGGGAATGTTGTGGCTGGTTTGATCTTCTAACTAGACCACTAAAACTTTTTCCATATCAGTAATAAGGTTGTTTTGCTTTCTTATCATTTGTGTGTTCACTGGAGTAGCATTTTTAATTTCCTTCAAGAACTTTTTCTTTGCACTCACAAATTAGCTGTTTTGTGCAAGAAGCCTAGTGTTTGGTGTATCTTAGCTTTCAACATACTTTCCTCACTAAACTTAAACATTTCTAGTTTTTGATTTAAAGTAAGAGACATACTACTCTTCACTTGAACACTTAGAAGCCATTGTAAGGTTATTAATGAACCTAATTTCAATATTGTGTCTTAGGGAATAGGGAAGCTGGAGGAGAGGTGGACAGATGGGGGAATGACCAGTTTTGATGAAAGAGTCAGAACACACACAACACTTACTGGATTGGTTAAGTTCTTAGTCTTATCATAGTGTGGTTTAAGGTGCCCCCAAAAAATTACAAGAGTAATATCAAAGATCACTGGTCACAGATCATCAGTACAGGTATAATTACAGTAAAAAAGCTTGAAATATTGCAGGAATTATTGGCATGGGACACAGAGACACAAAGTGAGCATATGTATTTGAAAAAATAGGACCAAGAGACTTGTTAGACACAGGGTTGCTACAAACCTTCAATTTGTAAAAAACACTATTTGCAAAGTGATATAAAGTGAAGCACAATAAAACTTGGTGTGTCTGTAGTCCCTTTACTAACCCTCCTTCGATGGCTAATTTTATATGTCAAGTTGGCAAGGCTGTGATGTTGCTGTGAAGGCATTTTGTAGATGTGATGAGCATCTACAATCAGTTGACTTTAAGTAAAGCAGATTTCCCTCCATAATGTGAGTGGTCCTCATCTAATCAGTTGAAGTCCTTAAGAGCTGAATTAGGTTTCTCAGAGGGGAAGGAATTATCTCTTAAGACTGTAGTATAGAAATCACACCTGAGTTTTCACCTGCCAGCCTGCCCTATAGCCTTGGCAGCCCTATAATTGTGTAAGCCAGTTCCTTAAATCTCTTAAATCACACACACTCTCTCTCTCTACTTATATATGCATTATATATGCATATAAAATATGTATATATATATACACACACACATACAATCTCATATGTGTGTGTGTGTATACTTGTGTGTGTGTATGAGTATCTATATGTACTCATATACATACATATGAGTAGATTTCTTCTGGGAATTGGCTCATTTGATTAAGGATGCCCAGACGTCTCACGATATGTCAAATGCAAGACGGAGAATCAGGGAAGCCAGTAGTGTATTTTAGTCCCAGTTTGAAGCTCTGAGAACCAGGGAAGCTGATGTTTTAACTCCTAGACCAAGAACAAAGGCCTGAGAACTAAGTGTTGGGGACTGCTGGTGTAAGTCTGGAGCAGCAAAATCTGACAACCAGGCGCTCCAGTGTTTGAGGGCAGGAGAACATGACGTCCCAACTCAAGAAAAGAGAGAAGTCACTCTTCCTCTGCCTTTTTGTTTTATTCAGGCAGGCCCTTGATATGCCCCCCGCCCCCACGTTAATAAAGGTGGATCTTCTTAGTCGATTGATTCGAATGTGAACCTCTTCTGAAAACACCTTCACAAGCACATCCAGAAATAATGCTCTATCAGCTATCTGGGTATTCCTTAACCCAGTAAAGTTGACACATAAAATTAACCATCACATTGTATGAATATAATGTATCTGCTATATGTTTATACTTATTTTCACAATCTTTTCTCCCTGGTTTTCTGAAACTTTACAAAAAGATAGACCAGAGGAGAAACCATACCCTCGAGTAGGCCCTGCTTTCTGGGCAATTTCCTTGTCTGTGCCCAGAGCACTTTACTCAGGTGACCTCCCTTCCCAGGGGGTTCACCTTCATCCCTCCCTTTGTTGCTCAGAAGTCTGTGGGGAGTTTCAGACACCAACTGATTTAAGCATAAAGTAACTACCAAATCTACACAATCATATCGAGTGCCTCATCTAGCATTTCCACGTAGATGGGAAACTATGGGCCAGTTTTCTGACTGGTATCATCCCTGCCTTTCTGAGCCAGAAGCGGACACTACACCAGTTTCCCTCAGTTTTATAGTCATTGGAAATTCCCTCAAATTATGGAAGACCTTAACCATCTGTTCTAGTTTTCAGAGGTGTTTTGTCTTTATTAATTGATTAATGATTGGATTAATCAATTGTTGTCAAGAACCTTACAAAAAGTGAAACAAAATTTTAGAGGATTGTGGGGGATGTTTTTTCAAAAGATGCCAGCCAGATGTCACTTTCAGACAAGAAGTCTAGGCCCCTCTTCTTTGATAAGGGGATGAGATACAATTCCATTTATATAAATTATATCTGTCTACTAAAGCAGACACTTGATTGAATCAAAGAGGACTTTTCTTGGACATTCTGAATAATTGGCCAATTCTCCATTTAGCGCACGTATATTGCAGTAATGGTGCTCAAGGGAGGGGGGATGGTAGGCCTAGTTGGTGAGTCTGGCTTATAAACAGGCTGCTTTCATCTTGCTCTTCTTTGGAAATAATGAGGTTTGTAAAATTACTGTAAATATATGTCTGAACACGTAACCCCCCTCACCCCTCTCTCCTCATAATTTCATAAGCAGCTGGTGTTGCCGTGGCAGCTGAACAGAACAAACTTGCTCCTTTCGGGACATCTGTATCCAATATAGGCTATCTGGCATGTCTGTGTCCCTTCTCTGTGTGTAACATGATGGAAAGCAGGCTTAGAGTTTTGGGTTCTTGCCCCATGTACTCCTCTGTATCATGAAGTGAACAGCCACTTCCTCTCCAAGTCTCATAAATGCTACAGGGATTTTCATTTTCCATCAAGGGGATGAGATTTTCTTTCTCCCTGTGATCTCAGAAGTCCTTGCAGCTGGTACTCTGCAGAAAGTGAAGAAAAGCCCGCTAGGCCCTTGATCAGACCATCTGTTCCACAGCCTTATAATTCCAAAAACATAGCGAGTCCCAGTTTTTCATTTTGGCTTTGTAAATAAAAACAATAGACATAAAACAAGCCATAATTGATACCCAAAGTTCAGCAAGATTGGGTGATGGCTATGTATAAAGATCAAATTCATATCCATATCCTAAATTTGTTACCCTTTTTCTTTCTCGAATTTCCCATTCAAAAGAGTCGACTGCTAAAAGGGCCTTGGAAAGTATATTTTTGCTTATACATTCAAATGAGTTATTTGAATGAAGTCATAAATAGATTAATAGACTTTAACCTGATCTTAACTTATTTAGAACAAAGGAGTTTATCTAATAGAGAGAATATTTAACAAAGCTAATCACCTATATAACGGCGGATCTCAATGTGTGGTCCCCAAACCAGCAATATCAGAGTTCTCTGGAAACTTCCTAGAAAGCCAATTCTCCGGCCCCATTAAAATCAGAAAATCCAGAGATGGGGCTCATCAATCTGTTTTAAGAAACCCTCCAGGTAATTCTGATGCATTCTAAAATTTGAGAAGCTCTGGTCTCTAAAAGGTGGCTGGCGAAGTGGATTTGAAAATAAATACCTTTACAATGTGTTTGTTTAGGTAGTGACTAAGTAACTTTGCAGTGGATCCACTTTTTCTGTGAGGACTAACTTGAATGATTTTCCGATTTACCTGTATCAATGGTAGGTCCTGTTACTCTTATGTACAAGATGAGGAAACAAGGTTAGGTGCCTTGCACAAGGTCCCTGAGCTGACTCAGTGTGGACGTGCAATTCAACACAGGAAATCTGAGGCTAAGCAATGGTCACTCTTCCCTGGATTTGTAGGGTTCTGAGAAGGAGTTGGAGACTTCTTGTAAAGAAACCAGGGGCTCTCTAGGTATGAGTATGAGCCCAGACCTGCTCCCAGAAGTGTGGAGATAGGGAAGCTTCTTAGGAAAAGTAGGATTCAACTTCACATTGAATGGCACAGAACTTGTGCTCTCTGATGTATAAGCATCTTTGTCCCTAGAATCACACTCAGGCAAGTCCATTTTTCTATGCTACAGCTCATGCTGATGAAATATCTTTTATATTTTACTCTTACTGGAACTCTTTTCAGTAGTTCCCATTGCTCAGGCTTGGTGTCACGTATGGCTAGAAAGTTCTGCATCACTGTGGATGGAGAATAAAGCCCCTGGTGGTTTGGTTTTCCTGAGGACTATTTCAAGGGTGTCAGCTCAATCTACTTATGAGTGTTCAGAGGGGCCTGCTTATGTACTCTTTAAATGATAGTTTACTTTCCTTATGCCTTGACCATGTGCTATGGTCTAAATGTGTCCCCAAAATTCAAATGTTAAAACTTAATCACCGATGTATATTAAGAGGTGGGGGTTTCAGTAGGTGACTAAGTCATCAGGAGCCCTCATGGGTGGGATTAAGGCACTTATAAAAGGGCTTGAGGGAGTGAATTCCTTGTCTTCTGCTCTTTCACCATGTTAGAACATAATGCTCATCCCCTCCAGGGAACGCCCCAACAAGGCGCCATCTTGGAAGCACAGAGCAGCCCTCATCAGACGCTGAACCAGCTGCCTCTTTTATCTTGGACTTTCCAGTGCCCAGAACAGCAAGAAACAAATTTCTATTTTTTATAAATTACCCGATCTATGGTTTTTCTGGTCCCAGCAGCACAAATGGACTAAGACACAGTAAACTTTTGTCTAGAATGAAAGCAAATGGAAAGTTCTAATTGTATAATTCCTCCTGGATTGTCACCATGAGGCAACATCACATTGTTTGAAGTATCATTGATAAGAGCATTTTATTGCCTTATTTTGTGTACCTATAAACATTTCCAGAAATGGTTCAGTATGGGAAAACTGTGGAGTAATGATTTAATGAAGATCTGTTCTTTCCTTCTGTCCGTTTATAGCCATCATTTGGATAGTTCCTTCTTGGCGCCTTACTTGGACAGCTCAAGTCATGAATGCTCTTCTCAACCTTTCAAGGACAGGTGAGCAGCACCCATGTTCCTGGAATCCCCTTTGTATCCAGCACCCACCACCTCCTCCACAAACCCTAGGCAGGTTTTGGATGCTTCTTCCATTGATGGGTGTGGTCTACCCTGCTCACGAACTCACCACAGCTGGGGCTGCTCAAGCGCTGACTGCTGCTGGATAAACACAGCCCTGCAGGGTGGCTGCTGGGGTCACCTTCTGTCCTCACAGGCAAACGTGGCCAGTGCTATCTGCAGTGGTCAGGCCCTCTGTCAGTGTCACCCGGGCCCTCTCAGTCGCTGCCACTTCTCTTTCCCTGGGCTTCCTGTTGCCATGACACTGCTCTCTCCTGTCTTTTATTTTTCTTTCCCATGGGCCAAAACAGAACAGAACAGAACAGGACTTGGGGTACAGTTAGTTATTTAGGGCTGAGAATACAAAGCTGCTTGATTCCCTGTCTTCCCATTCTCCACCACAAACCTGTTGACCTCCTTCATCCCCCGGTAACATTACAGTGCCTATTTCTAAGCCAGATTTTTCGAGTAGGAGAGTGATACGTTACCAAGTGGGAAGGGAAGACCAAATTCAAAGCAATTTGGCATTGCTATAAACTCAATCCCAAAAGACTAAGTTAACTCTGAATGTTTTTAAAACTGCGCCAGCCTAGGTATTTGCTTACTCAGCAGGTGAAGAATTACCATTTACCGAAACAGAATTAAGCAGCAAAGTTCATTCTTGAATCATAAAGATGTTACAATTAGACTTATGGGTTTGTTGGTATTGTTAAGAGTATCAACTCGGTGTTCAGAAATACAGATTATAAATTGCTTTAAAATAGAAAAGAAATGGAAAGAATTCTTACAAAATTTTCTGACACAACTATTATCCTTTTTTGGAAGGCTATTTGACGTCAGAAGTATTATATTTTTAGAAACTTTTCAGGAAATAGGCTACACTGGACTTTATACCTCAAGTAGGTAAGTTTGTGGCTTATAGATGAGGGTCTTACATGCACCAAGAAATGTGTTGCAGTAAGAAAGTTAATAAATCGATACTCCATTAGTATTTAAATTCAAATCTCACCATTTTTGAGTTATAGTCAGGGTTCTTCAATTCAGACATGATATCTGAAGGTGGCTGCAGCTATACTACATGATTTAGCAGCCAGAAATCTATCCAAATTAAAGACATGTGAGCAGAGTATTCCTGAAGACAACCATGGGCAGCTTGGTGGAGCAGAGCATGAAAACAGATGCAAGAGCCTTCCGGATTTGCAGGCTGAAGACTTCGGTGGCTGTGCATGTGCATTCCTTAGTCCTTACACTTTCACAGGCTTTTGAGGTTGACAAAACACTTTTATTTATCATCTCTCACATTTCTCGCCCTATCACTTAGGGAAGAGAACTGGATCAAATTCCATAAGTGAGAGATGAGGTTGTAGGGGAGAAGAAATTCTTTTTCCCATGATTCTCCTAGGTTCTCTACCTGGGATCTTGTAAATTAGTCTGACAAAAGACAGATGAACATGAGAATAATAAACAGAAGTCTATTAACATGTGCATGATGCACACACATGGGAGCTTTCAGAGAGGAGGAACTCCAAGAGGTGGTGAGAATGTGGGGTCCATGTACCTAACTCAATGGGAAAGGGCCAGGGGTAAAAGGGCACTTATGGAAAGAAAAATGACTATTTGGAAAGACAAATGGTCACTTATGAAAATAAATGGGAAATGTGACAGTTTGTGACAATGTCTGTCTCAGTGTGGTGCTGACTTCTCTCTGAGAAGGTTAGAGTTGCTCTCAGGGAGGAAATTTATGGATATTGAGTTGTTTGGGGAGGCTTTGCTTTTAGGCACATAAAAAGATTTCAGAAACTCAGAAGCCTTCAGCACAAAATAGTTATTATGCAAAAGTGGCATATGTTGAGGTGACATGTTCTGATCCCCTTGATCCTCTTCAAGGCCACTGAGGATAGAAAGATTAAGTGATCTGCTCCGGGTCACACAGCTAATTAGGCATAGAGCTGGTACTTCTTCTCCAAGCCTATTGGTGTCTCCATGATTCCAGCCCTCTCAGGAGGTGGCAGTGAATGCCACACATTGACCACCACTTCTTTATCCTAATAAATGATGAAGGAAGCAGTTATAGGAAGCAGCCAGTCATGCTATAGGGGATCAGTGATGGTGATGGGGCATGGCATTTTCACAGCCACTATTTATACTTCCTGATCCCTCTAGCTAAAAAATGGTGGCTGATGACCTGCACTTATTAGTCCTGCTGTCATAACAGATACTGTGAGGGAACACTCCTGTCATCAATGCTTCAGAGGTATATATGTCTGACACCTGTGTACTTGAGTCAGCAGATAAACATTCCATTTTCTTCACTGAAAGGTTTGCATCCTTTCATGGATGGGTTCAATTTATGTCTTGTGAAAAAAATATCACCATGTACATTTAGGAGAAATCAGAAAAGAATAGATCCAGGTTCTCATTTGTCACAGCATGGAAATATTTGGAATGACTCTGTCTGCACCACATTCTGAAGATGATAATAGAAGCTGAGTGTTACCAGCAATACCATCATGTGATGCATAAATATTCACATCCCTTTTCTGGAAAGGAAATACTACTGTAGTTTTTTTTTTTAAGAGTAAGAAGAGAAGAAAATGAAATGTTTGTGTGTCTTCTAACTTATCTACAGGGAACTTTTTTTTTTTTCTGGTCTTGAATTTCTAGTCATTACCTATCCTCACCCACTCCCTGTCAGTCCTCACGTTGCTAAATTCTGATATCAAATTAGATGCTGGAAATGTTATCCAGCTATGATTTCAGCAGATCTGCGCTACCGTAAAAATCCTCTGGGCCAAGAAGTGCTCCTCTGTCTCTCCTTGGGGAAGCAAGAAGGATGTGTCATTGGGTTCTTAATGTGAAGATCAGCCTGTGATGTCCAACTTTCAGAGTGTCTCCGCATCCCTTTCCCCAGAAGGCCTTATGCCTCCGGTTTAGAAAAGCAATTTAACACGTGCAGTGATTTAAAGTAATGTCAAAAGATGAAAAGAAGATAACTACTGGTGGTATCAAGCCATAAAGGACACAGTCAACTGTGGTATTTCAGCATCACATGGAGAAATAAGACTTTGGGCTTCAGAGAAAAGAATATTCTCTGGGATATTTGTCCCAAACTCAAACCCCTCACCCTCCATTACTGTTACCTCAGTGGAGTTCAGAGGAGTGAGCTGTTGATCAGGCTGATGGTGTCTTTGACACTTTCAGAAGTTCCCTTGGGATGTAATTGACACCTGCTAGCATGATTGGTTTCTGCTGTTCTATTCCCTATGCTCAGCTTCTATATGATTTTGTATCTTCAAACCAAATTGTGGCCAATTATAGCTTGACCCTGATTATAAAAATAATTGAGGGCCTCAGCTTTTACTCCTCTGTGGGAGGACATAACAGTGTGTTAGTTTGCAAGGGCTACCACTGCAAAGTAGCAGAGACTGGGTAGCTAAAACAACAGAAATTTATGTTTTCACAGTTTGGAAGTTAAAAGTCCAAGATCAAGGTGTCTTCAGGGTAGTTTCTCCTAAGGCCTCTTTTCTTGAGTTGTAGATAGCTGTCTTCTTGTGCGTCTTCACATGGTCTTCCCTTGGTACAAGTCTGTGTCCAAATTTCCTCTTCTTAAAATGACACCAGTCATACTGAACTAGGGCCCACCTGAATGAACTCATTTTAACTTAATTACCTCTTAAAGACCCTATCACTAAACATAGTCACATTCTAAAGTGTTAGGTATTAGAACTTCACCATGTGAATTCGGGAAAGTGGGGAGATACAATTTACCCCTTAATAAACAGTACCCGGGGTTGACACGGAGCTCAGAAGAGGGACTAATCTGAATAATCACATGCTGGTTCCATGAATTTCAAGAAGGAATACAGGTAAAAGACAGCATTCTCAAGATATTAGCGGGGTCAGCTAGGAGTTTTTCATATTCAGCAGTGTTACTGGAACTATTGATGATGAAGATGACAATGATGATGATGATGATGATGATTTAAAGCAGCACAGCTCTTCCTCACAGTGATAGTCCTTCCGTGTGTGGACCTAAGCTTTGGAGCCAGAGTAAAGAATTGTTTACTGTGGGTTGGAACTATCATCATTTACTATTTAATTGAAATATAAAGAAATGCAAAGGCATTGGAGGTGGTATACAACCTTAAACATAATGAAAAAGGATAACAGTCAAATGAAATACAGCAGCAGGAATAGATGCTACTAGTTATCTGGGAAAGAGCTAAAGATTATACTGTTTGGCCTTTAATTATTTTTTTATATTTCCTGGAAACAAAGGAAGATAAAAATATAATGAGATATGTCATTTTCATGGATTGCTGAAAGAAAGCAGGCAAACTTGTCTGCAGGGTAAATTTTTTCCCTGGAACTAAACCTAAAGAGATTTATTGTGTGAGACAGTTTGCAGAGATCTAAGTGAATGAAAAGTGTCAGATGTTGAAGAAAGGTAATGGATCATAAAATAGACAATGTCTTCAAATAGGTTTAATGAAAGTGATTTTTTTTTTTTTTGAGACGCAGTTTCACTCTTGTGGCCCAGGCTGGAGCGCAATGGCGCGATCTTGGCTCACTGCAACCTCCGCCTCCCAGGTTCAAGTGATCCCCCTGTCTCAGCCTCCTGAGTAGCTGGGATTACAGGTGTAAGTCACCACACCTGGCTAGTTTTTGCATTTTTATTTTTTTAGTAGAGATGGGGTTTCACCATATTGACCAGGCTGGTCTCAAACTCCTGACCTCAGGTGATCTGTCCTCCTCGGCCTCCCAAAGTGCTGGGATTACAGGCCTGAGCCCCCGTACCCAGCCAAAAGTAATTATTTTTAATAAAAACTGTCTTATATCTAACTTTAGTCTCATAAAGGGAACATTTGGCATAATTTGTATCTTTGAGAGAACAAAATTCTTAGAAAATGCACTTATCTTTGTGGTATCTGGCATGACAGTTAGTGGGAGAAAGAAACCTTGAGATACTGAGTAAACCATCCCATTGCAGCAAAGCCCAATAATGGGTGCTTGGACACACAACGACATGTCTAGAAATGATCTGGGCTTAGGAGTTGACAAAATTGAATGGCTTTTCAAAAGAAAATGCAAAAATTTCTCTGTCATTTTTTCCTTTTCATTTTATTTCTCTTTCTTCTTCTCCTCCAATCTTCCTCCTTTTCTTCTCTTAGCCTCTGAGAGAGGGATTAAAGAGCCAGTCAATGGCGTGACTGGGTAACAAAGAGCTGAATGTCTCTCAAGAATGGGATGCTCTGCATTTGATACAGCCAGTCTCCAAGATGGTTTCCCAGTGATCTTCAACTCTTGGAATTCATGCTTTTTGTCGTTTTCTCCACGTTGTATCAGGGACAGTCTGTGGGACCACTAGGATACAGCAGAAGTGATATATCCTAGTGGTCATTCCAAGACAGGGTCATAAAAGACCCATGGCTTCCAGCTTGCCATCTCTTGGCCCCTTGTCTGGATCGTTCACTCTGGGGGAAACTGTCAGCAGCCACTGAATGCGACTGAAAGTGGGTTCTCCAGCCCATCAAGCCTTCAGACGATGACTGCCGGGGCCAGTATATTCACTGGCAGACTCTCAACCAGAAGCACCCAGCTAAACTGCTCCTAATTCCTGACCCACAGAAACTGTCTGATAATAAATGTTTGTTGTTTGAAATTGCCAAATGTTGGGATAATGTGTAATCTGTAACAGGAAACTAATAACAGCATTCAATTGCAAAATTGTTTGCATTGCTATAATGCAAATACATTCTCTCTCTTGCTGAAATATCATCTTCAGAGAAGCCTTCCCTGAGCATCCTGTCAGAAATAGCCCCTTCACATCCTTGGGCACACAGTCTCCCCTTAACCTCTTTAGTTCTCCTCATAGTCCTCATCACTACCTGCTATTATGTTATGCTTTTATTTGTTTATTATTTGTCTCTCCTTCAGCAAAGTAAATTTCACAGGGCTATGGAATCACCTGTTCTGTCCACAATTTTAGAATCTAAAAAAATGCTTGGTCTATGGCTGGTACTTAGTAAATACTGGCTGAATAAGTTAAATGATTGACAAAGTCTTTCGTAACTGTTGGCTTACAAGGACTGAATTCTGAGCAGAGCAGGGCAACCAGGAGAAGCCAATGAGGTGATGGTCAGAGGGGATCTGAAGAGTGCAGGATTGGCCAGGACCCAATGGAGGATGGCAGATGGAGGTGTCAAGCAGTCTCCGTGTTGCTTTCCAGAAATTTCGTTGATAGGAGAACTGATAGACACTGGTGACTAATAATTTCTATAAGGAGGTTTTGTTGGGAGGTAATCTGGCTGAAGATGAGTTTTCATAGCCTCTTCTATGAAAGGCAGAAAAGCTCAAATGTCCATATCAAAGAAAGAAGTGTGATGGAGGCTTGGCTACAGTCCTTCTACATGTTATCCACTCAGATTGCCAATAGGGATAGATTAGTGGACTTCCCCTCAGGAATGGGACAGAGCCTTGAAGTTTTTGTCACGTAGATAGTGCAGGAAATGATGTCTGACTCTATTTTGTAGTCTGTGTTCATAAAGCCAGAAAATGTGTCAGCTAGCTTGGGGTCATCTTTGTTCTCTTTGTCTCCCAATCTGTAAGCAAATCCTATTTGGTATTATCTTAAAAACATACCCAGAATCTGACCACTTCTCACCACTTCCATCTTCACCAACGTGGTCCAAAGTACCCTCATCTCTCGCTTGGATTGCTGCAATAGTTTCCTAGCTAGTCCCTGCTTTTTCCCGGTGCCACTCAAGCCTGTTTCAGCACAAAGTCAGAGGGTGCTCTATTAAATATAAGTCAAATCATACTATTCATTTTGTTTATGATCCCCCTACTCACTGGGGGTAAATGCCAAATTCGTTACAATGGCACCAGCCTCTCACAAGCTGCTCCTATTACTTCTGGACTCCCAACTTCTACCACAGTGTCCCCAGGCACCCTGCCCCAGCCTTGCGGCCTCCTGCCAGTTCCTGGAACAAGCCAGGTGGGTCTTTGTTCCTGCCTCAAGGCCTTTGTTTTTGCTGTTTCAGCTGTCTGGAATGCTCTTCCAAAAGATATCCACTTGTCTGTTCCCTCACGATATGGTTTTGCTGTGTCCCTACCCAAATCTCATCTTGAATTGTAGTTCCCATAATCTCCATGTGTCCTGGGAGGGACCCAGTGGGAGGTAATTGAATCATGGGGGTGGTTACCCTCATGCTGCTCTCGTGATAGTGGGTGAGTTCTCATGAGATCCAATGGTTTTATAATGGGCTTTTCCCCTCCTTTGCTCTCATTCTTCTCCTTCCTGCCACCATGTGAAGAAGGACGTGTCTGCTTCCCCTTCTGCCATGATTGTAAGTTTCCTGAGGCCTCCCCAGCCCTGTGGAACTGTGAGTCAATGAAACCTCTTTCCTTTATAAATTACCCAGTCTCTGGTATGTCTTTATTAGCAGTGTGAGAATGGATTAATATAACTCATCTCCTGCAAGTCTTTTCTCAATGGTCACCTTTTCAGTGAAGACTTCTCTGAATGTCTTCTAAACATTAAAGTTTCTCCACACTGTACTCCTTGTCCTCCTTCCCTGCTTTATTTTGCATCATAGAATGTTCTCATCACCACCTATACACATGCATATTCTTATACATAGCCATGTTCTCACCCATACATGCACAGATACACCTGCACATATGTATACACACACATATAATTCATTTACTTTGTTTTATGCCTTATCTTTCTCTAATTGACAAGTGCCTTTCACACTTTAATCTGAGGACTCTGCTAAAATGCAGGGGCTGAATTTTTAACACGGAGATGCCGCTGGTTCATGGACCACACTTTGAGAACCAAGTCTCCAGAACTGTGCTAATGCATAGTCACTAGCCACATGTGTTTACATTAAGTTTAGATTAATTAAAATGCAATACAATTTAATATTCAGTTCCTCAGTCACAATAGCCACATTTCAGGTACTCACTAACCACATGTGACTTGTGGCTACCCTGTTGGGTGGCACAGGTACAGAACATTTCATTATCACTGAAAGTACAATGAGTGCTGCTCTAGCCATGTGTGACTACTTAAATTTAAATGAATTAAAATTAAATGAAATTTAAGAGGTCAGTTCTTCATTCACACTAGCCACATTCCAAGTGCTCAGTAACCACACATGGCAAGTGGCTTCTGTATTGGACAGTGGACGTACAGAATATTTCTATCATCACAGAAAGTTCTGTTGCACAGGATTGAAATTGCTGTAGAACATAAACTCCAGGAGGGCATGATCTTCTGTCTGTCTTGTTCCCTGCTATCTCTAGTGCCTAAAGCAATAGGACCCTTAAGTGCAGCCTCAAGAAGTGTTTGTTGATTTGAATCAAAATGCCATTTACATTTTGGTCTTTCCCCAATAGGTGGGTGTCTCAAAGGCAGAAATTGTGTTTGCTTTTTGTTATATCTCCAACAGCTAGCACAAGGAAGACCATCAATAAACACTTGCTGGATTGAATGTTCAGAACACTTTCAATTTTAAAGGCTCCTGAGAGGTCAATGTGTGGCAGAATCACATGCAAGCTGAATACCTGGCACAGGTAGCGCCTTTAGACTCTCATCTGTGGCTCTAGTCCTCCTTTTTTGTCAGATAAAGAGCGGGCTCAGGAACTGCTGCATTTGACACTTTAAGAGAAAAACTGCACAAGTCAACCATAGAAATCAATCCTCCTTATGTCTGAGAGATGCCTGAGATCTCTGATGTGAATAAGTTATCCATGAACAGTCCTTTTCCCCTTTCTGAACAGTACTCCACACTTCCAGGTATGCCATTTCATATAAATGCACTTCATTCTGAAATAGCAGCAATGTGAGACTTACATGACCGTGTTTCTTTCACATCTTTAGAATATTTATCTCTAGCACTTTAATTATGTCTTTCCATAGTCAGCTCTAACTGCTCTATCAAAAAGAAAACACTAAGAGGCAGCACATGCAAAAGTTTGCTTGTGTTCTTTGGACATTGTTTCCCTAGAAGGCTGGCTACTTCTGAATTATCAATGGTACTCTTCCTGCTATATTTTTCCGGAAAAAAAATGTCTGGCTAGAAAATTTTAAGTCAATACAAAAGACACATTTCTCTACTACCACATTGGAAAAAATATTGTGTTTGGCAAAGGGGAGACATCTGAATGCCATCAATAAATACCGTCATCTTTGGTCTCAGTAACTAGAACTGAGAAAAATATCTGTGCCATGAAGTCCTGTCTGTTTCCTAATTCAGATGGGTTATTTATCCCCTTGGCTCTCTCCTATAGCATTTCAATTTATTGGCTGAGTCAAACATCTTTTTTGTCCTTATTCCAGCATCAGTAGAATATCTTATTATTTTACTCTTTTTAGTTGGACAGACTGGCAAGATTTAGAGTGATTTTAATAAAAATTGAGGGCAGATGCAGCACTCAATATTTTTGACAGATAGGGTTCCATTCCTGTTTTGTTTTGTGTCCCAAAGCTAATGTGTCTTTTAAAGCTAAATAAAACACTAAGTAAGTGAGAATTTCAGGAACACCAGAAGCTTTTGTGAAATGGCATTAATGCTGGGTACTCCTCTACCAAATGTTTACATATGTATATATGTATGTCTATCTATTAACCTATCATCTATCTATCTATCTATCTATCTATCTCTATCATCTTTTTATATAAAAACCAGCCCCCAATATAAAATATAAATTATGGTAATACTTCCAAAGAACTTGACCCCTTAACCATTGTTGTCATATCCCTTATATAGAAATTAAGTAATTCTTCCAAACAACACAAAATCAGTGACAGAATCCAGAAGCAAATTCTGTACTGTCAAATCCTAATGTAATAATTAGTTAACCAGATATGACCATGTTATAAAGTTAAAGACAACTCTTGCACTTTGTGTCTGTAACATGCATGAGGGGAAGACTTGGTCCATGTTTCTTGGCTAGCTCTTTTGTGATCTGTGATGATTTAGGGTGAAAATTTAACCTAGTACAAGGCCATATCGAGGCTCTGCTATTATAGACTTCTAATTTCAAGAGGAATACTAATGACAGACATGAAGTTATTATTTTAGAAAGTCCCTTGGAGACAATCCAATTCCTGAGCCATGGTAAATTCAGGGACATTCGGAAGTTGTTATTAAAGAAGTGGAGAATGAATGAACTGTGTTTGTTCGGAAACTTCTGGTCCATACTTTGCTCTCAGGTTGGAGTGGTGGTAGGGGTTTATAGGAAGATTGGGAAATGGGCCCTAAATAAGTTCTATTATTTATTCTGATTCTGCTAAGACAGAAGAATGGTGGCTAAAAGTAGTTTTCTGGAGGATTAGGTGTTCAGATGTGCATAAATCCTGCTGAAGTGAGCTGCTTGATCCTAACTTGAAGCAGACTCAAATTTATTCATATACTATGGTATCTTGGAATAAGATAGAGATAATATCTAGAACTCTTTCACTATATTACCCCTGTGTATTTTATTCATTAAAACTCAAACAAAAAAAGACACACAAGGTTTTTTAGTTATATAAAGCAGTGAGATCAGCAGGTAGTCCTATGTCATAGGCAAACCGAAATGTGAAGTTTCTAATTACAATATTTTCAACCAAAATTGGATCACTTCTAAAATGTAACTTAATGTTCTCAAAGTTCAGCTATATGTATTTCTAGTCCATTGCCGAACATATGGAAAGAATATGTTTGGGCATAAAAAACAAAACAAAATACCCACAAATCTCTCGTTGTTGTGATATTCTCCTAACAAGTGTCATAAAGAACTTTGACACATTTCCCTATGTGGCTTTTTGAAATTATTGGATCACATTTATCACAGGGCTGATCTGTAGTTTAGCAACAGTTTTCAAAAGACAAGCTGATAGCCACTAATAATTTACATGAGGGGCCTTGGATTCTAACAGAAACAAAATTTAACCTTCTAAATGCTGCACAAGGTGCAGGAAAATTAGGAGGAAATTATGAGTGATGAATAAATATCTACAAACAGATCACAAAGTTTCTGGGGCTAAAATACCCCTACAAATTTGTTAAACATAGTTTATAGTTATGGGGTAATTAAGTCTCTGCATACAGTTTGGAATTCATCTGCCAGGAATGGAGTGGAATATTTCTGTGGTTTTCCATATTGAGGCTGGTTATCTTTCCAGGATTATCTCCAAAAATGTTCTGTGCTCCAGACAAATTAACCTTCATGTTCTGACAGTGGTATTTTCTGTTGGGCATTGAGCAATCTATGTGTAGCACTGTTGCCTGAGGAGCTCTTTGACACTACCACAGGCGCGTATGGAGACACATCTTCTGAAAATGGTGTACAACGTAAGGAGCCAATCTCAGCTAGCACAACTAATTATTCATCTCCATCAGAAAGAAAGAAAAATAGGACCAAAATATAAAACACCAAAACCCCAAAACATGGGACCTAAAAATATAGACTGAAACCTGAATTTGTGTTTCATCAGTCACCACAGAGTACTCTATTGGCAGTACTATACAAATGGAAATAAATACATGAAATTTATGCAACTAAAATAAGAAATGATAACCTTTAAAAAAAGTTTTAAAAGATGCATTTGTTATCACCATGAGAATTACCAATGCCTCTTGGTTTCAGCCAAAGGAAACTTCCAGGTCTTGCTTGGATCCATGCTACCTGCAAGGCTTAGCATTGGGTTCCCAAGCCCACAAGAGGGGAGCTTTGCTGTGGAGCTGCTGATATAAAACTTTTGCATCGGCCGGGTGTGGTGGCTTACAGCTGTAATCCCAGCATTTTGGGAGGCCGAGGTGGGCAGATCACCTGAGGTCAGGAGTTCAAGACAAGCCTGGCCAACTTGTTGAAACCCCATCTTTACTAAAAATACAAAAATTAGCCAGGCGTGGTGGCACACACCTGTAATCCCAGATACTCAGGAGGGTGAGGCAGGAGAATCACGTGAATTCAGGAGTCAGAGATTGCAGTGAGCTGAGATAGCACCATTGCACTCCAGCCTGGGCGACAAGTGAGACTTCATCTCAAAAAACAAACAAACAAACAAAAACTTTTGTATCATTCAGAAAATCTGATAGAAAGGGTTACTTGTCTCCTTGGCCAGAACAAGTTATTAGCTGTGAAGAATTAGTCATCAGGCTGGGCATGGTGGCTCACACCTATAATCCTAGCAATTTGGGAGGCCAAGGTAGGCGGATTGCCTGAGCTGAGGAGTTTGAGACCAGCCTGGGCAACATGGCGAAAACCCATCTCTACTAAAAATACAAAAAATCAGGTGGGTGTGGTGGTGTACTCCTATAGTCCCAGCTACTCAGGAGGTTGAGGCATGAGAATCGCTTGAATCTGGGAGGCGGAGGAGGTTGCATTGAACCAAGATCACGCCACTGCACTCTAGCCTGGACAACAGAGTGAGACTCCGTCTCCAAAAAAAAAAAAAAAAAAAAAAAAAAAATAGTCATTGCTGCCCTTAGCCCACAAGGCCAGTGAGTGAACAGAAATACTCAATGCTCAGCACCTGAGAATGCGTGGCTTTTCTTTTGTAAATGCAAAAGGAGTCGTTACATAACATGATCACCTTTAAGATTATTTTGCCACTTGCTTTTGGGATTAAGCACAAGTTTTAAGAGAAAAGGAGATTAATGCTCTCCCGTGCAGTGTTTGTATTTCTCATTGCCTTCCTGTGTGTGATATTTTTAAAAGAAACATTACACACAGGAGCCCCCAGGCGAAGGTACCAGGGAAACAATGCCAGCTTGGAAATCCGGAGGAGATTCTATTTCTCATTATGTGAGAGGTCATTACTTGAATGTTTCTTTTTCTCTCACTTTTTTTCTTTAAATCTACAACCTCTTGATCTCTAACCCTCCAGAACATCCATGGTCATTATTCTTTGGGTATTTTAAAATTAGGAAAGTAGAGAAGAGCCAACCAGAGTCCCGTAGCCCTGACTAGCTAATGGATGCCTGGGCGCCATTCACACAGATCCACCATGTCATAAATCTGTATTTGCCTGTGTGGTTGTAAAAAGAACAAGAGAAATAGTTTGAATTCTCCCTCTCGGGTTCTTCTACTCAAGCAAGGATTTGCTGGGCAAAATGATGTCTTCAGGGACTTTGCTAAGTGGCAATGGATTATGAAAAACCAATATCTGCCTATTGTTAAAGGGTGAGATTGCAAAATGAGGAATTGTGCAGTTGAAATCTGGGGCATTTGTGTAGTTACTCTGGAAGTGTGGAAAATGTAAAATTGTACCCAGGTAATTACATCTACTTGGTCTCCATCTCCAGAAGAAGGCTTTGAGAGGAAATAGAGAAGGCTATTCATCAGTCGTGACAGTTTTGTCCCATTATCTACTTTCTCATAAATGGAAAGGGCCTTGATAAGTTTGTTTAAGTTTTAAATGTAAACACCCATGAAGAATACATTCATGATGTAAAACCTGTATTTTTAAAAAGTTTTATTTATGGAGAGTGGCTGTGTTCATTAGTGGTTGGAAGAAGACTGGAGAAAAAGGAAGTACCAATTATTGGCTAATCTTTGTAATTAGAAATCCTCTCTCCTATATCTTTTGCATGTCTCTCTGGAAATGGGCTTAATGAGCCTACTCAGATTCTGGGAGACTCCTGGGGCCCTGAAAAGTCACAAGGACTGTCGGCTCTGACTGCTAGAGAATGGGATTTAAAAGCCTTCCTCTCTCTCTCTCTCGCACTTCCTAATGGCTGTCACTGTTTAGTTTATTATTACTGTGGGCAGATAATTTCACATTCATAACCCTGATGGAATTTGAGGTTTCAAAGAACTTTTCCTCAATGAGTTGGCAAGTAAAATTCATTTCTTGGCAATCTTAAAGAGTATTTAATTAATCTGACTTGAGCCACAGTGTATTTTGAAAATTATTGACATAGTCTAGTTTTTAGTAAAGGAACATGGTAAATTCAGGAACCTCAGTTATTCTGATCATTCCCATTACAGGTATGTAGCAATTAGAGTGACATCAAAGAGTGCCCATGTGGGCTGAAAAATCCCAAGATTATTGAGGGAGGGAGTTCCTATGCATTTCTCTTTGAGCAAGATCCTGGGGAATCATGACTGCCAGTTCATATACACACACATGTGTACATGGTATGTGTCTGTGCATGTATGTACACACAGGCATTAATCTTTGGGAATGCTGGGCAGGGTGGCCCACACTTTAAATGCCAGCACTTTGGGAAGTCAAGATGGGGAGAACACTTGAGCCCAGCAGTTTGAGACTAGCCTGGGTAACACGAGGAGACTCTCACGCTACCAAAAGAATGAAAAAAAATTAACCTGGTGTGGTGGCAAGTGCCGGTGGCCCTAGCTACTCAAGAGGCTGAGGCAGGAGGATTAATTGAGCCTAGGAGGTAGAGGCTGCTGTGAGCTGTGATTGTGCCACTGCCCTCCAGCCTGGACAACACAGTGAGACCCTGTCTAAAAAATATATATATATATATATATATATATATATATATATATATATATATATATATGAAGACACTAGAACAAAAGAACTTGCCATGTTTTCACATGACCAACCTAAAGCAATGACCATGTTAACCTATAGTTAATATAGTTAATGTTTTGATAATATTAAAGAGTAGAGATAAATTATTTCACTAACCTTATTAAATATTTTTTCCCTGAGTGGGCTCCATGTACTCTGTTTTGGATGTTAAAGAGCATCACTCCTCCAAGTCCACCTTGTCTGAGTATATAAAACCCAGCTCAAGGGTCTTCTCTAAGAGATGAGCCTAAGCCTTGTTCTTCTCTCCCAATAATGTGCTGAACATTATTTCTTTAGTAAGTTCTGTCAGGACAGCACTCCCAGTGATAAAACAGTATCTGACATCTCTTAAGTTATTAATAAATACTTGTTGGATGAATGAATGAATGTTGTCACATTCTTTTTTATATTCCACTCTTCCATCCTACCTTACTATATATTACTCTTATTTGACTGGAGTTTCTTTGGGGTAAGGATATTGTATTTGTTCACTCAGAACTTGTAAAACTTGGCATAGAGTAGATGGTCAATAAATCATTGTTAAAGGTTTTTTTTTTTTTTTTTTTTTGAGATGGAGCCTTGCTCCATTGCCAGGCTGGAGTGCAGTGGCGTGATCTTGGCTCACTGCAACTTCTGCCTCCCGAGTTCAAGCGATTCTCCTGCCTCAGCCTCCCAAGTAGCTGGGACTACAGGTGCACGCACCCACACCTAGCTAATTTTTTCTATTTTTAGTAGAGACGGGGTTTCATAATGTTGGCCAGGATGGTCTCAATCTCTTGACCTTGCGATCCGCCCGCCTCGGCCTCCCAAGTTCTGGGATTATAGGCGTGAGCCACTGCACCCGGCATGTTAAAGGTTTTTAAAAACATAATTGGTACTTCTTGGGCTGCCTTTGTGTGTGAAGAATGATTGCCATTTCTAGTCACAATCATGTGTTGATCATCACATGGGCCAGGATAAAATTTGGATATACTGATCTCATCAGAGTAAAATTCAGTGGTTGAAGGGCTGCAAAGACAAATATTCCACAACATAGAATTGACTGGTTTGGAAATATTTAGGTCAAGAATTTTTTTTAATGACCCTTCAAGGCCCTCCTGTGACACCTGGATGATGCTGATTGCTTATACTTGAGTATAATCTAGAGCACGAAGGCTGCCTTCCTGAGTAGTCTATGTCATCAGCATCTGAGATGCAGACACTTCCTGGGACAGCTCTGCAGGAGATGCCACAACTGTCTGTTGACACACAGGGATTGTACCTTGTCCAGTTCCCAAACGGAGATGTTTTTGCATCCTGTGTGGTTTAAAATGCAAACTGATCTACTAATTTCAGAGGGTAAAAAGGATCCTACAAGATGGACCTGTGGCTTTAGGAGATAATGATGCTCTCAAAGAAAAAAGGAGGAATAACCATATCCTGGGTGATTCCTGGATGTGATGCCCCCAATCCGAGTGTCTATGAGAGTATTTCTTATTCTGGGTAAATGGCTTTTGCCCCCCTGGTGGTCATCTGAATGAGACTTGCCAGAGTTGCTCTTTAGCAAAGTGGAGCTGTGTTTAGGCAACTCTTGGTGATAGCATGGACATCGACTGTGGACAAATAATGACGGGCACTCCTCCTACCCCCACACCCCTCCCTACCACAGCAGGACAGCTTCTGGTGTAAAGATCAAAAAGCAGAAAAGCAACAGAAAAACTAATTTTGTGCCACAGATTTTCTGTGTGAATATTCTCACTGCAACATTTACCTAGTCTTTCAATATTCTTTCTCCCTATTCCCCTGTCTAGTCAGCATTTCTTCCAATTAGCTTCTCTCTAAACTAATCATGATTGCCAGCTATTGAACAAATACACTACTTTTGGTGACTTCCTTGTGATAATTTAGACACAGTAAGCACTTGTATTATATTACTTTTCCCCCGAAAAATACTCAATCCTCTTTCTTTTCATTTTGCATGCTCTAGATAGCAAACTTCCTGAAAACTTTTTCTAATGAAGTCTGAACAAATGTCAGTTTAAGAGGTCATGAACCTCAAAGGTGAATGCATTTTACTTACTTCTGGGCTTATTCCAGGATCTTGACAAGAATTGCATGGGGCGTCCTCAAATTCATGTTGCAAGCCATTTAAGGGTCCCATTGGTTTATGTGAGAGTTGTTTAAGCAGCTAACACAGGATGAGAAGAAGGTCAAAGACAAATATAGTTAAAATTAATATCTCTCAATACTTTTTTCTTGCTAAGGATGAACTTTCCCATTCATCTATCAGTACTTGCTTTTTGCCATATTGATTTCTCAGATGGAAAAGTTTGGGTGGGGAAGAAGGGATTTGGCATTTCACTTTTTCTAACTGACTTAGATCAGTTTTCCATCTTCTCCTTCCAGGTTCTATTAGGATGGTGCAAAAGTAATTTCAATTTTGCCATTAAAAGTAATGGCAAAAATAATTACTTTTGCACCAATCTAATAGTACTCTAAGACACTTTAACAAATTATAACAACGAATGGTCAGCATAATTTTGAAGTTTCCTCCAATGCTTGTAACCAGTGCCAAGGTAAATATATTCATGTCCTTAGCTCTTCATAATTCTGAAATCCAGAAAGCTCTGAAAAAAATAGAAGTTTTTGTGTTATTTATGGTATAAATTAATTTCCTGACAAAACCGGATCTCAACTGATGCAAGGCTATTTATAGTCTATAATAATCTCATGTCATGTGACTATTCAGATCTATTGCTGAAGAAATATTAATATGACTGGTTAAGGGTGATGTCCCAGTCACTGAGGTAGGTATTACAAAACCCACCGCAGATAAATTTTTTATTTTTTGGAGACAGAGTCTCACAGGGTTTGGGTTAAGGAATTGAAGACCTGAACTATACTGTGAAGGTAATGGTTTTTCACTTACCTGCCAATTTTAAGCCAAAATCACTGGTCCAAAGGAGATGAGAAAACCATCGCTGTATCTCCAAGCAGGCAACAGTGGCAGTGACCTGGCTTGCTCTGTCCTTCAAAGAAAGTTTTCTGCATACTTTTGAGGGCCCCCAACCAAACAGCACTCTCCTCTGGAAAGGTTATTAAAAATGAAGCTGAGGCTGATTACGAACATATTGCTTTATTTCTTGGTAGTAAATTAAGGCTTTCTAGATTCATACAGCACGCAGTGATTTGAACATTAGAATTAAAAAACAACAACAACAAACAATGAGCATTCAATTTAGCAGAGCCAGGAAGGAAGCAATGTTTTAAAACAGATAAATTTCCTAGTGAGACCTTTGGTTTGGTCTCCAAAAATCTGCTGAGCTGTTTCCCCAGTAACCTCCATCATAGATTCCCACCCCAAGGGAGAACAGAATGGATGAACAGGAGACTGGGAGAAAAGAAGAAACTGGCAAGACGGTATGTGCTGGGCAATCAGTGTGAACAGTCAGCTTTGTCTCATGTTTGGAAGACAGTTTAGGTGATGCGGTCAGGGATTCATTCTCTGGATCTCCCTGCTCATTCTCAGAGTATTAAACCAGCTCACTCGGAAGACCCCAGGGCCAAGGATTAGGGACAATCCTTTGTGACACCCAAATCCTGAAACTTCAAATAGGGTCACAAGTCACAGAGCTGAGGAATGCTGCCTTCAACTTCTTTCATGGTTTTAAACTCTGTGGCTTTCACTAGATCCTGGCCTAGCTAAATGATTCATTTCCCCCATGGCACAGAGCCTTGATTACACATGTAATTTGATGATGTTGATTGGATGGGAGGCCATGATGTTTGAAAGAAACCTCCTGGGCAGACACCACCTCATCACACTAACCTCTCCATCCCCCACAGAAGACGACAGTATGCACAGGAGCCTACAGTAGGAGTGCAGTTGTCAAGGGTGTCTAAGTTTGACAAATTCAGCATAACTGGCTTGGAGATGCAGAGGTTCTGCATTTGGATAATGGGCATTTTGAGAAGAAAATAAATGAGGGATTTCAACGTAACAAAGGTGGGGCTTGGCTAGAGAATAATCTGGGAAAGGGCCATGTGTTTATTAGCAAAAGACAAGTGAATTTCGTGAAAACCAGCAATGGAATTTCTTCTGGCTATCTGACTTCATGCAAATGAGGCTAGAATATAGACTTCTATCCAAATAAGATAATTTGAAGTTTCATCCATTTAAAATCCATACCTTGTAATGATTTTAGTATTCCTTTCCAAGGGTCTGGTTGGTGGACCAGAGTCTAAGTCATCTCAGTGTGTTCCCTCTTCCATTCATCTGGCATTGTTGAGTGAACAGAATTTAAACACCTGGAAGTCTGCTTTGCATTCTTTGGTGGAAAACACGCAGACAGACATGGAGGAGGTACACAGGGTGGCAATTTGCACAATTAAACACTTACAAACTTAACCCCAATAGGCTTCATGTGATGAAGTCTGGATGTATAAAGAAATAAATAGATGAGAAGAGGTCAAATGCAATCTGAATGACAAAGAACCGAGGCATCTGTCTCTGCCAGCTGTAGGACAGATGTGCCTGATGCATGCCAGGTGTGCAAGGCGAGGGATCAGAAAAACTTTTGAGGACATGTGTTCCCTTGGGCCTTGCTTGTTAATTAAAAATTGCAAGGGCCTTTACTCCTATTTGAAAACACTGAGTAAAAGCAACTGATGGGGGGATCTGGGCTTTGCTGTGATTAGGTGTGCTGGTGCCTCGCTAGGATGGTGTGGAGGGGGGAATGCAGAAAGTATTTGTGTACAGAGACGACAGCATCCAGCCTGGCAAAAGAGGATGTGAGGAGGTGGGAGAGGAAATTCTCCCACTGAAACACAGGGAAGTGGGTGATTTGCAGCCAAAGGACATACAGGACCCTTTATGCACTGATGCTGGCACTGCACAATCTCCTGAAATCACATCCATCCACAGAATCAGTTCTCCTGGAAGAGGTCGATGCCTGGGTGCTCTATGCCAAGGTGCTTCTGTGTATGGGTATCTCTGCTCCCTCAATGCTATAATGGACATGAAGCTAATCTTTGGGCTGTGTGGCCTCTGATTCAGTGCTGGAAGCTGCAGCCCAGAGCAGTGAAGTGCTTTGGCCAAGGTCATAGTCATTGACAGAGCTGGGGGAGGACTGCATGTCCTTCCCCAGCTGTTTGCTGTAATGAATTTTTTAAAAAGGCCTGAAAAGTATTTTGCCTATGCAAAGTGCTATGGTATTGAGTTGACAAGAATGTCCATGGGTGTGGGATTGAAGAGAGTGACTTAGGTCAATGAAGCAGTTTAGAGAGGAGGTCTGGAGAGCACTGTGATTCTGATGATGGATCCTCGCTGCTGCTCTAGGGAGGGAGGGTGTGGCCTTGGGGGGGGGGCGTGGAACTGTGGGGGTGGGGCCTGTGTGCGAGGGAAAGGGCGGCCTTGGGGGCCTGAGCGGAGGAGAGTAAGCGCCTTGCTCAAGGAACAGCGATCAGCCTGCTTAAGTACATCTTTTGTGAGAAGAGAAACTGCCTACAAATGACCTGACCAAAATGCCTGTTTGCTGTTTGTCTTGCTTCGTTTCTTTGGCCTCTGTTGCCCATGAGAAATGAGGAAAAATAAAGGCCAGATTCCTAATAACCTTCCCGGAAGAAAGAGCTGTTTTGAGTGGGTGTCGGTGCTTACATACGCTGCTTTTAAAAAAATTTGCTTTGTTCAGGTTTGTGTGAATACAACGCCGGATGAACTCTGTCCCTTCAGAAGAAAGCCGGGTTGGTGTGCTCGATGACGCAGCGCTTGCAGTGGCGTTTGACAAAGCGCAGGGCCTCCACGGAGACCTCGCAGTCCTGGACATTCAGCGTCTGGAGGTCAAAGCAGTTGGCGGCCACGATCTGCAAGCCCTGGCCGGTGATGCTCTCGCAGGACTTGAGGCTGAGCCGCTTGAGGTTGAAGCAGTTCAGGGCCAGGCACTCCAGGCCCGTGTCGGATACCAAAGGGCATTTGCCGATATCCAGGGATTTGAGTTTGGTGCAGTTCTTGGCGAGGTACTCCACACCGTGGTCCGTGATGCCCTCGCAGCCCCTCGCGTTGAGGTAGCGCAGCTTGCTGCAGTACTTGGCCACGTAGCGGATGCCCACGTCGGTGACCCGGCCGCAGTGCGCGATGCTCAGGTACCGCAGGCGGGACTCCAGCTTGGCGATCTCCCGCAGGCCGAAGTCGCTGACGAAGCGGCAGTCGCTGACGCTCAGCTCCTTGATGGAGGCGCAGTAGATCACCAGGTAGCGCAGGCCTTCGTCGGTCAGGCGGACGCAGCGGCGCAGGTAGAGGTGGGTGAGCTGCGTGCAGTGCGCCGCGATGGTGTGCAGGCCTTCGTCCTCCAGCACGAAGCAGTCCGTCATGTCCAGGTAGCGGATGGAAATCTGTTTGCCATGCAAGGGTGACAGTTTAATGGAGGCCTCCCGGGTCAAGCTGATGCAGGTCACTTTGGAGCATCCTGCACAAAGAGACAGAACACAGGCTCAGAGCAACCTGCCAGCAGGGGAGCCACGCCTGGGGATGCCCTGGGGCATTCCTGACCCTCGCCCAAGTCTGGGTCCGAGGCTGATGTTACCCTTTCCTGTCTTGGTCTCTATAGAGAGGAAATGCAAGAATGGGTTCCCCATATTTATCTGATTATTTAACTACATTATTTCTATTATCTGGGCTTAAGAGGATTGGATCAGAAAAACCATGGTTCCAATTCCTGATCTGTCATCTGTCCCTACTTGCCTGACATTTAGCAAATCAATCCTTCTGAGTATTTCCTTTGTCTTAAAATAGGGAGGATCCCATTCCCTGGGAGGCAGCTGGGATGGAGTAATGAGAGGATGTGTGTAAATATCTTGCCTTGGCCCTGGAAAGTTCCAGGAGCTCAGTAAAAGTGAGTTCTTGAGCTGCCCTGGTTTGGAAGCTCCCTGGTCCAAAGTAAGATATGAAAGACAAAGCTCGGGCATGTACCTTGGTTTAGCAGAAAGAACACTGGGTTAGGAGTCACACCTGGTTCAGGCAGGAGGCTTAACGTTGCTGCTTCTCAGAACTGTCCTTTATGCAATGGGAATGAATAGGTGGTGAGCCGACACTTCAGATATAATGAGGATGCAATGAGAGAACAGATATGCATGTGCTCTGAAAACGCTATGGGAAGTGAATATATTAGTCTAGCAAGGTGACCTTCTGTCAATTGAACAGACCTTCTGAGTCAATCCAACTCTCTTTAGTTGAGGAAGAACAACTGTGTTATCTGGATTGTTGCTGTAGCCCTTGAACAAGACTCCCTTCCCTGCCCTTAGCTCCTACAGTCGATTCCCCACACCCCTATTTGCCAGAGGCGTCTTGGAAAACGGAACTCGAAGCTTGCCCCTGTGCAAAGCCTCGGGATGACGCCCGTTCACTCCAGGTGTCCTTGAATCAGACTCCCTTCCCTGCCCTTAGCTCCTACAGTCGATTCCCCACACCCCTATCTGCCCGAGGTGTCTTGGAAAACGGAACTCGAAGCTTGCCCCTGTGCAAAGCCTCGGGATGACGCCCGTTCACTCCAGGTGTCCTTGAATCAGACTCCCTTCCCTGCCCTTAGCTCCTACAGTCGATTCCCCACACCCCTATCTGCCCGAGGTGTCTTGGAAAACGGAACTCGAAGCTTGCCCCTGTGCAAAGCCTCGGGATGGCGCCCGTTCACTCCAAGTGTAAAATCCAGAGTCTAACAGGGCTCCCAAGGATCTGCACCCCGGGGCTCTCTGACGGCATCTTTTACCTCATTCCTCCAACGCCACTGGCCTGCTTGTCATTTCCCGCACACCACAAATGCTCTCCAGCCTCTGAGCACTGGAAATGGCTTCCCTTAGCCCTCCAGACTTTCCCAGGTCTCAGAGCCAATCTGTTTATAGAAAAATTTGTCCCCAACCATGCTTGTATAAACTAGCATCCCCTGCTTTCCTCCCCTTTATTTTCAGGAGTCTTTATCCCTGGGTGGCATTATATATTTATTTATTCACTTATTTATTTGCTGTCTCCTCACTCTGGAATGTAAGTTTTGAGAAAAGGGACTTGGGGCTGTTCACTGCTGTCTCATTTCTGGTTCATAGCTGGTGCTAAGTATCTGTTGAATGAATGAGCGGTTTATAGAGGGAAAAGAGTCTTCCATAAGAGGATCAGATGAGATCATCCAACTTCCAACAGTCTTCAGGACCTTGGCTGAAGTATACCTACATTGAAAAACAGTTGTCTGTTTTATAGTTAATGATAATGTCTTTTATTTGTGTTGAATCACGAAGTTTACAAAGGGCTTTTATAAACATTTTCTTACCTGATTGTTAGAACAATATTAATGCTCAGGAAGGTATCTTTAGATGCCTCTCTAAACATCGTTTCTAATCTCCTAAAAAATATGTATGCATAAGTTATATATATACACACTATATAATTTATATATTTATATATAGGAAACACTTATTTCATGGTATATTTAAGTTCTCTATATATTACTCTATAAAAACACGTACAGTATACTTATGGTATATTAATGTAACTAATATCCATAGTCTATAAATATTAGGTTAGTGCAAAAGTAACTGTAATTTTTGCAATTAAAATGGCAAAAACCGACTGGGTGTGTTGGCTCACGCCTGCAATCCCAGCACTTTGGGAGGCCCAGGCGGGTGGATTGCTTGAGCCCAGGAGTTCAAGACTAGCCTGGGCAACATGGCAAAACCCCGTCTCTACTAAAAACACAAAAATTAGCCAGGTATGGTGGTGCATGCCTGTAATCCCAGCTATTTGGGAGGCTGAGGCACGAGAATTGCTTGAACTTGGGAGGCGGAGGTTGCAGAAAATCTGGAGCGCACCACTGCACTCCAGCCTAGGTGACAGGGCAAGACTTGATCTCAAAATAGATAAATAAAGACAAAAACCGCAATTACTTTTGCACCAACCTAATATTTTATAAATAAATGTATATTTTTATGTATTTCATTCTACTACCGAGGCTGTATATATATTTTTCATTTTCTCTCTGCTCTTCTCAAATCTCTCGGGCAGTTCTACAGCTAGGCGCCTCACTTCGGACACTTCTGCACCTTGGCTGTTTCACGCAATATCCAAGGCTTCCCAGCAGCCTCACAAAAGTGCTAACGAGGACCTTCCTCCCACCTCCTGGTAGGCTGCCCAGGAAACTCTTAGACACTCAGGCCCTGGGAATAATGAGGTTCAAAAACCACGTGCTACTAAGTCAAAGAATTTCAGGAAGGAGTGAAGCACACACTCCAAAAATGGAGAACAAAAACAGCTTGTCAGAGGCAGGTCACACTGTTCCAGTGGGCTTTGTGGTTTTGCAAAAGGTGATTAGTCCCTTTTAGCTTTGAAATTTCCCTTTGTTTTGAGTTTCTTTCTTGAGGCTGACTGTAATCCTGCTTGCACTGAATTTGTTTTTCTATGGTAGTGATTGGCCATCTGTGACGCCTATAAAGACACTTTGTTTTTCAAGATCATATGATAACCTTTGCTCTTAAACTCTTGGTTCTAGTTTCCTTTCTTTAGAAACAAAATTAGCAAAATCTGCTACACTCTAGGAAAGATAATATATTTGGTCCAGGAAAATGTATACTTTGCTTTTGAAACTGAATTCCAAATTTAATGAAATACTTGTTTAGTTCAGTTTTGGTAAAGAGACTATTTTATAGGCTTGTATTATTTTAGATCAATAATTTTAGATTTTAGGTTTTGCCCAAACTCTTATAGATTTGCTAGGTTTGGGATGAAAAGAAAGTAAATTGGTTCATGGCTCAGCAGGTATTATTTATGATTAGTTCACACATTCAAACATTATAGACATGGAGAGAACCTTAGAAATCATCCAGAATAAACATCATTTTTTTTCAAGATGAAGCATCGCAGGCTCAGTGAGATTATATGACTTGTACAACCAGACTACAGATAAGTTTCTTGACTCCTCATTCCAAGACTTCAATTTAGAAAGGGACTTAAGAAGTGACTATGATGTATCATAGAGTTGAAAAATTACACAAGAGATATACAGTAGAAAATGAAGTGAACATTCAGACACCGGGCACCCAGGGGTCTTTGGAAACTTGGAAGCCACCATGGCATAATTTCCAAAGGGGCCCTTGAAAGAGAGAAATAATTTGGATGCATAGATGTGGAGTGAAAACCAATTTGCATATATATTAATAGATATGGAGTCCAGGTAGTAAGATAATAGACACATCCCAGAGAAAGGAAAGCAAGGGGCAAGTCCATGGGAGGGTTAGGGTATCCATGAGGTGAAACTTAGGGTGTCTGAAAGGATTTAGTCAAAACCAAGGCAAGAATTGTCTTTTGGGATGAGATCAGGGGACTGCTTTGACATCTAGGGTAAGGTATATAAATATTATTCAGTAGGGAATAGACAACATAGGTTGAATAAATCTGCGGCGTTTCTTCAGTTAATCCCAGATTTCATTCCGCTTTCACAAATATGCTCTTTATTACCACTTCCTCTCATTATTAGGGTGATATCTCTATCTCTTCTGGGGTGTCAGATGGTTAAGTCAATGAAGAACAACTGCTGACTTCCAGGCAGGTTAATAACAAGGACAATACAACGACAATGACAGCTGCGATTTATTGAGTGCCTCCTACGTGGTTCCCTTCAGAGCATGTGTTTGAGAACTTAACATGTCTTAACTCATTTAATCCTCCCAACCACCTCACTTTTACTGATGAGGAATTTTTAACTGTTGCACTGCAGCTTCCTAAATCCTTGCTTAGAGTATTAACCAAAGGGAACTTTAAGCCTTTTAAAGGCCAAAATGACCACTTAAAACTTTGACACGCCTGTGTTCACTTAATTACAATGTCATAAAAGTGCAAAAATGAAATATGACATATTTCTGCCCTTATAAAGCTCAAAGCTCATCATGAGTTGAGAATTCCAAGTCCATCAATGCTCTAGCTTTCTGTACCCAAAAGGCAGACACCCAGAAAAAAACCCTTAGCTCACTGGGGGTGAGCCGGGGAAGGCTACATTCAGGGGATGCTTCACTGGAGTTTAAGCAATGAAAAGTCTGTTCAGAGAGTTCTCGAGGAGGGGCAGCAGGCAGAGGAGGGAGAGGGACACAAGCCAGAGAGGCATGCACACATCATCGTATGCACAGATAGGATGTGTTTTGGGACATGCAGATAAGATGGTTCTACAGAAGGGAGCATTGCGTGTATGCAGGAAAGAGATGAAATTTGCACCTAAGAAGAGCATCTTATGAAGGCTGTTACGTGCTCTGTGGAGGAACTTGAATTTTTCCTGTAGGTCATAGGGAGCAATTATTGGAGGTTTCATGCAGGAAAGTAAATGGTTAGACTTGTAGTTTGAAACAATTCCTCTGGAGGCCATGGAGATGGGTATAAGAAGGAATGGCTGGGGAAGTCTGCATCCAGGCAGGCAGACAGAGATGGACTCAAGGTACTGGGGAAGTAGAGTCACCTGAACAGGACTCTACTGGTTGGGTAGGATTAGGGGGAGAAAAAAGGATGATTCCAGGTCTCCAGTTAGAGAGGTTCTTTCTGAAGCAATATTATTTTTAACATTTACCACATTTTATATTTTGAAAATTGGTTGAACAAACCTATGGGGTTTCTTCAGTTGATTCCAGATTTCATACAGCTTTCACAAATATGTTCTTTATTACCACTTCCTCTCGTTATTGCAATATATTCATCAATATAGTGCAATGATGTTTAATGCTACTATTAATAAAAGGTAATATGTGATAATGACAAAACAATACAGTTGTAGTCATTTTCAGTGACTTTAAAGATAGCTTCCCAGATGAGCATTTTCTGCATGCTAGGGATAGGATAGGCAGTCTCATCTCCTTTGGGAGAATTAAGCTCTAGACCAGTGATGAGTCTTCCAAAGTCAAGTCTACTGCCACTGAGAATGTGGCCACTATCGGGGCCCAGCTGTAAAACTAAAGAGAACCAGCCATAATGAAATCAACTGTGGCAGCCCTCTGGCCTCTCTGCATCAACATAACAATTTCCAGATGCCCTCAGAAGAGGAGGGCACCCTTAGTAGGTGCTGATGACAAATCCATCCTCATGGCCTGTTGAGTCTTTCAAGACCATCTATCTGAAACTTTCTCCCATATGTGGGATTCTGTGTTCTTAACTTGGTGAGCTGCAGATTCCCCTCATTTTTATCTCTATGTATACAGATCACTGTTGTCATTGGGAGACATGAGGGGAGGCTACACAAATATATTTGAACTTTCAAAGTAAGCAGGTTAACATACAAGACAGATATCAAGGCTTAATAATGGTTAGTCAAGGGGCCAGGCAGGACCACTAAGGCTAGAAGCGCAAGAATTTCCATTCCCAAATAGCAAAAGTGGTTTCTGCATTTCTGAACTTCAAAAGGACCCTCCAAAAGAGGGTACAATTACTTGCAGCCTGTATTAAGAGTGCATGGGAAGCACCTTTTACAAAGATAGGGATTCCAAAAATGAATCATTTTCTAATCTAAGAAAAGAAAATGAAATGTTTATAAAATGCTCCAATTCTTAGATGTTAAAGAACCCAGTCCTTCGCCATTTCTTTTAAATGAAGAGGAAACACATCTAGAAAAAGCTGTGAACTTTTCTAAATCACAAAGTTTTGAAACTTGTTTCCACCACATCACAACATTTTCTCTTTCCAGAATTCCTTGGAGGAAAAATGTAAGAAAACCTCCTGGTTTCCTGCTTCTCGATGCCACTGGCTACTCATGACTAACTGAACATATGGCTGCTATGGTTTTGTCTTGAAGCCAACTGAAGTAGAGGAGCAGCGAGCTGCTCTCCAGCACGGGAAAGAATCTGCAAAAAGTAATGGGCTGTCATCTGAAATATTTTCAGACGTCGGCTTTCGAAAGAGAGAGCAAGCTGAGAGCCGGCTTTAGCTGGGGTTTTGTTGGAGGGCATCACTGGCCTCAGATGCTTGTAAATCCCAGATTCTGTTTGTTCACCCACCATAGTGTTTTTTACTTCTTGACCCCTCCCCCAAACTCCCTGAGGTTGCTGGTCGTGCTGTTGGTTTTAAGTCCCTGATGCATCTTACACATTTCAGCCTCTCGAATGTTCATCTTTTGACTAGGCAGCAAATGAGATAAGGAAGGGCTGTTAGTCCAGGCAGATCATGTCTGGCGCCTAAGTGTGAGTCTGGGCTTTAATTCTTCCTGCCTGAGAGAGGTTTCCAAGCAAAGCAGCCATGCTGGGATTTCCTTCGATTTTTCTTTTTTTTTTTTTTTTTTTTCAGAGACAGGGTCTCACTCTGTCCTCCAGGCTGGAGTGCAGTGGTATGATCATAGTTCACTGCAGCTTCGAACTCCTGGGCTCAAGCAATCCTCCTGCCTCAGCCTCTGAGTAGAATAGCTGGGACCACAGTCTCATACCACTGTGCCTGGCTAATATTTCCAGTTTTTGTGGAGAGAGGGGTCTCGCTTTGTTGCTCAGGCTCGTCTCTAACTCCTAGCTTCAAGTAATCCTCATGCCTCAGCCTCCCAAGTGCTGGGATTACAGGCGTGGGCCTCTACGCCCGACTTCCTTCAATTTTTAAAAGCACTAAAGATTTAATTCAATGGACCTTGCCCTTGCACTGTGTAATTGAGAATTTTGCTTGAGAAAAGATGCAGGATTAACCCAGATGTAAGAAGAGTGCTGGTGAAATCTAAGGAGACACTACAAAATGGCAAGTGATCATGAGCACAGCCCACAGCTGAGTGTTTTATCACCCACAGTGGGCACCGTCTGGCCCGTGGTACGAAAACACACGAGGTCATTTTTACAGCTTGGACAAAGATTCCAGGCTCCAGGGACCAACAGCAGGTGGGCGCGAGGATAGTTTCTAAGCTAACTGTGCTTGAGTTAGCCTTTTGTTTCCTATTTCTCTACACTTAGATACCCTGTTTGCACTATCTATGGTTGCTCTGAAGTAACTGTGAGAGTTATGAAGAGTAAAGACATTTAAAAGTCGTACTAACCTCAACTCCCAGGCAAAATGTGCCAGAATTCCCCTAAGAACTCCCGTAAGAAGTGGAGATACACCTAATGTTAAATGACGAGTTAATGGGTGCAGCACACCAACATGGCACATGTATACATATGTAACTAACCTGCACGTTGTGCACATGTACCCTAAAACTTAAAGTATAATAATAAAAAAAAAAGAAGTGGACATTATTTGATGAAAGGGAAACTTGTGGCCTCCAGGGTCATGATTCCATAGAGACAGTTTCTCTGCAAAAGCCAGCCTCCCTACCACCCGCCCCCATCTCTGATGGCTTGCAAGAAGAGGACCCTCCGGTGGTGGCACTGTCCCCACTGTTTTAGGATGGTGCACCAGGAGGGCCCATAGCTGGTAGGTCAGTGTCCATTTACCTGACACATCCAGGTGCTCCAGATTAGGGCAGAGGGACACCACATCAAAGACGGCCTCGTTGGAGATATTGTAACAGCCTGAGACTTCCAGTCGCCTCAGTTCGGGGCAGCACTGGGCGATGGTGTACAGCCCTCGGTCTGTGAGCCGCCTGCAGCCACTGACAGTTACGGTTTCCAGCATGAGACACACGTTGGGGGTGTCCTGGCAGAGTCTGCGGGTCAGCACCTTGAGGGCGCGGTCCACGTTGATGGTCTCGCCCGTCAGGCGGATAGTCCTCCAGAGCCGCGGGTCCCAGGCCAGGTTGTACCAGCGGCGGCACACTCGCGCGCAGCGGCACAGCTGGTTGGTGGGCAGGAAGGAGAAGATCTGCACCATGGAGTGGTCCGGGAGCCGGTCTATGCTGGCCTGCTCCTTCTGGGGTCTGGAGGCGAGCCGGATGAGCGGGTGTGTGAGGCGGGTCGGGGGCGGGGAGTGCACCATGGCCACCGTCTCCCCGGTGATGGAGGACGAGGAGGTGGACGAGCCCCTTCCATTCTGAAATCCTGGGAGATTCGGTGGACATATCAGGGCTGGGCTGGGCGTGCTCAGTGTGCGCATGCTCAGGTCGGAGTCTGGCAAAGGACAGAGAACAAAGGTTAATCATGATGGCCTCAGCAGAGCCCCAGGGAGGCAGCAAAAGCACTGGTTTCTTTCTTTTCTTTTCTTTCTTCTTCTTTTTTTTTTTTTTTTTTTTTTTAAGATCTTGTCGCCCAGGCGGGAGTGCAATGGCGTGATCTTGGCTCATGGCAACCTCCGCCTCCTGGGTTCAAGCGATTCTCCTGACTCAGCCTCCCGAGTAGCTGGAATTACAGGCATGCGCCACCACGGCCGGCTAAGTTTTTTTGTATTTTTAGTAGAGACGGGGTTTTACCATGTTGGCCAGTTTGGTCTCGAACTCCTGACCTCAGGTCATCCGCCCGCCTTGGCCTACCAAAATGCTGATATTACAGGTGTGAGCCAGCGTGCCCGGCCAGCACCTGTTTCTTTCTTAGAGAAAACATTCATGGGGGCAACATTCTCATTCCACAGATGTCCTCCCTGGGCCGACTCCTGCCAATGCCATCCCAGAGGACCAAGCACATGCACGTGTCGCCCATTCCAGAAAGCAACAATTCCCTGTGGTCTGCACCAGGAGTGACCAGACTGCAATGAACAGGGTCAGATATTAAATACTGAGGCTTTGCAGGCCATGGGCTCTGTCCCCCTTGCAACGACAAGCCCTGCCACTGTTGTGCAAAAGCTACCACAAACAGAGTGTAAACAAAGGAGCGTGGCTGTTTTAATAAAACCTAATTTATAAAAGCAGACCAGCTGGACTAGTCCCTGTCTAGACCAGGGAACAAATCCCATCAGGTCATAGTTTGACAACTTCCAGTCTACATGAACGGGGATTACGGTAGGGCACAACTTCAAAGTTTCATTGTTTCTATTCTGGAGAAACCTCATATACTAGATACACAAACTGATTTACCTCCCTAATTATATTTTGGTTAGATGGGTGATTATGTTGCATTTACAAATGAGGGGAGTGAGTTTCAGAAGACAGGAAGAGTAGTGAGTAGGCGCAGAGGACACCTGCTGCCTTGGCTCACTTCTCCCAGTGTCTGCTCCCGTTTCTGTTGAAAACAGTGCCCCAGACAAGGGGAGCCAATGAAAGGCCTCTGCTAGCTCAGGCATTACACACAGCATTTCCAGTCCTTGGGTAACTGGAAACATGTTTATTTTTTCTTCTTATTAACAACCTCCCCTTTGCATTTGAATAGTATGAGCCATATTCTATTCCTTGGAACTAGAAAGATCGCTGATAAGGACACAGCAGTTTTAAAGTTTGTGAGGGATTAAGAATTCTTTAGAATGCCACTTCAAGAAGTAGGCTCATTTCCTCTCTCTTTTTCTCAATATACACAGAAGAATTTAGTCTTTCTCTCTAAATACAATTGCATATGATATATTTTTGATATATATAATATCCAATGTATATTATATATAACCATATACATGGTATTATTACCATATATATCCAATGTATATATGTATTATTAGATCCAATATAATATAAATTTTGTATCTACATAATATACATTGATATTATATAATATATATTATATAAATAATATATTTAATAATATACATTGGATATTATATACAATATACATTGGATATAATAATACATATATACACGTTGGATATATATGGTAATAATACCACATATATGGTTTTATTTAGGAAGAAATGTATTTTCTCTGTTAACATATTTATATATTTTACATATTTTACACACATACATATACCCACACACATGAAGATACTCCCCAGCTTACTATGGGGTTTTCGGGCCATAAGCCCATCATAAATTTAACATATCCCAGGTTGAAAATGCATTTAAAACATCTAATCTGCCAAACATGTTTGCTTGTCCTAGCCTACCTTAAATGTGCTCTGAAGGCTTACAATAGCCTACAGTAACAAAGTCATTTAACATAGAGCCTATTTTATAATGAAGTGTTGAATATCTCACGTGACTTATTGAATACTGTACTGAAAGTAAAAAACAGAATGGTTGTATGGGTACTCAAAGTACACTTTCTACTGAATGTGTATCACTTTTGTACCGTCATAAAGTCTGAAAATTGTATTTAAGCCATAGTAAAATCAGGAACTATCTGTATAGGTATGTATCTATATAGCTACACATACATATCCACACATAGAGCATTTATCTTCAAAATACATATTTCCTCATCTATAAAATAAGTGAACTGAGCTAAACAATTTCTAAGTCATTTCCAGCTCTAATTATAGTTCTCAAGATTTAAACAAAAGCTCTATGCTTATATGCTTTTGCATATTTCATACCCTGGAAATTAACACTCATACCATCTTCTCAAAGAACTTCCAGCAATAACATGCAATACAAAAATTTCTGAGACCTGAAGTCTCCCCCTACTTGTAGTTTTCTTACAGATCTCCTTTTTCTATCGCTGCAATTTTTCTGTTCAGTTGCTTGTTTATAACCTAACACTGAGAATGGCTTATGTGCATCCACGCTGTGCTCATGGAGCATCTTTGAATTATGTGCTGCCCCAACCTCCCATGTTAGCCTCTTGAAATACAAACACCTTTCTTGAGTAGCTGCAAATGCCATCTCCTTTAAGAAGTTTTCTTCCTGTCTTTGGGATAGGATCCCTTCCCTTGTGAAGCCCCCACCCTTTGTTATACAGACATTTGTGAATTTATCTTTTCCAATGTGGTTGATTGTATTATTTTTAACATATTAGCATTACCATTCAATTCAAGACATTTGCGCACCTGCTATATATTTTCCTAATTTTGCATCCCTCCCTGTGTCCCCATATCCTTTGTCATATGCTTTGCAGTTCACCTCAGACAGAGTATATTTCCTCATTCTAGTGACATAGGGCTTGTCCATGTGACTTGCTTTGGCAGAAAATGTTAGAGGAAAGCCATTTGTGCAGCTGGCTTGACCTCTCAATCTTCTACCTTCACAGTGAGGAGAACATGCCTCACTAGCCCCTTGCAGGCACAGTGGCTCATGCCTATAATCCCAGCCCTTTGGGAGGCTGAGGTGGGTGGATCACTTGAGGCCAAGAGTTTGAGACCAGCCTGGCCAGAATGGCAAAAACCTGTCTCTACTAAAAATACAAAAATTAGTCAGGTGTGGTGGCACACCTCTATGATCCCAGCTACTCAGGAGGGTGAGGCACGTGAATTTTTGCTTGCACCCAGGAGGCAGAGGTTGGAGGTTGCAGTGAGTTGAGACTGTGCCACTGCACAGTGAAACTCTGTCAAAAAAAAAAAAAAAAAAAAAGAATAATGAGAGACCCGTGAAGCAGACAGAACTTCCTCCAACCTGTACCTTACAGACAGGCTCAACCAAGGCCAGCTTGGTTCAGCCAATACCCAGATGAACCACAGATGCATGAGCTAGCATAAACAATGTTTTTAAACACTGAGTTTGGGGGTGATTTTTTACACAGTATTACTGTCGCAACAGATGATGGACATACCTTCTATTACACTAAAAACTCCTTTGAGACAAGGATTACATCCTTTCCTTGTTTCTGTCCTGGCAGCACCTGCCATTGTTTATGATATATAGTAGGTGCACAACAAACATCTTGAATTGAATGGAAGTATATGTTAAAAAATAATTCCAGCTTGGCATGTATTTTTCTGTTCCAGGTGGTATACATGCTGCATTTTAAATCGTTCATAAGAAAAGAAATCGTACTTCCCTTTGGTAATCATCTAGAATGAATAGCAAATCTTTAAGGAAAATCTTAAATATAAACCAATTTTGGACTTCAAAACTGCCATCCAAGTTACCATGGTACCCACCTTCATTATTATGAGTACGCAGAGATTTATCGCTGAAACCAGTGTTTCTTGGAGGCAGGTGAACAACTTATTTTGGGCCAGGAGGGAAAGACAATCCTAGGCTCTCAGCTCTGACATTTTAGCAGCTGTGAGGGCACAGAAATCCCTCTCCTGCCTGCCTAGGTTGTATTCATCTTGAAGCAGAAGACACTACCTGCCTAGAGGTGGCCACTGAGGAATGAAAGATACTTACCCTGTGCATGGGGGCGGAGGGGGGAGGGTGAAGTGGATTTCTAAAACCTGTCACTCTTTCATACTCCAAGCGCTTAGGAAAGCTGGATGTCTCTTTTACCAGAAGACACACCAAGAGTCTCTGATTCCTTCCTGCTATTCCTACAGCAGGCCAACAACCTCAGGGAACTTTTGAAAAGATGATTAACAATTTGTCTCAATTAAATAAATAGTACCTGATAATTAAAAAGATTATAAAGCATGACAAGTAAAAAGTACAGAGATGCATACCTAGAAGTTGTCACAAAATATCTTTTCTTGATATTTTCCACAAATACATTAAATGTATTTCCAAATTTAAAAATATACATATATATGTATTTACATTTGAAAATAAATTTTGTTATGGATAAACTATGAATAGCTTGTCATACAATGTGTTTTACCCTTTGATATCAGGACCTATTTACTGTCACTAGATATTATTATAAAGAGTACCAGAATATGTCTCTATAGCAGGAAAATAAAGCATGGCTTCAAATTCAAAACAAGGACCATTTCTATCTCCTAAGTAGTATATTTCGTTCACAGAAGAGAATGTAGAAAGACCAGGTGTACTCTTTGTACACAGTTTTTTTCTCCTACGTTTCTTTCAGAAGACTGGCAGCTAAATGGACATTGGCAATAGCTGCTGATTCTTCTGAGAGTAGAAACAGGGACCCCGATGCAGGGGTACCAGGACACACACTCAGAGAGGAGAACATCAGAGACAAATATTAAGATGACAGAGGTAGAAGAATTCTGCAACCCTCCTCCTGGTCTTACGACATTGCAATACAAACTGACTATATGTGCTGAAAGAAAATAAAGCTGACTATATTTGAACTTAGATTATGGATTTAGAATATTTTGTAGGTATGAACATACTTTCATGCCTGAATATCTATTCCAAGTGAATTTCCATTGATCTGATGTCTTGGTGCAAAATTGCCATTTATCTTAGTAGTAAGATGATATGCATTGGGCTAAAATACAGTTTAGCAGTAACACTAAGGGGATATTATTGTTAATTTTAATGTATTTTACATTTTTATATACATTTATATGAAAATTAGCTGTTTAGACTACATCTTCCTTCACTTTTCCTTTAGGCAAGACGGTGAGATGCATGAGTGGTAATTGGAAGAATGCTACAACACTGCCAGGAATTATTCTGAACAGGGAGAGTGAGATTTGCAAAAAGTGCCAGTGAAATATACATGGTCAAAAGCTTCTATCTGGAATTAAATTAATTGCTGTCTGCTTTGCGTGTCCTTAAATTCTGAGAAGGCCTTTTGGTAACTGAAAATGGGGATTGTGGTGAAACTGTAGCATAGTTCCCCTAAACGCCTTCCTTCCCTGCAGCTTCTGTTCTCCGAGGTGGAATCCTTATCACCAAGGAGCAGATATCACCCACAGCATCCCTGGCAAGAAACAATGCAAAGCAGTATACATAAAAAGCTCTTGATCATTTTACTTGAAGATAAAATATTCCCTGAAGTATCAGGAAAAAAATGCCCCAATTTTTAAGACAGCAGTACATTTTCATAACACATAAAAAACTTCCAGAACATATGTAGAGCAGGTGCCTTTTTAAAATCCACCAAGACCTCTAGATCCATCTATATTGTGGAAAATGGCAGGACCGCCTCCTTTTTAATGGCTGAATAGTATTTCATATATATAACATATATGATATATGTATATATTATATACTAAATAATATTTCATAAATATAAAATAGTTTCTTTACCCATTCATCCATTGATAAACCCTAGGTTGTTTCAGTATCTCGGCTGTTGTGAACAGTGCTGTAATGAACATGGGAATGCACATATATTTACGAGCTGGTGATTTCATCTCCTTTGGGTATGTGCCCAAAAGAGGGATTGCTGGGTCATATGGTACTCTACTTTCAATTTATTTAGACAGCTCCATACTGTTTTCCATAATGGTTGCAACAATCTAGATTCCAAGGGTTCTCTTTTCTTCACACCCTGTCACACTTATTATCTCTTGTCTTTTTGATAACAGATCTCCTAACACGTGTGAGGTGATATTTCACAGTAGTTTTGATTTGCATTTCCCTGATGATTAGTGATATTGAGCACCTTTTCATGTACCTGTTGGCCACTTTTATGACATCTTTAGAAAAATTTCTATTTAAGTCTTTTGCTCATTTTTAAAATTGGATTATATGTTTTCTTGCTATTGAGTTGCATGAGTTATTTATAAATCTTAGATGTTAGCCCCTTATCTTCCAGCAGGCAGTCTTTGAGCAAACTTTTTTTCCCTGGGAATAATTGCATGAATTGAAAATGAAATCTGTTAAAGGTAAACTCAATGAGTTACTGTGTATTAGCGTGGATGGGTGGATGGATGAATGGAGACATGGACAGACAGATCTGAAAAGGTAAAAATTATAAAATCTGCAAAAGGGATACTGCTGGTTGATTTTTTTTTTTTTTTTTTTGAGATGGAGTCTTGTTCTGTCACCCAGGCTGGAGTGCAATGGTGCCATCTCAGCTCACTGCAACCTCCACCTTCCCAGCTGAAGTGATTCTCCTGACTCAGCCTCCTGAGCAGCCGGGACTACAGGCGCACACCACCACACCTGGCTAATCTTTGTATTTTTAGTAGAGATAGGGTTTCAGCATTTGGCCAGGCTGGTCTCGAACTCCTGACCTTAAGTGATCTGCCTGCCTCGGCCTCCCAAATTGCTGAGATTACAGGCGTGAGCCACTGTTCCCAGCTAATTTCAAATATAAGACTTGAAAAAGGCAACAATTATAAAATCGTAAAATTTTATTAAAATTATAAAATTTCCTCTCGAGGAAAGACAGAGGAGCACACTACAAGTGTCATGAAGGCAGAATGGGAGAATTTAAAGGAGAAATGACCACACACTTTTGCAATAGGATGTATATTTTGTGGACTGTCTCCTAATGATATCTAGTGTATTTTGTGATTTAACTGTCTCCCAATGATATCAGAAAGCTGAATACAACCAAAAGACACAAAAAGAACCAAAGAGGCTGAGCGTGGTGCCTCACACCTGTAATTCCAGCACTTTGGGAGGCTGAGGCAGGCGGATCACCAGAGGTCAGGAGTTTGAGACCAGCCTGGTGAACATGGTGAAACCCCATCTCTATTAAAAATACAAAAATTAGCTGGGCATGGTGGCAGGTGCCTGTAATCCCAGCTACTTGGGTGGCTGAGGCAGGAGAATCGCTTGAACCCAGGAGGTGGAGGTTGCAGTGAGCCGAGATTGAGCCACTGCACTCCAGTGTGGGTGACAGAGGGAGACTCTGTCTCAAAACAAAAAAAAACAAACAAAAAATAACAAACCCACATTGATGTCTGCAGGAAGATACACAGAGTAGATGGCAAGGAATATACAGCAATAGACATTTGGCATTAAAATTCAGTAAACTGCACTGCTGCAGATTTTTGCATTACAGATTTACAGGCAAAAGAGACCGTTTGTTTATTGGATCATTTAATATACATTGTTACTGCTGCCCAAGTGCCCAGTTTGGTCTAGAAAGGGAGGAGTCATTGCATTTAACTAGATTATAAAGCAATTTTTTTTTTTTTGAGATGGAGTCTCGCTCTGTCATCCAGGCTGGAGTGCAGTGGTGCAATCTTGGCTCACTGCAACCTCCGCCTCCTGGGTTCAAGCAATTCTCCTGCCTCAGCCTCCTGAGTCGCTGGGATTACAGGCGCCTGCCAGCATACCTGGCTAATTTTTGTATTTGTAGTAGAGATGGGGTTTCACCATGTTGGTCAGGCTGGTCTGGAACTCCTGACCTTGTGATCTGCCCACATCAGCCTCCCAAAGTCCTGGGACTACAGGCGTGAGCCACCATGGTTGGCCTAAAGCAAATATTTTTACCCCACCTCCTTTCTGCACCATGGTCCCATTAAAGTACCTCCACACAACTGTTCTGACATCTCTAATTTCTTTCCTATGTCCTTCAGGGTGAGAGAAAAATGGCTCTATGGTGAGAATGCCTCCAAATCATGCAAAACCCAGCATGGTAAAGAATAGAATGGTTTGTGCAAGTCTGAGAAAAAAGTCAGTTTTCAGAAGTCCAAGATGAAGACAATAAATATAACGTTTGAATTAAACAATATTCTTAGTGAACTTTTGGATTTTCTCATTATAAATGTAATATTTTCTTGACACAATGATGATCCTTAACTCAAATATATGTAACCGTACTTTTTTATGTTAATATAATCATCTGTTGGCTAAACTAAGAGACAGAGGATTCTTTAAAGTTTAAGAACTTGTGGTTCCATTAATAATTTAAAATACTTTCAAGTATTTGTGTGGGAACAGTATGTTTTTTATTCTTAAATTACTTTAAATGTGTAGAGTACCAAAAAAGTATAGCTGTCTTTTTCTGGGGAAAAAAAATCCTAAAAACTTTCTCATGGTTTCAAAAGTCTTGGAAATTTTATATCGTTAGTAATTACAGTATAGTATCAAAATATTCAAGACATCTCAGACACACATGCTTATTAGACACATTTTCTTTTAACTAGATAGCTGCCTGTTTTGTACAAATTTTTAATTTCAAACCACTGTTGTTTACACTCTAGGAAGTCATATTTACATTACAATGGCCTTTCAAAGTCAAAATTTACAAAGCTCCTCTTCATCTTCCCCCTCTGATTACCAAAACTTTTGTGCAAGATGCTTTCTATTATAAGTTGTCTTTTTCCTCAAGAACTCTTGCCATAAAAAGCAAGATTTCTTTTCTTAGCTTAAACTCAAGCTTAAAAAAATAGATCAATAAAACCTAGCTAGTGAGAAAAGAACACAATCTGAGCGATCGTTTTTCTTCTTGTTTTACTTAAAAATATTTTCTTTTAATGTGGTTCAGATCATCTACACAACCTAGAACCTACTTAAGGCATTAGTTGTGATAAAGTAGAAATGTATGCAGACGTTAATCTTGCATTTCACCTGGAGGGAGTTAGCTTTAGGACTCAAGAGTTCTTGCTGAGAATATCGTCCAGCAGTTGGTACCCCCCAGGATCAGACGATGGCAGAGACTCCTGTCCAAGGACAAAAGACCTGCTTTCTTGGTCACATGGACCAGTCTGATAAGGGTAGCATTGTGGTGACTGATGTGTGGGAAATTGGCGAGGATGGTGGAACTCATGTAATATCAGTCACAGAGGCCAGTCCACTGTTCAGCTCTTCACTGAGTCACAAACCCCAGTTTTCCAGTGTTGCCCAGTTTTTGAGTCTGATCCGAACTAAGCGTGGGTTTTGTTTTTCCTTTAGCTCTTCTAGAAGGGAATATTCATACAGCTAAGGAAACGTTTAAGCCACATTGTTCTAAAATCCATAAGTATATCAATGAAATGTACAGAATGCACTTTTGAAATCTATAATACAGTTTGGTTTTTGCCTCCAGTGTGAGTATCTAGAAAGTATCTTCTAAGAAATTTCTGTCCGAATAAAGATTGGGTGGCCTCAGAAAGTGTGTGAGTCCTAGATTATAATCCATCAGACTCTTCATGGTTTTATCAAACAACTTCTTAGTACCCTCTTTTTCCTTAAATCGCAGAAGGACTTTATTCTTTTCTTTTTTTCTTTTGAGACGGAATCTCACCCTGTCACCCAGGCTGGAGTGCAGTGGCATGATCTCAGCTCATTGCAACCTCTGCCTCCCAGGTTCTAGTGATTCTCCTGCCTCAGCCTCCTGAGTAGCTGGGATTATAGGCGCACACCACCATGCCCAGCTAATTTTTGTATTTTTTGTAGAGATGGGGTTTCACCATGTTGGCCAGGCTGGCTTCGAACTCCTGACCTCAAGTGATCTGCCCGCCTCAGCCTCCCAAAGTGCTGGGATTACAGGCATGAGCCACTGCATGTGGCCTGTAATATTTACTCTTTAATGGAAAGCAGGAAGTTTCATTTTCATCCCTGAGCTAGAGTAGCATTGCTATTAGAGGCCACTTTTTTCACAAGGCAAGGGGTTAATCTCCTATGGTAGAGAATGTTTCTAGAATATCTTTAAACATTTGCTGATGTCCCTTTTTAATGAAAAAAAAAAAAAAAGGCATAAGCCTCTGATTTAAAGTCTTTGGCAGGCAGTAGTATTTCGCTAGCATCGTCCTTCCTTCCTTCCTTTCTTTCTTCCTTCCTTCCTTCCTTCCTTCCTTCCTTCCTTCCTTCCTTCCTTCCTTCCCTCCCTTCCTTTACTTTCTTTCATTTACTTTATTTTTGAGACAGGGTCTTACTCTGTCACCCAGGCTGGAGTGCAGTGACATGATCAAAGCTCACTGCAACCTTGAACCCCTGGACTCAAGGGATCCTCCTGCTTCAGCCTCCCGAGTAGATGGAACTACAGGCACATGCTGCCATGCCTGGCTCATTTTTAAAATTTTCTGTAGAGATGAGATCTTGCTATATTTCCCATGTCCTGAACTCCTGGGCTCAAGTGATCTTGCCACCTTAGCCTCCAACATATTGGGATTACAGGTGTGATTTTTTTTTATTTCAAAATCACCATATATTTATGGCGAGTGATACTGGTTTTCCAAGTAAAACTATAATATTCAGCTTTTAAATAATAATTTAAGTTTACTTTAAAAATATTAAGTGAATATCGGTTGAAGTGGTGAGCATATATGGAAAAAATCATGAGAGCAGAATGTCAATGTCTTAAGTTTAGAAAACACTGTTGAGGTGGAAAGAGCATGGACAGAAAAACCTGGATTCCTAACTCTACTATGTGCAGCTTGTATCATCTGAGGCAAGACACTGAAACTCCATGAGCCACAGATTCCTCTTACGTAAACTGGAAATAAGTCTACCCACTTCACAGAGTATTTAGGCAGAGTCTATGAAAAGTGATACTACCATCAGTACAGGCATTAAAACAGTTACACAACTTCTATTGAGGACTTCATGGGAAATGCATTCTGGGCCCTCCTGCTATAGGGCAATGTTTTTAGAGGCATATTATTCTGGATTCCCTGGAATACTCCCATCTTTATAAATTCCTTATTGTTGCCTCCATTAACCTTTGGCTGGAGGTGGAGGGAAGATAAAGATAAATTCCATGGTTAGAGCACAATGTACTTACTCTTTGTTAATAAAATATGGCTATTTCATTTATTGGTAAAGGAATATTGTAATTGTGAAAGCCCCTTTTCATAGTTTATTAAATGAAATTTGTTTTCCTCGGATATGGTAGACTGCATTCTCCTTGAAATTTTTCCTCTGCCTTCTGCAACACTGTCCTCTCTTCTGCTTTTCCTTTCTGCTTCTCAGGTGTCCTTTGCTCACTCTCTTTTGTGGTATACAACTTATACACTGATGTTCCCCAAGGGTTGCACTCTTAACTCATCTCTGTATCTGGCTCCCTGCTCGATGGGCTCACGGCCCACAAGGCTTCAGCAATTGCCTATAAGCTAATGACTCCCCAAATTCGATTTTCAATCTAGACCATGCTCCCCCATCTCTGCATCTCTCTCAAATATCAAACACACATGTCTAAGTACCTGCTAGGTCAGTGCTCTCTAATATGGTAACCACTAGGCACAGGTGACTATTGGAAATTAAATTTATTAAACTGAAAATTCAGGTCCTCAGGTGCACTAGCCACATTTCAAGAGCTCAGCAGCCACAAAACAGTATTTTACATAGCACAGGCATAGAATGATTCCATGGAGTTCTATGGACAACTAGTCCTCTCCCCACAAGTGTATTTGATGTATCACCAATACAATGTGTACAAGGGTGAACTCATCAATATCCTTTGCAAAACAAAAGTTCCGCCTTACGTTCTGTATTATCATTAGTGGCATCACCATTCATCAGGTCTGCCTCCCAGGATAGAACCCTAGGAATCATCTTGAATCCTCCCTGACCCTCATCTACCTATATCTAATCAGTCCCCAAGTCCCTCACTTTGACTGGCTATGGATTTCACGTCTGTTTCCCTTCTCTCTCCACTGCTCCCACCCTGCTCAAGTGCTCATCATCTCTCATCTCCTTTCAACAACTCGTTAACTGAGACTCCTGATTCTAGTCTTCCTTCCCACCCTTCACCTTACTAATATGGACTCCATCCTGCATTCAGGGTTTACTTTCTAAAATATGGACCATTTTTCCCGGCATCAAAACCTTGACTAGCTCATTCCTTCTGTTACGGGTTGAATTGCGTCCCCTGCAAAAGATATGATGAAGTCTTAACCAGCCCTGTGTCTGTGAAAGTGACCTTATTTGGAAATAAGGTCTATTGACGTATTAGGTTAAGAGGAGGTCATGCTCGATTAGAGTAGACTCTTAATCCAATATGACTAGTGTCTTCATAAGCAGGCAAGACAGAGACACAGGGTATAGACACAGAAAGACTCATATGCAGAGGGAGATGGCACTGTGAAGACGGAGGCCGAAACTAGAGTTACACTGCAACACTCCAGAAACATCTGGGGCTTCCAGGAGCTGCAAGAAGCAAGAAAGGATCCTACTCCACATCTCTGTCAACACCTTGGTTTGGGAATTCCAACCTCTAGAACTGTGAGACAATAAATTCTGTTGCTGTATGCCACCTAGTTTGCAGTATTTTGTTACAGCAGCCCAGGAAGCCAGTACAGCTCTTTCCACACTTTTATATTGAATGCTTACTATATGCCAGGCATTGTACGGAACACTACCCAGGGAACAAAATCCATTTTTTAGAGTATGTATGAGATTCTTCCCCAAAATTTACATTGCAGAGCACATGCTCATGTTCTCCCAGCCCAGAAGGCCTGTTTCTCCAGATTAACTGATGAATTTTCAGTCATCACTCAAGCTCCTGGTCAGAAGTCAGCTTTTCTGCCAAGCCTTCCCAGATCCAGCAAGGCTGAATTATTAATATTTAGCTACTTTTAGTGTTTCCACTGAATTCAAATATATCTGCATCATAGCCCTTTGCACAGAGTGCCTCTCCATCCAGTATACTGTGAGCACTTCGAGGCCAGGAGATGCCTCCTTCATCTCTGAGTCAGTCCAGAGTCTTATATGGATTCAGCCACCCAGAAGCTGCTCAACTAATGCACCAAGGGGAGAATGTGCTCGCTCGGTCCTACCACAAATCACTTTCATTTTCTTTTTGGTTGCAGTTGGAAATATTTACAGGAATTACTTGGAGGAACCAGATGTTTCAGATTGAAGAAGTTGGAACATTTCTGTGATTTATCAATATTTCATTTTCAGGTCTTTTGTTTTTGCCCCTCCACTTAATTTAGGCTTAGCTAGTACATACACTTAGTTTAATAGTATTAATCTACTCAGAAGATATTTAAAAAGACACATGTACACCCAAAAACAATCTCATGCAGCCCACATCACCTAAAGCATCTCAGAACCAAATGCTTGGTGCTTTTTTCTTCACAATACCTGCTATCATAGATTATCCAGATCCCTGCTCATTCCTTTTTTTTTTTTTTTTTTTTGAGAGGGAGTCTTGCTCTGTCGCCCAGGCTGGAGTGCAGTGGCGCGATCTCGGCTCACTGCAAGCTCTGCCTCCCAGGTTCACACCATTCTCCTGCCTCAGCCTCATGAGTAGCTGGGACTACAGGCACCCGCCACCACGCCCGACTAATTTTTTGTATGTTTAGTAGAGACAGGGTTTTATCATGTTAGCCAGGATGGTCTCGATCACCTGACCTCGAGATCCGCCCGCCTCGGCCTCCCAAAGTGCTGGGATTACAGGCGTGAGCCACCACGCCCGCCCGGCCCCCTGCTCATTTCTAATAACAACGATACCTGAAAACTCACAATAAATAAAAATGAGTAACACTTTTACATTGGCCCAGAATTTTAAGATCTCTACTGTTGAAATTTAGTTACCTAAGATGTAACAGAAACTTTTGTTTGTATTCCTGTCCCCCTGCCCTCCCCAACCCCCGAACTAAGTCACGCATCAACTGTAATAACTGGAACTGGCTTCTCTTTGACAGTGTGGAAGCGACAGTATTTCTAATTCCCTGTCTTCCAGAGAGCTCAGAGATAGTTTTGCAAAGCTTGGGAAAGGAGCCAGCTCTTTCTTGTCTTGACAAGAGAAGAAACACATGTATTTTCATGCAAAGGCTTGCAATCCGTAATTTTCAATCTTCGAGTTGCACTTTATGTAGCTGCCTTAATTATTTTCTATATTCAATTGTCAGATAATTCTTTAGTCTCATTTCCCCATGAATAGTTACAAAATTCCAACGTTTACATCTTTACAATAGATGGCATAGTATTGAATTTAGATTCTAGTAAAAAGATACTAATACATTTTCAGTTCACAGCAGAAAACAAGCCCCACAGGGAGCAATAGTCTAGCTCACAAATTCAACTTTCAACGAGAAAAAAAGAGAAATCTCCACTAAACTTACGACCATGTAAAAGATCAATAAGTAATTAGAACACTTTCATAGCATAGTGAATCCTTGCATTTCCTTAGTCATTTGAAAATATGATCGTTAGTGGGTGCAGCGCACCAGCATGGCACATGTATACATATGTAACTAACCTGCACAATGTGCACATGTACCCTAAAACTTAGAGTATAATAAAAAAAAAAATTAATAAAAAAAAACATTAAAAAAAAAAAGAAAATATGATCCACTGTTGTTGAAAATCTTTACAACAATTTCTTTTAACATAAAGTTTTGTGTAAAGCACTTACTATATCCAAGGCACTAAGTGCCAAACAAATGTAAACTCATAAATTCCACATTCCCATTAACATTTTTAAATGCTTGGAAAAACCAGTGACCCAAGGATATAGAGAAACATTTTATTCTTTCTATATTATCAAATATAGAGAGAAAGAACACGTAAAGAGACTTAGTACACTTAAACATTGTTTAATTTCTCTGCTAAGGGTCTCTCTGCAGCACGCTGGGCTCTGATTCTAAAGGTCACCTTATATTGACCTGGGATACATTTCGCATGGGTAGTTCCCTGGGCCTACTACAGTCTAAGTTCATAATCTCTTCTTTAAAGACCCCAGAGCCCCTTTCTAGGGCAGGGCTTTTCCAGTGAATGGACCCAATATTAAATAGCACAAAGACTGGCGTTTCGGTGGGTCCCTGAGTGCGGGAGGCAGGACTTTTATGGTGGAGTAACATGGGCCTAATTCTAGAGTGATCATCTTAGTTTTCAGAACTTGTCATACTTCTTTTTTTTTTAATAGAAAGCTCCATTTTAATGCAAAGTTAATAATAATGTTTTGGAAATTCAGTTGTGGAGTAGAATTCAAGCAAACTGAAATACTTGTGGAAAATCCTTCTAGGTCGGTGGGGAGGAGCCAAGATGGCCAAATAGGAACAGCTCCGGTCTACAGCTCCCAGCGTGAGCGACGCAGAAGACGGGTGATTTCTGCATTTCCATCTGAGGTACCGGGTTCATCTCACTAGGGAGTGCCAGACAGTGGGCGCAGGCCAGTGTGTGTGCGCACCGTGCGCGAGCCGAAGCAGGGCGAGGCATTGCCTCACCTGGGAAGCGCAAGGGGTCAGGGAGTTCCCTTTCCGAGTCAAAGAAAGGGGTGACGGACGCACCTGGAAAATCGGGTCACTCCCACCCGAATATTGCGCTTTTCAGACCGGCTTAAGAAACGGCGCACCACGAGACTATATCCCACACCTGGCTCAGAGGGTCCTACGCCCACGGAATCTCGCTGATTGCTAGCACGGCAGTCTGAGATCAAACTGCAAGGCGGCAACGAGGCTGGGGGAGGGGCGCCCGCCATTGCCCAGGCTTGCTTAGGTAAACAAAGCAGCTGGGAAGCTCGAACTGGGTGGAGCCCACCACAGCTCAAGGAGGCCTGCCTGCCTCTGTAGGCTCCACCTCTGGGGGCAGGGCACAGACAAACAAAAAGACAGCAGTAACCTCTGCAGACTTAAGTGTCCCTGTCTGACAGCTTTGAAGAGAGCAGTGGTTCTCCCAGCACGCAGCTGGAGATCTGAGAACGGGCAGACTGCCTCCTCAAGTGGGTCCCTGACCCCTGACCCCCGAGCAGCCTAACTGGGAGGCACCCCCCAGCAGGGGCACACTGACACCTCACACGGCAGGGTATTCCAACAGACCTGCAGCTGAGGGTCCTGTCTGTTAGAAGGAAAACTAACAAACAGAAAGGACATCTACACCGAAAACCCATCTGTTCATCACCATCATCAAAGACCAAAAGTAGATAAAACCACAAAGATGGGGAAAAAACAGAACAGAAAAACTGGAAACTCTAAAACGCAGAGCGCCTCTCCTCCTCCAAAGGAACGCAGTTCCTCACCAGCAACAGAACAAAGCTGGATGGAGAATGATTTTGACGAGCTGAGAGAAGAAGGCTTCAGACGATCAAATTACTCTGACCTACGGGAGGACATTCAAACCAAAGGCAAAGAAGTTGAAAACGTTGAAAAAAATTTAGAAGAATGTATAACTAGAATAACCAATACAGAGAAGTGCTTAAAGGAGCTGATGGAGCTGAAAACCAAGGCTCGAGAACTACGTGAAGAATGCAGAAGCCTCAGGAGCCGATGCGATCAACTGGAAGAAAGGGTATCAGCAATGGAAGATGAAATGAATGAAATGAAGCAAGAAGGGAAGTTTAGAGAAAAAAGAATAAAAAGAAATGAGCAAAGCCTCCAAGAAATATGGGACTATGTGAAAAGACCAAATCTACATCTGATTGGTGTACCTGAAAGTGATGTGGAGAATGGAACCAAGTTGGAAAACACTCTGCAGGATATTATCCAGGAGAACTTCCCCAATCTAGCAAGGCAGGCCAACGTTCAGATTCAGGAAATACAGAGAACGCCACAAAGATACTCCTCGAGAAGAGCAACTCCAAGACACATAATTGTCAGATTCACCAAAGTTGAAATGAAGGAAAAAATGTTAAGGGCAGCCAGAGAGAAAGGTCGGGTTACCCTCAAAGGAAAGCCCATCAGACTAACAGCGGATCTCTCGGCAGAAACCCTACAAGCCAGAAGAGAGTGGGGGCCAATATTCAACATTCTTAAAGAAAAGAATTTTCAACCCAGAATTTCATATCCAGCCAAACTAAGCTTCATAAGTGAAGGAGAAATAAAATACTTTATAGACAAGCAAATGCTGAGAGATTTTGTCACCACCAGGCCTGCCCTAAAAGAGCTCCTGAAGGAAGCGCTAAACATGGAAAGGAACAACCGGTACCAGCCGCTGCAAAATCATGCCAAAATGTAAAGACCATCGAGACTAGGAAGAAACTGCATCAACTAATGAGCAAAATCACCAGCTAACATCATAATGACAGGATCAAATTCACACATAACAATATTAACTTTAAATATAAATGGACTAAATTCTGCAATTAAAAGACACAGACTGGCAAGTTGGATAAAGAGTCAAGACCCATCAGTGTGCTGTATTCAGGAAACCCATCTCACGTGCAGAGACACACATAGGCTCAAAATAAAAGGATGGAGGAAGATCTACCAAGCCAATGGAAAACAAAAAAAGGCAGGGGTTGCAATCCTAGTCTCTGATAAAACAGACTTTAAACCAACAAAGATCAAAAGAGACAAAGAAGGCCATTACATAATGGTAAAGGGATCAATTCAACAAGAGGAGCTAACTATCCTAAATATTTATGCACCCAATACAGGAGCACCCAGATTCATAAAGCAAGTCCTCAGTGACCTACAAAGAGACTTAGACTCCCACACATTAATAATGGGAGACTTTAACACCCCACTGTCAACATTAGACAGATCAACGAGACAGAAAGTCAACAAGGATACCCAGGAATTGAACTCAGCTCTGTACCAAGCAGACCTAATAGACATCTACAGAACTCTCCACCCCAAATCAACAGAATATACATTTTTTTCAGCACCACACCACACCTATTCCAAAATTGACCACATAGTTGGAAGTAAAGCTCTCCTCAGCAAATGTAAAAGAACAGAAATTATAACAAACTATCTCTCAGACCACAGTGCAATCAAACTAGAACTCAGGATTAAGAATCTCACTCAAAGCCGCTCAACTACATGGAAACTGAACAACCTGCTCCTGAATGACTACTGGGTACATAACGAAATGAAGGCAGAAATAAAGATGTTCTTTGAAACCAACGAGAACAAAGACACCACATACCAGAATCTCTGGGACGCATTCAAAGCAGTGTGTAGAGGGAAATTTATAGCACTAAATGCCTACAAGAGAAAGCAGGAAAGATCCAAAATTGACACCCTAACATCACAATTAAAAGAACTAGAAAAGCAAGAGCAAACACATTCAAAAGCTAGCAGAAGGCAAGAAATAACTAAAATCAGAGCAGAACTGAAGGAAATAGAGACACACACAAAAAACCCTTCAAAAAATCAATGAATCCAGGAGCTGGTTTTTTGAAAGGATCAACAAAATTGATAGACCGCTAGCAAGACTAATAAAGAAAAAAAGAGAGAAGAATCAAATAGACACAATAAAAAATGATAAAGGGGATATCACCACCGATCCCACAGAAATACAAACTACCATCAGAGAATACTACAAACACCTCTACGCAAATAAACTAGAAAATCTAGAAGAAATGGATACATTCCTCGACACATACACTCTCCCAAGACTAAACCAGGAAGAAGTTGAATCTCTGAATAGACCAATAACAGGCTCTGAAATTGTGGCAATAATCAATAGTTTACCAACCAAAAAGAGTCCAGGACCAGATGGATTCACAGACGAATTCTACCAGAGGTACAAGGAGGAACTGGTACCATTCCTTCTGAAACTATTCCAATCAATAGAAAAAGAGGGAATCCTCCCTAACTCATTTTATGAGGCCAGCATCATTCTGATACCAAAGCCGGGCAGAGACACAACCAAAAAAGAGAATTTTAGACCAATATCCTTGATGAACATTGATGCAAAAATCCTCAATAAAATACTGGCAAACCGAATCCAGCAGCACATCAAAAAGCTTATCCACCATGATCAAGTGGGCTTCATCCCTGGGATGCAAGGCTGGTTCAATATACGCAAATCAATAAATGTAATCCAGCATATAAACAGAGCCAAAGACAAAAACCACATGATTATCTCAATAGATGCAGAAAAAGCCTTTGACAAAATTCAACAACCCTTCATGCTAAAAACTCTCAATAAATTAGGTATTGATGGGACGTATTTCAAAATAATAAGAGCTATCTATGACAAACCCACAGCCAATATCATACTGAATGGGCAAAAACTGGAAGCATTCCCTTTGAAAACTGGCACAAGACAGGGATGCCCTCTCTCACCGCTCCTATTCAACATAGTGTTGGAAGTTCTGGCCAGGGCAATCAGGCAGGAGAAGGAAATAAAGGGTATTCAATTAGGAAAAGAGGAAGTCAAATTGTCCCTGTTTGCAGACGACATGATTGTTTATCTAGAAAACCCCATCGTCTCAGCCCAAAATCTCCTTAAGCTGATAAGCAACTTCAGCAAAGTGTCAGGATACAAAATCAATGTACAAAAATCACAAGCATTCTTATACACCAACAACAGACAAACAGAGAGCCAAATCATGGGTGAACTCCCATTCACAATTGCTTCAAAGAGAATAAAATACCTAGGAATCCAACTTACAAGGGATGTGAAGGACCTCTTCAAGGAGAACTACAAACCACTGCTCAAGGAAATAAAAGAGGACACAAACAATTGGAAGAACATTCCATGCTCATGGGTAGGAAGAATCAATATCGTGAAAATGGCCATACTGCCCAAGGTAATTTACAGATTCAATGCCATCCCCATCAAGCTACCAATGACTTTCTTCACAGAATTGGAAAAAACTACTTTAAAGTTCATATGGAACCAAAAAAGAGCCCGCATTGCCAAGTCAATCCTAAGCCAAAAGAACAAAGCTGGAGGCATCACACTACCTGACTTCAAACTATACTACAAGGCTACAGTAACCAAAACAGCATGGTACTGGTACCAAAACAGAGATATAGATCAATGGAACAGAACAGAGCCCTCAGAAATAATGCCGCATATCTACAACTATCTGATCTTTGACAAACCTGGGAAAAACAAGCAATGGGGAAAGGATTCCCTATTTAATAAATGGTGCTGGGAAAACTGGCTAGCCGTATGTAGAAAGCTGAAACTGGATCCCTTCCTTACACCTTATACAAAAATCAATTCAAGATGGATTAAAGATTTAAACGTTAAACCTAAAACCATAAAAACCCTAGAAGAAAACCTAGGCATTACCATTCAGGACATAGGCGTGGGCAAGGACTTCATGTCCAAAACACCAAAAGCAATGGCAACAAAAGACAAAATTGACAAATGGGATCTAATTAAACTAAAGAGCTTCTGCACAGCAAAAGAAACTACCATCAGAGTGAACAGGCAACCTACAACATGGGAGAAAATTTTCGCAACCTACTCATCTGACAAAGGGCTAATATCCAGAATCTACAATGAACTCAAACAAATTTACAAGAAAAAAACAAACAACCCCATCAAAAAGTGGGCGAAGGACATGAACAGACACTTCTCAAAAGAAGACATTTATGCAGCCAAAAAACACATGAAGAAATGCTCATCATCACTGGCCATCAGAGAAATGCAAATCAAAACCACTATGAGATATCATCTCACACCAGTTAGAATGGCAATCATTAAAAAGTCAGGAAACAACAGGTGCTGGAGAGGATGCGGAGAAATAGGAACACTTTTACACTGTTGGTGGGACTGTAAACTAGTTCAACCATTGTGGAAGTCAGTGTGGCGATTCCTCAGGGATCTAGAACTAGAAATACCATTTGACCCAGCCATCCCATTACTGGGTATATACCCAAATGAGTATAAATCATGCTGCTATAAAGACACATGCACACGTATGTTTATTGCGGCACTATTCACAATAGCAAAGACTTGGAACCAACCCAAATGTCCAACAATGATAGACTGGATTAAGAAAATGTGGCACATATACACCATGGAATACTATGCAGCCATAAAAAATGATGAGTTCATATCCTTTGTAGGGACATGGATGAAATTGGAAACCATCATTCTCAGTAAACTATCGCAAGAACAAAAAACCAAACACCGCATATTCTCACTCATAGGTGGGAATTGAACAATGAGATCACATGGACACAGGAAGGGGAATATCACACTCTGGGGACTGTGGTGGGGTCGGGGGAGGGGGGAGGGATAGCATTGGGAGATATACCTAATGCTAGATGACACATTAGTGGGTGCAGCGCACCAGCATGGCACATGTATACATATGTAACTAATCTGCACAATATGCACATGTACCCTAAAACTTAGAGTATAATAAAAAAAAAAAAAAATTTTTTGTGGATCCTGAACAACTAAAAAATAATAATTATGGTAAAATACATGTTACATAAAAAAAAAAAAAAAAAAATCCTTCTAGGTCAACTATGTAAAATAGCTCTATAGAATGGGGACCTATCATAAACTCTGCAAAGCACCCATATCTCAACAGCCTATAATTTCTGAGTCATGTTTCTCTTTAGAAAGATACTTAGAAGTTTATATTTATAGGCTGTATTTCTTAATGGCATTTAAATCAAGTTTGAAAAAATAAATTTAAATGTAACTATATAACATAGCATTGACCAATGTGTAAAGCTCCTCAATAAAATTTTGCAATATCATTAAAAAAAAATGCCTGGGTTTGGAACCAGGAGGGAAGGAAGTGTACATTTGATATGTTGGCGATGATCTTTATTTAGAACCACTTTTCTAGGCAATCTTTGCTTTTAGTTCCCTTTTAAGCAAATTCAAGGCTTATAACTCAATCATAAAATAAACAGAATGGTGGATTCTGGCTCATCATTTACGTTGATATTTTATATACTAGGATGTTGCGTATTCAGCATCCTAGTATGGTAACATCCTAGTTGGTTACACTTCCTGTTCCCTCCAGGAAGTTATGATTTTACATTGTGACATGGGTGGGGTTGGGGTTGGGGTCGAAGAGGAGGCACAAGGGTAGATTGAGTGTATTAATTATGACCTATCCTCTCCATTCCTGCCTTCTGTTTTCTTTCTTATGTGTCCCCCAAGCCACATCACAATATTCACACTTTTCTGATGGGCAGACCACTTTGTTTATCTTCATAAGTTTAGAACTGAACTGAAAATATTTAATTCTTGCCAGCAAATGTTAACAGTCTGACATCATATTCCAGGCTGGTGGCCTGAGCTTTCTTCAAGATTTTGTTGTTGTTGTTACATTTGTTTGTTTGGTTTTTAAATATCTCTCTGTTAAATTAGTAAAAGCAAAGAGGACTGAAGATACAAAAAAAAAAACAACACCATTTTTCCATATTAATTATTTATGGGACTGAACAGAGGTTGACCAGATGGAAGCCTCAGGGTGGAAATTGTTTTGGTTCATTCAATACAAACTGTCTTAAAAAGGATTCCTCACTCTAGGCCAGATTATTTGCAGGCTGGCCTCCAAGCAATAGATTAGTCCTCTTTGGTAAAAAGACCACATCTTTTAAAATGGTTCAAAAAGTGAAAATAAAATGAAAACAACACCTTAATTTTAGCTTAAAAAGAGAAACTTCAGTGTTTTATTGTCTTAGAATTAATTTTAAGTTCATTTGAAGGAAGCAAGCATGGCTTATAGCTAAAAGATTGCTTCATGTTGCTTTATGGATCAGGAAAATAAAAAGTTGATTAAAACAGTGTCTTGCAAAATGGCCAAGTTGGCTCTTTTGGCAATGTCAAGAGTCTTGTGAAATAACAGAGCTGAATATCCAGTGATTGACTATGGTAATGCTTAAATGTAGTGCAGAGAAGCACAGGCCACAAAGAACAACTTTTGCTTTTAGTTCCTGTTTAAGCGAATTCAAGGCTTATAACTCAATCATAAAATAAAAAGAATGGTGGATTCTGGCTCATCGTTTATGTTGATATTTTACATACTACGATGTTGCATATTCAGTATCCTAGTATGGTAACATCCTAGTTGGTTACAGTTCCAGTTCCCTCTAGGAAGTTATGATTTTACATTGTGACATGGGTGGCCAGATATTAGTACTTTTAACATTTTTCTTAGGCTAATGTATTAACTAAAGAGCACACATTATTATTATTATTAAAAAATAACTCATAAATACAGCCAAATATATATGAAATAGAGATTTTTTTAGGGAAAAATTTAGGAACATCTTGACAAAGATTAATGTGCAAGATATCAAATACATAGTTATTAATATGACTGTTTTTTGTGGGTGTCTTGCATTCCTAACAAATAATTTTGACTTTGACCACAGTTGTTCTTTATCCTTTGAAACAGTTTTTCTCCTTATGATTCGAATTGTGTAAAGACCAAAATAAAATTAGAAGCAACCCATTCCAACCATAATCTATCTAATAATCATAGCAAGGAATCTCTGCTTTTGCCACAAAATCCACAAAGAGTTTATAATTATCCCTCTTTAGAGTCTGGCATTGCTCTGTAATCAAAAGAGGGAACAAAGTGTATTGTGTATTCACATGACGGTTATGAGTTTTGTATTGTTTCATTTTACATGAGTACACAAGATGTCAGAAAGGGTCTGTTGCTGTTTACATTTGACTAACAGATAACCGAGTAGGAACAAATCTGGTTCAAATCTTGAAAACCTATCAAAACACAAGACGACATCTTTAAATTAGAGTTGCTAAGAAAAATGATGCTTGCAGTAGTCTTATGACTTTACTGATAAAAAGTAAGAAAAATAGAAAAATGTAGCTACGAAGATTTAGAGATACTCTTATCTTATGCCTCAAAATGTAGTAACTATTGTAAGGTATACTAACAGTGCTGTATTTCATGGTGTCAACCTTACACTTAGATCCCTGAAATAACCATTATTTCTTCCCTTCCCTTACCATAGGCTATAAAAAAGTACTCTCCAAAAGTTACATAAAAAGAAAGCCATTAACTACAATTCTGATTTTTATATTGTGAAAGGGCAGAAGATAGAAAGATAAAAGAGTTCTGCCACCTCTGTACTGGATTTCTTTGAATGAATTAATGGCACTGTCCTCTAACCTGTTTGTTTTAATTTAATTTAATTTAATAAAAATTCTTAAGTTGACAAATAATAATTGTACATATTCATGGGGTACACAGGGATCTTTTGATACATATAATGTATAATGATCAGATCAGGGTGATTAGCAGAGCCATCACAATTTGAGTTGGGTGAGAAGAGAAAGAAACATTAAGTTGCTATACTGTCAAGTTTTCTAACCTCCTTTAAAGGATATTCCAAAAAAAACTCTATTAAAATTAAGAACTAAAAGCATAAAAAATGTCAGTTGGAATAAATTGTGGGTTTCCCTACTCCTTCTCTGTTTTTGTATGAAGGAAGGAATAATTATTGCTAGTCAGAAAGACTTTCACATTTATACATAGGCCAGAGGTCAGGAAACAACAAAACCATGTCAATGCAGAGGGTGCTGGTCTTTCTGGAGACAATGTGCCAGAATTTGGAAAGATGTGGAGAACCTGTCAGATTTCATGGTGCTTACTCTAAACCCCTTCTCCCAACCCCTGAATTAGAGTGAACTCCAGGTAGGCAGGATTTATTTGTCAGAATCCTTCAGTGAAAGAGTTGAGAGTCTGATCTTTTAAGAAACATTTTCTTCCCTAGATGGGTCCCATTCTCTACTCGATTGCTCCTGAAATGTTATACACGAAGTTTAATATCGACTTTGAAATGGCCTCTACCCCTCAATGTAGTCATTTGGCTTGCTTGGCCTTCAACCCAGTGGATTTTTTTCTGCAAGTGGCTCCCAGTGGTCCTCACAGTGGTGATGCTGTATCTTTCCTGCCCAAGCACTTTTGCAGAAGAGCTCTGGAGCCCAGACCCGTGGTGGGTTGGACACTAGTCAGTCCCACGGGGCTTGCCCTGCTCTGACTGCCTAGACCTACTGCTCGAAGCCTGCATCATTAGCATCATTGCAACTTTGCCAAGAGGCTGCACTGTGCTCACCTAGAAAGCCAGAAGTGAAAATACTGAATCCACCCCGAAGGACTGACAATGACAACATGATCTTGGATTTCTGAGTACAGCTCTATTATTTCTCTCAATTTGGAGGACTTGCTGAACCAACTCTACTGCTGCTTCCTGAATGGTTCCAAGCCAACTTGAAATCTATTTAAGGGGCTTCAGAAAAGCAGCTAGCAAATTCTGTCATCAAGAGTAAGCTTTACACACAAACATGGGCAAATTTTGAAAGCCACTGTCACCAATGGAGCCATACACTGGGATAATAAGAGCAGACAAAAGTAAATCACATGTGAAATCTGGATTGTACCAACTTCCTCAAGTCATCTGGACACTTTTTTCTTTTAATCAAAGCCTCTGAGTTCTTCTTTGTATATTATTCAGTTGTCTTCATTATGTCAACATAATGGCAGCAAATGGCAAAAAGATGCTGGCTGAAAACATCAGCCCATTTAGATAGTAATAGTAATGACTGTGTGGACACGGATGCAACGTTTGGCACTCCGTACTGTGGAGACAGGAAGAACTCTAGGGCTTCACGGTTGGGGCTTCTGAGCCTTCTAAAGGAAACAAACTAATAACTCCGTAGCTGTAAACATCCTGTTCCAATCCAAATATTGAACATGCTGTGGGGGAAGGGGGAAAACTCAGCCATGTGGAAGCAAGACAACCAATATAAAACCGTCACTGTGTACTCCCCATACAGAGAGAAGGTTAAGAGCAACAAGATGGGAGGCAGCTGCATGGAACCTGTCCCACTGAGGAAGTAAAACAGGTAATGGGGTGGCAGCATGAGAGGAGTGGAGTGTTTATGGGGCCTATTATATGCAAGTTTTCTGGCCATATAATCATCACATCACTTTTGCTAGTCTGAACAATGCAAGTTAAATGTTGAAGGATGCAGTTAAATGTTGAAGGATGCAGTTAAATTTCCTAGGTCCTTGCATTCTGAAATTGGTATTTACCTGAAAAATAAACCTATACAACATACAGCAAGACACGGCAATCATATCCAGATTAAAACTCTTCAAGAATGAAAAACCAAGTATTAACACTCATGAATGAGTATTTAGTGCACTGTGCTATGTATGAATCAAAAATCTTTTTGAAGTGAGAGAAATTATCCAGGTCTTCGTCCTACTCAGAAGGGCAATACTTTGTGAAAAATTTAGCAGTAAGATCTAACTTTAGCTTCATCCCATTTTTGTTTGTTCTAATGTCTTGTGGGTCACTTAGAATCTTGTAGGGAAGTAAATTATGGATTATTAATTTAAAAACATGATAACAAGGGAAGGAACTTTTGGTCCTCCCAGCATTCATTATTTAGTGCAATAGACTGAATGTGTTTATATCCTTGCAAAATTCATGTGTTGAAACCTGATTCCTGATGTGCTGATATTTGCAAGTGGGGTCTTTGGGACGTGATTAGGTCATGTGGGCAGAACCTTCATGAATGGAATTAGTGCTTTTATGAAAGGGACCTTAGAGAGCTCTCTTGCCCTTCTTCTACCACGTGAAGACACAGTCAGAAGACAGTCATCCATGAATCAAAAAGCAGGCCCCCACCAGGCACCAATCTGCAGAGGCTTGATTTTGGACCCCTCAGCCTCCAGCTGTGAGAAATACATTTCTGTTGTTTATAAGCCATCTAGTCTGTGGTATTTTTGTTACAGCATCCTGAACAGAATAAGACATTCAGTGAACTGTAGTGGTGGAGTATACATTAATAGCTTTTAGAAATTGGGGTAGCCACTGAAGAATGCATTTTTAGAGTGGCCACTGAAGAATCTACTTCTGATTTTTCTAATTTTTCCACATGTGTTTTTGAAGTTAAGCAGGTTCCTACTTGATACTTTTGAAGAATTTAGGTTTCATCAAGAGTCCAGAGTGCTCTAAAGATTCTTAATTTCAATGAAGCACTTTTTATGAGTTATCTGTTTAGCTTTTCTTCAGATTGTAAAGTAAACTTGTTCTAAAGAAAACTGGAAGCCTGAAAATTAGGCCAAGGGGCACATGCTCTTCTAAATATTAGCAGAAGTTGGAGTAGCAATGATTTTCTTTGTCCTTGAACCAAACCGTTTACATTTCAGACAGTCCATACTACTTCAATTCTTATAATCATCATTTTTAGTTTTATTGATTTATTTGTTATTTGGAGACATTTATGATGTACTATGATGTTTGCTCATAAGGTTCTAAAGTTTATACCTTTGATTTGTTTTTATATGCTGCCTTGACTTCTAAAGGAATCCAAAATAAAACGTTTGCTGGGAATTATAAAGAATTTCATTGAGAAAGTAAAAAAGAAAAATCTATGCAAAGGAAGTGATTCTGTTGTTTAATGCCATCACCTGTCATTCTGTCTCTTACCATGGCTGGCTTGGCTAGTGGCACCACGAACAGATCCCTACAGACCCCAACACCAAGAAAAGTAGGTTTTTCTTCTTTCTTTGCAGTTCTTTGGTATAGATTGATGTTACTAGGGTGGTGGAAGGCCATCGTGTGAGAAAAGATTACACTTAGTATTGAGGAATGTGGTGAGGATGACTTCCTTTTTCTTACCCTAATAATGGACTTTTGTTTTTAGAGATGCTGTCCTGTAACCTCAGGTTTAAGATGAGGATATTTCTGGATCCAGTGTTTGTACAGTACTATTAATTATTTATTTCTTCGTGTAAAAAATAAATTGATTATATTCTTGTGAGCTTAGACAACAGAAGGCTGTCCCAAGTAGGACCATTCCCTATATGCTGGAAGAAAAAAAAAAAATTGAGCTGACCAAGCTGAGAACCTGAGTTGGATCATAGTGTGGTTACCAGGTAGACTTCCCCAACAGATATTCCAAAGGCCAGTTAATCTTGATACTAATTCTCAGTACCAGGGACAAATTTCTGCATCAAAGACCCTGAGGAAATACTTGGCGACATTTTCTTAGGTGTGTATCTTTAAAAAGCATTAAAGATGAGTTTCATATCTTTGGTCATTACCACCAACATTCTTATAATAAGTCTGTTGAAAGCTCTTTCCCTTCTCAGTTATTTGCAGGAAGGTCTTTATGGGCTCCTGAAATTTTTTCTTCTCATTAATGATTTAGATTATGGGTCTTTTTGTTTCAGATTTCCCTTTCAGGCCTCTGAATAGTTCCTGACTGGGGAGACTGCATGACATCACCCTTCTGAGCTTCTCTAAGGCATTGATATGGTTGTTCTCCAGGTCTTAAGCACTGCTGGGGCAAAACTAGGGTTTTTTGGTTTGGTTTGGTTTCTTGATTTTCTTAAGTCATTCAGACCAAAGCTTATAAAAAAATCTTGTAAAACTTTGCTTTTCAAATCCGCTTATCTCAATGATAACTCCTTTTTCATAGAAATGTTATCACATGCTATCATTTCAATCAGCAGAACACTTGAATCATTACACTGTTTCAGAATTAAAGTTAAGAGTTAAAAATATTGTAATGATTGGCCAGGCGCGGTGGCTCACGCCTGTTAATCCCAGCACATTGGGAGGCCGAGGCAGGCGGATCACCTGAGGTTGGGAGTTCAAGACCAGCCTGACCAACATGGAGAAACCCCGTCTCTACTAAAAATACAAAATTAGCTGGGTGTGGTTGCACATGCCTGTAATCCCAGCTACTTGGGAGGATGAGGCAGAAGAATCGCTTGAACCCAGGAGGTGGAGGTTGCGGTGAGCCGAGATTGCACCATTGCACTCCAGCCTGGGCAACAAAAGCAAAACTCCGTCTCAAAAAATATATATATATATTTTGTAATGATTGATAGAATGTGTGTATAAATATATATATAATGATTGATAGAATGTGTGTATACATATCTCACACACATTTATATTATATACACATAATCTTGGTTTTGAAAGCTCTGTGACTTATTCAGTCCTTTCAAAAAGGAGGAAAAAAAAAATCCTTGTAATTTGCTGGCCAAAAAATAAATACTTGGCAAAGGCTGAGCAGGAGCAATGAAGTGACATCCCAGATGAAAGGCAACAGAAACTGAGGAAATGGCGCTGCAAACGCATGTGGTATTGAATGGGTTCATAACACAGCTCTGAGCTGCCGTTTTTCTATGGGCATAATGGATTAGCTGAGCCGAGAATACATTGAGTTTTCTCCTCGTGTCTATGGGAACTATTTCAGGTGAAGAACTGTATCCTGCGACACATCTTTTTAGCTTGAGGCTAAAATCTAAATTTTACCATAAAAGCACTTTTCACATTTCTATGCCTAAGGACAATTTTGTTGGAATCAATGCACAAATCTCCTTTGAGAATGATGAGTGCTCAAGACAATCTCTTCATTTCTCTCTTTTAATGCTGACTGATAGGCAGGATATCCCTTCTGCTTTCTCCCTTTTTCTCTCTCACACACATAAATGTTATGTGTCTATCAATCAGTCTCGTGGTTGGCTGACATTGCACTACCCCTATATATCACTACCAGGTTTTTGGTGACCATTGCTTAGGCCTTTTCGTCATGTTTTCAAGTAAATTAACAGAATTTTGAACGTGGCTGGGGAGAAGGAGGCTCAGACATTTTCGTCCCACCAGAAATGAGTAGCTGATGGATAGTTGCTGGCTGAACAAATGTTCCAGCTCATGAAGTCCCTGGCTGGGGCTGAGTTTACTTTCTGAGTATCTTCACTCTGCCTGTAGGTGAAATCCTGGTTTCTCTTACTTTGGATGCAATAGCTATACTAAACAAGGCTGAAGACAGATCTTCATAGTCATGAGTTTGGAAAACATGGGATTTGTATTGAGGAGGAGGTGGAAGTGAATGGGAAACTCTGGCTATATACATCACTAAGTCTATCGCATTTGCATGCTGGCTTTGCAATGTGTCTCATTATTTGTAGGAGTCACAGTGACATTATGAAATATATTGATAGTGATGGCCTCCCAATGGGTTTCACACCTTCTACTCTTTTCCAACTCTAGTCCATTCCCATTGGATTAATTTTTTAAAAACACAGCTGCTATCCATCCACTGATCCCTTACGCAACATCTTGCATTGCCTGCTGAATTCCAAACAAAGTTCTTGCCTATCCACATAAGGCAGGCCTGGCTGGGGCTTCAACACAATTTTTCATCCTCTTCTCCTATACCTTTCTGACTTCTAGAAAAACTAGACTATTCCCTATTTCCGGGAGCATAGCCTAAACTCTCCCACCCTTCAGACACTACTCATGTTGTCCCCTCTTCCTTCTCATCCTTGGGAATTTATGTTTTTACTTTAAAATCTTTTCACATCTGACTCAATTGGTATCTTCTTCATAAAGTATTTCCTGGGATCTTCAACATCTGATGTACACCTCACTTAAACTATTACAGCATGTTCTATGTTAATTAAGATATTTGTTCCTCAGCCTACTACCAGACTGTAAACTCCATGATCATGCATGCCCTGATGATCCTGTTCAAAACTATTTTCCAACATCTACAGAAGTGCCTCACACTTAAGAGGAAAATACAATAAGTATTTGTTGAATAAATGAGTAAGACGAACAAAGGCGTTAGATTTAGTTCCTTAAAATCTTTCTTTCTATCTCTTGCAGCATCAAGGTGAGTGATTGCATAGAAGACTGGATAAATATTTGTTAAATTTAGAAGACCCTTCAAAATTTTGTTGAATTAGGAAAAACTATGTTTATGAAAAAAAAATATATACGTATATATAGAGAGAGATAGAGTCTCACTCCATCACCCAGGCTGGAGTGCAGTGGCACAATCTCAGTTCACTGCAACCTCTGCTTCCAGGTTCAAGCGATTCTTGTGCCTCACCCTCCAGAGCAGCTGGGATTACAGGCACATGCCACCACGCCTTGCTAATTTTTATATTTTTAGTAGAGATGGGGTTTTGCCATGTTGGCCAAACTGATCTCGAACTCCTGGCCTCAAGTGATCTGCCCACCTCAGCCTCCCAAAATGCCGGGATTACAGGCAAGGCCCACCATGCCAGGCCATCCTATTACGTATTGTAAAACACCTTTAAATAGTTACCTTTCTTCAGACTTAATGCCTTAAGTTGGGCAAATCTGGGTTTTTTTTTTTTCTTCTCATGTTCAGATTGAGTTATTAAGGCATACACAGAAATGGAAATAGTAGCCCTGGGATAGGACTGCTGGTTTTCTGATGCTTGTCAATAACAACAGATGCCTGAGTAACCCATCCCCAGATAATCTCCATTTCAAAGGGGCAGAGGAAGGAGGAACTGGCAGGAGTTATTCTCCTAGGCCTGTGATCTGGGCTTTCCAGCTGGAGAACTGGTGGCACATGCCACTGTTGGTCCGCCAGAGCCACAATATACAGATTGGCTTAAAGACCATTATCTTCACACCCGGTGAGATTCTCCCACACCCTAGCTGGAACTATGAGATAGGTCGTTTTAGAGGCTTTTTTCAACATTCTGATGGCTTATTCATTTGCATTAGGTTTCAGAAATGAGGAATAGATGACAGATCAACAATTTTAGTATCCATGCCTCTCTACCTAACCTCTGACATTTCCGACCTAAACATCTAAGGTCAAAAGTAGACGAGGTGGGTGGATCACTTGAGGTCAGGAGTTCGAGACCAGGCTGGCCAACATGGTGAAACCCCATCTCTACTAAAAATACAAAAAATTAGCCAGGCATGGTGGCATATGCCTGTAATCCCACATACTTGGGAGGCTGAGGCAGGAGAATTGCCTGAACCTGGGAGGCAGCGGTTGCAGTGAGCTGAGATCCTGCCATTGCACTCCAGCCTGGGCAACAGATTGAGACTCTGTCTCAAAAAAAAAAAAAAGTAGACTCAGTCATTCAGCTGACTCTGAGCTCATGTCTTAAATCCTAATTTTACAGCTGGCCTTGGGTTTAAAAGTATGAAAAAGGGGCCGGGCCGGTGGCTCACGCCTGTAATCCCAGCACTTTGGGAGGCTGAGGAAGGTGGATCATGAGGTCAGGAGATTGAGACCATCCTGGCTAACAGAGTGAAACCCCGTCTCTACTAAAAATACAAAAAAATTAGCCAGGCGTGGTGGCGGGCACCTGTAGTCCCAGCTACTAGGGAGGCTGAGGCAGGAGAATGGCGTGAACCCAGGAGGCAGAGTTTGCAGTGAGCCGAGTTTGCGCCACTGCACTCCAGAGCCTGGGCAACAGAGCGAGACTCCATCTCAAAAAAAAAAAAAAAAAAAAAAAAAAGTATGAAAAAGGGCCCTAAGCATCAAAAATGGGTGATCATTTGTAAGGCAACAGAGTTTAAATAATTGGAGATGTTCACGTTGTAATGTTTGCAAATGAAATATTCACTAAGTGCAATATATCTAGCTTATAGCACCTTCTTTACTTATGATATTTTAATCTCATATTCTTCTCTGGAAAACTTTAAAGGACTTTTAAGGCTTTCTATGAGAGTGCCAATTATGCCCTGTTCCATGTGCTAAGCATGATACTTGGTTTCCTTGCCTTCAAAATTAACTAGATTAAAAAAAGTTTAAATAGCTTTATAGAATGCCAATTTTAGAAATAATACATGCACAATGCTAAAAATTCAGGAAATAATATCAAAAAGAGGAAAAATGATTATCTATAATCCCCCTCACTCATCGGTAATCATTTTAACTTTTTGATATATATCTTTCCAAACATAGGTAGGTAATTGAGGTTTTTGCCACTACTTTTAACAGCAAAAACCACAATTACTTTTGTGCCAACCTAACAGATTAACGAGTAGAATAGATAGGACAAAGGTATTTTAGAATATTGACAGTTTTGAACTATTTTTGAAACACTTTCATTTGGTAATTTGTTTTATAGACATTAATGAGTCAATACCTGAAACATCACACAATGAAACCCAAATTCTTAAAACCATTAAACTGTTTGGAAGGCTTATTTTTTCTTCTGTGAAGCAACTTGCTATCACCTTTTAAAAAATTAGCATTCACTCTGTCCAATTCTAAGAAAAAAAAACCTTAAAAAAAGATTTAAATTTCTCTCTAGGCCTGATGGCACAGCTAGAATTGAGTTGGGTGTAGTTTTTGGGCCAACTCCAGATATTTTCTTCTATGAATTGACCTTTTTTTGAGGCTTAATAACAGTAAAACTCTACCTCATAAATATTGTGTCAAGATTTGACATATTCCATACATACCTACTAAAAATGTGGCAGAATATTCTCCTTAGAAGGAATCTTTTAGGTAACTCCCATAGACATCAGTAAAACCTCATCTAAACCCTAAACAGAAAACGCAATAGAAAATACAATTTCATATGTAAAGGTGATATGTCACTGCTATCAATCAGTAACTTCTCCATAGTTCTTATACCTGCATGATATCTATCACTGAAATTTACTGTTTGTGCTTCCATCAGGATTTGGTTAGATAAGTCTCATATTTCAATATGCCCTGAAATAAAAATGTTATCAGCTTTGATTTTTGTTATTAGAACATTATAAGCTAGCTGTGTGTTGCAATAACCAGCTACATATTCCAGAAGTCCATTTGACCCTTCTGTTACTGGGACTGATATTCTTTTTTGTTTGTTTGTTTGTTTTGTTTGTTTTGTTTTTGAGACAGAGTTTTACTCTTGTTGCCCAGGCTGGAGCGCAATGGTGCGATCTCGGCTCACCGCAATCTCTGCCTCCTGAGTTCAAGCGAGGAGCAAGTGAGTAGCTGGGACAACAGGTGTGCCACCATGCCTGGCTAATTTTGTACTTTTAGTAGAAATGGGGTTTCTCTGTTGGTCAGGCTGGTCTTGAACTCCCGACCGCCCGCCTTGGCCTCCCAAAGTGTTGGGATTACAGGCGTAAGCCACCGCGCCTGGCTGGGACTAATATTCTATGAAGGCTGCCAGCCTGGGGCTAAGCACCTAGCTTTTCCAAATGTTGACATGTTTTCTCTATAGCCCTACCTGATGGACTGGACTTCTGCCTGGATTGGAGTTTGATCATGCCTCCATATGGGTGTTTACCAGGCGTATGCATTGAACCTGAGTTTGTCTCTTCAATACAAGGTAAAACAGAGAGAAATGATTTAATTCATCCTATAGCATTATGTCTTCAAATATAAGTTCTAATATGAAATATTTGACCTAAATTATTTTGATCACAATTGGATAACTCCGTTTCAACCAGGTGACTAATTTTGGCTTGAAGTTGCATTTGAAACATTAAAAAGAATACCCAATGCCATTATTTTTTAATTGGACCTTGTAGACAAAGGCATATTCAAAATTAAAAAAAAAAGTACATTCAGATCATGCTTTTATGCAGTAAGTTAACTGAAATTCAATAGGTACTATGCTTACTATGGTCATTTCTTCCATGTATGCGATTATTAACATAAATTATTCAGGTGATACGTTCATTGGCCCCAGTGGCACTAATTTTCTGTGCATAAACTCAGAATTGATTTATAACATCCCTAAGTATTATGCTTATATCTGATTATTAAAATGAATACAAATTAACTCTGGCCATTTCTTGTTTCATAATTTCATAGCATCCTTTGAAAGAGGCATTGAAAGAGTTTGCCAATTGTTATAGAATAAACAGTATCTGTCCGTGTCTTACATCCCATATTAGTGGGGGCATGATGGTTAGTGGGAGAGACTGATTGGGGTCAGACTGATTTCCACCCTGTCCTGCCTCTCCCCAGCTGAGAGGCCTTGTACATATTTAACTCTCTAAGCCTTGATTTCTTTTTTTTTTTTTTTTGAGACAGAGTCTCACTCTGTCACCCAGGCTGGAGTGCAGTGGCGTGATCTCCGCTCACTGCAAGCTCTGCCTCCCAGGTTCGCGCCATTCTCCTGTCTCAGCCTCCCGAGTAGCTGGGACTACAGGTGCCCACCACCACGCCCAGCTAATTTTTGTATTTTTAGTAGAGACGGGGTTTCACCCTGTTAGCCAGGATGGTCTCGATCTCCTGACCTCGTGATCCGCCCCCCTCGGCCTCCCAAAGTGCTGGGATTACAGGCGTGAGCCACCGCGCCCGGCCTAAGCCTTGATCTCTTAATCTGTAAAATGAGGAAAATAGTTTCCACCTCACAGCATTGTTATAAAAATGAAACAGAAAACAAATGGGCCCAGGTGAAATACTTAATGAAGGGTCAGGCACACTGCATTCCCTTTCTCCTTCGCTTGAGCTGAGGAACTGTCTGAATTCCTGCCTTGCACATAGTAGTTGCTTAATCAATGTCTTTAAAATGAATGAGGATATGATATAATACGTTTTCAGATGTAATAAGTAAGCTGCGAACCCAAAGCACAGTGGAATCAATTTCATCAACCCTGCTCATAACCTCTGCTGCTACCACCTTATTTCAAACTACCAGTCTCCCATCTGACCTTCCGCTGTGACTTCTGAGCTCCTGCAGCCATTGCCGTTGTAGACCCCTGAGGATCTGTCTTCCACACAGCTGCATGTCCCGCCTCTGCTCAAAACTCTCCAGCAACATCTTCAACTCACCTCTTAGCATAAGAGCCACAGTCTTTGTAGAACATGCATGGTTCCACATCATCTGCCCCTACCGTGTGTCAACCACCTGGCTTTCTACATGCCTTCCTCTTGCTCACAGGGACCCCCTTGCTGTTCCTAGAATGTGCCATGCACACTTCCCTCAGGACCTACCCTCTGGTTGGAGTGTTGTCTTCAAGATATGGGAGGGCTCACTCCGTTTGTTCCCCTGTCCCCCAGGCTTTCTCTGTGCTCTGCGCTTTGTGCTGCAGGAGGCTGACCTCCATGAACTGCTTCTCCTGGCTCCCTAGTGCTGTGGCTCCCAGGAGCACTGGCAGGAGGCTGGTGAGCAGGAGGAGGCAGGGAGCACTGATCTCCCTTGCAACCTGGGGCTGTTCCCTCCTGCCTGGTGCTTTGGGCAGTGGCTGAGTTCCTTTACTTCTGGCCCCACTGCAGTCAAGCAGACTTTTCCTCTTGGCTACAGCTCTTGCTAAGTTCCAACACCGCCACTCTCTCCCTCTGCCCCTTCAGGACTGTGTGTGGTAACAGCTTCCTACTGTAGCTAGTCCGTGGGTACTGTCTATACCTGTGTAAATAGCACCTTTATTCAGTTCTCGTCAATTTCTCCTTTGAATGTGCCATCTGTTCCTGCTGGGATCTAAACTGGGCTCAGAGGTCACCTCCAGAGGGAAGCCTTCCAGAATAACCTCTTTAAAATAATAATCCTCTCACTCATTTATGATACTTTATCCTGGCGGTACTTACCACCATCTGACATATAATATACTCATTTATATTTGCTGATTGTGTCTCCCTCTACTAGACTGTAAGCTCAAAGGACATCATCTTTCTTTTGTTTCCTGATGTGTCTCCAGTTCCTATTACAGAGTCTAGTTTACATAAATATGTACTTTAATAAATGTTTGTTGAGTGGATGGATTCTAAAATGTAGAAAATTACATTGGGGATTTCATTTCTTTCTAACATTTTAAATGGTAAGGGCAGTGAACTAATAGACACAGAAACTATTCTGATCCATGCAGAGCAGAATTTAAGGAGAGGATGGGATATAAAATCATTGAAAACCTGACTGTCCCTAGGTTAGGCTTGTAGTAAAAGTAACTGGTACATCTCTGACTTGAGCAAGAACTTGAAGATATTTAAACATTCTACTCTCCTGACATATCTGAGTGCCTACAGTAGAATTAGCAAGTGATGAATTAAATGGTTTCACTGGAGGCCTTTTAAAAGTACTCCATCTCAGTATTTCTCACCCTGAGTATCTAAATGGTAATAGGTTATGGCACCAACAATACCACAAAAAAGATAAATTATGCAGAGAAAACACTAAGGATAATATGGCCATCATTAAGCTAGACTCTCTCTGAACAGATAATAGATTTTCAAGTTTTTTTTTCTAATTATCTAGATTATCTTTTTAAATATATCACTATTCAAGTAATTTTATTTTATCCTAAATATCACCACATTTATGATCAGAAATTAGTTAATAAACTCTTGATCTCCTCCTGAATTTGTTTATGGCGTTTTGAGTTTACATGTTAAAAGGTAGGGCTAATCTCAAGACTTCAATCACGTAGATCTTCATTTTCAGATGAGCCTTAGAACAGCGGTCCCCAGCCTTTTCGGCACCAGAGACTAGTTCCATGGAAGACCATTTTTTCACACATGCAGGGAGGGGCAGAGGATGGTTTCAGGATGAAACTTTTCCATCTCAGATCATCAGGAATTAGAGTCTCATAAAGGGCGTGCAACCTAGGTCCGTTGCATGCGCAGTTCACAATAGGGCTTGCACTCCTGTAAGAATCGAAAGCCAGCCGGGCACGGTGACTCACACCTGTAATCCCAGTACTTTGGGAGGCTGAGGTGGGTGGATCACCTGAGGTCGAGAGTTCAAGAGCAGCCTGACCAACATGGAGAAACCCCGTCTGTACTAAAAATACAAAATTAGCTGGGCGTCATGCCTGTAATCCCAGCTACTTGGGATGCTGAGGCAGGAGAATCGCTTGAACCCGGGAGGCGGAGGTTGCAGTGAGCAGATTGTGCTGCGATCCAGCCTGGGCAACAAGAGCAAAACTCTGTCTTAAAAAAAACAAAAAAACAAAAAGAATCAAATGCCCCTGCTGATCTGACAGGTGGTGGAGCTCAGGTGGTAATGCTCGCTCACCAGCTGCTCACCTCCTGCTGTGTGGCCCAGTTCCTAACTGGCCACAGACCGGTAGTGGTCTGTGGCCCAGGGGCTAGGGGACCTCTGCCTTACAGGATACCAAAGTTGAGCTCTGTTAATGTTCTGCTCTTCATTTGAAATGAGAGAATGAAGTCTGATAGGCCCAAGAACTTTTTCTTTCATTCTAAAGTCAGGACTATCAGAAATCTCCCTCCGGTTAGGAATGGTCCACCTCCTCCCATCTCACTTTTTAAGTCAGCCTGGGTTATAGCACCTGGTTTTTTTTGTTTGTGTATTGTTTGTATCTTACAAGTGTTAGTCCTGGTTTTTAGTTGGGAATAGCTGTTGAATGATCATATGTCTGTGGAAGAAAAGAATAAATGGACTCTGGAGACAGAAATGTTCAATGCACAGTGCCATATGCCTGCAGTCATTTACAAATGCACCTATTCTCACACTTGGCTGCATGTTGAAATCACCTGAGGGAGTTTCAGAACAACACTGATACCTGGATCCTATCCCTAGAGACCATGATTTAATTGATATGGGGTACATCACAAGCATTGGAGGTTTTCAAAGCTCTTGGGTATTCTAATATGGCAGAGAGTTGGTGAACTGCTGATTTAGGCCATCCAAACATCACTGGCATACATTTGATGCAGGTTTCACTGATTCTAGTCACAAGTAGCTTCTGCTGCTTTAACTCTAGAGACACTACAGTTCCTCTTGCATTCTCCCACTTTGGTTCAATAGGAAAATCTCTGCCGCTTAGTGATTTTCCAAGAAACATGAGCTTCTGCCTTTCAATGAGGAAGATACTCAGAAGTCATGTTCGAGCACTCCGGTAAGTCACACAGCAAGGAATCTTAATCCCAGGTAGGGATGTTTGGGGGTGTATCAGAAGAATGGGTAATCACTTCTGAGGAGAATGATCTCTCAGCCTGTGAATCTTTAACCACTGAAGCCCAGAGAGGAGTGTTTTCATTAACTTGTGGCCAGGCATTGGTAAGATCTGGCCACATACCAGTTTCCTTCCTAGTGGATTATACCATTCCTTGTCTCTGAGAGGTTGTGAATGTTCCTTCTTTCCCCCCGCCCCACTTTTTTCTGCTTGTTTGTCTGCTTCCTTGACTATTTATGATGTGGAGAGACCAAGGCCCAGATATTTCTACAGGGACACAGAAAAAGCAAACTCTTAGGGGAACCGCAGTACTGGCAGTGCCAAGGATAATACAGCTCTACTTAAGCTAGAAATCTCTCTGCACAGATAATAGATTTTTGAAGATTTTTTTTGGTTCTTCTAATTGTCTAGATTATCTCTTTAAATATATCACTATTCAAGTAATTTCAATTTATCCAAAATGTTTTCACCAAATTTATTATCAGGATTTAGTTAATAAACTCTTGATCGAAGGCAAAAGACCAATTTTGCCATTTTTTTGTAAAGTAGAGGGAAATATGCAAGAGTGGCAGAGTGGGCCGTGAAAGAGAAGTGCAGAAGGTTATTGGTCTTAGACCTCATTTCCTTGTTAGATTTTTTTCTAAACCTGACCAAATGGTCTACTGAAGTACTCACATGGTTTAAAAAATCACTTTACAAAAATTAAATCAAAGGGGAAAAAGCTCGGTGGCTTCTGGAAGGCATTTGTACTAGCATTTGAGGTGGTGTTTATAGCTCATACCTGTAATCCCAGCACTTTGGGAGGCTGAGGTCGGCAGATCACTTGAGGTCAGGAGTTCGAGACCAGCCTGGCCAACACGGTGAAATCCCATTTCTACTAAAAAATACAAAAATCAGCCAGGCGTGGTGGCACACATCTGTGATCCCAGCTACTCAGGAGGCTGAGGCGGGAGAATCGTTTGAACCCAGGAGGCAGAGGTTGCAGTGAGCCGAGATTGCGCCACTGCACTCCAGCCTAGGTGACAGAGCGAAACTCCATCTCAAAAATAAATAAATAAATAAATAAATAAATAAATAAATAAATAAATAAAGTGGTGTTTACAAAGGGATCATAACAATCAGTTCATCAGAATTTGGAGGGCAAAATTGATTCTTATTGACAATTTCCTGGATGATAGTGCAATATGAATTAGTTACTATAAAAGCACTTATCTCCTTTAATTTAATTTGCTGTCTCAGATTGTCCATCAGGGGATTTTTGAGGAAAAGTGTTCAAGGATATTCTGAACTTTTGGTTCTGTTATGATGTCAGACACAGGAGACCCAGTCAGGTGTCTGGACTCTGGAAGAGCTCTCTATGCTGAGAGAGAGAACATGGAAGCTACTGGCGGAGCAAAGAATCCAAGAAATTTATTGTTTTTTAACACTGGCTTTTCCTCCCCACTCTACTGGAAACAACACATATGTATTTAAAAGAGTTTCACATATACTAATGCACAGCCAAGCTTCTTGAGTGTACCAAAAGATACTGTCTAGTTTCCATAAAAGGGCTGTATTATGCCTAGATAATACCAAGATTGTGGAGTGACAACCCCCATGAGTAGCGGAGTTAATATTCCAATACTCTACGTGTTTACTGAGGTACTTGTTAGCTCCCTGTCTTTAGGGATACACCTTAACAAAGCTTAGAAGCGCAGAGGGCCAATATTTATACTTGTTAGACATGCCTTGATGGTTTGGAGCCATTTCCAACAACAGCTGTACAAATGGTTGATGTTATGGTGCTTTCTCAGACTTAAATCCCATTTGGCAATTCCTATGTATGTGCAAACACTGAAAATATTTTCATTTTTGACATGTAGGGGAATTCAATTTGGGATTTAAATGTTAACCCAAAAGGGATCATCCATTCTCCTGCTTGCCCTTCCACATATGTTCCTCCCTCGTTCTCCCTCTCAGTGACAGTGCTGACTGCCATGACTTCCCCTCAAGAAATTCCCAGAGCCTGCTCTTTTGTGCTGTCATAAACATAAGGAGTGAAACATTGGCTGGAAATGTAAACTTGGATCGAGTTTCCAAAACACAACAGAACAATTGGTGGTCTTGTCAAGTCCAGTCCTTAAATTGGACAAAACCATAGCCTTGACTATTCTGTTGTTTATAAGGTTCATCCCATATATAAACGATTTTTTTAAAATTATGGGAGATACACATTTATAAGTGCAGTGAATCTTTGTTTAGAAAAAGCAATTTGTCTGTCTCCTGAATTGGTAAGCTTTTTCTCTTTCCTCTTTCCAGCCCAAAGTAAAACAAAGCACTGTTTCACCTTGTAATTGCGGGTGAGCCACAATGAACTTGCTCAATGTAAAGAAATCTTCATGGCACTTTAAATCATTTTGGGGAGAATATAGTTGTTAGATAAGAGGTGTTGCCTTGTGAGCCACGATTCTTGGAAAATGTCTGAGACTTAGGCACACACATGTGCACATGCAAACACTTGGGCAAACACATATGCAGCTTCCAAAGTTTTGTCAGATTTTATTAGAAGAGGATTTTCTCCTTGGCTCCGTGTACACTGCTTGTACCCTGCTAGTTAAGGGAAGTGGAAGATCCTTGGTTTATAGGGTGAAAAGCCCAAGTGGCAGGATAACCATCCATAAACCAGCCTCAGGAAGGGGCCAAGTAGGGATAACTGAAATTAGCCACTAACTGATGATAATGGGGATTATCTGGGGGTAACTTTGGGGATGCACTAAGCAACATACATTGGGGTTGCTTTTTAAGGAAAAAACAGTGTACTTCTGAGAAAGGAAATGCTTTTTGGAGTCAGGACAAATTTAGGCCTCTCTAATCTAAAAAGTCCCTTTGCCTGATTTTACGGCCATAGTGAGAAAAGAGCAAGGTAAATATACAAGGCCACCCACAGGGACACAGAGCCTTTCCCCTGCCTGTGTTCTCACTGTAAAAATATGCATGGCCACTCACACACATGCATACACACAGACACACACACATGCATTCATGCACACACACAGGTATGCACATATACATTTGCATGCACACACACACACACACACCTCAAAATTATTTCTTGATACTGCTTTGTAGAAACAGAAACAGGAACACACCATATCCAGGCTACATTTGGTAGAGAACATTCCAGCTTTGTGCCTCAGTTGATTTCCTTCTCTCTTCCTCTTGCTCTCTTTTGGTAATTTATTCACATATATATCAAACAGGAGAATATCATTTTTAAAAATGTGACTAGGCTGGGCACAGTGGCTCATGCCTATAATCCCAGCACTTTGAGAGGCTGAGTCAGGCAGATCACTTGAGCTGAGGCGTTCAAGACCAGCCTGGGCTACACGGTGAAACCTCGTCTCTACAAAAAAAAAAATAAAATAAATTAAAAAATCCCTGGTTAGGTGGTACACACCTGTATTCCCAGCTACTCAGGAGGCTGAGGTAGGAGGATTCCTTAAACCTGGGAAATTGAGGCTGTGGTGAGCCGTGATCACACCACTGCCTGCCTGGATGGAAGAGTGAGACCTGTCTCAAAAAAATAAAAAAAAATGTGACTAACAATAATATGGATATTTAACTTGCCCAGTGCGACTTATACATATGGCCACAGATACAGAACCAGGCATTAGAGAATTATCTGTATGTTTTGAACATTTTACAGGAAAATGTCCTTGGAGTTTCAACATTTCTTTGGTCTTCCACATTTCATTTTGTCCTGATTAAAGAGGAAGCCAGTTGCTGTTTGTGGTAGGTGCTCCCTGACGTGGGTGCCAGTGGAATCTCATCTTCTGGAATTTATATACTTGTGTAATCACATCCCCTGGAGTGTGTGGATTGGATGCAGTGGTGTGTCTCTAATAAATGAAATTTGGAAAAAGTGGTAAGATGTCACTTCCAAGGTTAGATTATGAAAGATGACTACTTCCTTCTTGGTTTCATCCTCTCTCTCGCCCTCTCACTTGCTCACTCTGATGAAGCAAGATGCCGTGCTGGAACCTGCCCTGTGGAGAGGCATACATGGTGAAAAACCAGGGAAGGCCTCTGAGCAACAGCTCTTGAGAAACTAAAGCCCTAAACCCATCAACTTGCAAAGAACTGCATCCTGCCACCAACTGCGTGAGTGAGGTCAGGTGGATCTTTCCCTGGTCCAGCCTTGAGATGACTGCAGTCCCAGACAACACCTTGACTGCTGCCTTGTGATGCAGCTGGCGCCAAGCAGTGCCAATTCCTGGCCCTCAAAAACCATGAGATAATAGTGCTGTTGTTGTAAGTCACCCAAGTTTGGGGTAATTTGTTATCTAGCAGTAGATAGCCAATACATCAAACTAGAAACATTCTCCATCATTGATTGGAAGACTTTGGGTTTTTAAAAAGGGTAAACACACATATACACAGCTTATTATATTTCCTTCCACATTTATTTTGGAGGGGAAATGTTTTACTTCTTATCCCACCGCTTTGCCCTTTCTAAAAGAATGTGTTAGGATTACTGTGATTCAAATGGTAAAAATTTTCCCAGTGAAATAAAGACTTTATACCAACTGGATTTCTTGCTTAGAAAGCTGTGTTTTCTCCACTAATATCTTGAATTTGATATTTTCAACTATCTCTATTGAATTCACTTGTAAATGAATTGCGTTTTTCCCTCTATTATGAACTGAATGTTTGTATCTCTTCAAAATTCATATGTTGAGGCTGTAATTCCCAGTGTGGCTATATTTAAAGATGAGGCCTCTAAGGAAGTAATTCTCGTTAAATTTGGCCATAAGATTCCCTGATCCCATCTTGGCTAACACGGTGAAACCCCATCTCTACTAAAAATACAAAAAATTAGCCGGGCGTGGTAGCAGGTACCTGTAGTCCCAGCTACTCGGGAGGCTGAGGCAGGAGAATGGTGTGAACCCGGGAGGTGGAGCTGGCATTGAGCCGAGATCGCACCACTGCACTCCAGCCTGGGAGACAGAGCGAGACTCCATCTCAAAAAAAAAGAAGAAAGAAAGAAAGAAAGAAAGAAGATTCCCTGATCCCATAGTATTAGTGTCCTCCTAAGAAGAGGAAACAGGGGAGCTCACTCTTTCTCTCCTTCTCTCCCAGTGGCCATGTGAGCAGGCAGGGAGATGGTGGCTGCCTAGAAGCCAAGAGAAGTGGCCTCAAGATGAAATCTACCTTGCTGGTACTTTGATCTTGGACTTGCAGCCTCCAGAACTGTGAGGTAAATTTCTATTAAGTGTGTGGGATTTTGTTACAGCAGCCTAAGTTGACTTCTGTACCCTCTCAGTCTGGTTTTGTTTGATCACTTCAGCAACAAAATAATGGAGAAGACAAATGCAGTTATTTGGAGGAAAGATTAAAACTTTCCTTATACAAAATTAATCCCATAAGTATTTATTAGGCAGTTATCCATGTTTGAAATTATACTAGACACTTTAGGAAATAGTTTGGTATTTACAGATTATCTCTACTTGGAATGGTCTGGTAAAAATAGGTGGGTTTTAGAATTTAATTAGTTTGAATGACTCAGCCACATATTCTTGTCCACTACCACCCACTGAAAAAATTGTCTCCAGATGTTCAACAAGGCTGAGTGATCAATAAAACTGGCAATTTGACCAGCAGTGATCTGGGACTTAAGGGAATGTACCTATGATCACATTTTGGACTTTCTGCCCCAATATTTCCAACAAAAATGACGCATATTTCACCACCTGAAGAATGGTAAGTGAATTCGTGGTGCCCAATTTGGTGTTATAAAACCCATTCTTACAACACGAAAAAATTGTTATGCATAAAACTTGTGATGAGAAACCAACATGTGGGAAATCTAGTTTGGTGAATCACAGTTTTTCTATACATGGGTTTAGAAACCACCGAGTATCTCATAGTCTATTTTTCAATAAGAATGGGGCAAAATGGTAGTATTTTATCTTCCAGAAAAAACAAAAATTAAAGAAAAACAAATCAAACCTTAAAACTTCTCTGTCAAAGATAAATGTACATTCTTCTGAATTCCCTGCCCCATCACAAGGCTTTTAGGCAGCATCTATACCAAGATAGCAATTATGCCAACCCTGAACATGTAGGTTAAACATAATCCTTATATTTTCTACCTTAACTTAAATGCTTGAAGGGTACACAATAATATATGATGATAAATTTGAAAAGGATGATTTTAATTATAATGAAGAATTTTTAACAGTTGGGAGTTGGCTGCCATTTTGAAAGATGAGATAATTATTGATAATGTGTCTGAGGCTAAGACAGAGCAAGCTGGGTCCCATTTTATTGATTTTTTTTTCTAAAATGATTAAAGTGATATATCAGAAAATACATTTAATTTATAATCCCTGCAATGAAAAAATACTCTTATATTATTTTCAACATGAAGAGCTCTGACATTCGAGCTGTATTAGGCCTTAAAAGAACTATCTCATCGGGTGATCCCACACTCATATGATTGCTGCTCTGCAAACTCAATCATTAGACCTCAGTTTAATCTTAGGGTTCTGTTCAAGGAGAATGAACTGTGCCCATATGGTATGGTTTTCTTCCAAAGGAGATTGAGAAGAGATTGTGGTTTCTTGCATTAAAGGCCATTTGGCTTCATAAGACTTATTGTTGATACTCCCTTCCTCAGAGCACAGATGTATTTCTGTTTCTGACTAGTGACTTCTGTCAGGTCTGAAATGTTAGTTTTATAGAAATCCTGGCTGTGTAAGAAGAATGGGGAAGGTGGATTGATTCCTAGTCATTGTGAACAGACATTCCTCTTCTCATGGTACCACACTTTGGACAGGTCAGCTACCCAGAGAAAGCTCTACAACCCCAACACCAACCTGGACTAGGTCCCACAAGAAAGCCTGACATGTCAGGTGCTGGGACACTCATCTCTGGCTAGTCACTGAGCCCAGCAGCTCCAGATGACCTGGCGCCACCACTTCCTGACAGCTTCTTCTAGGATCTTACATTCAGTATATCCGGTGTGACTAGTCAGAAGTCACAGAAGCCTACTCAGAAGTAAAGCTAGTGATAAGAGTTTAAATCTGTGTTCCTGCCCAAATCTCATATTAAAATGTAATCCCCATTGTTGGAGGTGGGGCCTGGTTGGAGGTGATTGGATCATGGGGGCAGATTTCTCATGAATGGTTTAGCACCATTCCCCTTGGTGCTGTCGTCACGATAGTGAATGAATTCTCATTTGACCTGGTCCTTTAAAAGTTTGCAGCACCTCTCCCAACACTCCTCCTCTTGCTCCAGCCATGTGAAGTGCCTGTCCCCTCTTTGCCTTCCATCATGATTGTAAGTTTCCTGAGGCCTCCCCAGAAGGTGAGCAGATGCCAGCATTATGCTTCCTATATAGCCTGAAGAACCATGAGCCAATTAGACCTCTTTTCTTTATAAATTACCCAATCTCAGGTATTTCTTTATAGCAATGTGAGAAGAGACTAGTACAGCAAGTGAGTCTTACAAATGAATATGTTTGCCCTTTAAAGATAATCAACTTTTAAGAACTGAATACTATTAACTGTGTTAGCTCTTGGCTGCTCTTAGGTTGGGAATGTCATACAAGGTAGGGAAAGTATGTTTTGGTGGGTAAGAGAAAAGGGAACACTTTCATACTATTGGTGGGAATGTAAACTAATATAACCACTATGGAAAAAAAGTGTGGAGATTCCTTAAAGAACTAAAAGTAGATCTACCATTTGATCCAGCAATCCCACTACTAGGTATCTACTCAGTGGAAAAGAAGTCATGATATGAAAAAGATACTTGCACATGCATATTTATAGCAGCATAATCTGCAATTGCAAAAATATGGAACCAGCCCAAATGCCCATCAATCAAGGAAAGGACAAAGAAAATGTGGTATAAATATACCACAAAATACTATTCAGCCATAAAAGAAACAAAATAATGGCACTCTGCAGCAACGTGGATGGTACTGGAGCCTATTATTCTAAGTGAAGTAACTCAGGAATGGAAAGCCAAACATGGTGTATTCTCACTCATATGTGGGAGCTAAGCTATGAGGATGCAAAGGCATAAGAATGATACAATGAACTTTGGAGACTTGAGGGAAAGGTAGGGGGTGGTGAGGGATAAAAGACTACACATTGGGTACTGCTTGGGTGATGGGTGCACCAAAATCTCAGAAATCACCACTAAAGAACTTATTCATGTAACCCATCACCACCTGTTCCCAAAAAACAAAATAAAATAAGTAAAATATTTTAAAAATTTAAAAAGAGTGAAATTTCTGGAATCAGATAGCTTGGGAAAGTCCATTAATCTTTCTGTGTCTCAGTTTTCTTATCTCTAAAACCAAAATAAAAAACAGTACTAGAATCATAGAATAATAAAGCTTAAATGATCATACTACAGAGCTAGGCTTAAATGAGCATACTACAGAGCATACTACACTTACTACAGTAAGTGTTCAATATATTAGTTTTTTGCTATTGAATAAAAATTACAACTTTCCTTGGCTTACAGGAATTGAATTTATTTTACTAAGTATATATTACTTTATATATATATATATATAATATAGTATATATATTATATATACTAAGTAGAGTGCTTCTCAAACTCTCTGCATTAAAAGGCCAGGTTTTTTGTTTGCAATCCATTGTAGCCTGATAGTTTTGCAAATTATAATCAAAACGAATTAGTAGAAAAATGAAATAAAATGAAACAAAGATATACAAAACCTAAGCTTAAACAGCTGTAAGAAGAGTTTCTAAATGCTTCCTCTCAATTTCTGTACTTCTGTCTTTGTCACTGGGTTGCATAGTTCCCAGGTGGGCACCTGTTCACAGAGTAGCACTGGAAGAAAAAAAGCAGCTGTGTTTCTGCTGGACTGTGGTGCACGTGCAGCTTCTCCTGTGTTGGGGACTCCCCTCCTCCTGAGGTGGAGCTCAGCTCTGAGGGCTAGTGCTAAAAACGTCTGGTGCTTGCAATCTCACTGTTCTTATAGCTATGGCCAGCTCAGGGCGGTGGACCTGGACCCATCAGACACACTCATACTTAGAATGCAAGCTAAACATGAGAAGAAGCAGGAAGAACACAGGAGCAAGTCCAGTAAATGGTAGAGGCAGCACCAGCAGCACCCTCTACTTCCAGAGGTAATAGTAGCCGTGATTTTAGAAGCATCATGGAAGGCAGCTGTGAATGGTCCTTCACCAGACCAGCATCCTGACATGGTTGTGGTCTGCTGTCCTCAAGGTGGAGTCTCTCTGGTTTTCAGATTCTTCTGGAGGGATAGTGATTGACCCAACACTCTTTTAACAAGTTTTTTTTTTCTGCTTAAATTAGTCGATAGATTTGTATTGCTTGAAAACTCAGAACCAGGATTAATTCATATGGATTTAGAAAAGAAAACCATGAAGATAGGTGATCCTGGCATTTGGCATCTCATCACAGCTGGGGATCCTATAGATGTTTAGAATGCTTTGGTATTGATCTCTGTATTATCATCTCATGTACTCACTCTAGCTCTACTCCTTTTTGGTCTTGTTCACAGTACATGCTAACAATACCCTTCAGTTTAGATCTGAAATCGAGCTGAAGATGGATGAATTTGATACTACCTTATGACAGGTTTAAGTGTCATGGGCTTGTAGGCAAGCCATCTGTCACAAGGATGAAAGGAACTGATCTTCCCAGAGTTTCCTTTTTTAGCCTGGGGGAATTTATACCAAGAATTCACTCTTCTGTGATACTAAGCAAAGATTTTGTTCCCTAAAGCTGATTTCTCTCATAGGAAACTGCTCATGTGAAAGCCTCCTGCCATTTAATGGGCAGCAAAGGTAATGTTTTGCTTGGTGGCTAAAGGCCTCTTTAACCTCCAGAGAGGCTAAGTATGGTGCAGACTCCCCTAGGGACACGTGTTCTTCATTCCTGGTGGAGGGCAAGCAGAGGCTATCCTGGCGTCTGGTAGGGATGCTTTAGAATTAGAAAGAAGGAGATTAAACCTGAAGATTTCTTTTCCCTTCACAACTGAGAATCAGGTTACTGTCTTTAAGGATTTCTTCTGGCCGTTATAAATGCTGGGCTTCCAGTTTAATCGGCTAGCATACTAGCATATTTTGCATGACTTCTGCAAGGAGGTAAAAGGATAAAAAAAGATGAACTTCTAGAAGTGAAAATTAATGCACTAGCTTTCATCATCAAGACAGAAATAATTCTTGAGAAAGAAAACAAGTGAAATTGTTACCCAGAAAACTATCCAAGTCTGGTCCCATTCCTAGAGCAACTGATGCAACTGATCTAGATGGACCTAAACATCAAGATTTTTAAAAAGCTCCCCAGCTTTCTGATACTAATGCAAAATGACAGAACCATTGCTTTCTGGTTTCTGGTGGAGACTCTGGGTTCTGCTTTCCCTTCTTAGGGGAGATGTAGCCAGAGTTCAGGTCAGCCAAGGGCAGCTTGAAAAGTGAGAAGGAGGCTAGGAAAGAATATATGAAGACCCTAAGTGCATTTAATCTCCTCCAAAATGTAGTGTATGGACAGAAAACTCAGCCTGGCTGCGTCTCCATTTTCTCTAGCTTCCATCACATTCTTTAATTGACTGTATGAGCTGTGCTTTAGTATGGATGAAAGGCAGTGTGGTTTAATAAAAAGGGTCACCATTAGAAAGGGTTCCAGATTTTCTGTAGGAAATACATGTGTCCAAACATTAGAGAACTCCTCAAGGAGTTGGAGATCCAGAAACTAGATCATAATTTGAGAATTAATTATAAATAGTTTGAAGATAAGTTCCAGGCTCTTTCTCCTGGGCTATGAAGATTAAATCGAGAGCCCACACTGGTCCATCTTCATGCAGAGTTGCTGGAGAACATGGAGAGAGACTTGGGGGGAAAGAAGCCATCAGTGGGTATTTGGTTAACAGCTCAGAAAGGCATTATTTGTAGGGCATCACTTTGAGTTTATTGTGTGTTTCAGTATGTATAAGTATCAGGAGTTTATTGACAGAAATATTGACATCTCCCTAAACAGCTTCCATTATAGCTACTGTAGAAGTAACTTCAGTCCTCTATAATCCCTGACTCCCCGCAACTTCTGCAGTGTTCTTTGTTCAAAAAGATGTGGCTGACCTTGAGGGTGGCGTGCTCTGTGAAGTGCCTGCCAGAACAACTGAAGGATTTACATAGCCTTTTCACACTCACGTTGTCCTCATAGTGCAGCACTTTGGGGAGCTCATTGGTCTGGGTTTTGGTCTGCATTTGTAGCTAAGCTACACTCCCAGAGGGCTGAAACCCAGCACCTCGCCCCTTTAGGACTAGGCCTGAAAGTCTGGTAAGGCTAGAAGGTCATGCGAGAAACTGTATGAAGAGACACAGAGTAAGGATGGGCATGAGAGATGAACACGAACAAGTGTGGAAGATCAGAATTTTTTCAGAGGGTAACTGGTTATAAGTGCTATGTTTCTCTTTAGCGGGAATATTAAAAATATAGTAATTTCTTTAGCAAACAGGTGATCAGACCCGCAAAAATTTAGAAAGCATTATGAGTTATTTTAAAAAGAGAAACTCAGTACCACAGATAGGCTTGGCAATGCAGAAATAACAGTAGACTAAAAATTAATATTACTAATTTTCTCTTTGCTTTATTAATTTCCTCTATTACAGAATCTGTCTTTTGCTACCTACAGAGAGATGGCTCCACATAATCATTTTACATTATTTTATTATTCATTGTTATTTACCTTGCCAAGTGCATAGATCTACACAGCAAAAAATTAGAATGACAAAGATAGGCTGTTTGTATCATCCCAACTGCATCTCTTCAGTCTCTATGGAATTGAAATACGATTAAATGAATCCCTCATGAAAATTAACAGGCAACAAGAAGGAAATTATTATTTCTGTTGCCATTTCACATTAGTCTAACTTTTCTTTGAATATTGCATTATAAAGTCAATAGAAACTATGCAAAGTGACTGAGCAAGAGCTTTCCATTCAAATTCTCAAATAGGCTCATTCATTTTCATAACCCAAATATAATCATGGAATAAGTAGGAGGACTTCTGGAGACTTGAAACAATTTTTACATGTTACTGAAGAGAAAACTGCTGCAAATGTCAAGAGTTGCAGATATGTTGTGAAGCCAGCGACAGCTTTTCAGGAAAAATGGGATGCTGTGTGCTGGGGGTTTGATTTGTCTTTGGTAGTAACTAGCTATGTGATCAGATACAAGCCAGCTGACCTTTCTGAATTTGGAATAAACGCTGATATCTAGAAAAAGCAAATTCACAGTGATGTTAAATATTTAAAATCTCTGCTCTTTGACATACAAAACTTTAGAGGAATGAACCCAGGTTTAGAATGCCTTTTCAGTTCTTCATTCATCAATTCACAAAATACTTAGTAACCATCTCCCACTAGTAGGGCTCAGTGCCTCACACTGATAAATTTGTTTCATTCTGCAAACTATCAGGCATCATGTAGTGAAAATACTTTCTAAAAGGCATTACCTGACTTTAGTTTTCTAATTGCTTATTTTAAAGAAATTGAAATAAGAGCTCCCATAAGTGGAACTTAGATGACAAATATACCTAACTATAACACAGAAAGGTTAAAAAATAGATACAGGTTAATAGTTTCTTACTATAAGAAGTAAAGTCAGTTTCTTATTTTGATGTCCATGTGCAGTAACTGGTAGAGTTTCTAAGTTTCACGTTTCTAATACTCAAATGAAGAGAAACCTTTGAACATGGAGCTTAAAAGCAATGCCCTTACTGAGTGCAAAATCAACACATTAGCTATAAATTAATCAACTAAAATGTCATATTTTCAAACTAACTTTAAATGCAACATAATAAGTATCTAGTTTAAAATAATGGGAACACCTTTTTTTTTTAATTATTATACTTTAAGTTCTGGGACACATGTGTAGAACGTTCAGGTTTCTTACATAGATATACATGTGCCATGGTGGTTTGCTGCACCCATCAACCCGTCATCTACATTAGGTATTTCTCCTAATGCTATCCCTCCCCTAACCCCCCACCCTCTGACAGGCACCCATGTGCGATGTTCCCTTCCCTGTATCCATGTGTTCTCATTGTTCAACTCCCACTTATGAGTGAGAACATGCGGTATTGGGTTTTCTGTTCTGTTAGTTTGCTGAGAATGATGGTTTCCAGCTTCATCCATGTCCCTGCAAAGGACATGAACTCATTCTGTTTTATGGCTGCATATTATTCCATGGTGTATATTTGCCACATTTTCTTTATCCAGTCTATCACTGATGGGCATCTGGGTTGGTTCCAAGTCTTTGATATTGTGAATAGTGCTTTAATAAACATACGTGTGCATGTGTCTTTATAGTAGAATGATTTATAATCCTTTGGGTATATACCCAGTAATGGGATTGCTGGGTCAAATGGTATTTCTAGTTCTAGATCCTTAAGAAATTGCCACACTGTCTTCCACAATGGTTGAACTAATTTACACTCCCACCGTCAGTGTAAAAGCTTTCTTATTTCTCCACATCCTCTCCAGGATCTGTTGTTTCCTGACTTTTTAATGATCACCATTTTAACTGGTGTGAGATGGTATTTCATTGTGGTTTTGATTTGCATTTCTCTAATGGCCAGCGACGATGAGCTTTTTTTCATGTTTGCTGGCCGTATAAATGTCTTCTTTTGAAAAGTGTCTGTTCATATACTCTGCCCAATTTTTGATGGGGTTTTTTGTTTTTTTCTTGTAAATTTGCTTAAGTTCCTTGTAGATTCTGGGTATTAGCTCTTTGTCAGATGGATGGATTGCAAAAATTTTCTCCCATTCTGTAGGTTGCCTGTTCACTCTGATGATAGTTTCTTTTCCTGTGCAGAAGCTATTTAGTTTAATTAGATCCTATTTGTCAATTTTGGCTTTTGTTGCCATTGCTTTTGGTGTTTTAGTCATGAAGTCTTTGCACATGCAATGGTATTGCCTAGGTTTTCTTCTAGGGTTTTTATGGTTTTAGATCTTATGTTTACATCTTTAATCTATCTGGAGTTAATTTTTGCGTAAGATGTAAGGAAGGGGTCCAGTGTCAACTTTCTGCCTATGGCTAGCCAATTTTCCTAGCACCATTTATTAAATAGGGAATCCTTTCCCCACTGCTTGTTTTATCAGGTTTGTCAAAGATCAGATGTGTGTAGATGTGTGACGTTATTTCTGAGGCCTCTGTTCTGTTCCATTGGTCTATATATCTGTTTTGGTACCAGTACTATGCTGTTTTGGTTATTTTAGCCTTGTAGTATAGTTTGAAGTCAGGTAGCGTGATGCCTCCAGCTTTGTTCTTTTTGCTTAGGATTTTCTTGGCTATATGGGCTCTTTTTTCATTCCATATGAAATTTAAAGTAGGTTTTTCTAATTCTGTGAAGAAAGTCAATGGTAGCTTGATGGGGATAGCATTGAATCTATAAATTACTTTGGGCAGTATGGCCATTTTCACAATATTTATTTTTCCTATCCATGAGCATGGAATGTTCTTCCATTTGTTTGTGTCCTCTCTGATTTCCTTGAGCAGTGGTTTGTAGTTCTCCTTGAAGAGGTCCTTCACATCCCTTGTAAGTTGTATTCCTAGGTATTTTATTCTCTTTGTAGCAATTGTGAATGGGAGTTTGCTCATGATTTGGCTGTTTGTCTATTATTGGTGTATAGGAATGGTTGTGATTTTTGCACATTGATTTTGTATCCTGAGACTTAGCTGAAGTTGCTTATCAGCTTAAGGAGTTTCTGGGCTGAGATGATGGGGTTCTCTAAATATAAAATCATGTCATCTGCAAACAGAGATAAATTGACTTCATCTCTTCCTATTTGAATATGCTTTATTTCTTTCTCTTGCCTGACTGCCCTGACCAGAACTTCCAATACTATGTTGAATAGGAGTGGTGAGAGAGGGCATCCTTGTCCTGTGCTGGTTTTCAAAGGGAATGCTTCCAGCTTTTGTCCATTCAGTATATTGGCTGTGGGTCTGCCATATACAGCTCTTATTATTTTGAGACATGTTTCATCAATACCTAGTTTATTGTGTGTTTTTAGCATGAAGGGCTGTTGAATTTTGTCAAAGGCTTTTTCTGCATCTTTTGAGATAATCATGTGGTTTTTGTCGTTGGTTCTGTTTATGTGATGGATTACGTTTATTGATTTGCATATGTTGAACCAGCTTTGCATCCCAGGGATGAAGCTGACTTGATTGTGGTGGATAAGCTTTTTAATGTGCTACTGGATTTGGTTTGCCAGTATTTTATTGGGTATTTTCGCATTGATCTTCATCAGGGATATTGGCCTGAAATTTTCTTTTTTTGTGTGTGTCTCTGCCAGGTTTTGTTATTAGGATGATTTTGGCCTCATAAAAAATGAGTTAGGGAGGATTCCCTCTTTTTCTATCGTTTGGAATAGTTTCAGAAGGAATGGTACCAGCTCCTCTTTGTACCTCTGGTAGAATTCAGCTGTGAATACACCTGGTCCTGGGCCTCTTTTGGTTGGTAGGCTATTAATTGCTGCCTCAATTTCAGAACTTGTTATTGGTCTAGTCAGGGATTTGACTTCTTCCTGGTTTAGTCTTGGGAGGGCGTATGTGTCCAGGAATTTATGCACTTCTTCTAGATTTTCTAGTATATTTGTGTAGAGGTGTTTATGGTATTCTCTGAGAGTACTTTGTATTTCTGCGGGATCAGTGATGATCTCCCCTTTATCATTCTTTTATTGTGTATATTTGATTCTTCTCTATTTTCTTCTTTATTAGTCTGGCTAGTGGTCTATCTATTTTGCTATTCTTTTCAAAAAACCACCTCCTGGATTCATTGATTTTTTTGAAGGGTTTTTTTGTGTCTCTATCTCCCTCAGTTCTGCTCTAATCTTTGTTATTTCTTGTCTTCTGCTGGCTTTTGAATTTGTTTGCTCTTGCTTCTCTAGTTCTTTTAATTGTGATGTTAGGGTGTCAATTTTAGATCTTTCCCGCTTTCTCCTGGGGGCATTTAGTGCTATAAATTTCCCTCTAAACACTGCTTTAGCTGTGTCCCACAGATTCTGGTACATTGTGTCTTTGTTCTCATTGGTTTCAAACAACTTATTCATTTTTGCCTTAAGTCATTCAGGAGCAGGTTGTTCAGTTTCCATGTAGTTGTGCAGTTTTGAGTGAGTTTCTTAATCCTGAGTTCTAATTTGATTGCACTGTGGACTGACAGACTCTTTCTTATGATTTCCATTCTTTTGCATTTGCCGAGGAGTGTTTTACTTCCAATTATGTGGTTGATTTTAGAATAAGTGCTATGTGGTGCTGAGAAGAATGTATATTCTGTTGATTTGGGGTGGAGAGTTCTCTAGATGTCTATTAGGTCCACTTGGTCCAGAGCTGAGTTCAAGTCCTGAATATCCTTCTTAATTTTCTGTCTTGTTGATATGTCTAATATTGATAGTGGGGTGTTAAGGTCGCTCACTATTATTGTGTGGGAATCTACATCTCTATGTAGTCTCTATGAACTTGCTTTATGAATCTGGGTGCTCCTGTATTGGGTGCAAATATATTTAGGATAGTTAACCCTTCTTGTTGCAGTGATCCCTTTACCATTATGTAATGTCCTTCTGTCTTTTTTGATCTTTGTTGGTTTAAAGTCTGTTTTATCAGAGACTAGGATTGCAACCCCTGTTTTTTTTCTTGCTTTACATTTGCTTGGTAAATCTTCCTCCATCTGCTTATTTTGAGCCTATGTGTGTCTTTGCACATGAGATGGGTCTCCTGAATACAGCACAGCGATGGGCCTAGACTCTCTATCCAATTTGCCAGTCTGTGCCTTTTAATTGGGGAATTTAGTCCATTTACATTTAAGGTTAATATTGTTATTGTTATTGTTATTGTTATGTGTGAACTTGATCCTGTCATTATGATGCTAGCTGGCTAGTTGATGCAGCTTCTTCATAGTGTTGATGGTCTTTACAAGTTGGTATGTTTTTGCAATGGCTGGTACCAGTTTTTCCTTTCTGTATTTAGTGCTTCCTGCTCTTGTAAGGCAGGTCTGGTGGTGACAAAATCCCTCAGTATTTCCTTGTCTGGAAAGGATTTTATTTCTCCTTTGCTTATGAAGCTGTTTGGCTGGATATGAAATTCTGGGTTGAAAATTCTTTTAAGAATGTTGAATATTGTCCCCCACTGTCTTGTGGCTTGTAGGGTTTCTGCAGAGAGATCCGCTCTTAGTCTGCTGGACTTCCCTTTGTGGGTAACCCGACCTTTCTCTCTGGCTGCCCTTAACATTTTTTCCTTCATTTCAACTTTGGGGAATCTGATGATTGTGTGTCTTGGAGTTGCTATTCTTGAGGATTATCTTTGTGGTGTTCTCTGTATTTCATAAATTTGAATGTTTGCCTATCTTGCTATGGTGGATAAGTTCTCCTGAATAATATCCTGAAGTGTGTTTTCCAACTTGGTTCCATTCTCCCCATCACTTTCAGGTACATCAATCAAACGTTGGTTTTTTCACATAGTCCCATATTTCCTGGAGGCTTTTTCCTTCCTTTTCATTCTTTTTTCTCTAATCTTGTCTTCATGCTTTAATGATCTTCAATCTCTGATATCCTTTCTTCCACTTGATCAATTCAGCTATTGATACTTGTGTATGCTCCACGAAGTTCTCGTGCTGTGTTTTTCAGCTCCATCAGGTCATTTAAGTTCTTCTGTAAACTAGTTATTCTAGTTAGCAATTCCTCTCACCTTTTATCAAGGTTCTTAGCTTCCTTGCATTGGGTTAGAACATGCTCCTTTAGCTCAGAGGAGTTTGTTATTACCCACCTTCTGAAGCCTACTTCTGTCAATTCGTCAAACTCATTCTCCATCCACTTTTGTTCCCTTGCTGGCAAGGAGTTGTGATCTTTTGGAGGAGAAGAGGCATTCTAGTTTTTGGAATTTTCAGCCTTTTTGTGCTGGTTTTTCCTCATCTTCGTGGATTTATCTACCTTTGGTCTTTGGTGTTGGTGACCTTTGGATGGAGCTTTTGCATTGTCATCCTTTTTGTTGATGTTGATGCTATTGCTTTTTGTTTGTTAGTTTTCCTTCTAACAGTCTGCAGGTCTGCTGGAGTTTGCTGGGGGTCCACTCCAGACCCTGTTTGCCTGGGTGTCACCAGCAGAGGCTGCAGAACAGCAGATATTGCTGCCTGCTCCTTCCTGTGGAAGCTTCATCCCAGAGGGACACCTGCCAGATGCCAGCAAGAGCTCTCCTGTATGAGGTGTTTGTCAGCTCCTGCTGGGAGATGTCTCCCCATCAGGAGGCACGTGGGTCAGGGACCCACTTGAGGAGGCAGTCTGTCCCTTAGCAGAGCTTGAACGCTGTGCTGGGAGATCTGCTGCTCTCTTCAGAGCTGGCAGGAAGGAACGTGTAAGTCTGCTGAAGCTGTGCCCACAGCCGCCCCTTCCCCTGGGTGCTTGCCTGAGTGAGATGGGAGTTTTATCTATAAGCCCCTGAGTGGGGCTGCTGCCTTTCTTTCAGAGATGCCCTGCTCAGAGAGGAGGAATCTAGAGAGGCATTCTGGCTATAGTGGCTCTGTGGCACTGTGGTGGGCTCCACCCAGTCCAAACTTAGTGGGAACACTTTAATATAACTTCTTTAATTTACAAGTGATATAACTACATAATAAAAATGTGATAGAAAAACTAATTTATAGTCAATATACCCAGCAAAACCAGCATGAACATGTTTGAGTAATCCCCCCACCATCTTTTTCTTACTAAATTTCCCTCTACCCTAACTGACACTCCAAAAAACCCTTAATCTTTTCCTTCCTTCCAGGTGTATCTAACCTCATCCTCTCTACTGCCACAGGAGGGACTTTTCTGATCCGTGCATTTGTTTCTCCATTCTCCCTCTTCAAATGCTCCAGCAGTGCCTTGGAGTCTTTGGGATAAGTCCACACTCCACAGCATGGTCTTTAAGCCTCTTGATTTTGTCTGTGCCACCTCACCAACCTCTGCTCTTCATACATTGCCACACCCCCATCTCCATGCAACCCCTGAATGCCTGCTTATGATTTTAAACTCAACCCTGGCTCACCAACTCCAAAACATCATCCCCATCCCACCCCCATGGATCATTTAGGTTGGTAGGTCCCTTCTTTTCCCCCCTCACCATACCTTGACAATAGCAACTAACTTATTATTGTTATTATTGACAGAGGGTCTCACTCTGTCACCCATCCTGGAGTACAGTGGTGCAATCGCGGATCACTATATCCTTAAGCTCCTGGGTTTAAGTGATCCTTCCACCTCAGCCTCCTGCGTAGCTGATACTACAGGAGTGTGCCACCACATCCAGCTAATTTTTGTATTTTTTGTAAAGACAGGATTTCATCATGTTGCCCAGGCTGGTCTGGAACTCCTGGACTCAAGTGATCTGCACATCTCAGCCTCCCAAAGTATTGGGATTACAGGTGTGAGCCACCATGGCCAGCTTAATTATTATTTTGATGATTCCCCAAAACAGTATTGATGAAAACCGTGAGATTACATAGCAACAATATGTATTCCCAAAACACCAATTTTACTCAGTGGCGTAGTTTTAAACACTTCATGACAAAATATATGCTCAAAATATGTTTTGAAGATTGACTACTAATCTGGGCACTGGGGATACAGCGGCGAACAAAACATATAAAAATCTCTATTTAGGGATCCCTAAATCCTGCTTAGGGATCTGCTATTTAGAGAAGGATTTGGATAAGATACCAAAACAAATTAGTAAATTCTATATTATATTGGAAAGCATTAAGAGGGAAGATGACGTAATTTATTGTCTCAGTCTGGACAATTCTTGCGTGAAAGAAGTGCCCCTGATAATTACACCAGGGCCACATGTGTCGGCCGGAAGTACGGCTGATAACAACATTAAAGCAGTGTTTGTTAACGGGGACTGTCCCATTTAGCCTGGGGAGCATGATGTGGTAGGCAGCTTCTGACAAGGCTCCCCCAAATGCCTGCTTCCTGGTATTCACACCCTTGTGTAATCACCTCTAACTATGGGCTAGACCTAGTGACTTCCTTCTAACAAAGAAAATATAGGCAAAGTGATGGGATATCACTTCCAAGATTAGGCTACAAAGTCTGTGACTCCCGTCTTACTAGCACTCTCTCTTGCCTTCTAGGCTTGTCCATTTTAATGAGAAGCTTATGTGGCATGGAACTGAGTTCACCCCCAACCAGCAGCTGGTGAGGAATGGAGCTCTTCGTTCAATGACTCATAATGAGCTTTGAGACAACCAAAGCCCCCTAGCTAACCTGTGCCTGGATTCCTGGCCCACAAAGACAGTGAGAGAGTAAGTACGTATTGTTTGAAGTCCCTTAGTTTTGGGGTGATTTGTTACACAGCGATAGTTAACTCTTATATACAATTACTCTAGTGGCAAGTACTACGGGGAAAAAAATGAAGTAGGGAAGAGAACTAGAATGTGATGAGGTTGGGGGTGAGGGATGAGTTGAAATCTTAAGTAGCATGACCAAGGAAGGACTTTAAGGAGGAGGTTCCATTGAATGGAAACTTGACAGAGGTGAGATTGTGTCATGTAGACATCTGCGGGGAGATCCTTCCAGGCTGAGGGGCATGGATTTGTAATGAGGTGGAGGTGAAAATTCATATGTGCCAACCATCTTCTGAGTGCTTTACCTATACCTTCACATGCTGTCCACACAGAAGCCTAAGCGACAGGTTCTGGATTCTATCCATGTACAGAATGTGGCCACTCAGATTTAGTTCCCCAAATCACACTGCAGTAGCATTGATGCTGGGTACTAAACACAGTTCTGTTGAGTCCAAGTCCATGCCGGAGAAGGTATCTTAGTTTCCTTTTGCTGCTGTAATGAATTATCATGGACTTAGTGGCTTAACACATGCAAATTTATAATTTTACAGTTTTGTGGGTCAGAATTCTGGCATGGATCTCACCAGGCTAAGATCAAGGCATCAGGAGAGCTGCATTCTTTTCTGGAGGTTCTAGAGGCAAACTCATTTATCTTCTCATTCAGACTGTTGACAGAATTCCACTGTAGGACTTGGCTTTGCAGGTTGTAGGTTCCTGTTGCCTTGCTGGCTTGCCAGCCAGGGGCTGCTCCCTGATTCTAGAGGACACCCACATTCCTTGGCCCATGGTCCCTTTCCTCCATTTTTTTTTTTTTTTTTTTTTTGAGACGGAGTCTTGCTCTGTCGCCACGCTGGAGTACAGTGGCGCAATCTCAGCTCACCGCAACCTCCGCCTCCCGGGTTCAAGTGATTCTCCTGCCTCAGCCTCCTAAGTAGCTGAGACTACAGGTGCACACCACCACACCCGGCTAATTTTTGTATTTTTACCAGAGACGGGGTTTCACCATGTTGGCCAGGATGGTCTTGATCTCTTGACCTTGTGATCCGCCTGCCTCACCCTCCCACAGTGCTGGGATTACAGGCATGAGCCACTGCACCCAGCCCTTTTCCTCCATTTTTAAAGCCAGCAACAGTGGGTAGAGTCCCTCTAACACTTTGAATCTTTCCTGCCTCTTTGTTGTGGTTGTGTTTCTTCTGCCTGTCTCTTCCACTTTAAGCACCCAGGTGATCAGACTGAGCCCACTTAAGTAATCAAGATTAATCTCCCTCTATTAAGTTCAGTAACCTTAATTCAATCTGCAAAATCCTTTTTGCCATTTAATAGAACTCATTCACAGATTCCAGAGATTGGCATACAGACACTTTGGGGGCCATTATTGTACTTCCCAGAGGGGCATTTTGGGAAAACAATATCAGAATTACTGAAGATACAAGGATGTTCTGTTGGAGTTGAAACACAAGTAAACCAGTCACTGCTGTGACAGGTCTATGTGATAGATGTTATTTATGGGACTGACACCAACTTCCTTAGACTGAAGGACTGTCAAGACAGGCTTTCTGTAGGACGTGTGTTTGAGTTAAGTCTTAAGGATAGTCAGGAGAAGGTGGAGATGATAGGTAGTCTTCTAGAGAGAGGAAGCCTGGAGCAAAATCACTAAGTTGATGAACAGCATGCCCAGTTTAAAGAACTGTATGCTAAGAACTGAAAGCCACCTGCTTTAGGGAAGGGAAGACTGTGAGTGATTCCAAGTCTGAGAGAACAGGGGACTTTAGTGCATAGTGAGTACTGAAACTTTATCCTAAAGGATATGGATTTGAATTTACAAGGTCTTCTAATTAAAGAGATTTGAATATCAGGATTTATATGTAGAGTGGAAAAAAAGCGCTGCTCTATGCCTCACCTCCAAATTTATTTCCTACCATAATGTATCTTTCTTAAGTTTCTAACTTAACTCTCAAGTTAGACAGGGACAAAAGTTGGTTCATTCTACCCCATTCCATATAAGTGATGGGCATTAATAGACTGGGTTAAAAAAATGTGGTACATATACACCATGGAAGACTATACAGCCATAAAAAGGAATGAAATTGTGTCTTTTGCAGGGATATGGATGAAGCTGGAAGCCATCATCCTCAGTAAACTAACACAGTAACAGAAAACCAAATACCGCATATTCTCACTTATAAGTGGGAGTTGAACAATGAGAACACATGGACACAGAGGGGGAACAACACACGCCAGGTCTTGTTGGGGGGTGGGGGGTGAGGGGAGGGAAATTAAAGGATGGGTCAATAGGTGCGGCAAACCACCATGGCACACATATGCCTATGTAACAAACCTGCACATTCTGCACATGTATCCCATTTTTTTTTAGAAGAAATAAAAAAAAAGTAATGGGCATTAGCTACAGATAAAGTTAAAGGAAAAAATACAGGAACAATTTCTCAGAAGTATCATTTGAAAACTTCTGATCATGAGTGGCTAGCTATCTGCACATATGTGTTATATTACTGTATTCACAACCTGTGAATGTTTTGGTGGTTTTCTCTGATAATGCACATTATATATTAGACATTGATGTCAGTGACTTAACTAATTCTAGCAATGGTTAGGAAAACATCTTGGTCCAGTAACATTTTTCACTCAGCTAATAATTCCACAGTTGCAAGGCTCATTCCTGTGTCTACATGTGACAAATAACATGTAGAACTGCAGCCATAATTGAAAACAAAATCTACCTCTGTTTCATTCGCACAATTTCTAGGGAAAAGGAGACTTTTTTTTCCAGTAACAAAACTGTCATATAGATTTTATCCTAGGAGAAAAAATACAAACAATTTTATTTCTGTAAGAATTATTTGGCTATGGTGGGCCTTCTGGTCTAAGGGGTCCCATTGTTGTCATCTTTAAAGATAATAAGAATGGGTAGGAGATCTACTCTTAACGAAAACTAGAGAATTACATGTTCTGGTGTCAGGGAGGGAGCAGTTACTTTATGTGGGCATTTTCCCTGAAGCTGTTATTTAGGGGATTGTTTTCTCTGACCTTTGAAGCACTTTTAATTTTTTCAACATGTAAAGAAAGGCCAGCATTTCATCTCACAACAATTATGATGAAAATAGCTCTAAGTAAAAGTGAGTTGAAAGGAACTGTCCTCACCACATGGTTCTATTGTATATTGTTTTCAAGAAGGCATTTTAAGGAGAGAGAAGGGAGGAGGGAAGAAGAAGGGGAAAAAAGGGAGACAGAAATAGAAGTGGGGGTGGGGAGAGAGAGAGAGACCCAGAGACCAAGAACGGAGTAAGCAAAATGCTGAGTGAAGATGTAAAGGGATTAGGAGAGAGGGTGCTAAGAGTGAGAGGCTTGTCATCAATTCTTAGCTTCATCCGTGGGTCTGTGAAGTGTGATGGAGAGGCAGCATTATGCAGTGCAGGAATTAAGTCTAAGTTATAGAAGTATCTTTGCTTCTAGATCCTCCTGACATATATAATCTCAATTCAAATCTTTCTCTCTTTAAAGCCCTCTTCGAACATTCAGGTAAGCTCCAATTTGCTTTTAAGCTGTTTTCTCCCTGTGGGACCAGGATCTAATCAGTCTCATTATGGATAGCTATGGTACTCATTCAACCTCCTTGCAACCTTTCCTTTGGGAACAGCCCTTCCTTCAGCTCGTAGCATTTAGATGGAGCTGTCAGTCAGGGCGTTACTCCTCTCCCACAGAAGCTGGACAAATGATGCTTACTTACCCATCAGAGACCTTTTGGGGGCTGGAATGGATGTTTGGAGCCAGAGATGGTTTCTCTCCTTATGAAATTTTGAGTTATAATGACCACTTAAGTTTAAAATGGTAATCCTTCCCATCATGTAAAGAGAATCCTTCAGCAAATGAAAGCAGCACTGCCAGAAATCAGAGCCAAGTCTTGGAGGGAGAATCAGTTCCTGAGATCATTCACAGAATGTCTGAATTTAGCCAGCCTAAAGGAAGACAATACCAGACCTTTTTATCTGCAGCAGCCAATAGACTCCATCTTAAGTTGAGGCTAGTTTGAGCTTGCATTCTTTTCCCTGCAATGGAAAAGGCCTTAGATATAATAATATTTCTTTAATATTTTCTTAAGATGGATTTCAATAGAAATTAGAATCTACTGAACCTGCTGACTTATTCTACTGCAACGTAAACCATGTGTCTTGGCTACATTTCAGCATTAACAAATCTGCACTACTTTTCTGGTTCCTCCCAGTAACTTTATTCTACTTGTTCTGTGACACTTGTGTTAAGCGATTTCTGCCAAGTTTGGTTACTCTTCTCTGAGAGACCTAACAGATAATCTTATTTTCATCCATTCTTAGCACCTCGCAGTCCTCAATACCCATCCGTAACTCTAGTCAATAGACCATCAGTGATAGGGAACCACCTACAACTCTAGAATATCAATGACAGGGCTTCTGGAAATGGTGTCTTAGTCCATTTGGATTGCTATAAAGGAATACCTAGGCTGAGTAATTCAGAATGGAAAAAAAAAGTTTGATTTACAATTCTAATGACCACCAAGTACAAGATTAGGCACTGATAGAGAACCACCTACAACTCTAGAATATCAGTGACAGGGCTTCTAGAAATGGTGTCTTAGTCCATTTGGGTTGCTATAAAGGAATACCTAGACTGGGTAATTCAGAATGAAAAAAAAGTTTGTTTGATTTACAATTCTAATGACCACCAAGTTCAAGATTAGGCAGTGATAGGGAACCACCTACAACTCTAGAATATCAATGACAGGGCTTCTAGAAATGGTGTCTTAGTCCATTTGGGTTGCTATAAAGGAATACCTAGACACTCATGTTAAGTGATTTCTGCCAAGTTTGGTTACTCTTCTCTGAGAGACCTGACAGATAATCTTATTTTCATCCATTCTTAGCACATCACAGTCCTCAATACCCATCCGTAACTCTAGTCAATAGACTATCAGTGATAGGGAACCACCTACAACTCTAGAATTGATTTACAATTCTAATGGCTACCAAGTTCAAGATTAGGCATCTAGTGAGGGCCAACAGCTGCTTCCACTCATGGTGGAAGGCGAGGAGGACCCTGCATGGGCAGAGAGCATACAAAGAGAGGAAGCATGAGAGAGTGAGGAGGTACCAGGTTCTTTTTAACAACCAGCTCTCTTGGTGAACTAACAGGGTGAGAACTCACTCATCACCAAAAGAGAGCATTATTCTATTCATGAGGGCTCTGTCTCCATGACCCAAATACCTCCCACTAGGCCCCACCTCCCAGGACTGACACACTGATGAAATTTCAACATGAGATTTGGTGGTGACAAATGAACCATATCCAAACCATAAGAGACAGCAAGAGGAACACAGAAATGGTGCCAGACAGTAAAAGGAATTTTGTCACCAATGTGAGGTCACATCGACCATTCTCCATGGCTCCCATGTAGATATTTTATGACCCTAGCCCACGTGGATCACATCAGACTGGTACCTGTCAAATTCCTGCCTTGATTTATGTGAATATAACTCTATATTCTCTGGCAAAAGCACATGAAAAAAGACTTTTTCTTCTTAAATAAAAATGGGCCCTTAAAAAGAAAATGATGACCAGAAAGCACATGTTCCAAGTGGAAAAGGTTAACACTGAAAATCTTTAATTTTAGGGATTTCCTCAGTTCTTCTCTTAAGCTTCTATTTCTCGCTTTCCATCCTTGGGTTTTTGCTACTTATTGCTACCTGCACTAGAGAGCAAATAAAATGAAATCTAATTTAGAGTGGACGTCTGCTACCTCACAGTGCCCTTTGGGAAATTTTAGTACAAGAGGTCACTGTTTAAACACTTTGCTATACATCATGTGTGGGGATTGCAGTCAACCGAGATACCCCTGTGCAGTGTACACACACCCATACATAAGAACATGCTCTCAATACACACAGATGTGCACATGTAGTAAAATGTTTGAGTTCCCCAGGGGCTTTCTTAGATGGGAATGAGCAGCCCTACTGGCCTCAGGTTTTGGATGTGGCATAGGATAGGGAGTATGGGACAGAATCCCTTTCCTCCACGTCAGTAAGGACGAGGCTCCACCCCAGCTGGACTCTCAGGGAGTTGAGGTTCCTTTCTGCTGCACATCAGCACTCCCTGCTTCTGCCCCAAATCAGCTTTGCCCACCTTCCCACTGCCACATCATCCAGCTGCTTCAGTGGCATGTTCCTGTTCTGCATGGCAGGGGACCCAACTCAGCCCATGAAGCCACTGAAATACAGGAAAGAGCATCTTCATTGAAGCCACTGGAGCATGGGAAAGAGCACCACCAGCTCCCTGCTCGCTAGCTGTGAACCTCAGGTACTCTACAGATCTTTGAGTTGTTTCCTTAATTTGTTAATTGAGAATAAAAATGACTGCCTAATAAGAGTCTTGTGAGGATTCAGTACAATAATATACATAAAATGCCCGGTTTTTGTAGATGTTCAATAAAGGTCTGTATTAGTCTGTTTTTATGCTGTTGATAAGGACATAGCCGAGACAGGGCAATTTACAAATGAAAGGGGTTTAATGGATTCACAGTTCCATGTGGCTGTGGAGGCCTCACAATCATGGTGGAAGGTGAAAGGCACGTTTCACATGGTGGCAGACAAGAGAAGAATGAGAGCCAAGTGAAAGGCATTTCCCCTTATAAAACCATCAGATCTTGTGAGACTTATTCACTACCACGAGAACAGTATGGGGGAAACCGCCCCCATGATTCAGTTATCTTCCACAGGATCCCTCCCACAACATGAGAGAATTATGGGAGCTACAATTCAAGATGAGATTTGGGTGGGGACACAGTCAAACCACATTAAGGTCATTTCTCCATTCTTTTCTTTCCATTCTCAAAGACAGTCAGTGTTAAAACTCTTTCCATAAGTTTAATTTTCCATGTCACCTTATACCACTAATTATGCCTGGCCTATAGTAGATACTCCATAAATAAATGTTTAATAAACAATTAAATGAAGTCTGGCTGATCATATATTAAAATATGTATTTGTAGAAGATTACTGCAACCTAGGTCCTTAGACAAATGGAGTTGGAATATGGCGGATATAACAGGGTGAGCATGTGCCACGTTTTTCAGAAGGAGCCCAACAATGTGCCACATTGCACCAGGTGACCTGAAGAGGGCTGCTGATTTTCTGTGGTCAACACCCCACGACTTCAGGACACCAGCAGGGCTGGTTATGTTAATAGGACTATGCTACCAGCTCTCTCTCTTCTGTTCATATCCCTGCTGCTATATTCTAGAGAAGCCTGTGTTTCTATCTTTGCTTGGCCTTAAAACCAGAGGTTGGGAAGTATGGGTAATAAGGTCTGCTCCATGCAGTCCTCTATGCTCAGTGGCTCTGAGAATCACCAAGTACAGTGTAGTTTCCCACTGAGTCAGTATAGATGTCCTTTGTTGGGTGTCCGTGCAACTGTCACTACCTTATGCCCCATCACTCTGTGCCATAGCAAAGATGCCTTTTGCCTTCAACCACATAGGTGGCTGAGCAAGAGAGGGCTTTGGCTTGACAGAAGATCTCAAGCATTTGCTTTCTGCCTTCTAGTTTGAGTGGTTGTTGTTGCTCTTTTCAAAGACTTCAGATACAGGGACAATGTAAATGTCAGTCATTCTGGTAATATCCTTGCATATGTGGTCTGTGAGGCAGCCATCCTTGGGAGCTTGTGCCTGTGTCTGAATTATAAGAAAGTGTGATGACAATGGCACTCCTGTTTCAAGTTTTAGGTATCAGTACTGCCATGGTCACACCTGGGCCTAAGAAACCACCTATTATCTTGGTAAGGCCAATTAAGCCACAAAACATGCAGTGTTAAAGAATACACACTGGGTACAGATGTACCACTGTGGAATGCCATGTAGCAAATATTATCTTGAAGCACATTCTAGGGTAGCAAAAAGTGTGGTGCAGACAGCCTAGAAATGAGAATCAGCAGATAAGAACTGCGGTTCCACCATAACTGCTAACCAGCTGTTTGACCTTGGCAAAGATACTTAACCTCTTTGGACCTTAGCTTCTCTAAGTATATAATTAGACATCTGGTCTAGACAATTAGTTTCTAAATCTCCTGTCAACTCTAATACTCTATGATTATTTCGGCCCATAGTCTAGTAATTTTCCAAGACAAGTCCAATAATAAGAACCATATCACCCCTAAGTATCTAATTGGTTAAAGAAGCCTTGGATTTGTTGACAACTACGAAAATGAGGAACTAAAAAGCCAGGTTAAGGGAAATTAATACACTGATGAGGATGAATGTGAGAAGACAACAAAGACTGGAATAAGTGCTTTTCAAGGACTGGCTCCAAGGGACCTGAATTTGCATAAGCTTATCCGAAACTAAAATAAGCCCAACTTCCTAAAGAATTAAATATTATCTGTGCAACTAGGACTTTTCAATACGATGTGCAAGGCTTGGATCAGAATTCCTTATTGGTAGCCTGGATGCACTGGACTTCTTTGACAAGAGATACAAAGAATAAAATAAATCAAGCAGGACAGCCAGAGGGCATTTCTCAATATTTATAAACTAAAAATGAAGAGTTCTGGAAATAATATTGAAAATAAAATATCTGATTCAATTTTCTCATACTTAATAAATTTAGGTAACTCTAGGCTGTCAGATAGGAGAATATGTGTCCACATAAATAGAAAAGTACAAGGAATAAAATTTTGTTACCAATAAATTGTTTGAAAACTGGAATTCCACGTATGCCTATATATTTTCCCTAGTCTTCTCAGCTGAACTTTGATTTCCTAGAAGTATGTGCTTTTTATTTAATAGTTCTAGATATAAATATTCAATGGATCTAAAATCTCTATGATGTACAGTCCCCTAATATTTACAACTGTCTGCAACTGGATGTTGATCTGCATTTTCTGATTGTGTTTCTAACTACCCATGAAGGAATGAGTTTTATTGATAAAGAGGATAAACTTATGAGTCAAGCCTGAGTTTGATGTTAACTCTACCATTCACAAATTGTGAACCTTGGTCAACGTATTCAAATTTTTATATCCTCAGGTTCTTTATCTGTAAAATGGGTCAGGGTTTCTCAGCCTTGGCGCTATTGATATCTTGAGTGGTGACATGGTTTGTCTGTGTCCTCACCCGAATCTCATCTTGAACTGTTGTTCCCGTAATCCCTACATGTCGTGGGAGGGACCTGATGGGAGGTAATTGAATAATGGGGGCAGGTCTTTCCTGTGCTGTTCTCATTATAGTAAATAAGACTAATGAGATCTGATTGTTTTTATAAAAGGGAGTTCCTCTGCACACACTCTCTTGTCTGCCGCCATGCGAGACATGACTTTGCTCCTTTTGCCTTCTGCCATGATTGTGAGACTTCCCGAGCCACGTGGAACTGTGAGTCAATTAAAACCCTTTCCTTTATCAGTTACCTTGTCTTGCGTATGTCTTTATTATCAGTGTGGAATGGACTAATACAGGTGAGATAATTTGTCCTTTACTCAGTAGATGCCAGTTGGATACCAGCAGTTGTGACAACCAACAATGTCTCTAGACATTGTTCTGTGTTCCCTGTGGGGCAAAATCACCCTAGGTTGAGGATCTCTGATGCTTATCTCAACTGGGGTAATCATGCTTATCTTATTGTGTCACTGGAAGGATGGAATAGAAGATGGATAAAAAGCTTCTACTGCAGCCTGGGCCCAGTTCACTTTCTCTCTTGGCTCCAATCCTGGTGGACACAGTAGGGGCTCCTCAAAAGCTCCACCCATCACCTCCTTGAATCACTGCATCATCTACTTCACACTGGGGCACAGACAATTGGATGGCTTCTTTGATCTCTGTCTAGCACTTGATCGTAAGTATTGGATTTGAAAACCTAACTTTAAATAATGTGAGGAAGAGGATCCAAGGTATGTTTTATTTCAACATATTAAAAATGGATATCAGATATAAAAATACTGGTTAAGTTATATAAGTAGAATTGTTTCCAGACCATATTGTGTATTAATTATATCCTAGTTCATAGCCATAAAACAATATTTTATTATACTACATTTCCGGTGGTCACTGAGCATCCATGAGTATAGTAAGTGGAAAAATGGTAAAATCTGCAAAATGGTTCTATATTAGATTTTATTAAATAAGAGAAGCAACAACTTAAATCAGACTCAAAAAATCAAAATAATTTGGCTCCTTTAAAAAGCAAAGAAAGATCAACAAAAAACTAACATTTGGCCGAGGTAGCTTGCTCCCTTGTGGATTCAGAGCTGAAAGTTACTGAAGACATATCAGTACAAATGTGCACATTAGATAATTCCCACTAAAGCATCTCTTGCAAATAAAATTTATGGACATCTGACAGCATTTATTGCCTGTCCTTTATAAACACAGTACTTAACAATAAATGCCCTCAAAGAATTCTCCAGTTCTCAGATCCCACCACAGAAGGACTTAAGCTTCAAAACTACTGGCTTTCTTCTGAAAACCTTTTTTTCATCCAATGAATACCAAAAGAACCTCTTTCCTGAATAAAATATTAGCTGAATGGTTTACTGTAGAATAATCCCTTATCTTAGCTATCAATGCTGATGTGTCATTTATGGTTATTTGTTATATGATAGATAAAATGTTTGAATGATAAATCCTAAATAAGTTTTGAATATGTATTATATATAATATGCATATGTTATATATATTATGTAAAATATATATATACTTTTTCCTCCCTGCTCCAGTTTTTTCCATCTCTAATAGTTGTAAGGATAAAATTTGCAATAATTCTTTTACAGTGTTACAGAATTCTAATGTGAATAAGAAAAAAAGGAATAAGACTGGAATACCAAGCCATGAACTTGGAAAGAAATCCAAACTGGCATACTGGTGAATACTACATTTTCTTGAACCAATGTGCCAACTTGGAACAATTCTTTAACTTACCTGTTTCTATTTCCTCAACTTATATCTATCGGTCCTCAAAATAGAGACATGACAAACATACACATTCAATAATTATACACATATACACATATACCAGATGCTGTAGCATTTACAATGAAGTCACCCTTTGCAAATCATTTTCACATATGTCTGCTAGTAGTTAAAAAGATACCTAACTTTATTGGAGGAAAAAATAAATCATCTATTTCTGCATAATTAAGCTAAGCTCAAATATGTTTTCTGATCCCAATCTAATTGTATTGATTTCTCACTTTGCCTAAGACCACAAGAAAACATTCACTACTTTTGCCACCTTTAAAATCTTTGATCCTGATCTTCTATGTTTGATGGTGCCTACGGCTCTCTTATGCTCATGACATTTTAGTGAACTTCACTAGGTGACTTTGTTGGAATACCTCTTGGAAACAACTTACTTTATAGAAAATAAGTAAAACATAGAAATATAGCATGCAAGTGAAGAGCATGGACTCTGGGACCATATTGCCTAATTCTAATGGTGGCTCAGCCTCTCAGGAGATGTGCTGATGGGAAACGTCATTTAGGCTCTCTCTGTGTTCCTCAGCTTCCTTATCTGCAATCTGGGGATAGTAATTGTACCCAACTCACAGAGTTGATATGAGAATTAAATGAGTTTAAAATTAGAACAGTGCCTGGAACTCTGAAGTGTTGGCTTGCTATTATTATACTTTACATAGTTAATATTATAATTCAGCTGGGCTTGACCCCAGTACTTTCTACAGGTGTAAGGATGAGCAAACCCCTACCCCTCTCAGGCTCAGTGTTTTGATCAGTAAAATTGAGGTGGGATGAATGATCTCTATCCCTGTCATTTGGTTAGGGTTTACTGACAATGCCTGCGGCAGTGCCATGGGAGTATAAATTGGTAAGATGTTATGGAAGGCAATGTTGCAGTATGGTTTATAATGTAATGGGTTCATACTTTTAGTCTTGGGAATTTGTAATGTAGGTAATTTATCTTACAAAAATACTTGCATACATACATAAAGATAAATATATATGAATGTTTATTAAAACATGTTTAAAAATGACCGCAATATGCATTTATTAGTAACTGGTTAACTATGACAGATAATGCTACTTTAATTTATAGCTATTCAAAAGGAGTTTGGAAGGAGTCATGGAAGTAAACAGCCAAGTGGAAAAACACAAGTATGTATATCATGGTCACATTTTGAAAAGAAAGAAAAAAAAGGAAGGAAGGAAGGAAGGAAAAGTGAATGAAAGCAGTAAAAAAATACATGTGTATCTTAGAATATGGACAGAAAACAGATTTTAAAAACATGTGCCAGACAATTAACAGTAGTTAATCTGGAGTGGATTTATTGATGTCTCTATCTTTTATGTCATGTATTTCTTTATTCTCTAGTTTTTTTTTTAATTTTACTTTCAGTTTGGGGGTACATGTGCAGGTTTGTTATATAGGTAAACTTGGGTTGTGGGTGTTTGTTGTGCAGATTATTTCATCACCCAGGAATTAAGCCTAGCACCCATTATTTATTTTTCCTGATCCTCTCCCACCTCCCACCTTCCACCCTCTGATAGGCCCCAGAATGTGCTTTTCCCCTGGTTTAGCTCTGTGTCCCCACCCAAATCTCATCTTGAATTGTAGCTCCCATAATTCCTACGTGTTGTGGGAGGGACCAGGTGGGAAATAATTTGAATCATGGGGTCGGTTTCCCCATGATACTGTTCTTGTGATAGTGAATAAGTCTCACAAGATCTGATGGTTTTATCAGGGGTTTCCGCTTTTGCATCTTCTTCATTTTCTCTTGCCACCACCATGTAAGAAGTGCCTTTCACCTCCCTGTCATGATTCTGAGATCTCCCCAGCCACATGGAAGTATATGTCCAATGAAACCTCTTTTTCTTCCCAGTCTCAGGTATGTCTTTATCAGCAGTGTGAAAATGGACTAATACATCCCCTCTATTTGTCCATAAGTAAATATTACTTTGGTAGTTTGAAACAAAAAGCTGTTAAGTTTTTCTTTTTAAGAACAATCATAGACTTTGGAATCAGACAAGCTTGGGTTCAAATTGTATCTTTATAGCTTTAAAGCAGTGTGACCAAGTTCAAACTATTTAAACTCTCTGTTCTTATTTCCTTAGTTGTAAAATGGATAATATGGAACTCTCCTTGTTACATAAAAATTAGTTTAGAAAGTACATTTAAATTCACTATCACAAAGCCTGGCAAACTGTAAATGTTCCATAAATGTTGGTTCTCTTCCCTCCACTCCCTGCTAATTACAAAATATCTGCTTATGAAGCTGTTTATAGTTTAAAAATAGAAATATATTTCTCTACAAAGATTTTTATTTAGCTCTAGGTGTGACACAAATTTAACAGATTGAATTTGTGATAACTTTTACCTTAAATGTATCATTTTTCCTACGATCAGAGTTATTTTAGGAGGAACAAGAAAATATATGACCTAAGATCTGAAAAAAAATGGTTAACATTTAGCACTATTTTACAGTAGGTCCATCCAGAATAAAAGTATGGGTGTCCACTGTGTCTCAATCCATCTATAAAACAGTAAAGCACCACATAGTGAAGTGAGAGTTATTTCTATATATATATATGCAGAAAAACGTCTGAAAGGGTAAAAGCACCTCAGCATCAAGTGTCTATTTTTCAGATGTAAAATTACAAGTAAATTTCTTCTGAGCTTTTTTATATTTTACACATTAACAAAATTTATGTCTTTTGAAATAAAAATGCACAAAATTTTGTTTATACCTAAAATATGTAGAGTTATACAATGATGAAAAATAAACCATGGCCCTTGATAATGATTTTACTTTAATTTTCTATGAAAATTAGCAGGGCAAACTTTCAAGCTAAGTGTTTTCTTAATTTGGATGAGGTCAACTAAATTCTGCAAAGGAAGTAGAGACAATGGATTTTGACTTGTTTCTAATATGAGGAAATACCCTGGTCTTATCATTACAACAGTGGATTGTTACTTTTGTTTTATTGTAAACAATTCAAAAACACATTAATGAAGAAATTGATGGGTATTATTTAGGGAATAGCATCTGTTTTTTTTGGTTTGACTGAGTCTGTTATGATCGAATAGTTTAGTGTATTTGTGAGAAGGGAATAACCATCAAATGCTCACTCAAAACAGAACTTGACTAAAAAGTTTGGGTAACTTAATGCAATGGGAAATTGTTAAAAATGGGTGAAGGATGTTTGTCACTCGCTTCAGCCAAAATGACCTGTTTCAGGCTGAAAGCATGAGCCTGCAACAGGTGGGAGAGTGCGTGAGAAAGTATGAAGTATTATACTCTTAATATGTTCAAATTCAAAAGCATTTTCAAATTAAAAAAGGATTTAAAAATCATACAGTTTAATTTCTCCTATTTCTAGAAAAGCATTTGAGTTGAACTTGAACTGGTTCTGGAACCCAGATCTCCCATCTCAACCTTCTTCCTTCTTTCCTTTCCACTAAAGCATGCTAATGTAATTAACATTCAGGTAAAGTCACATGGCACATAGGCTGAAGATTACCCAGACAGACTTCAGATCCTACTGAAAGATAGAATAATTAATATGATGGCTAACAGGATGTTTGTCAAAATTATATTTTTGGAATTTGATTTTTTTTCACCTTTAGGCTGACCTATTAATTATAGTCAATTACCGTATGTACACACTTATGAGGAAAAAACACTTCTTAGTGTTGCATGTCCAAATGAACCCACTGTGCTGAGGCCCTATATGTGTCTGATAAATTACTAACAGATGGTTGTTTATTATATGGATTTCACAGCTCCTCTGCCTCTCTCTCTTATTTCTGCTGAGTATTCTGGTAACATAACCATTTCTCTCTAAAGACAGAAAGATGAAATCAGAGTAAGGAAACTCCCAAGTGGTCCACTTTATTCTACTGAATATTTTAGTCCAATGGCTTGGCAGAGAGGACCTTTGTAGATGTTGATGAAAACAATCTGTTACATCGCTGTCACTGTTCATTAAGAGACTTGCAAAGATCAAATATCCATATGTCATTCAAGAAGATAGCCAATTATTATAAATGTGGAATTTAGAGCTGTGTACTGAACAAATTCAAACTCCACAAAGCTACTGCACTGATTTTTCTAAAACCATCACCATAAGGAAAATTCATATTCCTGGTCACAAACACAAAACTCTTTAGATCTTACCCTTGCCCATAGCCTTGACTTCATGCTTTGCCCCTTCTTGCCTTGTATTAATACTTAAAAATCCAGCCCTGTGAATGGCGTTTCTTCTCAAGTCAGAGCATGCATCCACCTGCCTGCCTGGGGCATGAAGGACTTGGACTTGAAGGACAGCATGATATGCTCCTCGACAAGGTCTCCTCCCAGTTACTCCGCATTGAACATCCCTATCACAAGGATGCTTGTCCAGGATTGAGTCTCATTACTAAGGTCCCAGGAATAGATGTTCCCCGCTCACCTCTCGCCACCCCTGCCACTAGCCCCAAGTACCATCTCTCAACTCGAGGTCTCTACCCAGCCATGCCTTCTCCGTGGTAGGCTCCTCAGATCTCTTCATTCAACTAGTAACCCCTTTCTCATCCCATAAATTCCCCTTCAAGATGTCACCTCCTTGAAAATACAGAAGCACAGCCAGAGACTGCTCATGGCCCCTCTATCTCAAACCCCACTTCACTGAATCAGCCCTGGGGTGTGCCGGCTGGCTCTTCTCCATGCTCTATGGCACTCAGTGCTTGCATGTTCAACACATTTGCTGTGTTCCACTGTAGCACAGTGATTCTGAGTGTGGACTCTGGAACAAGTGCCCCTGGGCTCAAATTCTGGCTCTTCATTTGCCAGCAGGATTACATAAGACAAGTGACTTGCTTCACCTTCCTTATTTGTAAACTAGACATAAAAAGCATGATCTGCCTCATAGAGAAGAGGATTAAATAAATCAATATATCTAAAGCTTACAATAGTCAGCCCTCCATGAGTGACAGCCCTCCATAAGTGACTGTATTTGTGCTTCACCCTTGATGTCAGGATTTAGTTTTCCCAGGAAAGTCTTACTTATTTGTATAACCATTGCCCCTCACAGAGTGCTTTGCCTCTAGTAAGCTCCATATGTACAGTGGCCAAACTGAACTAGTAAGAATAAGGGGAATAAACTCAAGGTGAGAAAATCCTAGAACTGGAATTATCTAAACACCCAGGTTTAGTTCCAAATTCATGAAGCAAAGAGGAGATCTATGTAGGCATATATGGCCATGTTTTTTTTTTTTCCAGGGGAAACTATTTCAGATGATTCTACCCTTGACTGTAAATGTGGTCTTCTCCAACAGCAGTCAGTATGTAGCTTCTGACTAATACCAAAAGGTTTCATGTCTATGCACGGTATTCTATTATAGTTTTCAACAGAAAGTACAAATTACCGGATGCCTGATAAATTCATCCAGAAACACTAAGAAAAACAGATGCTATTTTCCAAACCTTATCAAATGATTCCCTTTCTCCTCACTCACCAGGGTAGTTTGGGGCCAAATATGATGGAAAAGTAATTTGCTGACTTCTGACCACTTGCACACTCCAGAGGGAGGGGCTGGGGCAGTAAGGCAGATATATCAATTTCCCACACTCTACTCTCTTCCTTCTCTGCGTGGTTAAAAACAAAACAAAGTATTTGATTTCCTCATTTTTTCTACTAATGGAAGATGACAGATCCAATGGTTGAGCTCACAAATGAAAATCTTTATTTTGTATGATCAGAATCTTTCTGTTTCCATTGTAACCAATCCAATACCAGAGAGATATTCCAAAGTTTGGAAGGATAGTGCAAGTCAGCTATGATCTAGCATGTACTGAAGGACTTTTCACCAAGATGTCAGCTCCCTACACACTCAGAGACTTAGCTAGCTTTGACCTTGAAGCCATTGACAGGGCATGCAAAGGAGAGATAATGGGTTGTTCCTGCTTGGAGGTTTGTGTTCTAGATATACCTTTATTATATTTTAGACATTCTTCACTACTAAAAAGTAAAGTGGTTACCTTAGGGGGAGGCCACAGGGTAGCTACATATAGGAAATATATATATTACAAAAAAACTAGCCAAGGAACTTTGTGTGTGTGTGTGTGTGTGTGTGTGTGTGTGTGTGTATTAGTTTGCAGAATCTTTTTTTCCATTTGTTATTTATTTGCGTGAGAATAGCAATACACAGGCTTATATTTATCCTCAGCCCTCCCTAGCCCTCCCAAACTATATTAACTACCTGACTCTTAAAAAGAATTGTGAAGGAACTAAAATGATAATGCAAAGAGACATGGAAAATAATATTTATTTAATTTATATGGATTTAGCCTTGAGAATTACTTTATGCTAAGAGACTCAGGGTGACTACAACCCCCACTCACGGGCAGAACAAGAGGCTAAACATGTCCTTATGCTGCAGAGTATATTTCAAACTATTAGAGTGACCCATTATTTCATTAATTTAAGTACATTTCTGGTTGCTGATAAAATGAGTTCTAGCCTGTTGGCGGACAAGAAGAGAAGAACAAGGCTTTATTCCTATGGTTAGGTGCCGTTGCGACCTGAGGCACATGCTATTGTATGAGTGATTCTGACAAAGAGAATATCTGTTTTCAACTTGCACTTCATTTTGCACACAGGCTAAAATAGGAAAAGAGGCCATTTATGCATCACTTTCAAACACAAAGTACTTGATAGAGAAAAAAAAATTCTCTGAACAGTGGTCAGACTCTCCAAATAGACAAGCTGATGCCAAATAAAAGGAGTGATTGTGAACGGACCTGGCAGCACGTTCTTCAGGAAATGGCCGGGTGTGTGTATCCTTGCTGATTACATGTATAATAGCTCCACAAGCAATGCTGTCTATCAAGAAAGGCTGCATCTCAGAGTCGTGTTTTCAAAAGGAAAGAGAATGAGCACTCAGCTGAGCCTGTCTGGAAAGAGGCAAAGCGGCTCTAGGAGAGGGGAAGGAGTTGGGAGTTCTTACATGCTGGCGACAGCCAAGCCGCAAGAGATGAGCAGGGCACAGAGCACACGTTCAAAGGAAAATCCAGTGTTGACTTTTACCTCTACAGGATGTTTGAAAAAGGATTCAGGAAAATCAAAACTCAAAAGCATAGATCAGCCTGTGGAAAGTCCAGCATGTCTTTCCACTTTATAGTGAACTCTCTGGAACAAAAAGTGACATTCAGATTTCAAGTCACAGCTAGGATATCTGAGCCTCATGGGTAATGGGAACATGTCCGGACAACATTGGGAAATGAGTGGGCGCTGCCCTGCAAGAACCGAATGGGATACAATGCTGGAACACACTTGCCACAATGCCTAGCAGTAAGTTCTATGAAAACATTATCATTCCCAACATTAATACTAATCATTATAACAAACATCTAAATTTTAAAAGGCCCTTCTACCTTTGTCACCCTGTAAATGACATGGATAAAGTCATAGTTTATGTGGCTGTGACACCACAAAGACCCAGGGCTGATTTACCTGGCAATACCCCCTTTCTCTACGGAAGCTGTGGTTCAAAGGGACCATAGCTAGAAGCTACTCTGCAAGGGAGGCTATGAGCTTAGCTCTTAGAGCCCAACTGGGAAAGAATATTGTACAATAACGTCTACAAAATTACTACTTTTCAGCCTGGAATCACGTTTGTGATCTTCTTTGGAACTTATCAATGCAAAGCTTCATAATAACGGAATGTTTTCCTATTGTTGCTTGGATTGCCTTAATCTCTTACCATAACTTTTTCATCCCCCAACATTTAAAGTTTTTGTATACTAAAAAGTAATAGCTATTTATTTAATTTAAAATATTTTACCAGCTTTGAAGTTACAGTGTGTGGATATCTAAGATATCAATCTAAGCTCTAATCTATACAGGCAGAAGTGCTGGTGCTTGTGAAAGCAGGACCTGGAAATAGACTGGGTTCAAGTCCTAAGTCAACCCCCACTAGCTCAGGTCAGATAAGTTGATTAATCACTCCATGCTTCAGTTTTCTCATCTGTATAATGGGAAAAATGAGAGTGCTTCACTCATGGGAGAATTGAAGGAGTTCTTAATAATTATCAAGCTCTAAAAACAGACGAGGCAGAAGCTAAAAGATTTTAATGAACTTCACATTTTTACAGGTATGAATTTGGGTAAACTGTCATAATAGTATGAATCATTTCAAGAAGTTAAAAACAAACATGAAAATTTGCATTTTGAATTTGTAGGGATGTCTTAATCTGTTTCCACTCTGCTAATAAAGACACACCTGAGACTGGGTAATTTATAAAGAAAAAGAGGTTTAGTGGACTCACAGTTCCACATGGCTGGGGAGGCCTCACACTCATGGCAGAAGGTGAAAGACACGTCTTACATGGTGGCAGACAAGAGTGAACTTGTCCAAGGAAACTTCCCCTTATAAAACCATCAGATCTTGTGAGACTTATTCACTACCATGAGAACGGTATGGGGGAAACCACTCCCACAATTCAATTATCTCCTATCAAGTCCCTCCTACAACAGGTGGTAGTTATGGGAGCTAAAATTCAAGATGAGATTTGGCTGGGGGCACAGCAAACCATATCAAGGAATTTGTTTCTAATTCGCTAATTCTATTCATCCATTCACCAAATGACTATTAGCCTCTCCTAGAGGATCTCTTTCAGATGCAATGAAGAGAAAAAACAAACTGATACTAAATTGTAATAGGCAGATCAAGAGAGGAGTCACACACTGCATTCACTGCACAGTTGGCTTTAATTAAATTTGGCTTTAAGTTTGCAAATATTAAAATCACAGTCCAAAGGATAAAAGGAGTAGGTGAAGCCTATTAAGGTTTTTAATGCATGGAGGAATCACCTGCACAGACCATGTATCAGTGGAGTTCATGAAACTGCACATTACTAGAGCAATCATTTATACATTAAGCGCTAAGAACACCCAAAGAAACATTCCATCTCAGCAGCTGCCATCTTGGATTTACTTTTCCAAAAGAGACAATAATCCAGACTATAGCATTTGAAAACATTCACTCGGGCTTTGTTTCCTTTTAAACAGTCAAAAATTCAGTGCTCCTGAAAAATATTGTTTGAAGTAATTGAGGCCCCTAAAGTTTCTGCAGAAAAAACAGGGGCTCTTTCTTCCTTTTTCATGAAATAAATTTTGGGCTCTCAGCCACAACAAAATCCCACAGTTACTTTAGTTTCATTAGAAAGGTTTACTTTTGACTTAAAGTTCTCTCTTAGTTAAATGATTCCATTAAACATGCGGCCGGGGATGGTGGCTCACGCTTGTAATCCCAGCTCTTTGGGAGACTGAGGCAGGCAGATCACGAGGTCAGGATTTCAAGACTAGCCTGGCTAACGTGGTGAAACCCCATCTCTACTAAAAATACAAATATTAGCTGGGCGTGGTGGCAGGTGCTGGTAATCCCAGCTACTCGGGAGGCTGAGGCAGGAGAATCGCTTGAACCTGGGAGGTGGAGGTTTCAGTGAGCCGAAATCACGCCACTGCACTCCAGCCTAGGTGACAGAGCTAGACTCCGTCTCAAAAAAACAAAAACAAAATGCATGCATGCATATACACTCGGAAAACTGTTTAAGCTTCAAAGAATGTTGTGTCTGCCATATTGTGTTTTTTTTTTAAGAAAGGTAGAATTAAGTAATTGAGGTAGTCCTGATGACACAAAGCATCAGAAAAGCCTTCCAAATTATCACAGAAAGAACAGATTATTATAAATAATTATTCAAAGAACATAATTGTACATACAACAATGTACACTTTGATATTTTTGTCCAATACATTTCTAGCAGTACAACTGCTGGATGGAGTATCTGCCTGTTGCTGTGTAAATAATTATCATAAACTCAACGGCTTTAAACAAAGCTATTTATTTTCTCACAGTTTTTGTGGGTCAGGAGTATTGTTTGGGCACTCAGCAAGGGCCTCACAAGACTGCAATCAGTGTTAGCTGGGCTGTGTTCCTCTCCAGTGCTAAGCGTCCCCTTTCAAACTTAGGTGTTGTTAGAAGAATTCAGGTCCTTTTGGCAGTAAGACTATAGCCCCTGTTTTCTTGCTGTCTGCCCACTGCGGGTGGCTCTCTGCTCCAAGAGGCTCCCATAACCTCTCCCACAACATGGCAGTTTACTTCTTAAAGGTCAGCAGGAGGATTTTTCTCTTTAACAAGGCCCTAGTCTCTCTTCTGAGGGCTTTCACCTGATTAGGTCAGGTCCTCCTTGGATAATCTCCCTTTCAATTAAATCAAAATCAACTGATTTGAGAGCTTTCTGATATCTGCAAGGTCCCCCCACCTTTTCCATATAATGAAACCTAATCAAGAGAGTGAAATTCTTTCATATGCATAGGTCTTGCTTGCCCTAAAAGGAGTGAATTATATACAGGATGTACACAGAGGACAGATATTGTGGGGGCTGATATGGTTTGGCTTGTCCCCACCCAAATCTCATCTTGAATTGTAGTTCCCATAATCCCCACGTGTCATGGGAGGGACCCAGTGAAAGGTAATCAAATCATGGGGGTGGTTGCCCTCATGCTGCTGTTCTTGTGATAGTGGATGAGTTCTCATGAGATCTGATGGTTTTATAAGGGGCTTTCCCTGCTTTTGCTCAGCATTTCTTGCTGCTGCCATGTGAATAAGGATGTGTTTGCTTCCCCTTCCACCATGACTGTAAGTTTCCTGAGGCCTCCTCAGCCATGTTGAACTGTGAGTCAATTAAACCTCTTTCCTTTATAAATTACCCAGTCTTGGGTATGTCTGTATTAGTAGCATGAGAATGGATTAATTCAGGGACCATCTGGGAATTCTGCCTACCACACTGGGTAAAGCAGTGCTTCCTTTAAAACTCTGGATCAGTATGCTAAATTGTCCTCTAAAGAGGGTGGGATAATTATGAGTTCACCAAGAGTGTACGATTTGCTATTTTCTCATACCTCATCAATATTCAAGATTATTGGTTCTTTAATTTTCCACCCAATCTGGTAGAACATTTTTTTCTTATAATTTTTAATTTCTATATCTTTGAAAAAAAGATTGAGCATAATTTCATGTGTTCACAAATCTGTGAATTAACTTTTTACATCATTTGCTTTCATTTTAAATGGTCATTTATTTTGTTTTTACTGATAAAAGCTGTCTGTATATAACAGATGACAACCTTCTCTTTTTTCATCTGTTACAACTATTCTCTCTTCTCTTTCTCTCTCTCCCAAGAATGTAACTTGAGCTGTGTCTCATTAATGCCACTTTTAAAGAAAAATCAGATTTTAAGCTCAACCAGTCAGAAGCAGCCAACAACCTGTATAACTAGGGACTTTGCAACAAGATGGACCAAATAAGACAACGGTATAATTGTAACCAATCAAATATTTTCTTGGCTTTCCTTTGCAGGTTATCATATAAAAGTCCCCCTACCCTTGCATTCTCTTGGTGAAACTCCAGAACATCTTCTGGCTTGGAGCTACCTGATTCATAAATTGCTGTTTGCTCAAAGAAACTCTTGAAAATTTTATTGTGCCTCGGTTCACATATTTAAGAGATTTTGTGACTTATATTTCTTTCACTCTTTTTGCCATGGAGAGATTTTTATAACAAATATATAATAGTGAAATAAAAACAATGTAAACTCCATTAATTTGTTAAAAAACTGACATGTATTAATACTCTTCAAACATTAGAAGATGAGATGAATTTATAAGCTATGGATATGGAAAGAAGAACTCTATTACAATCAGTAGAAAAACAAGTTATAAAAAAGGATTCATTCATTGTGATACCCTGCTTGATCAAATGTTTGTTATCTACATATTTGAATAATTGTGTATTCATTTAAAAATGTCCAGAATGGCACATGCCAAGATATATCCACACACCATAGTGGATATATTTGGAGAACTGGACTAGGCAGATGGCTTTGACTTTTTACTTTATTCATTTATGTATTTTTATTTTTATTTTTTGAGACGGAGTCTCGCTCTGTTGCCCAGGCTGGAGTGCAGTGGTGCAATCTCGGCTCATTGCAAGCTCCGCCTCCTGGGGTTCACGCCATTCTCCTGCCTCAGCCTCCCGAGTAGCTGGGACTCCAGGCACCCGCCACCACGCCCGGCTAATTTTTTGTATTTTTACTAGAGACGGGGTTTCACCGTGTTAGCCAGGATGGTCTCGATCTCCTGACCTCATGATCCACCCACCTTGGCCTCCCAAAGTGCTGGGATTACAGGCATGAGCCACCACACCCAGCCTCTGTATTTTTAAATTCAATTTTGTAATAAATAATCTTTGATTTTATCATTAAAAAGAAGTTAAGTAATGATATAATGTTTAATCTACTTTTAATATGAAACATGGCATTTTGCTGTATCTTAATTATTTGAATATTATCATTTTAATATTTAACAGATATTTATTTAGCAATATGAGCTCCTTCCAATTATTTATACTAGATGGGTTAGTCCTAATTTTCTCAGCTTGTAAGAGGAGGTAAAAGTATGTTACTTGGCTAGGGGTCAGGGGTTGGTTAGTATGTAAAGGGGAACTATAACCTTGACACTTAAAATCCTATCAGAACATCTATTTTACATGTCACCCATCAATGGGAACTTATTGAATGCATTCAAGTTGTATTTGGCTGGTATGTGCAGAAAGACAAACTAGAAACAGTCAATTCACCGCATCAGAAGAGTACACAGAAATAACCATTACCAGCATAAGGAAATTGTCCAAATGTGTGCTTCCTCAAGTTGAAAGAAACCATTTCTCAGAAGGAAGAATTTTCACCCAGCAGTTAAATCAGAGGGATCAACACAATTGGGTACTAACTTGTGCAAGGCAGAAGAGAAAGTGGGAAGCAGTCCCAGGCTGCAGGATGGCTTCATGTCTGGAAGCACAGCACAGAAGGCCGATGGCTAAGCTGGAGGCTGAGACGTGTCCTATGCAAAGAAGGACAGATTTGGAGGCCACAGTGGCTTAAGGAAAAGTTGTTTCTTATAGGGTGCTTGGCCATTGAGCTTTCTTATATTCATGACTCTTAGCTATTTCTGAAGTCTGTTTTTAGGGAGAGGATGCAGGAGTGGTCTGTGAATGATTGAGATTTATCCCTTGTACAGAAATATTGTCATTTTTTTTTTCTGTGGAAGCATGGGTTCCCTGTCAAGCACACCTGCCTTGGCTTCCTCCCTGAGGCTCTATCATGTTTCCTAAGGTAGACACTCCCTTCATAGTGTTGGGTTTTCTCTCACACTCCCACCTGTATCCTCCTCTTGGGTTTGAGTGATGCTCTCCAGAGGGGTAAGACACTGGGGGCTGTGGCCCCATAATCCTTCCTGACTTCTGACCATTCATCTTCATGTAGCTGCATTATCCTGCATACTCTATACTCAGCTATGCTCTACCGATCATGAGAGATGGCCTGGCCACCCCACCTGGTTTTCTTTCCCTGCTCCACAGGAAGAATTGGAAAGAAGCCTGGGGAACTGTCCAGCAGTGCCAAGAGCTGCCGTGCAGGATTAGGAACAGGACAGGCTTCAGAATATTACTGCTGTGTATTTGGAGCCACTCAAGCCCAACTCCTCTCACAGTGGGTTTTCACGGGGGGCATCTCTGGAAAGAAGGAGAGGCTTGCTTCAGCAGCTAAGTGGAAGCAGACCTCCGATGTAAGCAGTGGAGGTAATACTTCCCCTTCCCTGGCACTTGAATGGAAAAGATTGAAGCAAAATGAAAGGCCAATCTGTATGCAATTAAATGCTTCTACTGGCAATTGCTTTTCCTTCCCCTGCTAAAAAAGCAGACATCCAAATTTCCCACCTTCTTAGTGTGTCCCCCCTCCTGTGCTAAATTGCCACAGTTGGGAGTAGCGTCTTCAGGCAGTTACTGGCAAGAATAGATGCATCAAAGGAATGAAGATTTTTGTTTTTGCTTTTAACTTAAAAAAAAGGCACTTCTCTAGAGATGTAGTTACTAAGCTTTTTAGCTTAATCTTTAGAAACTATACATATATATTTAGAAACTATATATTCTATACTATATATAGTTTCTAAATATATAGCTTTATATGTAAATATAAAGCTTAAATATATATAGTATAGCTTAATACACATATTAAGCTATATATTTAGGAACTATATTGCTGCTCCTGTGTGTAGATTCTTCATTAAAGATTATTCATCTGACACCTTCTTGGGTTTTAAATTAGCTTTAAGATTTTAAAATTTCAATGAAACCTGACAATAAAATCACAATTATTCAGTAATTTGCAATATGTCTCAAATTCTTAGAAATTTTAGAGATTTTAAAGTCCTCTTTTAAACTGCATTCATCAGATATTGCAATTTGAGAAGAGCAATTTATGGACATTTATTATTCGTCTTCTGAACACTACTGTTCTTTGCATTCTTAGACTATGGGGCTTCATGCATAGTTTTAATTCCATGATCACTCAACCAAACAGAAGGAAAGATTCATATTTTCAATTTTATTCATTCGAATATTTACTAAATTCATACTGTGTGGCAGGAATACAGCAGTGAAAAACAGAGGTGAAATCTATGACCTTGTGAAGCTTTCATTTAGACAGGAAAGCCAGAAAGACTACACGCCAATAAGCAAATGTGTGTGTGTGCTGTGGTGAAAGGGTTATGAAGAACCAGAGGGGGTAATAAGGAGAGAAAAATGGGAGTTTATTTTATACTGTGTATGTTAGAAGAAGAGAAGAATACACTTTGACAAAGGCAAAAGCTTATATGCTCATCATTTTATATTAGCATATACAAATATCTTAACACTATACATATGTAGAAAATTTGAGGAAATAAACAAGAGAGATAGAAATTTCCTGAAAATTATATAGAGAATCACCTAAAAACATAAGCCTGATATAAAGATGTTTCAAAATATAACCTGTTATTTGTATACAACCTCGTATTTGTACATTTGTATATAACCTTATATTTGTAGCAAAGGTAAAACTTTGCCAATGATAGGTAGTAATAAAATGTGGTACAGCTTTGTATTATTCTGTTCTCCTCCTGCTAAAAAAGACATAATCAAGACTGGGTAATTTAAATTTATAAAGAAAGGAGATTTAATTGACTCACAGTTCCACGTAGCTGGGAGGCCTCACAATCATGGTGGAAGGCAAATGAGCAAAATAACGTCTTACATAGTGGCAAACAAGAGCTTGTGCAGGGGAACTTCTATTTATAAAACCATCAGATATTGTGAGATTTAATCACTACAATGAGAACAATATGGAGGAAACTGCCTCCATGATTCTATTATCTCCACCTGGCCCCACCCTTAACATGAGGGCATTATTACAGTTCAAGGTGAGATTTGGGTGGGGACACATCCAAACCATATCATTACACCCTGGGACCCTCCCAAATCTCATGTCCTCACATTTCAAAACCAATCATGCCTTCCCAACAGTCACCCAAAGTCTTAACTCATTTCAGCATTAACTCAAAAGTCTCATCTGAGACAAGGCAAGTCCCTTCCACCTATGAGCCTGTAAATTCGAAAGAAAGTTAGTTACTTCCCACGTACAATGTGGGTACAGGTATTGGGTGAATACGCCCTTTCCAAATGGAAGAAATTGGCCAAAATGAAGCGGCTATAGGTCCCATGCAAGTCTGATGTCCAATAGGGCAGTCATTAAATCTTCAAGTTCCAAAATGATCTCCTTTGACTCTATATCCCACATCCAGGTCATGCTGATGCAAGAGGTGGGCTGCCACAACCTTGGGCAGATTGGTCCCTGTGGTTTTGCAGGGTTCAGCCCCCCTCCCAGCTGCTTTCACTGATGGCGTTGAGTGTCTGTGGCTTTTCCAGGCACACGGTGCAAGCTGTTGGTGGATCTACCACTCTGGGTTCTGGAGGATGGTTTCCCTCTTATCACAGCTCCACTAAGCAGTGCCCCAGTGGGGATGTGGTGTTGGGTCTCCAATCCCACATTTCCCTTCTGCACTGCCCTAGCAGAGGTTCTCTATGAGGGCTCCGCCCCTGAAACAGACCTCTGCCTGGACATCCAGGTGTTTCCATACATCCTCTGAAATCTAGACAAAGGTTCCCAAACCTCAATTCTTGATATGTGTGCACCTGCAGGACCAACACCATGTGGAAGCTGCAAAGGCTTGGGGCTTGCCTCCTCTGAAGCCACAGCCCCAGCCTTACATTGGCCCCTTTCAGCTACAGCTGGAGTGGCTGGGACACTGGGCACCAAGTCCCTAGGCTGCACACAGCAAGGGGTCCCTGGACCTGGCCCAGGAAACCATTTTTCCCTCATAGGGAAAATGTATTTTACTCTGTAAAATACAAAGTAGTTCAAGCAAGGGATACAAACTTTAATATATCATGATGTTGGGACATATTTCAGGAATGCAAGAAGGTGGTTCAACATCAGAAATCGACCACTGCAAGCTACCAGGTTACCAGGTTAAAATGAGAAAAAAAAAATGAACATCTTTCTGGATTCTGCTGAAAGATTCAACAAAATTCATTTTTTTCTATTTATGTTTTTTATTTCATTATTCTATTATAAAACACTCATTTATAATAGAAACTCTTAGCAAACTATAAATGGAGGGACATTTTAAAACTGAGATTTATTCCCAACTGCTAACATAGGTCAAATTTAATAGGGAAACTTTGGCATTTCTATGAACCAGAAACAAAAAATGATTCTCATATCATTCTGACTATTCAACATTATACTAGAAATTCCAACCACTACCAAAAAAACCAACCAGCAAAACAAACAAAAACAAGAAAAAAAGAAGTTAATAGTATAAGAATTGGGAAAAAAAGAGCAAAGTTATACTAACTGATAAATGTCATTACTCTACACAAAAAAATTTCAAGGGTAACTATAGATAAACTTTTGGAACTAATGGGAAAGTTCTATAGTGTTGTCAGATACAAGACACACAAAAGCCAGTGACATTGCTATAGGCCTTAATTGACTAGTAAGTGTGATAAAAAGTATAAACACATGATAATAAAATTTACTAAATGCCTATGAGTATCTATATCAAAAATATTACAAAATGTTACTTAACAATCTATAACTTTTTTTTTTTTTTTTTTTTTTGAGACAGAGTCTTGCTCTGTTGCCAGGCTGGAGTGCAGTGGCGTGATCTCAGCTTACTGCAACGTCCACCTCCTGGGTTCAAGCGATTCTCCTGCCTCAGCCTCCCAAGTAGCTGAGACTACAAGCGCGTGCCACCGTGCCCAGCTAATTTTTGTATTTTTAGTAGAGACGGGGTTTCACCACGCTGGCCAGGATGGTCTCCATCCCTTGACCTCGTGATCCACCTGGCTCGGCCTCCCAAAGTGCTGGGATTACAGGCCACTGTGCCCGGTCAATAATCTATTATTAAATAGCAATATTTATCATATTCGAGGCAGAAAATGTTCAATATCATAATGGTGTTAATCTTCTCCAAATTATTCCATAAATTCAACTGACCACAAATCAAAATCCCAATGAAATTATCTGTGGAACTTGACAAACTGATTCCAAAATTCATATGAAAGAGTAAAGCTAAGCTCTATTCTTAACTTGGAAAAGAATGAGGAGGAGGGGTTTTTACTAACAGGTGTCATAACTTACTACTGAGTTTGAGTAAATAAGACTGTGTGATATTGGCAGAGGGATAGAAAAATAGATCAGTGAGACAGAATAAAAAGCACATAAAAAAGACTTTTCAAGGCACACTTGAAGGTTTTTCCTTTGCAGCCTGAGGTCTTCTAGGATATTTACATTGTGACACTTTCTCCGAGGAAAGACTGGGATGGAACAAATGTCAGTATTGCTCCTACAGCATGTACTTGAAAGCTTAGGTCATTTCAGCCTAAGAAATAATTTATAAAAATGCAACAAGAGAAGGACATAAAGACAGAAGATATCCTACAGAAATTTTATATTTTACTCTGGACAAAAATGGTTTATTCATAGCCCAAGTAAAAAAATAAAAGTTGTAACTAAATGTAATCAATGTAACCATTTAGTTGTAAAAGAGTAAGCAGATTTTTCTTCTTTTATTAAGCAGTCACCCTGTTGGGGTAAAACACTGCAACTCTCCTTCCAAAAGTGGGGGGCTTGGATCTACTTGAGCATTGGGAGAAAAAGAAGGACAGGGAGGAGAGGTAGGAGTAAGAGGAAGAGGAAGAGGAGAAAAAGAAAAGGAGGAGGAAGAGAAATAAGAGAAATGATCTTATTAAATAAATATTAAATCTAGTGTAGCCTAAATGTAACGCCTTTATTACTATTTTGTTAGTAAATAAATAAAAGAGAACAAATATCAACAACAAAAAATATCCATTTGGTTGTTCTTAGTGCATTAAATATTCATTTCACCATTCATTAGAATGAACCAATACATTGATCAGGGCACATACAGAAGTTTGGAATAAAATAAAAGAAGCACTAGAATTCAATGGAAAAAAAGATATATGCAATATTTAGTAATGACAATCTGGTTCCCCATATAAAAAAAATCAGATAGATTGCTATATTTTATCGTACAATGAATAAACTCTAAATAGACTAAAGACCTAAATACAAAGAACAAAATTTTATAATTTTAGAATAAAATACTTGAGAGTGTCTCCTTGATGTCAGGGGAGAGAATTATTTTTAAAAGGAACACAAAAAGCAGAAATCACAAAATGATAGATAAATTTGACTACATGAAAATTAAAATCTTTGTATGACAAAGAACACGAATGAAAGATAAGTTATGAAAAGGAGAAAGAAATTAGAAAATTGTATGATAGTCAAAAAATTAGTACTCAGAATCTAAGTACTAACAGTAGGATTCCTACAAATTGGAAAAAAAAAAAAGATGACCCAACAGAAAAATGGGTAAAGTGTATGAAGAAGCAGTCCATAGCAGAGGAAACTTGAGTGGAACTGCAATGCATGAAAAGGTTTTAAAAACAAACAAGCAAAACCAAATACATAATTATAGTAATTTAGTGGCAGTTACTGTTATAAATACATCTATAGATAGAGCCATACTTAGAATTTAGGGCAAAATATAATGTAAAGATAACAACTTTAAAGTCATTAATTTTCAAGTAGTTCAAACTCTCAGTGTGCACTAGAAAGGGATGTGTGAGATAAACACAGGGCCCAGGGAGACTCCCCAGGGAAGAAGAGCATTTTGAATGGGTAGTTAAGGAGGAAGAGATGTCAATAAAGGAAGACAGCCTTAGTCGTGGGAGTAGAGAAAGACCAAGAAATCAAGGGTAAAAGAAGGAGGAGGTAGGGTCATCAGTGCCAAATACAGCTGAAATATGCATTGATATAAAGAAACAAATCCTTGCAGATCTTTTACATTCAGCAACGAGGATGCTCAATATCCGTCTAGGGTGTGCTTATCTAAATCCCTAATGTGGTGCTATAGACTGAATGTTGTGTTACCACAAAAATTCTTATGTTGAAATCCTAACCCCCAATGTTATGGCATTAGGAGGTGGGGTGCCTGGGAGGTGATTAGGTCATGAGGGTGGAGCACTCATGAGTGGGATTAGTGCTCTTATAAAAGAGACCCCTCGCATCTTCCACAATATGAGGACACAATGAGATGATGGCCATCTATGAGGAATTGAGCTGTTACTAGGCACTGAACCTGCCAACGCTTCAATCTAGGGTTCTCCAGCCTCTAGAACTGTACAATGTAAATTTCTGTTGTTTATAAGCCAGCCATCTTGTGGCTTATATGGCACTTTGTTATAGCAGCCTGAATGGACTAAAACAGAGGACTGAGCTGCCTGGGACAACCTGGAGCCTCATCCATCCACATCTCCCACTTGGACACCAACATACTGAACTCTGACTAGAGTAAGGGGACAGTCCTGCAGTATGACACCACACCAGACAACAGTCCTCTTGCTCCATGGCCTAACAACCCAACTCCACAGAAGCAGCTTCAAAATGTCAGGAGAAATGATTATATCTCTTTTGCTCCTGAACAAAACTTATTTATCCATTTATAGTTCTGTATTGTGCTGAGTGATTAAGTTTCAAAACTCTCTCTAAAAATAAATGCTACTGCTGATCTGAGAGAAACATAAATGACCACTGAGAACAGAGTTTCAACGAGCCCAGAGAACTGAAGCTGTCAGATGCAGACCTCACATTCCTTTCTCTCCACCAAGTTATTTTCAAGGACAATGCACTATGTTCATGGTCTTTGACTAACTTGACCTCTGGCTGCCATCCTTGGCTCTCATAATATCTTAACACTAAACATACTAAGAATTTTTTTAAATGGGAAGTGATTAGATAATAAATTATCTACAGAGGGTGGTCTAAATGAGCTCTATCTAGAATTTGGCTCAATTTTACTTTGCTGGATTCAATCTAAGCACGCTTTTCCTAAATGCCAATTGTAACCAGACATAAATGTCTTGTTAAAACAAGTTTATCATCACTAAACTTAACTGTAGTCTCTGATTAGCTCTTTAGAGCCTAAATAAGGCATATTTATGGTTGCTTTTTTTCCTCTTGATGGTATGTCAGCTACATATGGGAAAAACTGTATGGCTCAGATCCCTTAAAATGCTTTAGAATTTCTTCTATGAACTTTGAAAGAACAAGTGTCATGTTTAATTTTATCCTATATATGCAGTTAAAGATCAATTAAAAGTATTTACCTGCTTTATGAAAGGATTAAGATTCTCTTTAAGTTTCTAATATAAAGCAAGTATCCAACTTCATGAGAGACTATCATTTACATTTCAATTAATGTTGGCTTTTCACATTTGAGTGTTATAATGGCTTTAGTCTGAATTGGGCAAGTGCTCTAGACTTGTCACTAAAGTATTAGGGATCTTGCTGTCATAGATTAATGAGTGACACAATATTTCAGCCATATACTATGTAATTCTATCTAATTCTGGATATTTGTCTGCTGGACACGAGGGAGGGGACTAAAAACACAAAGTCTGGATGCTTCACTGCTTACTTATAAGTGAAGTAGCAGAAGATGCCAACAGCTAACAAGAGGGGTCTTGCCTGGAGAAAGGGTGACGACACAGCTGATGGCTAATTTATCCCATTTCTCTTGATAAGGTTTGTCACTAAGGTTCCATCATAATATATGATGTGGATGGCCACAGCATTTTGTTGACAGGAGGCTGAAACCTGACACAGGCCAGTCACATTACCCTCTGCTCCTAAACTTGAAGAGTACCTCTGACTAAATGGGGCATACTGCATCACACATTCTGGCCTCCTATTGCCTCCCGAACTCAGTTCTTGTTACTGTTCTTTTCCAACTTGTTCTAGTGAATTGCTCCTCACTGTTCTTCAAACAGACGAGGCACACTCCCACCTAGAAGCTTGACACTACCTGTCTAGACTGTTCTGATCACAAATATCTACACGGCTCACTCCCTCACCTCATGCAAATCTTTATTCCAACATTACCTTCCTGATGAGGTTTACCTAGGGCATCTTATTTCAAACTGTAAACTGTTTCCCTGCTACCCTGATCTTCCCAATCTCTCTTAACATGATCTAGTTTTTCTTTTTCTTTTTGTTCTGTATAGCTCTCATCACCTTTCAAAATACTATATAATTTGTCTCATTTTTCATGTTTCTTATTGTCCGTCTTCCTTCGTTAGAGCCCAGAAAAGCAGAAATCTTTCTTTTGTTGACTGACATATCCCAAAGCTTTCAAAACAATTTCTGGCACATAGTAAGTGTACAATAAGTATTTGACAGATGAATAAGAGTGAATGAAGGAACCTGATAGAATATGGTACAATGATAAGATACAAGAACCATGAAAGGCAGAGACCATCTGAATTTTGTTTACCCTGACATCCTCGACATCTAGGACAGTGCCCAGGAATTCTACTTTTTGAATGAGTAAAAAAGCAAATAAATGTTATTGGGAAGGAGGAGGGTTCCTATAACCTATCTAAGTATTAGTGGAAAAATAAATTATTTTGACCAGGCTGGAGGTACTCCTGTGTCTAAAATCCTGCCCAGAGTTCTTTAGCTTCCTGCAGATCATAAAATTACCCAGGATGCCACAAGACATATAGTTTTTTTAGTTACTTGAGAACTTCAAAGGACTACAACTTAACAGAAAGTCCTAACACAAGTGACAGTGCCTCTTATGCAAAGCAAAAGCACATGAAGATGATTTTTGTCCTGTAACAGAAATGCTTGGGATTCCATTGCAGTCACTGTCCAGTGTTATTTTCTTGAGTGGTAATAGGAGATGCCCAGCTTTAGAGTCAGACCTGCATCAGATGGCCTTCATGTTCTATACTGCGTGACTCTCAGAAAGTCACTTACATTCTCCAGGCCCCTATTTCTCATATTTTAAAGTAATATCCACTCTTCCAGGATACTGTGAAGCTGAGAAGCATGTGTCAAGTAAAACGCTTAGTAGACATTCAAAAAAAGTCACTCTGCTCTGCCCTCTGTGACCTTTCTAAACATGATTCTAATGGTTCCATTCTAATATTGGTTCTTAAAAATTCTATCGCATATTATAATTGCATAATAATGTATAATTTCATATTATAATTCTAAATAAGATTTTGTTTTTCTCATTCAAGGTCTAATTATCAGACCACTTTCTTCTCTTAATTTCTTCTTGCATTTTGCATTGGTGCTACATAGAAGAAAAATGCCATAAGAAATGGAGTTAAAGTACCGGCCATTTCATTTCTTTCCTCAGTTCAAAACCTGCTGGTGATAGCCAAGAGTGGTTATTCATGCTGAGTTCCTTAAAAATTATAGCATTCATCAGAATATTTACTAAAAGGGCAGAGCAATGATTCACAAATCACCCACTATTTACATTGGCAAGAAGCTAATGGTGTATATCCCTGATAAGTCATGACTTGATTACTAAGCAAAAGTAACCATTAAAATATGAAACTGTAGTTTACAAGAGTAGCCCAGCTCATTACTTGGAAGGATTTCCTACTGATATGTGATTAACACATAGCTTCTGGAATTAAAGGATAAGCAATTCAGCAACCAATGAATTTGCTAAATTTTTTGTTGCCTACTTAGGTCTTTAACAATACCATTTGCAGGATGTAAATCTTACTGAGAAAGGAGCACTTCTGTAATCTGCATACTCCCAGAAGTCTAGGTTTTCAGCCTCAAGGCTACAAAACAGGCATGCTGAAAGAAAAGGAAATGAGAGCATGAAAGCATTAAGAACTTTGTCAGGTTCACACAGCTTCTACGTGGCAGAGTTGTGATATGAACTTCTTGAAGAGAAGCCAGTTAAGGCCACGGGATTTATAATCAGAAAGATGTGCATTTAAGATTGTCTGGAGAGCTTCTCCTCTATCGGGTTCAGAGAAACAATACTTTTATCCCTTTTATGTATGTGTCTTTCATGGAAGATGGAGATCCACTGAAAAAAAGAAAGCTACCTATGCCAAAGAATAATTTTCAAAGTTTAAAAACATGACCCTTATATAAATAGAGAAAACTGGTGTAAAAATACTCTTTAACACCTTAATGAGGGAGCCAACCAGATGAATATGCTGATTCAAAAGTGCATAAGAAGAATATATAGGCAGAGAAGAAAAAAATTTGGAATAAGATTTCTGGGTGAGATACAAAATTGGACAAAAATCTGCATATTAACATGTAACATCACATAATCTAGGCTTTCAGTTAATAGTAATTGGTGATTAAAACAAAGTTACGTTCCCTAGATAAGCGTACAGCCCTTAGGTGGATTTGTTAACCAGTGTTCCACCTATATGATATTGAAATGACATGCTGCCCTCTGTTTGCCTAATTTCCAAGTTTTGGATAACTTTTCTTAACTCCTGGTAAGCATTTTTCTGGAAAAAGAAAATACACTAACAAATACAATAATGTTTTATTTACAGATGGCTCTATAGTTCAACATTTTATAGTTTACACAATTGCCTAGATGGTAAAAAGAGCACCTGGATGTTTCTGATGCAACTTCTTATGACTGTTATATTCTAAGAGTAGAAATCAGATCTTCCCTATATAAAATTGTTACTTAAATATGTGTTTCAAATGAAAATGCTTATTTTTGTCAAAGTAGTCAATATCATCACGAAAATTTTAGAATGTCCATGCCCTTCCTCTTAAACAGTACTGAAAAGCCAGTGCAAGAAAGGGAAAGTGATGGACTGAAGGTGATATTCCCAACCTGGATAGAAAGACAAACAAGCATCCTTCCAGTGTTACAACCTCTCTTAGCTTGAATATGGGTCTCCGTGCATCACACAGAAAAACGGCAAAGCCTTGCCCCATCAGCTAATAACAAGGTTGAGGGTAAATCTGGAAAGACTTGTCTTGTGTGACTATTGCTTTAGAGAGGAGAGTCTTGTTCCATGTTTGCTGAAATTAAATCATCAGGGAAGATACTGGAGCTGTTCTGCCTCAGCAAAGCTGAGTAAATAACGCACTCTGGGACTGCTCTAATCTCACTGTTTGTGTCCCCATAAAATTCATATGTTGAAATTTCACTAATCTAATACCATCACTAATCGGTGATGGTATTAGAAAATGGTGCCTTTGGAAAGTGATTAGGTTATGAGGGCTCTGACCTCATGAATGAGACGAGTGCCCTTATCAAAGAGACCCCAGAGAGCTTTCCTGTCCTTCCACCATGTGAGGACACAGCAAGAAGGTGCCATCTCTCAGCCAGAGACTGAGCCCTACTGGGACCTTGATCATGGACTCCCCACCTTCCAGAACTATAAGAAGTAGATTTCTGTTGTTTATAAGTGTATTAGTCCGCTTTCATTCTGCTGATAAAGACATACCCGAGACTGACGCAATTTACAAAAGAAAGAGGTTTAATCAATTCACAGTTCCACATGGCTGGGGAGGCTTCACAATCATGGTGGAAGGTGAAAGCCATGTCTCATATGAGGGCAGACAAGAGAAGAGAACTTGTGCAGGAAAACTGCCCTTTATAAAACCATCAGATATCATGAGGCTTATTCACTATCATGAGAATAGCATGGGAAAGACCCGCCCCTATGGTTAAATTACCTCCCACCGGGTCCTTTCCACAACATGTGGGAATTGTAGGAGCTACAATTTAAGATGAGATTTGGGTGGGGACACAGCCAAATCATATCAAAAAGCCACCTAGTTTATGGTATTTTGTTATAGGCAGCCCAAAAGGACTAAGACAAAGGCTCTCTTTGAATTTCTGTCTCAATCATCCCGACCTGCAGAATGAAGCCCTCTGAGATCTCTTATTGCCTTGGTTCCTCTCTGTCTTTGGATAAAGAGAGTTTCTACAAACTCAATGTTGTTTGTCACCAAAGTGTCTGCATCAGCTTTCCTTCTTCTACTGATAGCCACTTGCAAAACCTCCTTAAACTAGCTGTTTTCGAGATGGTTAACTCAAATGCCTTGTATTAAGAAGGTTCAGTTGAACCTGAGATGAAATCAAGATGTTTTTAGTCACATTTCTGGTAATTATTCCACAGTCTGTTACCTTTGAATATATAACTTCACACGGAGGTCTGACAAACTGGTATTTGTTAAGGAACAAATCACTCCCTTGCTTGATTTATTCCCTAGTGAGTGTCATTTCTAGGATTTGTAAAAACAAGCTTTAAACAGATGTAACAAAATAATATTTCATGATATTACAAGGCTGCTATTCGCAAAGATTACTTGCTTCTATATCTTTTTTCTCTGCTACTGAGGCAGCATAAATAGCTTCCTCCATGTACTGCCCTCAGGGAAAGGGTGATACAAGGAGAGCTTCAAAACAAGCTCTCGAAAGTCTTAGTAGAAACAAGACTCTTTAAAGCCAGAATAATCTAAATTCATTAGAAAGGTCCGGGACTTCCCAGATGTGTAGGTTCCATTAACCAGAGTCTAAATAAAGTATTTAGAGTAGAGAGTTTATAGCACAAATGCTGGAGATCAGGAGGAAGCAGTTAAGACCAGTGGCTGCTTTCTTACCCTGAAGGCCAGCGATGGGAAGGACTTCCCATCCTTGGAAGAGGGCTTGAGGGGTGTGGACAGAGCAAGGGCCATGGGCAATGGGAGGGCATGGTGGTTTTACAAAGGGGCAAGTCACAACCTGGGGCTGCCATGGGTGCAGATAGGTGTCTATTGTCTTCATTCCGAAAGAAAAGATGCTGTCCATGTCCCCTTCTCATATCCTGCCCCTTCCCTCCCCTCCACTATCCCTCCAGAATTTACACCACTTTCTGAAAAGGGGAATTTTCTCTCCATGCTCCATGAGAGCAGCCTGGAGTTCTCCAACAATGTTTCCCAGAGTGCGTTTCACAGAACACAGTCTGTGGAAAACAGACCTCTTGGCTCACCCTGCACATTAGCCAATTAAAGCTTTTATAAGAGTTCTGTGCTTAACAGGGTCATGTCCTAGTGTTTCCCCACAGCACTGGACCATAGAAATCCATTAAACACAGACACCTCTTTCCCGGGAATCATACTGACGCCCTGTGAGGCTAGCTAGCTGTTGTGTGAATGGCACTTTGGAGACCACCAGGCCAGGTCCTCGGCTATGCGGTCAGTGTGCCCTGGGTTTGCCTCCTGTTCCAGGTCTTCCCCAAATAGGGAGAATACCACTTAGTATCACTGGAGGTATCAGGAGAGACTGTGCCATGTAAAATGCAGAAACTGGCATGTCGTAAGATCTGAAAAATGCCTTGTCTACTCCCTTTCCCACCTCTTCTCAGATACCTGAGACAAAACAATCGCAAATTCCCTTCACAAGCTACTTATTCCATCATGCAAGGGGTGAGGTTATAGGCAGTTTGAGAAGACTGCTGCAGTCCCAAGAGTCACAATGATAGCAGCAGCAGTTCATGAGTGATGCCAGTTAACCTTGTAAGTGCTGTATTTTCATCAAAGGCATGGATGATAAGGACGCCATTGGGTTTCACATTTTGTCCTCAGATTCAGAGAAAGAACTAGACTCCAGGACTGAGGCCTTGCTGCTTGAGACTCTCCAGATGTAATAATTGGAGGAAACTAGACTCTAAGGGTAAAAAGAACAAGGGGAGGGAATCTGCCCTCGGGTGGGCAATGGGCAGCTCCAGGGAGAGGATTTGGAGTTGAGCCTGAGTGCTGGGACTGGGTGCTGCCCTGGCATCCCCACTCCCCTCCACCATCTTCTCTCCCTTTGGGCACAGTCAATAGGGAGCAAAACTGGCCTCAAGGTCAACATGTGACTAATAAACATAAATCAGAAAAGGTTCAACCTCACTAATAATGCAAGATATGTGTAATAATTAAAATAAGCTGCACTTTGGGAACAGTGGTGGGCCCCAGTCTGGTGGCGCCTGAGGTTTGTACAACTTGAGGGTCTCCTCTAAAGTTGGAGAAGAAAGAGATTGAAGTCTTACCTGATTGTGTTAAAAATGTCTAACCTTTGCAAAATTTTCCGTGTGTGTGTGTGTGTGTGTGTGTGTGTGTGTGTGTGTGTTTTAGATGGAGTCTCACTCTGTCGCCCAGGCTAGAGTATAGTGGCATGATCTCGGCTCACTGCAACCTCTGCCTCCCAGGTTCCAGTGATTCTCCAGCCTTGGCCTCCTGAGTAGCTGGGATTACAGGCGTGTGCCACCATGCCCAGTTAATTTTTGTATTTTTAGTAGAGATGGGGTTTTACCATGTGGGCCAGGCTGGTCTCGAACTCCTGACCTCAAGTGATCTGCCCGCCTTGGCCTCCCAAAGTGCTGGGGTTACAGGTGTGAGCCACCACGCCCAGCCACCTTGCTAAGTTTTCAAAAACCTATGTGAATACATTTCCAAGACCTTGGAAGGACCCAGGTTTGGGGAAGGGATGAGGTTGGGGAGCTGAAGTTTAAGTCTCAGTGGCTTCAGAATAAATGCAGCTTTGCTGGGGAGAGTTTGAAACAGGGGGAGATCTGGGCAAAAAACGTGCTAAATGAGTTTTTCTTTGCTCATTTGTCATCACAACATGTAATTCTCTGGGTACGTCTCAAGATGTAAATGATTCGGATTTCAGTTTTATTTTAAATTACCCAAATTATTATACTGTACTAGAGAAGACAGAAAACCTGAAGGCAATCACTTCTCAGGATCTTTACAAAGGAAATATCCAAGTGTCACACCTTATTATTTTAATAACAAAATGGTGATATATTAAAAGCAAATCTTGATGTTCAACTTTTCAAAGTTATGATCCCACTGCAGAATGATAATTAATATTCTTTACTTTCAGGAGCACTTTTAGGAAAATACAGACTGAGTGAGGACAGGCAAACTTATATGCCGGGTGGTGAATTTTAAAGCAAAGAAAGCCAATGCTATTAAGATGAAAATAATTGCGTATGATTTTGAATCTTAAAGCATTACCATATGTTACTTGGAACTCCCAACATTAGAAAAAATGTAGGAATGGAAAAAAAGTCTGTTTCATTTTTAACCATTTATTTCTTGAGATGATATTGGACCATGCTTTGTTTGTTTTTATAATTTCAACTTTTATTTTGCATGCAGAGGGTACATATAGAACATGGTTTTAAAATGCACATCAATAGCAGCTTCAGCTTTTCATAATTATAAGAAGACTTATTTAAAAATTCTATAGTATTTTTGCAGTTACAAATTTCCAGGGACTAACGGCAAACAAACAACAAATAAAAACAAAAGAAGCTGTAACCAATGAGCTGCAAAAACCACCACCACCACCACCACAAAGACAATTACTGTAGAAGACAAGGATAAAAATGAAGACTTAAGATGACTCTGAAGGTTGAAGGGTTAATTCAGGGTCACTATTAAATAAGAATATGAAAATCCATTGTCACTTAATTATCTGGTTTATGCAACCTGAGAACTCAAGCTATATTAAAAACCTAATAATGCGGGGCAGTGACCTGGGCTTCAGTAGATCATGAATCTTTCACCATTCAAATTAAGGGTGCGTTACTAACACTGATCTTTTTGCATGCTTCACTTCAGCTATTTAATTAAAAATGCCAATAGCCTAAAGGCCAGATAACTTTTCAGAAATCAAAAAATGTTAGCATTTGTTGCCCTGTCTTCAATCTGTTTCTCAGATCCACTGAAGTTGTTTCCTGTAGGTTGACAAATGATCTGGCAAACACTATGTATGAATTATATCCAGACTGGCCATATTCTGGATATCAACTATATCTAAGATTTCTACCAAATTCTGTTCAGCCTTTCCAACGTAACACGGCAAGTCAGGGAGAGACTAAACCTAAAAGTCCTTCCTTGGCACTGAAGGTCGGCTGGATCCCCAGAACTTTAAATCTTTGGGTCTCCCAGAGTTCCTGATTCATTTTCAGGTGCCTTTCACCTTGTTACCTGAGCCTACAGTGCAGAGTCAAGAAGCCATCTCAGAAGGTGTTCAATTAATAGAGAAGGCTCCCAGCTGGAGGGGATTTATATGTTCTATTCAGTTAATGAAAACAACCCTTTAAAAGCTATATTTGAAAAATTCAACTAGGGTTCATTCATTCATTCAACTTAAGATTGCCAGATTAAATACAAGACACTCAGTGAAACCGGAATTTCATGTAATAAATTATTTCTTAGTACAAGTGTGTCCCAAATAATGCATGAGATATATTTATACTAAAGAAATACTATGTCATTTTCTTAAAAATCGAATTTATCTGGGTGTTATATATCTTTATTTGCTAAGTCTGGCAATTCTAACTCAATCTTATACTAATAATAGCCAGCAACAATACCTACATAGCACTGACTACACTTGGCACTTAAAATGTTTGATGTGTTTTTAATTCTTGCAACAACCTCATAAGATAGGTATTATTTCCATTTTTCAGGTATGATGTGAAACTGGAAGCACAGAGGAATCAAACAAACATTGTCTTATGAAATTCAGTATCTTCCACCTGAATGCCTAAAGCCTGGATGGTTGCCTATCTTGCAGAGATGGGCAGGGCCAAGGTTTTCCACAGAAAACAGTTCTGAGCTGCTTGAACATAAGGACAAATGCTTGATCAAGGTCCTTAACAATTTTTGGCATGGAGTGTTGTTGTATAATTGTAGCCTGGAAAATATTCACAGCAGGTGTTACCAATTGCCCTCATAAGGATATTGAATTTTAAGAAATTAAATTCTGGGTGAGTCTTCCAAGATAAACTGGCTGCAACGCATGCCTCTTAGTAGCAGCCATGGTTTGAATGTTTGCCTCTTCCCAGACTCACAGTGAGATCTGATTGCCATTATAATGGTATAGGGAGAGGAGACCTTTGAGTGGTGATTGGGCTGTGAGGGCTCTGTCCTCCAGAATGGATTAATGTCGTTATCATGGAGTGGATTCATTGGTAAGTTCAGACCCCTTTCTCTCTTTCTCTCACTCTGCTGCCTTTCGCCATATGATGACATATCAAGAAGGCCCTCACCAGATACTGGTATCTTGATATTGAACTTCCCAGACTAAAGAACTTTGAACCAATAAATTTGTTTATGATAAATTACTCATTCTCAAACATTCTGTTATAGAAGAACAAAGTCAACTAAAACAATAGCTGATGATTTGACCTGCTATTTGTTTGACATACGCTATTCAATTGAGCTCCAATGACCCCAAAAATGAAGATTTCTGTTTTAACATAATTTCATTTATTATGCACTTCCCATGTGTCAGATCTAGGAAAACCAAAGATACCTAAGGCAGAGATCGAAAAAAAACCAAACCAAAAAAACAAAACAGACAAAAAAAACCACATTGAGAGAATTTAAATGTAATATATTGAATGTTAGGATAGAGATACAGGCAGAATCTACACAAAGGCAGAGCAGAGCAGGGTGATGCATCTCCAAATTAAGGGGCTATAAGGATGTCTTTGTGGAGGAAATGATGGCTGAACTAAACCGTAAGGAATGAAAAAGTGTTCATGGGGCAGGAAGTGCGGAAGGTGATTGTAGGTGAAGAAAACAGAAAAATGGAGAGAACCTTGTCTCTCATCATCATTAGGTAGCTAGATCCATCATCCTTTGTGTAAATTTCTCGTGGAAAAAAAAAAAAGCCACAGGTACAGCCCAGAGGAGAATGTCTGGTTCTGTGCAATGTCAGGAGACTACGAGAAGGAGCACAGTTTTACTCTGTTATTTCAAGACTCTCCTCATTTTAACATTATTTTTGATAGTACTGAAATAGCCTAGGCATACGACTAGGTCTCAGGGTATGTTGCATGGAGCAAAGACAAAGTCACAGAAAATGTTGGTGCTGGCCAGGTGCGGTGGATCATGCGTGTAATCCCAGCACTTAGGGAGACTGAGGTGGGCAGATCACTTGAGGACAGGAGTTTGGGACCAGCCTGGCCAACATGGTGAAACCCCGTCTTTACTGAAAATACAAAAATTAGCTGGGCATAGTGGCAGGTGCCTGTAATCCCAGCTACCCAAGAGGCTGAGGCACAAGAATCACTAGAACCCGGGAGGTGGAGGTTGCAGTGAGCAGAGATCACGACACTGCACTCCAGCCTGGGTGACAGAGTGAGACTTTGTCTCAACAAAATAAAAAAAGAAAATGTTGCTGCTATCTTTCCTCATTCTGTACTTAAAAGATGGAATTCTACACCCTATAGACGCTATTTTCTCGAAGTACAAAAGTTTTTAAAGCTAAATACTTTCTCTGAGAGTTTCTCAACTTTAGACATTTAGCATTAGATAGGGAGTCTTTAAAATGTTTTCAAATGTGAACTCTCTCTAGTATTTTCATGTTAAGCTGTCGGTAAGGAGTGAAAATAAAGACTTCGAAAAGAACTGGAGCTGATGTTGGTTAGACATCCCAAAATATCACAAAAACGTTGGCTTCAATGTATTTAATTTTGCCCCTTAAGAGAAGTCTTATTCTAGGCCTGGTGCCTGTTACCTAGCGAAGAAATGTTGGCTGTGTCCTCAAACTTCCAACTCCCATCTCATAATTTTAAGTTCACAAAAAAATCTCCTTAAGGAAGCTTATAGGATATACTTCAGGCACAGGGCAATGAGCGCTAGCCCGGTAATCAATGAAACCCGGGTTTGCTCCTGGTTTTGTTTCTTACTTGGGCAAATCAAACCGTTGAGTTTCTCCTTTTCTTCCTCTCTAAAATAAGACAACTGAAGTTGACACTTAGTCTAAAGAATTCTAATGCTATAACTTGAGCTGTTAGATGGTATTACTTTTACCTGGTTGCATTTCAAATCTTTGGCAATTTAGAAAAACCATATGAGAACAGGGATAGTATCCAGGGAACAGATGACAATGCCTTCCACCCATCCTAATGTATAGGAATTTAGAAATTAAGAAACACTTAAAATAAAATTTCCATAGCTTTATATATTACAACAGAAGTGAGAATAATTAGTATTTCTGATACAAACATGACAGGTCTACTTTATTCAAACGCACAGGTGAGTTCTTTCTGTTGGCTAGAAGCTGGTGAAAACCTCTAACAATTCTAAATAAGCAAATTACAAAGTTGCTCTACTAATGAGTTGTAAGATCTATTTGATATTTTACAACAATGTATATGGTGTTTTAATGAATTGAGACCTTATATTCCATATAAAGTTTTTTTTTTCTTCCAAATAAAGATGGTTTTACTGTTTTACTGGACCAAGTTCAGATAATATTAACATTCCTGGACAAATTCCAAACTTTCTTTGGTTTTTAGTAATCATATAGGAATAAGAGTGACTACAACAGTTCTATTAATACATTTACTTCTGTCAGAAGCCGTATTAGCAAGCATAACAAGGAAACATAAGAAAATAAACACTGAAAATTGGACTTTTAAGGCATCCGTCATAGCTTATGGATTTTATTAACTAAATGCCAAAATAATTAAATTACTGTGAAATTTTTACTAAATGTTTATTATTTACTTTGGCTTAAAATAAAAAACCCATTGAGTTTATAATATCTCATGTTCCAAAATTAATATATTTGATTTACGAAAATAAAAACATATCGCAATGAATTAGGTTCACATCTGAAATTCACAGACTGGCTTTGACACTGCTTGTGCATTTTGGAAACTCTTCTAGCTTCTCAGAATCTTGGTTTCAAAACTGAAAAGATTGGCCTGACAATTTTAAAACTGTCTTCAAGCTATGAAAGTTTATGATTCAGGAAACAGCTTTCAAAAACTACTGAGAGGACCCTGAAACTCTTCTGCTAGATCGATTCCAAATATCTAGTGTAAAAAACATCCAGTGTTTTCCAACATGACTCAGTGGGTGAGACTGGGTTTTTTAAGACCAAGCAAAACCGATAAAGGAAGCTTAGAAGGTTTGTCTTCCATGAAAAAGAAAATTGCTATTGTCTTAAATAAACAGAAGGTATGTTTTCCTTTGAATTGCACTTAGCTTTTTAATAGCTAATTTCAGCTACAGAAAACCTTTTTTTTTTCTATTTTAATTAAGTTTTCAATCTGGAACTTTCTTGAGAAAGGCACTTTAGCAACTCTGAAGAACAGTAGAGGGCGCCACGGTCACAAGCAAAGCAAACAAACAAAAACGTTGGCATCACAGACTGGGCCGGGAAGTGCCGAGGAGTACACCTGAGAAAATAAGCCACAGTCAGGTAGGAACAACACATTTTCAAAATGCATTTGGGAAACTGCCAGTGAAAATGGTCCACGTTTTTCTCTTTTTTTTTTTTTTTTGAGACGGAGTCTTGCTCTGTTGCCCAGGCTGGAATGCAGTGGCGTGATCTCTGCCCACTGCAACCTCCTCCTCCCGGGTTCAAGCAATTCTCCTGCCTCAGCCTCCCGAGTAGCTGGGATTACAGGCACGTGCCACCACGCCCAGCTAATTTTTATATTTTTAGTAGAGACGGGGTTTCACCATGTTGGTCAGGCTGGTCTCGTTGGTCAGGCTGGTCTCGAACTCCTGACCTCAAGTGATCCGCCCGCCTCAGCCTCCCAAAGTGCTGGGATTACAGGCATGAGCCACTGTGCCCGGCTAAAATGGTTTACGTTTAATCTCAGCATCCATTTCCAGATCAAGTGCTAGGATTCTCGTTCTTGAATATTTTCTGGGGCATTTCATTCACTTCGGGACACTGTATTTGAAAGGGGAGACAATGCCAGGTCAAAGTGTGCTCAGGGCAGGTGGAACTGGAGGCAGAAAGAGGGTGGGTCTTTGAGGAGTCACTGAAGAGAGGCTGGGTCATTGAAGGCTAGAATCCTTGGAGTGGCATCTTTGTACATTTGAGATGGTCTCACGTGAGACATCAATACGGCTTGCTGGAGGGCACAGGTTTAGGGCAGATGAAACTCACAGGAGGGCAGGTCTGGGTTAACTGAGCTAAAGAGCTTTCAAGCCACTAGAGCAACAGAGCTGCCCACAGTTGAGTCAGATTAACCTGGGAAGCCTCCAAGTAATGGCTACCAGCACCACATTCACAGATCTCAAAATTTATGAAACTGATGAGAGGTTGGATTTGATAACTAAGAGTCTACAAATCTACAGCATTAATTACACTTGTCATTAGGTCAAATTACAGAGTCTGATTTTCTTCTAGGAAATATGTGTGAGATTACACATGCTTTGAAACATAAACCCATTATTTCCAAATGACAGGTTATAATGACTGTGATGAGCTCAGAGATTTGTTATTGAAACAAACTAATGATTATACTTGTTAAATTAAGTATGGGAATGATTAAAGAATTTGCTAATAGATATTCCCTGTTGACACACATTGGACTCAGTGGAGTGTCTGGTTATAATGTACATGTGTCTACTCATTCACAAATAAGCACATACACCCACAAAGACACTCACATTTATATGCAGAAAAATAGAAAACGGCTTATACGGCAACAGGCATTCCTCTTGTGAGGTACATCAGACCCGTCTAGTTATCACAAGAGGTAATGCAAATGCATTTAAAGGTTGATTCCTTGGGTTTGAATCCAGCCTTTATGTTTTATTGACTGCGGGGCCCTGGACAACTTAATTTATCTCAGTGGTCCCTGGAATGGTGGTATGGTCATAAGCATCACCTGGACACTTGCTAGAAATGCAGATTCTCAGGCCCCACTGTGGCCCTCCCAAATCAGAAAACCTGGTGGTGAGACCCAGAGATCTATTTCAACAAGCCTTCTAGGTGATTTACTATGCACGCTAACATCTGGGAACTCCTATTCTATCTCTGTGTGCCTTAGTGTCCTCATTCATAAAATGGGGGCAAATCAGGTTATTTTGAGATATGAGCTAACGCACATCTACAGTGATGAGAACAGTGCATGGTACCTGCTAAGCCATATGAAAGGGTGGGCTGATATTACTATACTAACCTTAACGCCCTGCAAGAAAAAAAAAAAAAAAAAAAGAGCAACCAGCTCAAATGTTCATCCGGTTTAGGAATAGACAAATGAGGAAAAGTGCTATTGGGCTAAGTACGATAATTAAAATAATGAGACCCACTGGAATGTGGAATGGAGAAATATCCAGGCTTCTTAATCCAGGGCTTACAAGAATTTCTAGGGAGGAAAGGCTGGTCAAGCTGCCCTGGAAAGCAGCCTGTTGCCCTCATTGCCTGAGTCTGCACACTCCACTTTTGCATGTTTCTTTTATGTTTTGTTTTGTTTTTGAGATGGAGTCGTGCTCTGTCACCCAGGCTGGAGTGCAATGGTGTGATCTCGGCTCACTGCAACCTCTGCCTCCTGGGTTCAAGCGATTCTCCTGCCTTAGCCTCCTGTGTAGCTGGGACTATAGGCACGTGCCACCAAACCCAGCCTATTTTTTTTTTTTTTTTGTATTTTTAGTAGAGATGGGCTTTCACCATGTTAGACAGGATGGTCTCGATCTCCTGACCTCGTGATTCGCCTGACTCAGCCTCCCAAAGTGCTGGGATTACAGGTGTGAGCCACCACACTGGGTCTCACTTTTGCATGTTTTAGGGGACATGATTTGGTTGAAAGCTAGTCCACACCAAACCCTACAGAAAATGGTTTTTACTGAGGCAGCAAACAGAGCTTGGTCTCAAATATTAGGCTCTCATGTCCACTCCCGAGATAGAAGTTAACTGGGAGCTTGGCAGTTCTTTGTAACTGAGAAATTAGAGATTAGCTAATTCAGGCACCATAAGGATAAGGGGGAAATGAGGACCTTGGAGATGTTCAGCTCATACTCCCAACAGCTCAGAAAAGTCCCTGCTGCTTTCTCCTTTGAGAGGAAGTAGAGCTTGGTGGGGATGAGTGAGGGCTCTGGAATTTCTTTACACTTAAAATCTGGAAAGTCTTTCATCTCAGATTTCCAAATGTGTAAGCCATGGATAGTGGTTATGGTGACAATTATATTACTTCCTCATAGAACTGTGAGCCTCAGATAAGAGAAAGAATAAACTGATAACCACCAAGCAAGTCCTTAATAGGCACTCACTGTTGCTGAATTATTGATTTTCACAGCTAAGTAAAATGATGTTCTGAGAGGTTAAGTAAATTGCCCAACATCCAACTGCCATTCAGCAGCAGGGGTGGAATTCCAAGCTGGGGCCACTGGCCTCTAGAATGAATGTCCTTCTCCCTGTGCGACGGGTTTTTGAGAGCTGTCATGTTACAGCAACCTAAGATTGGGCTCTCTCAGGAATTCTATGAGATGTAACTCACACACAATCATGTAATTAAAAAGAAATCTTCACAACAGGAAGACTGATGCTAATAACCTAAAAAAATTAATTTATAAAAAGATATTTCTAAAAAAATTATTTTATGAAAAGATATTTCTATACATTTTATGAAAAGGTAGTATAAGTAAAATGACTCCAGTTTGTGAAATTCCCAGTGATTTCTTACCTTTGGAAATAAACTCACAATAAAGCTATCTAACAAACCATTTACTGGGGACCTACCATGTGTCCGACTCTATTCAGTGGGATGGGGGAGCAAAGTTGAATAAGCGGTATCCTTGCCATCAGGAAGACAGTACTGCAGTAGGACAGCAGCCCAGTTCCACGACAGCACTTAATACCGCAGACCATGACACTGGGATTTGCGGGGTGGTGGAGGGGTGTGCAGGCATCTGTATTTTCTAAAAGCTCTTTAGATGACAAGGACAGAGCCAGAGCAAGGGTGGAGTTTGGGGGTGTGGGATGAGTGTAGCCAAGTTGCTGCAACATGACAGCTCTCAAGAACACATTGCACAGGGAGGAGAACATTCATTCTAGAGTCAGGGTCCAGAACCGTGGTATTCATTCTTTCTTCACCGGTCTGTGTGGAGCCAGGCATTCCCTTTCCTAACCAGTCATTTTTTTGATGCGGAGAAATCCAGAACTAACACTAGATCTTGGGGTGTGGTCAAGTCCTCAAAAAGAAAAGCATACATAAGACTCAGAGGAGATAATTCACTTGAAAGGAAACAGGAAAACTGAAATTGGATGCTGTGGAAGAAACCCACAAACATCCAGGAGACAAGGAGGAACCAGGGAGGCATCTTGCATGGGGCTTGACCTAGAGGGAAGGGGAGGAAGAGAGATGGGAGAGGCTGCACCAAGTTTAAGTGATTATATAAGAAAAGTAAAAGGCCAGTGAAAGGCGGGGTAAGACAGGGGAGAATTAACAGAGCCCTCTTGGGAGAGAGGATGGGATGGGATCCAGATCAGGTGCTGGGAGGACCCTCCAGGGAAAAAGGGGTCCCTCCCAATGACAGTGCCTGAGGAGGTGAGGACACACACAGACAAGAACAGAGCCAGAGCAAGGCTGGAGTGTGGGAGTGTGTGGTGAATGTAGCCCTATAATGAATGGCGCAGGTGCCCACAAGAGGCCTGGGCAGTCAACAGCTTTCTTCTTCCATAAAATCATGGGAAAGGAGCTTCTAATGCTAAGTGTGAGGGGCTGGAGTTCATCCCACCAGCAAACAAACAAGGACTCCATGTTTTTGCATTGCAATCCTCATATTTCTTTTCCCTAGACTCTGAATAACAGAGCTGGTCAGTTTTCATTCTAGAATTCAATATGGAGGCAGCCTGGCCTCCCAATATTGTTTTGAAAAGGAGGAGAAATCACCAGAAGAGCTTTGCTGCAGGCCATAGTTTCTGTATTCTACCACTGAAGATGAACAACCACCACTCAAGCTGGGATACCACGACTCAGCTCATCCCTCCTTCTGAAGTAGCTATTCTCTCTGAAGGTTTCCTTTCCGGCATTAGAACTCAGACAGGGCTTGTGCGGTGAAGTACAGGGCTGGTGGCCACAGGTGTGTCCTCTTGGGGCTGCTTAGATGTCCTAACGAAGAATCTTTAATTTGCAAACTGGTTGATATCAAACGCACTCCATGCTTTTGTGGCTTTCATTGTGATGGTTTTAAAAGGGTATCTGATACTAAGAAATATATTGTCTTTTACTAGAAACACTTTCCCCCTCCTTTGCCCTTTGTTTTCAAATATCAGATTCAAAGGGAACAGAAAAAAGGTATTCTTTCATTTTGTCTCCAGTTTTTTAAATATGTTGAGAACACTCTTGGAATGCAGTACACAAATGCTTAGCAGTAATCATAATGATAACATAATAGGTGTTTTTTAAATTTTAGTTTAGATTTCCAAACATCCAGATGTTTGGCCTTCGCTCACAGTATCTAGATGACTGATCACATTTTTTTTTCAGTTTTCATACAGCTACAGACCTTTATGGAGCCACAACTCTTTCAGGTGCAACAGTATAATTAGAAATTAAAATTATTCACCTATCTTACAGGATCCCTGAGAGCAAATGAAGGCTTGCGGGCCAACTCCCACCCAGGCCATTTCTGTACCTATAGTCTCTGGCTATTTTCATGCTACAAGGCAGAGCTGATGGAGTAGCTGCGACAGAGATACTATGGTTTGCAATGCAGAAAATTATTTACTATTTGGTTCTTTGCAGAAAAAGTTGGCCAATCCTTTATGTAGGTCATCTCCTTTCCTTAGCTAATTGGCTTCCCTATGATTGTCTTTTGGAAGTTATCATAAATCAGTATACTTTATATGGACATTAACGATAAACAACACTAGAGGATACACTCATGATTGTGGCCATTGCTCAGAGGCAAGCTTAATGGAGTTTAGTATTTAGGAGGCCATTGGGTTAACTGCTCTTCATCTCGGAAATCATTATGTATTCAGTGAGGAAAATGGCTAATTTCAGATGCACAGGTATATGAATAACTAATATGTTCTTCTTCATTTCTATTTTTATAATTTATCCCATGGGAATTTTAAATCTCTCTCTCTCTCACACACACACACACACACACACACACACACACACACACACGAAATAATGGGACATTCAGATTAACTCCAATATAAAAATTTAAGTCCCATAAAATTTTATTATGTAGATTTTACTAATATGCTTATTTAATTACCAATGTTAAATTGACTTGTAGATACAGGAAGCTAAGAAATAAGAAACATATTTTAAAATACTTACTTGATTATTTTTTCTATATCACTTAAAACTTTAAATTTTGTAAAAGTTACCTTTTTAAATGGTTATTAAAGATTTTTTAAAAGAAAGGATTCATTTGGCTACCTTAATACTCAAAATTTCTAACAAATCTGAATCACTATTAGCCAAAAAACTTAGAAATGGGCTTCCCCAGGAAGACATATGGATAAGAAGGGATGGTACAATGTTTTCTCTTCTGTTTTAATGTCTCATAGTTTAAAGTGATCCTTTCTCACTAGTTTGAAAAACAGGAGGAAAAAGCCACTGTATCTCTAGCGTCTACAGGTTCTTATTTCTCTTTGGAAGATGGCCTGGGAATCTCTCCTAGTAAAGAAAAGTGTTTTCTCAGATTTTACCTCCTTCACAAATAACACGCACACACCACACATACACACACACCTACAAAAACACATATGCACACATGCATACACACAACTTACTAGATTAATATGATACTAACATTTTACATATGGGTCAAAATTCATCTTGTACTGGAGATGAAGAATGACAGCAATGCCTGCCATATCCCCAGCTCCTAAAAGTTACAGACTCACTTCATGCCTCCTAAGCGCTAGGTGACTCTATCTTGTATGGAATTGCTCTAAGGAAAGCACAAACATCTGAGGCTGGATCATGGAGACACATGGTTTCCTTCGCCCTTGTATTAGTTCGTTTTCATACTGCTGTGAAGAAACACCTGAGACTGGGTAATCTGTAAAGAAATAGAGGTTTAGTGGACTCGCAGTTCCACATGGCTGGGGAGGCCTCACAATCATGGCGAAAGGTGAAGGAGGTGCAAAGGCATGTTTTACATGGTGGCAGGCAAGAGGGCTTGTGCAGGGGAACTGCCTTTTATGGAACCATCAGATCTCATGAGACTTATTCACTGTTATGAGAGCAGCATGGGAAAAACCACCCCCATGACTCAATTACCCCCCACTGGGACCCTTCCATGACACATGGTGGGTAATAGGAACTACAATTCAAGATGAGATTTGGATGGGGACATAGCCAAACCATATCAGCCCTTATTTCTCAGATTACTCTGTCAGTATCCAATCTCTAAATCCCAGCCTATAATTTCTCACCTATTTGATCATCACTGTTATATCCTAACACTAAACTCTCCTTATCTATTACTAATAGGCTAGGAAACTTGATCAGCTAGTCAGGGATTGTGATTCAGACATAAGTGAAATATCATTGCCTTTTTTAAAAAAAAAAAAAGTTAGCAAAAGTCATGCATTTAGGAAAGAAGGTTTCCACTGCATTGTTTGTCCTTAAAAGACTATTTGTCTGCTTCTTGGGACCTGTCCATCTGTCATCAACAAAGCCTCAGATATTCCCTCTCACTATGTTTTCAAAGTTGTAAGGGATGTCATTCTCATTATACAGTTAGAAAAACTGGGGTTCAGTCAGAGTAAACGATTTGTCCAAAGTTTATAGTAGAATCTGGGCCTGCTCCCAGGTCTTTGGGCTCTAAGCCCCACAAACTTACCATTCCCTCACCATCAGCCACATAACTTTGCATGGAGCTAAGGAACAAAAACAACCTACACAGAAATTCGGAGAGGTGTGTTTGTAGTTTTAAACAGAGACTGATTTGTTTTTAACAAAAGTGGATTTGTTTTGTTGACAAAAGTGGAATTTTATTTTCTGACAAAATTCTTAATATGATTAATTTACTCCGAAAATGTGTATAGATTATCAACACTGTTGCCATCACAATAAAAAATTAAGCAGCTTTTCAAATTTACAGTTACAAAAAGTTCAGAGGTTAAATACTTTTTATTTGTATTCCAAAGAACAGAACAGAGTAGTAGACAGATTGAAAGGAACATAAGATATTTTAATTATTTATTTCCACCAGTTAATTTTTTTATTTCAGTAGCTTTAGGGGTACAAGTGTTTTTATATGGATGAATTGTATAGTGGTGAAATCTGAAATTTTACTGCATCTGTCACTGGAGTCATGTACATTACATGTACGTGTACCCAATATGTAGTTTTTAACCCTTCCCCACTTCACCTCCCCACTTCTGAGTCTTCAATGTCCATTATACCACTCTGTATGCTTTTGCATACCAATAGCTTAGCTCCCACTTGTAAGTGAGAACTTAGGGTATTTGGTTTTCCATTCCTGAGTTACTTCTCTTCGAATAATGGCTTTCAGCTCCATCCAAGTTGCTGCAAAAGACTTACTTTGTTCTTTTCCATGGCTGAGTAGTACTCCATGGCACATATATATATATATATACACACATATATATATATACATACCAGATTTTTTCTATTCACTCATGGGCTGATGGGCACTTAGGTTCATTTCATATCTCTGCAATTGTGAATTGTGCTGTGATAAACATATAGGTGCAGGTGTCTTTTTCCTATAGTAACTTCTTTTCCTTTTCCACCAGTTAATTTCGGAGTACTTTCTAACAGTGATGAGGTCAAGCATAAAGAAATGATAATAACTTGTATTATAATAATTTATTTTTGAGCAGCCAAACATTTTCTAACACCTAATATATTTTAATTATGACTTCTATCTAAATCATTAGGTAGATGTGGAAATTTTGCATCACGTTGGTGAGAATGCTGCAGCACGTTTCACATATAAACATATTTTCATAGCTCTTTCCAGACAGTTTGAAATGAAACATACTACAAATTAATCTAAAATAAATTTTCTCAAATATAGCCATTGGTTATCACCTTACTAAAAACACCCTCAGCCAAAACTCAGCATCTAGCCATTTGATTTAGTACAGGCTACTGAGGTCTGATGAAAGCAAGAAAGTGTGAAAATTTAAAACCCTTAAAGCAAATATAGGACATTTTATAGGTGATGAAAATAATTGAGTATAAATCCTGTATTTTATTTCAATTTCTCACAAAATTGTCCTGTCCTAAATAGTCAAGTATCTTGATTGAGTAGATTCTTTAATGTTCCAGAAATAATCTATCAAGGCAGAATTTTCCCATCAGCAGCAGATGACTCTCATCACCTTCAAATATTTCTCATTAAATAGGGATTAATTCACGAACCCCCACTCTGCTAAGGACCTACTGTACATATGCAATAGTTTAGGAAAAGTTGCTAACATCATTATTAAAGGCACTAATGTCCCAAAGAGCTTAGCAAGTTTGCCTGCATAATGCGTCCATAAAGAACTCTGTTTCCATGGAGGTTGGACAGCTATTTTATGTTGAAACTCTATTCAAAGTTGTACATTTGTGTTTCCTTGCCTCCAAGAAGCATCTCATTGGATCCCTTCCTTCATTCCTTTCAATCAATGAGATAATTAGCTGCAAAAAATATTATCAAATGCCAATAGTTACAGAGAAAGAGAAATATTCCAATAGTACCTCCAAAACTGGAGTGAGAAAGTTGCTGGAAAAATTGGTACCAACTGGTTGGTAGAACACAAAAATGTAAAGTCATAATTAAGAATTGTTAAATACACAAAGAAAAGTCCTGCCTCAATTAAGAGTGCATTTTGGACATGGTATGGAGTTGGAAATAATTGCTTATCAGAGAGGGGCTCACCAGTGGGGCTGCTTAGGATCAGGGAGAGGTCAATCAGCAGCCCTCAAACAACACTAGTGAAATGCAGGGCCATTCATACAGCGCCAGGCCACTGCTGTGCTCTACCCAGCCGGTGTTCCAAGAAAAATATGGTGGGATGTTAAAGGTGTAAGCAATTGGGGTGGGTAAGAAGTTTTTCAGTTTTTGTTTTCAGCAAAGCCAGAATCCTGTAGTCTTTTCTTGGAGATTCCTAATGCATAGTAGCATATTAAAGGAATTATTAAATTTGGTATCACAAAGTATTTCTCAAACCAATCTGATCATGGAACATTTTTTTAAATTCTACCATTAAAAAAAATTTTTTTACAATGCAAAAATTGTTTTTATTTCCATGTCATAAAAACCAAGTTTTCTTTTTTTAATATATATATACTTTAAGTTCTGGGATACATGTGTAGAACATGCAGATTACATAGGTATACATGTGCCATGGTGGTTTGCTGCACCCATCGACCCATATTTTACATTAGGTATTTCTCCTAATGCTATCCCTCCCCTAGTCCTCCAACCCCAACAGGCCCCAGTGTGCGATGTTCCCTTCCCTGTGTCCATGTGTTCTCATTGTTCGACTCCTACTTAAGAGTGAGAACATGCAGTGTTTGGTTTTCTGTTTCTGTGTCAGTTTGCCGAGAATGATGGTTGCCAGCTTCATCCATGTCCCTGCGAAGGACACGAACTCATCCTTTTTTATGGCTGCATAGTATTCCATGGTGTATATGTGCCACATTTTCTTTATCCAGCCTATCATTGATGGGCATTTGGGTTGGTTCCAAGTCGTTGCTATTGTGAATAGTGCTGCAATAAACATATGTGTGCATGTGTCATTATAGTAGAATGATTTACAATACTTTGGGTATATACCTAGTAAAGGGATCGCTGGGTCAAATGGTATTTCTGGTTCTAGATCCTTAAGGAATCATCACACTGTCTTCCACAATGGCTGAACTAATTTACACTCCCACCAACAGTGTAAAAGCATTCCTATTTCTCCACATCCTCTCCAGTATCTGTTGTTTTCTGACTTTTTAATGATTGCCATTCTAACTGGTGTGAGATGGTATCTCATTGTGCTTTTGATTTGCATTTCTCTAATGACTAGTGATGATGAGCTTTTTTTTCATGTTTGTTGACCGCATAAATGTCTTCTTTTGAGAAGTGTCTGTTCATATCCTTCACCCACTTATTGATGGGGTTGTTTATTTTTTTTCTTGTAAATTTGTTTAAGTTCTTTGTAGATTCTGGATATTAGCCCTTTGTCAGATGGGTAGATTGCAAAAATTTTCTCCCATTCTGTAGGTTGCCTGTTCACTCTGATGATAGTTTCTTTTGCTGTGCAGAAGCTCTTTAGTTTAATTAGATCCCATTTGTCAATTTTGGCTTTTGTTGCCATTGCTTTTGGTGTTTTAGACATGAAGTCCTTGCCCATGCCTATGTCCTGAATGGTACTGCCTAGGTTTTGTTCTAGGAATTTTAAGGTTTTAGGTCTTACATGTAAGTCTTTAATCCATCTTGAGTTAATTTTTGTATAAGGTGTAAAGAATGGGTCCAGTTTCAGTTTTCTGCATATGGCTAGTCAGTTTTCCCAATATCGTTTATTAAATAGGGAATCCTTTCCCCATTTCTTGTTTTTGTCAGATTTGTCAAAGAGCAGATGGTTGTAGATGTGTGGTGTTATTTCTGAGGCATCTGTTCTGTTCCATCAGTCTGTATATCTGTTTTGGTACCAGTACAACGCAAGACAAGGATGCCCTCCCTCACCACTCCTATTCAACATAGTATTGGAAGTTCTGTCCAGGGCAATCAGGCAAGAGAAAGAAATAAAGGTATTGAAATAGTAAGAGATGAAGTCAAATTATCTCTGTTTGCAGATGACATGATTGTATATTTAGAAAACCCCATCATCTCAGCCCAAAATCTCCTTAAGCTGATAAGCATCTTCAGTAAAGTCTCAGGATACAAAATCAATGTGAAAAAATCACAAGCATTCCTATACACCAATAACAGACAAACAGAGAGGCAAATCATGAGTGAACTTCCATTCACAACTGCTACAAAGAGAATAAAATACTTAGGAATACAACTTACAAGGATGTGAAGGACCTCTTCAAGGAGAACTACAAACCACTACTCAAGGAAATAAGAGAGAACACAAACAAATGGAAAAACATTCCATGCTCATGGATAGGAAGAATCAATATCATGAAAATGGCCATACTGCCCAAAGTAATTTATAGATTCAATGCTATCCCCATCAAGGTACCACTGACATTCTTTACAGAATTAGAAAAAACTACTTTAAATTTCATATGGAACCAAAAAAGACCCCGGATAGCCAGGACAATCCTAAGCAAAAAGAACAAAGCTGGAGGCATCATACTACCTGACTTCAAACTATACTACAAGGCTACAGTAATTTTTAAAATTTTTTTAAAATTTTACTTTAAGTTCTGGGATACATGTGCAGAATGCGCAGGTTCGTTTCATAGGTATACATGTGCCACGGTGGTTTGCTGAACCTATCAACCCATCATCTAGGTTTTGAGCCCTATATACATTAGGTATTTTTCCTAATGCTCTCCTCCCACTTGTCCCCCATTTCCCCACAGGCCCCAGTGTGTGTTGTTCCCTTCCCTGTGTCCATGTGTTCTCGTTGTTCAACTCCCACTTATGAGTGAGAACATGTGGTGGTTTGTTTTTTTGTTCCTATGTTAGTTTGCTGAGAATGATGGTTTCCAGCTTCGCCCATGTACCCACAAAGGACCTGAACTTATTCCTTTTTATGGCTGCATAGTATTCCATGGTGTATATGTGCCACATTTTCTTTATCTAATGTATCATTGATAGGCATTTGGGTTGGTTCCAAGTCTTTGCTATTGTAAATAGTGCTGCAATAAACATATGTGTGCATGTGTCTTTAGAGTAGAATGATTTATAATCCTTTGGGTATATACCCAGTAATGGGATTGCTGGGTCAAATGGTATTTCTGGTTCTAGATCCTTGAGGAATCACCACACTGTCTTCCACAATGGTTGAACTAATTTACACTCCCACCAACAGTGTAAAAGCATTCCTATTTCTCCACAGCCTCACCAGCATCTATTGTTTCCTGACTTTTTAATAATTGCCATTCTGACTGGTGTGAGATGGTATCTCATTGTGGTTTTGATTTGCATTTCTCTAGTGATCACTGATGATCAGCTTTTTTTTCAAGTTTTTTGGCCATATAAATGTCTTCTTTTGCGAAGTGTCTGCTCATGTCCTTTGCCCACTTTTCGATGGGGTCATTTTTTTTCTCGTAAATTTGTTTAAGCATGGAACACTGTTATTGGCTGAATTGTACCCCTTCCCCAAAATCATATGTTAAAGTCCTATCCCCCAGGACCTCAGAATATGACTGTACTTGGATATAAGGTCTCTAAAAAGGTAAGTAACTTAAAGTGAGGTGTTAGGATGGGCCCTAATCCAATATGACTTCTGTTCTTATAAAAAGAGATTAGGACACAGGTATACACACACACAGAGAAGAGCACATCAAAATACTGGGAGAAGAGGACCATTTCCAAGCCAAGGAAAGACACTTCAGAAGAAACCAACTCTGCTGACACCTTCATCTTGGACTTTTCGACTCCAGAGCTGTGAGAAAATACATTTCCATTGTTTAAACACACCATCTGTGGTGCTTTGTTGTGGCAGTCTGAGAGACTAATAGACACACTTTAAAGATTCATCAGAACTGAATATGATCTCACAGCAAAAGTTCCCATAATCATAGAAAAGGGTGGAGAGGAGTACATCAAGCCCATGCCTATCTCACTTTTGCATCTGACCATAGGAGTTACTGATATCAGTAGGATGGTTAGTAACTGTAAAGCTCATAATTTCTCATAGGCTTGTGAGCTATAAATTTAGAGATCCTTCTGCAGTTTCTTTTAACTTTACTCAAGCATCAATTTGTGTGTTTGCTTTTGTTAGGAAAGATAGAAAGGATGAAAATGCCGATATGTTTCTATGTCTACATTTTCTTTGATTATTTACTTGAGAGATATGTGTTAAGTGCCTACTGGGAACCAAGAACTATGCTAAACAATGAAAATACAAAATAAATAAGAGAGATCTGTCCCTTGGATTTTAGAGTTGGGAAGAGAAAGAATGTATTAAACAAACACTATTACAATTTATTATTTCATTTCAGTTTTGGTAAGTATTATAAAAGAAAAATATGGTGGCAGCCGAATTATAACTAACAATATAACAGCTTTCAATGGACAAATCCAAGGCAGATAAAATAAAGATGCAAATAAAAAATTTGCAATTGTGGCATTCATATTAATAGGTTCAAATCTGTATTTCATGTTTTATACTTTTTTTTTTTTTTGAGACGGAGTTTTGCTCTTGTCACCCAGGCTGGAGTGCAATGGCAGGATCTTGGCTCACTGTAACCTCTGCCTCCTGGGTTCAAGTGATTCTCCTGCCTCAGCCTCCCAAATACCTGGGGTTACAGGTATGCACCACCACGCCTGGCTGGTTTTTGTATTTTTAGTAGAGACAAGGTTTCACCATGTTGGCCAGCCTGGTCTTGAACCCTTGACCTCAAGTGATCTGCCCACCTCGGCCTCCCAAAGTGCTGGGATTACAGGCATGAGCCACTGTGCCCGCTCATATACTTTTTAATATTAAATATGGTTCACTGATGATTATTCAATGGCACATGTTTATTCACCTTCTTGATATTATTTGTGGTGAGAAAGAACTAGAAAAAAATAAAAATAAGAAATAGACTTCAATTTTGAATATTTTAACTTCTATTATTTTTCACATAAATTGAAAAAAAGGATCATTGTTGTCTGATTTTATTCTTGATATGTATTTAAAGTTTAAAGAAATGAATACCCCACCAAAATAGATTAGAGTTATACTTGCTGAAATATTGAGCAAAATATTTTGTGTTTTCCAAAGAAATTCTAGGAATCCAGATTCACATGTGAATGTTGCACATATAAATGACATCTGCCATTTACACATTAGGGAAAAATGTCAGGATTTGCAGCTTTGGCTGATAAAATATCATAACTCTCAGATACTGTGTTTCAAACAGGCATGTTAACATTTATTAATGTATGCAAAATCAAAGTTATTTTCAAGTTGTCTTTTCTCATCTTTTGTCCTTCCATTTAGCTTAGTGCCTCAGAGTTCTGTTTCCTGTTTAACTAAATAATCTTACTCCCTCTTTTGCTGTAAACTGACTATCACTGGTCTATCAAAATGTTTAAAGCTTTTTTTTTTCTTTAAATTGATTTGTGCTTTCTAGGAGTATAAAGCATTTATGTGCACGAATGATTATTTTAATAACGATTAGTTCTTTGAGACTCTGGTGATAATACTAAAGGCTAATAGTTATTGAATGTCCACTCTATATTAGGCTCAGTGCCAAAACCTTACGTATCCCCTATCAAATTTATTCCACCTAACAACCCTATGAAGTTAATTCTATTATTGGTCTTCTCTCTTACTTTTTGTAGAAAGAAATATATTTTAGGGAGGGAAAGCAATTAGGATTTCAATCCAGGTCTGTTGGGTCCCGGGTTCTGTGCTTTTAACCACAGTGATCATTTCCTAATTAAGCAAGTGGAATGGTAACCCCTGAAGGAGTCTGCAAGTTCAAAGGCATGGACATTTCCCACAGGCAATCCCAAAGTTCAACGTTCAAATAACCATCTGGGTAAGGTATCCAAAAAATAGGCACACACCATCCTGCTTGAGAACAGGCGTCCACAGATGTTTGTGATATGCAGACATTGATGCACAACTTTTTTTTTAGGTTTAGCAACTTCCCATGATGATGATTGGTGGAGACCACTAGCAAGAAAATATTCCTGCAGAGTTAAATCTATGACATTGGTTTAAAATCAAAGTAGGGCAGTTCCTTCTGCTGAGTTGCACTTAAGGAAAATGACTGGGGTTTGGATGGTTTGTTGGATAAAAATAATAGTCAGTTGTCTTCAGAAATTCAGGATGGGCGAAATGATATATTTAGTGCAAGCAGACTTTTAAAAAGGTGCCCATATGAGGCCTGAAGGACAGCTATGTACAAAAAAGAACAGGCCTACATGAACTCACGAGTCCTGCTATATTTAGATTGCACACCCCGAGTCCCTGCTGTGTGTCAGGAACTGTGCAAGCACTGGCAGTCTAGCAGTGTGCAAGCCACTGCCTGTGTGCAGAGTCCATGCTTTCTTGAAAGGGAAACTCAAAAGAAGGAGGTCACCACTGGAAACTAGCCACTTGGGATAAATCTCTTTATACTTTATGAAGCTATAATGTGATCTTTATGTGTTTGGTTCTGGCTAGGGGAAGAGAAAGGGACAGAAGTCACTGTCTTTTACTCTACTAGGTACTCAAAAACTTGTTATCAGGATACACAGTGGGAAATACACAGTCATGCCCATGGTGTCGCCTGAAGATGAGAACGGGGTAAGTCCAGGCTGAGTGTGTGGAAGAGGTTCTGGGAAGAAACCCTCATTGGCTATCGCAAGTCCATGGCTAGATATGGAAGGATTTACAACTGGAAATATATGGTTTTATATATGAATTTTTTTCAGAAGCCCTTCTTACTCCACTTAAATATGAAGGCAAATTAATGTAAAAAAAAATTTGACCTACAAGAGATCTGTGGAATTTGATACGACACTGAGAAAGACAATGAAGGAAATCTGAAAAATGCCCATTGCTGTCTCAACAATGGGTTGAGTGGGTTAGATCACTGCCACATACATATTTCAGCTTATTTGGAAGAAAAAAAAATCATAAATTAGCCAGGCCTCAGGAGCATGTGAGTAATTTCCCGCACAGATGTGCCCCCTGCTGCTGACAGACCTGGAAAGGCAGTGTTGTCTCAACTGCCAAATCCTGGTCTACGGTCACGGGGGAAGACAGTGGACAGGCAGAGCCCTGTCTGCCTCATAGCTCAAGCTTCACTTTACCATCTCAGAAAAGCCGCATGATTTTCAGCTCAGGACAACCTGTAGATTTAGAGTGGATTGTATTGTAATGTTTATTTGTTCAGACTCAGGTGTTACTTACTTGTAACCACTGGCAAAAATATCAACACTGAATTGCTTCTGGGGGTGCCCTGCTGCTAGAAATCTGTGTAATTTGCGATTAGAAGAAGTAAGCGAGAGCTCTTTCTGGAAATGATGTTTGAGAATGTGGATGTTCAATGTATAATAACTTCCTCAGCAATGTAAAAAAAAAAAGAAAAGAAAAACAACCCAAACAAACAAATGTTGGGGCAAAAGTACCTGCAGTTAGGGAGGATTTGATTAGAAACAGTTTGCAATTAAGTTCTAATCAAGAGTGCTGACTATTTAGTATTGCCAGAAACCTCAATTTCTAATACTCTGACCTACATACCATTATCATGTGCTGGGCTTTGTCCCTGCATGATCTCTCCAGCCAGCGGGGATGGCTTCTGGCTTCTCCACAAGCTCTCTGGGATTTCCAGAACACAGTTCTTCCTTCCCCATGGTCATCTCCTTCCCAGTGCACACGGCACAATGGGTCAGAAGAGGCATGTGGAGGATCTCTAAGAGGCAGGGTTGCCTAACTCCAAGTACCAGCATGGTGTATTTCACCATGTAGAAAGGGTCACTGTTTCTCATTATAAAATATCTTACTTACTGTTTAGAAACGCAATCAGGCCAGTCATGGTGGCTCACACCTGTAATCCCAGCACTTTGGGAGGCCAAGGAGGGTGGGTCACCTGAAGTCTGGAGTTCAAGACCAGCCTGACCAACGTGATGAAATATGAAAATACAGATATTAGCCAGGCGTGGTGGTGTGCTTCTGTAATCTCAGCTACTTGGGAGGCTGAGGCAAGAGAATTGCTTGAACCTGGGAGGCAGAGGTTGCAGTAAGCTGAGATTGTGCCATTTGCACTCCAGCCTGGGCAACAAGAGCGAAACTCCGTCTCAAAAAAAAGGAAAAGAAAAGAAAAGAAAAATGCAATTGTACCATAGATTTCAGAAATGCAAGAAGCCACAGGGACAGTGCACATTTGACAACAGGGCAGCTGTCACAGCGAGTCACAGAGGGAGAGGAGAAGGCGGAGCTCAGCTGTCCACCTTACTCTGGGCTGCTTCTGCCGCATTCCTTAGAGAAGAGGTACTTCTAGCTATACGTGGGCCCCCTGTCTCCTGTGGCGCATTCATCAGTCCCTGATTGGGCCAGTCTATCCCACTGCCCTCTGCTGGGTTAACCTTCATAAAGAACAGGATGACCTCCAAGTTGGACGGGAAAAGCCCTGTTTTATACCTGTTGTCCCAACCTGATAATTATCAGAAAACCCACACTCTACACCGTGCCCCAGTGTGGAAGATTAATCCATGCTGTTGCCCTAAGGTCACCTCCCCACTCAAAATCTTTAAATGCCTTCCCATACACTTCTGACTCCTTAATTTTGCAAACAATTTTAAAGCAATAATTTATTTTGAGGTTATTGATACTATTTTTTTTTCAGGCCATAGGAGAGATTTATTTTGTTTTTTTGTTTTTACACTTGTCAAAGTTAATTGCAGCAGATACATGGGAAGGTAATTTTGAGATGAATCATCCACAAATTAATGCACTAAGTGCTAGCATTTGGGGAGTTAACTTTTCTACTTTGACTAAAATAAAATGAGTCTCAAGTGACAGTCTTTAAATTACTTGAGAGAATAAAAACAACTGGCTTGTATAACCTCTAAACAAGCATACTGAAGTAGTGTAACAAAAGAGTTAAGTTTTAAATATTTCTGTTAAATTGTTCCATGTGTAGTTTAAGTCATTTTGTCCTTCTTCAGTCTTATTTACTACTTTCATAAATTATAGGGTTGGATTAGATGATCTTAAAGAGCCCTATCACTTGTAAAATTTTATTCTGTGATTATGAGGTTTTTTAAGTAGGTTAAAATTTGAGAAATGTAAAGGACTATACAACAAAAATCAATCTTCACTTTTTTCTTCCTCTTTATTCATAGCCTGAGAAAAGAAGATAAGCCTCTCAGCTACTTCAATGCCCAAAGAATTCTGCAAGTTAAAATAAACTAGTAAAATTGAAGAAATCTATTTTATATCCACTGAAGTTATTATTGTAAACAGATTCTTAAATAAATTCCATTAACTACTTAAGTTATCATGAAGAACTTAGCTTTCTTTTTAAAATCCGGTGATTAAATATACCCTTTTTTTCTGAATAGATTACTTCTCTCCTGGAACTTATTAGGCTTGAAATTCAGTGACCTTAGGGGTTGAATAAGGCCTTTGGGTCCCTGTGTGGACTAGTTATAAGAAGGAAGTTTTTATAGACTTCTAAAATAGGTTTTTTCAAAGAACTTTGTAATTAGATATCATTATATGCATCCACAGTGTTGACCTGGCCCTTAGGTAAAATCTTAGGTTAAATCTATAAAAAAAATTAAAACTCCACAAAATTAGAAAGTTAGGTTTCAATATGATATTTTAAGATAAACTCCAAATTCACAGTTAACCCAATTTAAAGAGTGTGGATATCTATTTGGGAAGAGTGAAATTTGAGGATATAAAAGAGGTAACATCCCTCCTCACTGGCCTACAGAGAGCAAGTCATATTGTGGAATCCAGCACAACACCCTTCTCTATTCTGTCTCTATAAAGCTGTTGTGGGCAGAACTGTGCTCCCAGAAAATTCATACACTGCAGTCCCAACTTCCAGTACCTCAGAATGTGACTGTAATTGGAGATAGGGTCTTTAAAGAGGTAAGTAAGGTTATGATCTCTAAGGCAGTCATTAGCGTGGCCCCTGATCTAATGTGACTGGTGTCCTTATGAGAAAAGGCAGTTATGATAGACACATACAGAGAGCAGGTGAGGTGAAGACACAGGGAGAAGATGGCCATCTACAAGCCAAAGAGAGAGTTCTCAGAATAGGCCAGCCCTGCTGACATCTTGATCTTGGCCCTCTGGCACCCAGAACTGTGAGAAAACATATTTCTGTTATTTAAGCCAATGGTCCCCAATCTTTTTGGCACCAGGGGCTGGTTTTGTGGAAGGCAGTTTTTCCACGGTTTGGCGGAAGGGTGCAGGGGGATGGTTTGGGGATGAAACAGTTCCACCTCAGATCATCAGGCATTAGATTTTCATAAGAAATACGCAACCTAGATCCCTCACATGTGCAGTTCACAATCAGGTTCTCACTCCTGTGAGAATCTAATGCTGCCACTGATCTGACAGGAGGCAGAGCTCAGGATACAATGCTCCCTCACCAGTGCTCACCTACTGTGCAGCTTGGTTCCTAACAGGTCATGGATGGGTACTGGTCTGCGGCCTAGGGGTTGGGGACCCCTGATTTAAGCTACCTAGTGTGGGGTACTTTGTTAGGGAATCTCAAAACTATAAATAATATAATGGTCAACTGTAAACATTTTATTTATTCATTATTTATTTATTTATTTTAGAGACAAGGTCTCATTTTGTTGTCCAGACTGTACTGCAGTGGCATGACCAGAGCTCACTGCAGCCTCTGACTCCTGGGCTCAAGGGATCCTCCCACCTCGGCCTCTGGAGTAGCTGGGACTATAGTTGTATGCCACCATGCCTGGCTAGTTCTTAAATTTTTTTGTAAAGATGGGGTCTCTCTGTGTTGTCCAGGCTGGTCTCAAACTCCTGGCCTCAAGAGAACCTCCCTCTTGGGCCTCCCAAAGTGTTGGGATTATATGTGTTAGCCATTGTGCCTGGCTTATTTTAAATGTGGAGAAGTAGAATAAGAATGCTGCAGTAAAAAATATATTGCAAAATGTAAAATATCCTGGAATTAACAAATACTATTAAGGTGTAAGATTAATTATTTTAATATTTGGGTCAGAAGGGACAGTCATAAATAACAGTATGTGGTTGTAAGAATCCTGTGATGTCGGGCTCAGGCAGAAGAGCAATAGCACTTGTATGGATGTGGTTGACTGGTTCTTCTTTGAATGACACAAAGGACCTGTATGGAGTGTTCTGATGGCCAGCCATGGAATGCCAGGGCCTGTCCCTCAAACATGGTGGTTCTCAGGTATGTGACCCCCTACACATCTACCGGAGTGCCTGATTTCCTCACTTGCACAGAGTCCTTGCCCTGGTAAAGGGGCAAGTTTGTGAATGCAGATATCAAACAAATACAGGAGGAGGGGGAAAAGATGCTATCAAAATTTATCATCCCTAATTATTTCCAAAGAAAATAATCAAGCCTTTGGAGAAAAGGCTAGGTAGGTCATCTAATAAATTTTTACATCGGGGGTTGCATGAAATGTGACACATTATAAAACATTAGAAGGAATGCAGAGAGAAAGAGAGATAGGGAAGAAAAGAAGGGAGGGAGAATGAAAGAGGGAGATGAGAGGAAGGATGGGGGGAGAAAGGGGAAAATATGAGTAACAAAGAATATTTAATTTGGCATAATATGTAATTTCAATCTCCAAATTCAATACGAAATTGATAGCAAGATAATCTATGCTTGGATTCATGCAAATTAACTGTGACCTCCCTTCAATTACTCATTTCCTAAAACTTTTCTTTTTGATTTTTAAATGCATGTAGAAGACAATGTTATATTGAAGAAGAAGACAGAGTGATGTGGGTAAACTAAGGTTGATTATGGGTGATACCGAACAATGACTCAAACTCATTGTTCCATAGATAAGTATTATAAGATTAGGGGGTCAAGGTTATACTTATGTTATATTTAGGAACAAAATGTTGGTCAAATACTTACATTTTTTGTAGCTGATTTCCAAATCAGGTGGTCCATAGATATTCAGCAACTGTTACTATGGGTTATATATAGATCAAAGCATTGAAGGTATGGGAAATAACTAGATGGTGCCTGTCCTCATGGGTCTCATTTTCTCCAGAGGAATGATAAATAGCATGAAATTTGTCAACAGATAAAGAAAACAACAGAGGGTAATTGGTGAAGAATGACGTGGTGGGGCCGGGTGCCGTGGCTCACGCCTATAATCCCAGCACTTCAGGAGGCTGAGGCAGGCGGATCACCTGAGGTTGGGAGTTTGAAACCAGCCTGGCCAACATGGTGAAACCCTGTGTCTACTAAAAATACAAAAATAGCCAGGCATGGTGGTGCACGCCTGTAATCCCAGCTACTTGGGAGGCTGAGCCAGGAGAATCACTGGAACCTGGGAGGCGGAGGTTGCAGTGAGCCAAGATCATGCTACTGTACTCCAGCCTGGACAACAGCATGAGACTCTGTCTTTAAAAAAAAAAAAAAGGATGATGTGGTGGTGCTGAGAGAGAGCAGTGCTAGTTTATCAGGGATGGTGGAGGAAGTCACTTTAAGGAGATGACATTTAAGCTGAGATGGAAAGGAGACAGCCAAGTGAGGAGAAAAAGTGTTCAAGAAAAAAGAGCCAGTGCCACTGTCCTGAGGCGGGGCTAAGCTAGCATGGTCAAAGGAGAGAGATACATGGCTGGACACTGTTTAGCAGTGAACAAACATGACAGACACAAGGGTAGACATCTGGAATCAGAGGGACGGTGGGGCGGGGTGGGGGTGGTCATACAGACCCTACTTGGCCATGCAGAGAAACATGGACATTACCTTAATTTGACTGAATTTTAAGCAGGGACCTGACATGATCTGGGTCATGCTTCTCAAAGGTCACACTGGCTACTGGGTGGAAAGTGGATTGTTTAGGGGAGAAATAGAGGGAGGAAGATCCAAAGGAGGGAAGGGATGATGGTCTCTCAGCGTGATTGTCACAGAGGAGACAGTGAGAAGTACTAAGATCCAAGATAGATTTTGGAGGTAGAGCCAAGTGGGCTTGTTGATGAACGGGATGGGAGGTGTGAGGAAAAGGTGAGAATTGGGGATGCCTAACCAGAAGTGTAGGGCCTTCTCTCATGTTGAAGGCTTTCTTTGTTCTACTGAGGTGAGCAATACCCCATCAGACTAAGTATGCCCTGTTAACTTGAAGTCCCTAACATCTCTTGAATTTCATCGATGAAATGGAGATAGATACACATCTCTCAAAAAGTTCATCAAATGCAGTAGAGTACTAGTAATCATGCTGACAAACTAACCCCGCCCCCCCCGAAATATGGAATGAAATTATTATTGTGGACTATTTGGGGTTAGAATCTTTAGCAGTGTTAAGTAGAAACAATGAAAGACACTTTCAGAGAAGACAGCCAAAGGTAAGAGGGCCAACCTGTCCCACGTTGATGTGCAACACACACACACACACAAACACACACACACGCGCGCGCGCACACACACACACACACACACACTGACTCCCCCTTCAATGAATATCTATAAGGCCATAAGAGAATATTTCAAAACTCTGGCTTTCTTATTTCACCAGATACCAAGATGAAGGATTTTGCATCAGTTGATAAAAGCCTATACTGCAGAAAAATTTTAACACTTTTCTAGACAAGCCATATCTTGGCTTTTCTTGTCAAAATGAAAGCTACACTTTTGACCCAATGACTTTTTTTATTACACATCATTTACAATTAGCTTTCCATTAAAAGTTCTCCATATATGTGGCTCCCTTTGTAATCCTTTTAAATACAGTAGCCCTATGGACTTAACCTGTAAGTTACCATTGTCCTTTATCCTACTAAGTGGCAATGCCCCAATGAATCCCTTATAATGATTAGTCTTATGTGTCAGCTTGGCCAGCCTATAGTATCCAGTTATTTAATCAAACACGGACCCAGGTATTATTGCAAATGTATTTTGTAGATGTGGTTAACAAACACAATCAGTTGACTTTTGTAAAGGAGATTACCCTTGATCACACAGGCAGGCCTAATAAAATCAGTTGAACATCCTAAGAGCAAAAGCTAAGGCTTCCCAGAGAAAAGTAAATTCTGCCTTTAGACCATAACATCAGGTCCTGCCTGACTTTGCAAACTGCTATCCTGCCCTATGGATTTTAGACTTGACAACTTCCACATGAACCCTATTGGTTATGTGTGTAATACAAGCAGAACTGTATTGTTTCTGTTTCTCTGGAGAATCCTGACTGACACATTCCCCAAAACAGTTGTGTTTATGTGCACCTTCTAGTAAGGTCTGTCTGACCTTCAGGTTTGGATGCAGGAACTTCCGAGGTAACTAGCCTTATGGCCTCCCAAAAATTCTGTGATAACACCCCGGACATGCCTCCATCAAGTCCAGTGGTCTATATGCACCTCCATATGCTGAGATATGGTCTCCTCTGTCCACTTTCAGCATTTACTGCTCACTGGCAATGGTGATATGTTTCACCTTATTGAGTTGTCATTTTATCACGTACAAAATAAAGATAAAATACCTGCCTTTTTAGGTTGTTCTGAAGATTAAATGAAATAATTTACATCAAGTGCCTGGCTTGCAGGAGTTCAATCAACATTAGTGACCATTTTCCTCCCACTCAATTTTGAGAAGAGTTGGTTTGTTTGTTTCATGAATTCCCTAAGCCTAGGCCTGTCTGTCATTCTATAGAAATTTATTATTTTCTCTTCTTCTGTTCTTCATTTATGAAGACAGAACGTGCGATAGGAGTAGCCTTGCTTTCAGCAGTGCTGTGCTCCTATCTTTACTGCTTGGATGGTGTCTCCCTTCATCATGTAACTGAGAAGCAAGATGAGCCTTCAGATGTGAAGCCTATTGAGATGAGGTATGAGTTCCTGCTGCCCACCAGACACCTGCTTTCATATCCATCATTCTGCAGCAGACAAAATCAATCTACTTCCACTCTTAATATTCAGCATGATGATGCCTACATCACAACTGACATAGTCTCTGTTTCATTGTGTGCTCCTCCCTGGATTTCAAGGAATCTACAAAAATGGATAAGATATTGTTATTAAAATGTTTCCTCTTTTGCTCACTTCAAGGCAGAAAACCCCTCCCAAAATCACTGTTTCCTGACCGCTTCAAAAAGAAGCTTGTGTAAGATTGCTGGACCGTGATTTTAGTAATTAAAACAACAAAATAAAAAAAAACACTTTATGACAGTACACATTTTCAACTGCTGAGAGTGATAGTTGGGAAGAAACACTGTGACCTGGTTGGAACTGGTCAACTTTCTCATGACCTACCAATGAAACCCCAAGAGAGTACATTTTGCCAGATGATGGAACAGACTTTCTGAGGACTTGCTGCTAATCCGTGTAGTGCTCTGTGATGATGTACTGAACAATTTTCCTCAAGCTTTTGAATTAAGACACCCTCAGCATTGTGACCTTTTTTCCTTTTTAGAAAGAGGTTTGGCAGGGCGTGGTGGCTCACGCCTGTAATCCTAGCACTTCGGGAGGCCGAGGCTGGTGGATCACCTGAGGTTGGGAGTTCGAGACCAGCCTGACCAATGTGGACAAACCCCGTCTCTACTAAAAATACAAAATTAGCCAGGCATGGTGGCGCATGCCTGTAATCCCAGCTACTCGGGAGGCTGAGGTAGGGAGAATCACTTGAATCCAGGAGGCGGAGGTTGAGGTGAGCTGACATCGCACCACTGTACTCAAGCCTGGGGAACAAATGTGAAACTCTGTCTCAAAAAAAAAAAAAAAAAAAAAAGGGAGGGGTTTAGGGCAGGCACCTAAAAGATCTTTTACAGCTGTTCCAATGGGAATGAGATGCAGACATGCATTCTTCCTCTATCTGTCTCAAAGGAGGTCAGTCGCTCCTTCTGTCTATCCACAGAACTCTAGAGTCAGCTGTCTTGTATTGCAACATGCATTTTACTTGTGACAGTGCATGGACATTGTGCATTTAGATTACTGTTTCCTCAATTACACTGAGAGCTCCACTCAGCAGAATAAAACTCTTGTTCACTCTTGTATTCAATTGCCTGGTCAGTGCTGAGCACCTGCCACCCATTTACAACTTATTTCTTGGTTGTCAGTACATAGAAAAATGTGTGATTATTTGCAATCAACTCCTGCAAAGGGGGCTGTGTCAATGCACCACGTGGTACTGCCAACTGCCTGGATATCATTGCACTGCATTTTTAGTCTAAGTCAGAATCCTCATTTGCAAACAGGGAATTTCATCTTCCTCAAGGCTGACCAAAGTTAGAAAAAAAATGAATCTAGAACTTCTGATATAATGACGACCACATTCTCTCAGAAATGTGGATATCTGCTGGACCTTCAAGGTTCTACTATGGGAGAGAAGGCTGATGAAGCATTTGTTCAGGTCACTGTTGTCTTTTTGCCTGTGTTTTGATTTTTAAAAAGTTTTAATTTTCTTGAATAGGTAACATATTCATATAGATCATAAATGAAAAAACAAGATACATAGTGAGAAGTCTTCTTCCAATTCCATCTCTTGTCTGATCAGCAAACGCCTTCCAAGTTCACCTCTCTTATTAATTTTGTGCATCCTACAGACTTCTTTTACATGCACAAATATAAACATAAATTATTTCTGCTCCATTTTTTGGGAAAATGTTACTTAATTTTAAAAATGTTAATTCTTCAGTGCTGAAGGAAATTCAGAACGATGTGGAAGAACTATCAGATTCATAAGCAGAAGTTAAATTAATCCAAAGAAAAGGGGAAACTGGAGGAAAAGAAATGCATAGAGTAGAGTGTATAAGTGGCTTTTATTTGCTTTTCCAACATCCTTGAGCAAAGGGAAGAGGAGAGTCTCAGGTCAGCAGAGCGGTGGAGGGGCCTGGCAAGCCTGTGGGTGTCTGTGTGCTTCAAGACAGATATGTTTGCTGATCAGTCTTTCCAAATAGAAAGTGTAGAGTCTGCCAGGAACATGAAGAACAATAGCAGACTGAGTGGTTTGCTACAGCTGTGGTCGGAAGAACTATGTGAAATGGCACCAATGCTCTTAATATGATGGCCATTTTGTGTTATTCCTCCCTCTCCACGTTCACATTTTTCTTTGCTACCTCTCTTCTGTCATCTGGGCTATATTAATGGAGAAATAGGGAGGAACCACAGCAATTATCTGGAAAATTAAGTGGAAAAAAATCCAAATTACTTTCCCCTGAAAGGTCTGGGCAAATCTAAAAGCCAATATTTCCTATGACTGAGATGACTTCAAGTTTTCAGAACATATAATTTCTTTCAGGAGCATAAACGTATATTTTTAAAAACACAGACGTCACAAATTTCTCGTCTAAATTGTAGGCTATTACTGAAATCTGTCTTAATTTGTTTTTATTAAAATCTAGTCATTTCCAACTATCCAACATGTAACCATTCAAAGAATACTGATTTTAGATCAAGGTTAAAATGCTGCATATTTTGAGCAACATACATTCCCACAAACCTATTTTCAATGCCATTACCATTGTGTGGTGCCAAGCTGAACAGCCACATATGGTTGTGCCCTGCCAGACATTTGGCCAGGGGGCCCAATTGGGGAATTGAGATTCATTCTACCACTCTGTGAGCTACGTCCTATGGAACAAGAGAGCATCAGCCCAGAAGATGGGAGATCCTATTGCTAACTGGTCTCAGAAAGCAGTACCTTCTTCCTATTCTCACAAAGGTTCTGTATGTTCTAGCCCAGTTCTGAAGCCAAGCACTTTCAAACCACAGGCAGAAACAGGTGTCACATGTTTATATAGAGAGACCACATATCACGTTCCTCTGGGAGGGTCCTACATTACAGCTGTTGACCTGGTTTAATTAGTTCTAGTGGTACTTTCATAGTTAAGCATGTTGGGACTTGATGACCTATTTTATTGGTCACCCTAGTCTTGTATGCTGTGCCCAACCTCTGTTTTCACAGCAAGGAGATTAACCAACAAGGCAAAACTGAATCACTTTCAAAGCTATACACATAGCAAGAGCCAAGATGGTCACTCAGCTATGTCACATTTTTTTGAAACTTACTTTGTCGTTCAGACTATCTACAAATAATTGGTATTTTTTAAAGCCAGCAAAAATATATACTGGTTTATGAGAATTATGGTAAATGTGCAGTCCCTTCAACTACCACTTGTATGTATGTAAAAATAAAACTCAGTTACAGTAAAGCACCCATTCTGCAGTGCTTCTCTGAATCTCCCACTGAGTAGCTCTGGATCTCATCACGCACGTTCTAAAATCCATTCCGTGCCTCCTAGTCTGTGCCTAATTTTAGCATTGACTTGGCCAACCTAATCAATACCTCAGGTTGTGGAAGGAATTCTGTAATCCTTATTGGCCTCACACAATGGATCCCGGTGAGCCCTGGATGGTGCCAAAGAGAGGGAAAATACTCCCTGCTGAGGTGCTGTAAGCTCTGGATGCTTCTCTCACTTGTAAAGCATATGAGAAATGGATGTCACGGCAGGGTATAAAACCTGACTGCTTTGACGTTTTTCTCTCCTGCAATTACCTGTGTCTGTACCCAGGATTTTACTTTCATTTTGGAAGTTTGGATCAGGAACTGATGCCAATTCTAAACAGAGATAAAATTGTTGAACAAGGCTTGGCAATTTTTTTTTTTTCTGTAACAAGATGGGTGGTAAATATTTTAGGCTTTGCAGGCCAAATGGTCTCTGTTGCAACTATTCAACTCTGCCATCATAGTGCAGAAGCAGCCATAGATGATGTATAAACAAATGGCATGGCTATGTTCCAATAACATTTTATTTATAAAAGTAGGGAAAGGACAGATTTGGCCCGAGGGCTGCAGTTTTCCACCCTCTAATGTTAGAGGACTCACCTGCCCTTTGGGCTGAGTCCAATGGGTCTTTCCTGTTGGCTATTTATTGGAAATTGTGCTCTTATCATCGTTATAATTCATAGAAAAAGATCTGGTTTATTTTTCCTTAGCTAACAAGGCATTGTTGGTTTCTATGGCAGAAAACCATTCTGAAATTTTCAAAGTTGATTCTGAGAATCCTATTACATCTCAAGATTTATTCACAATTTAACAATTTACTCTGCAGGCAATCAATTCAAGGGAGAATATATAGCACTGAAATATATAGGACAAAATAGATTATGGGTTATTAGGAAAACATTTAAGAATAAGAAATTTGACAGTTTTTGGACCACTATTATTCCCAGTTTTAAGATGTAGCTCCCTTTTCTCTTGATCTGTTATATTTATAGTGGCAATCGGATGAGTGTGCCTCTGAAATCAATGAGATGCTCAGGTATAGTGGATCTCTGAATAGGCAAACATATGTAAGGTGTGTGCTTATTTCCTTCCAAATTGAAATAAACATATTACCTTCTCCCCTATTTTGTCCCACCTCCCCATCTAAAGAACAATGTGGCATCCATACTTGCTTCCTGAAAAACCCATGAACAAAATCCATAAGCTGATTTTAATGATCAGACACATCATTAGTTGGCAGATAACTCTGTGACTGAGTCCTTAAAGAAGGCTTTTTTCTCTCCAATTAGTCATGCTATAAGACATAAATTTGCAAGTTTACCTCATTAAAAAGGTACATAGATGACAACTGCAATATCTGGCCGGTAGGCATACCTTTTTTAGAATTCCTACCTAGAAACTGCATCAGCTTCTGACAATTACATTAGGCTTCCAGAATTGACACACATTTAAAATGCCAGTGTGAACAAATGAATCCACTTTTAGCTATATTGTTCTGAACTGCAAACAATCATACATTTAGAAAAAATCTAGTCAAATGATGATATACGGAAAACATCTTGCTAGTTCTGTGAGTGTAAATACCTATTACTTCCTCTCCCAGCCCTAACCACCATCATTTCTCAGAGGTCTTCTATTCTCTCAAGTAAGAGCCATGAATTCTCTCCCCCTGAATTGCTTTTGAGGGATGTCTGGAGGAAGAGAAGGCTATAGAAAAACAAAACATACAAACAGAAACCAGACTGGACATAGGGTGTAGCCAGCAAAGAGGAGATGCAGAATCACACAGAAGGCTGCCTCTGGCTGAGCTTGTTGTCCACCTGCCTGAATCTTAACATATCTTTAAAAGTTTCATAAGCAGTTCATGCTAAGGCATCACACTAAGCAATAAAGCTAAAACAAAACAAAACAAAACAGTTGAAAAGTATTTCCCACAGGAAATGCACCCTGCTTGCTCTCTGGCCTGTATTGAAACCAAATTTCTAACTATAGAGGAAAAACCTTTTGTGTTGTTTTTTTCGCCTCTCCCCTCTTACATTATTATTAGGTTGCAAACAATAGCTTTTTTGTTGTAAGGCAGGAACAGAGGAGACTAACGTCAGCATACAATTGTGTGATCACTGGTTAGCCTTGTATCCCAAAGTTGTTAAGATAAAATGAAAGATACTGTTCACAAAGCTGCTCACCCAACTCACGCTCAAAGATAAGAGAAAGCCCCAGAATCTGTGAGCAAAAAACCTTCACTACCCCATTTATAAGGCTCTGGCAGTATTTCCCACAAGAGTTTGCCAATTTTAAAACACGTCTTCCTGTTTTATTTACTCATCTTAAGTCAAGGGAGATACTATTAATTCTAACCTTTTAAAATTTCAGTCATTTGTTGTTCTGAACTTAGGGGTACTTAGAATAGGAGCCTATAAAATGCTGATGGCCTTAAAACAAAAACATTTGGCAAACATAATTTCTTTTATTTCTTTAACATTGTTGTAATTTTCTATTCCCTTAAAAAATGTCTACCAGTAATCTCTCATCTCAGCCAGGAGATGTCACTGCAGTTGATTAAATGATTAACAATGTAAAATACTATGGAAACAGTCTGAGTGTTAAAAACTTTCTATGGAACTGGTGCAAATGTACAGAAAGGCATTCTGGAGTACAAGTAGACTGTCTATTCCGCTTTTAGCCAACAGAGATAACATTTGTGTTACACTCCATAGGAGAAGAGAATGCTTATCCCCTTGCTGTGGCTCCTTGCTAAGATGCAAATATGCTTAAACGAGATGGCATCATAAACCTAGTGACTGATTTATCTGGATGAGAACAGGTTTTGGCAGTCACAGGCACGAGAGAACTTTGTTTCCAAAAATGCGTTGCCACTGAAGTGAAAACAGGATGAAGTGTGTGCATAGTGTGGGCAGGATAACATGGGAGAGGCGCACATGGCTAGGGATTTAAAGTCGTTAAAGTTTCATGCTGTAGTTGTGTTGTTGCTGTGTTTTTATGTAAGACAACACACTGCAGAAACTCTAACTCTGCCACAATCAGGGCAGATATCAAATTCATCTTCTTCACTGTTCTATACCCAGTGTCTGTTAGAATCTGGCTTAAGAGGCACTCAAGTATTTGTTGAATAAATGAACAAATTATTATCATAAGAAATCAGTCTAGGCAGGTCTGAACTTAAGTTACTATACAGTGCACTAAACTCCTAAAACACCTTTGCACCCAGGGCTTTTGTGTTCCTACCCACAGTGGGTTGCCTCCATAAAGATATGTTCATGTTCTAACCTCTTGAACCTAGCAACGTCACCTTATTTGGAAAACGTTTTTTGCAGATATAATTAAAATGATGATCTTGGAATACGATCATCTAGATTATCCAAATGGGCCCCAAATCCAATAATAAGTATCCTTATAAGAGACATCAGAGGACAGACATGGAGGAGAAAGTGTGTGAGACAAGGCAATGATAGGAGCCTTGAAGTTTCCAGCCAGGAACTCCTGCAGTCCCCAGAATCTGGGAGATGCGAGGGAGTCTCCCCAGACCCTTCCAAGGGAGTACAGCCCTGCTGACACCTGATTTCAGACTTCTGGCCTCCAGAACCATGAAAGAATAAACTTCTGTTGTTTCAAGGCACCACATTTGCAGTATTTGGTACAGCGGCCCTAGGAGAGGAAGACACTTCCTCACTTGGGGATCCAGGACTTCCAGCTACAACATGGTGGCACCGCACTGCACCAGGGGAAGGCTCCTCCATCTGCCAGCTGCAGAAGGCACTGCAGCTCCCCTCCCTTCCCTGTCCCCAGAGGCATGCAGCTTGCACACGCAGGAAGGTTGAAGGTTGGCTGGCTTGGAAGTAGACTTTCTCCTACCTAATCTTCCCCTTCCCCCATGACAGTTCCTGGTCTGACTCCCCCTCTCCTCGATTCTTCCCTTTTGTCATCCAGCTAGACTACAGGTGCCGCAGAAGATGGACTATAGGGTTGGGAACCCCACTGGTGTGAGCATCAAGGTACTGTCAGCTAAGGGACACTTGGTCTATGCTACTGTGGCAGGAGAGGGGGCCTCATCCCTCCACTGCTTCTCTGCAGGCACCAAGGACAGTCTCATGGATCCATCCAGATGGTCCTGTAGCTGAGTTGATGATAGGGAGGTGGTGCTGTAGAGCATGAACAAAGCAGGGTCCTTGAGTCAGTTTTCCAGACCCCTGGAGAAAGCCGGACGCCTTCTGTCCAGGTCTCATTGGAACCCTGTCAAAGTCTTTACCTTCCTGAAAGGTAACTCCAACATCACTGCTTTTAGGTATTTCATCACACTGTTTAAATCCCGGGGAATGAAAATACTGCCTTCCCTCACCCCACATGAATTAATACAAAATCAACTGCTTGACGTTCAGACATTGAGCTTTCAAACGTTTTCCAGGATGCATTATGGATGTAAATGGCACAGTCTTACCTTTGAAAGGATGGGCTGGAATGAGGAGGAATACATCTTGCTGGGTTATCCACCAGCACATGACTAACTGGGTTCACAATGAATCCATGGTGAATCAAACAGAAAGGACAAGTAATGTGAAAATACCCTCGTTTCTGCTTCCTCTTAAACCCCTGGGAAGATACTCCATGGCATCATTTAATCATGAGGTCCAGAAGAGTTTGCTTTAACACACAATGCTTGACAGCTACGATGTCAGGTGCATTATAATACCATTTCCCTGTTATTTTTCCTGCCTTTAGGAATATATAAAATTGAGTGGGCTCTGGTCATTATCATAACATCACAGTGGTTTGCTATTGGTAAAGCTCCAAGATGACACAGTGATTCACTCCTTAAGGATTAAACAAAAATACTTGTTGTGCTTGCAATGTGGGTATTAAATGGATGTTTTTCACGGGACACTCTTGGGAATCAGCTTCTGCGATTGTTCCACCAGCAGACCCACTTTGGAACCTTCTGTACCCTGTTTGGAGCCCAGCAGCCAGATCTCTAAGGGCTACATTAATATATACTACTAAGGCTCCTTTGCTCTCTGGCTCCTATTTGGAACTGAGTAACGGGCAGCCCAGCAGAAACAGGCTGGGAAGGAGAAGAGAGAAGTCAGGGTATTTACTATCCAGCATCTCCCAAGTCAGCCATTCCTCTGCCACACAAAGTCTTCTCCCCAGACAGTGACCGCCCTCTCCCAGTTCTGGCTAGTGCCCCAGGAGTATCTCTCCTTTTGTCCTGTCAGGCCCAGGAGCTACCCACCAGGGAACTTCCCATCTCTTTTAGGGTCCTTCTTAACTCTGTCTTCAACTTTGTAAAAGTCCCTGGTAAACTCTTCCCAATTACCCTGTTTAAATGTTCTATACATGCCCATCATTTCTGGACCCTAGGTGGCACCCGAAGCATGAAATATGTAATATTTCCTTCTTGGATACATGATTACACATACACCCCATGTAGCTGCCGTACAGTGGACATGAAACAGTTTTTATTTGAGTTATCAAAACCAAGTTCTTCAGGGAGAGAAGATAATGCATTAAGACAACAGAAAGTTTGAAACAAAGAACCACAGAATTAAACGTGTTAGGTTCTGTCATAGGTTTATTTGAGATCCTGATTGCAGTTTAGAATACTAAGTTTACCTACCATGTATAGAATACCTACTAAGTAAGAGCTTGACACTGTGCTCAGGTTTAACATAAGTCCTCTGTAATCCACAGGAGAATCTTGCAAAGCAGGTATTATACCCAATTTAGGGTGGAGTACAATAAGGCTTAGATACATGCAATAACCCCCCCCCCCCTTTTACACAACTCACTGACCTAGCAAGGAGGCTAGAACAGGTGTACCTGGCTACACAGCCCATACTCTGTCTACCCTACCAGGCCACCCCATTCAGAAGGGCACTGGTACTCACGGACTTCCCATGACCAAAAGGACTTTAAGAAGCTTGACTACAAGCCTGTTTAATTTTATTTAATCTTATCTTCCAGGCAGATGTCTTCAGAGAACCATTCTCATAGAAAGCTCATTAACATCTTGAGTCCATGACTCACATTTGGAAAATGCAGTGTTTCCCTTCTGTGTCCCCATTTCCTGACTTTTGTGTCTTAAAGACAAGACCGATGCCCATCATTCCACCTGGGTTCAGTGAATAAATGTCAGGGAAGCTGCTCTAAACATCAGGTGCATTACAGATTCTCAACTACATTGTTTTTAAAAGGATGTACTATATTTGTAAGAGAAAGAGGAATCTTCATAACAGGAAGTTTTCTTTAGCACCTAATATTTGGCCAATGACTAGGTTCGCAGTCCTCTGACAAAATGATTTGCTGAGAAAAATGCTGGCATGGGTGGCTTTAATAATAAATGGTGGTCAGAATAATGGCTCACATTTACTTAGCAGGAAGAATTCGCCAGGCACTTCACTAAGCTCTTTACCTGGGTTACCTCGTTAAAGCTCACGACAACTCTACTCTCTAATTTTACAGTTGCAAAACTGAGTCACAAAGAGGTTGAACAAGGGACCAACATCAGACAAGCAAAGCGGAGGAAGCATCACTGAACTCCAGGTGGTCAGACTCCAGATTCTGTGCTCAGAGGAAAGCTTCCATCTACCTAAGAGACACCAGCATCCTTATAACTAGATAGACTCTAGTATTTTCTTTAAAAATCATGTACAGCAATCTCAGCTTACTGCAAGGATAGATTGACTGTAACAACATAAAATTTAGTAGGGTTAAATTTTGAAATCAGGTTGTATACTTAAAAATACCTAGCTTCATGAGTTTGGGGAGAATTATAATTTAGCATCAGTGTGGAAATGATTTTGGAGGTTTTAGTGGAAGGTAAACTAAATAGGAACAAGCAGTGTTGGAAGATCTGGCCACGGGGGCCTATGCAGCATCAGGGCAAATTCAAGGTCCAGAATCTGCCCCTCACTAATTCACCCAGGCAGGTCACACGCATTTTATTGTAAGCATCGTGCTTTAGAAGGCCTTCGTTGAGAGGTGAGTCATCAGCCCAGGGAAGCAATTCATAGCCTGGTGTGATGATCTTCCTACAGCACCCCTGGTCCACTCTGCCTCCCACACTATCTGCCCCAGAGCTGGCCACAGCCATAGGAACAGAGTCAGGGAACTGGCTCCAAATTGAAGTGATGGGAAGAAGATTGGAACCAAAGGAGTGGGTTACACTGGGGTCTACAGAGAACTGGAGAGCCTTGCAGGATGGGGAAAGTGCAAGCCTACAGGAGGGTGCAAAGCTGTGATCTCAAGGTAGAGTCAGGAGTTCACAAATGATGGAATCAGAGCACAAACAGCCTGAACACCAGCCTGTGTGGTCGTGGGTGACTGCCTTGAACGCTGCCCTGTGTCTGTGCTTTGCCTTTATGCTCAGCAGACATGGGGTGGAGAAGAGGATGGGGTTGCCTCAAAGGGCAGGTGGGCTGTGCAGGTGGAAAAAGCCTGAGGTTAGACACGGTAATAGTCTTAAACTATCTGAAAGTCTGTTATTCGGAAGGACCTATCAAACACCCTGGCTGGAAAGACTGCAGTGAGCATATCTTCACGTAACTGCTGGTCTGGCAGAGGGTGAGACATAAAAATGACTATATTATTAAAAACATTATTCCAAACTCTGATGGCTGCTAACAACAACAAAAAAAAAGATATGAGGTCTTGTAGAGCACTGGCAGAGATGTCACCTTTTTAAAGAGGTGCCATTGGCTGGGCATGGTGGCTCATTCTTGTAATCCCAGCACTTTGGGAGGCCAAGGTGGGTGGTTCACGAGGTCAGGAGATAGAGACAACCCTGGCCAACACCGTGAAATCCCGCCTCTATTAAAAATACAAAAAATTAGCTGGGCGCGGTGGCGGGCACCTGTAGTCCCAGATACTCTGGAGGCTGAGGCAGGAGAATGGCATGAACCCGGGAGGCGGAGCTTGCAGTGAGCCGAGATCACACCACTGTACTCCAGCTGGGCGACAGAGCAAGACTCCTTCAAAAAAAAAAAAAAAAATACAAAACTTAGCTGGGTGTGGTGGTGCATGCCTGTAGTCCCAGCTACTTGGGAGGCTGAGGCAGGAGAATCATTTGAAGCCAGGAGGCAGAGTTTGCAGTGAGCCAAGATCTGTTGCCAGTCTGGTGACAGAGCGAGACTCCGTCAAAGAAAAAAAAAAAGAGGTGCCCTTGAAGCCAGGAGCTGAAGAATGTTGGAGTGAGTGACGTACAGAATGGGGAGAGTGATGTTTCCAGCAAAGGGCATAGGACCTACAGAAGCTGGAAGAAGGTTAAGGTTCAAGGAGGTGGAGGCAGGCTGAGACCAAATCTAATAAGCCCTTATAGGCCCTGACACAAACTTTGGATTTATATCTCCCAGCAAAATTTGAGATGCTTCTTTTCTCTTTCCCAATTCCCTTTTCTTCCGTTGTTTTCTCTCCCATGTTTTATTTTTTAGCAATGCCACATCATTCATGGGCACTGCAGATCCACTTCTGTATTCAGCAAAAATTGAGAGGTTACAATTTTATGTCAAATTCCAGGCTAGGCTCTATGGGTTAAAACATAAACCGGCTAAGTGGTGGGTTGAATAGTGCTCCCCCAAAATTCATGTCCACCCAGAGCCTCAGGATGCGACCTTCTTTGGAAACAGAATCTTTGCAGATATAATTAGTTAGCTTGAGATGAGGACATACTCCATTGCGTTGGGCCCTCCATCCAATAAAAGGTGTTCTAAGAAGAAGAGGAGAGGACACAGAGACACACCGGGAAGAAGGCCATGTGCAGACAGAGACAGAGATTGGAGTAAGGGTCTGCAAGTCAAGGAACGCCATAAATTGCCAGGAGCCACCAGAAGCCAGGAAGCAGCAGAGATCTCCTCTAGAGCATTCAAAGGGAGCACAGCACTGTTGACATTTTTAGTTCAGACCTCCAGCCTCTAGAACTGTGAGAAATACATTTCTATCATGGTAAGTCACCCAGTTGCTGGTAATATGTTGTGACAGCCCTAGGAAATTAAGACAGGATGCATTTAATGAAGACAGTCACATAAATAGAAACGACCACATGTTAAATACTACAAACCAGGGCATGTCCAAGGCATTATAGAGTTTTCAGAACATCCCTGAAATTATTTCTTTCCTCTCTAAATTTAATTTCTTTCCTTGCAGTAATTCCTCAGGAACCCATCTCTTAAATGTAATTTTAGATGGAGGAAGATGGAAAGAGTAGGTTTCTCCATAATTTAAAGCTAACAACAGAGTACCTCTCTATTTGACTGAATTCAGGCTCTCTGTATTTCTGACCACAATCAAACTTCTTGTGATATTAGACTTTGTTTTGATCTTACCTTCTCCTTTCTCAGAACTAGATTCACTCCAATAGTATCCCTGAATCCTCCTCTGTCATGGCTCTGCTGACCTCCCTGAAATCTCCTCCTGGCCCATCTCTGCACGGCTTGCCTTCATCTTCTTTAAAGCCCTGATCAAGGCATACCTCCTTAAAAGACCTTTCCAGGCAGCTCTGTTTGAAATTAATTCCCCTTCACGTCTATATTTTTAATACTTTCACTTCAGCATGTGCAGTTTGTCACATATCATATATTACAAGCTCTTCAATGCCGACTGATTTTACTTACTTTGTTAATTTTCTAGGGCTGCCATAACAAATTATATCGAGCTTGGTGCCTTAAAAACAACAGAAATGTACTCTCTCACAGTTTCCGGGGGCCGGAAGTCTGGAGTCAAGGTGGGGCGGCACTCCCTGGGAAGGCTCTAGGGAAGAATCCATCCTGGCCTCTTCCAGCTGCTGGTGGCCCCAGCTGTTCCTTGATTTGTGGCTGCATCACTCTGATCTCTGCCTCTGTCTTCACATAGATTTCTCTTCCATGTGTTTCTCCTCTGTGTGGGTCTCATAAGGACACACATCACTGGATTTAGGGCCCACTTGGATAATCCAAGATGATCTCATTTTGAGATCCTTTATTTAATTTCATCTGTAAATAATCTTTTTGCAAATCAGGTCACAGTCATGGATTCTGGTGATGAGACTATGGACATGACTTTGGAAGGAAGAGGCGTCGTTCACTCATTACACCCATCTTTGCATCCACCCGTACCTGTAAGTCCATTACGTATTATACATACTAAGTAATTAATTTTTTTATTAAATTTAATCAAATAATACCTTTGAGCACAGGTTTAAAAGTATCTACAAACTATTCTAATTCACTTTTTACTAACTATATCAAACTCATGTTAAACCACAATCCCTCCCTGGTGTACTATTACATTTCTGCCAATTTACTTTATTCTACATTGAATGAGCCTCCCAGAAAAGAACAGGCAGTTGGCACTGCAAGTATATCAAGGACTGACAGGGTTTTGAATACTCTCAGGACATTTCTGCCAGGAAACAGGCAATGAAAGAAGTAGAAAACATCAAAAAATATAATGAACAATGATACTCTAAAATTTCTTAAGTGAAATCCAGGCAGTGGTAGACCTAGGTTGAATTCCAGTTCTACCTACTGGTTTCCCAATCATGGCAAGTTCTATATTTCACTTTTATTTTGTTCTGTGGAGGAATGAAAGAAGGGAGGGAGGGAGGGAAGGAGGAAACACCCCCCTCACCAACGCTCTCTAATGCCATCTAATTTTAATTTCAAAACAGTACAATGATTACTGAGAATTCACCCACCGGTAGAAACGCCTATCCTGGAGTGTGGAACTTGTGATGACCCAATATATTTAGTAGCACTTGCACTAGCAGAAAAAATGATTTAGAAAATTAGGTCACCAGCAGAAGCCATTTTTGTGTGTTGCTTTTTTCTGCTCAAGGACTCACTTTATGATGACAGTCTAGCCCAATTAGATAAATGGAGCCATTCCAATTTGAATACTGTTCATAAAGTATTTTCTGTTTATTATGAAAATTAAGAAGTGCCATTGCTTTACAGATGCCACTCAGAGCCACATGCTGCTGCAGTCAAAGCCGGGGATTTCACTGTGTTGCAAAGTTATAGCAGACAACAGGCACAATGCGTGCCAGATGCAACTGAACTGCGAGGGGGCTTAAAAGGATTTGATGGAAAATGTCCTAACTGCTTTGTCCAAGAATTATCACTGGGACAGTAGGCTCTTTGATACGTTCATGCAACCAGCTGCTAGTTCATCTCCGTTTCTAATGGGGTAATCCACACTGCTTTTCATCTTATTTACATCACACATGTGACTTTTAATATTAAGAGAATTCAAGCATCCATGTATGGGGCTAATTTTTTTCCTTTAATTGGGGATGGAGGAGGGAGGTGATTGGCTTACATGCTTGAAAGCACAGAAAGGGCGAAGGCACTATTCTCCTACTATTGCCCTCTTCTTCCGTGTATAAAACACTTCAAAGTATCTTGTCTGAGTTTATAACCACCAACTGGGTGCAAAGGTGACCCAGTTGTTGCTGAAAGCCTGTCCTATATTGTGAGATGTCCACAGTGGGGTGTGTGTGACTGTGTGTAGGTGTGCACACGTGAATGTGTATCATGGTCACATTAACCAAGTGCCCCTGAAACCTCTACAAGAGAAAATAGGTCTTCTGAAGACCTGCTGCAGGAGATCACTCCCAGCTTCACTCGCTTCCTGTGTTGCCTCGACAGCCGTTTGGTCAGAGCGATGCAGAGCACGCAATGTATGTATACATGTGGCAATGGGAAGTTATGAAGGCCAAGCAGTGATTCTTTTTAACCTTGTAATCATAAGCTGTTTTTCTGAAATTCTGATAACTGCACAGAGTCTCGTGCTAGTTAGACAGAAGTTTGGCTCATCATGCCCTAGGCTGCAGTATAGACCTGATTCATGATAGCTACACCCAACCCTCAGATGAATGGAGACACAAAAGAAAAGGAATACCTTTAAAAATGATGGCAGTGACATATGAACACATACACACACGTAGAATCTTGTGCTAGTGAAATAGAAGCTAATTTTGTGTTTGTGCGTGTGTGTGCTAGGTTGTTATTGCACTGCTATAAAGAAATATCTGAGACTGGGTCATTTATAAAGAAGAGGTTTAATTGGCTCATGGTTCTGCAGGCTGTACAAGCATGGTGCCAGCATCTGCTCGGCTTCTAGGAGGCCTCAGGGAGCTTTTACACACAGCAGAAGGTGAAGCAGGATCTGGCATGTTACATGGTGAGAGCAGGAGCAGGGGGGTGGGGAGATGCCACACACTTTTAAGCAATGGGATCTCTTGAGAACTCAACCCCTGTCTCATGAAGTGACAGCATCAAGCCATGAGGGATCCCCGCCCCCCGACCCACCTCCCACCAGGCCTCATCTCTAACACTGGGGATTACATTTCAACGTGAGATTTGGGCAGGACAAATATCCAAACCATATCAATATTCTTACATATTCTCTAAATTATTAATTTCAACATAATACATCTGTCAAAAATGGAAGTTCAGCAAATGTGCTTCTTTATAAATCCAATTTCAGTAAACATCTCCATGTAATATGGGCCCAAATCCTTCACTTAAAAATGCTACAAACCTAACAGCATATATTTAACGTCATAATAACAAAAATTCAAACCTGAAGAGGACCTACAGGGCTAATTTTTTTTTGTCTAATGGGGAATCTGATACTCACAGAGTTGCCTGACTTGCCCCAGGTGACCAACAAGAGTTGTGATAGCCCTTCCTCTCATGTTCATGAAGCACTACACTACTATACTCTTTAAGATAATCTTGACCAAAGCAATGGTAATAACTACTGTGAGAGACAGAGAATGTGGCCACCCAGAACTACTGCAACATAGGCTGCCAGGGAAACAGTCACTGCCACATCACCAAGCTCACTCATTGGGGCCACCATGCTAGACCTGAGTGCTCACCTGCTGATAGGAAACTCTCAGAAGTCATTCATCATGCCCCACATCCATGTTTACCTGGCCCATTGCCAAAAGTGCAAGTTTCCTGTGAGATCTGTGAGAGCCCTCATTCCCATTCCCATACATCTACATCCTGATCCAAAACTCCATTCTTTTCCTCTCTAAGCCTTCCCATTATGCTTTCTGGTGCTCTCAATCAATAATATCAATAATCCAGCACCCATCCTTACTTCCCTAACTATTTCTCTGAATGCTCCCTTCACCTCTACACCTTAACTGAGACCTGTCCTCTGAGCACACTCATTCCTCTACAGCCCTCTCCAGGAGCAATGTATTTTCTTGGGTATCCCCTGAACCTCAGGGCTTGGGGTTTGATAGGTACCCTCCTTGGTTTTCTTGCTACTCCTTCTGACCTCCTATTCTCCTTGTTTTTGCAGTGTCTTACTCCTTTGAGGCTCTGATGCACCATTTATATCACCCTCTCTCCTCCTCATTGCTGTCATGTTGGTTATCTCATTCATGGGTGGCTTACAATGATCATTCTCTAACATGTCAATATCCAGTGTCCTGACCTTGATGTCACCTTCGACAGCCCTTTTTTCCACTCTGCCTTAGGCATCTCGTCTCAGTGTCACACCCAGGACCTTCTCATTTCCAGGAACTGCACCATGCAGGTCCCTGCCTCCCCTCCTAGCTGCCCAGTGCACTTGCCGGAAATTATGACAGTGCCATGGTTCCCATTCTTCATTGCTGCTGACATTCTCAGGTCTTCACCCTGCCACTTTCTCACTATTTCTCCACCACCCGTGTTCAGTTCCTCTTTTTCCAACCTACCTTCCACGCCCACCATCACAGTCGTTCTCATGCAAAAATCTTCAACTTCGTTGCTTCTCTCTTCTGCTGTGGGTTCACCTGTCAAACCCCCAAATTTCATAGCTCCAACTTCCTACCCGCTCTCTGCTTGCACATTGGCCAGTTGGTGTTGCTGGAGAAAATCACACAGCTGTTTGGTGTCACTTTATATTTATTATTGCAACTGTCAAATAAAGTCTCAAATGGCCTGGCCATTCTACTAAATAAATTTAGGAAAATTCATTTCCTAGATTTACTTTTCCACTATTTGTGCCCTTTCTCCTCAAACATCTCCCACCCTTTGGCCACCCCCACAATCCCAACCTCGGCTATTAAAATGGAGAAAATATTCCTCAACTTTTCACAAGAAAATGCCTTCACTTGGGCTGTGGATTTCATCCCTCCTTACTGTCTCAAAAAGGTTGCTCCTTAGATCTTTCTCTGTCACTCCTGCGTTATCAATAGCTCCACTTACACTCTTCCTTCCTGTCACCAAGAAACACCATCTTTAAGCTCCTCACTTAAGAAAACAACAAACATATGAAAAAAGGCTCATCATCACTGGTCATTAGAGAAGTGCAAATCAAAACCACAATGAGATACCATCTCACACCAGTTAGAATGGCGATTGTTAAAAAGTCAGGAAACGAGATGCTGGAGAGGATGTGGAGAAATAGGAACAATTTTACACTGTTGGTGGGAGTGTAAATTAATTCAACCATTGTGGAAGACACTGTGGCAATTCCTCAAGGATCTGGAACTAGAAATACCATTTGGCCCAGCAATCTCATTACTGGGTATATACCCAAAGGATTATAAATCATTCTACTCTAAAGACACATGCACACACATGTTTATTGCAGCACTATTCACAATAGCAAAGACTTGGAAAAAACCAAATGCCTATCAATGTTAGACTTGATAAAGAAAATGTGGCACATACACACCATGGAATACTATGCAGCCATAAAAAATAGGTTCATGTCCTTTGCAGGGACATGGATGAAGCTGGAAACCCTCATTCTCAGCAAACTAACAAAGGAGCAGAAAACCAAACACTGCATGTTTTCACTAATAAGTGGGAGTTTAACAAAGAGAACATACGGGCACAGGAAGGGGAACATCATACACCAGGGGCCTGTCAGTGGGTGGGTGGCAAGGGGAGGAATAGCATTACGAGAAATACCTAATGTAGATGACGGGTTGATAGGTGCAGCAAACCACCATGGCACATGTATATCTATGTAAAAAACCTGCACGTTCTGCACATGTATCCCAGAACTTAAAGTATATATTTTTTAAAAAAGTTGAAAAGGTCTTCTCTCAACTCCTCAGCTCTCTTCAACATCTGCCCCAGTTTTACACTCTCCTTTATAGCAATACTTATCAAGAGAGGTCTAGCTATGCATATTGCTTCCACTTCCTGGTTTCTCATTTACATTTAAAGTACTTTTTATTAAAAAAATCAAACTATGGTGCAAATACTTTAAAAGCTTGAATGCTCCCTTTTCTCCCCAGAGGCAGCCACTTGAAACTCTTCTAAAGAAATCTCCAGATTCACCTCTAAAGAACATGCTCAGAAAGTACTTCTCTATTTCTCAATATCAGGCACTGACACTGGCTTCTTACTACTGAATATACTATTTTACTCTTATACTACACACTCAACACACACACACACGCGCGCGCACACACACACACACACTCACACAATTTCTCCTTTCCCCATCCTCCCAATGTACTTAGACCTTTTTTTCTTGGGGGTGGGGATGGTTAAACTAACATCCAATGGCATGCAAGTCTTACTCATAAATAAAACTGTGGTGTACCATGACTGCTTCTTACTTTTTGAACGTTTTAAAAATTTCTCTCTCGTTATCACTTGCTTCAATTTTCCAATTATTTTTCTATTTATCCTTTAGAGCAGTAAAACCTCCCTTAACATATTCAAGCATGACAAGTAAACTCTAAGTTCCAATTTCTATTGGACAAATCCATCCTCATGTCCTCTGTCTTCTTCCTCAAACGGGACCATTGTGGTACCGGGAAGAGAGATGATAGCAGAGGGCCTTGGGAATCACTGTCACAACTGCATCCACAGCATATCTTAGAAATAGCGACTGGCCAAGAAGTTTAAGGCAGTGATAATGAGATCACAAACTTTACAATTAGAATATCAAGATAAATGGAATCAGAGTTCTCCTCCTCTTTAGAGCCTTCTGCACCAGAAAGAACAGAATTTTCCTGGCTGTGTGGTGTGGCACAGCAAAGGCAAACCCAGCTTTTGGTGGTGGCCAAATATCTGACTCAATGCCTGCTCTGGTTTGTTTATTTGCATGCTAACTCTCAGGTCACACATTTCTGTACTTAATTCTTCAGAATAGTAAAACTGCATTAATTTAGGTTGAGTAAAGGGTAAAGTTTTTGAAAAGGCTGAATTTAAACATCATCTTAATTTTCTGTAGAGAATTCCAACCATTCCCAGAGGTTCCCAGAACCTTTACTCCACTTGCTTTGACAAGCACACAGGACTCCCTGAGCTCATATCTTAGAAGTGCCTGTTGACTAAACAATATGGCTGTGTCAAGCCACTAAAATCCATTCCTAATTCTTAATAGCCTTGAAATTGGTTTATGGGTCAAATTTACCTAACAAATTGTTTTCTGTTTTTTCCCACCTCCCAAAATACAGTCAGTAATCTTTGGGCAATTCCAATTCAAATTATGACATATTCTGACTTGGTGGAGTTTGATCAGCTTGCAAAGTAAAAAAATATATATGTATAGTGGGGTTTTTTGGTTTGCTTTTCTTTTTTCTGGGTGCTACCTGGGGTTCCTTCCAGTAACACAAATATGGTTTCCTTCAGTTCACTAAATGTAAACAAGCTGCCATAGGCAACTTTTAGCCCTTTACTTCAAATGAATGATTATATACTGGATATTTACCACTAATCTTGCTCTTTTCTTAGTGAAAAAAATATATAGACACAGCCGTGCAAACTGTGATCCAGTTACTGCCCTTCCCCTTCAGCTCCCTTTGTAGACTCAGACTTCCTTTGCCCCTCCATGTTTCAAAGGAGGACTGGCCAAAGAGAAATCACTTAACATATTCAATACCCACATGATGTGGCAATTAGTTTTCAAATCCATTTTTGACAAACACAAGTCGGACATCTGGAATGAGGTAAAGGTGATTAGGTTTGGAGAGAGCAGAGTGATAAACGGAAATTTCAGAAATCTTTGCTGAAAAACAAGTATTCCAAGAGTAAGTGGTTCTATCTTCAAAATGAAATTGCTTTTTGAAATAAAGTGCTCATTGAGTTCTGCCACAGAATAGATTTTCCATGACGACTTTTAGGCCAAAGCTATAAATCAAAAACTTACTATATTGCCATTAATTTGCTGACTGTATCTAAAAGACTTTAAACTGCCTAAAAATATGCTCAAAATTATTTTAATCCATGTAAAATTTTATCAAAGTGATATGAAGGGTTTTTTAATGGGCCACGGCTGATTTTCCTTAGAACTCGGAAAGGCATGGAAACCAATGACTGTGAACCGAACCACAACTCTGAAAAGTCACCTCTTGGAGACAAGATAATAACTGCTGCTAAGTCACTCTTTTCCATTTCTTTTTTTGATAGCTTTTTAAAAAATTTCATTTATGTACTCTAGTTGTACATATTTTGGGGTACATGTGATATTTCAATACATGTATACAATATGTAATGATCAAATTAGGGTAACTGGAATAGTCATTACTTCAAACATTTTCTTTATCTTTGGAACATTACAATTCTTATTCTAGCTACCTTGAAATATATAATAAATTATATTTAACTATAAATTTTCTACTGTCCTATTAAGTACTAGAACTTTTTCCTTCTATCTAACTATTTTTGTGCTCCTTAACTAACTTACCTTCATCCCTCCTTCCTCACCTCCCTTCCCAGCCTCTGGTAACCACCATTCTGAAACTCTCCAACTCCATGAGATCCACTTTTTTTAAAGCCACTCTTTTACATGTTTAATGGCATGGCTTGTCTACTCTGCTCAAGATGAAATACCCATCCTAAGCGTATATGTCATCTACTGTAATGACAATTATCAGTAAATAAGGTTTTTATTCACTAGCTAAGAGAAAAGCAACAAAGTTGACTAAAGATAATTTCTTACAGTGAATCTCCTATCACATAAATGTAGTAAGAAACCACGTTTTTTATCTTGAGAGAAGGTGCTCTGCTATTAAACACATTATCCCTAGCAAGATTATCCTTTCATGATCAATTTCATGATCATTTTTTATTTCCAGCTAATGTATCTTTGGTTTTATTTGGCTTCTGGAAGTATGGCTTTGTTAAGCCATTGCAACTGGATAAGAAAGCTAGCGGGAGCATCGGCAACTACCTGTGTTCTATGAAGGGGGATTCTCTCTCCCTTTAAAGATCCTTCTTGGACTGATTTTTGAGGATGTGATGAAATGAGCTGCTTGGTAGCATGAGAAAAAGTGGAAAAGAAAAACGATGGAGATGAGAAAGAGTGGTGAATCAATGCCTTCTCACTTAGGACCTTGACCACAGGTGAATAACTGGATTTCTTTTAGGGGAAAAGATCAGGTCAGTGGTCCTCAAACCATATTCTTAACTAATTAGTCTAGAGGGTGCCTAGGCAACAGTATTTGTTTTCAAAGCTCTCCAGGTTTTTATTTAATTGTGCACCCAGCGTTGAGAACTATGGTACCACAAATGAAGAGAACGAAGGCCCCAAGCCAGAGATGTTGAGGAGCAGGAAATTTGAGATAGAAAGGATGGAGTCCATTCTCTCAGTAAAATAAGAGATGGAGTCATATCTTTAGATAGGAACAAAGTTGGGGATTTAAAGAAAGTGAAAAATATTTGAAAGGGGGAGTTCAAAATGCAACAGGACTTTAAGTAGAAACAGCCTTTGATGATACCTTATTATAGAGAAAGTATACATTTTCTGAGCATCTTAGATACCCACGAATTTACTTTATACCATGATGTCTTCCCATTAATGAGGTATAAAATAGAGGAAATGTGCTTAAGTTATTTGTTGATAGCTCTTATGAATTCTGACTAATTTTGAATATAGGTAACCAAAATACATACCTTTTTCCAAAATACATATTTTGGGAAATAAACAAATTTGATAATATAAAAATATTCTCTTGCAGGTTTATTATGTTTAGCTGATTGCTGGCGTTCATGTGGAGAGTGGGACTGTGTGATTTGTTTTCCACTTTCCTCAATATGGCCAGAGAGAAGATAAATTAGTATTGTCCTAGATCACATGTAATAGTAGTGCTTTTTGCTCAAATGAGTACCATTCTAATCTAAGAAAAAAGTTATTCAACCTTGGAACTGGAATTTACTTTTTTTTTTTTTTTTTTTTTTTTTTACCAGAATAGGGGTTTGCAAACAATACGTAGCCAATTTCCTTAAAAGGGAAATTCTTGTGTGTCTCCTAGGACCCAAAATTTCTATGCACTGAGCTTTTAAATTTTGATTCAACTTCTCTTTCACTGTTCAAAACTGCGCCATGTGGATAATATTTTATAAGTCTGACAATCTCATAACAGGAAGATTTGAACATAGCAGCTGCTTACCATTTCATGCTAATTAAATGTGATTTCCATCATTGTCAATTTCACTCTTTTGCCTTCCAGTCACTTAACTACAACTAAGAGAAAGACACAGGTAGATGATAGGGAATACGTTATCCATATATTACCAATTGGTTAGTTTCAAGCATAAACACTTTTTGGAGTTAAGATTCAAATGCTACATTATTTGATATAATAAAGCTTGATATCCAGGTGTATTTAATTTTGAGCTAGTGGAGGAGTCATATTGTAGAGTGAAAACAATGCTGGATCTAGAGGTCCAAGGTGGGGGTTTGCCCCTAGTTCCACTACTAACAATGTGTGACTTTCAGTAAGTCCTTAACTTTTCCATTTCTCAGTTTCTTTATATGTAAAATGGAAATGAAAACATCCTCTCTCCCTAGGTTGTTAATAAGATGCATGGAATAATGAATGTGAAATATATTTTAACATGAATTATCTTCAATTTAATTCATCTATTTTGGAAATGCCTTATGTGTGCATATTGAGCTTCCTGAAAACAAAGCACAATCATATACAGAGTGATTAAGAAGAAGATATTAAGATACATATGTAATCACAGTGTTATATTAAGATATATATGTAATCAGGTATACATATGTTAAACATTAAAACTCCCAATTGATGGCTAACATTTTATTTAAGTTCTATAATTATTATCTCCATAAATGTTACCATTATCCATTGTTATGTATAAACAATGAACATAAGAATATTTAAGGTAAAACTTAGGAATATGCTTCTGAAAAAAGCTAGCCCACTTAAGGTTCTTTTCTCTCTCTAGTGTTGATGTTAGTGCCATGAAGTTATAAGAAACATATGCGAGAAATTATACCAAAAAAAGTGCGAATTTTTTCCTGCCTCACCATCACATATGTTGAGCCCCAGACACAATTATCCTTTTAGAATGTATTACAGATGCAGTGCTTAGAAAATGGGTGCAAGATGTTTGTTCAGATATAAACTTGCAGGCCAATGCTAGGGGAAGCTGGCAAAAGCCCTTATCAAGCAACATTTCTTGTGGGTTGCCAACCCAGATCATGTTTTTTTTCCTTAAGAGTTTTGGCAGCTTCCTTCCATCTCTTCAGATTGCATTTATAATTGGTTGTTACCATAGAAACATGAACTTTAAATTATAGTATTCTTTATTAACTAGTTGTAAAATGGAGGTGTGCCCTGAGCAAAATAGGATTTGGGAGGGTAACAGCAAATAGGTTAAAACTTACTATACTCATCTATATGATTGCTAATTCTTGCTAATCTGCATGCAAGAGTGGTACGTTCACACTTTATTAATCCGAATGTTGGCCGGCATCTACCCTGATTTCTTTCTGTTATGTTTTACTTAACAAAGGGCTCTGGATTCAGATTTTTTATTTATTTACTGCCTAGTTATATTATTATTATCACTATTATTTTTAAAAATAAGAACAAAACTTTGGTTCCCATTTTGCATTAATGAAACTCATGACATGTTGCCGCTATCTGTTCTTAATCTTGAGAATTAATAAAAACTGAAATCTGTCTTAAGCCTTACTAGTTAAAAACGTAGTCTCTTCAAGTAGAAAAACACATAATCAGATTATAGTTGTACCTGTAGGTCCAGAAGCTCCCCTGTGTTCAAAGCAAAGATTCACAATGAATGGAGTGCAGGAGAATAATCAGGATTTTTTGACAACTGCAATGACGTTGCCTTGATTAACCTTATCAACATGTAAAAAGACTGCTATCCTCGTTTTTAATTATCAAAAATATGTGCAGCAGACATTCCTGGCCCATATTCCATTCTCATGCCTCATTGAAATTCTGAATTAGCTGAAACAATAATGTGTAATCACTGGTTTTGGTGAAATCTGTAGTTTTTCCTACATGATTATGTAAATCACTGACATCTGATACCCCAAATCCATTCCTAATTCCCATTCCATTCCATCCCTTAGAAAATGAAGAGCTAATGCATAATAAATACTAAAGATATGGGCAGGTATCAAAAGTATGGTCTGTGTTTCATGGGGTGGGATGAAGCTTGGGGAGAAATTAATGAAATGGCATATTCCCCACCAGCTTCCCATGATGTGTGGTGATGGTATTTGTGTGTGTGTGTGTGTGTATATGGTGGGGTAGGAGTAGACAGTGACACTAACTTCCAAAAACATGACAGAACTGTCAAAAATGTATGACATAAAAATACAGTAATAAATTACATTAGGTAGTATTTTCCAGCAAATAACAAAAAACCCAACTCTAAATGTTTTTCTGCTATTCAACTAATAATGATCCTTTTATTACTACATCTTCCCTATCTTTCTTGCTCAATGCTTGTGTTTTGGTTGCACATCCTTTGCACTGTTCAATGCACACATTTCCTATGCTGCTTAGCTGTTTGATGTTTACAACATGGTAAACTGTGAAATGTTTTTACAGTTTCAATTATTTAAAAATCATGTCAGAAATGTTTTCTGTTTTCTACCTGGTGATCTGTCAAGGGCTATGCCTTTCCAACAGTCTGTATCCATTTAATGCTCAGGCACTAAGCTCTGTTCACAGACTTATCTACTTTTCTCACCTACTTTGGAATTTCTAAACAAGACAGAGAAACTGAACAGCAGTTCCTGGTGTCTCAGGGGTCAAGAGAAACAACCTTAGTATCTGGGATAGTTCAGGACCACGGACAACAACCAAAGATGCACCCACTTTCACCTCCAAATTCAAGAGTGAGAATCAGAAAAGGCAAGGAAAAACTGTCGCTCTAACTACTTTGAAATTAGTTTGTGCCATTATTAAACTATTATTGTTTTAATTTTAAGCTTATATCAAGATTCTTCTTCAATCAGGTTAATATGGTTTCATTAAAGTGGCACACCCTTAGCAAAACAATGGACTGACCAATTTATCAGGACAGGACAGAAATCTGGAGTCCATATTATGGTGGGAATATGCCACTCTCAAAGGTGGGATTCTCAAAGATGGGAACAGATTCTGAGGACCAAGGCCATAGCCAGGAAAACAGAAACTCATAGGGAGGCAGTACAATCTAAAACATAAAACCATATCTACATCAATATATATGGTAGCCCCCCCACCCTCCACCAAAGATGTCTATGTCTGAATTCCTGAAACTTGGGAATATGCTTCTTCCCCTGGTAAAATGGAACGTGTAGATCAAGTTAAGAGTATTGAGAGGAGAAAGTTATTTTGGATTATCCCGGTAGACCCAATGTAATCACAAAAGTATTTGTTAGAGGGGAGGAAGAGGGTCAGTCAGTAGTAGAAGTTTGAATGACAAGGTGAGAAAAGGATCATAGGAAAGGAATACAGGTAGCCTCTGGAAGCTGAAAAAAAAATCAAAGAAACAGATTCTGCTCTCAAAGCCTCAGGAGGAGAACAGTCCTGCTGACACCTTGATTTAGACTTCTGACCTCCAGATCTGTAAAAAAAGAGGCTTGTGGGGTTTTTTTTTGTCATTAAATTTGTGGTAATTTGCTACAGCAGTAATAAAAAATGTAATAAAATATATGTAAATAGGATCCATGTGCAAAAGAAGGAAAGGGAATCTAAGAACATGGAACCACAGTGAACATTTATGCTCTCCAGATCTTTCCTTTCTTCTATTCATTTGCTTAAGTTGACCGGGGCATCCAGTGAATATATTCTCCTTTCACTCATCCCCCTGTTCCAAGTAGAGTAGTTTACATAGAACCATATCAACCACACACTTCATTTATATGCCCCCTCCCTACGATATTATAAACAGCAGCAATCCAGTATGGAATTCTGTAGATTGCATCTAGGCCACTGATAATTTCTTCCATTATTAAAAAATTCTCTAAGTTTTGGAAAAAAAATTTTTTTGAGACAAGATCTGTCACCCAGGCTGGAGTGCAGTGGCACAGTCACGAATCACTGTAGCCTCAAACTTCTGGGCTCAAGCGATCCTCCCATCTCAGCCTCCCTTGAGTAGCTGGGACCATATGCACACAACACCATGACTAGATACTTAAAAAAAAAAATTTAGTAGAGATGGGGTTTTGCTATGTTGCCCAGGCTGGTCTTGAACTCCTAGGCTAAAGCAACCCTCCTGTCTCGGCCTCCCAAAGTGCTGGGATTAAAGGCATGAGCCACAACACCTGGCCAGGAAAATGTTTTTAAAATAAATTTTTAAAGTGAGGCCCAACTCAGTAAGATTGCTTGGAATTGAATAAGTGTAATGCAAGTAAATTAACTTAAAAAACATTAACTGGGCCTTTCCTTTCTATTTATATGTCAGGCACAGTAGACCTTGAAAAGAAGGGTCACAGCCAGGCTTGTTTGCTCAGGTCAGTGATCCCAGGATTTGGGGACGCCAAGGCAGGAGGATCAGTTGAGCCTCAGAGTTTAAAACAACCAGCCTTGGCAACATAGCAAGACCTTGCCTCTACAAAAGCTTTTAAAAAAAATTAGCCAGGTGTGATGTGCACCTGTGGTTCTAGCTGCTCGGGAGGCTCAGGAGGGAGGATCGCTTGAGCCCAGGAGGTTGAAGCTGAAGTGAGCCACAATCTCAGTACTGCACTCCAGTCTGGGTGACACAGCAAGACTCTGTCTCAAAAAAAAAAACAAAGTCTCACAATTTTCATAGCTCTGAGTCACTATTAAGGTCTTCACAGAATGTAAGAAGAGCTAAAAGACTGTATGTCAAGCTATAGGTAGAAACAAACAATATGGAAATAAAAAGGGATATAATAGAGGATATTTGAGGAGAGTGAGCAGAAGATTAGTGAAAATTAGCTCTTCCCTCCACTAATTCCAATCATTTATTGAGCCTGGCCAGTCACTGTGCTATATAATATATGCCATTTTTTAAAAATTCTTGCAATCACACCATGAAGAGGGTATTATTATTTCCATTTTAATAGACTTAGAGATCTAAGTAACTAGCCCAAGTTGACATAGCTTCTGTGGCTGCACCAGGGGGTCTGACTGTAAAACCTCTGACTCCAAAGCCTTGCTATTTCAATGGTGCCTTTCAGTGATGAGAGTACATAAGGCCTTTTACTTTAACTATTTGTCTTCTATGCCATGGAAAGAGAGGGTTTTGTCTCTTCTCTAGCCAAGAAAGGAGGATTTTTATTGAATTTGGACAATGATTCAGAAATCTTATAAGCTGCCTTCACCTTTCTTGCTGACACATCAAGTATTCCACAGTTCAGTTTCCAGGAACATGAGGGATGCGAGCACCTGTAAACTGTGCCTGACATCTCCCTTAGGTTGAACTACCCTGCACCATTAAGTGGAGCAGAGGAGGAAGTGGATGTTGCTGGTAAGATAGGTGTTTAGCTGTTTAGAGCATGTGTACTTATAATATTCCTGTTGTTTTGGAGCACAGTTGATCCATTATTTGAGGCTTTTAGATCACTTATAGTTACTTTATTAAAAGTCAGTTAATCCTTCTGGGCACGGTGGCTCATGCCTGTAATTCCAGCACTTTGGGAGGCCCAGGCGGGTGGATCACTTGAGGTCAGGAGTTCCAGACCAGCCTGATTAACATGGTGAATCTTCGTCTCTACTAAAAAAAATATAAAAATTAGCCAGGTGTGGTGGCACACGCCTGTAATACCAGCTACTTGAGAGGCTGAAGCAGGAGAATTGCTTGAACCCAGCAGGCGGAAGTTTCAGTGAGCCAAGATCGCACTCCAGCCTGAGCAATAAGAGCGAAACTCTGTCTCAAAAAAAAAAAAAAAAAAAAAATCTGTTAATCCTTTGACCTTCTATTAGTCCAGATAGCTGTGGTTTTGGAACCAGGGAAGGTCTGGTTCAAAGAGGTAGCAAACATTTTTGAATAGTACTATGTCAGACTGTACCTCAGTAATACCTACATTGAGTAGCACCCAGCTTTTTTACAAGCAGAGCTGGCCGGGAATTCAGATTTCCTGATTCCCAGCCAGAGGTTATCCCATTTACAACATTCTGATATCTCTCCCTTTCCCAAGCTTCAATATAAACTCCAAGGTACTGATGATTATATCTCAGATTTCCTATACATATACTTATGGCACCACGGACTTAATAAGTTTGTACTGAATAAAGTGATATCACAAATGAAGTTGTGCTGGATAATATTTTTCTAACTAAAAAGGCAATGAAAACTAGAGTCCCACTAAAAATATTCAGAACTGCGTTCTTCCACTGTTTTGAGCCATTTGATTTCCATTTCAAGGCAGGCAAGGCTACATTTATCAGAGAAGTGAAGAGTGAAAGTGTCAATAAGATGTATGGTGAGGGAAAAGCTAAGAGGGATGAAAAGGTAGAAGCAAATGCTGTGCATTAGAAGGGACTTGAAAGGTACTGAAAAGCTGACTTCCCTTCTCAGGTCCACCAATGACCGACTCTGTGACCTTAGGCTGGTCACATAACTTTTGTCGCAGAGAAGGCTTAACTGCAAAACAGGGAAGAAAGCTAGTTCTAACTCTAACAGGAGGATGGGATGAGCAAAGCGCATTGGAGATGTGGAAATTCCGTTAAAAGGTTTAACTTGCTGAGCTATATAAAAATAAGACTGGAATCTTGTCTTGATATAACCCCAAGTTTGGTAACTCTGCACAAGTTTCCTAATCTAACATCGTGCCTGCCTCATCATGGGTACAAATAATCAAACAGAGGCTGTGTGGTGTAGCGAGAAAGGAAGGGGATTAGAGCCAGGCATGCTTAGATTCCAACACCAGACCCACTCATTCCTGTATGATGGTGGGGAAGTGAATTAATCTCCTTAAGCCTCAACCTCCCAATCTCTATAATAGGACAATGATAATTATACCTACAAGAATAATATGAAATGGTTCATGTAAAATTCTTGGATAAACAACAGGAAATGTTTTTGGCTTCAAGTAACAAAAGATGTAACATAGACTTAAACTAGTAAGAGTTTAAATTCATCTCATATGAAAAAGTCTGGAGGTAGTAGCTACTCGTTCGTTTATTGCCTCGCCACTGGCATCTCTGCAGCTTTCTTGGGCTCTGCCTCACGGTCGTAAGTTGGCTGCCAGAATTCCACTCACCATAGCTGTATTCAAGGTGGGTAAAAATGGATGGATAGGGAGGCACCAGATGCATTTGTTCCTTTTATCAGGAAAGCAAAGTTTTTCTAGAAATACTTTTTGTATCCTCTCACTTTATCTTCTTGGCAAGAACTGGCTGACATGGCCCTCCCCAGCTGCAAGGGCGAGTGGAAAATCAGAGACCAGGATGATCCATCACCCAGGCTGGGCACACTGGGGCCCTACGGAAAATCAGGGTTTGCATGGCAAGAAACCACAGGCAAGTGGACACCAGGACACAACTAACAGAGTTAGCTGCAGCCTGGCACCTGGTGACTTAATCGCTAAATACTGCTTTCTTCTTCCTCCCTCCGTCAATCAACAGAGCAAATCCATCTGGCTTTAATAGTCTGTGATTCCATATGGATCATTAAATTATAATCAAAAGTCAATACTATTGTAAAAATTCTCTAAACTGACCTACCAGAAGATAAATAAGGCATTAAAATTGTGATTCATGAAATATTCTTATCTCTACTTTGAGATAACTCCAGATTTACAAAAAAAGTTTCAAAGGTAGCACAATCGGGTCTCACATACCCTTCGGCCTGCTTACCTAAATGTTAAAATATTATATGATGATAGTAAGATTCCCAAAACTGGGAAAATAACACTGATATGGTATTATTAATAAATCTACAAATCTTCATTCAAATTTAGCCAACTGCTCACCAGTGTTTTTTTTTTTCGTGTCCAGAAACCCATCCAGGATCCTACTGAATTTATTTGTCATATCTGCTTCACCTCTTCCAGTCTAGATATAGCATATTTTTAAAGCGAAACATTTTTCTTATTTTGATATAGTTACCACAGAGCCATTTACTTTAGTATTTTGCGTGTGCATTTTGAATTGAAAAATTACATTACCATGTGGTGCCAGGAGGATTATATTGTTGATTTGCTCTTGCTGATTTGCTTTAACAGTCATTTGCATGGGGACTAAATGTACACTTCAGAAGAGAAAGTCTAGAAAATAAAGCTTCAGATGAGTAGCGCATGGATTAGTGAAGGATTTCTCCATCTCATCCTGGGTAATGCTAGATTTCTCCTATGGAGGATTTTCCTGCCCACAACACACACACTCATCATACCATAGAGGGTCAATTTTGAATGTTCCAGATGGATGCACTCAAGTTGTATGCTCAAATAATGATAATTAGCTACATTGATATGGCATTATTTATTAGAGGATTCCAATGCAGAATAGAATACTGGGCAGTTCCTGGAACTTCAGTCTTCTCGCACTCCCCCAGAAGGAGGCAGCTGGTGGCAGGGGGAGCCATGTGCCAAAGGCCATGTGGGAAGACAGCGGACAATGCAGTGAGGGATCTCCATGCAGCCTCCGTGCCTCTATGCCCTGCTGCCTGTCTGTTCATGGAATTAGGACAATGTATGACTTTGGCAAACAGATGTAAATATCATGCCAATATTTTGGATCAATACCTGGGAACATTTCCCTACAGCATATGTCTTATTGACTCAATTACTGTTTGTTGTTTTGATAAATTGAGCCCTGAGTGCCCTGAAAGGGAAGTCAAATGAATCAAAATGCCCACATTTCTAGACTTTGATGTATATCTCCATCTCTACTGTGTAGTCCATAGCAAATCCCCCAGCTGTTGCCTGCACAGCACTGTGGCCACTGTGCACAGGGAGGCAGGGCTGAGTGGAGCCCTGGCTGGACCAGCACTAGTGGAGAAACACACCACACCATGAGTGGACCACGCTCTGTGTGTACTATCATGACCAGCCCCATCCCAGAAGAAGGCAGTTCACCCCCACTCAAACTTTTCAATAACCTTTTCTTTCCACTGGTGGTTCTGTACTAAATTTCTATTGAAAGGCTGTTTGTATATCAGTGGCAGTGTTACTCTTTTTTTTCTTTTTTTTTTTTGAGACAGAGTCTCGCTCCGTCGCCCAGGCTAGAGTGCAGTGGCATGATCTCGGCTCACTGCGACCTCCACCTTTCAGATTCAAGCGATTCTCCTGTCTCAGCCTCCCGAGTAGCTGGGACAAGAAGTGCCTGCCACCACGCCAGGCTAATTTTTTGTATTTTCAGTAGGGACTGGGTTTCACCGTGTTAGCCAGGATGGTCTCGATCTCCTGACCTCATGATCCACCTGCCTCGGCCTCCCAAAGTGCTGGGATTACAGGTGTGAGTCACCGTGCCCAGCCAGCAATGTTACTGTTTAGGCAAATGATAGGTATCTACCTGCCTTTAGAATTCACTCTACCTGTAAAGTAGTAGGGTATCCAAACACATGGGAAAAAACAACATCACTTGAACGTATTCATTTCCCTCTACATCAGTGTAAAAACAAACAACAACCATTCCTGCTGCTGACACTAAACTGTGGACTTGTTAACCAAAGCAGTGAGATCTATTGTATATATTTCAAATACTATTATTATGAAGTTGAAGAGATAAAATCATGACAAATTTACTACATGACAAAAGTAGTAAATTTTTCTTGAAGCAAACATAACAAAAAGTATTAAAAATGTGTGATTATTAAGAAATTTCTTACCATAATGCACACCCATTCCTCCTGTTTTAGGTTCTAAAGACATTTTATGAACAATCATGAAGTTTATTTAAATATAATCTGTGTGTATGCTTTGCCAAGGGCATTTGTTTTTGTCATCAAATATTTATCTTCCCAGCTTCATGATATTGGAGTCTAATTATTATAAATATTACTAATAAAAGATTGTCAAAAATAATAGCAAATTAGTTAGCAAAGGCGTGAAATAAGGAATAAAAACAGAAGTTCTCCAGGAAATTGTTTATATTTTTCTTTTGCTATAATGAACCTCTAAATGTTTCATCTTGTCTTTCCATGTATGTTTGCTGGTTTTATTGTCTCCACTTTTCCTTACCTCTAGAGTAGCCCTGGGCATTTACAATCAAGATGTACACACTAAGTACCCATGGTGGTTCTGGGTCTTGGGGAGGCAGTTCCACCGAGCTGTAGCCTTCCTCACACCGCAAAGACTATGCCTCCTGCAGACAGGCACAATCTCCAGATTAGCAAATATGAGCCCAGTCTTAATTTTGATTCTGTGATGTGCTGTGGATATGAACCTTAAGGTAAAATTGTGTTAAATTGTTTCACAGTTGCTTAAGGCAGTCTTTTGAATGAAAATTATAGACTTTTTTTTTTTATCACATATTCTCACTTACAAGTGAGAGCTGAACAATGAGAATGCATGGACACATGGGGGCGTGACAACGCACACTGGGGGCTGTCGGGGGCAGTGTAGGAGAAGGGAGAGCATCAGGAAGAATAGCTAATGGCTGCTGGGCTGAATAACTAGCTGAAGGGTTGATATGTGCAGCAAATCACCATGGCACATGTTTGCCTATAAAACAAACCTACACATCCTGCACGGGTACCCCGGAACTTAAAATAAAAGTTCAAGAAAAAGAAACAGAAAAAAAAAGAAAATTACAGATTTTTAAAACAGAGTTGTTTACTAGTGGTGTGACAAGGAAAACCAAGGCTGCTTAGAGTAAAAAACTGTATTCTTCTCAGGTTGTTCTGCTCGTCACGGTAGAATGTAGTGGTGGGTTTACAGTGTATCGAGTTTCTTTATTAGAGTCTAATGATTAGAAAGCTTCAATTATTCTCCCTATTATTTCGTTGGTTTCGTGAAGACAGAGAAAAATCAAAATCAAATCTGAGACAAAATAAGTAGATAGGAAAGTCATGAATTACTCTTTCTATTTGGGAAGAGCAAATATGTTTTAAAGAAGAATATACCAGAGATAATGAAAGTCAAGTTTAAAATCCTAACAAGTTTTATTTCGAAACAATCATGAACTTGTACACGCCAATGGAAATGAAATCTCCAAAGCAGCCTTTTAAATATTAGATCTGGCTCCTGGCTACTAACTTATATTCACTCCCTCTGCCTTGTGGTGATGAAGCTCAGATAAACACAGTGGCTGTAAGCCAGTTCTGTAGAGCTAATTAAATCAGTAAACCTTGACTAGGTGCTTTCTTTATATAAGAATCCCTGTCTACGGATACAAAAATTAAGACATACTCCTAGTTCTCAAGTCTCTCAGTGCGCAGGTGGGAAGACAGAGATACCAAAGCACTACTACATTCAATATAGTGGGTATAACTCATGCTTAAGACATACTGGAAATACAGAGTAGACCCAAACTCTGCCTTTGGGATGAGGGAAAAGAAGTTTCATGGAAGGCTAGGAGGCCGATGTAAGGCATTCCGTATTTGGGGAATGGGAGGATTATCTGTAAAGGGGACAGCAGGACCAAAGAAGAAGCTAAGAAACAATATGGTGTTTGCAGAGAATACCAGGCAATTAATTCTATGATGCTGTTAGGTAGGTAGGTAGGTAGGTAGGTAGGTAGATAGACAGACAGACAGACAGACAGACAGATATAGATGAAGCTGGAGTGTTGGTTCAGGTCCCACAGACTATGGGAACGAACCTTGATTTATCTGAAACCAGGAAGCCGCTGTACACTGTAAGCATGGTCACGTGAGAGAGGCTGGATGAGGAAATGAGAGTAGGGTTGGAGAGCAGGGTACAGATATAAGATCTATTGGGGGTGGGGCTTGATGATGAGTTCAGTACTACAGTGTGAGTTTGAGATACCCGAAGGTGATCCAGGCAGAGATTCCCAGCAGATGGATGGATTCACACTCCTGGAACTCAGGAAAGAGCCATCAATTGGTACACAACTGGGCATTATTGTTGGTGGGAGGAAGCATGGTGCCACTTACCCTAGAGCTCAGCTCTCTATTTTATCATTCCCCGCACATGAAAGAGAAAAAAGAATCTCCCTTTGCTTGCACTACAATACAACCTCCTTCTTTAGAAAGTTTCTTGCAGCTATGAATTGTCACTTTAGGTTGTGAATGGGAGGACTTGTTCTGAATAGTAGAAATATTCAGAGAACCTGGTGTCATAACACACTGGCTAGGTATGCTCAGTTGTGATGCACATCTTGGGCATTTGTTACTATATTGATTATAACACTAAAGTCTCTGCTTGATGTGCTTTTCTGTCAGACAAAAGTGTGTGGTTGCAGCTACTGTGCTGGGGATTGGGTAAATCTTGGTATGGCCTCGGGAGTGCATAACATTTGTGAATGTCATCCATGTTCACTCATGTACGTCTCAGTACCAAGATCATAAAGGAAAAATTGAGAACCACTGTTCTGGAGACAGCAAATCATAGCTCTCAGGTCAAATCCGGCTGCCACTGCCTGTTCGTATATAGCTCACCTGTGCACCAAGAAGGGTTTTTACAGATGAACATTTTTTGAAAAATTGGTGTTAGAGAACAGTAACTTTGAATCCCATTTAAGGGAAATGTCATCTACTCCTCAAAAGAATTCCATTCTTCTCATTACTGGATCTATAATACAATAATTTTATTTAATTACATTATTATATGTTGAATTTCACCAATAAAAAATTTGTAGAAATTTGTCTTATCTCTTATTATGTAAGGAGATACATAATATTTGCAATTTGCCTCTTGGCTTCCAAAGACTAAAATATTTACAATCTGGCCCTTTAGAGGAAAAGCTTGTAAACTTCTGCTCTAGATTATGGTAAGGCAGCAAAATACACAGATAATTTACAATATGCCCAGCATTCTGCTAACTAAGAGTAATTTTCCCAGTTTGTATTTCAGTGCTCCCAATACCCTGTGGGGTGAACACTATAGTGGCCTTCATCACAGATGAGGAAACTAAAATGCAGGGATGGCCAATTACTTGTCCAAGCCCATGCATTTAATAAGTGAAAAAGCTGGGATTTGAAACTAACTGGTCTGGCCTCATGGCTGATGCTCCTGTTCTTAAGCCCCCCTCGGAGTTTCTGAGGTACTAACTCCTATCCCTCCTCATCACGGGCACACACGCTAACCTTTATGGATCCTAGAGGCCTCTGTACTTTTCCTCATTTCCTTTTCCCTTCTTACTTCTTTACACCTGTCTGCTTATAATGTTCACTTCTACAATGCTTATCTCTTAGCCAAAAGGTGACACTCATCTCAGTTTGAGAAAATGATGAGAAAACACATCTCTCTATACTTGCATTTTCATTTAATCTAATTGATATGTATTCAAATAGTAATAGTATCTTGTGGTCAAAATACAGGAAATGTTCTCCATTCACATCACGTTGTCCTGCTTCTGATCTATGGAACCAGAAATATGAGGTCAGTCTCCATTTTATGAAACACTTTCCAACAACATATTGATACTCAATCTTTGGTTTATGTGATAGGGAATTTTAGATGTCAACTTAACTGGACTAGGAGATACCCAGATAAATAGTAAAGCTTTTTTGAGTCTGTCTGTGAGACTCAAACTGTCTGTGAGACTTAGAACTCCAAACTGTAGAGCCTTCAGGCTCTGGGGCTTACACCAGCAGTCCTCTAAGTTCTCAGGCCTCCATTCAGCCTTAGGCTAAAAGTTATGCCATCTGCTCCCCTGGTTCTCAGGCCTTTGACTCAGACTAAATTACATCACCAGTGCTCCTGGCTCTGCAGCTTGCAGATAGCATATTGTGGGACTAGCCACCATAATTGCAGGAGCCTATTCCCATAATAAATCCCTTCTCATATAGCTCTATCTGTATGTTTTTTATTGGTTCTTTCTCTCTGGATAACTCTGCCCAAAACAGTTTATAATTGTTATTAATGAGGATCAAATTGAACATCACGCATTTTGTTTTCAACTCAAAAGTGAGTTCAAATACCTTCCTCAGAATAGAAACCTATAAAACCAAGATAAAAAATAATGCTCTGATGTAGAGAAAGAAAATCATTCTATGTAACCTATGTAATATTATGAGATTGCTATTATGGATTTCCTTTCATCAAAGGAATTCCTATGGGACTTACCACAAATTATATTCGATGTAGTCTCTCAACAAAAGACCAATAACCTGGAACTCGCCAAAAATTTTACAGATGCCAACGTACTTTGGTCCAAAAAGAGAGCCAAATTTGCAGCCTGTATCTTCTTACGTTTCAAAAATTCTAACACACTTATTTATGTAAATTGTTAAGTAACAATAGCTGACTTTATCACGTCTACCATATATTACACATCATATAAGCAGGATCTAACTTACTGTAAATAAAAACAGCATCCTATTTCATAGATGATATACACTAAGGCACAGGGGGATTACATGCTTTTAGTTAAGCACTTAGTTGAGTAGTATCCACAGGTGGCAAGTGCGAAGGGCTGGGATTTACACCTAGGATTATCTTATGCTCTTAAGCACTATACATATTGCCTCTCCATTTTAAGTCCACAAGAAATTAGAAACCAAAATTTTGGGAGATGGAAGGGTCGCTAGATGTAGCCCAGTGATAAAAATGAAATGTACTTGATAGCAGTGTTAGAGCAAGAGAGAAAAAACAAATTAAAAACAAGGACTCAAAAGTCAGAGCAATTTGGGGCCATTTAAGAAGGGAAAAAACTTCAAACATCTCAAAAGCCACTGTACATCACTGTATATCAGCATAAAGCAATAATTAGATTTTACACGAGGGTCATAAATTATCAAGGCTCAATTCAATTAGCATAAACTGTTTAGGAAGACACTACGTAATGCATTTCAGATATGTTTCAACCAAAATGTTAAATTAAAAATTACTTATAAACAAGTTTATAAGCCTTTCAGCATTCTGAAAAACTTAGACAATTGAAAATATTTCATTCTCTCAGCAGTACGCTGTTTTGCAAGAATTTAATTAACTTTCAAAACAACTCTAAGAGAGAGCATTGCTTTTATCCTCTTTTTACAGATTTATGTTTACAAATGAAGAAAGTGAGGCTTAGGGGAGGTTAAATAATACACCCGAGGTCACAGAGCTAATAATATTAAGTAGCCCAGCTGGGATATGAATACAGAACTTTAAATCTACTCTGAGTAAATTAAAAACCTAGACTGGAACTGCTCATTAAGAAAATGGCTGTGCTATGTGGATTTCCAACATGGATCTTAGTGATCCCTTCATCCTGCTCCCAGGCATTCCCCCACCCTACAAGGGTGCTTCTAACCAACAGAATCTGGCAAAGGTGAAGAGGTGTTACTTCTGTGGTTAGGTTATAAAAGGCTATAACTTCCGTCTTGCTAGCAGACACTCTGTCTTTCTGTCTTTGACGAAGCAAGCTGCCATGTTGGAGAGGTCCCATGACAAGGAACTGAGGATGGTCTCTGGCCAACAGAGAAGAACTTCAGCTTTCATCCTCACAACCTGTGAAAAACTGAATCCTGCTATCAGCTATGTGAGTTTAGAAGCAGATCCCCTCCCAGTCAAACGCTGGGTGTCCACAGCCCAGTCTACACCTTAAGACCCTGAAGCTGAGGACCCAACTCAGTCTTACCTGGATTCCTGACCCACAGAAACTGTGAGATAATGAACGTGTGTTGCATGATGCTGCTAAGTTTTTTGGGGTTATTTGTTACACAGCAATTGATAACTTGATATAGTGACACTTTAGTATTGAGAACCCACAATTTCAAAAGAAGATGAAGCACTTTTATTCAAAAAAGCAATTCAAACATCTTTTAAAACAATTTTCAGCCTGACATGGTGGCTCACACCTGCCACTTTGAGAGGCCAAAGTGGGCAGATCACTCGAGTCCAGGAGTTTGAGACCCAGCCTGGGCAAAATAGCAAAATCCCATCTCTACTAAAAATACAAAAACTTAGCTGGGTGTGGTGGAGTACACCTACAGTCCCAGCTACTTGGGAGGCTGAGGTGGGAGAATCACCTGAGCCCAGGAGATGGAGGCTGCAGTGAGCAGAGATCGTGCTATAGCACTCTAACCTGGACAACCGGAGTGAGACCCTGTTTCAAAAAAATAAATAAATAATAATTTACAACTAGGATTGACTTTTAAATATTTTTAGGAAAAAAGGCAAATAAATAAAGGTGTAGTTCTGGAAGTGAAGAGATTCAATGGGCTGAAACTAATAAATCTTTTGTTTCCTACCTTCTCCAAGTTCAAGGTTGTAAAGAATTGGGAAGCCCAGACACAGGGCAGGAGAACATCTTTGGGAGTCCAGAGTCCCTGTTCATGGCAATCTCCTTCCTGAACACGGGATTATGATATTTTTGGCACCAAGACAGCCATAAACAATTATTTTTAAAGAGAGGAAAAAGGAAATTACCTACTCAAAAAATTAATGCGGTAGATTACTTAGTAAGCAATGCTGAAGCAGTGGAAAGGAAATGGAAAGAACAGACTGCCTCTCATGTCAACTCAATGCTACCTTTTAAACACTCCTCTGTCCACAGGCACATATGTTGTACCTGCCCAAGACAACAGGATAAAAAGGTGGTTGTCCAGAAGAAAAATAAATGACTGTCATGGCTGCCCCATTTCTTACTCTTTCATTTTCCCATTCATGCAATATTCGTGTAATTGTCTAACTTCCAATGATCACTCTGAAATATGGGACTGCTTTTTTTTTTTCTGTCTCATTCTTTAATTGTTGTTAGCCTATTACAGGTTTCTGCAATATTTCCCATTTGACATTTTGCTAAGTGGGAGTTAATTATTTTGTTCAATATACTTATTGATCCAAATAATCAATGACTTAAGAGTTAAGTTTGTCCTCATTACTACTACTTCTGCCATCCTATTCCCTCCACCAGTTTATCTCAACAGAGACAATTTTTGCAGTGAACTCCTGGATAATGCTTTGCTCTCTACCTTCCAGACTTAACCCATGACTCCAGGGGATGGCATCTTTGTACTGCAAAGATGTTCCTGGGTCCAGAAGGCTTCATCCCTTAGTTTTCACATCTCACCTTTATTATTTGAAATCCAAACAAGAAGTCAAAAAGAGTTTATTTCCTAGGTAAAGCTCAATGTGTTAGGCAATGATGAGCCTGTGAAAAACCTCAGCAGGTATACAGCTGAAGCATGACGGACCTGAATACTTTCATCTAGGACTCTCTCAACTTTTTTCTTTTTTTTTTTTTTGCTTTTCCAAAATGCAAATAATTCAAGTGAACTTTGTGTTATATATGGTAGATGAGTGCCTGAAGTGAATATATAATCAATATATTATAAGGTAAAATATATTTTCACTACCTCATATAAGGGTATACCACAGCTAATCATTTTCCTATGACATGAATAACTGCAGAATGATCAGCTATGGTTTGTGCATGCTTTGTAGGTGTGCACAATGGGTATAAAACTCTCCAGACAATTTAGAGAGAACAGCTGACTCTTACCCCAATAGGGGGCTGGAGGCTTCTCCCAGCAATGCCTCAAACCTGCTTTGTGACTTTCTGGACATTCATTTTTTCATTCTAACAAAAAAACAAGGATTAAAGCAAATAATTGAAAAAAAAAATGAAATAATTCTCAAAGGTGCCTTCTGGCTTTGAAATGGAATGGTTCTATGGCAGTCATTGGTTCATTCATTGATTCCACCTAGTAAAATGTTAAATACTTTGTTTTACTTATATTTAATTTTCCAGGTGAAAGGTGTAGGAGGTACTATATCGTTCTGAAATAATTCTGGTCATATCTGCCTCCTTTCTAACTAGACATTCAGATCCTATGACCAGACACCAGCATGCAATGGAATTTAATCTCCATGGGGGCAGAGACTTTGTCTATTTTGTTCACTGTCATTTTCTCAGTGTCCAGTACACAGTGATAAACATTTTCTGAACAAAAAATAAATGAATGAATGCATGAATGAACATCTATTGAAATTAATGTCATCTATACCTATCAGAGAACAATATAAACATCTCACAAATGATTGTGGGTCTTAATAGATAATTTACATTTCCTGAATATACACGACCGAGTCCGGAAATTTAAAAATATATATTTTACAAAGCATAATTTCAGTGAGTGATTGTTTTGTTACTATGTACAAGTAAGGATGTTTCTTCAAATTTAAAAGCTTTGTCAACATCATGGACTAAGTTATTTCAAAGGCAGTCAATGGGAATTCTGGGAAAATTACATCTAAAAAAGAGGAAAAATGATTTCATTATCATAATCCTCTTTCAAGTTTACAGTTCAGTTGTGATTAAAAAAAAGTGAGGAAAGTTTAAATGAAATTATTTAATAGGACTGGATTCCATGTTAATTGTGGATTCCATACTATTTACACTTTTTCATTTAAAGAGTCTTTAAAAATGTGGCTTGCCATTGATAGAATTATATTAACACAGCATTCTGACACAATCTTATTGCAATTTCAAGAGTAGGAAAAGCCGAAGGAATGAACTGCTACTAAATAAAATATAGCCTCATGTTTGCAGACACCTTACTGGTTAATCAATGGCTTATAGTATGTGCCTCAGGCTTATGTGTGGCCACGATTATTTTAACAAATCCAAGAAAGTATAATAACCTCTTGGCAGATACATATGCTAGCATATTTCAAATGTGTGTAGTTGCTATTCTAAAGACATGTATTTTAAAGATTTAATAAAATAATAATAGCTGCTTGTCATGTGTTTTCTAAATCAATGGACACTAAAATTATAACTACTCTAAAGTGTAAATCCATAGCATGACTTTTCAAAAACTTACCATAATTAGTTTTATTATTATTTTTCTTAATAGAGAAGCAATTCGAGTTAATTGCACAATGAAAGTAAATAAAAATAATACCTACAATCACACACAACAAGACAGAGACAATCCCTTAAACACCTTGCTGTGGGTACATTTTATTAAGTCCGTGTTAAACAAAAATGAAATCACAAGCTTTGTAAGTGGCTTTTTAAAACAAATATGCTGTGAAAAGCTTTCTATATAAATAGATGCATTTCTTTAACATGTTAATTGTTGCAAAATGGTCCATTAGGTATAAGAACCATAATATATCTATCCGGCCCTTTGTTTTTGTATATTTGGCACTTTAGAAAACATTCATTTACAACAGGGTATTTTGATCTCAATACTATTGACACTTTGGGCTGGATAAAAATGTTCCTACCTGGTATTATGGTCACTACTTGAGTCACAGGGTCATTAGAAGCCCAAATTTCAGCATCAGGCAATATACCCATATACCAAACCTGCACATGTACCTGCTGATTCTAAAATTAAAAAAAAAAAAATGCCCTTGTTTATAAAGTCCTTTCTCGCCTTAAGACTATATAAAGATTAAATCATATCTCCTTAAAGTACTTTTTCTCTCTGATTTTTAGAAATTTGAGTATTTTAAGCATTTGATACTTATTTCTTTTTTAGTAAGATATGAGGCGATTTTAAAAATATTCTGATGGTAAAGAAAGAGGCCCCAGTCTTTGGAAAAATGGGACACCCTGGACTTGGTGGTCATCATGTTTTCTGCCTGCCAACTCTACTTGGCTGTTTGATTCCATGGTGCTACCTGTTATCTCCCTCATCTTTATCGTAATTTCACCGTGAACGCGTGCCAAGACAAAGAGAATGTAACAGGAGAACAGAGGAAGAGAAGGGAACCATTTGGGCTCATCTGTAAACGAAAATAGGAATCATCTAGCTGTGGGGAGGAAAGGGATATGCCATACAGAGAGGCTGACTGAGCCTGCTTGACGTTGGCATGAATTATGCCTCCTTCCCACTTAGCTGCATCCTTCAGCCCTTTGAGATTTCTGGAGTACCTTAAGTGCACAAAACGTTTCCACATATGTAACCAACTTCTATCCTCAAAAGAACGGTCATGGAAATTCTAGTCATTTTCAGTTTACAAATGACAGAACAGCAGTTCAGTATTTCACAGCCATCCTGCAGCTACTGGATGACAGAGCTGGAAGGCAGAGAAAATCTGAGATTCTTCTGTGCATCACCTCTAGCTCTATCACAACAACTTGAAAGCACCTGGAAACAAATCTTTTTTTTTTTTTTTCCTGAGAAAATAAAATCTACAGAGTTTCAGCAGGAATGTAAATTAGTTTTCTGTTTGTCACAGGGAATTGATGTCTTCTGGACTCCATAACTCTCTTTGAGATTAGTATCTGAAGTTCGAGAGCCTCCTAGGAGTAGAACAAGAATTCAAAGCATTCTTCAAGAAATGCAAAGGAATGTAAGTGCCCAGGTCTTAGAGTCTGTACAGCTTTAGTCAATTTCCTCCTAATAGCCTCTTTGAACTGAGTCAAAGGCTTCTCTGGTTTTGAGTTATTCCTACATTATTTCAATAATTTTTCTTACCCACAAACCTTGCCTTTAAAGAAAACTCTCTCTCTCTCTCCTATGAAAGGATTGTGAAATAGGAGTAAGACACAGAACTTGAAATGACAAGGCAGCTATTGCTCATTTACCCCAATTCCTACATCCACTCACTGATTTACTTTTTGAGGTTCACAGAAACACCATTTATGTTTTTTGTAGGCACTGCTGCTGAATAAAGGAGAACTTCTCACCTCCAACCCTCTCTTCCAGAAAAAACTGTTTAGAAAACCTTCATATTTACTCTTCCGTTCAAACTATTGGCCCTGATTTTTACAGATAATCAAAAGTCAGGCTGCCAAACTTATTTTCTTTGAATTTGGAATATCTTTTAAAATTTGCCTTTTTCTTTCTTATTATTAGTCCATAAAGGCTATTTCTAGTATTAAACAATGCTTAAGAATAGCTTGGATCCATGAAAACTTTTGAGAAGGAGGACAAAGCAGACGGAACCTAATCTCTGAACAATTTCAATTACATCTTTTACAAGTGGCTGTTGGCTAGTCATTAAAAATGAGCCATTCACACTTGTGGACACCTTTTTTGCCATGCAGACTTGACTTGCAAAGCCTTTATTATCCCTGGTTAAGAACAGCACAGCTAATAAAAACGAATCATATGGCTTTAAACTACTTGCATCCAACAGGGACATCCTAAAAATGGTCCGGATAGTGACTTCATGACCATTTAGGCTGCAAGTGCCATAGTTACTAATGAGAACAGATATTTCCAAATGGCGGCAATAGATTATGAAAATGGAGAAAGGAAAGAGAGTAATTTACTTTCAGCTAACACTGAAATGCTTATAAGGATGAGGTAAGTAAGATTTTTAAAACCGGTCTGTTATCATAAAACTAAAGTATTCCCATTTACATGAAGGTAGAAAGAAATATGGAGAGTAAAAACATTTTTCTTAGCTGCTTTTTTGCTTCCTCTTAATATAAGGAATTGTTAAATATCATGTATAAAGTTTACATTTTTACAGTGAAATATATTTATGTAAAATATTTGAAAACACCATCTAGACTTAGTGAAAAAAAAGTCTGAGCAGGGTCTTGGGAAAATTTTTTAGATTTCAGAAACACATAAATCAGTAACTAGATTGAACTGCTTTCAGGCTAATCCTAGAACTGTGAAAATTCTTAGTACAGCTGCAAATACCAATTTACATGTTATTTAGTAATAAGTAAACTTGGCAAACTCTCATTAAACAGATGCTTTTAATGCAACCAGCCAGTAGGGCAGTAGGGAAGTCTAGAAGCTGGTCTCTCTCTTCTCTCTCTGACTTCTCCTCCACTGCTATGGAGAACTGGGAGCAGTTGATGCAATACACACAAGTATCTTCTGTGCTAGGCACTGGATTGCCACAAACGTCTTCAGTGCCAGCCTTTCTCAGGTTATTTTACAGCATTCTGATTGGCTGATAAAACATCTGGTTAGTTCCTATTGCCTAAGAATTTGTACTGGCCAGTGATTTTTTACTGGCTGTTTGGCTATTTCTAGGTGTAATGAAAAGTGTTCACCTTGATGGAGAAAGAAGGTAAGAAGCCAAGGATATTTCTACTGGATGTGCTTTTTGAAAACTGTTTTCGGTTAAATTACAAACTGAGGCTTCCTCGGCTTTGTTGCCCAAGCAAAATATAGCTATTTGCAGACTGCGATATAATTGTTGGTGTGCAGAAACTGCCTTTTTAAAGAACTACTGATCTAATCTAACCTACTCATTAGATAGATGGGACAACACAATTTATATCTGTATATGGGAGACACAGAGAGAAAGAGAGAGAGAGAAAATCACACACATATACACACACGCACACACACAGAGCAAAGCTAGCTGGTCTTTGGAAATCCATCTTTCATGCCTATTCATTCATGTTTTCAATTCTTCTACCCTCTCTTTTGATAAGAGAAGTTCTTGGATGGAATATATTGATTCTCCCTAATTACATATTTTTGTTAATGCCCACAGTACCATATTATCCACTAAAATACAAAATACAATTTAATTTCTCCTGAGCTGAGCCTTTTTCAAGGCTTACAGGGTATATATTTACAAACTTGTTTTCAGGCAATGGTCTAGTATACAAATTTGAGGGGCATGAGGTTTTGGAAAGTGTTTCAATAATTTGGAAGTTGAACAACAGAGGCAGAAGGGATTTCCTAAATATGAAGAAATAAACTCAAGCCATTCCCCTTTATTTTCCCATCAGAGAGCATTCAAGAAAAACATCACAACTAAAAATAGTTCCAATCAGTCTCTCTCACTTCCAAGCCTGCATCTAGAAGTCAGGTACTTTGGTCATTGTAGTGAGCAAGTGTTGTCCTGTGTTGAGCAGGAACTGAAATGTACTTGAAAACCTTGTGGGTGAGGTTTGAAAAAAACAAGGATTTAATGATTTCCAGAATCACTAGAAGAGCCTAGTAGAGTCTAGACAACAAAGAAAAATGCCACCACTGTTCTTAGTTAATAATGTACGTGCTTGTGCTTGTATAGTTACTTCACTATTCCCGAAGGACAGTAGAGATACAGATACAACTAGAGCCTATTTAATTTCATTTTACTTTTAGAATAGTACAGTTTTCTCATTGGTATAAAAAGCTACATTAATGGTAGCAATGCAAGTGGCATTTATTGGTTGCCCGGTGTCTAACTTGTGAAATCAATCAAAATCTTCTTTTTCCCGTATCCAATATGTACATAAGCCTGTTGAAATGTGTCACATCATTTACACTGATCTCATCAGTCCAACCAAATGCTCAGCTTGCTCTAGCCACCACCATGTGATGCCCCTGCTGCTGGACTCCAATACACCAACTCTTGGTTGGGGGGTTTGACCACTCAGAGATACTGCTAATATTTGGGCCATCCTAAAACCATATGACTCTATTGATTCAAATTTCTGCTCTTATTCAGTTCTACTCGTAGCACTTGCCCATTGGACCCATCACAGCCAATGCATTCTGAAGCTCTAAGCAGATCATTCTAGCCACAGAGCATAAAAGTCACCCAATGTTAATACCAGAAGTAGTCAGAGAAATCATCCAATCCAGTGATTCTCAAAGTGTGCTCCCCACACCAGCATCATTATCACCTGGGACCATGTTAGACAGGCAAATTTGCAGATTTCCACCCAAGCTTTACTGAATATGGTAATGAGGTCCAGTGATTCTGTTGCACATTCAAATTTGAGAACCACTGATTGAATTAATCCAACACTTTTTGTAGATGAGAATGCTGAGAGTCATGAAAGTTAAATGAGTTATCTATGGCCCCACGCCCAGTTGCTGGTGAAGTCAAGGCTAGAGCCTATATCTGATGACCAGTCCAGGACTTTCCATGTTCCAGAATAGCATTATTGTTTATTATGCCATAGTTTGTGGACTTCTGTCTTAAAAAAATAAATATATGCTAATAAATGTAAGACTTTTGAAGGGGGATGATCCCACTGCTTAATTCCATTATTTTTACTTCCCCTGCAGACAGCTAAGTCTTCTAAGAAACAACAAATATAGCCACTAGAACTACATCAAAGTACCTCACTATGTCTGAATAATATTTTTCAATAATAAGACAAGTAATGAATTTATACTAAAGTTCTGAAAGGAGAAAAACAATACAATGTAGATCTATGGATTTGATCTGTAGAAAAAATAGCCATGAGCATCTCCTGTCCACACCTCCTTCTCTCCCAATTAAAATAAAAATCACAAGAAATTTTCACAATGATGAGGGCTTTTAAACTTGTCTTGTGTGCATATTTTGGAGCCTTTGATGTATGCTCACAGATGAGGAAGAAAGAAGGCCAGTTATGATCAACCGCTCTGCTAAGTCACAAATACTAACATTAAAAATGTAGATCATCTAAAGTAGAGGTCAAATATTCCCCTTGATCGTCCTTGAGCCAATTTGGATAGCTGATTATTCATTTGCCAAAATAAGCTCTCAAAGACACAAATGGTCTGCTGAAAGAACAAAGTAGGAGAATTGAAGCGCTCATTGAATTCATCAGTCACAAGCACTATACGGGGAAAAAAAGAGAGAGTGTGTCCTAGAGAGCGTGTGTCTGGCAGACTGTCCAGCCCCCGCCTGCTCCCTAGGGAGGTTCCAGCCCTCCCTGCAAGAGGAGTTATAATCCTCAGAGTCTGCCTGCCACAGAGTAGCCAAGTGCTTCTTGAATTGCAGCGGCGAAAATGTTCAAGGTCTTATCACAACAGCCACAAAAACAACTTTGCCCTAACGTCAACATTTTGCTGAAAACAAAGATTGATTAAACTAAGGACAAATCCCTGGACACACCACTGAAATAAAAACGAACAATGATAGTGAAAGTACAGTGGTCCCTGAAGTAGTTTACAGTTCGCCAAGAACCTTCTAGAAGGATAACTTGTGGTTGACGAATTTAAGATGTGACTGTAAAAGAAGCCTTGAGGAACTGAGGTTAGGGGTGAATTTATACAAGTCTATATAAATATTCATACATTTACTAAAATGAAGTAATAAAAAAGTACAGTAAACAAAGCACTGCTGATTCAATGAGAAGTCTGCAAAGTCCTTTATTGCATATCAAGATGCATATTGTTTCTGGACTTCAAAAAAAATTACAACTCTTAATGCTTTTGAAATCCTATATTCTCACCTCCTGTTACTTGTCTTGGTCCTGGTGGGTCAGAGAAATCCAATGGCTTGGGATAAAAATAAAATAAAATAAAATGCACTGAGAAACTGAGGTCTGTTGACTATTTCTCAATCTGGGTTTCTTTTACCCAACATTTTCTCCCCATGAAAACTACCTGACAAAGCACAGGCCCCCAGCCTTTCTCACCAACTTAGCTCTGTCCACTGAAAATAGAGATCATCTTAAGCATATGTCTCCTTCCATTTTTCCCCCAAGATTTGAATTCAAAAGCCTCTAACCCCTTCCCTGCAATTTTATTTTATTTTTATTATTATACTTTAAGTTCCGGGTTACATGTGCAGAACGTGCAGTTTTGTTACGTAGGTATATGTCACCTACATTAGTTATTTCTCCTAATGTTATCCCTCCTAGCCCCCTGCAATTTTATTAAACATTCTATTTTGTGTTTTCACCAGTACATACACTTCCATGTGAAGCAATGTGTAAATTCAGTGCACTAGAAATTAAAATTCTGAAGATCGACATGAAATAAACTCAAGGTCTTCAAACTTTTGCAAAAGGAGCCATGAAACTTATAATTCCTTAGTGAGGTAAAATGATTTTTCTATTACTTCATTCTGTGGTATTTCCAGAGAGACATTGGGTCTCCCTTATTCATACTGACTCTATGGATTCTCCATTCTTAATCTGTTACCAGATTCCTGCTGCTGGGTAATTATTATGCACCCAGTTTAATACTAGTCTGAGAAAAACAAACATGACTTCAAATGTTAATCTGCTACAAAAGTAATGAGAGCAAATCCTCCAAACACCAAACGCAAATGCATTTTTAAGGTGAGCCGTTGTTTCAGATCTTGCCCCTTGCACCCCTCCCTTTGACATATATTATTAAAAATCGACAATGAATCATAAGTTTCACCTGCTTTGACTATGGTAAGGTTCCCTCTCCAAAATGACAGGAAAAGAATGTGATTCCCTTCTATTTGTGTGTAAGTTGTATGGTCTCTAATATTCACTATTCTTATAAATGAGTCAAAACTCAGCGAGAAGATATCAAAATCCTTAGATTTCAAACAAACATAGCCAAGGGTTTTCTGAATCAAAACCATTTGTAGATGTAAGTCTATAAATGACTCCCTTGAGCAGCCTGAAATCTGGCCTGGTCTTCAAAGCAGCTAAGTTCTCATCTAAACCTCCATGTTTACAGAATCCTTCCTTTCAAACATTATCCACCACGTCATATCCTTCAGTCCCCTAATGGTCCATTTCATGCAACCCAAATTCCAGTTACCATCTGACCACTGATCAAAGAAAAAGTGAAAAGAAAAATTTTTACCACTGGGCTAGAGCCTTATGGGAACAAAAGGCAAGTGTTCAATAGTGTAACAATTATGATAGCCCAATTATACAGAAGTCTAGCTTCACTGAACATCATGGAAATATCTCTGAAAGCACACAATGGTCAGAAATCATAGCACCTTGGAACCACAACACGGAAACAGAAATGTGTTTGATGCATTATGTCTTTTTGAAAAAAAAAATCATCATTCTTTTTCAATGGAACAGGTATAAAGCTGTCACAGTCCTAGAATAGGAATGACTGGATTCAATAATTTATGTCATGTAGGTTTGTGCATTGTGTCTTTCCAGATGTCAAAGGTAGACCAAGTGTCAGTCCCACTTCTGCCAGTGAACTTCAGATCTGCAGTCCACCTACATGAGCTTCTCACTGCTATCTGTTTTAGAAACTTTATTTTTGGTTTTCTGTGCTCTTGTATGCTTTGCTCCAGAACTGTGGTTAGGGATAGTGATGGTGGTATATAGAAACTGGAGTAAGGCAGCCGCTCATGACGTTAGGGCAATAGTGATCCAAAACCCCCAAAACAGGAAAAAAAAATGCACAAGCAACCTTTTGACTGACATGGCCCAAGACATAGGCTTCAGGTGCCCAAAGGCAAGAAAAGCAAAATAAAACAAAAAGAAGCAGGAAACAGCTCATAAATTCAGAATGGAGCTTTTAGATTAAATGTTCAATCAGAGACTTGATAGAAACTGCAGGTGGGGCTGCAGGAAGTGCTAGTCCTATAGGGGGTAACATGCTTCCCTTTACACTAAACCAAGCTACTAGCAAAGACTCAAGGTCAGAGGATAGTGTGATAGCAAGTAGTACAAGAAGGCACATGTCCTCCTCCCCATTGTGAGGTCAGCTGGAGCATTCTGCAAGAGGAAGAAAGCCTAGTCCAAGGCACTGGTACTATTTAAACCAGGTCACTACTATCTGCACCTAAGGAAGAAATGTTGAGTAATTTATTAGTTTTCACTTACAGTGTATAGTTATTATTAGCTTTACATCATCAACTTTAAAAATGCAAGCTCCACTAGATTATAAGCATCACTATATAAATTCTTTGAGGGAAGGGATCTTTACTTATTTTATTCCTTGGTATACTCAAGCACCTAAAATAGACACAAAGAAGGCTCTTATGTTTCTTCAGTAAATAAAAACGAAACAGAATCCTCATCTCAAAGATATTACTCAAGCCAGGCTGAAGCATAAGTCTGTGCAGGTTGTGCCTCAAACAAAAATGCCTGGCCCAGAGGGCAGTGTAAGGCTGGAATCCAGCCAGTGTCCCCACCAAAACTTGTCCCTTACCTGCAAGTATACAGCTCAGAAAAAGGTGTCATCTGCCTAATGAGGAAGATTTTTTTTGTAGGCAGAGTCTCCTGGGCTCTTCAAGGCCCAGGGCTCTGGGCTCTGTCAAGGCAAGTTTCCCCAGGAGGGTATTTTGGTGAGCTGGGTAAGTCAAGCCACAGGGCACTCAGATATAATCCAATGCATTACATGGAAACGATTCTACAATTCAGACATCCCATCAGCTATTTTCATTACTGATGTCTTCCTGCATCAACACTGCTGTGCAGTGACTGAGGATACACACTTTCTTTTTTTTTTGAGACGGAGTCTCGCTCTGTCCCCCAGGCTGGAGTGCAGTGGCGCAATCTCGGCTCACTGCAAGCTCCGCCTCCTGGGTTCACGCCATTCTCCTGCCTCAGCCTCCCGAGTAGCTGGGACTACGGGCGCCCGCAACCACGCCTGGCTAATTTTTTGTATTTTTTAACAGAGATGGGGTTTCACCGTGTTAGCCAGAATTGTCTCGATCTCCTGACCTCGTGATTCGCCCGCCTTGGCTTCACAAAGTGCTGGGATTACAGGCGTGAGCCACCGCACCCAGCCGAGGATACACACTTATAACAAGTTTGTCAATAAATCCTTCTAAGTGTAACTCACAAGTTGAATTTGGACTCTTGAATTTTTTTTTTTTTTTTTTTTTTTTGAGACAGAGTCTCACTCTGTTGGCCAGGCTGGAGTGCAGTGGCATGATCTCTGCTCACTGCAACCTCTGTCTCCTGGGCTCAAGCAATTCTCCTGCCTCAGCCTCCCAAGTAGCTGGGACTACAGGCATGTGCCACCATGCCCGGCTAATTTTTATATTTTTAGTAGAGACAGGGTTTCAGCATGTTGGCCAGGCTGGTCTCTAACTCCTGACCTCAGGTAATCTGCCCCACTCAGCCTCCTAAAGTGCTGGGATTACAGGCATAAGCCACCGTGCGAGGCTAACTGTTGAAATCTTAAAGACATGTTAGCCATGGCAACACTTTAGGAGGCCAAGGAAGGACAATCACTTGAGGCCAGGAGTTTGAGAAAAAAATTAGCCAAGTATAGTGGTACATGCTTATAGTCCCAGCTACTTGGGAGGCTAAAGTGGGAATATCACTTGAGTCCCCAAGTTTGAGCCTGCAGTGAGCTATGATTGCATCACTGCACTCTAGCCTGGATGACAGAGCGAGACCCTATCAAAAGAAACAAACAAACAAAAAAAATTAGCCCTTGTATTAGTCTGTTCTCATGCTGCTAATAAAGACATATTCGAGACTGGGTAATTTATAAAGGAAAGAGGTTTAAGGGACTCATAGTTCCACATGGCTGGGGAGGCCTCACAATCATGACAGAAGGCAAAAGAGAAGCAAACACATGGTGTCAGGCAAGAGAGGGCTTATGTAGGGGAACTCCCATTTACAAAACCATCAGATCTTGTAAGACTTATTCACTACCAGGAGAACAGTATGGGGGAAACCCCTATGATTCAATTATCTCCACCTGGCCCCACCCTTGACACGTGGTGATTATTATAATTCAAGGTGAGATGTGGGTGGGGACACAATCAACCTGAAAACATCTACAATATTTAAGTGGTGAGAAACATTAGCATGGAGGACACAATAATGAAGTACAAGGCAAAGTTCTTTAACTCTGGCACTTTTGGCATCTGGGGCCAGATAACTGTTTGTTGTCAGGGCCTGTCCTGTGCATTGCAGGATGTTAAACAGCATCCCTACTCTCTACCCACAAGATGCCAGTAGTACCTCACCCCCTCCCAGTTATATCAGAATTCCTCTAGACTTTTCCAGGTGTTCCCTGGGGAGCAAAATCACTCCAGTTATATCAGAATTCCTCTAGACTTTTCCAGGTGTTCCCTGGGGAGCAAAATCACTCCTGATTGAGAACCACTGGAATAGGTAAAGCTGCCAGATTGGGACTGGGTAAGGGCCAGAAAATGTTTAGACATTTGTGGATAATTAAAAAGAATTACCAGCAAAGTATTAGAATGGGCCTTCATCCTAACATCTAGCTGGGCAATAGTCCAAGTTCAGCTGCCCCCAGGTGGGGAACAGAGGTGGAGGGATGAGCAGAGACAAGCAGCAGCCTAAGTAAGAAAGATGGGGTAATATTTATAAGTGGGAGGATGAGTTACAGATGGAAAACCTGGATCCCACGATTCCCTTATGGCTCTACATCAGGCAGTCATCTTATGTTGGGTCCGTATGTGTGCATTTGAACCAACTAACCATTGTGCATAGATATTTTTTCCTTTGTCCGAAGAAATCACCTTTGCTGAGAATCAAGTATATTCCTATATTGTTGGCATGGTTTGGATAGGTGTTGGCTGAAATAATAGCTACTGCTGAAAATAAAGAAGGATAACCCTAATACACAGAAATGGTTGGTGTGGTAATGACTTTAATGGCCAGGTTGACCCCCTACAGCATCCAATCTAAGAGTTGAGACACTTGGCTAGTACTTTTAGGTTGGACCCTGATGCAACTTTTACTTTGGCAATCCTGTTGCTCTTTTGGGAGACCTCCTCATTCAGGTTTGTCCCCAGATGATCTTAGAATAGGCCATGCATAAACAAAGCTTAAGATTGGTAGAGCCGTACCACCATGAAAGCTTGGGGAAGGAACGTGTAAAAGCAAAATAACATCTTTCCATTCACTCTGGTATTTCATTATTACAGTTAATGCCTGGGGATCTATTTTGCATATACTATGTAATTGCCTCGTTTTTCTTGAAACATCTTCATCTGGATTCTAGGAACCACAGTCTGCTGAATTCCCACCTCCCTTCTCATCTTTCTGAGGGCAAAGTTGTGGCTCAGGGTCCCTTTTCCCTCCACACTCATTCCCAGGTTGGTGTGACTAACAGCATGATCCATGAACAAGCACTCTCTGTGAATTGTTTGTTCTCAGTCCATAGCAAGATAAGTACAGGAAGCCAGAGTGAGTGTTAAGAAACTTTTACAGCAATTTGACAGAATAATTTTATGTCTATTAACTCTATTAGCAAAAAAAAAAGTGGCACTCGTATTTAGTATGTATTTATTTCAGTTTTCCTTAAATTTTGTTTTCCCTTAGATTTATTTTTATTGTATTTAAAAGCATCAGTCTACAGCAAATTAGAAAAAACAAAGGCCATTCACTAGACATATTTTGAAAAGCACTGTCTTAGATGGTCTTATCTAGTCCATAACTTTAAATACTGCCAGAAACCGAATGTTTATGTTCCCTGCAAATTTGTACGTTGAGACCTGATCTCCAATGCAATGGCTTTAGGCAGTGGGACCCTTGGGAGGTGATTAGGTCATAAGTGTGGAGCCTTCATGAATGAGATTAGCGACCACAGAGAAATCCCTCACTCCTGCCATGTGAGGACACAATGAGAACAGAACTGTCTATGAGGAAATGGGCCCTCACCAGACACTAAATCTGCCAGGGCCTTGATCTTGGACTTCTCAGCCTCCAGAACTGTGAGAAATACATTTCCATAGTGTATAACCCACCCAGTCTATGGTATTCTGTCATCAAACATCATCTATATATAGCCAGCATCCAACTTTGTATCACCAGCTTCAACATCCCCTTTGTGTTCCAGGCTCAAATATCCAACTGCCGACTCTACCGCTCCCCTTGGATGTCTTAAAAGCATCTCAAGGGTAACAGGTAACATGTCTAGAAGTAGTCTTGCTTTTATGCTCCTGAATCTTCCTCCTCTCTAATTTTCCTTGAGTCATTAAATAGTATTCACCCAACTTTTCAGGCTAAGCACTTAGGATTCACTCTTGACTAGTATCATTCTACCACACTCTACACCCAGTGCAGCAGTAATTTCTGAAGGCTCTGGCTCTAACAGAGATCACAGACCGAACCACTTCTCACCCTCTCACCACCAAGATTCCAGTTCAAATGACTATCCATCCTCTCTCATTTGGAAAGAGGAAAGGGCCTTCTGCTATTTCTCCCTGCTGCTAAGCTTGACCATGAGAGTCTCTCTTCCACAGCAGCCACATTTGGGTTTTTTAAAAGTAGAAACCTGATCAAGTTCTCTCTGCTTTAAACTCTCCAATGGATTCCATCATACAGAACACAGTGCAGAGATGGAGTGCTACTGTGAGACCCTACATAACTTCCCCCATCATCCTGACCCCACTGTGCTCACCCTTACTGGCTCATGCTGCTCCAAATGTAGGGTCCTCCTCTTGTTTTGTAAACACCCTAAGCACACTCCTGTATTAGGCGCTTTTGAATTTTGCTTCCTTCTGCCTGAAATGTTTTTTTCCTAGACATATGCAGACTTTACTCCCTTGTTTCCCTGAGAAACTTTTTCATGCAGCACTGCTACCCTGAGTCACCTCCTTAATCATTCTACTTTTTTTCACTTCAGTCCACTGTAACTAATTAACACCATAATATAATTTCATTATTTTAAAATTTGTTTATTGCCTCTCCTCTCCCTAAAATATAAAGTCCATGAGAGCATGAATTTTAACCTGTTATCTGATTTTCTCACATCTAGAGAATGCCTAACAGAGAAGAGATCCAAAACAAGTGCTTAAATAAATTGCTTTATTTCAAGCATGTTCATGAATACAAAGAGTAAAAATAGTGCATTAGCTTACACTAGGGTTTTGCTACCTAGGATTATCACTCATTCATTCATTTTATTCCTTTTTTTTGAGAAATAATACACTTTCATAGTCACAGTTTCCAAATAATTAAATATTTATTTATAACTAAATGTTTAAATTGAAAAAAGTTAACTATGGAGAAATGCATTAATTCAAAACTCATCTCTATTCTTATTTTGTGATAATCATTTGAGGTTTTTTTCAGCAAACTTGATATAGTTTGGCTATGTCCCCACCAAAATCTCATCTTAAATTGTAGTTTCCATAATCCCAGTGTTTCCTGAGAGACCTGGTGGGAGGTAATTGAATCATGGGGGCAGTTACCCTCATGTTGTTCTCGTGATAGTGAGTGAGTTCTCAGGAGACCTCATGGTTTTATAAGGGGCTTTCCCCTTTTTGCTCAGCACTTCTCCTTTCTGCTGACACGTGAAGAAGGGCATGTTTGCATCCCTTTCTGACATGATTGTAAGTTTCCTGAGGCCTCCCCAGCCATGCAAAACTATGAGTCAATTATTTTCTTTGTAAAGCACTCAGTCTTGGGTATGTCTTTATTAGTAGTGTGAGAATGGATTAATACACTAAATTGCTACAACAGAGAGTGGGGTGCTGCTATAAAGATACCCAAAAATGTGGAAGCGACTTTGGAACTGGGTAACAGGCAGAGCTTAGAACCATTTGGAGGGCTCAGAAGAAGACAGGAAAGTGTGAGAAAGTTTGGAACTTCCTAGAGACTTGGAGGGCTCTGAAGACAGGAAGATGTGGGAAAGTTTGAAACTTCCTAGAGACTTGTTGAATGGTCTTGAACAAAATGCTGATAGTAATATGGACAATGAAGTCCAGCCTGAGGTGATCTCAGATGGAGATGGGAAACTTGTTGGGAACTGGAGTAAAGTTCACTCTTGCTATGCAAAGAGACTGGTGGCATTTTGTCCCTGCTCCAGAGATCTGTGGAACTTTGAACTTGAGACAGATGATTTAGGGTACCTGGCAGAAGAAATTTCTAAGTGGCAACGTGTTCAAGAAGAAGCAGAGCACAAAAGTTTGGAAAATTTGCAGCCTGATGATGTGATAGAAAATAAAAACCTATTTTCCAGGGAGAAATTTAAGCTGGCTTCAGAAATTTGCATGAGTAACAAGGAGCCAAATGTTAATCACCAAGACAATGGGCAAATGTCTCCAGGACATGTCAGAGGTCTTCACAGCAGCCCCTCCCTTCACAGGCCTGGAGGCCTAGGAGGCAGAAATGGTTTCTTGGGTTGGGTTCAGAGACCCCTGATGTGTGCAGCCTTGGGACTTGGTGCCTTATGTCCCAGCTGCTTCAACTTCAGCCGTGGCTAAAAGAAGCCAATGTAGAGCTCAGGCCATTGCTTCAGAGGCTGAAAGCCCCAAGCCTTGGTGGATTACACGTGGTGCTGGGCCTGTGGGTCCACAGAAGTCAAGAACTGAAGTCTGGGAACTTCTGCCTAGATTTCAAAGGATGTATGAAAACACCCGATGTCCAGGTAGAAGTCTGCTGCAGAGGTGGGTCCCTCACGGAAAACCACTGCTAGGGCAGTGCAGAAGGGAAATGTGGGATTGGACCACCAACAAAATGTCCCCACTGAGGCACTGCTTAATGGAACTGTGAGAAAAGGGTCACCATCCTCCAGACCCCAGAATGGTATATCCACGAACAGCTTGCACTGTGCTCCTGCAAAAGCTGCAGACACTCAATGCCAGCTGTGAAAGCAGCTGGGAGGGGGTGCTGTACCCTGCAAAGCCACAGGGGCAGAGCTGTGCAAGATGGTGGGAGCCACCTCTTGCATCAGCACACCCTGGATATGAGACATGGAGTCAAAGGAGATTATTTTGGAGCTTTAACATTTTTACTGACCAACTTGGATTTCAGACTTGCATGAGGCCTGTAGCCCCTTTGTTTTAGCCATTTTCTCTCATTTGGAACAGGTGTGTTTACCCAATGCCTGCACCCCTATTGTATCTAGGAAGTAACTAACTTGCTTTTGATTTTACAGGCTCATGGGCAGAAGGTACTTGCCTTGTCTCAGATGGGACTTTGGACTTGGACTTTTGAGTTAATACTGGAATGAGTTAAGACTTTGGGGGACTGTTGGGAAGGCATAATTGTGTCTTTAAGTGTGTGATGACATGAGTTTTGGGAGGGGCCAGGAGTGAGATGATATGGTTTGGCTGTGTCTTCACCCAAATCTCATCTTGAATCGTAGCTCCCATAATCCCTGCATGTCATGGGAGGAACCCAGTGGGAGGTAACTGAATCATGGTGGCGATTACTTCCATGGTGTTCCATGTGAGTGTGTTCTCATGAGATCTGATGGTTTTGTAAGGGGTTTTTCCCTCGCTTCACTCTGTACTTCTCCTTGCTGCCGCCATGTGAAGAAGGATGTGTTTACTTTCCCTTTTGCCATGATTGTAAGTATCCTGAGGCCACTCCAGCCATGCTAAACTGTGAGTCAATTAGACCTCTTTCCTTTATAAATTACTCAGTCTCGAGTATGTCTTTATTAGCAGTGTGGGAATGGACTAATACAAAACTTTATGGAAAATTCAATATAATAGCATATATAAGATTGAAAGGAATTGCTTTAAAATGTTTAGGAAAGCCAACTCTCAAATACCAGGGAAGAAGCCATTAACCAACAAATATGTTCAATGCAAATTACAATGTAGTCCTACCTGTTCATCAGCATAGGTCACCTACAGCAATTCTAGACAGCATCTTTAGCCTTGCTCGCTCATTGCTTTTACAGGTTTACTGAATGCCTACCACATGCCTACACTGTTCTGGGGGTAGGGAGGAAATGATATAGCCATCAGCGAAGTGGACATAAGATTCGTTCTTCAGCTGCCTTTCCAAACACCTGTTTCTGAAAGCAGTGAAACTATTTCATCAGTCAAATTCCCTAATTAATTGGCTTAAGGAGCTTTTGCATCCTCCTTGTTAGAGATGTGTTTGCTCCTTCCCCAGACTCTATATTTTAAAATGTCTGAACTGCTTCAAAATTAGGATATATTATTCTCCCCCACCACACAGAGGGAGGACTTAGGAAGTGCTTTTCAGATTTTGATTTATTAAAGACCAAACTATTTGTATTTCTCACCAGGGAGTATTTATATATAAATCTCCCCTTATTAAGTAGTTTTGGATAAAAACATCTCTAAAAACAGCCAAAAGTGTCCATTAAGCAGAAATACACCTCAGTAACACATATGCGCATTTAATAATTTATTCGTCTACTTCCCCGACAGTGAATTGGCACCAACACATAGCTCATTCTGCCTCAGTAAAACCATTACCTCTGATTTTTACTCCAATCTAACAGTAACCACCCGAGGCCAGGGACATGGTATAACTGTCTCCTGGCCTGACCATGGCATTCCTGTGCATTCATGTGATCTGATTTCTATTTGTGAGCTAATTCTATGGGCTGCTGGTTTCTTCGGAGGAAAAAAAAAAGTTGTTCTTTTCCTGTACTTCTTTCTACATTTTTAAATGGTGCTATAACTCCTAAGAATAGTTTCATTTTCCTTATAAAACGGGTTAACTGGACTATACGATATTTTCCTTCCTTTTTTGCCTCACGCCTTGCTTTTCCAGCAAGTGGCCTCTGAGAACACACAAACCAGATGTGGTTTAAAGATTTGTAATTTTTAACTCTTTTTTTATACCCAAGAGCAGCATTTTTGGGGAAAAGAAGAAAAACAATAAGCAAGGAAGAATCTTTCAATCTCCTATAAGATGTAGAGAAGGTCAAAGAATGGCCTCCCATGTATATAATTTTATCCTGACCATCAATCCACAACTTTTGGTAAAAAAAATTCATTTTTTAAGTTGACAATTCATATGTGAACTATCTTAGAAGGGAAGTTGCAAGAATATACACAAACGCTCACATGTATCCAATGGGTAAATCACCAACGGAAGTAGATCTCATGTTTCATATAAGGTAAAACTGTTACTAAAATTAGAAATATTTATCAACAAACTTAAAGTGTGTCTATGTGACTGTGAAGACTATTGTGAAAATATGCAATGTCGTAAGTACAATGTCATAAAATACACAAGATTAGACAGTCCAAAGCAAGATTATCATTAACATATTTCTATATAAAGATTTTCTATAATGAATTTTAATAAAATCACCTTTAGCCTTGTGCCACCTGTTTGCATTGAGAAATATTCAAAGAGAGAGGATCAGGCTAAGAGTTATTTATCTGAGCATATTGTGTTTCAGTCCACAATATGCTTACTATAAGAACACAGGAGACTTTATTTCTCTTAGGAAAATGTATGGTTGTCCTAAGCAACTACATTCTTTATGTCATATAAATATGTAAAATTGTGAAATTGATTGTGTTCTTCTCTTTGTTTAAACAATTAGGGAATTTGGATACATCTGTGACCACCTCTGACAACTGTGCCTATGTCTAGCATTTGCAAATGTTACTTATTCCTTAGTTGTGTTTTCATTTTTCTATCCTTTCTTTCCCTTTGCCTGATTTCTTCTCTATTGGTTTTATTCTGTTGTATCATATGTATTTTGGTTAGCCAGCTCAAATCCATTTTTTAAAAAAGGTAAGGATTTAAGGGGACTGGAAAAAAACACAACCATTTGCCAGCAAAAATAATTTCTCATTGAATATATAAACACCCTCATTTGTGATTCATGACTATGTGCAACAGTCTGTGTTTTTTTTCCTTCAAAGGAGCCAGTTGCATCAAATGTAGTTAATTTTAAAGAGGAAAACACTTCAAATGAAATCTAAAGAGCTCTGTGCCTGAATGGGGGAGCAGTGGATATATTATAAATGGAAGATCTGTTTTTTTAAAGATAGTTCATTTGTAACATGATGTTAAATGGACATTTCAGCTGAAGCGTGAAGACTCTAGGCCAGGTATGTCAAAGTGAAAGGGCAGACCCCACCATCCATAACTTGCAGGAAAGGAAGTGGGGGAAACCAAGGGTAATGAGTCCTAAATTCCTTGCCATCTCAGAAATGGAAGGTTCCATAGGCTAGAAGTTAAGAGAATGATCTTCACATACATTTTCTTTGGAGAGAGCTTTGCTGTCAGTGCCTCATCTCCATGACCTAAGAAAGCAGTTATGGGGTATTCTTCCCATACTTTGGACTTAAAAAGGGGGCTTAGAAACCACAGTGAGATACCACTTTACACCCACTAAGATGGCTATCATCAAAAAGATAATAAAAAGTGTTGGTGACGATGTAGAGAAATTGGAACTCTTACACAATGCAGAAAGGAATATAAAATTGAGCAGCCTTTGTGGTGAATAGTCGGGCAGTTCCTCAAAAAGACAAATATAAGAGTTATCACACAACCCAGCACTCCTAGGTATATTCCACTCCTAGGTATATACCTAAGAGAAATGAAAACATAGGTGCACACAAAAACTTGTACACAAATGTTCGTAGCAGTAATACTCATTAAAGCCAAAAAATGAAAGCAATCCAAATGTCTACCAACTGATTAATGGGTAAATAATACATTGTAAATTTATAAATGGAATATTCTATAACAATAAAGATATTAAGTATTGATACATGCTGCAACATAAATGAACCTTGTAAAGAAACCCATTCACAACAAATCATATATTCCATGATTCCTTTTACAGCAAATGTCCAGAATAGGCAAATCTACAGAGACAAAAAAAGAGATTATAGGTTGCCTAAGGCTAGGGGGATAGGGACAAATAAGGAATAAATACTAATGGGTGTGAGATTTCTTGTTGTGATAAAAAAAAGTTCTAAAATTAGATTGTGGTGACGGTTGTACAATTCTGTGAATACACTAAAACCCACTGAACTGTACACTTAAATGGGTGAAATCTACGGTATGTGAATTTCAGCTCCATAAGGCTGTTGTAGGAAAATACCTTTTAAATAGCTTAATATCTGGTTGAGGTGACAAATGTTGAGTTACAGCTGGAAAGGAGGTGGGTGGAACGTGAAGGGCAAGAGGCATCTGAAGGGCAAGAGGCAGAATCAAGGGCTGCAGGTGGCTAAAAGTCAGCAGCAAGGAGTCTGAAATCCTGTCCCTCAGGCCCAGCTGGAGATGCGGGGAAGAACCCTCAGAGGAAGCTGAAGTGGATGCCAAGATGCTGGATGGCTGTGGAAGGACTTGCAGGCAGCTGGTATAGGGATGCATCTGCCCAGATGAGAGAAACCAATGTTACATAATGATCACTTCGCTCAAACCAAATGGACACCTCATATCATGAAATGAACGTGTACTTTCAATGTGTTAAGGGACACTCCTTTTCTGTGGATCATCTCCTCAGTGCTGGTGACAATGTGGTGTTGCTTTCAGATGTCTGTGGACAGGCATCAGCTCCGCATGGGTGCCCAGGCACCACTCACACTTTGGTTTTCCTCAAGGAAAATCATAGATCTGAACAGAGCATTGTTAGTTGTCTTCTTTCCCTACAGAATGTTTGATTCAGACATTTGCCAAAGTCTTGAATAACGACACTGCCATTTATGGAGAAAGATGCAAAGGTGCAACATAAGGTCTCCTTTTCTAGCAGATCTGTAGGGGACTCCTCAGCTTCCTCCCTAAGATGGTACCACACAGATATGATGCCATGGGTGTTCGCTTTGCTCTTTTAGAGAAAGTAAGCAGGTCTTATTACAAAATTCAAGGAAGAGAGTGAAAAGGGGGGATTTTCTTGACCAAGAGAGCTGTTTTCCTTTAAATAAACATCCTGAGGCATGTGAAGGGGAGAGCCAACATGTTGTTCCCACCCTCCAGTAGATAACAAGAAGGGAAACTGCCTGTATGCTAAGGTCTTCCAGTAAAGCTAACATACCACATCACAACCTCTGGGAAACCACCCACTGAAACATCAGGGCTTACAATTAGGTATGATAGGTTCCTAATTATATATTTTTTGGAAAATAGTTACAAATATTTGGATAGCACTGTGTTGCTCATAAAGCACTTTCTTTATTATATTATTTTACTTCTCATCATAAGCACTTCTCATATTACCCTAATTTCACATGTAAGGAAAGCAAAACTCAGAAAGCCATGATTTAAATAAAGTCATACAACTTAAACGGAGCCAGACTTCATCCAGGCCATGTGACTCTGTAGAGTCGGTGTTAATTATCATACTATGCCTCCTCCCTCGTAGAATGTGTTCTACGGTGCCTCCCAAACAAGTGTTTGGAATATTTCATTGGCACCAGTCCTGGGAGCAGATTTCCAACAGGCAAGTCATTCAGGCACATATGTTGATGCTCATTTTCAGCCTCCTGATTTTACAAAAAGGGAAACTTGCTTTTACATACAAAAAGCAATCAGAGCAGCTCTCTGGGGTCCCATGATGTCAGAATGAGCAAAGATGGTAACACAGAAGTCCAGAACTGATGGGTACCAGGATGCTTTGGTAATTACAGGAAGTAGAGAATATTTCTGTCAATCTTTGCAATGTTAGGTTTCTTTATGGTCAAAGTCCTAAGTATAAAAGGAATTGAGAACTAGGGCACTTGTCCTCTCGAACTCTGCTCTAATGTATACAGACAAAGTGATAAAAATGTATTACTGAACAGTGTGGCCACATCTCCACGATTACCATGAAGCGCAGGGTATTTCTCAAGCATCCTGGTTTCCTTCCACCTTATTGTGCAATTAACAAAATACATTTTAAAAAGATCTTTCTCTTAGCCTGAAACATCTCCTGAAGCAATGCCCTTCCAACATTCCCAAGTCCTCAGATCATGCAAAGTGACACTCTTTATGGAGTAAAATAGTCACTATTCTACCGGTTTACTTCTTTTTAATTTCAAATAATTATTTGGTTTGGTCGGTTGAGTTTTTGAAGTAAGTCTATCTATGGCATTTGTAATTTTATAGATCTGAAGTCACTTGTTCATGAAAATACTTGTTGAACATCTGTAGGGAGACTGTGGCTGTGACTGGAGATATAAAGAGCCATGCTGCACGCTTTCAAGGACCACTTAGTGGAACAGGGGAGGCACACATGGAAACCATTAGCTGTAACAGTATGTCATAAACAGTGCAGAATAGATAAGACAAAGAGCTTCGGACGCCCAGTGGAAAAATGGAGATCAGGGAGAGGTGACTATAGGGAAGAGATTAAGAGGATTCTGGAATGAGGGGGCTGGGGCTCAAATCTTAAATGCTGTCATTTACTGGCTGTGTGACTCTGGGCAAGTAACTGACCTCTCTGTGCTACCATTTCCTCAGTGATGAAATGGAAGGATAACTGCATCTACCTCATGAGTTGTTATAGGTGTTATAGTTAGCCCATAGAAGGCACAGAAGATGGTTTCTGGAATACAGTGAGGGTTATAGAAGCGTCAGATATTATGATAATTCTAGGTCCAACTCTCAGTAGTCATGAGTGGATATCTGGTTCCCTATTATCTGCAACTTAAAATACACAGGAACTCCTGTCTATATCCCATCAGACAGCAGCGTATCAAGTGGCCTCCTCCTGCTGCAAGACAGGCTGAGAATTTGAATGTCTTACTTTTCAGCTTTTAAATTGGAGGAAGACAAAAGGAATGGTAGCTGAGGAAACCAGACCCTGACTGGTAGAATTGTTTTCCTAGAGTATAAATTTTCTTAAAATCAGCCAAATGGAGAAAAAGGGACAAAGATGAAGTAGCAACAACAAGCCCAGTGCTTTAATACTTTTGCACTTAGAAATAATTTGTGTATAGTTGCTATTTTACGTATTTATCACATTTAAGATTGGGTGATTTATGTGGATTTGTTATTTTAATTTGAAACTTATAAGAAAAATCTACTGTTGTATAAACAATATTGTAATATTTATGAGAACTTAAGGGCCACCATACTTGCATATTCAACTTATTATATTTATGTAGATTTCTCTAGAACTTGGGGCCATCTAAGTTGCTGGAGTATTGAAAAGCTTCAAAACAGAAATGAATATGTTAAATTTATGATTGCTGTTTAAATATTTAATGGAATTTAATTAACTAAGTTGTAAAGGTCCTTTTGAAAGTGGTTGCTACACTATATCACATTTATAAATAGAATAAATTGGAGTTAAGCTTTAGAGCTCAAGAAAAAGGGTTCTGAAATTTGCAACTTAAATGCATTGAATATTCATTTAAAAATACAAAAGTTCACATAAATTATCTTTTCTTTACATGAAACACCCAGAAAGACACTAAATCTTACATCTGAAGCAACTAGTGGAAAACAAGCCTTGATTTAAAACCATCAAATCCAATTCCATGGCTTACTATGAAACACTATTCGTCCTGCTCTCGCTTTAACAAATATCACCCTGTAAAACTGTTTTCCAAAAGTCTCCAGTGACCTCTAAGTTGATAAACCCAACAGCCTTTAATCCTCCATCTTCCTCAAACTCAGTGCACCACACTATTCAAAATACCCCAGTGCTCTCTTCTCTCAACACTATCCCAACCTTGTAAGCAGTTCAGCTTCCGATGATGTTTTCTCTGGATCATCATTCACCATTCACAAAATAAATCTCACTTCCCTCAGGTCATCTGCTCTAAGCCCTTCTCTCCGGACATTCATTATCCTTGAATGTGTCTACTTCTTACATTTAACCTCTATTCTAAAATCCCTGGAAGTGGGTTTTAAATAGCTGTGGAAATCAAGGCTTGTACTTCCCATCACTTTCTAAACACATTTTCCCAAATTTCCAGCTGAAATCTCAAACATGTAATTGTTCATTACCTTTCTAGTCAAAAATATTTCAGTTGATGTTTCCTCTCCATGATCATGGCACCTGTGTCCTTCCAATGACTAAGCTTAGCATCCCCATCATCACTGCTTACACACCTAGAAGCAATTGGCTGGAAGTCCCAGTGACACTGCAATTCATTCCTCAACAGCCCTTTCCATTTCATTTGTTATTACTTTGATTCACATCCTCTGAAATGGTCTCTCCACTTCTCTTCTCTACCTAGTCTATTAATCATGAACTCTGTTTTCAGAAGCAATCCTTTATAGAATACCTAGAAATGATTTTAAAAAATAAACTTCACAGCGGCTCATGCCTATACTCCCAGCACTTTGGGAGGCCAAGGCAGGCGGATCACCTGAGGTCAGGAGTTCAAGACCAGCCTGGCTAACATGGTGAAACTCTGTTTCTACTAAAAATACAAAAAATTAGCCGGGCATGGTGGCACGTGCCTGTAATCCCACCTAATTGTGAGGCTGAGGCAGGAGAATCGCTTGAACCCAGGAGACGGAGGTTGCAGTGAGCCAAGATCATGCCCTTGTACTCCAGCGGGGGCAACAAGAGCAAAACTCTGTCTCAAAAAAATAAATAAATAAACTTCAGAGCCTCCATGTTGTCTAATAGAGTACAAAGGAGGCAAGGCCCTCCATGATGGCGCTAACTTTACATCCACCCATCTGGACATGCTTTCTCTCTTTTCTATATATGTAAGGTCTACTTTCACTTCAAGACCTACATGAGTGCTCCTTGAATACTTCTCTCATGCTTTCAATTGTGAAACGCTCTTTCCTTTTCTGAACTACCTGAACATATGTATCATAAGTCCTTCTTTTGTGATTATTATATCACAGAAAAGAGAAAGAGGAGATTAAAGAATTTTAAAGAAAAAGGCAAGCAAGAAACAGAGAAAGGAAGGAAGGATGGAAGAGGAGGGAGGCAGAAAAAGAGAGAGGGAAGGGTTAATGGACATAACTGATGGTTTGCCTGAGACAGGCCTTGGGAGAATCTTTCCCATTTGTTACCCCACTTGATACTTACAACAACCACTCCTATATGTCTTACAATAATCCACATTGTTCAGAAGAGGGCACAGATCAGAGAAATTAAATGTCTTGCCCAAAGTCTAATCAGCTAGTAACATTTAGAGCAGGGATTAAACCCATGACTTGTGATCGCCAGCCCCAGAGGAGCAGTATGTGCCTCACTGAGGTCCCATAGAGAAGAGACGGCGTACAGCATCAGAAGCATTTGGACAGCGCCACGGTGAGGCAGCATGGCTTTGGAGGGAATGAGGAAGAGGCCTGTGCAGCAGGATCTGTGGAAAGCTGTGTGCTCAGCGCAGCTGGGGACAGCAAGGTCAGGGACTGGGCGGCAGCAAAGGCATTAACAAGCTTTTTTTTTTTTTTTTTTTTGAGACCCAGTCTTCCTCTATAGCCCAGGCTGGGGTGCAGTGGCACAATCTTGGTGCACTGCAACCCTCCATCTCCCGGGTCCCGGGTTCAAGAGATTCTCCTGCCCCAGTCTCCTGAGTAGCTGCGATTACAGGCACATGCCACCAAGCCCAGGTAATTTTTGTATTTTTAGTAGAGACGGGGTTTCACCATGTTGGCCAGGCTGGTCTTGAACTCCTGACCTTGTGAACCGCCTGCCTCGGCCTCCCAACGTGCTGGGATTATAGGCCTGAGCCACTGCACCCGGCCATTAACAAGCTATTTTATAGGAAAATAAAACTATTGTTAAAATTAAAAAATAAATATTTACAAAACATTAACCTGCAATTTATCACAAAGCTTGTTTCTTTTAGTTTAGTAAATAAATGACAATTCCTGGAGAAGCTTGCCGCTACCACTGCATTCACCCTCCACAACAAACATTTTAATCACGTTATATTTATGTCAGACTCCAAATTCTGGCCTCTGCCCCTTTTATAGGCCTACAGGTTGTATTAGGACAGTTATGTTTCAGTCATTTTTGTTGCATTAACTCTTCCCAGTACAGTGTTCCATTCATGGCATACTAAATGAATATTTGTCAGATTCATGAATTTTATTTGGACTCCATCAATCATTTTAGAAAAACAATTATTATAATACACTATTTTCTTCTTGTAATTGTGTTCACATTAAATATGATTTCTGGCCGGGGCGGTGGCTCACGCCTGTAATCCCAGCACTTTGGGAGGCTGAGGCGGGTGGATCATGAGGTCAGGAGTTCAAGACCAGCCTGGCCAAGGTGGTGAAACCCCGTCTCTACTAAAAATACAAAAATTAGCCGGGCGTGGTGGCGGGTGCCTGTAATCCCAGCTACTCGGGAGGGTGAGGCAGATAATTGATTGAACCCGAGAGGCGGAGGTTGCAGTGAGCCGAGATAGCGCCACTGCACTTCAGCCTGGGCGACAGTGAGACTCTGTCTCAAGAAAAAAAGAAAGAAAGAAACAAAAAACATGATTTTTAATACTTATGCTTGGTCCAAGGCACTGGATACTATTTTAGTACTCACGATCATGCTTGTTAGAGTGTGACCATTTCTGTAATGTCTGGATAGTTTGACTTCTTTTGAATATAAACCATATTATAAAATATATAAATATGTAACGTATAATATAATACAATACTAAATGAATAGTGAAGCTAACATCACTTATCTCAAGAAAGAGGAAGTCCTGAAGGTGCAAAGCTCTTCTGCCCTTTCCAGATTAAAGTGCAAGGGCAATAACATTACCCTTGATGGCATTTTGTTTTCTATATCTGACTTCAGCAAGTTGAAGAAGAAAATTGCCCATGAAAATAAATTCTTTTTAACATCAGTTGTAGTTCCAAATAGGAGGATATTGCAGTTTAGACAAGTGGGGCTTCTATAGATCGTAATCTTAACATATATGAACTATGTACCATCATTCTGACTTTAAACCATCCTACCTTTAAAATAGAGTTTCCTAAACTGGTATCACACATGCATCTGCAAATAAATAAATGCAGACATTCTGCATCCCACATGCTGGAGTTTCTTAATTCTACCTAAAATATAAAACTCCATGCAGCAAATGACAATATAAATAAAAGAGAGGGAAAAAAAAGAACACTGAAAGCCATCTTTTAATTAATAAAATAGCTGTTATGTTAAATGTTAAACATTGCTGTCATGTTATTCAGTGCATCCAATAGTAAAAATTATAAACCATACTCCTTTTGTGTGGATCAAGCTTCTCCTGTTTTATTTTATTTTTTTAACAATAGAGTGACCCTTAAGCTGTGAAAGAATAGTTAATTATTGGCATGGCCTCATTATAAAGAACAGTAATTTGAGGACAGAAAGCATTCTACACATGAATAAATAAGCACATCTGTGGAATTCGCATAAGAGCTATTTGGTTAACTTTGCCAGAACTAACCTTTAAATACTAAATTTTATACCGTGTCTGGGGAAAAACATATAAAAGTATGGAAAACAAACATATCATGGGCAAAACAGCTCCTAAGATTCACCAAAGGAAAATGGAACAAGTGAATTCCTCCATCTGTTCATGCATTTTTTTCACTGCATTTGGATACGCACTGGACAGAGATAACTTTGTTCAGTCCTGAAGTGAGACTTGACATGCTTGTTGTTTCTGGCACCTCACAGCACCACTCAGGATCCATGTAGTCCAAGGAACCAGCCAGGAAAAGCCAACTGCCAGTTGCTTTGAGGGAATCCAGAGCCCCGAACACAGCCTCCTCTACCTCTCTCCTCTAAGCACACTCGGGGATTCATCAAGAAAATTCATCATCTTGATTTACTAACAGAACTCTCGGCATGAAAAGGTAATCCATGTATTATGTGACACATCACACATCACAGAGATTATTAAAGAAAGGCTTTCATGAAGCTTACACTCTGCATGGACTTACCTAAGTCATCCGTGTCCTCTGCCCTCTGCACATTCATTTTTTTTTCATCCCAAAGCAATATTTCCCTTTTTCTTTTCTTCCCCTTGATATGGTTTGGCTCTGTGTCCCCACACAAATCTCATCTTGTAGCTCCCAGAATTCCCATGAGTTTTGGGAGGTCCCCAGTGGGAGATGACTGAATCATGGGGGGCGGTCTTTCCCATGCTGTTCCTGTGATAGTGAATGGGTCTCAGGAGATCGGATGGTTTTAAAAATGGGAGTTTCTCTGCACAAGCTTTCTCTTTGCCTGTCGCTATCCATGTAAGATGTGACTTATGCCCCCTTGCCTTCACCATGATTGTGAGGCTTCCCTAGCCACGTGGAACTGTGAGTTCTCCATTACACCTCTTTCCTTTGTAAATTGCCCAGTCTTGGGTATGTCTTTATCAGCAGCGTGAAAACAGACTAACACAGCCCTTGAGGATCCTTCCTCCCTCTTCCCTGGAACACTTGAATGCTATTTTTCCAATCATCCATTTTCCCTCTTGCTAACAAGAATGTACTCAGACGGTTATGTCTCTGGGGTCCAAACTGCCTAGAAAAATCATGCCCTCCCAGTTGCAGTAAAAATAGGATGCTCCCAGACATCAGTAATAAGAGAGCTTAGCAATCTAGCTTAAAACACCTGTTAACATCTTCATGATAGGCATGGAGTTTCAATCTCTGTTTTATAGGCAATAGAACATTAGAGTAATGAATTCTATTGTCACTAAAGGTTATGGGGTGTTACATTTGTTACTAGGTCATCCATGATAACAATATTTTATAAGCCCTGGAATAAATCTGGAGAAATTCACCTTTAATTTTTGTTATCAGGAAGCAGAAAACTGTCCCTTTGTATCATATATCTAATTGTGCATGGCAATATGCCCTAGAAATAAATAGCTTCTCCAAAATAGAACAAAACATACATTCATAGTAGGATGCATGGTTTCATACAATGATATGATTATATCTATATTCCTAAAACCAAACCAAATCTAACCCTTTCTCTTAATTTAACAGAAAATGTCAGTAGTCCACATTGACAGAAATTCTAAGTCTTTAAATAAAACAATATATTTTGAATTTTTATCATACTTATTTTATTTTTGGTATATTTAGTCCATACCTCAGTAAGATATTGTGGGACCTTGAAGGAATTTTTTTAATATAACAGAATGAAGAATAATCACTCAAGAAACCAGAGCCTCTGAAAAATAGGGTAAGAAAATTATATGAAGCCAAGATATGATTAAGAAATCCAATTATTATACGTGGGCGGCACATTTTCTTCTAATCTTCCTAGTAGCCAAAGAAAATAGGCAAACATGATCAGTTATGAGATTTACAGTACCTGTGCAAGAGAAAAATACACGAAACTTTGAGATAAATTTCTTCCAAATTTCTGTCCTCATAAACTGGAGACTATGTGAAACAGGAAAAAAAAAATCTGTAAAATTTATTATCCTTCTACATTTTGTGGTTCAAGAGAATTCTATTAATATGGGCATATATCTTCCTGGCCATTGAACTTGTTAACTCGATAGCAGAAGAAGCTAGTGGTCTAGATGTTTTGCAGTTGTTTTTTAAAGCATGTATTTGTTTCTCATGGGAACTCGGCTTTTATTCTTCGATCATATGTCATACAGTAGGACTGCATACAGTAAAGAACGTGAAATCTGGAACTGACAGATTTAACTAGGAGCGTTACCCGATTGACTTACTTCACTTCTTTGAACAGCATTTTTCTCATTTGTAAAATGGGGATAACACTAGTACCAACCTTTTAGATTTGTGGTGAGGATCAAATTAAATCACATATGATGCTGCCTGACGCACAGTAAGCACTAAAAAGTAGTTATGATGAAAATTATCATTACTATTTACGGCTCACATTTATTTCCATACATCACATGTAACTGTTTATTAACGCTTAATTAAAAATTTTTGTCTATATATAACAACACTCTACACTTATAATGCCAACACTGCCTTTAAAAAGATAAACATTACTACTGATACACTATGCAACAGAGTTTTTCCAAATTGAAGTTTGTGCATGAAGTTTTATTAAATTTATTTAGTGCTGGTTTGAAATAACAGTAATTTTTTCTTTCTTCTTTATAAGGAAGTCATAGTCAAAAAAAGAGGCTAATAACAGAAATTTTACATGTCATTATTTGGAACATGGGTCATAAAAATAAAAAGTCATTGGGTTGATAGGCCTCTGGGAAATAGAAATATCAAAAGACTATTAGAAGTCAGCCACCCATGCACAAGTTCTCTGCTACTGTCAAAAGAAAAAGGGAATGCTAAATTATCCAGAACAATCAATTCAGAAACTGCAAAATAAACTTTCAGAAACTGACACCCAAATATATGAAGGCACGGATCATGTGGAAATAGTCCACGAGAAACAAAACACAAAAATGTTTGTCATCCTTCCTGGCTTGTTATGTCTAGTGGGGAAACAAATTTCTTAATTGCATGTGTTCTAGTTCCCATTTCAGTGCATTTACATCATATATTAACGGTGTAGAAGTTCCTTTTCTCATTTAATTAAATTAGATCCACAAATGCATTAAACATTGCAGTGCTCTAAGACACCAATAAGTCAATCATCATCCAATTCTTAATTATATGACATGGAACTAAATCAGATTACGTAAGGGTGAAGTCATTTGGCTAGTTCAGGAAGGAATTCATGAAATGCCTGATCCATGCTATATTGGAAAAGTCCTGCAAGAAAAGTCAAAAGACCTTTAATTTACATCCACGTTTCACAAACCATTTCATTTCAATTGACTTACCTCTAAGAAGGAAAAAGTAATTATCAGTAGTTCAAGGACATATTATGAGGATGACATGAGATGTCTGTACAAGCCTTTGAAAATTAGAAAATATACAGAAGTAGAAGCAGAGTTCATGGTTTGATCCTCACTTAGTTGCATTCAGAAACATAATTTTAGTAGTTTAGGCAAGAATCAATTTCACAGGATGAATTACAAACCAGAATCCCAGTTTTTTAAAATTGTAGAACATAATTGACTCAGGCTTTCTCCACAGACTATTTCTTTCCAATAGCCATATCTTATTAAGTTACTAAATTGCACATTAAAAGTTTGCTTTGTGAGAACAGACTTAGAGAAAAAGTTGCAAAGAATTCGGAAGTTAGGGTGAAACTCTGGAATCAAAATATTGGACATTCAAATCCCAGTCCCCTATTATCCCTATGCCTCTCAATTTATCCAAGTCTTAATTTATTTATCTGCAAAAATAGAGGCAAAGGTATTATTAGATTCAGATGTACAATTTTAATAAAAAATAATAAGGCACACAAATAAACAGGAAAGTATGGCCCATTCAGAGGAAAAAAACAAACCAACAGAAGTTGTCCCTGAAAAAGACATCATGGCAGATATACTAGGCAAAGACTTTAAAACAGTTATCTTAAAGTGCTGACAGCAATAGAGAAATATAGGGAGAAATTCCAAAGAGTGATATATGAACAAAATGAAAATGTCAACAAAGATATAGAAAATGTGAAAAGAAATATGGGAGCTGAAAAGTACAATAAGTGAAATGAAAGATTCACTAAATGAATTCAAGGCCAGATTTGAACAGGCAGAAGAAAGAATGAGCAAACTTGAAGAGAGAGCAATGGAAATTACTGAACCTGAGGAACAACCATAACAGCAACAAAAAACGATGGAAGTAACCAGATCCCAAAGGACTCATGAGTCAACATCAAGCAAACCAATACGTGCATTGTAGCAGTCCTAGAAGATGACAAAGAGAAAGAATCAGCGAGAATATTTACAGAAGTAATGGCTGGAAACTTCCCAAATTTGATGAAAGACATGAATATAAATATCTAAGAACCTCAAAGAACTCCAAATAATGTAACCTCAAAGTGACCCATACCAAGATTCATTATTATCAAACTTTAGAAAGACAAAGACAAAGAGAAAAATCTTGAAAGTAGCAAGAGAGAAGAAATCTGTCACATACATGGGATTCCCTAAAGATGATCAGCAGATTTCTCATCAGAAACTTTAGAGGACAGCCATTGGCCAATATATTCAAAGCTCTAAAAAACTAAAAAACAAAACAAAAAAACCTTGCCAACCCAAGAATCCAATATCTGGCAAAACTGCCCTTCAAAAGTGAGGAAGAAATGAAGACATTCCCCCAAAAAGCAAAGCTGAGAAAATGTATTACCAACAGAACAGTTCCACAAGAAATGCTCAAGGAGGCCCTGAAGGGTGAAATAAAAGAACACTAAACAGTAATCCAAAGCAACATGAAGACATACAGATCTCAATGAATATAAATATATAGGCAATTTTTAAAGCTAGTATTACAGTAACAATGAGATATAACTCCATTTTTTTTTCTTAATTTAAGACACACATTTAAAATATTACCTTATTCTTTAGGAAACAAATGTATAAAGAGGTAATTTTGTGACATCAACAACCAAGAGGGGTGAAGATGGAGCTATAAAGGAGCAGAGTTTTCGTATGTTATTGAAGCCAAGCTGGTATAAATTCAAATTAGAATGGCATAACTTCAGGATGTTAAATGTAATCCTTATGGTAATAACAAATAAAATACCTATTGAATACACAACAAAAGGATATGACAGAAAGTAAACATTACACCACAAAAAATCAACTAAACACAAAAGAAGGCAGTAATGCAATAAATGGAGTACAAAAAAAAAGCTATATGGCATGTAGAAAACAAATAGCAAAATAACACAAGTTCCTCCCAATCAATAATCACTTAAATGTAAATAGATTAAACTCTCCAATCAAAAAACAGATTATAAGAATGGACTAAAAGACAAGATCCAACTACATGCTATCCACAAAAGGCTCATTTTATTTATTTATTTATTTATTTATTTATTTATTTATTTTGAGATGGAGTCTTGCTCTGTCACCCAGGCTGGAGTGTAGTGGTGCAATCTTGGCTCACTGCAACCCCTGCCTCCTGGGTTCAAGTGATTCTTCCACCTTAGCCTCCCAAATAGCTGGGACTACAGGCACACCACCACGCCCAGCTAATTTTTGTATTTTTAGTAGAGACGGGGTTTCACCATATTGGCCAGGCTGGTCTCGAACTCCTGATCTCGTGATCTGCCTGCCGCAGCCTCCCAAAGTGTTTATTTTATTTTTTTAAGGGGCGATGTCTCACTATGTTGCCCAGGATGAGGTGTAGTGGCTACTCACAGGTACTATCATAGCACAATACAATCTGGAACTCCTTGCTCCAGGCAATCCTCCTACCTCAGCCTCTTGAGTAGCTGGGACAATAGCCATGTGCCACCATGGCCAGCAAGAAACTTATTTTAGATCCAAAAATATAAACAGATTGAAAGTGAGAAAGCTATGAAAAGATATTCTATGCAAATAGTAACCAAAAAAGAGTGGGAGTGGCTATATTAATATAAAACAAAATATACTTTAAGTCAAAGGTTATCAGAGACAAAGGACATTACATATGAAAAATTTAGCAAGACAAGAAGACATAATAATTATAAACTTTCATACATCTAATATCAGACCATCAAAATATATGAGGCAAAAACTGTCAGAATTGAAGACAGAAATACACAGTTCTACAATAATAGTTGCAGACTTGAATACCCTACTCTCAATAATGGATAAAACAACCAGACAGGATAAGTCAGTAAATAGAGAACTTAAACAACACAATAAACCAAGTAGATTTAATAAACACAGAAATAACAATCTACAGCCTGGCCAACATGGTGAAACCCTGTCTCTACTAAAAATACAAAAAAATTAGCCGGCTGTGGTGGTGAGCACCTGTAATCCCAGCTACTTGGAAGGCTGAGGCAGAGAATTGCTTGAACATGGGAGATGGAGGTTGCAGTGAGCCTAGGTAAGTTCCACTGCACTCCAGCCTTGGTGACTGAGACTCCCTCTCAACAGCAACAACAACAACAACAAAACAATCTTCCCAACATTAACAGCATACACATTCTTCTCAGGTACACATGGGACATTTTGCAGGACAGACCATATGATAGACCACAAACTAAATCTCATTAGATTTAAAATGACAGATATCATACAAAGTATGTCTTCTGACCACAATGGGATGAACTTAGAAATCAATAACAGAAAAATTCTATAAATGAAAAGTGAACAAAGTTGTGAAAATTAAGCAACACTCTTAAATAACCCAGTGGATCACAAAAGAAATCACAAAGGAAATTAGAAAATGCTTAGAGATGAATAAAAATGAAAAAAATCAACATACCAAAATGTATGGGATATGGTGAAAGCAGTGGTAAAGTGGAAATCTCCAGCTATAAATGCTTATATTAAAAAATAAGAAAGATCTCAAATCAACAACCTGACTTTACAACTTAAAGAGCTAGGGAAAGAAGTATAAACTAAATGCAAAGCTAACAGAAAGAAGAAAATAATAAAGATTAAAACAGAGATAAAATGGAAAAAATACTAGAAAATGTCAATTAATAAATCTTACCCAAGAGGACACAGAAAGTGTAAATAGTCCTAATGTCACAAGTATATGAATGGTTTTACTGACAGGGATCAAGAAAATACAGTCTGAGGGCTGCCTGCCTGTATTTTTAAATAATGTTTTATTGGAACACAGCCATGCCTCTTTGTTTATATATACTAAATGGCTGCTGTCACAATACTCAACACAGTAATCGCTACAGAGCCTGTATGACCCAAAAGCTGAAAATAGTTATCATTTGACTCTAACAAAGTTTTCTAACCACTGCTCTACGAATCCAAGCTCATTTATAAATATATTTGCAAAGAGAATATTAAAGGGAACAACTGATAAGCTAAAGTTACGGTAAATAGCATCTAAAAACATCCAATATTCATTAATTTGTTTAAATGTTAGCATACTTTAAAATGTTATAAATCACCAGAAAATTCATAAATGTGATAGTTGAAAACAGCATTATGCTCAGCAAAAATTTCAGACCCCAAAAGAGCACACATGTATGATTCCATATTTATGAAATTCTGGGACAGTTAAAACTAATCTATTGTGAAAAAAAGTGAATTCATGGTTTCCTGGAGCTTGGCAGGGAGGGTTTGACCAAAATAGAGCAATAAGGAACTTACTAGAGTGATAGGAATATTTTGAATCCTTATTGTGGTGGCGGTGGTTACAGGGTGTAAACATATGTCAAAATTTATCATGCTATACATACAAAATTGGTGCATTCCATTGTCTGTACATTACACCTCAATAATAGTTAACTTAGTAAAAAGAAATATTAAAGACTGTTTGTACCAGCAACCAAAAATATAAAGTATTTTGAAATAAACATTTTTTTAAAAAGGAAGTTTTAAGCACTATAAGATTACACCTTTGTGAGCATGAAAGAAACTAAAAATGGAGAGTTACACAATATTAATACATAGCAAAATCAATATCATAAAGGTGTCTCTTCTCACCAAACTGACCTAAAAGTCAATGAAGTTTCATTCAAACTTTCAAGAGGTATTTGGGTGAAATTTACAAAATAATTTTAAAATTTATACAGAAGAGGGAAGTACCAAGATATTCCTCAATGAGACCAGGCAACACATTCCTGAAGAAGAAAACTGAGGGGATTGCCCTTCCAAATATGAAGCTGAAGTTTAAAGCTGTATCAAGTAATATAGTGTTATCTTGCATCAGAAATCAACAAATAGAAAAACAAAATAGAAAGAAACAAAAAACAGAAACTACCCAACATAGACTATTCAGTCATTGGACAATATTGTGCTAAAGCTGTTTTGAACCAGCTTATAATAGGGGGCTGTTAAATTCTCCAAAATTTTCCAAGTCAGTTGTTAAACACAACCATTATAAAAAAGTAAATTATGTACACTTATAATTAAGCAAATTATATTAATAACAAAAGAAAGACACAAAACTCATCATTCTCCAATTATGTTACTACATTTTACTAAAATCCATGTTCTTGAGGCTGTGTCCTTCGACTGTATGCTGGAAACACTATGTCATGCGTATTACTGCCTATCTTTTCTCAACTCTATGTCAGCAGTGCCATGTCAGTAGTTTGAAATTAGCAACTGTAGGAGTATTTATACCATGGAAATCTGCAACGCTGGAAGTCAGGACTTGATCTATTGTTTTGTGGATTACCTAGACTTAATATAGTCGTGGAAAACATGTTAATAATGTAGATTAAACTTAAAAGTGTGTCACGTCTATAGCCATTATATCATGTCTATAGCTTCAAAAGAATGAAAAAGTACTCTTCTAGTATTCAAAAGTTATTATCTCATTGAACAAAGTACAGTAATTACTAACGTCTCTGACAAATAGTGAATTTCCAATATGTCTCTGTTGTTTCACTTTTGTATTAATTGTTAACATAAACAAAAATATTATCTAATATTCACCCTACACTGAATCATAATTCCACAGCTTGGCTACTCATACAAGACTCAGCAAAAATCAGTAAAAGCATTCTGTGATAATCAGTTACATACAATTTACCATAATATTTTATAAAATATTTATAATGTGTGCATACATCTTATCATTACTTTATAGTATGTGATTGTGTAACATGAATTATCCATTCCCTTGTCAAGAACTAACTGTGATTTTTTTCCAGGTTGTTTTCTCTTCTCTCTTTTTTTTTTTGTTTTTTTTGAGACGGAGTCTTGCTCTGTCAGCAGGCTGGAGTGTAGTGGCGCGATCTCGGCTCACTGCAACCTTCGCTTCCCGGGTTCAAGTGATTCTCCTGCCTCAGCCTTCCGAGTAGCTGGGACTACAGGCATGCACCACCACGCTGGGCTAATTTTTGTATTTTTAGTAGAGACGGGGTTTCACCACGTTGGCCAGGCTGGTCTCGAACTCCTGACCTCAGGTGATCCACCCACCTCGGCCTCCCGAAGTGCTGGGATTACAGACATGAGCAAAGGCACTCAGCCTGTCTTCTGCTTACAAATGCTGGTATGAACATTTCTATGAATTTCTCCTAGTGCATATGAGCAGGAAATGAGCCGGCCAAGAGGATGTGTTCCACTGCACTTCATTCCAACCCACACTTAGATCTCAGGAACCCTGGAATGCCCTGCCAAAACAGCCAAATTATGCAATTACTGTGTGTACCTCAAAGCTTGTTGAATAGCCGAGGTTAACAACTTGTAGTAGCTGGAGGGTGGAGCCTGGACGTGCAGGCTGTTATGTCCAGGTATATACGTGCAAATTTCCTGTCAGTATAGGACAATATAGGTGGCCGGATAGGAATGAGTGATTCCAAGAATCCTAGAATTCTAAATTCAAACCTGGCATTCCGGGTGGTTATGAATTCTTAGACAATACTTGCTATTTTTATAATAGTAAAAAACTGGTATCAATAAGTTTACAGTATATTTTTGAGTGACTGGCTAGTTAAAAAAATTAGTACATAATGCAATCCTACTTAAAAGTATTCTTGGCCGGGCGTGATGGCTCACGCCTGTAATCTCAGCACTTTAGGAGGCCAAGGCGGGCAGATCATAAGGTCAGGAGTTCGAGACCAGCCTGGCCAATATGATGAAACCCCGTCTCTACTACAAATAGAAAAATTAGCCGACTGTGGTGGTGGGTGCCTGTAGTCCCAGCTACTCAGGAGGCTGAGGCAGGAGAATTGCTTGAACCTGGGAGGCAGAGGTTGCAGTGAGCTGAGATCGTGCCACTGCACTCTAGCCTGGGCGACAGAGCGAGACTCCATCTCAAAAATAAATAAATAAATAAATAAATAAAAGGATTCTTATCTGGGCTGAGAAATATGCCTGGGAAAATATCATAGCAAGACTAACAACTAAAAAACCAGACACTAAAAATGAGGAAATAGAGGCAATATGAAAAGAAAATGTTTTGAGAAGTTAAACTATAAAGGAGAGCTCAGAAATGGCATAGTAGGAAGGGCATAATTTCAAAAGTCAAAAAAGATCACCTCTCTTGTAAGTTAAGGAATATTTCTATTTTTATCATCTTGGGGATAAACTAATAGAGACTCGAGGATGATGCAGAGAGAGGAGAAAGGGGAAGGGAGGGAGGGAGAAAGAAAGAATATGAATAACTTCATTTGAAATACAAATGAGAAGATAGGCCCCACAAAGACTAAACTTTTCCTTAGTGTTTGAAACCTTGTTTGCTATGATTTTTGGCAGGGCACTTCCCACATATTATGGGTGATGTTACCTTTAGATCTCATAACTCTGCAACCTTGAGACCAAGTCCTTCATGGATGTAATACTCACAGATCTCTGTAAATCAAAGGCCTAAAGGAATTTAGAAAGGGATTATTTTGCTTGATAGCATAGGTTTTACACTAAAAAAAAATCTTCGAAAATCCAAGAAATGGTCTATAAGCCAGAAATAAAATGAAAATTTGCCTAGTCCCTATAATGAAATAAAATATTGAGCTTCAAAGATGTATATGAATGAGCATTATACCTTATATGTATATTCTCTATCAAGCATTTACAACTTTTGTACATATCCTAAGAGCAAAATTGCATAATTGAAATTTAAGATGTGATCTTTTTAAAGAGTAAAATATTCCAGAATTAAAGTCAAACATCACTATTGTGCAGAGTAAGTTGTACTATGAATATAAACTAATAGAAGAAAAATTACTATATTTAAAAATTATCACTTTCAAACATATTTCTATCTTAACCCATTGTTACCTTTATTTAACAAATAATTTGCACTACCAAAACACCCAGTTATATAATATGCTATGTTCTTATACAATATAATAATAATATTATACTCTAATAATGATAATATTTATCATCATATTATACTCTTTTCAGTAAACCAGTTTGAAAGGAAACAGTCTAATACATATGGTAGCTGATGATGTCATTGTTACAAAGCTGTTACATATTTCTTCTAATATGTGGGCCATATTAGAAGAAATAATTATTGGCCAACATATTTCAGATGGTGAGTATTGCTCAAGTTAATAAATGGGGACAGAAATAAAATTAGCTAGGTATAAATGCAAAATTAGATACAATTTAAACACATAAAGTTTTAGTAAGTTATTCAATGATATTTACAACCAGTATGCATGCTTCCAAGGGCTTATAATAAAGTGAATCAGGTAATCAGGCACAATATGGTTTTATATGACATTTTAAGAATGGAGAAAAGCCAAGTAATTTACTCAGTCATCCAAGATAAATATAATGAAAGCTGAAAGTTGACAGTGTGGAAGTTTCTAATTGGTTGTATAATTTACCCTCAGTCCTTTCCACTATCCTCTTCCACCTGATCCTTGAATAATGTTTTCAGAGAAAAACCCAAAAGAAGACTGCAAGGAAAATGTCCCAGGGGCATCCATAATGTGGGCTCATTACAACTATACTCAGAAGATAATGCTAATAGTCATGATTGCTAATGAATGACTGGTTTACTGTTTGTTGGTATTATGGTTTATTGCTAACATCCTATTTTACGCACAGCAATTCAACCAAGATTGCAAATTTAGACATGCAGGCAATTGTGGCCATTCCTTTGAATGACTTCGGCTCACAGCCCAATGGCTGGCACAGAACTGGTGATCTTGTTGAACAGACAGGATGCAGTAGCTACTGATAGGGAATACGCAGACTTCTCTCCTGGCAAGTCTCTACAAGTCAGTGAATGGCTATCAGCTGATTGGCCTTATTACTTCCAAATGTCTTTCATGGTTGTTCTCTCTCCTTTCCAAGGTCGCTCTTTGAGAACTTAGCTGAATGTTTTATTGATCTGAGGCCTAAATCATGGCAAGCTACCTTGACCTTAATGATTCCTACAGAATGTCTGATGTTTCCTTTAGTCAGCCATACAGATTTTAATTGACAAATAAGTGCCGTCCTTGTAAAGATTTTAGAAAGATAAACACACTCACAAAAGAACTAACCAGCTGTTCGAGAAAAGTAATAAAATTGCCACCCTCACAGGAATTTGTTTCAATCTATTTGATTGTTTTCTGTATGCTATCTGTCACAATTCTTAAATGGATGATGGAATAAAGAAAACTAATTGTCCTTCATATATTGTAGTGTCAGGAGCAAGACTTTATTCCCAGACTGGCGATCACTTGCTAATTTAGCTGTAAAATTTCCCTTCTTTGTAAAATAAGACAATAACTGTCTTATAGGATATCTTGTTTGTATCAAATAATATTATAAATAGGTCACTTAGCATGATATCAGAAACATCAGAGATGCTCATTAAATGATATTCACTACAGTTCTTGATATTTTGTCAGTGAAAGAAAAAGGAAAAAATGGAATTAGGATACAGAACGACAAGAGAATAATTACTTAATCTTCTGGGCAAAGGATTTGTCATGTTAAGACAGAGGTCTCAGGAACAAAGCCTGAACTTGCTATTATTTTTTTCATAAGGAAAAAAAACGAGGGTGTAAAATCCCACCAGAAAGCTGCCTTCAAACCTTTTGCTATCCCCTGGAGAAATGTGTGAATTCTTTTAAAACTGGCCTTCCGATAACTGTAGCTGTACTGTGAGTTTGGTAGTACACTGGTTTGAGTCAGTTCCTAGGATGCAAATAGTGACATCCCCTGAGCTTATAATTCCACTCTCAATTGTGTTTAACAGGCAGATCCCAGATTGCAATGAGAAAGTGTAGCCAACATACTTGGAGAAAAGTCTGGGCTTATCTTTGGGCAAAGGCCACAAATAAAAGGGGTTTTGGCACCACTTAAAATGACGGTGAAGGTCTTTTGTAACCAGTCACCTCTTAGTTGAAATTCATTCTCCGTGAACACAAATTCTGTCCCCTGGAAGCTCCAGGAGATTTTAATGTTTAAAGAAAAGAAAAAAGGTCATTTATGTTTTTTCAACACTGCAGAATTGTACTGATGATATTTATTTTAAACACCACGTATTTTTTCCTTAGCGGAAAAGCCTGTTATTATTACAGCTGAAAGCAATAACTCCCAAGTTGGGAAACATTTCCAAATGAAAAACTTGTGATTATCACGATGCCTGCATGCCTAGTTACGCTATTTTATTTCCTTGCTTATTTAACAGGCAGAGGTACCCCTTAAAGGGTCAAATATTGATGAAGACATATTTATTTAGTGAGTCTTCAGCTGCCCTTGCCTATAAGTACTAAGATACCCAAATCTTATAAAAGATTAGAGCAGCTTATTTATTTCAGTAGCTTGGGGATTCTCCACTTCTGTTTAGCTGAATTTTGACTAATATCTAAAGAAAGATGAAGGGAAATACCCTTTGGAATTTGCCGTTTTCTCCTCAACTTTTTATTTTGAAAAACGTCAAACCTACAAAAAAAGCGCAAGAGTACAATAAACATCTATATATCAAGATTTACCAATTGTTTAACATTTTACCACATTCTCTCTCTCCCTCTCCTCATTTACATATATACACGGCTGTGTGTGCGCAAGTAAGTACATGGAACATATATACATTTTCCTATTCTGAATTACTTGAGAGCCATTTGTAGATCTTGTGACTGACTCTGCGTCCCTGTAATACTTCAGCATGTACCTTCTATGAAGGATATTATCCCACATCCCATCAATTATTACATGCAGAAAAGTTAATAATTAAACACTAACATATAATAATTCAACATTAACATAGATAGAGTCCATGTTTAAATATTACCTACTGACTGAAAAATTATCTATAAAGCTGGGAATTTTTGCTTTATTTTATTTTATATTTATATCCAGAATCTGATCAAAGATCCTTTATTCTAGACCATTTCCCCGGGCTCTTCTATCTTTCATGACATTGGCATTTTTTAAGAGCTCAGGGCAATTATTTTGTATAAAGTTCCCCCATCTGAAGTTGTGTGTTTGATTCTCACACTTAGATTCAGATTATGTATCTTTGGCCGATATACAACACAGCAATGTTTTGTGTCTATTTTTATATAATCATTTGCTCTCAACTTTTTGCTCAGTTTTTCTCACTCATCCAAACATTATAATATGCAAGGGGGCAATCAAGAACTTTTTGTGCAGTTTCTTATTATTCAAATGTCCCGATCCCTGGTCTTCAATACCTATGGGCATCAGAATATCTGCTTCACTAAAAATTCTGATAACTTCCAGTGGAGTGGGTGCAGACAGACAATTTCAAACAGGAGTGGTTTAAGTGGCTGACACTTATTTATTTTAACTGAACATCTTTCGAATTGTTTTGGGTGGAGTCTCAGAGCAGTTCTCCATTTTATACCTGCATGGTTGCTGGAAGTATGCACTGCCAAACCAGACTGACAATGTGGGTATCACACCTAGGAGACATCGCCATAGGAGCAGCAGGGGACTCAGGGACCCAGAAAAACATTTCCAAACGCACCTCTCTGGATCAAGTGCTATGACTCACTGAGGCCTGGCAAATGCATATGACCTTCCCCGGCAAATACTTTTAAATAGACTCAAACCCTGTCAGGAGACTCTGGACTTGCTTTATCTGTAAGTCTTTGAAGATAATAAGATCTTTAATCATATGGAATGGTTTAGGTAAAGTCATACCAAAGCTAAAAATATGCAGGAATACATCCTAATTATTCTTTGCTTCTAAGATCTTAATTAAATGTCATCAAGTAGGATTTTTAAACATAAATTATAACCACTAAGCAAATTTGGAAATAAGACTAGACCGCTTTCTCTAAAATATTGAGGGAGTGAACAGTTGCTTTACCTTAGAGAGTGTAAAATAAAAATAATGATTCCATTCTATATTCCACTAAGATATTTCTTAATGTCACATACCCAAACTTAAAATCCAAAAAGGACGCAAATAATGAAATCAACAATCAATAAGCCAGCAAATATTTACTGAATATTGTGCTTAAATATTATGAATTGCAGCCAAATTATAATGCAGCTTCTGAATATAAGGATCTGTAATTTAACATGATGCATGCAAAAATCATGTCAATGCTAGAACTTGGTGTGACTTTAATTAACTAGCCCATATACAGACCCGAAAGATGTTAGGAGAAGTTGCAGAGGAAGAATGGTGAGAAAGGCTTGACCACAGAGGAGGCAGAATTGAGTCTGGTCTTGAAGGCTCAAGGGCAACTTAATAGGCCAGGAGGACCAAGGAGAAAGTCAGCAGAGACACAGAGGGGGCAGCAATGTTACTTAATCTTGTTATAAAAAATGATGAGGGCAGAATTGTGTTTGGCAAGCCAGGTATAAGCAGGCAAGTTAAACTTGCCACATTCATACAAATGTTACGGGTCAGATACACAAAGCAAAGGCAAGTATTGATAGAGACCCGAGGAAGAATCCCTGCATACATACAGCGATTTCTTTGGCTAAAAATCACATTGTCTGTACAGCATGTCATCTGCTAAGCAAATCTTCATCTCAAGAGAGATGCCCCAGGGAGTAAGGATAAACAATAGAGCGTTAGCAATCCTGAAAGCTGTACACAAAAACATCGTTTTATAGTCCAGTTTAATCCTCTGTAGACATTGTTTGATGAAATATACTTTTATGAGAAGTACATACTCTTAGCATTAAAAACACTGACACAGCTTTATGAAAATACAGTAGGGTTTTCTCTGGACCAAATCAAGCCAATGTAATTTAGCACTACCATTTACACCTCTAGGACACAGCTTTTGCAAACGTGCAAATACTGAGGCATTAAACATATCTGTAGTGTTAATAATGGGCTTGATGTTTACAGGTAAAAACCTTAAGGTTTCTGGCTAGAGAACCAACTATAGGCTATTGCTGATGTTCTGTTTCTAGTTCGGTGGGCAAGTAGCATGCTTAGATAGGAATCAGATTCCAGGCTATTATGAAGCACAAATTAAGACAATAAATGATGATGAGGCACTGGTTTATACCATGTGTTAGCAAACTATAGCCTGAAGGATGAATCCAGTCTACTGCCTATTTTTGCAAATAATATTTTACTGAAACACAGCCAAACCTATTTATTTAGGTATTGTCTACAGCAGAGTTGAGTAATGGTGACAGAGACCACGTGGCCCACAAAGTGTAACATATTCACTATCTGGTCCTAGACAGAAAGGGGTGCCAACCCTTGGTCTCTACTTTTTTTTTTTTTTTTTTTTTTTGAGACGGAGTCTCGCTCTGTCACCAGGCTCGAGTGCAGTGGCGCAATCTCGGCCCACTGCAAACTCCGACTCCCAGGTTCAAGCGATTCTTCTGCCTCAGCCTCCCGAGTAGCTGGAATTACAGGCACGTGCCATCACGCCCAGCTAATTTTTGTATTTTTGGTAGAGACGGGGTTTCACCATGTTGGCCAGAATGGTCTTGATCTCCTGACCTTGTGATCCGCCTGCCTCGGCCTCCCAAAGTGCTGGGATTACAGGCATGAGCCACCATGCCTGTCCTGGTCTCTACTTTTAATTGTCACAGCCTTAATTCCTCTTCCTGTAAAATATATATAGTTTCCTATTGACACTGTAATACATTGCCACAAATTACATAACTTAAAACAACACAGATTTATTTTCTGACAGTTCTGGAGGTCAGACATCCTAAAATCAAGGTGTTGGCAGGACTGCGTTCCTTCTAGAGGCTCAGGGGAGAATCTGTGTGCTGCATTTTCCAGCTTCTAGAGGCCACTTGCATTCTTTGGTTTGTGGCCCCTGTTCCATCTTCAAAGCCAGCACCTCCAATCTCTCTACTTCTGTCATCAGGATGTCTTCTATGATTCCGACACTCCTGCCTCTTTTTTTTTTTTTTTTTTTTTGAGACGGACTCTCGCTCTGTTGCCCAGGCTGGAGTGCAGTGGCACGGTCTCGGCTCACTGCAAGCTCTGCCTCCCAGGTTCATGCCATTCTCCTGCCTCAGCCTCCCGAGTAGCTGGGACTACAGGCGCCCGCCACCATTCCCAGCTAATTTTTTGTACTTTTTAGTAGAGATGGGGTTTCACCATGTTAGCTAGTATGGTCTCCTGACCTCGTGATCCACCCGCCTCGGCCTCCTAAAGGGCTGGGATTATAGGCGTGAGCCACTGCTCCTAGCCCTGCCTCTCTCTTACAAGGACCCTTGTGATTACCTTGTGTATTCCATATTGTACATTGTGTATTCCACATTGTACACTCCACATTACCTTGTGTAGTCTGTTCTCATAGTGCTATAAAGAACTACCTGAGACTGGGTAATTTATAAAGAAAAGAGGTTTCATTGGATCACAGTGCTACAGGCTGTACTGGAAGCATGCCTGTGGAGGCCTCAGGAATCTCACAGTCATGGAAGAAGGCAAAGGGGAAGCAGGCACATCTTACATGGCCAGAGAAGGAGGAAGAGAGAGAAGGGGAAGGTGCCACACAGTTTTAAACAACCAGGTTTCATGAGAGCTCGCTCACTATTAGGAGAACAGCAAGAAGAAAATTTGCCCCCATGATCCACTCAACTCCCACCAAACCCCTCCTCTAACACTGGGGATTACAATTCAACAGGAGATTTAGGCCAGGACACACTTCCAAACCATATCACATTGGGTCCACCCAAACAATCCAGAATATTCTCCCCATCTCAAGGTCCATAACATAATCAAATCTGCAAAGCCCCTTTTGCCATGTAACAACATAGTCACAGATTCTAGGAATTAGGACAGAGTTACTTTGGGCAGCACATTATTCAGCCTATCACAATATGTTAAATAATTTGTTTCCCAAGGACAGTGTAGGTATTTAAAGAACAAAATCAAGTACAGCTAAGTGTAACATAATAGAGACTTTTTATCATCCACCAAACTTTCTCCACATTTCCTAATTCTTCTTTCTCCAACCCTACCCTCTGAATCTTAACCTGTTTTCATTATTGTGCACTGCTGTCTCAGAAGACAATTAAGAAATGTTAATTTCTTGTATTTGAAATTACACATTCTTTGACTCAGAAATCCAAAGATTTTATTAAGATTTAAATCTACAATCATCTAAAAGTTTTACTAACAAAAAATCATGCTACTGACATGTTTATCTCTCTAATTTATAGCAGACAAGACCTTCACCAATATAAACCTATAAGACAGGGTATCATGAATGCCAACAAAAAGGTAAGGGTAAAGTTGTTGTATGTGTTTTGATGATAGGGAAGTTAGATTTGGAAGGAAGACAGCAACAAAGGTAATAGCTACATTTGAGAGGGGGTCAAAGGAGAAGCATAAGAAGGGATGATATGGTTTGGCTGTGTCCCCACCCAAATCTCATCTTGAATTGTAGCTCCCATAATTCCCACATGTTGTGGGAGGGACCCAGTGGGAGATAGCTGAATCATGGGAGTGGTTTCCCCATACTGTTCTTGTGGTAGTGAATAAGGTGCACCAGATCTGATGGTCGCATAAAGAGTTTCCCTTTTACTTGATTCTCATTCTCTCTTGCCTGCTGCCATGTAAGATGGACCTTTCACCTTCTGCCATGATTGTGAGACCTCCCCAGCCACGTGGAACTGTACATCCCTTAAACCTCTTTTTCTTCATAAATTGCCCGGTCTCAGGTGTGTCTTTATAAGCAGCATGAGAACAGACTAATAAAAAGGACATATGTGTTGGGAATCCACAAGGGTACCTACAGGGAGGAGCAAGTCCTACAAGGTAGCTGGGTCACAAGGTATGTAAGGGAAGGTGACAGATGTGGGAGACCTGAAATTCTAGACCAGATAATTTAGACAACTTATAGATGCTGTAGCTTTTTGGTCTGAGTAGATGCTGGACCACAGCTCTGTTGGTGGGCTATTAGTCTGGTCAAGTTTTAGAGGAGAAGAGGAGACAAGTTGACACATAAAGGGAATACCTGTCCTTCCACGTGTCCCATGTTTCCAGACAGCAATGCCACCCTCAATATTAGACTTCCTCTCTGTCCTCCTTCCTTCCTTTTTTCCTTTCTTTGCTTCCTTTTCTTTTCTTTTTTTTTTAAATTTTATTGCCAGTAGCTAGCAGTACATGATCTCTAGGCTCCATAGAAATTTTCTTCTAAATTTTGAGAAAAGAAAATATAAATTGGAGCTCTTACTAAGAAAAACATGTATCACAGATTGCCTTTCCTGCCTTCCAGTAACAGATTGATAATATTTTAATGCAACACTTCAAAATATAGTTAATGACAGTGAAAGTCAGCCAGGTTTTTAGGGCTACTTCTGTGCAATTGCCCATAATCTATCCCTATAACACATTTTTTCATGTATCAGGTTTTTCAGTTTCTTTGGGTATTGTTGCTGTCGTTTTAGGTTTTTTTTTTTTTTTCACTATTTTAAATTGTCAGCATCATTTTCTGCAATTTGCTATCCTATGTATTTAATCTTTTCCAATACTGGAGATATAAATTGTATAAAGGCTTTTAAAGAGTTCTAATTCATTTTACACATATTTTGCAAATTTGACTACAGGAAAGTGCATTATCACAATGTTGACTTTGTATGTAAGCATTGTACATGCACATAAAAACATTGAAACTTTTTCAGCAGATGAAAAGATAACCCCTCTGTATATCTGCTTCTGTGAAAGATAACATAAGCTCTGGGATCTCCGGGTGACTGCATATGCTGTGATGATGCAGTGGTGATCCATCAAGGTTTTTGATTAAAAGACTTGGATTGTTCATAATGGCATTTCAGATGAGTGCATTTATATAAGCTATTTATTTTTTAATATGGTTCGTCTGCTCAAAAAATGTTATACCTGTATTACTGCTGTTAATATATCTGTTTTATGCTTGCAAAAATATGTATGTCATTACTGCCTGTATTCTATCACATTTTTATATGTTTCTCAACTCTCCTTTTAAAAATAATTATATTTTTGGAATTTTGATTCTTTGAGATTGTAATTTTGGGGATTTTACACTTTCAGGATTTCAATCTTTCAGGATCTTCACAATAGGGTTTACGGTATTCAGGATGGTGTCTTTTGGGATTATGTCCCAAACCCCCATTGTAGGGATGCCATTCATTCTTCATTCAGATTCTCATGCCAGCTATTAGCTTTCAACATCCTTAATGCCATAATCTCTACTTAATTCAGGCCCTGACCACCTGTTATGGATTGAATTGTATCCCCCATAAAGTTATGTTGAAGTCCTAACTCGCAGGATCTCAGAATGTGACCTTATTTGGAAATAGGGTTGTAACAAATTGAATTAGTTAAGATGAAGTTTTACTGGAGGAAGGTGAGCTCTTAATCCAATATGACTTATGTCCATATAACAAGACATGGACACATGGAGGTATCTTCATTTCTTCATACAATATGAAGTCACATACAAATGACAGAATGCCACGCAATCATGGAGGCCGAGCTTGAAGAGTTGCAGCTGCAAGCCAGGAATCTCCAGAGCTACTAGAAGCTGGATGAGGCAAGTAACAATTCTCCCTGTGTTATAAGTCCATTCTCACGCTGCTGATAAAGACATACCAGAGACTGGGCAATTCACAAAATAAGTTTAATGGACTTACAGTTTCATGTGGCTGGGAAGGCCACACAATCATGGCAGAAGGTGAAAGGCACGTCTCACATGGCAGCAGACAAAAGAAGAGAGCTTGTGCAGGAAAACTCCTGTTTTTTTAGAACCGTCAGATCTCGTGAAACTTATCAAGAGAACAGCATTTCTTGAGAAAGACTCACCCCCATAATTCAATTATCTTCCACCAGGTTCCTCCCATGACAACGTGGGAATTGTGGGAATTACAATTGAAGATGAGATTTGGGTGGGGACACAGCCAAACCATATCACTCCCCTCCAGGTTTTAGAGAGAGAGAAGCTCAACAGATATCTTGATTTTGGACTTCAAGCCTCCAGAGCTGTCTGATAAATTTCTTTGTTTTAAGCCACCCAGTTTGTGGTACTTTGTTATGGCAGCCCTAGAAAACCATCACATGCTTAAAATAACAAAAATAATCATTCAATAAATACTTATTAGCCACCCACTATGGGCCAGGTACCATTCTAGGTGTTAAAGATATGGCACACAAAACAAAATGCATGCATTCATGGAGCTTACCTCCTACTGGGGAAGAGAGAGACATTAATCAAAATATTACGGCATCATACGGTGATAGCTGTATGAAAAAAATTAAAGTAAGCAAGAGTGTGTTTTTTTGTGCATGTGCATGTATGAGTCTAACTTAAGACAATGTGGCCTTGGAAGGTCTCGCTGTGAGTACAGACCTAAATGTATGAGATTAAGCCAGCTGAGGGAAAGAGCATTCCACACAGATGGAGCAGCAAATGCAGAGGCCTTGAGGTGGTCATGTTTCTGGTGTACTCCAGGAAGAGCAAGGAGAGGACAGTGGAAGGAGCAGAGTGTGCAAGAGGACATGTGGCAGACATTGACAGCAGAGAGTCAACGAGGGTGTGCGTGGCTCAGCCATATGTAGAATCTTATCCGTATTGCAAGGACATTGCCTCTACTCTGAGGCATCAGGGAACCCCTAGGGGTTTTTGGCAGCAGAGGACTAACATGACCTGACTTACTTTTAACTAGATCTTCCTGCTTGCTATGTTGAGAAAAGGCTAAAAGGGACAAGAGTGGAAGTACCAGGCACACCAATTAGGAGATCTTAAAGTAGAATGTATTTGTCCCATCAAAATTTATATGTTGGAACCTAAGACCCAGTGTGATAGTTTTAATAGGTGGAGGCTTTAGGAGGTGATTGTCATACAGGCTCTGCTTTCATGAATAGAATTAGTGTTCTTACAAAAGGGCTCCAGGGAATTAGGCCCCTTTTACCTTCCCAACTTTTCCACTATCTGAAGACACAGAAAGAAGATGCTGTAAGAATAGGCTCTCAGCAGATACCAAATCTGCCAGCACCTTGATCTTGGACTTCCCAGCCTCCAGAATGGTGAGGAAATACATTTTTATTCTTTATAAATTACCTAGTCTCAGGTATTTTGTTACAGCAGCATAAACAAACTAAGACAGAAGGTTATGGCAATAATCAAGATGAACGATCATGGTGTCTAAGACAAGAGTAATAGCCACAGACAATAAAAAGTGGCCTGATTCTGTCTGTATTTGAAGGTGGGCAAACAGGATTTGCTTTTTTTTTTTTTTTCTTTTTTTGAGACAGAGTCTTGCTCTGTCACCCAGGGTGGAGTGTAGTGGCACAATCTCAGCTCACTGCAACCTCTACCTCCCGGGTTTGAGCAATTCTCCTGCCTCAGCCTCCCTAGTAGCTGGGATTACAGGTGTGCACAACCACACCCGGCTAATTTTTGTATTTTTAGTAGAGACAGGGTTGTACCATGTTGGCCAGGCTGGTCTCAAACTCCTGACCTCAGGTGACCCAACTGCCTCTGCCTCCCAAAGTGCTGGGATTACAGGCATGAGCTACCACACGCTGTCAGGATTTGCATTTTTAATGGCCACAGTGTAATATCTTAACTTCTCAACTAGACTGTATGTTCTTTGTGAGCAGAGCCCAGGTCTTATGTGTCCACGGTACTTGTCCCACCTTGGTCCCAGCATCTTAACTGAAAGCAGATGCTCCTGTTTTCAGTGAAGAATGTGCTCTCAGTGGAACCCACTCTTGATCATTCAATGCAAAGGAACTAAACGGTGTTCAGAGACCCAACAATGTCATGCAAGTATGATTCCAGGACACTCCTCATTTAAGTCAAAGACCAATTACATGAAAAAACATTTTCTGGGACAACAACTCCTAACCTTTATCCCTTGCCAAAAACCCTAAAGCACATCACCTCACTGCTGCAAATTTAGCTGTATTCAAATATTCCAATACTGTATTACCAAGCACTGAGCACTTTTTTCATTCCACAAACTTTACTTAACATGCTCTTCTGGTTTGAAAACAAATAAACAAAACACCAAAGAAAAAGACACAACTTGGATCATTCAAGCAAATAGAACTGAGAATAAAAGCACTTTGGATTATTGGCTCAAGTTCCCTTAAATGAAAAATCAAAAAAAAGGAATTTTTTCCTCTGAGGATAATGTCTCAGAGATTTACAAATGGTTAAGAGATCTGAGAGTTGATTATTCATTCCCTGAAGCAAAACTTCAACATTAGGATGCCAGGCAATGTGGTGTTTGGCATCAGCAATGAAGTGCTGGCACTCAAGTTCAGCTTCTTGCATGCCAGAGGTTATCATTTCTAGCTATGATAACTCCAAGTTTGTTTGGATCACACATGTTTCAGGTAAAGGAACTCAGGAGTGAATTAGCAGGGAAAATTAGGTAAGGGTACCCCTTTACATCTGCTAAGACATATAGGCAGAAAGCAGACCAGGTCCTACAATGAGATTCGAAATGGGAACCCAGTGAGAGACCCAATTCCTTTCCCTATCTAAAGATGGGGCTACTTGAGTTGCCACTGCAGTGAGCAGACAATGTTGAGAAAGGATGGACAGCCCTGTGACTCATCTTCAGAAACCAGATTTATGTTTTTTGTATAAAAATCAAGGTAGCCAGATACCATCCATGATCGGATACCAACCTAGCCCTGGCATAAAATGATCTAGGGCTGAAGGAGAAATGGTAAGAAGAAAAGTGGAAAATACATCATCAATGTTTGGCATAGAAATACAAATAAAAATAGCTGTCAGCCACTTTAAGAAGAGAGCAAGATAAAGCATTGAGGAGGAAAGAGAGAAGCTGTTTTTATAAAGATGGGATAGAAAATAAAGGTAAATGGGAGAAGAGTCCAGACAAAAGATACAGGGTGGTGGGAAGACTGGAGATACAGAGAGGAACAAATCTCCATCCTAGCTTTGGCTACTTGTACATTCTCACGTGGTCAAGCAGGATCTCCAGTGAATACTGGAGCACACCCAGATGCTGCAAGAAACTTTGAAGTGATTTGGGGCATACACACAGGCCAGATCAGGAGGTTATGCCCAAAATCAGATGGAAAAACCTCCCTGTGGTTTGCACCCTGCCCTCCTATCCTCTGCAGGACATTCAGAGTAGGTGCTTAATTAATACGTTTTGTATGTACACTGCCTTCCAAGCTTCTGCTCCTCCTCTGATTCCAAAGAGGTTTTGAGTTTCTTATTCCTCACAAAGTTCCTGGCTTCAACCTGGCAGATGCAAACGTCTGTCATCTCTCTCTGTCTCAGATGCCTTGGTACAGAAATAGAGCCAAATCACAAAAGCCCTGGCCAGGCTAGGTGTCACAAATATGTAATGTCCTTATCCTGATTATGTTCAGTTTAAAAATTTGGGGTCTTTCTTCTCTAGATTTTTCTAACTATATAGTTTCTTTACTGAAAATGAGAGATACCTATAACAAGATGTGTGCACAGAAAGAATAGGATATATGTGTAGTCTAGAAACACTACCTTAAAAATGGACAACCAGCAGCCCTCAGGGCTGTTCTGACTATGGAGTAACCATTCTTTTATTCCTTTACTTTCTTAATAAACTTGCTTTCACTTTGCAAAAAAAAAAAAAAAAAAAAAAACGAAAAGAAAAAAAGAAACACTACCTTGACATATTTTTAATGTAGCAAAATATTAACTAATAGATGATATCCTTGTCCCAATGTTAAATATATACCTTAAAGAAGAATTCACTCACAGTTCCAGGTCGGCATTCTGTAAAGTGAAGGCTTAAATTTTAATATGCCCAGCTGACTCTCCACTGCTGTCCATCAACATACTGGAGACTTTCATATCATTAGTTAGGCCCTTTTCTCTGAGATGTACTTTTACACATTCAGTTCCCCAGTCTTACCTGGGGAACTTTGAGATGTCGGGAAGACATCTCAAAGACAACCTGCCCACCACAGCATCCATGCTTCTCCACCCCAGATTTGTCTCTTCCCAACGCCATTTTCCACTTTGGTAAAAAGCAGTACTATCCACCCATTATTTAAATCAGACACTTAGGGAAAATCCTCTGTTCCCACTTTTAACCCACTTCCAGGTAGTTGTTGTTCTTTTGTTTTTTTGTTTTTTCCAACAGCAAATCCTTTCATTTTACAAATCTTTCCATAACTGGCCTTCTTCACTGCTACTACCTTAGTTAAGTTCTCCGTCATTCCTTTGATGAACTATTAAAACAAACTGAACCACTTCCATTCTTGCTTTCTCTACACATTGTATCCCATCTCCCCTCTATTAGCTTGCATTGTTAAAATGGAATATCTGAGACTGTGTAATTCATAAGGAAAAGAGGTTTAATTGGCTCATGGTTCTGCAGGCTCTGCAGGAAGCATAGCACTGACGTTGCTCAGCTTCTGGGGAGGCCTCAGGGAGCTTCTACAATCACGGTGGAAAGCAAAGGGGGAGAAGGCACATCACATGACAAAAGTGGGAGCAAGAGAGAGTTGGTGGTGGCGGGGTGCCACACACTTTTAAATAACCATAGCTTTTGAAAACTCACTATTATGAAGACAACACCAAGCCATGAAGGATCAGCTCCCATGATGCAAACACCTCCCCCCAGGCCCCACCTGCAGCACTGGGGAATACTATTCAACGTAAGATTTAGACAGAGACAAATATACAAACTGTATCATACCCGTTGATTAAAATCCTTCAGAACCTGCCTCCTTATTCACACTCAGGTAGAAGAGGTCTCAGCGACTGCATTCCTTATTGCCTTTGGGCCTCAGGGCCTTTGCATACCTCCTTCTCTACCTAGAATATTCTTCACAGAGCTTAATTGTTATATCCTTAGAATTCACCCTTTCTAGTATAATACTATTATTCTTTATTTCAATGTTCCATTTTTTCCCTTCAAAAATAAACATTTATTTATTGTTAAAAAAATTTATTTATTTATTTATTTGTTTAAAAAAACAAGATTATCAATTGAACCCATTAGATTATGAGTTCAGTTTGGGTAGGAAATACACCTATCTTACTATTGACTTCCCACCACCCAATATATTGCCTGGAATGTAGAGGCATTCAAAGATCCATTCAATCCATCAATTGAGCAATCAATCAATATCCAACAATGTCAAAATGTGAGGGCTGATTTATGTTGTATATTATTTTCCTATTTTGAACATCTAGAACAATTGTTTATATCATTACCTTGACAATCAACCTATGACTTTCTAGTGATAATTTTTCATTACAATCCCAAACTGTTACTGCTCTTCAATATTTTGCCAATCTGTCTTCCAAACCAGATTCAAGCTCTTTAATGGCAAGGACCAAGTTCTGAAGTACATTCACTCACTCAACAAATGGGAGGCAAACACTGTTCTAGGGATTGCAGACACAGAGCTGTACAGGACAGGTAGGATTCTCGCCCTCAGGAGAGTATGGATTACCCTCACATTCATTACTTTAATCTATTTAGCATGCTTACGTGCCAAGCACTGTTGTAGACAAAAGGGATATAACAGTAAACAAAGATAAATCCCTGCCCTTGAAAACTCTCATTCCTATGTGAACTTACATGTGCACATCACAGTGCTGAGCCTCTAACACTGAGGCTGTCAATACATACTTATGATGCCAAAACATAAAATTGGGAAGAAGTTTTGTGTTTATAAAAATTCACTGCATTGCTCCTTTAAATCATAGAGAATTGTGAGAATGCAAAATCAGAAGACAGGGCATCTCTGAAGCTCTGAGTACCATGGTTCTTTCAAGCCATTTTAAACGAGATAAAAATTGCCTAAGTATATATATATTTAATTTTTTTTTTTTTACCTAGCCCATGTTACCAATCTAAATGAACTGTCTATGCATAGAAAACTGCTTTATGCCTAAGATAATTACTGGGATTTAAGAAAGTGAGAAAAAAGAATAGGTGGGATTGAGAAATTAGGTAAAACAGAAGAGGCCAACTAAACCCAAGTGCTGCCCTTCAAGGGCTCTAGTAACTTATACCACATTTCATGCATGTGATTTCACTCACAAAGTATTTTAAGTAGTTTAGTATGCTGCATTGTCAAATGACAAAGAGCATTCTGGATTTCAAAAAGAAATAAAAACATCCAGCCTTGTTTGCAATAGTATTTAACTCCAACAAAAGAATGAAACAGAAGAAATGCAGTATATCCTGACTTGGACCCTGCCAGTAGGAGATGGGAAATTTTTACAGGAGTTTAACTGAATTATTGGATTTGACATCACCACATGGAGCTCTGCATCATAGTGCTTTTCTGTAATCATCTTTCAGAATCCCTAAGTTGAATGGTAAAGTTCTACCTGAATAATCATAGAAGAGAATATTTTTACCTCAACAAGTTTTCCTATACTCAAAGGTCAAAATAAACAGTCTACAGTTTTAGTAACTAACACCCCCCATAAAAAAGTTCTACCATTGAATTATAGAGCCTATATAGTCTTTGAATTTCCAAGGCAGGGAGGTCTTTGTGGCAATTTCTCATTTTATTAACAGATGAGGGAGCTGGAATCCTGAAAGAGTCAAGGATTTCCCAACATGTTAATGAGCAGCACAAGCAACATTTAAATTTGGTGACTTGAAGAGTGGCCTGTGCACTCATCGAAAGCTGCTGTCTTTCTCAACTTCCTCCACCCTCCTCCTTCTCAGCACTCTCCCTTCACATCTTGCTACTCACCCTGAACCACTGGAAGGAGCAGAATGAGCAGAAACCCAGGCCACTGGAGGACAGAGAACAGGGAAGAGTCAGTCTCTGTGCAATTACCAGCCCTCTACTAAGGACGCAGCTGAGAAATGAGGACCTGCCACTGCTGAGTGTGACCCTGCTTAGATGCTCTGCATGACATATGTCGACAGTATCTTTACATTCTGGGAAAATACAATTGTATTTATTATTTTGTGTCTTTAGTTCATTAATGCTATGTGCTTTTTCAGCTAAAGTAAGGTCATTATTACTTAGGAGTCTGAATTGGACATTATAATTTTATTTTAAAAAGTAAAATTTTAACACTCCATTTTGAATCAGAGACGTCACACCCTTCAAAATTAGCACTTACTTATTATCATCTAGCTTCCAGCCTTCACTCTACCAAAACTTTTCTGACTTCATGAAATTCCTAGGACACATAATCTGTTTAAAAATATTAATATATTCTATCAAAAGTTAATGACTTTTCACCTAGATCAGTGCTTTGCTAAATTAATTTTATTTTCAGATCCAAGTTGTTTTATGCATGCACAAAAAGTGAAGCAATAACTGTCAATATTTTTGCTTCATTAGCAGAAGAATTTCACACAAGATTAAATGATCTTAATTTTATGTCAGTATTACCAGACACTTCAAACGAAAAATAAAGTTAATTCCAGAAAAATTTGGTTTTCTTCATGCACATCATAGAATCAAAGTAAATTTTTGGAAATTCATTCTGTTGGAGGTGAAACATGTAACATTATTTTGAATGCCCATTGTAACCTCAGTTTACAAATATAATATTGTAAATAAAATGTAAAAATATTCAGGCTGAGTTATTTATTTCAATACTAAAAGTAGAATTAGTAAGCTCCATTTAGCAGTATTTACTCCAAATTTAGCATTTGTGTAAGTAACTGTAGAAAGTGTCAGGCCTCTGAGCCCAAGCTAAGCCATCATATCCCCTGTGACCTGCACATACACATCCAGATGGCTGGTTCCTGCCTTAACTGATGACATTCCACCACAAAAGAAACGAAAATGGCCTGTTACTGCCTTAACTGATGACGTTATCTTGTGAAATTCCTTCTCCTGGCTCATCCTGGCTCAGAAGCTCCCCTACTGAGCACCTTGTGACCCCCACTCCTGCCCGCCAGAGAACAACCCCCCTTTGACTGTAATTTTCCTTTACCTACCCAAATCTTATAAAACGGCCCCACCCACCCCTATCTCCCTTGGCTGACTCTCTTTTCGGACTCAGCTCGCCTGCACCCAGGTGATTAAAAGCTTTATTGCTCACACAAAGCCTGTTTGGTGGTCTCTTCACATGGACGCGCATGAAAGAAAGTATTTTCTCAATTAAAAATATTTTGATCTACAGAGAAGAGTCAACTAGAAATGTCAACAATTTCCAATGTGTTAGCCATAAAGTGCAATCTTGAAGACTTCAGGTAATTTTATTTTTTTAAAAAAGGAGATGATGATAACAATGAACCTATTGAAAAAATATATTGTTCAATAAAATACCGGTGACTCAGTACAGAAAAAAGCACATGCAGAAAGAAGCAGAATGAGACCACTTAACAGATCCAGAGAGAGGCAGATACCGCGTGGCTCCTGTAGTTCTCCCAGACACTCAATACTGGCTCCATTATGTTTGTGTGAGAACTTTGTTGTCTTTCAATGCCGCCATTTTTATTTGAGCTCATTTGAGTGCATTGGGTCTTTGCAAACCAAAAAGTCTCACTTTACTTTTCAAGCAATACTTCCTGTATGAGCCATGACAGCCTTCAGTTCTGAGTCAGCACTTTCACAGAGCTGTGAATTTTTTTTTTTTTTTTTTGAGAGGAGTCTCGCTTTGTTTCCAGGCTGGAATGCAGTGGCGCAATCTCGGATCATGGCAACCTCCGCCTCCTGGGTTCAAGCGATTTTCCTGCCCCAGTCTCCCAAGTAGCTGGGATTACAGGAACCGGCCAGCACTCCTGGCTAATTTTTGTATTTTTAGTAGAGAGGGGGTTTCACCATGTTGGCCAGTCTGGTCTGGAATTCCTGACCTCAGGTGATCTGCCCGCCTCAGTCTCCCAAAGTGCTGGATTACAGGCGTGAACCACCGCACCTGGCTGGAGCCATGTTTCTTCATTCACTTAGCTGTCTTCCTTAAGTTAATCTGGGAGTCTTTAAGGCAAGAATCATGTACTTTACAGTCATCTTTAGCACAGTAGCCAACACTTTGTAATACTTTGTAAATATTTGGAAAATAAATTAGTGAAGATTTATGAAGATCAAGAGTACTTTATCTTTACAATTATAGATAAAAAACCTCATTCCATGAAGGGTGTCTTACTTTCCTGAATTTCATGTTATGTTCTTCTTCATGCATTTTTTTATTGCATGAATATTGTTTTTCTATTACATTCCATTCCAAGATTTATCATGTTCCCATGTTGGAAATTTTTTTTATATGTCTATCTCCTCAATTCAACTGAGAGATTCTCTTAAGGTATTTAATCCCCATTATATGTATCCAGTAAATGTTCAACAAATATTTAAGTATTAATTAATTAAATAGTACACAAATGAAAGAACTGAAGCATGACAATGATGACGCTCTGTGACCAAAAACAAACCACTTCAACAAAAGGGAGAAACCCCAATGACTTACTGCTGATGAATAGCTGGTAAATTCTGAGACTGACCTGCATATGCTACTCTCTGCTTAAATCTAATGTTTTCTAATGAAGGTCTAAATATTTATGTGAAAAGCCATAAACAGTCATTGGACTATTTGAAGTGTTATTTTGGCTTAGATTCTCTTGCTTCTTTTTCGTAACTTTTGACCCAGAGACACAGAAAGTAGTCGGTCTTTCAAGAGCTACGTGACTCCTAGAAACCTGGAAATCATTAGTTCAGTCTCAGTGGTGAGTGAAAAACCAAAAATATCGATAGAAAATTTTCTCTAATTCTGTCTCCAACCTGACTCAAAAAATTCACAAATGTCCTCTGCATTGAATTACACTCTTCCTCAATTCTCAGCAAGACACAATATACATATAGGAACTGATTAAAGGATTTGGCTAATTCAGATTTTTTTAATTAAAAAAAAACTTTTTCTGAAATAATAATTTGAGGCAAAATATTTTATGTACCCGACTTAAGAATATCAAAAATCTGTACCTCACTTTATATACAACCTCACCAGGGAAGACAAATATACTGCAGAGCATATGGCAAACTAAATGCAGATCAGTAACAATGATACTGTAGAAAAAAAGAAAGTCCCATTGGAACATAATTGTAACTAAAAATACTCAAAGAAAACTAAGAATTGACCATAAATTATCCAAAAAGTATCAACCAAGTTTGTTTACTCAAAATTTGTCATTTGAAACAGCAAATTATGTAATAAAAATTATTAATTCCACTCTATCTGCAACTCAGTGTTTCTGTGAGACACTTCTAAATACTTAGATTGGCATGACTCCATTTGCTGAGGAAAGGGCTAAAGAGAAAGCTATAGTTTGTAAGACACATGAAGGCCCAATTCTTTCCTCCAGCATGACCGGCTCACACAAGCAACCACTGGCAGACTCCACTTATTATCATAGTTAAGGACATGCAATTGGAATTATCTTAGTCTCCAAAAATCAGAAAATTGGTTCCATGCAGAAGCCTACAATTACTTTGAAACAGCCAGGGATTAACAACGTACGTATTATTGAGTGTGTCTGCAGCAAGGAACGCTTTTGGCTTCAGTCTATCTGTATTTTATCTGTATTCTATCATGAAAGGAGGATTTAAAACATGCCATTTTGATCAAATGCATGGCCTCTTGAAGTCTTTAGAGACTAGGGTGAACTCATGTTTACATTTTAGTTCCACTTCAAGAAGAGCCTTTGTCTCTATTAATGAGAGGAAATCAGTCATAATGGGAGGGAACAACCCAATTTTCATCATCTTTCTGATAATTAAAATGGTGGAAAAATCAAACATCGACAACACCTTTAATTTTATAAAGACAATTGTTAGAATGAGCTTTAGTTTTCCTTAAAAGCATGGGCTATGAGTTAAGCAAGCATAACTTGAGAACCTCACGTCCCCACTCCTGTCAAAATAGATGAACATATGGTCAAAGTGCATTGTGAAGACAGTATAATATATGTAGTTATATGAGATTATTGCATCAGTTCTATGTAGCTATAACTTATCTTTTACCCAATACATTCAGCAGAACATCAATTAGGGCTGTGATCTGGCAGGGCTACTCAGAGTGGGGATTTCCTACCGAAGGATAATACACATTCTAAGGCACAATCTCCTACCTACTGAGTCAGGATCTGGCAGTCAGGTTAGTGAAACCTGTAATTGTAGTGTGTTTCCTAAGAGACCTGTAGAAAGTCTGGATGGATCAGTTTCTGACTCTGATTTGGGAACTCCTAACCTGTTCTAGGCACATACTCCTTCTTTCTGCATTATGGGTTTGTGTCTTTCAAAAAGAACCTCAGAAGGTGACCTCCCATTTGAAATACGGTTGCTGCTGATATAATTATTTAAGTGTTAGGTCATGTTGGGATAGGGTGGGCCTTTAATCCAATACGACGGGTTCTCTCATAGAAAGAGGAGTGGAGCACACAGAAGGAGCACAACGGGATGGCGAAGGAAGAGGCTGGAGCAATGCAGCTGCAAGCTGGGAATGCAAAGGGTTGACAACCACCACTAGAAGCTAGGAAGAGGCAGGGAAGGTCGCTACCCACAGTCTCAGAGGGACCTTGGCCCTGTGCTCATTTTAATACTGGACTTCTAGCCTCCAGAACTGTGAGATAATACATTTATTTTGTTTTAAGCCACCCAATGTATGGTACTTTGTTTCGGTAGCCCCCAGAAAATGAACATACCCCCCAATTATAACACAACAGGAAACAAGATTCATGGAGTGAATGGTAGAACCAGACCTGAATGCTGATTCTCTTCTCACCTGAAGTGCCACAGTTACCTTCTTGTTGTGTGATGATCAAAATGTGCTCTGAAGACAACTACCTCACAAAGAATTGGGGGTGCTTGAGAAAGAAAAGAAAAGAAGAAAAAAGAAAAGAAAAAAGAAAGACAAGTTCCTGAGTTCCATCTATGACCTAGTGTCTCAGGGTCTATGGCAGGCAGGGAATGAGCATCTGCATAGCTAAGAGATGTCTAGGCCACACCAGCACTTATAATTAGTTTGCAAACCTTGTCTAAAAGAATAGGGTTTCCTGATTAATTTGATTCGGAGTTAACTAAGCGTCATTTAAGCTATCCTTTGATTTTAACCTTTGTTATGGAAAATTGTTCTATACTTACAGTCCAAATTCTTTTTTAAGCAACTGGACTCAATAATACTAATTGTAAATCACTGTAGAATACACTTGAGCTCTGTGGCTCTTACAGAAAGAGAAAAAGAAACAGAGAAAAGACAGACAGAATTCTTTTTAAATTGGAGACAACCTAAGACTGTCAACTAGTATCTATCATCACTGTTTTAAATAAAAACTAGGAATAAAATACAGTGTTCTACATTACAAAAATAGATATACCACACCACCCCTATTTAAGTTCATTTCACTATTGAGTGGTCAAAATAAAAGGTCTTTAGATTAGCTCTTGGGCGTCATTATTCTAGCTCTGAGATTTTTCTTTTTCGGTATCAGGACTCCTTAAAGTAATGAAATTTTTGTCAACATGCCCCTCCAATGCCCACATGCATATGCTTAATTTGTATGCAACTTAGTAAACTCAGGGTTAAAGATACGTGACTTATGTTAGGTGATGGCTACTGGGATGGGATGTGTACCAATTTGCCTATGTTCTGGAAGTTATTATGCTTTCATAAAAATCCTGTATAGCCATCAGTTATTTTTTAAGAGATTACAGATTATCTGTTTGGTTTTTTCTTGGTGATTTTTCTAAAAGAACTCCTCTATCCCTCTTCCCCTGGCTTATGCTCATACTCCCTGTGCTCCAACCTCTGGAAGATGCATTAAAAATCAGAAAAAATATCGCGCTTTCAATTGCACATTGCAACTTGCTGCATTATTATAAGGATTGTGAATCATCACCAACTTTCTCTCTACAATATGAGTGAGTAGGTGGGTCTCACTAGGAATATTTCTATCCTACTCTAATAACAAGTTGGAAGCATTTGCCAATTTTGGAAAATAACATTTCTTTAGCTCTTAGCTCTAGGATACTGGTTGGTTTTGGCAAAATTCAAAATAGCATTGGCATTAAAGTTGAAAGTCAGTTTATTTGCTCAAGTTTAACCAGAGTCAGGGCAAAAGAAGAAGACAAAATCTCACAATTTTGCTTTTCAGACAAATTTTTTAAATATCCAAAAGAGAGAAGCAAATGAGTTCCTGTGATAGCTCAATGAAGCCTTGTGTGTGCAGAAAGTCTGTCAACTCTTCAGAAAAATGTCTTTGGCACCTCCATCATTCTGTTCTCACTCCTTCCACTCCCAATTTGTCTCCTTGAATCTAGAATGCAGAAATAGTCTCTCTGCCCATTCAACGTATTATCCCTACACACTATGGTCATATTAATCTCATAGCACTTATTCAATCTTATCATGCTTTGGCTCAAAACTCTACATATGCTCTCTAGTTGCCTTCAAAATTAAACGTAATTTTTGATCAGACATTTAGATCCTTCAAAATGTGTCCTCAAAATGTGTCATTCTCTCACTCTTCCTATATGAGTCTCTGTCTTCCACCACACTGTACTCTTGATTATAAATTTTGTGCTTTTAGACTTTCTAGACCTTGTAATTTTATAATCCCTTATTCCTGGAATACTTTCTTGGAAAATCTTCACCTAACCAGAGAGGACCTATTCCTTAAGGCCCAACAAAAACACCAAACTCCCCTAGAAATCACTCTGGTCTCCAAAAGGATGCAATCTTACATGTACAAAAACCTTGATAACATGGTACCTGCAAATATCAGAACTTCCCATAATCTATTTGGTGTTAGGTTACCTACATACTCTGCTTTTTTGTAAAAGCACTCAATCACTCCACAGCAACATTTATTGATCACCTACTTTGTGCTAAACAATGGGGATATAAAACTACTTAAGCAAACCTTTACATGATGAAGACGAACTTGTGAGGATAAAGACACAAAGACACTAAGGGAAAGGGCGAGGAGGGGCATTTACACCACTCAGGGTGTGAGGAAAGGCCTGCACAGAAGATACCCCTAAACTGAATTGGTGTTTCCCCATAAGTAACTGTGAAACAATGATGAGGTTCCAGGGAGAGGACGTTGTTCCACAGGTTCTCAATGTCTATCTGGGAATTAATCAAGATCTTGTCCTGATGAAAATCAGCACTGAAACTATTTTGAAAAGAAAAGTCTGCCCTAGTTATAAAGCAGTATTACTAAAATAGATTGAGCATTTATTTAATACAAGGCTCCATTTAAACCTCCAATAGTGAGGAAAACTTACCGTAAGCAATATTGCAAGGAAGCTGGGCAAGGTTGGGTGGGATGATTATAATGGGAGAATTCGTTTTTACACAAAGGCACACATAGGATAAAGTCTTAATTAACAAGAATTTAGGTCGAGGTTCAGCTTACAGCACAAGAAGACATTAAAAAATAAAAAAACAGGTTATGTTCCAGTTTTATTTATTTTAAATCCTAGGATATGTCTAGAAACCCTTCCAATTCAAAATAATCCTCTCCCTTTCCCTGAAGCCAAGGTGTAATATGAGGGTGAGAAGATGGACATTTAGAAAGACAACTTTAAAGCACGACAATGTTGTTTTACATTTAAGAAATCCTAAATGGTATTTACTTAATTTCTGGGTGGCTAAATATACTATTGCTTTCTGAAATGAGAGGAGACTGTAAAACTGCAGTTAACCACACCATGCCATACGTATTCCAGTAAAGCACTGTTTCACTCCCAGAAAGGAAGAGCTTTCGGCCAGATGTATTCAGCAGGACAAGGATAAGCAAGAAAGACACAAAGGAAAAGAAGTAACAAAAAGTAGCAAAGGGAACCTCATGTTTGGCCTGCAGACTCAGTGGACATGCCTCTTTTGCGAAGATACGAATTTTTTGAAAATTCTTCACTGTAACTGCATCAGGCCTAAGCAAAGGAGGAACGTACACCTGGTATTTCACAGAACAGAGAAAGCAACTGCAGCTAGAAACAGGAGAACTCAGCTCTCGAACCTGAGTGTTTTTTCAGTACAACCACTTTCTTGGCATAGGGGTTAAAAGCTTGATCTCTGGATTCAGACAGGCCAGGGTTGAATCCCAACTCTAACTTTCATGTGTTGTATGATAATCTTTCTGGGTATGCTCTCTCCCCACTATAAAATGGAGATAATAAAGCCTACTTCAGAGAGTTTGTTGGAAGATACAGAGATAATCCGTATAAAGTCCTCTGCATGGTGACTGACACACAGGGAGAAATCCATAGATCACGGCTGTTGTGACTAATCACTAAGAAATTACCCCAGTGATTAACAGATGTGCAGCATTTTAGTTCCTTTTTCCATATCCAGCCAATGGACCTCTTCAGACTAACTTAGAAGGGGCACTTGTTTTCAAAAGGACTGTCGATGGGAACTGGGTGAGGCTCTGGCCACAGACCTTCCCAGTGCAGGGTTATTAGTGCAGACTTGTCACAGAGCAAGCAGTGAGGGACTGCCCAGGGCAGGGGGCTGGGAGACTTGGAGCTTTAAACACTTTCCCCTCCTGAGGCCCTGGACGCCTGCTGGCTTCTATTTCCTTCCATCCTTGGTGTCCAGGGAGGGTCTGACACAGGGAGCTGTTTTGGGGGAGGATTCCTATTCATGCTTTAGAACTGCACAAGCTGAAGAGAGAGGCTTAGAGGAGAGGCAGACTGAAGTCATTTGCAAAGTTCAAGGTCATCTTTCCTTTTCCTTTCTTTTGACTCTAAAAGTAAAAAGTTATTAATTATATCACAAGCCTAAAAAAATTCTCCTAATCCTGATCTTTATGAAGTTGGGTTAGACACTCAGGCAGCAATATCTGTTTTTGTTTATTTTTGAGCAGGTCTGTTGCCTATGCTTAAATGCTCTTGTTAAAGCTCTCTGTTTTATAGCTAATCACATTTTTATAGCAGGCATGAAGCTCTCTACAAGGCCCTTGCTGAGCTGTTCCTGTAAATCAAAACCTTACTCGGCTGTTCTTCTAGCTGGCAGTGGAACAGGGTTAGTTTTACCATTTATGGTTGCAAAGTCCATCCAGAATCTTTTTTTTGTTCCCTTTAGCTTTTTGTTTTTTTCCACTCAACCTCCTCCCCAGCTCCTGCCTTAAAAATGTATATTCCAGGCTTAGCTGAAGCACGTATGAATAGGTTATTTCATTTCCTACCATGGCACATTAATAAAGGTGTCAAAATGACAGAGGTGTCAAAATGACAGAATAGCTTATATTCCTGTGTCCTACAGCTATTCCTCGAGGGCAGCCTGTACCTATTTGGGAAAAGATCTGTTTTGTGCTCCTGGAAGCTGACTTCCAAGGTCTAGTTAAAGGATTAAAACACTTTCTAGTAAAATCTATTTATAAGGTACAGAGGACACTTACATGCATCTTGTCTTCTTAGGCCACTCACATCTCAGCATTGTCATTACCTTCAACCCTGTGTCAGGCTAGGGACAAAGGAAGCCCAGGAATTTGACCTTTTTTCGCTAAGCATCTGTATTAACACTGGTGTTAACTGCCCCACCTGCTTTGCTAGTTATAACAAGGCTAAGACAAAATAAAGGAATGTAAGTTTATGAAAAGTCAAAAGAAGACCTACACTTATGCACAGGTGAAATGGGAGGAGTTTTCCCTTATCCCTTTGCAGGACATGCAACAAGGGTGAGGCTTGTGTCTTTGGTGCACCATTACTCAGACCCCTAGAGGAAGCATGCAGACAGGCATGTCATGGGGAGTACGGGCTCCGACCCCACAGCAGCGTCTAGGGTTGAGTGTTTACAGCTCCCAAAGCCCAGTGGGCATGTGTTACAGTGTGTTCTTTCAGCTTACCGTCCCCAGGCAGCTTGTGTTAATCAGTTCAATTAGGCTCTCTGCCTTATTGTAACGACAGAGGGCTTTCAGTATCCTGGGTTCTTGCCCTAGTGTACCGGAAAAATTGGATCACACGTGGGCTTGGAGAATGAGTGCAAGGTTTTATTGAATGGTGGAAGTAGCACTCAGCAGATGGATGGGGAGCCAGAAGGGGGATGGAGTGGGAAGGTGGTCTTACCCTGGAGTCGGGCTGCTCAGCGGCCAGGCTCTTCTCCAACCACCCTCTGCCAAATTTCCCTCAGCATCTGCGTCGTTCCACCACTGATGGCCTTCCAGCATCTGTCGGTGTGTTCTTCTGCCAGTGTGTTCCTCTTGATGTCCAGCTGCTTATGCGTGTGTCCGCTAGGGTCTTGGGGTTTTTACTGGCACAGGATGGGGGACATGGCGGGCCAGAGTGGTCTTGGAAAATGCAACATTTGGGCATGAAAACAAGAGTGCCTATTCTCACTTAGGTCCATGGGCACAGGCCTGAGGGTGGAGCCCTTGCCAGAGACCCTGCACTTCTCTACACAGCACTTCCCGGCCCACCGCCTGTATCACAGGGAAGCCACTTTTTAAAAGAAAGTTAAAAGGAAGCAAGGGAATAAGGGAATATGGATCCTGTCCAATATTTCCAAAAGAAAAGAGTCCTCCCAGGCACCCGGGGGAGCTTGTGCCTGTGGGAATAAGAGAAGGGGGCAGTGTCCAGAGGGCTTTGGGCTGTCTGTAAGTCTCGCATCTGGTGGCATCCACCATCGCCCATTCCAGTGGTCCAGGCTCTGCAAATTCCAGGCAGACAGCTCACAGGAGATAAGGAGATGCTTTTTGGCCCAAGTCACTTGCCAAAGTAAGACCCCATGAGAAGGCAGTTCTAGCTCTGACATTTGGAGCTCTACTTCTCCAAATGTAGACCACATCGTTCCTCTGACCAAGCTTGGCACTAGGCAAGGCACAGGCATCATAGAAATGAGTAAAATCCCATCACTGTCTGGTCCTGATGGAACTCATTGTTTTGTTTAAGCAGCATTACTCCAACTGGTTCAGAGGCTCAGGGCCCAATCCGAATAGGACTAAGCAGAAAGGGAATGAGTCTAGGAAGGATGGGTGGTGAGTGACAGAAATGAAGGAGGAGCCAGCACTCACCATAGTCACCACTCTCTCCCTTCCTCATTCTTCACATCTTCTTACATCTGTTTTCAGCCTCACTTGCTTGGATGGCTGAGAGCAGACTTCATGTAGGCACCACCCGCTTAGCAACTCCAGCAGAAAGAACATTTTTAGCCCTATGTACGAATAACAACCCCTAGAAGAGCTGTGACCCCAAGATCATTTGCACGATCTTTGGAACACCTTTATTTGCAGCCTGATGGCCATTTCGGATCAGGCCTGGATGAAGTCCCCACTTCTATGGCCAGGGGTAAAAACTCTATCATCAGAATAAAGGGGATAGGAAAGTTTACTGGCTTTTCCAGTTAATTCAGGAGAACAGGCTTAACAGTGCCATGACATTCATCTAAGAGAAAAACTGAGAGGCAAGCAAAGATATTAAATGAATAGCTTGTAAAAGACAACAGAGGGAGATACAGAATGGGCCAAAGTCCGCTGCAGATGTTAGTGTTTAAGTGGGGAGAATGGGCAGTCAATGTGATTAGAAAGGTCCACTTTTTGTAGCCTTTTTGTAGTTTTGCTAATAACAAGGGCTAATACTTAGTATTATTGGGTGCCAATCACTATTCCAAGTAACTTAAATGCATTACCTCAGTTAATTCCCATCTCTATGAAGTAGGTACTCTTATTATTCCCATTTTACAGAGCAGGAAACTGAGGCATAGAGGGATTCAACAGCTGGTAGGATCTTTCAATTAGAAAAGAGAAGTGACCCCGGATTCCAATCGAGGCAGCCTACTCTGAGGGCTCAGGCTCTCACTTCCATTCTCTGGCCCTGGCTCTCACCCCATCATGGCCTGCAGAGTCTCTGCCATATCCACAGCAGACGCTCAGCCACGGCACATTCCCAGAACCAAAGTCCTACCTCACCACACACCAGTCTTATATGATTGCTGTTTATCAGAACCCTAAACCAGCCACCTCTCATCTGAACTGTGCTTCTACCATCCAAATCCAGCGATGCGGGAGTCCCTGTGCATAGGTTCCATCCTTGAAGGTACCATTGACTTTCCAGACTTCCCTTTTCTCAGTCGACTTCATCTCAGAAGATGATGAAATGATAAGGAAATCTTTAGATTTCTCTGAGTCAGGCTAAAGAGAATTAGGCCAGGCCAACATCTGTCAGTGATCTTAACACTCTGGGGTAAATCATAACAGCTAGACTCAAAGAAATCTTCTCCCCTGCTGTGACGGTGCTTGGAATTTAAATACACTCAAAAGAAGAAAAGTGGGCAAAAGGTAACAGGCATCAGAGGAAAACGTCAGCCCCAGAAGTACACTGAGCAGCACCTAGATCCTCTTGGGTGGAGTAACCTCCAAAGCAACAGGAAAACCCATCAGAGAAAACAACTGCACTGGTTGCCTACAACAGGAAAGGGAGGGCAGGAGAAAGAGCCAAATGACGGCAGGTTAGCACTTTAGAGCAAAGGCTTGGAAGAGCAACCGGAATGGGCATCATTCGAGCTTTAGATGCAAAGGTCCGAATATGAAAATTGGTCTGTTCTCACTGTTGGATGCAATTACATGAAACATCAAGTTGATTCATGATTTTCGCTTTAAAGGCAAGGAATACCACTCAGTGATGCTAGGCCAACCCTTGGTGTGTCTGCTATGTGATGTCCTGATGAAAGGTGGTGGGGAAACCTGCCCATCAAGCGGGATGTGCACTCCAGTGCCTCAATACTGACAAGAACAGAAGTCAGTTGTCACCCTAGGTTATCATCCTGGGGGCCAGGTGGCAGGAAAAGGGTGACACCAACAGATAGGAAAGCTCATTAAGAGGGATGGGAAAGCCATGTCACATACAGGAAACATTCCACTTTTCAAAGTACAAACTGAGTATTTTAAGTGAAGATGAAAAGGGCATCCTTTCCCTTAACTTAGAGTGCCAACATCCTCAAAAACTGATAACACTCCAAGCACAGAAAACAACTCATTTTCCTCTAACCTCTAAATCCATTCCTACAATTACAGCAGTACTGAACTCCCTGTGGCTCACACACTGAAGAATCCAGCATCTGTTGACCTACCAATCTGTCCCCATCCTCCACCCCCACAACATTCCCAGCCTCTGGTAACCATCATTCTACTCTCTGCTTCCAAGAGATCCACTATTTCAGATTTCACATATGGGTGAGATCATTCAATATTTATCCTTTTCTGTTTGGCTTATTTCACTTAACATAATGTCCTCTAGGTTCATCCACGTTGAGAATTAGAGTAAGATAGAAGAAATAAGTTCTGGGGATCTATTGTTAACAATAATGTATTGTATATTTCACAATAGCTACAATGGAGTATTTTGAATGTTCTCACCACAAAGAAATGATAAATATTTGAGGCGATGAATATAATTCCCTGATTTGATCATTATACAAAGTATACATGTACTGAAACATCATACTGTAGCCCATAAATATGTAAAATTACTATGTGTCAACTAAAAATAAAATTAAAAAAAATATTTCGTCAGGACTGCTTTCACAAATCTATAGTGTTAACTGGAGAATTTTGAAGAACAATGTATATTTATTCTAATCATTGACCAAAGGGACAGTTTCCTAGCTGGGGATTATTTATTTTAATTGAATTGGGTTTTGGTTATACCCATAAAACTGATTATTTTAAGTAACTGCTGAGTTTTGAAAGTTGGAAAGCAAAAGCTTGTTTTCTAACATGAAGAAATGCCTCATTACTTAGCTCATTTGTTTAAAAAAATATAGAAAAGGATCTTCCTACATAATGAGGATAGCAAAAAGGGCAGAAAACTATTGGTTTACACCAGTGGTTCTCAACAAGAAACAATTTTGCACATAACTCTCATCCCTGGGGATATGTGGAAATGTCTGGAGATATTTTTGGTTGTTATACTTGGGGTGTGCAATTGGCGTGTAGAGGGTAAAAGCCAAAGATGCTGCAAAACATCTTACAATGCACAGCACAGCTCCCCACCATAAAGAATTATGAAGATCAAAATTTCTGTTAAGCCAAGGTTGAGAATCCCTGGTTTGGACAAACCTGGATTCAGTTATATTCATTATTAGTTGAATGGGACAGCCATTTAAGTTCTTTTAGACAGTTTCCTCATCTGCAAAATTTTAAAAGACTGTTGTGAGCAACTCTGATTAATTTACTTGTACAACCACTACTACTTCTACAAGTTCAATTTATTGAGCATTTACTATGTGTTAGGTATTATTCTAAGTGTTTTTGTTTATCTTAGTTAACCAGTGCAACCTACCTTTTGAGGCACTATTATTATTTTTCTATTTTATAGATAAGAAACTGAGGCACACAGTTGGTAAATATCTTGCCCAAGGTCAACAGCAGATAAGAGGAGGAACACAGTGCCTGAAACAAAATGTGTACACCGCAGGTAGCAGCTATTTTTACATGTCATCCCACTGATACTGGTTTTAGATGCTTAATGAAATACTTAAGAGACAGTGAACCTGGACATCCCAAGAAGCCCTGCATCAAGACCTATTATATAACCTAAGGAGGTAGAAATCACACATCATTTTCTCCTTTTATCACACTGGAAAACATTACCTTGTGCATTTTTCTAAAAAAAAAAAAAAAACTGAAAATAAACTGATGACAAGCAGCAAGAGGTGAATAATATTTAGAACAGAGAAAAGAGTTGGAACAAGAAGGAAGAAAACTCCTCAATGTCAGTGTGACATGCAGGCCAGCTCAGCAAGCAGCAATAGGAGCTGTCGCATTGCCCATGACGTGCACCGTTGGAGTTCCCGCTAGGTGCCAGGGCAGGGGGAAGCAGATGGTGGTGATGTCCTGCCCATGGTCTCACAACTCTGGGGAGATGGAGGACGAGGCCTGATTCACTGGCTCTGTCTTTGGTAGTTGAGGATGGAAAGGACCTTTCTTTCTGAACCAATTACCCAGTATGGATTCTAGAGGGTTCCTCCTCTCCCACCCCTCTGTGTGGTGATCTTTCTGAGCCTTGTCAGCCCTATTAGTACATCATTAAACAAAACTCTCAGGCACTGCCTACATAAACATACTGGGTTACGGAGTCAGCCCCACTGTCATCTGGCTTTGAATGTTATTACAAGAGGAAACCAGGCATGTTCTGGTCTTGCTGATGGTCAGAAACCTTCAGCCTTGGGGACACAACACTATTGCCCAAGTTTCCCATTCATGTTTCCTCAAGTGGGGCATTTATAGGCAAGTGCTGGCTGATCTACCTGGAGAGCCCTCGGATATAGACTAGGTACTTTTCAAATGGGACAAGAACATGGCCTGACTGGAGGCGACCATGGAGTGGTCAAGAGCATGGTTTGAGTTACTAGATGGTTAAGAGAATGGTTGGAGTTACCAGATGGTTAAGAGAATGGTTTGTGTTACCGGATGGCTAAGTGAATGGTCTGAGTTACTAGACCTACACATGTAGGAATGCCAGTTCCCAAATCCAGAAATGTTTTTGACACTCACTAAGCAAACCTCAGTCTTCTAAATTTATAAATTGGGATAATACTACGTACCACCTATGGTGACTAGGAATTAATCGTAATACCCTTATCTTTGTACTGGAGCTATGATAAGCACTTAATCAATGGTTCCCATCCCCAATGGAACCCAACACTCCTGTTTTGTAACAAATGTCTGGTCGTGTCCCCTTTAGTATCCTAAAATGTGATTCAAAGATAATAACCGACATATATAATTTCAAAAGAAATCATATAATGCCTTGTGTAAAAAAAGAGAAATAGAAGAAAAGTAAATTATATTAAAATGTTATACATTTAAATATGTAATTGGTTAGGCTCTTCTATCCAGGAAGATGCAATCGCTAGTCTAGTTGCATGCTTTGCTCTGAAGGTAGAAGCTGCAAATGCAGGTATACACATGCAGAGTCGCTGCCTGTTACATCACAAGCAACATGGCCACCATGATGTGACTGAGATAGTGAACAGTTCCTCGAAAAGCTCCAATTCTTAGTACTATCATCCCTCAATGCACATGCTAGTTTCATTCTTGGAAAATTTAATACATATTCAGTCTGTGCAAAAAATACCTATTTACATAGACACGGGTGCTAGACTTGAGACCCAAATAACTACTGATCTTATTTTTTAAATCTACAAGGATGTCCAGTGAGCTGCAATGTCAAGTGGAACAGAAGCATTTCCTCACTGTCCTCACTGTGCAGGACTGTTCTATGCCTTGCATGTCATTAGCATCCCTTCCCATTTCCCGCTGAATTCTCACAGCCTTGAGGGCAGTGCTACACCAGTTGAGAACAATGGTAGTTATTGTTATTATAACTAATGCAAAAGGTCCTACAGCTCTATGAAATGATCATTATCCACTTCTCTTCTCCCAGAGCACTAACTGCATTTCGAATTAGCACTCATTGGGAACAGTGAGTGCATGTGGGCCTCTTTGATGGAGAACAAAGGTGTGAAAGGAACAGGGGCAGGTTCTAAGTGGGGAGTGAGCTCAAAAGGCTCCCACCTCAAATGTCTTTCACTGCTGCCACAATTTGGATTCTGTAAAACTACTACCAGGATGCCAAGAGTTAAGCTCAGATGTCTGAAAAGGAAAAGGCAGTAGTTATTCTCAGGGCTTTTGAATTACAATCAGCCATGTGGATTTCTGACGATTCCCCAAATATAGGGTTTCCTATAAAGGGGTTTTGTTATTATAACCACTTATTCTAATCCAGCAAGGCTTGGAGTTGTGATTTCCTCAAATGTTTTCACTTGTAATGCTTTTTAATGGGAGCAGGAGAAAACTTTATTATGGGAGAAGACAAAGTGGTCTTAAATATGTAGGATCCACAACCTGCCAGCCCTTGAGTTCAGGATATGGGGATGGGTTTGCTTGAAACACTACATAGATGTTAAACCCACAAGACGGGTTCTAGAATTTCTCTGGCCCAGATAGAGATTGTCTTCACTTAATTCTAACTAGCCTCGGCCAGGCGTTTGACAATCACTGCACCATGCTTGAAGCCCCTGTGGGTGGTCAGCATACTTCTTGGCTCAGTGGTCCAATCCATTGAAACTTAAGAAGGTCACAATTTCTGGTACATTTTCCTTCCAAAAAGTTATATTTTCAAGCATCACTGCACTTCCAAGCTATTAAAAATCTAGTAACTAAAGATACAGGAACAAAAACAGTCCATTTCACCTTCTAAATTACATTGAAAATTATATAAATTGAGGTTTCTTTCTAATTATGTATGTTTTAAGTCTTGGATAAAATGCAGCAATTAAAATAATATCCCTAGAGGGCCACTATATTTTGTTCAGGGCTATACAGAGAGAAAGGTTCAGGAATAAGAAGGAACACAAGTAGAGTGGGAATAAGTCCCTAACTCAGATAAGAGGGTTTCCAAACAAGATGGGGTGATTCAGATAGAGGGATCAGGAAGACTGCTTGGTTTGATATGGAGCCTACTTAGTGTGAGGCTAGATTACTTAAGTGCTGTCAAATTAATTTAACAACAGTTAATCATGTAAAGGAATGTGCTCTACCAAATGCAGGGCTTTCTAAATCTAAATACACAATGAACAACGAAACAAAAAGATAAATTTATTCCTTTATGATCCTGAAGGACCTCAATGAAGTCGATCCCATTTACAAAACAAGTGCAGGACAGCAAGTCTGGGTGAAATTGCCCAGGATTTAAAGGCCTGAGAGTGACCAGATGAATAGTAAACAAAGTTATCCAGACAGCTAACTGGATGCATTTGGAACTAGCATCCAGTGGAGGTTTCAGTACATCAAGTGCATAGACCCTGAAGTCCAAACCTCTCATAAAGGCATTTCTGAAAAACCACACCTGGTTGCTGCTCTATGGCAAAAGGGGCAACAGGGCCTTACTGGAGCTTGTCTCCCCCCGGGACTGTTGTTCTATGTTTGTGTATCTGCTCTGCCTTCAGCTAGTTAATTCAAAGACCAGGTTGGTGACTGCAGATTTGAGAAGAGATCATAGTAAGACACTCCAAGTTGTAATGCAGTAGGTTCTCATAATAATAACTAAGTTTATTAAGAGTTTCCTGTGTGCCAGGCATACTGCTAAGCTCTATACATCTATTCTTTCACTGAATCCTGGTAACTGACAACACTGTGAGGAAGGCATTGCTACCCCATTTTACAGATGACAACTAAAGCACAGTAAGGTTCAGTGAAGTGGCATAAAGTTATACACATGGTAAGGAGCAAAGCTGGGACCTGAACTCAGTTCTGCCTGTCTTAAAAAACCTACACTTTTCTCTGCAGCCTCCCATCAGCCTTTATATTTTGCCAGTATTGTAGAAATAGATGGAATATTCCACCATCCCCTACACATATTTCTTTTTCACATCTGAACTATACTAGGTTCCATTCATTTCACCTGAAATAGTCTCCCCATGTCTTTCAGGTAAAACTCTTTCCTCTGTGGGTTTTGAGGTGTTGCCTATGGTTTTCTGCTCCCTCATACAATCTTGAGATCACTTCCATTCCACTGGAGTAACTGCAGTTGCTTCCAAGTCCTTTATTATACACCCTCTATACAAATCCTGTATTCGAAAAGCATCTGCAAGATGCATTGGTATATTTTAGGTGCTTAATATCATGTTCAAAGACTGCATCCCAGCGTATATTCACACTATGAACATAATAAAGAATTTGGAAAAATTATTGCCCCAACTACATTCATGAGTTTCACTGTTTGTTCCTGCTCAAGAAAAAGGCAATTCTGTTGTGAAAGAGATACTTCTGTCTATCAGGTAGATGGACACTACTATCAGGTAAAATTTTAGATAAGCAGGGATCCGACTTACTAAATGTCACAAGCAGAAAAAAAAAATCCTCTTTATTCAGAGAAATGCTTAGTCCTACGAATGGAATATGTGAAGAATTTCAAAAATTTTCTCCCCAGCAACATATAGTGGTTATTTCTGCTTTAACTAGCACATGATTATTTGACATTACATGGTACCATTTCTGAGGGCAGAAGTGTCTTCTCATTTTCTCTAACTTTCTACTGAGTTCCTGCTGGAGGCTCTAGCAGAGAATCCATTTCCTTGACATTTTGCACTTCTGGAGACCACTTGCATTTGTTGACTTGTAGCCCCTTCTCCATTTTTAAAGCTAGAAGCAAAGCATTTTCCAATGAGCCTATCTCTGACTTTGACAACTCTTTGCATTGTACATATCTTTCTTGGATTCTGACTCTGACTCTTCTCCTTTGCTCTTATAAGGACACCAGTGATTACACTGGATTTACCTGGATAATCCAAGGCCAATCTCTGTATCTCAAGATCTGTAATCACATCTGCAAAGTCTCTTTTGCCTGGTAAGATAACACATTCAAATATTCTAGGAAGCAGGACATGCACATTCTTGGGGGCCATTATTCTGCCTAACACATTTTCCCACTGCTGATTCATTTTCCTAAAATTGGTCTTGCTGTCTGCCTGCAATACTCCTATTTACCCTTTAATACCCAAATCATCCAAATCTATGTGTCCCCCATACCCTACAGAGGTAGATGGACCACATACCTCTTACCTAGATACCGTGCACACACCTTTCTCATGTCATGTATCATATTATAATATTCACTTTCCTCCTTTACCAGATCATTCCTAAGTTCGTTGAGAGCAGGTGCGTAGGCTTGTTCGTTCACGTACCTTCATAAATTTGCACAAATGACTAATGAGGACCATATATCAGCAATTACTGTTTGAGAAGTGAATGGGTGGATGAAAGGAGAAATGGATGAGCAGGTGGGTAGATGCACTAATGGGAGCATGTTAAAATTAGAATTTAAACCATATTGAAATTTATCTAAATAATCATCTCAATCAATGTGGGAAAATTATTAAAATAATTTAATTTTTAAAAGGCCTTTGTATGATTAAATTTTACTCTCTATATATAGTCCTTGAGAGGCAACACACATAATCTTCATTTTTCATACTAGGAAATGGAAATTTAAGGACATGAAAGGAATCCAAACATATAGGGGGAACGTGAAAGAAGTGATAAACTTCTACTTCCCATTTCCCATCTATGAACCACAGAAATATCATTAAAGGGAAGGATTTCAGTAATATTATGTGCTGAACAATTTTTGCTCTAACTTGGATTACTAAAGAGAAGGGTCATTTTCCAAGGTCTAAACTACTTAGCTCTCTTAAGGTCCGGGCCTCCCCCAGGAGTAGAGGGGTGGGGAGCATTACGTGTCATTGCTGTGGCTGCCTTTTTACAGATATGCTTTGAAGAGGAAGTCTATTGTGAAATAAATTTCCTTTCTTCCTAGATACATTAAAATTTCCACCCTCTTTATGATGTCCCAGAATACATGGTTTATATCTCCTTAAAGGGGAACTTACTCATGGGACCTAGGGCCAGATGCAGTGTATCAAGAAGACTTAGGCAGAAATCTTGGCAGAGCTCCGCCTGGGGGTGACGGAGAGCACAGCCCCAGCAGGGTTAGGTGACTCCCTGACACGGGTCCTGGTCCCTGCTCAGCCCTCATACAGTCCAGCCTCACTTTCCCACAAAATTCCTAGAATAAAGCCACATGACCCAAGAGAATCTAAATATACTCACAACATTTTAAACACACATTTTTAGCTGATTAATTAAAAATAACAATAAACAATTTCCTGGGAGTTGAGGGCTTGAATAAACACACAAGACAAGTTTTAGGTCTCCAGAGACTACTTCTAGTTGCCCCGAAGCTGTGGTTGATTAATTAATTCTGCATTTGAAATGGAAACATCCTCCCTCCATTTCAAATGAATAAGCAATACACCTTCAGCTCTCATCTCCCTCTCTTATTCTATGTACCACCTTCCCTTAGCTTTTGTAAACATTACAGGGGATAATTAGGGCTACAGTTTATTTATTATGACTGGACATTACCTAAAGCTCTGTATGTGAAAAATGAGAACAGGTGATTGCATGCTCAAACTTTTTTACTGTCATCTTCGACAAACAGAAAATCTCAGACAATAAAGTATTTTTCCAGCATCTGATACAAGCTGAAGAGTTTCCAATCAGACATAAATACTTCAGAAGCCATGTGGCAACAGGCTGATTCCATCAGTTAAGATGCAGCCTGCACACACATGTAGTTGTAAGCAGCTTTCCCCTTAACCAAGAGCCCTTTGGGAATTCTATTGAGGAAATGTGTTATCATTTAGGCATCAATTACTCCTTGATCAATACAGCTGGACTTTTTTACCTGGATATAAAGATTTTAGAACAATGTGCTATAAAAATAAAGTATTAAGCAAGTAATTTAGAATAAAACTTAAAAGCTGAAATAAAGAAAATTTAAAATAAAGAAAATTTAAAATATTTTTATTTACCAAAATAAAATCAAATATTGAAATACCATTCTTTATAAAGACAAAAAATATTTTTGTCTCTGTAAGATGTTATGTTAGGTGGAAGTGGTAGTGATGAATGTTGTATGTTCACCCAACCTGTTTTCCTCCTGGATACACCCTAAGGCCACATTTCCTAGCCTCTCTTGCAGTGATGTGTTAGTAAGGTCACGTGATTGAGATCTGGCCAATGGAATGTGAACAGAGGTGAGGGAGGCCATTCACACCTGGCAATTATTTCCCTCGAAGGAACCTCGACAGTATCTCTTCTTATTCTGTGGCAATTTTGCAGGCCACAAGTTCACCTATGATGGATAAAGCCTGGGTTCCCAATGTCTAAATGACACAATGGAGCAGAGCTCCCCTCCTCTCTTCTGTCCCCCACCCTGCCTCTGACCACCTTGGTCTATGATACAATTGATCAATCAACATTTAGTATATTAAGTGGCTGATATTGCTGGTGTGTGTTATAACCATTAGTGTATTCTGACTAACGCAGACCTGAATTATCCTGGTGAATGACACGCTGTGTTTACATGAATCTAAACTAAATGAAACAAACTAGAGATGTTGTATTCCTTGTAAAAAGTCATCCTGCCTAGGTAACACCAATTATGTTCCACTCTTCAAAAAATAAAATTCCATTTCCTTATGTTCTTATTTGACGTATTCCTATTTCCTAACAAAGGCAAAAAGGAAATGTACAAATGAGATAAACAAAAAATCAAAACCAGCATTAACCCACCTTTATATTTGGTTCAAATCTAATCAAAGTATAGATGGCTGTATTAAATCCACATTTTTGAAACTTCTTTTATCTGACTAAAAGTACAGTTTTTCTAAATAAAAGCAGTTTTGTTATAAAAATAGAACACATACCTAAAAGCAGAAAAGAAAAAACAGGTCACCCATGATTGTCCCTCCCACTGGTAAATACTACTAACAGGTTTATATAAACCATTCTAGTCTTTTCTCTAATCTATGCATGTGAGAATATAAATAAACATCTAATTTGACAAATCTGTAATCATACATTTTCAGTTATGCCCTTTATACACTTTTCAATATGTTGAGAACATTTTTCAACAGAGTGTTTCTTCTATGACAACATTTTTAAAGCTGCTTATAAATATACTTTTCTTTATTAACAAAGTCCCCTACTGATGAGTATACAGGTTATTTCCAATTGTGTTGTTGACATTATCAGCATAATTCTAAAGTTAATAAACATGTAAGGAAATCTTTGCTAACTTTCTAATTACACACTTTGGATGAATTCCTCACATTGAGGTTGAAAATTAGAAGGTATGCCTTTTTATGAAGCTTTTGACACTAGTTGTCAAATTGTCCTCCAGAAAGGTTAAAGCAGTTTATATACCTACCAGATCTGTCATGTTCTACACATGATCTGTATATTTCTTGACATATCTGTTCTTAAATGTTATGCACACTCATTTGTTTGTGTCTTTTAATAATTATATTTTCCATACTGATTCTTGCTGGTATACTAAAAAGATAGTCATCATTTTGTAATTTACATGCTCATCAATGGCATGAACTTAGAGGTCAGCATTGAAGTAGTGTCTCCATCCTGCTCTAAGCTTCACTTTCCTCATTTAGGCAGTGAGAATAATTAAAGCCATAACCCACATGGAATTATTATGGCCATTTATGAAGAGAGAAGGCACTTAGCACAATGTCAAAGTAGCTAATGAGCAACAAATAAAATTGAACAACATAATACATTGGCATCCTAAAACTTTTTTCAGAAATTCACACATTTGGAGTCATGTTATTGCCATAGATTAAAGCTGGCTCACACTCATGACGTAACTGGGCTTCAGCAACCATTTATGGAACACCAATTATCTGCCTAATTATTTCTGGCTGACATCTCATCTTTACAGTTGTTTTCCCCTACTATGGGTATGTTAATTAATAGCCTACTGACATCCAAACACTTAACCAACTGATAAAAGGCCAAGTCATTTATTTAAACCTGGTTCTTTCCTCTCTATTTGGTTATAAGTCAGGAAGGTGAAACTAGATAAATTTACAACTCCTAGAATAATTTCTCCCCTGAAATAGCTGCCCAGTATAGTTATTCAGGTTGCACATTGCAAAAGTGCAGCAAATCTCAGGGGCTCAACTCACATGTAAGACATCTGTTTTTGATTATAACTTTAGCACCTTCTTATATACTAAAAGAATTTTACCCAAAAATTCCCAGTGAGGTTTATTTTTCTAACAAATGATACTTAGAATAATTTTCTGAAAATTGAAAATAAAATGTCTTTGGGAAGAGCTGCCTTTTTCAATGTACATGAAAACACCATGTAAGGTAGCAACATCCTTGCCTTCAGTGGTTTTAATGATTTGCAGAAGTGAGTATGTAAAGGACTGGAAAAAAACTGCATTGAATTCTGAATGTAGATACTTGTTTCATTGACAAAAGCTCAATTAAAACTTGTGTCACGTCTTAACTTTGGTGATCTAACCTTTTGCTCCAGCAACCATTTAGAGAGAAAATTTGGCCAAATGTTTATGAAATGGAAATAAACCTACCTCCTTTGCCTCTCAATTCCATAAATGGTACAAATGTCTATTTTTTACTCATGTCTTAGTGTTATCATTATCTCATTTTTTCCCATGGCTGAATTGTTAGATGTGATTGACTAACTCTTATTCTATATGGACTAGTACAAAGTTCTCCATGACTTCACCACAAACAGGGAGCCAGTCGGCTGTTACCACCTAAAAATGTCATTCAATGCTTGAGGGGAATATTTCAGTAGATATTTTTTGGGGGGTACTCCAGTATTTACTGTTCTTTTTAAGGAAAAATGTAATTTTCCACAACTTTAGTCAACAAATACATTTTGGCATGTCTATTTGAGTGTGTGAGAGACACCATTCTGAAAAAAAAAAAAAAAAAAACAATGAAGCATATTATGGCTGCTAATAGTCCCCAAATGTAAATTAATGTAGAGACAGTCTCTCAGCAAAGTCACCAGGATGGTGTGTGGTATGTAACTTAGTCAATAAACAAACTGAGAAAACATAAATAAGGATCGTAATCACATCTGAAATAAGGATGTCAAGAAGCATTGCAGCTGGAAGGCAAAAGCACGATTCATTAAAGCCCATTCGCTGTTAAATTAGGTTTCAACATAGAGAGCATTTTATCAGCACTGAGTAAAACCAAATGAGGTTTTTCTTTGGTCTTGTCTTTCAGGGAGGATTGTTGAAAAAACAACCAAGTTTCAAGTAAGCTGGTCAAAAATAACTCAGCTTCTCCCAGCAGAGGCGTAGATAGCTGGGGTTTGTCTATAATGCCCTGGCAGAGGTTGATCAAAAAACTAGAGTCAGGATGCTAGTCAGAATCATTTCAGGTGATCATCAAAATTGAAAGAGACAATGCAATTTTCAGCTGTGTGGTGGCAGAGAGTCTGCAGAAAAGCTGGGTTTCCTCCTCTGCTCCAATTTTGTTAATTCATAAAAATGAAGACTAGAAATCAAAGCCCTTTGTAGCTGCCTGAAATTTTATGATATTCAAATGCACTTTTGTTCTTCGACATTTGTATTAGTCCATTTTCACAGTACTGATAAGGGCACATCTGAGACTGGATAATTTATATAGAGAAAGAGATTTAATGGACTCCCAGTTCCACATGGCCAAGGAGGCCTCATAATCATGGTGAAAGACAGAAAGCATGTCTTACATGGCGGCAGACAAGAGAGAATGAGAGCGTCAAGAGAAAAGGGAAATCCCTTATAAAAACATCAGATCTCATGAGACTTATTCACTACCATGAGAACAGTATGGGGGAAACCAGTCCCATGATTCAATTATCTCCCACCAAGTCCCTCCTACAACATGTGGGAATTATAGGAGCTACAATTCAAGATGAGATTTAGGTGGGGACACAGCCAAACTGTGATAAGATCATGCGATCAAAGAAAGAGTTTGATTTCTCTCAAGACAACAGCTGTTTTCACAGGACAGCTTTCTATTGCTAACCCACATACACCATCTTGAAGATGTCCACAAATCTCAACTATCAAGGCATGCTTTCTTACATATATGACACCGGTAAGCAATTTAAGATTTTTGTAGCTCTATACAGCACTTCTGTTTTCTGGGCTGAAGAGTCAGAAATCTGAACATCAGTATCACCGAATCCCAAGCAAAGGGGTCTTTCTGATTTCCACCCTGTCAGCTCAAGAGGAACACATGCATACTTTATTTATCCTTGGAGAGGATTAATTTAATTTTGATTTCCTCTCTCTCTGTTTGCTTTGGAGGTTTCACATACATTGCAGAAACTAACTAGAACTTGGCAGTATGAAGGTTGTAATGTGATGTATATCCCTCCAGCCTCCCTTGGCCAACTCAGAGGGGCCCTCAGCAGAGGCAGCAAAGACAGCTTCATTTCCCATGCAGGAGACAGAAGGACATATGGGAAACAAAGTCAGAGTGTTCCATTCTTGGTCAAGACATTGCAGAGAAGTTGACAAACGTAATGTTCCGGCTGAAAGGTGCCCTTTCTTAGGAAGGTGAAAGGTGGTTTAAGAAAGGTGTCACCTTTTTTAGGACATGAAGCTATAGAAAAAGAGGGGTTAGGGTAATAATCAGACCTTAAAAAGACCAGAAATTCACAATTTACCACTATCCTTTACCTCCACCACTAATGTTAGTATTTTTTAAATGGCTGACTAGGGTGGTGGTTCAGAAACTAAATACACACGGTAGCCTAAGATATATCCTGAGACATGTTATTTTATTGAAAAACTTTGTTTCTGACTCTGATCAATGATTTTAATAAAATTCTCCCCAAACTAAAAAAGATTTCACTGAGAAATTACAGTTAGTGCTCACACCTTTTACAACTTCTGTTGACATGTTCAGTTTCTCTCCTGTCTAGAAATTTCCTTCCTTCCTTCCTTCCTTTCCTTCCCTCCCTCCCTCCTTTTCTCCTTCTTTCCTTTCTTCCTTCCTTTCTTTCTCTCTCTCTCTCTCTTTCTTTCTTTTTTGGAGTGTTGCTGCGATGCCCAGGCTGGAGTGCAATGGTGCGATCTTGGCTTACTGCAACCTCCACTTCCTGGGTTCGAGCAATTATCCTGCCTCAGCCTCCTGAGTAGCTGGGAGTACAGGCACACTCCATCACGCCCAGCTAATTTTTGTTTTAGTAGAGACAGGGTTTCACCATGTTAACCCGACTGGTCTCTAACTCCTGTCCTCAAGAGATCTGCCCGCCTTGGCCTCCCAAAGTGTTGGGATTTCCGGCGTGAGCCACTGCGCCCAGCCTAGAAATTTCTTGAAGACAGGAATTAAATTTCATAACTACTTCTCTACCCCAAAAAGAACAGCAGGGTTACTGGTGAGATATAAATTTTTCCTATTGCTATTGATGATAATAAGAACGATGATGATTCAGCCAACATGAAAGAGGTTTGTTTGTATTTCCATTTTTACCACAAGCACTTAATGTCTGCATTAGAAAGTGCTGCTTTTAAAGTTGAGAACCATATTTAATGTGTGGCTTTCCAATCAAAGAATATAAAATGGCAGGTATGGAGTGTTTGACTGGAGATTTCCCAGGTAGCATACTTAATGACAAGCTGCTTCCACTGCAGTCAGGATTTAACATATGGAACATTTACTTGGGGACACGTTCATGAGTGCTTTCCTAGCTAAAAACCATCTGTTTCATCTTCTGCTTCAAATGCTCAAGAAAGTGTTTTCCTTGGCCAGCCCCCTCTGAACAGCAGTGCCCTGCAGCATGGCCACCTATGGCCCTGCTCTTGTAATTGGAGCCCAAAGCTAGATGCCCTCTCAACACACAGATGAGCTCCTTGCAGGGCAAATCACAGAAGATGAAACATTTAACTGGGTGGGAATCCTTTCTGTCTCTGTAAGAAATATTTTCCGTAAAACTGTCTGAGATAGCCACTAAGAACCAGAAAGTTATTGTTTTGAAAAGCTTGAGTAAGATTTTAAAAAATACAAAAACAAAAACCTTTGCAGATGTTTTTGAAAGGCATAACCATATTTTCTGCTTCTCAAATTACAAAGTCCAGTGAAAACCTTGGCATCAATACCCTGCTGCATTTTAAAGATCAAAAAGTCAGGTCAAGAAAAACTTTTAGCCAATCGGATATGACAGCAGAAAAGTGAAAAAGAAAAATTTATCAGTCTTCCCTTGTTCACTTTTAAACCAACTCATTACTTAAAAAACATCTACAAAGATGGTTTAGATAGAATTTTAGAGCTGAAAAGGGCCCCCCGGATAATTACAGGCGTGAGCCACCCCCAGCCAAGTTGGTGAATGGTTTTAAGGAGAGGACACTGGAGGCAGTTAACACCTAATAAAGAAAAAATGAGGCCTAAGCAGGGCAGTTTAATTCCAGATCGGGAGAGGAGATCCAGGAAGCGGGACTGATGTAATTTAGAGGTTATCAATGATATGGAGGACATGATTTATGGAGAGCACATACAGCAGTTAGTTGAAAGCAGTGAGAACTCTACCTACAATGACCCTGTCTCCATTAATGTTGCTTTGTGTTCTTATGATGCCACTTCCAGACTTCATTGTAGCGGCCAATTTCTATCACTCAAAAAGAGAAGAAAAATAATTAAGGAATAACACAATTATACAGTCCTTCTCTTCGGTGTCGAAAGAAATCTAACTCAAACCAGGGAATGATAAAATGAATGGTCCTATTAAAAGCGTTCAAACTACATTCAGAATCTTTCAAATTGCATCCTTAGTAAGATGATAGACTGCTCAGAACCTAGAGAAGGGGAATTTTATAAACCGCATATTAGCAGGTATTTAATCCAACAAATCTGTGATCAGTGGTGGGAATGGAAGCCCCCTGAGAGAGGGCAAAGCCACATGGTCAATAGCTTTCCTGCTGCGCATTTCTTCCCAATCCATGCAAAATAAGACATTATATCTCAGTTCAGTAAGTAGATAAAATTAGCTGAGACTTATGTAAGCTCATTGAAATGGTGAATGGAAGCAATTCAACAGCCTTTTCAGGCCTTCAAAAGGCCAACACTTTGTTCCAGTATATCTAGAAGAAATTAGATGATACAAGATTGTGTTATTTGTTAAAGTTTATCAGACAGTAAGTTGTACACCTTCCATTATTTATTTCAGATAATGCCTAGATTCAGGACAAAACCTTGCATTACAGGATTTCTTAACAGTCAGGGGATACAAGTATATTTCATAAAAAGAAATCTGATTCTAAAAGTTCAACTACAGCAAAAATACTTTCAATTAATATATGAGTACGATAAAACATAACATTTTGAAGATAAAGTGTATTTTGGCTCAGTGGCATTTTTTAGGGAGTTGGCATCCCATTCCAGGCACTACAACTGATACATTATTCATCTGATTGCTGATTTAGTTTGGATTCCAAAATAAATGCAGATAATCTATTTGACCTCGCCTGTGGCAGTTCAAGGAGGTCTTGGGGGAAACTCTGTTGATATCAGGTTCATTCACATAACACAGACTGACCACTGACATGTCTGCAGTGCTGTGAATTCCAGAGGGTCTTCTTGAGGTCAGTCCTGGAATCTTAATGATCTAGCTGGAAGAAATGCTGTGAGTTTATCAGGTCAAACAACAATTTTCCAGTTCACTAAGACAACTTCTTAACTCTTTCTGATAACACAGGGAAACACTAAAATCCACAGATGGCAAAATATCAGAATTGCCTGAGATAATTATCAGTTGCGTTTTTGTGATTAGGAGAGATTGGGCTAAATTCTAACCCAATTTTAGGGGGAGGAAGGATTCTGTTATAGCTCTAAATTTAGTAATTGTCTCCGTGTTTTTTTAGTTAAAACCAAAAACTCCTAACCCAAACAGTAAAATTACAAACCCTATGAGTTATGATAATGAACTTTGTAGAGTGCTGCTATTCTCCAAAGGAAGAGGATAATTCATAACGCGAGTTTGCATTCTGAATAGAAACCCTATAGCCAACCTGGTTGGATCTGCTATGTTAATTTAACTATCTCTGCAGACCTTTTCTCAATATGGTCATTGCTATCAGTGCCTTTCCTTCAAAACCTTTTGAGCAATCAGTAATAGTCAGGTCTGGCCCTTTGTAAAACCTTTCATGAAACTTCATCATACATCTACATACTTCTATAATGTAAGGATATTCAATAACACAGCTATTATCAACAGCTAAATAAACTGTTCTGTGAACTACGTACAGATATTGTGATAACATTAACATCATATATGTGCCATTTATTGAGCCTGGCGTGATCCCAGGCATTGCAATGAATTATCACTAGTTCTTAATCTAGTCTCTGAGACTGCTATCACACTTCTGTTTCAAAGCTAAGGAAATGCTGGTTCAAAAAGACACCTGATACCACATGGTAAGTAGTGGAGCTCTTTTTGAACTAACCTGAAAGGCTCTAAAGCCTATACTTAGTTTTCCCTCTATAACGGTAGAACACAATGTGATTGATTTTCCCAACATTGCAGATTTACATCCAAACGCACGTTCTCACTTGCAAGATAATCTGCTCAGGGAATTGCATGCTTTTTCCAGTAAGTTGTCTTTGAGTCACATTGTTTTTGGATCTTTCCCTTTTGGAGTTAACTTTGAGGTTTAAAACATAAATGGCAGAAGACCCCTGTTCTTTAAAGCTGTGTTGGCTGAATACTAAAAAAAAAAATAATAATAATAATTAAGAGCCAAGATGTACAAATAAAGTAGATGATCAGGCTTGGGGATACTCATAGGGGTCAAAAATGAGGTATAACTAAAAGGACAAGATTAACTTTTTTCTGTGGCTTAGAGACTCTGAAGACAATCCCAAGGAGATCCAAAAATGTTTAAGCAATGGTAACACTGTTGGACTCTGTGCACATTCTTACCATGTGACCACTCCAAAGGACAAAATTCATTTGGAAGAATAACGCCTGCTTAAAAATGTGTCTCTGTGTTCCATGGTGAATGTTTACAATCAGTTTATACACCAAGACTCAATTCCAAAACCTTATTGTAGCAACTACTACTAGATGACCTTAATTATAAAGCACTAGAAGCCATCCATAGGGTTGAGAGTATTACTTTCAATCTGATTATTTAGCATTTTTCTCTAACTTCAATGGTTTTTTTTCTTTTTTTTTTCTTTTTAGATGGAGTCTCGCTCTTGTCACCCAGGCTGGAGTGTAGTAGTGTGATCTCGGCTCACTGCAACCTCTGGCTCCCAGGTTCAAGCAATTCTCTTGCCTCAGCCTCGCGAGTAGCTGGGATTACAGGTGCCCGCCACCAGGCCCGGTTAATTTTTGTACTTTTAGTGGAGACGGGGTTTTGCCATGTTGGCCAGGCTGGTCTCAAACTCCTGACCTCAGGTGATTAGCCTTCCTCGGCCTGGGATTACAGGCGTGAGCCACTGCACCCGGCCACTATATGGGTTTTAAGGATCCAAGGAAACTCCACGGAATACCGTTCAGAACAAGTACTTTCACTCATCTGGAAAATCTGGTGGAACGGTCAAATAAGGCTAAAAATAGCACCCAAATACATTTTGCAAAAGAGAAGAAAAAAGACAGGTGGACAATTGACAGACATTAAATTTAGAAAAATAAATTACAGGCCGGGTGTGGTGGCTCATGCCTGTAATCCCAGCACTTTGGGAGGCCAAGGCGGGAGGATCACTTAAGGACAGGAGTTAAGAGACCAGCCTGGCCAGCATGGTGAAACCCCATCTCTACTAAAAATAAAAAATTAGCCAGATGTGATGGCATGCGCCTGTAGTCTCAGCTACTTGGGAGGCTGAGGCAGGAGAATTGCTTGAACCTGGGAGGCGGAGGTTGTAGTGAGCCAAGATCGTGCCACTGCACACCAACCTGAGCGACAGTAAGACTTCATCTCAAAAAAAAAAAAAAAAAGAAAAAGATTACAAAATCATATTTGAATGTATAACTTCAGATTTCAAAAGACTTCCTAGAATGTTATTTCCAGCATAAAATCTATGAAAACAGAATCGTTTTTAGAAACTAAATGAAAACACTGTTAATATAGCTAACTTTAAATAGGAGGAAAAAGAGATGCAATACTAGCCAAAGGTGTTTTTAACCACATAAAATAAACGTTGAGGATATTTTGAGGAGTTAAAGATCTTTAACATAATACCTCTTTCAAGTAGTTTAAAGACATTAAAGACATTACTTGCTAATGTTCCTGGAAGAAATCCATTTACAGACATTAAGATGTCTTGCAAATATCCCTCCTTGCTGTATTCTTATATGGTCAAACGATACCTACAAAGACACAGAGAGTAAGTGCCATGGCTTTTTCTTTCCCTAAAAGGCAGGCAAAATAAAGCAGAGGCTCCTTTCATTGACACAACCCAGAGTATAGTCATGGGATGAGTTCAGGTTGCTTTTATCTAATTTTGAGAGAATTTTTACAGTAACTAACATTATTAGCATTAGAAGCTCCCAGTAACAGGGATAGTTTCAGACCTACTATAAACATTTATGTTTAACATTTAACATTCTTTTGTTAATAAGATGCCACTCTCACCCAAGGAACCCAAAATGCCTTTCAAAGGTTGTATATTTCTCTCTGCCCATATCCCATTTATGAGATTGATCAGACCAAGCCTTCAAGATGACAAAGAAAATCAAAGTTGGATCTTGACATTCTTAAATGAACGAAATCATCTAATTGTTTGGTTTCAATGCAACACTGAGCCTCTAAATTATACCACCATTGACAAAATTCTGAAACTGTTTGACTTTGTTACACCTATAACCATAGTCATTGATCATAACCACTAATATCCTTGTGGTAACTAAACCAAAATAGAATCATCCTGAGGCAGAGAGGAATTAGTTTCATCTCAAAAACAAAGTCATTGCTTCTCAGCCTTTCGGCTAAGATCAAGTGTAAAACCAATATCAGAGTTAGGGATTATTAATCATGAGTCCTAAAAACTAAGAATATTTATTAGCCTAAGCTGATACTTATTTTTTAAAAAACAAAAAAAAAAACACCAATTGTTTAACTCACCTAGCATAAGTAGGTAAATTTTTACCTATCATAGCAGAGGCCTTATTGAATGAGCAAAAATGTTAGAGAAAATATCCAGTGCTCAGTGTGGCATTATTGATTCAAGTGAAATCGATTTATACTGAAGAAGGGGCAAGAGTTAGTTAGCTGAAATTAAAGGGATACAGTGAAAGAGCTTAGGAACCAGTATATCATTCTACACGACCTTGTAAAAAAAGCAGACAAAATATAGAGTACAGAACTATAGCAACTTTGCATTCTTCCCACTACAAAAGTGGGAGGAGCTGAGCACACACCTGAAATTGTTCAAATGGAGTAAAGGTACAGCTCAAGTGGAACGCAGCATGCACCACTCTCGGTTGCCTTGACTTCAGGCCCTCCTTCTCACATAATAATGAAAGAAGATCTGTGCAAATGAAGTCAGAGAATAATTAAAGGAGAAGGCAAAGCAACTCATGTTTCACTTAGCTCCACCAGGGTATAAGAGCTGAGGATGTTTGGAAAGACTGATGCAGCAGATAAAGAACTAGATAGTGAGGAAAGGGCTGTGAGTGTGTAAAGAGGGGAACTGAGTTGTTTATTCCACTAACTTTTTATTTATTTTTTTTTTATTTTTATTTTTATTTTTTTTGAGTGGGAGTCTCACTCTGTCACCCAGGCTGAAGTGCAGTGGCATGATCTTGGCTCACTGCAACCTCCACCTCTCAGGTTCAAGCGATTCTCCTGTCTCAGCCTCCCGAGTAACTGGGAATACAGGCACATGCCATTGCACCGGACTAAGTGTTGTATTTTTAGTAGAGAAAGTGTTTCACCATGTTGGCCAGGCTGGTCTCGAACTCCTGACCTCAGATGATTCACCTGCCTTATCCTCCCAAAGTGCTGGGATTACAGGTGTGAGCCACCACGCCTGGCCTATTCCACTAACTTTGACTTTGGTAAGTGTAGACAATAAACTAAAGATCTGGGCTATGTATTATGTCCCCTGACCAGTGGGATGGCTCTGCTGTAATGAAGGAAAAGTTAGAGGGGTCAGGTAGGTGATCCAATGCCAAGCACAAACACAAATGTAAACCATATGGAGAAAGACTTTTAATTTTAAACAATAGAGAGGAACAATGATTCAGTCATATGGTCGATGATGAAATTAGAAGTTTTATTAGTTATTTTTATAAGAAACTTAATTTCTGTGCTTCATTCAGATGGAAGAAAGAGCTTTTAGCTCTTAAGATAGACTTTTTCTGTTGCAGTTGATTGCTCTATGCAATTAAATATCAACATATTTATCAGTCTACTCAACCAAGGTAATGCTGTAGTAACAAATAATCCCCAAAACAACACACCCGCTTTCCCTCACTCATGTTACACATCTGCTACATACTATCTTGATGGCACAGTCTCCATATCAATACTCTGTGGTCTTTGTGGCAGAGAAAAAGAGAATGAGACAAACCAAATGATGTCTCTGAAAGCTTCCACCCGGAAGTGACACATCACTTCCACTCACATTTCATTGCAGGAGAAGTGACATGAAGGAGTCTGACATCAGTGAAATGGAGATATATACTCTTCCCTCAAGAAGGGACAGCAAGTATTTTGAAACAATACTATAATTTACTGCAACATTCAAGTTCCTGTAAAGAGGGTTCCTGTATTAATCCACATTAACATTAATAATGATCATTGTATGTGTTAGTTTGTGTCCTCTGAGAAACTTACCGTGACAGGATTAGATGTTCAAGTAACTTATGGGTGGGAGGGAGCACGGGTGATACCTGTTAGGAAGAATACGGAAGGAGCTGCAGAGGACAGAGAGTTGTCAGAACAAGATGCAGGGCTGATCCCTGTGGTGGAGAGGTGGGAGAAAGGAAGGTAGGAGGAGTGTAGTTCTAAGAGAGTTTTGGCAAAGCCAATGAAGAGTCACAGAGCCTAAAAACGTATGTAAGAGCAGTCCTGCATCCCACGCTAGTGTCTCCTCCATGATCAATCATTGGCCACGCTCAGCACAACTCTGGGATAAATGCACTGTTGGGTCAGAGCACAGCAACTGGGGCCATCAGTCAATTATTCCCCCTCAGTAAGAGTCTGAGAAGCGCATTTTCTTGGTGCTTAAAATTCCTGAACTTATCTTCAAACTCACCGAGGTGTATACATTAAGTATGTACACCTTTTAGTAGGTCAATCATACCTCAATAAGAAAACATTCTACACTTGGATGCTTTTGAAAAGTTCCATTCCTTTTTTTAAAAAAAATTATTGATAGGCTACAATTAGTTACCATCTGCTCAATATGTCAAATTCGAGCGTGAACACTGGGAAGGAACACAAAGATGAGTAACACAGAGACCTGGATTTTGAAGCACTCACTGTACAATGTGTGACACAGGAGTACTAACAGCAGCAGCAGCAGCAGAAACAATAAGGCCATATATTTATTGATCCCTCACTCTAAGCATTGTATATGTATTATCTCATTTACTCATGGTAACAGTCCTCAGATAGAGGCTTTCATTTTTCATCCTCATTTTACAAATGGAAAAACTAAAATGCAGACATGTAATTTGACAAGAAATATAATTTCATAGTATACAAATTATGTTGGGAGCAGAGATGAAGGATACCTCCTGACCTAGGTCTTTACATAAGTTAGAACTGAGTTCTGCTGCACCTAGCAGAAATCCAAAATAACATTATAAACTTGATGAGTTTTACTTTTCCTCATATAAAAAGCCTGGAGGTTAGCAGGCCAGGGCAAATGGAGATCCAAGTTCTTTCTATCTTGCTGTACTGCTGTGTTCAAAATATGGCCTTCCACTTCATGGTCCAAGGTGGCTGCTCAAGATCCAGCCATCAGTCAAAATGAGGAGAATAAGGAAAAATGGGCATGCTCCCTCCATCTAATGACATTTTCCAGAAGGCACATGCACAGCATCCACTTATTAACACTGGACACAATTTAGTCAAATGGCCATACCCAGCTTCTAGGAAATGTATTCTTTATTCCAGGAAAACAAGAGCCATGAAAACACACACACACACACACACACACACACACACACACACACAAACACAAATATAAAGGAGTAGGAGGAATGGATACTAGGAAGCTAATAGAGGTTTTGACATGATCTTGAGGAAAAACGTAGAAGCTGGTCAGTATAGGATTTTTCAGTTAACAATGCAAAGATACAGACATAGGGAACAGTTCAATGTAGTCAGGGATGTGGCTGTCAGTGGAGCTGAGAGTGAGAAGGGCATTTGTGCCTAACTAAGGAGTTAGAATCAGTTTTCGAGGCTGATTAGAGCCCCTGCTGGATTAGATGGCTCATCAGGTTGGATCTGCAGTATGGGGTGGCAAGGTGTTGGCAATTGTAGTAGTTATGGTGGCAGAGGTAATGATACAAACAATGAATCTTTACTAGTCTGCATACTGTGCTCACTTAACGCTTCCAGCAACCTATGAAGAGGTAATATTACTGTCAACATTTCTAAGATGCACAAACAGTGGATCAAAGAGGTGATTCAAGGCCACACAACTACAGGGCAGAGATATGAATCCAAGTTGAAGGTTAATACCAGCAAAAATAAATGAAGGCCCAAACGAAAGTTTCTAGTGACTAGAAAGAAAATAATATGGAGCACATCTCAGGACTGGATATCACCTGAATGTTGGCACACAGGAGGGAAGAATGAAAACCCAGCAAGATTTTAAGCCTACAAGATAGGGTGAATGAACAGAAGAGAAGTAGGCTTGGAGAAGAAAATAAAGGATGTGTGTTATGTCAAAGTAGAATTAGCAGCTATACTGCTGGGCCTGCCAAAAACAGATAATGCCAAAAGAAAATGAACTGGCCCACCAACTTTCTTACACAGAATCAAAATAGGCGGGTATTTGAATGAAATTTACACTCCACAGTGCAAATTTAGGGTGATCCTCATCCTAACTTCCCAGAAACTCTTCTTAGGTTTATCAAGCATAGTATTCCTTTCCAGGAATAAGACATTCAAGTCTTTTCCAAAAGTAAGAAGTTAAAGTTTTAGAAAGAAGTGCCTCACAGGTAGTACACTATTATTTGATGGTGTTTTCTTTCCTGCTACTGTCTGCCTACTTCAGACAGTAAAGCTGATTCCATCAGATGAAACTGGCCTGAAAGAAATGAACTTAAGTTTGAGACCAAAGTTCTGGCAGGCATTATCACCATAAAAAGAAAAGAACATACTCCAAATCAAAGTGTGCCTGCTTCAATTAATTTGAATGTGAAATGTTAGCCTAGGATTGCTATTGGCACATACCATTCATTTTCTAAACTTCCAATATTATGCACTAGTGACTACAATTTACCATCAATATATCCCCATAAAGTTTCTCTTTTATTTCTTAAAAAGTTAAAGTACAGGAAGTCTCCAATTTTCACCACATAGTAATCCCACAAACAAGGTTATAATACTTAAAACTCTTATAAAAGATTACTGCTGTTAAAATAAAAACTTGACGTCACACTAATAATTGATCAACTAAGACCAAGGCAGGGCTAAAAGCTCTTCTTGGAGCCAAGAGATAATAAGAAATGACAAAGACAGAGCCATCTCACTTTATTTTTTGTTTTCTCTAACAATGCAGATGAGCCACCATTTGAAAACGGAGGAACAAAAATAGGTAAATATTGCAAATCCAAAAGTGAATAAAGAAAGTCAGAGAATAGCTGTGATATGATCCAAGTGTGTTCCAGTTTTCTGCCTCAGGCTAAAATTGTTCTGGAGTACCAATAGAACGTTTACCTAAAATCACTGAAAATAACATTTGAAAAGTTGTGGAAAATGGGAATGATGCCAGAAGAATAAGACAATGTTATGATATGATTGTCAAAAAACGAGCAAGTACACTCCCCAAACTGTAGAGATTACTATGGATTCTTAAGGGATGGTGTGAAAGTGTCTATAAGTTGAAGTAGTGATCATTAATAGCTAGCATGGCTTTACTATGTACAGCTGACACCATTTTCTTCTTGCACAAAGTTGTTGCAGAAATAAATATAGTTTGTAAATATAGTAGATAGTGCAGATAGATGGTGATGATTGCACATTATGACTGTATTTACTACCACTGAATTGCACACTTAAACATAATTAAGACAGTAAATTTCATGCTATGTGTATTTTGCCATAATAAAAATATAATAAACATTTAAAAATATATATGTGGTCCTCCAAAAAACACAACTCAGAATTACAACCAAAAATAATAATAAAAACAAGATTAATTAAGTGAATTTTATCAAGTTAAATGTATCAATTTATGAATCGATACCAACTTTAGGAGGAGCTATTTTGGGCAGAATGGTCTCTGGACTCAGTCATGACCTATTCAATAGTTTTATCAATGACTAATGGAAGGGACAGCAACTCTGTTGAGTGACAGATTAGGATCCTCTAGATCCTGATTATATTATTCTCTTTGTATAGATATAGATCCTGATTCTATAGTTCACTTTATATAGATACAGATCCTGAGATAAAAAGATTACATAGTTCTAAAACTATCATTTAAAATGATATAAAACTTTGCTCAGGGGATTAAAAAAGCAACCCAAAGTGCAAGGTTGGGAACAAATGGCTTAGCAATGATGGAATATGTAAAAATGACTTGGCAGATACTTTGAGCGCAAATACATTATGATCTAATAATTCCTGAGACCCAGTAAAAGTTGAATTCACACTGACAGGTATATAGCTGTGGATATGAACTACTCTACTCTGTTCATCTGAAGGATTATTTTTATTTTGGGCTAATTTAAATGGGCTATAAACAAATCGTAGTCTGTTCATAAAACTGCATCTAGATGGTAAACAACTTCAAAGTCATAACAATTTAGGGTGTAGAAAGTTGCAAGTGTTCCCACTTTGGTGATGAGAGAAAGCCAAGAAATTGTAAACCCCATCTAAGAACTGAACTCATAAAGCAACCTAAACTGAATTCCAAGGAGAGACAGGAGACAAGAATCCTTTTAACTTTGGCAGATCACAGGAGGAAGAAGTGGCCACCGTATAGATAGGTAGAGAGAAATCACGTAAAATGTCATGGTTTTTTAAAGACCAAGTTTGGACTAGAGGGTTAGTTTACAAAGCTAAAGGTCCAGGAGACAGGAAGAGTTTCACTCATTAGTAAGCTTTTTCACTGGCCTCCCCCAGGGGCTCATGGTAAAAATTGGGGGGTATGGAAGGAGAATGATAGAACCTATTTCAGTGGTGCTGGTATTCAAGAAATGATAGCTACTGCTGGGAGCAAGCATGAATCATCACCCATTTCCCTGAATCTCTCTTTTATTAAAAGCATAAGGCTTAAGGCACTAAGGGGAGAAAAGTACCTCAACATACTGAAGAAAAAAGAGAGGAATGACAGCAAACTTCTTTGTAAGATACAATGTAAGCCTGAAGACAATTAACATCTTTATGGTATTAAAGAAAAACAAAAAACTGCCAACCCAGAATCCTATACCTGTGAAAACATCTTTCAAAAATGATGTCAAGATAAAGATTTTATTAGACCAAAAAAAAAAAAACTGAAAAAATTTACTACCAAAGGCCAAAGCAACACAAGCAAAACCACAACAAAATGTTAAAGGAATTTCTTCAGAAAGGAGTTAGGACGCTTGAAGAAAATTTGAAGCCGGGCATGGTGGCTCAGGCCTATAGTCCCAGCACTTTGGGAGGCTGAGGTGGGCGGATCATGAGGTCAAGAGATCGAGACAATCCTGGCCAACATAGTGAAACCCTGTCTCCACTAAAAATACAAAAATTAGCCAGGCATGGTGGCGCCTGCTTGTAATCCCAGCTACTCGGGAGGCTGAGGCAGGAGAACCACTTGAACCCGGGAGGCGGAGGTTGCAGTAAGCCAAAATCGTGCCACTGCACTCCAGCCTGGGTGACAGACCAAGACTGTCTCAAAAAAAAAAAAAAAAAAAAAAGGAAAAGAAAAAAAGAGAAAATTTGAATCTTCTCAAGGTAACGGTAAACTCCAGAAAAGATAAAAGTGAAGATGAATACTAAAGATACTTTTCTTATTTTAATCATTTCTAAAGACAATTGTATGTCTAGGTAACAGAGTAACATAGATTGTAGAGTTTACAATATATGTGAAATAAAATACACGACCACATAACACAAAGACTGAGAGAGAGAAAAATGCGTGTATACTGCTGTGAGTTTCTCATGCTATAAGGTAAAATCTTATAATACTATCTGAAAGTAGATGGTGGTAAGCTAATTATGTATACTATACATCTTAGAGAAACCCCAATATAAAAAAATTTCTAAGAGATATAACTAAACAGCAAGAGTGGAGATAAAATGTAATCATAAAAACAACAGCAAAATAATCCAAAGGAGGGCAAGAAAAGAAGAAAGGAAAACAGAACAGACAGGATTATGAGGAAACAAGTAGCCAGTTGGTAGATAAGAATACAACCATATCAACAATTACAATAGATGTAAATGGTACAAACACCCCAATTAGAAAAAAAAGACATCAAAGATATAATAACTGACTTTCAGAAAGCAAGACCTGCCTATAAATAGCAATATTGTATGGTATACTTAAAATTCGCTAAGAGGGTAGATCTTACATTAAGTGTTCTTAACACAAACACACAATAATAAAGGAGCAGGCAAATATTCTGATAAACATTGATGCAAAAACCCTCAACAAAATACTTGCAAACCAAATCCAGCAGCACATAAAAAAGCTAATCCACCACGATAAAGTAGGCTTCATCCCAGGAGGCCAGGTTGGTTCAACATATGCAAACAAATAAATGTGATTCATCACATACACAGAACTAAAGACAAAACCCACATCATTATCTCAATAGACAGGGTAATGGCTTTTGATAAAATTCAATAGACCTCATATTAAAACCTCTCAATAAATGAGGCATCGAAGGAATATACCTCAAAATAATAAGAGCCATCTATGACAAACCTGCAGACAGCATTATACTGAATGGGCAAAAGTAGGAAGCATTCCCCTTGAAAACTTGCCCCAAAGCTTCTTCAGCTGATAAAAACTTCAGTAAAGTTCAGGATACAAAATGTATGTACAAAAATCACTAGCATTCCTATACACCCACAACAGCCAAGCCAAGAGCCAAATCAGAAAAGCAATCCCATTCATGATTGCCACAAAAAGAATAAAATAGCTAGGCATACAGCTAATCAGAGAGGCGAAAGATCTCTACAATGAGAATTACAAAACACTGCTCAAAGAAATTAGAGAAGACACAAACAAATGGAAAAACATCCCATGCTCATGAATAGGAAGAATCAATATCATTAAAATGGCCATGCAGCCCAAACCAATTTACAGATTCAATGCTATTCATATCAAACTACCAAAAACATTCTTCACACAACTAGAAAAAACGATTTTAAAATTCACATGAAACCAAAAAAAGAGCCCAAATAGCCAAGGCAATCCTAAGCAAAAGGAACAAACCAAGAGGCATAACGTTACTGACTTCAAACTATACTACAGGATTACAGTAACCAAAACAGCATGGTACTGGTGCAAAAACAGACACACAGACCAATGGAACAGCATAGAGAGCCCAGAAATAAGGTCACACACGTATGACCATCTGATCTTTGACAAAGCTGACAAAAACAAACAATAGGGAAAAGACTCCACATTCAATAAATGGTGCTGGGATAACTGGCTAGCCACATGCAGAAGATTGAAGCTGGTCTCCTCCTGGACACCATATACAAAAATGAATTCAAGATGAATTAAAGACTTCAATGTAAAGCCCAAAACTGTAAAAACCCTGGAAGACAATCTAGGCAATACTATTCTGGACATAGGAACAAGCAAAAATTTAATGACAAAGACACTAAAATATCAACAATAGCAAAAATTGAAAAGTGGAATCTAATTAAACTTTAGAGCTTCTGCACAGAAAAAGAAACTATCAACAGAGTAAACAGACAACCTACAGAATGGGAGAAAATATTTGAAAACTATGCATCTGACAAAGGTATAATATCCAGCATCTATAAGGAACTTAAACACACTTATAGGAGAAAAACAAACAAACCCTTTAAATTTAAAATTGGGCAAAGAACATGAACGGACACTTTTCAAAAGAAGACATACATGCAGCTGATAAACACATAGACAAAAAGCACAATATCACTGATCATTAGAGAAATGCAAATCAAAAACCAAAATGAGATACCATCTCACACCAATTAACAGATGCTGGTGAGGTTGCAGAGAAAAGGGAACACTTATACACTGTTGGGGTGGGAGTGTAAATTATTTCAACCATTAAGGAAAGCAATATGGCGATTCCTAAAAGCAGAACTACCATTCAACCCAGCAATCCCTTTACTGGCTTTGTACCCACAGGAATATAAATCATTCTAGCATAAAGATACATGCATGCAAATGTTCATTGCAGCACTATTCTGATAGCAATGAAATGGAATCAACCTAAATGCCCATCAATGACAAACTGGCAAAAGAAAACGTGGTACATATACACCATGGAATATTATGCAGCCATAAAAAGAACAGGATCATGTCTTTTGTGGAAACATGGATGGAGGTGGAGGCATAATATATCCTTAGCAAACTAATGAAGGAACAGAAATCCAAATACTGTATGCTCTGACTTCTAGTGGGAGCTAAATAATGAGGATTTATGAACACAAAGCTTGGACCTATTTGAAGGTGAAGGTTGGGAGGAGGGAGAGGAGCAGAAAATATAACTACTGGGTACTGGGTTTCACACATGTGTGATAAAATAATCTGTACAACAAACCCCATGAGCTTGCCTATGTAACAAACCTTCACATGTAACTTCAAACTTAAATATCATTAAATAAATAAATAAAAGAATATCTATCAAAAAACTTATAACTAACTATATATTATTTGAAGACAATGCTTTGCTTCCTGAAATTGGGAACAAGGAAAGGATGTATGCTGTCACTACTTCTAGTCAATATTACACAGAAGTTTTAGCTAACCATAAGGAAAAGCAAAAAAAACAAGATACAACTTAGAACGGAAGAACTAAAAATGTTTTTATTTGCAGATGACATGATCATCTACATAGAAAATCTCAAAGAACTGACAAAAAAACCTATTAGAACTAATAAATTACTTTACCATGGACACAGGATCCAAGTCAACCCATAAAATTCAACTGTGTTTCTATACACTAGAAATAAACATTTATAATTTGAATTTGAATTTGTGTCATCCTAAAGCCAACAAAAAAAAGTAGAAATAAATGAATGACTTTCTCAATATAAAAGACTGCTTCCTAACAGTCAGATATATGGAAAAATTACATGGACTGTCTAGCAGCTTCAAGAAAATACAGGTGGTTCACCTTGGAATGGTGAATTCCTTGAAAGGAATTTGAAGTGACAAAAGCAAGATGCTCAATCTTAGACAAAGCCACAATGTGTCATAGGAAATGCTGCAAAAACAAAAGAAGAGGGACCAGAATCATAAAAAAAAATAGTTAGATTACACTCCAAGTTCTACAAAATGGGCCACGTGGTTAGATTACTGGAAGGACCTCGGTGTACTATCAAGTGAACATACATCATCTTAACAGCCCACCTTGGCTATGTCATAAATATAACCTCATGCTAATATGTAGGTAGTAATAACATTAAATTAACAATGAACTTATATGCCTTCTTATGATTAAGTGGGAGTCTGGAGAGATAAATTGGAAGTTATACATGCTTTAGAAAATCTACAATGGGCCAGGCACGGTGTCTCACGCCTGTAATCCCAGCACTTTGAGAGGCCAAGACGGGCAGATCACTTGAGGTCAGGAGTTTGAGACAAGTCTGACCAACACGGTGAAACCCCGTCTCTACCAAAAAAATACAAAATTAGCCAGGCATGGTGGTGGATGCCTGTAATCCCAGCTACTTGGGAGGCTGAGCCAGCAGAATCACTTGAACCTAGGAGGTGAAGGTTGCAGTGAGCCGAGACCACGCCATTGCACTCCAGCCTGGGCAACAAGAGCGAAGCTCCATCTCAAAAGAAAATTTACAATGAAGCTAGAGTGGGGGCCTTTTTTTCTCCCAAGAGATTTCTCTTTTACAACTGAACTTTGAGCTGCTTCAGTGATTGTTAATGATAAGTATCCACTTTCTTTGAGAAAAAGTCAAAACTGAGAAAGAAGCAGGAAACTTACAGAGGGCATGGGAGTGGGAAGAATCAAGATGTTTCTACCAGAGCTGGCCTAGGAGTGAGTATCCCTGCCTAAAGGGGACACCGTTGCTGATGGAAATGTGGCTCACTCCTCAAGGAGTTAAAGCAGGAAAAATAAAGTGAATAAGCAGACCTCTCCATGTTACAAATAACAAGCTGTTAGATGAAACTGTGATGGTGGTATGGAATTCACTATCATGCATTTTTCATAGTCATTTGGTTTACAAAAGTAAAAGTGCCAAATGTAAACGATAAAGAAATATCTGAAATAAAGTTTATAGTTTCTCCCTCCCACATTCAATCTCTCCTCCACAATATAAGCACTATTAGCAATTTGGTGTATATCTTCTATAATATTAACTTTGCTTAGATTATACATATAATCTTTTATATGGTGACGACATTGTCATTGGATGTTTTCCTTTAATAATATATCTAGAAAATACTTTAAAGCTGATACAGACAGCCCTATTTTAACAGTGCTTTAGAATTCAACCGTGGGCATTATACTCCTTACACCATCATTCTCCTTCTGATGGTCACTTGAGTTGTTTCCAGATGTTTTCTATTCCAGAGAGGGCTGTGATAAATATCCTTGTTTGTATTTATGTGTGGATGCATTTGTGTATCTTTAAATCCCCATGTTTTTGTTTTTATTTTTTAGATAAGTCCTTATGAATGAAACTAATAAATCAATGAATAGTCACGTTTTAATTGTAGAGTATTATCAGGTCACAGGGCCCTAAGCCTGTACATGTCCACCAACACACTGTAAGACCAGTTATTTTCCTACCTTCACACAAGCCCTGAAACTAATGATATTTTTAGTTTCAGCAACTTTGTTAAAACTTTTTTTTAATTATTGTTTTTCTAATTATCTGGGAGGTTATGTAGCTTTCTACTTGCATTTTTTTTTCCTTCACTGCATTGCCTGTTTAGATCATTTGCATATTTTTTCTTCTTTAGTTGTTTTCACTGTTTGTTATTTGGATTATAATTATCTTCTCCCAGTTAATAATTTGCCATTTAACTTTTTATAAGGGTAACTCAGTGTATCAGTCCGTTCTCCCACTGCTAATAAACACATATCCGAGACTGTGTAATTTATAAAGGAAAGAGGTTTAACTGATTCACACTTCAGCATGACTTGGGAAGCCTCAGGAAACTTAAAAGTCAGGATGGACGGGGAAGCAAACATTTCCTTCACATGGCAGTGGCAAGAAGTCCCAGTGAAGGTAGGGGAGGAAACCACCCCTCATATTGTCTTATGCCCAATTTCTGCCTCCAAAAAAAGAAGTAAAGACCAAAAGGCAGAAATGGAATCCACAGGCAGACAGCCCAGCACCGTGCCCTGGGCCTGGTAGTTAAAAATCAACCCCTGACCTAACTCCTTGTGTTATCTATAGATTTCAGACATTGTATGGAAAAGCATCGTGAAAATCCCTGTCCTGTTCTGTTCCGTTCTGATTACCGGTGCATGCAGCCCCCAGTCACATACCCCCTGCTTGCTCAATCGATCACAACCCTCTCAAGTGGACCCCCTTAGAGTTGTAAGCCCTTAAAAAGGACAGGAGTTGCTCACTCAGGGAGCTCGGTTTCTGGAGACATGAGTCTCCCGATGCTCCCAGCTGAATAAAGCCTTTCCTTCTACAACTCAGTGTCTGAGGGGTTCTTGTCTGCAGCTCCTCCTGCTACAAAGGGTGAAGCCCCTTATAAAACCATCAGATCTCCCAAGAACTCACTATCATGAGAACACGATGGGGGAAACTGCCCTCACGATTCAATTATGTCCACCTGGTCCCTCCCACGAAAAGTGGGGATAATGGGAACTACAATTCAAGATGAGATTTGGTGGGGACACAGCCAAACCATATCATTCAGTCAAAATTCTTAGTTTCAAACACAACTAATTCCTACTAGTTTAAGCAAAAAATAAATGTATTAAAGAGTATTAGATGGCAAAAGTTTCAAGGAGAAGCACTCAGTTGCTCTCTGGATCTAAAGCTGGAGAAAATATTCCTACTCTGATGCATCTTGTTCCACAGGACACTGTACTCCTTCCAAACCCCCAGTGTCATTCCATTGCTGATTCCCACAGCTGTATGCTTTTCTGCCACCCTCAACAAAATTAATTCCATAAAGCACCTCCTAGTTCTCATCACTCTTTCCTGAATCAAAGTTTACAAGGTACATCTTAATCTTGGGGCCAAAGTCACAGAGGCTCATAAAGTGGATTTCCGGCTTCCACCTTAGGCAGAATTTATAAAGTGGAGAATTCTCCAAGCATATGAAGGGATTCAAAAGTTGCTCCCTAGTCAGCAAATATTTTAAATGTCCATTACATTTTTTTTTTTTTAATTTAGACAAAGTTTCACTCTTGTCGCCCAAGCTGGAGTGCAATGCCGTGATCTCGGCTCACTACAAACTTCGCCTTCTGGGTTCAAGCAATTCTCCTGCCTCAGCCTCCCCAACACCTGGGATTATAGGCACCAACCACCACAGCCAGATAATTTTTGTATTTTTAGTAGAGACAGTGTTGGTTTCACCATGTTGGCCAGGCTGGTCTCGAACTCATGAGCTCAGGTGATCCACCTGTCTTGGCCTCCCAAAGTGCTGGGATTACAGGAGTGAGCCACTGTGCCAGGCTGGAAATAAAATTTTAATCTCTTCCAAAAGTACAGCCAGTTCTCTCAATTTCATTAACTGAATAATGAATAATTTATTCACTGACTTATAATGGCCTCATTAATTATATGCTAAATTATCTCGATTTGTTCTATAGAATTATTTGTTTACTGCAGGCCGGTACTATGTTTTCTTGTTTAAAGTAGTTTTATATAAGATTTTAACATCAAGTAGGGCAAACAGCCTACTAAAGTAGGGCAAACAGCCTACTAAAGTTGCCTACTAAAGTAGGGCAACATTTTCTGGGCAATTTTCATGTGTTTATTCTTCCATATATACTTTATAATCACTTCATGTATTCCAAAAGAAAAAAAGACTTAAATTCTGATTGGAACTGCATTAAATTTATATGTTAATTTCAAAATAAGTGACATTTTTATAACATTAAGTTTTCCTATCCAGGAACGTGGTCTGTCTCTCCATCTATTTGGGTTTTGTTTTATGTCCTTCAATATAATTTTATAGTTCTCTTCAGAGAGTCTTTCTCAGCAAATTCATTCCTAGGTATTTCATGACTTTTTTTCCAATATTATTATGAATGAGATCTTTCTCATTTCCATTTTTATTGTATCAATTTAGCCAACTTTCCTAACTGCATTTGATTCTACTATACAGGCTACAATTTACATAAGTCATTTCCAGATTGATTTATATTAATAAATTAATCATTTTATATAAAATGAGTTTGATGAGGCAGATGACCATTTCCTAATTAAAATTCTCATTCATTAGCTGTATTTTTTTTTTCAAATTATACATGGCTATTAGATATTCATCATCTAGGGTTTCTAGTTCCCTTTTGTCTTTATTATAACAACCTACTATTTACAAAACAATGTTTTCTTGTGATATGGTTTGGCTCTGCGTCCCCACCCAAATCATATCTTGAATTGTAGCTGCCGTAACTCCCATAATTGTTGTGGGAGGGACCGGGTGGGAGATAACTGAATCATGGGGGCAGTTTCCACCATACTGTTCTCATGGTAGTGAATAAATCTCACAAGATCTGATGTTTTTATCATTTCCGTTTTTGCATCTTCCTCATTCTCTCTCTGACTGCTGCCATCCATGTAAGACGGGACGTGCTCCTCCTTGCCTTCTGTGATGATTGTGAGGATTCCCCAGCCATGTGGAACTGTAAGTCCAATTAAACCTTTCTTTTGTAAATTGCCCAGTCTCAGGTATATCTTTATCAGCAGCATGAAAATGAACTAATACATCTTGCAACTGACATGTTCATAAATTACTATGATTCACATGACACCATGCATTCACAACTTCACAAAGTTTATTTTGAACTAGGCCTAAACACGTAAGGCTTTAGCAAGCATTGTGAAAATATCTGTTTCTCTGTATGGAGCAGATAGTTCCAGTTTCTATTGCAAACCAAGAGCTAAAAATTTCAGTTGATCATGAGCTCAACAGTAAGCACATAAACCAAGAAATGTTTTATGTAAAATAAAAGTTCTTAGTATTTTAAACAAACATGGATTACACACACGGCAGCACACAAAAATAATTCTTATCCTATGCACAAAATGATAAAGACTAAAGGTCCAGGCACCAACAGTGCAGAGTTCTGGCAGGGAAAGTACTTTGTAAGGACTAGAGCACTCCAGATACAATAACAGTACTGTGTTTGCAGCAATAACCTGAGTCAAATGGCCAGGGTTTGAGTTGAGGCTTTGTGAGTCACTTACCTTCTTGATATGCAGTTAATATGAAACGAGTGTGTTAGTCTAATGGACACGTAAGTCTCTCTCAGTTTTCATGTTCTAAGAATCTAAGTGTTTCTGCTGCTCTCCTAAGACCGCAAGAAATGGCTAACACATCTGAATCCACATAAACAGAATTATTTCAGGCGCTGTGAAACATTCAGGCAAACTAATCAACCATAGTTTATTTATGAAGACATTCTACTGTAGTCTGGATCTTCGCTTACCATGCTAACAAACATATGGAAGTACTAATTTAGTCAAAAATTATATTTCTTTCTCTTTTCTTTTCTTTTTTTTTTTTTGAGACAGAGTCTTACCGTGTCACCCAGGCTGGAGTGCAGTGACGAGATCTCGGCTCACTGCAACCTCAACCTCCTGGGTTCAAGCGATTCTCCTGCCTCGGCCTTCCAAGTAGCTGCCTACAAGTGTGTGCCACCATGCACAATTAATTTTTGTATTTTTAGTAGACACAGGGTTTCACCATACTGGCCAGGCTGGTCTCAAACTCCTGACCTCAAGTGATTCACCCGCCACGGCCTCTCAAAGTAGTGGGATTACAGGCGTGAGCCACCGCACCCAGCCAAAAGTTATATTTCTACATCATTTCTGATACCACAGAAAGAAGTGTAACCTTTGCTTATTTTCATACCTTCAACTGGTAGACACAAGGATGTTCAAATGTGCTAGACTAAGATGTGTGCAGAGATTGGTAGCTATCTTAATATGGCCATACCAGAAAGACAAGTGTTTCTGAAGTTAGGACTCTGTACATGCCAGGGCAAATTAACCATATCCCCATTTAGCATAAGATTCATGTGAGCCACAGTCACTCTGAGAAATTTTCTAGCGTGTACATACTATGCAAACATAGAAATGAATATTCACAATTTTCAACATGTAGTTTATAGAGACTTATAATCAGAACCCACATGTATATATAAAAATAAAGTAAGACTTATGGTAGAATCCTATTACATGAATTTTTTAAAAATCTAAAATAAAATTTTAGCCCCACTCATCCAAAATTTATCCAATATACACAGAGAAAAACCACCAAAAATGTTGGACAATATCTCTCATAGTTCAGTGCTACAGGAGGCCAAACTAGGCGCCTGTTTTTCTAATCAGGAAGTTTCTCTGTTTCAGAGATTAAAGCTTTAGGGAATAGTTAGAGGTTTTGAATACTTTAAAAAACCTTGAATCTTTCAGGTACTAAATTCGAGACAAAAATGACCCATTAGTAATAGACATCAAACATATTAAAACAGAGAGATGGCTTCCGAATATGTATCAGCCATCCAAACTGTAACAAAGGCAATCCATGGCTAGTGGTAAGTAGATTGTTAGAAAAAACAGTTTTGCCTTTTTTTTTTTTTTCAGTTTTTTATGAATTTTCCTCCCATACAGAATTAAAAGGCAGACCATCCCTCTTCTTTTAAAATCATCCTTGCACAAATGCATTCCCTGGCTTCTTTCTCAATTATATAAATGAACCTAATTAAAGACCCAACCATTTGCACATCAAGGTAGCTATTCCATCAGTTGCCAACTTTATCTGTCCTGATTTGAAGAACTATTCAGGAGTATTACAAGAAGTTATGCACCTTTGCCCTAGAGTAAAAACAAGCAAACCCTTCTTTAAGAAATAATTGGTTTCACTGTCTACGGGGATGTAAGCCAGTCTAATTAGTTTACTGTTATATTTGTTTGGCTCAAACAAAGTTAAATGGACATTTGCATGACTGTAAACCTTATTTCCATGTGTTGACAGGTTCATTGCTGCTAAATGATGTTTACTAGTTTTCCAAGTTTGAGTCAAAGTCTTTAATGTTTTCAGTAAATGGGAAAGTTTCTGTAAATAAATACCACACTGAAGAAAAACAAAATTAGTTTGGTCATGCAAAGTTAGGAAAACTGAAGGTGCATGTCTTTACTGGTAGCTTCTGTGCAGAGCTCCCCAAGGGAAATGATGAGATTACTGTAGATAAATGCAGTGAGGACAAATGAATAAAACAAGCTCTTTTCATTTCATTAACTTTTTCCATTAAAGCCAACATTTTAACAGAGCTGGACTTGGTTTCACATTTTATCATTCTCTTTTAACTGGTCAATGGCTTTTACATATTGTCTTTAATTTTATCATGCTCCTCAAAAGCTTAAGTGGTTTTGGAGCACATTGCAGCAGATGGATGAAATAACTGGTAAATATTTGATAACTGGTAACTAGTAGCTACCTTGATAAATAATTGGTAAATTTTGATAGCCTTGCTATCAGAAACATAATTCCTATCAGGAAAATCAGGCCCACAGACAAGTTCTTTGACAGCAGCCTCTGAATAAAGACTATCAGTAATTCAGATATACTGTGAAGTCTTAGGGGGTTTCTTTCCTGTGGGTAATAGTAGAAACTTCCACATGCAAAAACTAAATAAGAGAATACTTCATTTTACTGTAACTTTGCTTTATTGTGCCTCATAAATACTGCATTCTTTACAAATTGAAGATTTGTGGCAACCCTACATTAGCAAGTCTACTGGCACCATTTTTTCAACAGCAGGAATTCACTTTGTGCTTTTCTCTTATATTTTCATAATTCTCACAATATTTCAAAGTTTTTCATTATTAATTTATCTATCTGTTATGGTGATCAATGACCAATGAGCTTTGATGTTACTATTGTAATTGTTTTGCAGCACCACAAACTGTACTTACATAAGATGGCGAACTTCATCAATAAAGGTTTGGGATTTTGTTTTTGTTTTTAATTTTTAATTTTTGTGGGTACATAGTAAGTGTATACATTTATAGGGCACATGAGATACTTTGAAACAGGCATACAATGTGTAATAATCACATCAGGATAAATGGAGTATCTATCACCTCATGCATTTATCCTTTGTGTTGCAAACAATATGCTTACTTAGTTATTTTTAAATATACAGTTAAATTATTTTTGACTACAGTCACCCTGTTGGGCTATCAAATACCAGATCTTAATCAATAAATGTGTGTGTTCTGATTGCTCCACTGAGCAGCCATCTTAGTTCTCTCTATTGCCTAAGACACACCAGTATTGAATTCCAGCCAATTAATAACCCTATCATGGCTTCTAAGTATTCAAGTGATGGGAAGAGTCACACATCTTTCACTTGAAGATATGTCAAAAGCTGAGACAGGCCAAAAGCTAGGCCTCCTGTTAGCCAAGTTGTAAATGAAAAAGAAAAATTTCTTGGCCAGGCTTATGGCTCACGCCTGTAATCCCAGCACTTTGGGAGGCTGAGGTGGGTGGATCACAAGGTCAGGATATCGAGACCATCCGGGCTAACACGGTGAAAGCCCATCTCTACAAAAAACACAAAAAATTAGCCGGGCTTGGTGGCGGGCACCTGTAGTCCCAGCTACTCGGGAGGCTGAGGCAGGAGAATGGCGTGAACCCGGGAGGCAGAGATTGCAGTGAGCCGAGATCACGCCACTGCACTCCAGCCTGGGCAACAGAGCAAGACTCTGTCTCCAAAACACAAAGTTCTTGAAGGAAACTAAAAATGCTACTCCAGTGAACACACAAATGATAAGATAGTGAAATAGCCTAATTGCTGATACAGAGAAAGAAGTTTTAGTGGTCTTAAGAGAAGATCAAACCAGCCTTAACATTCCCTTAAGCTAAAGCCTAATCCAGAGCAAGGCCCTAACTCTCTTTAATTCTATGAAGATTGAGAGAAGTGAGAATGCTGCAGAAGAAAAGTTGGAAGCTAAGGGAGGTTGGATCATAAAGTTTAAGGAAAGAAGCTGTTTCTATAAGATAAAAGTGCAAGAGGAAGCAGCAAATGCTGTTGTAGAAGCTGCAGTAAATTCTCCAGCTGATCTAGCTAAGACCAATGATGAAGATGGCTATATTAAACTACAGATTTTCAGTGCATATGAAGTAGCCTTTTATTACAAGAAGGTGCCATCCAGAACTTTCACAGCTAGAGAGAAGTCAATGCCTGGCTTCAAAACTTCTAAGTTTTAAAGGCTAACTCTCTTGATAGAGGCCAATGTAGCTGGTGGCTTTAAGTTGAAGCCAATGCTATCTGCCATTCTGAAAATCTTAGGGCTCTGATGAATTATGCTAAATTTACTCTGTCTGTGCTCTAGAAATGAAACAACAAAGCTGAATAACGGCACATCTGTTTAGTATAGTTTACTGAATATTTTAACCCCATTGTTGAGACCTACCACTCAATAAAAATATTCCTTTGAAAATATTACCGTTCACTGACAATGCATCTGGTCATCCAAGAGCTCTGATGGAGATGCACAAGTAGATTAATGTTGTTTCCATGCCTGCTAACACAACATCCATCCAATAGCCCACTAATCAAGAAATAATTTTGACTTTCAATTCTTATTAAGAAGTATGTTGGCCGGGCACAGTGGCTCACGCTTGTAATCCCAGCACTTTGGAGGCCGAGGTGGGCAGATCATGAGGTCAGGAGATGGAGACTATCCTGGCTAACATGGTGAAACCCCGTCTCTACTAAAAATATAAAAAATTAGCCAGGCATGATGGCGGGTGCCTGTAGTCCCAGCTACTCAGGAGGCTGAGGCAGGAGAATGGCGTGAACCCATGAGGTGGAAGTTGCAGTGAGCCGAGATTGCACCACTGCACTCCAGCCTGGGCAACAGAGCAAGACATCATCACAAAAAAAAAAAAAAGAAAAAAAAAAAGAAGTATGTTTTGTAAGGCTGTAGCTGCCATAGAGTGATTTCTCTGATGAATCTGTAAAACTGAAAATTTTCTAGAAAGAATTCATCATTCTGGATGCCATTAAGAACATGACTCAAGGAGCAGGTCAAAATATCAACATTAACAGGAGTTTGGAAGAAGTTGATTCCAAACCTCATGGATGGCTTTGAGGGGTTCTAGCATTTATTAGAGAAAGTTGCTGCAGATGTGGTGGAAATAGCAAGAGAATTAGAATTAGAATGAAGATTTGACTGAATTGCTGCAATCTCATGATCAAACTTGAAAAGAAGAGGAGTTGCTTCTTATGGATGAGCAAAGAAAGTGGTTTCTTGACATGGAATTTACTCCTGGTGAAAAGTCTGTGGACGTTGTTGAAATGACAAGAAAACATTTAAAATATTCCATAAACTTAGTTGATAAAGCATGGCAGGGTTCAAGAGGATTGACTACAATTTTGAAAGAAGTTCTACTGTGGATAATATGCTATCAAACAGCATCTCATGCTACAGGGGAAACTTTCCTGAAAGGAAGAGTCAACCAATGTGGTAAACTTCACTGTTGTCTTATTCTAAGAAATTGCCACAGCCACCCCAAGCTTCAGCAACCACCACCCTGATGAGTCAGCAGCCATCAACGATGAAGTGAAACAGACCCTCTACCAGCAAAAAGATGTGACTCAATGACACCTCAGATGATCGTCAGCACTTTTTAGCAATAAAGTATTTTAAAATTAAGGTCTATACATTGTTTTTAGACATAATGCTGCTGTCTACTGAATAGACTACAGTATAGTGTAAACATAACTTTTACGTGCACTGGGAAACCAAAAATTTCATGTGGCTTGCTTTATTGTGGTGGTCTGGAACCAAACCTGCAGTATCTCTAAGATATCCCTGTAAGCTCATACAATTGTGCGTGAAGCAGGAGGTTGAGATGTTGGTCTGTGGCTCAGTTAAAATCCTTTATACTCCAGAAAGCATGATAGAAATGTGAAGAAAAGATGAGCCCGAAGGCAGTGCACTGAAGTGACTTTTAGTGCGGCTCTATTACAGGACTGGGAAATATCTGATCAAAGAGCCACAAAAACAAAAACACTTATCTATCAATACGAGCACTGCTTCACAGAAACATTACTACATTTAGATAATGTAGGAAAAGCTTACCACCTGAAGTGGATGATTTATCACTTTTTACCCAGCCATTTGGTGTCAAAGTAATGCACAAGCTACTTCTACCAAAGTCAAAGAAATTAGAGATAATCAGAAGTGAGTGAGGGGACAGAGACAAGTGAATGAGCAATGAACAAGTGAAAACAGAAAGACAGGTACAAGATGGGCACTGAGGTGACATAGTGAGGTACAAAAAAAAAAAAGAAAAGAAAGATTTAAAGATTTGCAGATCAGTCATGTGAAAAGGGCAAGTTATATCTTGCTGCTTTCATCAGCTATGATGGCATACCATACAAATATACTTGCCTAATACACAAATGGGATGACTGAGATGAGTTTAGTTAGCTTAGAGTTATCCTGCCACAAGACGGTGGCCTCTTTTGTTCCCTTCTCTGCGGACCTCACAGCATTACTGTCCTCACTGCCCATGAATCTTATTAGCTTTTCTATTTTTTCTAGGTGTATGCATAGGCTTTGTAACTACAGGACTTGTCTACATTAATAACTTGAACCAGTAATATACTATTTCAGCAACCAATAAGGAAGGCATATTAGATTTCCAATGTCAAATTATAGATTTACTGTGTTAAAATAAGTATATATCAGCCAGGTGCAGGGGCTCACACCTGTAATCCCAGCACTTTGGGAGGCTGAGGTGGTTGGATCACCTGAGGTCAGGAGTTCGAGACCAGCCTGGCCAACGTGGTGAAACCCCGCCTCTCCTAAAAATATAAAAGTTAGCTGGGTGTGGTGGCTTATGCCTGTAGTTCCAGCTACTTGGGAGGCTGAGGCACAAGAATAGCTTGAACCAGGGAGGCAGAGGTTGCAGTGAGCCAAGATCATGCCACTGCACTCCAGCCTGGGCAACAGAGTGAGACTCGGTCTCAAAACACAAACAAACAAACAAACAAAAAACAGAAAATAAGTAGATCAGGAAAGGAAATGAAAATATGGCCATTTTCCTAAAAGTGTAAGAACAAATCTGGCTCCAAAAAAAAAAAAAAAGTTGAAATTGACTTGACTAGGACACCGAAGAGCACAGTCTGAGACAATAAAACAGTTTTAGAGTCTGAGTTCAAGTGGTCACTTCTCCATAGTTTCTCAGGAAGATCATTTCAGCTGGAGTTCATCGTTCAACTGAGGTCTTCAACACGGCATAAGGCTAGAGGATGGGAGGCATGGAAAATTACTGTGGCTAAAAGAGCTTGAATGAAAAAATAAGCTTTGCACAAACACATGGGAAGCTGGTAACAGAGACTTTATCTTGCAGCAATGCTGCCCCTTCAATTGGCCAGGTTGAAGCCATCATGGGGTCTGATCCGCTTGGCACTGTGAATATTGAACTGTTCAACTGGGCTTTAGTTCAGACAGGCAAAAGAAATGATCACCACAGGAATGTTTCAGAGATTTTTTAAAATGTAGAAATAGCCATGTTATGCTACTGGGAAAAAATAAAACCTTCATGGTAGAATTTGGTGTCCCTTAATAAGCGACTATCAGTCTCTTTCATTTTCTGTATCTCAGAAGTTTTCATACACACCCTTTCACCTTTACTTAAAAATGCAGACTTCAATGACAAAGCAGGTGTAGTCACTTCCAACTCACATGTAAATTAAAAATGAGGCATAAGGTTTAAGAAGACACCATATAAGATCCACGAAACTAATAAATTTAGCATCTCATCTTCAATTCTTCAATGAGTTCAATATTAGTGGAAACACATTTTCAATGTGTACTCAAGACAAATTAGATGCAGAGCAGGTAGTAGTGAGAAAATGAAGAGGCTTGATTCAAAAAGTGTCCATTCATTCTATCCACCTCATGTCACGTTTCCATTATTGAAGTTTTTATCACATATGTGTGCTGGCGGCAAGTGTTTATAAGGTGTCATTAGACACGGGCATTCTCCTGGAGCATTCCAGTGCCTACTGGCACCTACTCTCACCCCCAGGCTTCACAGAGGCAGTGTGAGAAAAGAGAAGTAACAGATGTTCCAGTTTCAAATTCTGGTGCAGACACTGTCAGCTGCATGGGCTTGGGCAAAGTACTTCTGCCTCTCATCCTAAATTTATTTATCTGTAAAATGAGAAACTATTGCCTACTTGAGTTGTAGTAAAGACAAAGAAATACAACCTTTATATATCATCCATGACATGCAAAAATACTCCAATAAATGTTAATGCTCCTCTATTTCCTCTTCCTCTGTTACTGGTCCAAAAGAAATTAGATTAAAAAGTGTTCTTCTTTCTGGGACTCCAATTGTTGACTAGTACATAATATTGAAAAGAAGTAAGTATGAAAGGGTAAATTATATTAATTCACTACATTCACCGCAATCCCCGGCCATTCATTCCTTATTAGTCCTGGATTAGCACTCCACTCCCCTAGCCATCAAACCTCTTTGTCTCCTGGATTGTAGACATTGCTGTGGTCTATTTGGATTTCTACTATTTGAGACAGATGGAACTCTGACAGTGGCCTCGGAAGTACTGAGTGAGAATAAGAAATAAGAGATGCTACATGGAATGGCGAGAAGAGCACTGGACTTGGTGTCTGCAGCTTGTGCTTAAGTCCACAGCAGAACACTCATTGCCTTGATTTTTCTGTGTCTTACTTACCACATTAGAAATGTGAATAACTATTAGGCTTATCCGATTTAAACCATAAGAATTTGTGAGGATCAAATGCACTTATTAATGATATTTCTTTACAAGTGCTAAATAAATGTTAATGACTGACACCATTCTTGTCATTATAAGGTTACACAGATACATTGGAATTATTTTCTTCATATTGCAGTCTTGCTTTCTTCCTAAAGTTAACCAAATCTAATATAAGAGTTCCACAGTCCCTAGGCTTACCAGAAATGGTAATCAGAGAACTTTAGCTGATGCCATTTAATACTTGAAGACCAGACTAAATTAGCGGTTTTCCTGTGATTTGGGCCAACACATAGTGAGGACACATTATCTCTGGCCAGTCTACTTCTTCAAAAAGTGATCTGAACCTTCAATACATTCTAGAATCAACCAGGCCACTCCAGGTTTCTGTTTCTTCTGGAGTATCCCTTGGTCATATACTCCCCACGCGACTGTCACCATAACACATTCTAAATCTCCGAGACTCATATAGTCCAGAACATAAGGTCTCAACCTGTGAGAGTGACAGTCCTCCATTAATATCACATGGTAACACACCGTTAACATTAACATCGAGAATTTAGGGGATTGCAAAACAACAAAATAAGCTAAATCAACAGTGTAGTGTTTAAACATTTCCAGCAATTCCAAAGCTCCAAAACAGCTGTAAACAATTTGGGGAATAAGATCAGCCAAAGAGAATGTCTAATTTCCATTAACGTAGGAGTATCTATTCAGACCCCGCTGTAGCCATAGAGGCAGTATGTGAGACAGTTTTCAAGCCTGGTTCCAGCTCAACTTGGTGAAAATTATTTCCTGGCATTCTTTCAAGTTCTTCACTGTGGAGCCAGACTGTCTGGGTTCAATTCATAAGTTGACCACTTACTAGCAATATAACCCTAAGGTTAGAACCCCAAGCAAGATCCTTAACCTCTTTGCCTCAGTTTCCTCATCTGTAAAATGGGGAAATAACAAAGCTACCTCATTAGGATATTGTCAGGATCATACTGGAAACTAGAATAATTCCAGAAAGGAAGTAGTTACTTATTATGTATTAACTATTATTATAATTTTTATTCTTTATATGTTCTTTATAGTGTGCCAAACTAATATATTCAATTTGCATGGGATGTGAAACATATACTATTATCCCCACTTTACAAGCAAAGAGACTGAGAATCAGAGAGGTTGGTGGCTTAACCATGTTGGTGGGTTAATTGTGGTTTCAAACATAGTCCCCTCCTCCAACTCTACCCACCCACATTAAACCTCAATGACTCCAAGAGTTTCTTTAGAAACACAAATGAAGCAACTGGCCGCACATGATTGTTAGAACAGAGAGCAAGCTCTCAACAAGCCAAAATTCAATCTTCGACAGGAAGGCTAGGCAACAACATTGTCGTTTTCAAGTGAACAACACAGCCAAGTCATTTTGTTACTGGCAGAACTTTCAACCTGAAAACCTTCATATAGAACTGAACCAAATAAGCCTATTGCAAAGAGGATGAAGAGTTACAATGATACTTTTCAGAAACAATCTGAGAAATCATGAAATAGCTTTCATATCATGCAGGTCCTGTAAACCCAGAAAATTTGAGACAGGTCTCAGTTAATTCAGAAAGTTTATTTTGCCTAGGTTGAGGACATGTGCCCGTGACTCAGCCTCAGGAAGTCCTGATGACATGTGCCCACGGTAGTTGGGGCACAGCTCAGTTTTACACATTTTACGAAGACAGGAAATATCAATCAAGAAACGTAAGAAGTACATTTGTTGGTTGGGTTTGGAAAGGCAGGGCAGCTTGAAGCAAAGTCAGGAAAACTCCAAGCAGGGAAGAGGCTTCCAGGTCACAGATAAGTGAGAGAAGAACAGGCACATTCTTTTGAGTTTCTGATTAGCCTTTCCAAAGGAGGCAACCAGATATGCATCTATCTCAGTGAGCAGAGGGGTGACTTTGAGTAGAATGGGAGGCAGGTTGGCCCTAAGCAGTTCCCAGCTTGACCTTTCCCTTTAGCTTAGCGATTTGGGGGTCCCAAGATTTATTTTCCTTTCACAGTCCATATCAAGGTAGGAAAGTGTGTCAATTGACATAAAGGGTGTAATTATGAATATACATGTTGGCTTAATGAGAAGGGAACAACAAAAACAGAAAATGATTTTCCAAAATCCACTTCCACATAAGGAAATGTGTCCAGATTGTGGTTAAAACTGCCTGGCCCATATTAGCCTTGTATATCATTTAGCCCATGAAAATTGCTAAATATCAGGGTCAGTCAACATACAAGCAAGGAAGGGGACAAGGTGAATATAAAGTCCCAGGGGTGCTGCAGATCTGCAGGGAGCTTGTGGGCTTCCACTGTCTTTTGCTCTGCCATTGTCCTGAGTCCATCTAAAGGGGAAGGCACTATGACCAACCAGGGCACTGGTGGGTGGCAACTGCTCTCCTCCTTCCAGCAAAGGAAGGGAGGAGATTTACTTTCTCATGCATACACTAGGTTCTCTGTATCTGAAAACCATACAGTGAGGAGCGCCTCAATGATAGCATGTAATGATTCATTAAGGCTCCAATCATCTCATACACCCATAATGTACTAAAATCCAGTTCCCTAAAAGCAAAAGTCAAACTGAAGGCATCTTGAGACTGAAGGAGTGTTCCCCTAGAAATAAAGCATTCTTCAAATGGGCAAAAGTGATGAATAAGTACCCCTTCTCTCTCTCTCTCTCTGTCCCCCCACCACCCACGTTCCACCTTTGATGTGGCAGGAGAGAAGTCATTACCATTTTTTTTGAGACAGAGTTTCGCTCTTGTTGCCCAGGCTGGAGTGCAGTGACGCAATCTCGGCTCACCGCAACCTCTGCCTCCCGGGTTCAAGTGATTCTCCTGCCTCAGCCTCCTGAGTAGCTGGGATTACAGGCATGCACTACCACGCCTGGCCTTTTTTTTTTTTTTTTTTTTTTTGGATTTTTAGTAGAGACGGGGTTTCTCCATGTTGGCCAGGCTGGTCTTGAATGCCTGACCTCAGGTGATCCGCCCACTTCGGCCTCCCAAAGTGCTGGGATTACAGGCGTGGGCCACTGCGCCTGGCGTCATTATCATTTTAACATTGCTGCTGTATTTTCCCTTGTAGGGACAAATAATATGACTATTTTCTACCTCCTTGCTCCAAATCATCAGCATAAATAGCAAACTATTCAAGGAGGACAGACTTGGCAAGGAAAATTCCAGGCTAGCTATTATGGCCTGACAGGTTCATCATCCCTCTTAATGAATGAAAGTACGAAGTGCCAAAACAATGTTTAATTCAAAAATCATTTATCTTGGCTTTATAAAGGAGGAAAACACTGAGTCAGACACACATCTAAGCACGAATTTGGACACAATTTCTCCCTGTTTCTGTTTGACATGGCCTCACATGAACCCCAAGGAGCCACCTCTACAGCCAAGAGACAGATGATCAAGGTCTTCTAGCAAGAGATGCTTTTTTCCAATGTTCCCAAAGCACTTTCCATTAGCTGCACGGCAGAAACAATCTCCTCTTCCTTGACCACACTAATCATCTCCATCAACCTTGTATTGAGAGAAGCAGATGCTTCCTTTAACCTCTCTGAGCACAGCCTTCAATTCTTGCTAAATCCAGGGAAGACCGAGCATGGTTCAAAGTTCCACACTTAACATTTCAAAGAAGTAAAACCCATCATCCACCCACATTTCCAACCCTGGCCATAGTAAAAAAAGTAAAGAAGATAAAAAGGAGGGCAAGGAGGGTTTCCACATGTTGTTCCATCCAGGGTCAAGTGGTCTTTCTATGCCCTTGCCTTGGACTTCACCATGAAAACCCCAGTGTGTGTTTCTTTTAAGCACTACATTGAAGATCTGAACTACAAATCCAAGTATGGTACAGGAGACAAGGTGATTCCTGGCTATATTTTATTGGCTCTTAAATACCAGAATGCATGCGCACGTCTAGCTAGGATTTAGCCTGTTCCTTCCTCCTAAAATACTGCAGCAAGGGGAAAAGAAGAGGTTGGCTAGACCAATAATTCAAATACATTGAGAGAGAAGCAGCTCCATGATGAAGCCTAAGGATTGGGACTCTTGTCGCTAGAGAGTTCACTGAGATTTACATAACTTGAGCTGTCTTTGCATGGTTCATAAAAAATCATTACGTGAAAACCTTGGCTGCTCATGGCATTATGCAATGCAGACCCTCTGAAACAAATAACTGTTAAACACATAAAAGGATTCATGTATTAAGGGGGAAAAGCAAATGAAACCTGTTAAACAAATTATAACTGAGATGAGTCAACTGGTACTCTGGTCACAAGAAGAAAGGCAGAAAGTAGAGTTTTGCACTTAATTTATGAAAGAGAGATCCAACAGTTCATTTTAAATTAAGATCATGAAATGAATTGAACAGGTAGGCAAATTGTTGTTGTGGGATGTAAGAATTTTAGGAGACTAGGAATGTGAGACAAGCACCAGATGAAGGCTCTAATATGGATTCCTTCTCCCCTCTTCCCACCTACCCTGCTTCCCCGTTGGCCTATCTAGGTCTGTCTCCTATCTAGGTCTGTCTCCTATCTAAGAGTACAAAGGTTAGCCTAGTTTGCTCCATGGCAACCCACTGAGTCTAGAGCAATCCAAATCTCATCTTACTCAGTATCACCTGAAAGGCTCAGTTAGTTCTCACATCATGTGGGGTTTGGGTTTTGGTGTAAGGAAGAGCAGGTTTCATGGACTATAAATTTTTACTTTTCAAATATCGACAAATTCTTGGTCATGCCAACCACTGCAAGCTTCTATGTTTTAGAAATTGAGTGTAAGGCATAACGTTCTTACTCTGTGAGTTGAACAGGTGCATTAGCTCTGAAATCTGGGACCCTTGGAAATTGCTCAAGTTGGCTGTGTGTGTGGGGTACCCTTGGAGAGTTACATATCCTGGCCATTTCCCAAGAGGTTTAATTTTCTCAGTTTTGTAACAAACAGAAAACATTGGAAAAATACATAAGAAGTTATCCTTTTGTTAATTTTTCCACACTTAAGCACATAATAGCAGAGGGAGGAGTGGAAAGAGATCACCAGATCAAGGATGGGTTAGAATGTCCCTGAGATTTCTTGGAAGCCATAAAATACCAAGTGTTTTCACTGCTAAACTTCTCAAATTCATGTGTTGGGCATTATGTTCTTTTAAAGTCTCACTGAATCCTAAAATATGCCAGAGATCACATCACATTTACTAATGTATTGGGGTTTTGCAGAGAAATAGAACCAATAGGACACACACACACACACACACACACACACACACACACACACACACAAGGTTTTATGTTAAGTTACCATATACTATGTTATGTATCTATAATATAAAATGTATTATAACATGAAGGCTGAAAAGTCCCAAGGTCTGCAGTCAGAAAACTAGAGGAGATCCATCCAAGCTGATGGCGTAAATTCCAGTTCAAGGCCAACTTCAAAGACAGAAGACTGATGTCCCAGATCAAAGACAGTCAGGCAGACAGAAAGAATTCTTTTTCATTCAGCCTTTTATTCCATTCAGGCTTTCCACAGATTGGATGAGACTCGCCCACACTGGGAGAGACAATCTGCCTTACTTAGTCTACTGATTCAAATGTTCCTGTCATCCAGAAATACACTCAGACACACCCCGACATCATATTTAACCCAATGTCTGAGCACTCTATGACCTGGTCAAGTTGACACATAATATTAATCACTGCCACCAAAAAAAAAAAAAAATGGCAGTCATAACTGTTATGAGGGATACTTCCATCTTCCCCATTCCTCTTGGTTTCCCTGTGGAGGAATTTCCATGCACCAAGAACTTCCTACCTGTCTCTACTGCCTCCTGTGTTCATACCAGGGGAAGAGAAGAAGTGAATTAATTGGTTGTAGAGTCTGGAAGAAGGAATTGGGTGTGCAGGACTCCATCTTGTTTGGGTTCTCTACACAAATGTACCCAACTGTAGGGTAAGCATTCATCCCTTTCAAGTCTCAGTCTCATGGAAAGGTTTAGGTGGGACTAGGTCAACTCCAGGAGTCCCTAAAAGTCTAACATTTGGTTCACTGACCAGGAACCTAAAGAAACAGATAATGGATTTCTGGATATAAAATACCTGGAGAGTGTAGCAATTCTTTGGAGACTTGCCTTGATTGTCTTCACTCTGGGGGTGTATTAGCAAGCTCAGGCCACAAGAAACTCAGTAAATCCCAGCGTGGGACTATTCACAATAGTGGCTGGGCTGACCCAGCTCTAGTATGTGAGATGCTGCAGCATGTCCTTAAGCTACACGGGCTCCTCTTACCCTGGTGATGCAGGTGAGGAAGGCAAAGGATGCGAAGAAAGCAGACCAACTCCCAAGGCTCTTTTATGGATTGAATTGTGTCCCCTATAAAGATATGTTAAAGCCCTCACCCCGGCCAGGCACGGTGGCTATCACCTGTAATCCCAACACTTTGGGAGGCCAAGGTGGGCGGATCACTTGAGATCAGGTGTTTGAGAACAGCCTGGCCAAAAGGGTGAAATCCCATCTCTATTAAAAACACAAAAATTAGCCGGGTGTGGTGGCACGCACCTGTAATCCCAGCTACTCTGGAGGCTGAGGCAGGAGAATCACTTGAACACAGGAGGTGGAGGATGCAGTGAGCCCAGATTGCACCACTGCACTCCAGCCTGGGCAACAGAGCAAGACTCCCTCAAAAAAAAAAACAAAAAAAAACAAAGCCCTAACCCCCAGTACCTCAGAATGTGACCTTATTTGGAGACAGGGTCATTGCAGATGTCATTAGTTAAGATGAGATTATCCTGCAGCAGAGTGGACCCTCAATTCTATAACTGCTGTCCTTAAAAGAGAAGAAGAGTTGCAGAAACACAGACATGCAGGGAGAATGCCATGTGATGAAGGACACAGGGACTGGAGTGACGCAGCTGCAAGCCAAAGAATGCCAAGGACTGTCGGGAACCAAAAGAGGCTGAGAAACGCAAGAAAGGACCCTTCCCTACAGATCCTCAAAGGGAAGACGGCTGCTGCCACCTTGATTTCTGATTTCTAGACTCTATTGCCACAAAACAATAAGTTGCTATTGTCTTAAGCTACCCAACGTGTGGTATTATACTTTGTTATGGCAGTGCTAGGAAATGAATATAGACTAATACAACAATCTTTACCACTCCAGACAAGCACATGCACAGAGGTTCCTTAAGACATTGTGAAATGCAATCCAAGGAAAAATAAGCCTTTTTCTAAATATCCTAGGATAACTGCCCCTGCCTCAATTACGGAAAAGACCTTTCTACAGTCTACAGCTGGGTGAAAAGAACAAGCAGCACAGAGCTGGCCAAGGAAGCAAGAACAATAGAACTCAGCAACCCAGCATTGTCTGTGTTCCCTCGGCCCCAGCTTCCAGATCCTTCTACCTGCTGACCTAAAGTACTTCAACAAACTTAAATTTGTAACTTATTAAGAATAATGTTCATTGAGCATTTTCCATGTGTCTGGCAGTAATCTAGTAGCCCTTACATGTATTATATTCAAATCCTTGCAATAACTTGCAAGAGAAGCATTTTATCTCCATTTTCTCAAATGAGAAACTTGAGTTTTGTATATGTCTGTATTAGTCTGTTTTCACACTGCTAATAAAGACACACCCGAGACTGGGAAGAAGAATAGGGTTAACAGACTCACAGTTCCACGTGGCTGGGGAGGCCTCATGATCATGGCAGAAGGCAAGGAGGAGCAAGTCACATCTTTCATGGATGACAGCAGACAAAGAGAGAGAGCCTGTGCAGGGAAACTCCCTCTGATATAACCATCAGATCTTGTGAGACTCATTCACTATCATAAGAACAGCATGGGAAAGACCCACCCCCATGATTCAATGATTTCCTGCCAAGTCCCTCCCACAACACCTGGGAATCATGGGAGCTACAAGATGAGATTTGGGTGGGGACACAGAGCCAAACCATATCAGTGTCCAATAAATCAAGAAGCCTGATTTTAAGCCCAGGGCTGTCTGAGTCTAAAGCCCCAGCTCAGTCTTGAACATATTTCTGGATACAAAGATCCAGGTGTACTATGCAATTTGGGAACCTAAGAATAAATCACTGTGCCAGAGATGAACAAAAAGTACAAGCTTTCCTCAACAGCTATTCATCAAAATGTTTCTCAGACATGAGAGATCCCCAAAATACAAAATAACACTCCTTACTGAGAAGATCGCACTGAAGGCTCATTTTCTAATTCGACCAGGAAAAACCAGACTAGGTAGAGAATTCCAACTTTGGTTTAGGTAGCTCCGACTGAACTTCAGGGTTGAGCTCAGTAAAAAAGGAGAGTTCCAGAGGGTCATTGTTACTCTCGATCTAGTTTCTAGTATCACAAAGTCTGAAATATTGCTTGCTACTAACATTGGCAGCATTTACTCTTGGTAGCCTGGAAATTTCTAGCAATCAGCATACTCATTTCTGGAAACCACAAACAGGTTGATATACGGACCGATGGTTTGCAAGGACCAGGTGTACAAACTGCTTACTAAGCTTGCACTAGGATTTTGTGACAGGTCATTATTGCTCTGGGGATAAAGTCTGAAGTCAGCATCACCCCCACCCTACCTACCCGCTCCCTCCCCCGAGATGTGCAAGAAACTTGTCCTCCGTTCCATCACTTACTGCATGCACTCGACACTGGAATTATGCAATGGCTCAACAACAGCACATCTCAAACCTCAATTTGCATCCAAGTCACTTGGAGAAGTTATATTTAAATACCGATTCTCATTAGACAGGCCTAGGGTGGAGCCGGGATTTTGTGTCTCTAACAGCTTCTAGGGATGGGATGCTGCTGATCCCAGATCCCACACTGAATAGCCTGGGGATAAATGACCAATGTTCACAAACTCCCTGGCCCTTTCACACTTCTGAGCCTTCCTCACACACAGGAACAACCCTATGTTCCAATTCCCCCTTGTGACTCCACTGCACGTGAAAGTCTGGATCAGACATCAGCTCCTCTGTGAAGCCTCTACAAGATCCCCCTCGTTCCCAGGCATGGCTCTTTCCTTTGGGTCTGCTGTGGTTTCTAAGTATCACCTTAAATTGAATTATTGTTCTCCTTCCTTTGCCTTTGTCATAGACTGATCACCTGGGGGGTGGTGACATTGGCATCAAATGCATCTTCTTATCTTTGACACTTTGCAAGGGGCCTGACCTAGGGGAGGTGTTAAACTAGGTTAGCTGAATAATGAATCAGACTTAACAGGTTGTGTTGTCAGGAGCTTATACTTCCCCCAGTTTTCAAAGATAATTGGCTAATCTCCAGTTCTTTCAGTCCCTTGCATTGTGATTGGTCCACACTTGTTGATTTGTACTTGTTCTAGAAATTCTTTTAAAAATATGACATCGCTTTTGCTGGGCTGCAATTTTAAATCATAGATCTCTACTATGAAGAATGGAGTCCAGAGAATGATGCCTTAGTAAAAGGCACTTTTAACTGTATGATTCTGTGCAAATTATTTGCATTCTCTGTTCCAGTCCTTCTTTTCTAAACTGGTTATAATAATAGTACTTGCCTCATTGGTTCTGGGGTTAAATGAGTGAATATATGTAATGCAGTTAAAACCATGCCTGGCACAAAGTAACCAATATAGAATGGTTAGCTGTTGCTATCCTCATGCCTTTCGCATAAAGCCATGTGCTCTTACCATTGAAAGAACTGAAGACAGTTGTTTGTGCTGCTCTGTCATTCCTCTGTCCTATTATATGATACTTTTGTCATTTGCTTTCTGCTTTCTTTGACATGCTTCCCACATTACCTGCCTACATAATTTCAAAAAATATGCTTATGGTTTTCTGCTTTTTCATTCTTGTTTGTCTTAGATCATTTGTGATTTCCTCCTACTGACACTATCCCCAAAGATGTGGTATTCTGGTCCCTGGACTCTGTGCCTGCCATTCCCCTTGTATATGGGCTTTTACATCTGAGCTCAAAGGAGAAACTTTCACACTGGCTCCAATTTCTGCCCATTGGAAAGTTCCACCGTTATATGACTAGAATTTCATTTTTTATATTTTTTATTTTAAAGTCTTTGCTATCATTATTTTTTCTAACTTCTGACAGATAAAACCATGAGCAAAGAATGTCTGAATTTTACAGATGCTCTTTATTAGCATATGAGAATGGAGTCATTGGAAGAGCTGGGCTGCCCATCACTCATCTTTCCTCTCTGCCAAAATACAAGGCTGTGTCATTCATAGACTTGATACTCACAAAACAAAACAACAAAAAAATTTCTGCTTCTTTCTCCTTTCATCCTGATGAAAATGCACTACTTCCAATATCAACTATGTGAATTTCTGATTAAGAATGTATCAGATCATTTTACTGTATTTTCCCAATTCTTTCCATTAGATCTGTTACTTCTGAAAAAATAAAAGCATATTTTAACCTTACAGAGTTTAAAGACATCCAAACTAAAAATCACAAAGGATATTCTGCTCTATGATTTATGAAAGAAAAAGCCAACATAAATAATCAGCGACCACATATGCAAAAAAAAAAAAAAAGGTTTTAGCCCTTCTACAAATGATAGAGGAATAAACATAAAATGATATGATTCAGGTAAAAGAACAGGCTCACAGTATACATACTAAACTATAAATGATTCCCTGCTTTAATCTACTTTTTCTAAACATCAGCCAAATTGGCTGTTACTGTGACTAGGAGGCCCTGCACTGTTAATTCAATCAGAGAACACTTAATTCTAAAATGCAAATGTGAAAGATACGATGAATAAAATACTGGCAAGATGTTACAAAACAGCAATCATATTAGAGGTGTTCATAGACTGCTGAAAAAAAATTGTTCTATCCAGGTCTTTAGCAGCCATATATTAAATGAGCAAATAAGAATAAATGTGACCAGCAATTCAGTCTGAAAAACTCAGCACATGCAGCTGTAGATGAGGAGAGTTGAGGGCACACAAGGGAGACACAGAGGAAAGATACAGTATGTGGTAATATAATAGATTGTGTTCTAGAAGAGAATTTCTTGATCTGCAAAGGATCTGTACTTTAAAATTTTCCAATTTATACAAATATTTTATAAAATGGAACAAAATGAAGAGAAAATTAAAAAAAAAAAAACAGATATACAAAGCCAAGCCCATTGCCCACTCGTGTGGATGGTGCAGTAATGTTAATTTGTTATAAAGGATTATAATCACTCTCAAATTCTCTACTAACCTTGCTATAGACAAATAGTTCAGAGACTATTACTGACCTCACATTGATTATTGCTGCTCTGTTATAAGCTGCTAGAAAAAAAAAAAAAAGGCTAAAAATGGGTCAGAACCACAGTAGCCCAAAGTACATTCTCTCTCACATGGTCCCAAGACAGCTCCTACGGAGGTGGCAGGTGCCCTCACTGCCCATTCCCAGGGCCACGCAGACGTCTGAGCAGGTTTGTCCTCTCTCAAAGTACCGTGTTGGCTCTTAGAATAAATCCACATCCTTTTTATGTCCTAGAAGGTCCTATATGAACTGTCCCCTGCCTACTTCTCCATCTTCATCACTATGCTGTAAATACACACAGGCATTTCTTGAAAAAGCCCTAAGCTCCCTCCAGCTCTAGGGCTACCCCTATATTGCTCCCTCTTCATGGACTCCTGCCCCACCCATCCACTCTATAAATTAAAAATAGCTGAAATACATCAGCTTTCATCCCATGGAGCAGGGTCATCAATTCCCTCTCCCTGAAATCAGGGTCACTCTGGGACTGCTATGACTAACAGAACATGGCAGAAATGATGCTGTGTCCATTTCAGAGCCCAGGCTTGAAGAAACCAGCAGCTTCCACTTTCGGTCTCTTAGAAGACTCTTTCTGGAGCCCTGAGCAACCATATATAGGGTCTGTTTACCTAGAGACCATCCTGCTGGAGTCTCTGAAGTCCCTGTGAGCTCTCTGAGCAACAGTTCCAGCTGAGCTCAGCTATCCAGCCCTCCCAGGCAGGGTGCATCAGTGGCCCTCTAGACCAGCCTGTCCACCAGCTATAAACCAGCAGTGACCTCAGTCATGCCACAAGCAGCAGAAAAATCACAGTCAAGCCCAGCCCAAATTTCTCACTGAAAAAACTTGTGAGCTATTATATAATCCAATGGCTGCTATTTTAAGTAACTGTGTGGTAGGCAGAATAATGCCCCCTCCAAAAAAAAAAATTGTCCACATTCTAATCTCATGAACCTATGAATATGTTACTTTATGTGGTAAGGGAACTTGCAGATGTGATTCAAGATCATGAGATGGTGAGATTATCCTGGGTTATCTAGGAGGGCTCAAAGTAATCACAAGGCTTTTTATGAGAAGGAGGAGAGTCAGAGAGACTTGCAGAGGCTATGCTACTGGCTTTAAAGATGCAGGAGAGGGTCATGAAACTAGATGGGAAAGACAAGGAATGAATTCTCTTCTACAGCCTCCAGAAGAAACAGATTTTCAAACACATCAATGTTAGTCCTCTAAGACTCGCTTCAGACTTCTGACCTCCCGAACTGTCAGACAGATTTGTGATGTATTAAGACACTAAGTTAGCCATCATTTGTTATAGTAGCATCAGGAAACTGATGCATAAAGCCAGGCGCAGTGGCTCACGCCTGTAATCTCAGCACCTTGGGAGGCTGAGGTGGGCAGATCACTTGAGGTCAGGAGTTCGACACCAGCCTGGCCCTAGGGTAAACCCCCCCCCCAACTAAAAATACAAAAATTAGCCAGGCATGGTGGTGGGCACCTGTAATCCCAGCTGCTCGGGAGGCTGAGGCAGGAGAATTGCTTGAACTTCGGAGGCGGGGGTTGCAGTGAGCTGAGATCGCACTGCTGCACTCCAGACTGGGCAACAGAACGAGACTCTGTCTTTTAAAAAAAAAAAAAAAAAAAAAAAAGAAACGAACATATAAAGTTTTAGGTTGATTTGTTATGCAATAATAGAAAATGAAGACAGAACTTTTCCTCCCATCCCACCTCCCCACACAGGTGTGTGCACACAAATATTACCTTGCTAATTCCTGTTCATTATTCAGAATTCAACCTAAATTTTTACTTGTTAGCATGCGTTAAAGAATGTATTCTTAGTAGAATGTAATTTATTTTTGAGATTACATAATATCTTTGCCCCAGCTGGGTGTGGTGGCTCACGCCTGTAATCCTAGCACTTTGGGAGGCTGAGGCAGGTGGATCACCTGAGTTAAGGAGTTTGAGACCAGCCTGGCCAACATGGTAAAACCCCATCTCTACTAAAAATACAAAAATTAGCTGGGTGTGGTGGCAGGCACCTGTAATCCCAGGTACTCGGGAGGCTGAGGCAGGAGAACTGCTTGGACCTGGGAGTTGGAGGTTGTAGTGAGCCGAGATCGTGCCACTGCACTCCAGCCTGAGAGACAAGAGCAAAACTCCATCTCAAAATAATAAAATAATAAAATAATAATAATAATAATAATAATAATAATAATAATAATATCTGTGTCCCTACATGATTAAAAGTTCCAGAAGGTCAGGCCTAGTCTATCTGCCTGATCAGTGAATCCCTATTACCCAAGTACAATACCTGACATTTAGGAAACATTTGATGAGTGAGAACATGACTGGTTAAATAAATGCAGATGCATCCGAGTATAAACCTTGTGTTGGAACTTCAGTTTGGAAATGTATATAAAACAGAAAAAAAAATGTGTTGGAAGTATGTGCATCTAATGGCAAAAAATTTTAAGATTAAAAAAATTTTTTTAGATTGGTTATTTTTTTAGAATGAAAGCAAGTGACTGCTATACAGGTCGGTATTGAATATCTGAGTATCAGGGATGGGAAATAGAAACATTGATTATTATTCAAAAATCTAAACTTATGTTGACAAAATCAAATAATTGAATTTTGATCAAGTCACATTCAACAAAATTCTAAGAACAAATGGCCAAAGAGGTATTTTCAGCCCTTGAATATGAACCAACTTGAATTTTATACATTAGAGAATATTGGAAAACACAAAATAAAAATAACCTATAATCCTAACACTCATAGGATTATAACTACTGATAACCTCATGAAATATGTCCTTCTCATCTTTTTCCTCTTCAAATATAGTCCTATGCACAATTGGGATCACGTAAGAAATACCGCTTCATAATCTGCATTTCTTAGAAATATTTTCCCACATCATTAAACATTGTTCTTTAACTTTTTCTTTTTACAATTTCAACTTTTGTTTTAGCTTCAGGGGGTACATGTGTAGGTTTGTTACTTGGGTATATTGTGTGATGTTCAGGTTTGGGATATGACTGATCTTAGTATATTGAGCATAGTACCTCAAAGTTTCTCAACTCTTGCTCCCTTCCCCATCTAATATTCCCCATTGTCTATTGTTCCCATCTTTATGTCCGTGAGTACTCAATGTTTAGTTCCCACTAATGATAACACACAGTATTTGGTTTTTGATCCTGTGTTAATTAGCTTAGGATAATAGCCTTCAGTTGCATCCATGTTACTGCAAAGGACATAATTTTGTTATTTTTTATGGCTGCATAGTATGGTATGGTGTATACATACCACATTTTCTTTATCCACTCCACCATTGATGGGCAACTAGGTTGAGTCTATGTCTTTGCTACTATGAATAGTGCTGTGATGTACATATGAGTGTCTTTTCGGTAGAACAATTTGTTTCCTTTTGGATATATACTCAGTAATGGGATTGCTGAGTCGAATAGCAGTTCTGTTTTAAATTCTTTGAGAAATCTCCAAACTGCTTTCCACAGTGGATGAACTAGTCCACATTCCCACCAACAGTGTATAAGCATCTAACACGTTTTTAGTGGCTAAATATAACTTTCACATGTAGATGTTTCAATAAAATATTTTAGCAATGTCTTTTTGTTATAAAAATAAGAAGAATATATTCATAAATAAAAAAAATAAAATTTTCTAGAGTGAAATTCCTAGGTCCTCTGAATTCACATTTCTTAGCATTTCCTAGTTGTAAGGTATAATAAAGGACGTTTGAGAAACAAAACATATTATATCCCCATTTGATGATTAACAATACACAGTAACAAATCTGAAAAGCTCTGAAAAGTCTAGTAATAGAAAAGAAACCTGTATTTAGCTTTGTGCAATGGAAAAAGAAACATATTTGACAACAGAAAGATCTTACTGTATCTCCTAGAGCATGCATGCAAGTAGTCGGCCTTTAGCTTTAGGGTAACTCTGTTGTTACGCTTTGAAAGGTTTTCTACCTCAAGTTCTTAAAACTACTATCTATATTCAATTTGAATATTTAAATATTTCATCCATTAAGCATTTATTTTGGCATCAGGAACATGTTAGGTCCTCCATGTTCATTTTTCTTTAAAACTAGAAGTTGGTTTCTGACCAGGATGTGTTATAAAGTTTTCTCTCCCCTATCCATTTAAAATGCCATTTTTTATCCCACCCTAAATTACCACACACAATTCAGTCTACCTCTGAACTCTCTTTTTCACTGCACTAAGCTGTACCACACCATACTTCCTTTTTTTTTTTTTTTTTTTTTTTTTTTTGGAGTCTCGCTCTTGTTGCCCAGGCTGTAGTGCAATGGCGCAGTCTCGGCTCACTGCAACCTCCATCTCCCAGGTTCAAGTGATTCTCCTTCCTCAGCCTCCTGTCCCATGCCTGGCTAATTTTTTGTATTTTTAGTAGGGACGGGGTTTCACCATGTTGGTCAGTCTGGTCTCGAACTCCTGACCTCAGGTGATCCACCAGCCTCAGCTTCCCAAAGTGCTGGGATTACAGGCGTGAGCCACCACGCCCAGCCCACACTTCTTCAATATTTAATAAATGTATAATATATTTTCACGACACCAAGGAAATGCTGCTCTCATTTCTCATTTCAAAACTATCCTGGACGTCCTCACATGTACATGTATCATTTTACAAATGAATTCAACATATACATATAATTCAACATATATAATGTCATACATATATAACTGAATTGAATTCAGTGTCCATATATGCTAAGTACTTAGAGATGTTGGATTTATTATTCCAGGAAAAGAAAGTAAATTTGGTTAAGTTTCAACATTAAAACCCTGTTGGGATTTCAATAGGAATTGTGTTGAATTCATTTAAGGAAGACTTTGCCATGGGAATGAAGTCTACTCACCTCTCAACAAGTTAAAGATATACTATTTACATGAAGTGGCTGTGATTAGATTATAAAAGTAAACAAGCTAAATGCATATGGAGAAGAACTGGAAATAATTTTTTAATTTACTCCTCACAAAAAACACAGGAGGTAGGTAATTTTATTATTCATTGTTTAAAGAGAAAAAAATTACTTGTATCACACATAAATGAAAGCAAAAAAAAAAATCTCAAAATTTTTGTTTCACAGCTTTTGTTTTCTCATCCAGATTAAATGATGAATTCAACCTCCTACTTCATGTTTTGGTGAATCCATTAATCAGATTTTAGACCTTTGTAAATTTCTGAGATTTGATGAATTCATTTCCCAATTTCTGTCCTGTCCAGTTCCAATACAGCTAAACAAAACATGAGCTTTACACTGTCCTAGTTTCCAGGAAACAGAATATCACTTGCAAAAGATAATCTGAAGCCAAGGTTGTTTCTAGGATAATACTAAAAAGTAAAATAAAACAAGGAAAGAATAGTATTATTTTCTTCTCTAAGAATGTTTGTCTTAACTTTTTCTCCATAACAAATCAGTGAACCAAAAAAAAAAAAAATCTGAGCACACATATTAAACAAACCAATTCAGCCATATTTTGTGCCAATAAAATGAAAGTTACTTCTCCAATTTCATCAGTTAAAAAATCACAAGCTCTAATTTGGTACTTTGAGATATCAGCAGATGAAGAATTAAAACAATTAAATGTATTGAAGTTAAAAGATACTGAGAAAGGATTTAGTAAAATTAAATTGCTGAGGAAGGAATAACATTTTTCTTTTGTCCTTGAAATTGATGTGGGAGGGCTGAATAGCCTTAGAATTTTTAGACTTCTAAGTATATCTCATTTAGTGACTCAGAATGTTAAAAACTTTCTGAGAGGAACTGGTTATTTATAGAGCTAGATACAGTTCATAGACAATAAACTGTCTTTTGGTTTTAAAATGCTGAAAATGTAAAATAGAAATGGTATCTTCTGTTCCACCTTCCTTTCAAAGTATCTATTCTGCTTAAAGTTGTTTGTCCCCTTAACACAAGAGACAACTAAGAGTAAATAACTGCCAAATATTCCCATGATGTACCTCAAGTTTCCATAAGCAGTAACATTAAGCTTTTTTTAAAAAAAGTAACTACATCTCTCATTTATTATCTTGATATTCCATAGCTTTTGAAGTCATAATCTTTATGATTATAGTTGGAAAAGTTAATCAAGAGGGTTATTCCATCTTAAAATCTTGAATAAAAATACATTCATCCATTCAATAAACGTTTATCAAATGTGTATTAAATGACAAATACTCCAGTAGCCGCCAGGCATACGGAGCTGAAAAAAACACAATTCCTACCTCAAAAGACTTCAACCAAGTGGAGGAATGATACCATTGAGGCATCGCAGGAAGCATACACAAAACTCTCATGCAGGGATATGTTGACTGGGCTGTGGCCTAGTACTGGCATTGCTGTGGATTGTGCATGTCTGGGCATATTTGCAGGTCTGGTGAGGAAGACCCCATATAAGTTATATGTTTGGTTTCTGAGTAGTAGAAAGCCTTGCAGCCAATGAAGCTTCATAATAAAATAATAAAACATGTCATATAATAATTTATGGTACCCAATACTAGAAATTGATAAAATCAATGTGTACTGCTTCCTTAAATCAGCACATAGTCTCTAGCTCTAACTTTGATAAAAGTGAGCCCACGGCAGCAGGAACCCTTTGCTTGACTCCCATACTTGTGTCTCAAGTATATTTCCGTTTCTTCTGAGTATGGATCTGAGTCTGTTTCCCAGGCTGAAGTGCGGTGGTGCAATCATAGCTCACTAAAGCCTCAAACTCCTGAGCTCATGTCTCAGTCTCCTGAGCAGCTGGGACAACAGGTGTGTGCCACCACACCCAAGTAATTTTCTCAATTTTTTTTTTTTTGTAGAAACGAGGTCTCACCCTGTTGCCCAGGCTGGTCTTGAACTCCTAGCCTCAAGCAACCCTCCCACCTCAGCCTCCCAAAGTGCACAGATTACATGCATGAGCCACCATGCTTGGTCCATATTTCTCTACTAAAAGAACCCAGATGCTCTGAGGACATGACTGATTCTGTCTTCAGCAGAAAAAATATATCTAAGGTGGGTCTAGAGCATTCTTTTGTGGCCAAAAGGAAGGGTGGTTTTATAGCAGGAAATATAATGTTGGAGGTACAGGGGAGAAGCTTAAAAGTTATCCACAGAAGAAGTTGTAAAAAGCCAAGCATAAAAAGAATAGTAATTTTTAATAATGGGAATAATGTTAAGTTCAAAATTATACTCAAAAGAGAGCAGTTAATATACAGTGCATAAATTAATGTTATAGAAAATACTGCTATATATGATGGAAGAAAAAGCATGTAACAACAGCATGCTTAAATGTATTCACATTGAATATTATGGACGTGTTAATGGATGGATTATTCAGAAGTTGGCTTTAGTTGTGTCTGTGAAAGTCAGGTGACAACACAAAAGGCAAATGAACAATCTCAAAATTCAGCCCTAAACTGATTTCCACAGTAAATCTATCCCCACCAAGCATGTTGTGAGTTTCATAGACTTGACTAAAGATTTCAGGGACACAGGAACATGTCACCTTATGGGCCACTACCCTCAAGATACTGGAAACATCTTCGCTCCACCATCCATCTTCTTTGGGTCCATCTCCTTCTTCACCCTCCTGGATATCCTCCTACACCTTCTTCTTTTGCAGCTCAGAATCTCTCTTCTGGGCAGAGAAATCTGGTTTTCTATAGCCCACATCTGAATATTCACATAACCAAACATGTCTCACTATTTAGAAGAATAAATGTCCCTCAGTGTACCAGATGCCCCACCCCATCTTGAAAACCACTAGCCGCTATAAACAACAGAAAGTTTCTTTGTTATATATATAAAATAATTAACTCTGTTGCCACCTAATTCCCATAGACTTCACCCGTTACAATTCTTCAACCATCTCTAAATGATTTACACACAATTTTTAAACTACTTGTATATTATTCCCTCCACAGTGTGGACTTTCTACATTTTTCTTTTTTACATATACAGAATGCAAAGACACCGTTTACTACTAAAGTGCTTCTCTCTGCTGATTTGTTAATTAGTCTAACAACCTAGGGAAGTTGGGGACTTCCTCAGGAAGTTAGTTTATCCATGAGAAGTTATTTCCTAGTCAAAGAGGAAGTAAACAGACATGTTAACTAGATTGTTAAGGTCAAACTGTGTCCGTGACTGTAAAGGGCAAATATTTCCAATATCAGATTATTTGTCCTAAAATGTTGGTCCCCAAGTTCCTCTATAGTCTCTCTTCACTATAGAAGAGTTGAGAAGATGGTGCTTTAGTGTAAAACCTCCCCAGTACACTAAAGAAAGTTCGTGGATGCAGAATGGCCTATTTGTCACTGACATCACCAAAAATATGGGCTCCATTGAAACCCTAGTACAAAGAACACTGTGGCCACGCAATCTGTAACCCCATGTTTTAGTTAAAGACTGTCCTTTAACACACTTTGTGAGCCTATTCAGTGTTGCCAGGGAGGTGGTTGTTTTGAAGCTTCCATTTTCCCTACATGGACCCAGTGAGATTTCTCCCAGCTCTTCACACCCTAACACATCATGCTATCTTCCTTTCCACGCTTCCACTGACTACTCACACAGCAAAAAGCCAACAGTCCCAGGCTTCCATGAGGGTGTCCTGATTCCTCCAACCCACACCCACTCCCTTCTGCTTTAGACCACCTGTTGAGACATAATTTTATCCCGCCCTGAATGGCTATTTAACTGCTACACAAGTGTTTACTTGCCCCAGTAATTGCTACAGTTCTGGAAGTAGTGGATCTTGTCATAAAATCAAATTCCTTCAGGAGCCAAAGAGCTAACAGAAATATTTAGATGACAGTTTGTTTAAGACAGTTGGGAATGGTGGGGATTCAGTCATAGCAGGGTGCATGCTCCACCGAAATCATTATTAAACCCAGAATTATTTTTGAAAATTCTTTAAAGAGAAGAAAACCCATCTAAGGGGAGGAATCATCCTCTGTGCTACCAGTTGGTGACCCCTGACTGACATATTGTGAGCTCTCCATAAGAGACTAAATACATGTATTTGGACTATATTCTTTAATAAGTTCCCACTCAATTAAGATACTGAAATTACTGATAAAAAAAATTAGGAATGATGCAAGCTTTCATTACAAATACACTTAGATGTACTTAGATGAACCATAATGTCTATGGCTGAAATACAATGATTAGTTTTTTGGTGCTTTTTTTGGAAATGGCAAACTAGGTGAAAGAAATAAACATAGAATTATTTTGGACATGGAATTAGAATATTAAATACCTAAACCTGTCTCTCTCCAACATCTGCATAAAGGCACTGAGAGCTCTGGACATCTCGATTAAATATTACTTTACAATTTCCTTAAGTGCATGGTGTACACATACACACACACACACACACACACACACACAGGAAACGAATTTTCTTCTAAGACTATCATATGATATTCTGGTCATTCTGGATGATGCATTTTGGAAGATAATTCCCTCAAGAAATTAAACTTATTACTTGCGTCTGAAATGGTATTTAGCATTTTATTGTACATTTGTAGGCTTACAAACCAATTTTCTGGACACTGAGATGATGAGCTTTCCACTGCTTAAAAGATTCTTGGATGCAAATTTGACTTCTTTATTAAATTGGGCACACTGAACATTAACATGCTCAAATCACCAGATGTAAGTGGTGCAGTTTTTCAAAAGTTACCTAACTTATACTTGGGCAGTAGCTTAAACAATAAAATAAACTTGGTCATGAAGCAGTGAATTGCTCATTGAATCACCAAAACACATTAAGCTTCAAAGGCTAAAGTCTTGCAAAGCTTTCCTAAATGATCCTGAGAATTCCAAAGATAGTTAAGTTTAAAATTTAATTTTTAAAGACGAAAACAAACCTTTATAATAATCAGTCATCACCTTCCTCATACACAGACTAAAAGCTCCTAATACCACATTTCTGACTTCAGAATCTCTTCCTCTTAAGGCCCCCCACGCAATAGTTGTCATTTTAGCACTATTTTTTAAGAGATTTCTTCAGCATCATTTTCTTTCTCTCATTCTTTGCTTTTTATTCCTATTCCTATGTTACATGTTTTTACTCTACTTTTTTGGTGTCATAGATTGAGTTTCCTTCTATTGTAATAGACAGCTTCAAGGTATATTTCCAGTCTCCTAAGGTACATGCTGAAATTATTATCTTCCACTTTCATATATTTCCAATTAAAGAAAAATTCCATGGCTCAGTTGGGTTTTAGTTTTGATTTGGCTTTTGTTTGTTTGTCTGGTTGGCTGGTTGGTTTTTTTGAGACAGAGTCTCACTCCGTCACCCAGGCTGGTGTGCAGTGGTGTAATGTTGGCTCACTGCAACCTCTGCCTCCTAGGTTCAAGGGATTACTGGGCCTCAGCCATCTGAATAGCTGAAATTACAGATGCATGCCACTACACTCAGCTAATTTTTTGTATTTTTAGTAGAGACGGGGTTTCACCATATTGGCCAAACTGGTCTCAAACTCCTGACCTCATGTGATCGGCCACCTCGGCTTCCCAAATTGCTGGGATTACAGGTGTGACCCACCGTGCCCAGCCTGTGGCTCAGTTTTTTTTAAAGGGAAAATCAGTAAAATAACTATTCAGTAATTTTTTATTACATATACTTTAGATCCTATATAATGACTAACTTAAATATTAATTTTACTAAGTCTGACTGCCATGTGTTAAGAATACAGTTGTGGTAACTTGCAGACTAAATCTTCAACAATTCAAGTATAAAGGCAGCTTAGAATACTAATATTTGCCTTCCATAACTGTCTTAGTCCATTTTCTGTTGCTATAACAGAATGTCTGAGGCCAGGTAATTTATAAAGAAAAGACACTTATTGGGCTTATAATTCTGGTCACCGAAAAGTCCAAAAATGAATGACAGCTGCATCCGGTGAGGACCTCTGGATACTCCAACTCATGGGAAAAAGCAGGAGGGGAGGGGGCATGTGCAAAGAGATCAAGTGGCAAGAGAGGAAGCAAGAGAGAGAGAGATCAAGAAGCCAGACTCTTTTTAATGCTTTTCTCATCTAGGAAAAAAAAAAAAAAACAAACATGTACCTCACAGCCAACACTCATTTAATTTTACATAAACAGTTATTTGAGGCTGAAGCAAATCTGACTGATTTTCAATGTGAAAATAAAATATAAAAACTGTTCTTGGAGTTATTTCTAAACAAAACTAACATCAGAAACATCTGAATCATCAGAATCATCTACTTCAGAAAAGCTGAATTCATCAGATGAATCTTTGGCCAACAACAGCTCGAAAATGATGTTAACTTCAAGTGTAGGAATGCTACATTTTCTAGGATTTGACACTTTCAGCAATCAAGAATTACTGTATTTTGTAAATGTAAATACCACTACTAAAAACAGAATTCTGTAAGTAAAACATTATCTTTTGTTTCCAAAGTCAATACACTAGAGTGATCTGAAAATAATAATAAAAGCAAAAGCTATTTCATGGCAAAGTTATCTTCGGGTAAATGCTGCAGCAACAAGTGCAGGCGAGGATTCTCAGGACAAATGGGAAAACAGTTAAAATATCTGTTCTCATGGGAATTAACCCATTTTCAAGAGAACTCACCCCTGAGAGAGGGCATAAAGGTAATCATGAGGGATCTGCCCCAGGACCCAAACACGGCCCATTAGGCCCCACCACTCAACATTGCCATATTGGGGGCCAAATTTCAACATGAGTTTTGGTGGGGACAAACCACATCCAAACCATAGCAATAACTAAGGATTTAAAGTCAATTTCTAGACCCTATATGGATCACAGAAGTATCTGCATATATAATACTGACAAGCTAAACACAATTATGAGTTGAAATTGGAAAACACACTTCTCCTAAGTACAGTAAAAATATACTTTGATAGGAACTTAGAAAAATGATTAGCATGAAATTCAGTTTCGCTGACAATGACAAAATAAGCATTAAGTACACATCTTATGTCAAGGCTCGTAGTCTTGAGCCCTGATATAATCTTTGCCACCTACTAATTTTACATGAAATACAGCCCAACTGATCCTTTCTGAGTTTCCCTGTTTCATCTGCAAAATGAAAACATTTATGCCTTCTCAAGAGAAGTGTAATGGTGAAACAATGCTCAATGCAATAATGCTCACGAAAGCCTGAAATAATAATTGTCTCAAAAATGTTTGTTGAATTGTTGTAGAGTTTTGAAAAGCTTTTTGGGAAACAGAATTCACCTAGAGTTAAAAGCATCATTTTTCCTTCCCTAGATGATTCATGTAAATTTTGTTTGAAAAGTATATTCAAGAAGAAGTAGAAAGAAGACAATATAAAGATATAAGGACAACAGAACGAAAGCAAAGCCAGATGTCTGGGCATTTTCAAAATAATCCTATTTAGAACTGATCTAATTTGGGCACTGAAAACATGAGAACTCATGACTTCAAATTGGTGATTCTAGATTCCATGGAACAAATATCACCATAAATTCTTTAGAAATCAAATAATTTCACAAGCCTCCAATGATACATTTAAAATGACTTCCTCGCAAGGACTTACACAATATCGCAAAGCGGTATTAACTGAATATTGAAAGGCTATTATAAAATCATGAGTTGACTGAAATGTGTTTCCAACCCTAGGTAACCAGCTAATCTACTGAAGAAAGTTAAGAATCTTTTACCTACGGGGCAGATCCTTTCCTCCTACTGGGAATAATGGTCTTGGGCCAAAGGATTTGGGCTTAACAACCTCTCCCAAACTATTCTGAACAGGCTGCTTCAGCTCTGCAACCAGCTCAAAACAGACTGCTAGAAATCAGGCAGCAAAAGAGAATTAAATAGCGAAAGTTATGTTTTTTCTAATTTGATCGAAACAATACTGCACCAACCTCCTGCTTGACAATTTATTAGGTGTGTAATCATAAGCAAACCCTTGCTGGGCATGGTGGCTCACGCCTGTAATCCCAGCACTTTGGGAAGCCAAAGTGGGGGGATCACTTGAGGTCATGAGTTTGAGACCAGCCTGGCCAACATGGCCAAACCCCATCTCTACTAAAAATACAAAAATTAGCCGGGCATGGTGGCTCATGCCTGTAATCCCAACTACTTGGGAGGCTGAAGCAGGAGAATCGCTTGAACCCAAGAAGCAGAGGTTGCAGTGAGCCGAGATCATGCAACTGCACCTCAGCCTGGATGACAGAGTAAGACTCCATCTCAAAAAATAAAAATAAAATAAGCAAATCCCTTCATTTCTCTGTGCTACAGGTATTTATAAAAATAAGTGTATTGGCCATGGAAGACTATGCAGCCATAAAAAATGATGAGTTCATGTCCTTTGTAGGGACATGGATGAAGCTGGAAACCATCATTATCAGCAAACTGTCGCAAGGACAAAAACCCAAACACCGCATGTTCTCACTCATAGGTGGGAATTGAACAATGAGAACACTTGGACACAGGAAGGGGAACATCACACACCGGGGCCTGTGTCGGGTGGGGAGAGCGGGGAGGGATAGCATTAGGAGATATACCTAATGTAAATGACGAGTTAATGGGTGCAGCACACCAACATGGCACATGTATACATATGTAACAAACCTGCACATTGTGCACACGTACCCTAGAACTTAAAGTATAATAAAAATATATAAATAAATAAATAAAAATAAAAAATAAAATAAAATAAAAAAGAAAAGTCCTGCCCAAGCATTTGGTTTATATCCTTTCTATTTTTCACATTTAATCAGTATTTATTGAGCAAATACACCATGTGAAACAATTGTGCTATATGTGGGGATACTGAAATAAATCAGGCCCAATATAAAAAGTAATAATAACATGCAATATATATTATACATTTTATCATGTTTTATAACAAAATGATACCTCATATTCTAGCTATTTGTGCATGTCTTTCTACTGCTGTTCCTTGACAATAACTGTTTCTCATTTATCTTTGCATCTTTTAGCACGTAACACAATGACTCATATTCAATAAACAGATGGTGATTTCATTAATTAATGTAAAAAAAAATGAGTGTATTGGATCCAAAAATTGACAAGACCCTTTGTAACTCTGAAAATCCCGTGGCTGCATTGTTGTCTGGTTTGATAACCAATGTGTAGAACCAAGATATCATATTAATAGCCCATGCTGTAGATGGGTTCAATATTTGAATATGCGTCCTACTTAAAGAACAGCTGGCCAAAGCTGACTCTTTATCAGCCAATCAAATTTGACCTTTAAACTGACAGTTTTGCCTTCCCCCAGCTCCAGAAAAGACTGAGCCACCCGCCCATAGAGCCATAGCCTCATACCTTTCAGTTCTATGAAAGAAGCTGAGGCTCAGCTTGCTATTTTCAGGAAGCTTCTTCCTAATTAACCTAATCCAACTGATTCTACTCAACATGCTCTGCTGTGTGCTCTATTCCAACCATGGGCTGGATGTGACTTTCATAACTGAAGGTCAAAGGCCCCTCTTTCCAGTATAGGAGAGAATACCCCATGAATGAGAAAGACTGAAAAATATGAAAGAGAAAGAATAGTAACACAACTGGAAAGAATTAAGCTGTGTCTTACAATGTTGGAATGTAGATTATGTTGGGAAAAAATGGAAAATTTCCAGCCTTCTACACTGGAACCCAACCCCCCCTACAGTGTCAGGAAATTAGAAACTTAAACTGTCACAAGAAATACAATGGGCTGTAAAGAACGTCTACACCACTTATCAGGGAGAAAGCCCTGCTGACTGCCAATTCTTTACAAGGGCTGTGGCTTTAGTCTCAAAATTAAGATGCCCAGAACTTTGGCATGAGACTTTGGAATGGAACACTCCCAGTGGGTCAAAAATGCCATTCTCTCATGAATTAAAACCAAAATGTGCCCACTGTGCCTAGGGGAACAGCCTTACGACCCAGAGTGGATTAGCTGGAACACTGGATAGACAGGAAGATCATAAAGTCATTAGCAAAGAAACAGACTTACTGGAGTGGATAAATTCGATGTCTTTACCATTAGGGTTGGGTGCTAGAACACAAAATCGGAGCTGAGGTGAGAGACTACGCAGGGAAAGCCAAGAAAAGAAACCAAAACCAATGTTTGGGAAACCCATGACTCTACAATCTCACAATTCTTCCAGAACTTTCCAGGAAATATTACCATGATGAGTCAGTTCTAACCAGGCACCACGTGCCAGGCTGGGAACACTAGTCCAGGAACTCACTATCAGTTTCAGGCCAGTTCCGCCCCAGAGCTGGAGCATCTGAGGAGAGTTTTGGGGCCAGCGTGCAACCCTGCTCTATACACCAGCCAATCCTCCCCTCGGAACGGGTCTGCTGGCCCGATCTCTCCCCACAGTTGCAAGAAGCATTTTCAAAGAATAGTTTGTGGGCCAGGTGCGGTGGCTCACGCCTGTAATAACAGCACTTTAGGAGGCCGAGGCGGGTGAATCACCTAAGGTCAGGAGTTCGAGAGCAGCTTGGCTAACATGGTGAAACCCCGTTTCTACTTAAAAAAAAAAAAAAACAAAAAACAAAAAATTAGCTGGGCGTGGTGGCATGTGTCTGTAATCCCAGCTACTCGGGAGGCTGAGGCAGGAGAATCGCTTGAACCTGGGAGGAGGAGGTTGCAGTGAGCCAAGATTGAGCCACTGCACTCCAGATTGGGCAACAAGAGTGAAACTCTGTCTCAACAAAAAAAAAAAAAAAAGAAAAAAAGAATAGTTTGTGATGACTCAGATATAAGTCTGAAGATCATGCAGAAGTGGTAGCTGCCCCAACACTCTTTTTTAAGCATACAATTCAATGCTTTTTACTAAATTTACTGAGCTGTGCTGCTATCATCACTATCCAATTTCAGAACATTGTCATCTCCCCAGTAACATTCTTCCTGTCCATTTACAGTTAATTCCCATTCCCACCTGCAGCTGAGGTTAAGTCCAGGTTATGTGAGGGCCCTCTGTTTTCTCTATCCCCATGTCCTCACTTTATTTACCAGCACAATTGCATGAGTTTTCTACGAAGTGACAACACCTGTGTGGTTAGCTACCATGTAGATGTCAGACACAAATGCACACATACATACACCTCCAACCAGGGAAGCAATGTGAACCCTCCCTATCCATCCCATCAGGGAAAAGGCCAACACTTCTGCAAAATGCTTCCAACCTGGCTATTAAAGGTATAGCCATGGTTTTCAAAGACTGCCGGAAAACTGAATATTATCCTTTACAATATATGTCATTTTAAAAAATCAATACCATTCAGACCTTTAAACTAAGAATCTTGCCTGTGCTCCCTGAAGGTGATATTGGCGAATTCAGAGGTGAAAAAATCATGAGAAGCTCAAGGAATTGAAGAAAATAACCATAATCAACTGGCTACTGGAAAGCCAATTACATCCAATATTTTCTTAACATCAAAGGTTAAACATAGTTCTAGAAAACAGTGGGAAGAGAATCCGAGAAGCAGTTTTAGCTTGGCTCCTCTGCAGTCTTGTTACAGGTAGTTAGGTAGGCGTGAGCAGGGCAGGAGACGGCTTCCCATCCCACCCCAACTAGAAATGTCGGTGACGGTTTGGCATTGTCTCTCTAAAAAGTGTAATTCCGCAACCAGGGAGAGACAATCTCCTGATGGTCCACACCTGTTAACATTAAAAGTTGTTAACTGAATACAGACTCCAGGGAGAAACAGCTTCCCGGGAATGCACATTAAAACACAAAAAATGGCTAAGTATGATCTTCCGGTTCCATGCCACCGGGGAAAAAGGAAGAAATCCTCAGATGGGCATGCGTACAACTCCCTAAACACACTGCGCATGCTCAGTTCCTAAGGGTAAAGAGGGCTCCGCGCATGCAGGAAGACCACCCTAAGGGAAGAATCATGGGAAAGAGGTGAGCTTATAAAAGTCCTAGGATCACCGTTAAATGGGGGCACATGAACTTCTCTTTTTAATTTTCAGGTGCCTGCTTGAGTTCCTTCCAAGCGCACCTTCTTTCTTTCCTTTTCTAAGGCCTATATGAGTAAACTTCCATTCCTGCTCTGAAACTTGCCTCGGTTTCTTTTTCTGTTTTATGTCCCTCAGTCGAATTATTTCTTCTGAGGAGGCAAGGACTGAAGTTGCTATAGACCCGTCGGGATAGGCCGCTGGTAATTTGGGGTAACTCAGATCTCTTCCAGTGCTAACAGTCTGAGTGAGAAGTCAGTGTCTGCCTTCTGCTTCTTCCTCAGTGGTTTCCTAGGTGTTTCCCAGTGAGAAGAAAGTTATGCACCATAGTTGAGATCCACCCTCTAGAGGTCAGAGAATACTTCCCTAATCACTTATCCTGAATGGTCTCTTCCTGAGACTATGTCTCCTGTGCGTGGAGGAAATTAGCACTGGCTACTCTGGATCCATATTGAAAAAGCAGCCTGATAAGAGGAAACTAATCATCCCGCAAACATCCCTGAAATACATTTTAATGTAACATGTGCCCACACCTATTCTATGTTTTTTAATATTTTGTTTTAATTGATTAAAAAAACTACAGCAAAAAGGATTCAGACACACAAATAGCAGAACTTAATACTTTCTTTTTTAATTTTTTCAGTTATGCAAGGGAATGGGCAGCATCTTTCATAGGGACAAGCCTCTTCTACTTAAAAGCTAGAAGGAAATTCCTCACTAATTTAGCCCAGTTGCTCAAAACTCTTCCATATGAACATAACATTTTCCTATTTTTCTCGCCTGATTCTACCCTCAGAATAACAGAAAATACATTGTGACAAAATGTATAAAACATTGGCTGGGCCTGCACCTCCTCATAAGGGAAAGGCACAAGAAAATGAAAATTTAAAGCCCCTACAGAGATTTTTTCCCCCTTTGGAAGCATAAAAAGCAGACACTGTTAAATGCATGAGGTCCCACACTACCCTCCCCCAACCCCTGCAACACAGCTGATATAGTTGTGTATTTTCTATTTTTGAAAAGGAGAAAAAATAAGAAAGCTTAAAAAAACAGATTATTTAACCTGCTTTTAACTTTCTATTTGGATAGCCATTCAAATTAGACAAGTTATGGTGACAAGAGTGACTGTAAAACAACGGTAGAAAACATAGATAATCTGGCAAAACAGATTTCTGACTAGAGAGGATTGCACTATGTGTAACTGCAATGATTTCCACTATGGCTCCTAAGAATGAAAGCTTCAAAAGTAAATGTCAGGTCGGGAATGGTGGCTCATGCCTGTAATCCCAGCACTTTGGGAGGCTGAGGCAGGTGGATCACCTGAGGTCAGGAGTTTGAGACCAGCCTGGCCAACATGGTAAAACCCCATTTCTACTAAAAGTACAAAAATTAGCTGGGCATAGTGGCAGGTGCCTGTAGGCAGGAGAATCACTTGAATCCGGGAGGCAGAGGTTGCAGTGAGCAAAGATCGTGCCACGGCACTCCACCCTAGTCTGGGCAAAAGAGTGAGACTCCATCTCAAATAAATAAATAAATAAATAAATAAATAAATAAATAAATAAATAAATAAATGTCTAGAATCAGTTAACGAGATTTGTACATTACCTTAACTGAATTTCATTAATGATCTAATGCCCATACCTGAATTAACAGGCAGAAAATTAAAACTGGATTGCTACCTGGTGCTTCCATACACTGAAAAGAAAGAACACTCCAATCTGCCAGCCTTACGATGTTGGGAAAACGCATCAAACAGTGCTAAGGTTTTAAGCATGGAGAATATAATCCAGTTGTAAAGCTATTAACCCAGAAAAGGTAATTCTTTGCTACTTGAAGCACACTAAGACAAAACATATCAAAGAGAAGACGTATACATACCAGCAGATGTAAACCACATACAATTACAATACATAAATTATAATGCAGATAGAGAGAAATCATGGATCTCAGATGGCCAATGTCAGCCCATGGGTACATGCCCAATATTATGACCAACAGAAATTAAATATCTGAAACAAAAAACTGGAAGTGTGCTTCCGCAACATCCCACAGACTTTAGGAAAGCAGGCGCTACACAATGTCATGAAAATTAGCTGACAGCTCAAGGTCTTTCATTATCAATGGCGTCGATGTTTAAACTGGACTTTAATCCAACAATTAGTTTAGCAACAACTCATTTTCAGACAGAAAGTCATTTAATCATGTTTAACATTAAAATAAAAAGAGCTGATTCTATAATTGGGTCAACTTTCCACTAAATAATTACAATAGAAACAATTAATTCCACACTCAAACAAGTAAGTAGTAACTCAAAAGCTTCCATATTGAAAAGCAGTGGAATTCTAACATGTATTACCACATGCAAATTCTTCATCAAGAAAATCACTGCGACCAATCTTTGTCCTGACAGGAAGGACCTCTTACATATTCTTTAATAATAATAAAGAAACCCCCTTTTTTCCTACTCCCAAATTTTGGAGATTAACTCAAGTTCTACAAATAACATGACTATGATATTGCCACTGTCAAAATCTTGAATTCCAGGTGTGCCTATTTTGAAAGTTCCTCCAGGAACATTCAACTACAGCACAAGGATTTTAAAATAATATCATTTTTTATACGGAAAGACAAGGTATATGATATTGTAAAGCCTTCCCTTAATTCAGCCTATTCCATTTTCACAAAACAACATTTGCCTTATAATTGAGGCACCTGAATCCCGTCAAATCAATTTTCATGAACTGTAACTGCAGCGCAACAACAACAACAACAAAACTTAGGAGACCCTGAACATCCTCATTTTTAAGATCTCATATGCTCCCACTCAGGAGAATAGAACTAACACTCCCACACTTTATTTCTGTTCCAAAAATAGCCAGCCCTGTGAAGAAGAAAGAGAGATAATGAAGACCAGCTGCCTACCTTCGCTGGTAGCCACATTCTTCTGGGCTTTAGTGGGCGTGTGATCTGTACTTGAACTCACGTCAGATGAGATGCTCGAGCTGCCTTTGCCTGGAAGAAACAGGAATGAGCAGCTTTTGAGATTTGTAATTTCAGACCTGGACCATGCCTTCCACTCGGTCCCACAGCAAGCCATATCACCAGTTTCCAAGAAAGCAGCTATAATACAAAGAATGGAGTTTATTAAGTTTTTTTTTGCCTTATGCATTAAATATCTTTTGGGAAATATCTGATCCATGTTATAGGAGAACTAAAGTCTTCTTATAATATAGCTTGACTATAAACTCAGACAAGATTATAAAACGTAGTCAAATATGATAACATAATCTCTTTTTGGCATAAATGTGAATAAGAAAGTACATGTGGGGAACACATCTCCTGCATTAATTTTTTATTTGCAACTATAAATTATGCATTTCTCAGTAAAGGAAATAAGCAAAGAATAAGGCATAATCAGAGGAGCAAGAGCCGCTAACTCCAAATAGCTGCGTCACATCAAAAAATGAATTCCCTGCTTTAATAGGTCCTCCTTCAAAAACAAAACACAACAAAAAACATTTCATTTTTCGAATGCAGCAGTTCTCAACTGGAGATGATTTTTCTGTTCAAGGGGACATTTAGCAATATCTGGTATCATTTTTGGTTGTCACAAATGAGCCAGGAGGTGCAACTGGCATCTAGTGGGTGGAGGACAGGCATGTTGCTAAACGTCTTAGAATGCACAGGTCGGCCGCCACAAGAAAGAATTATCCAGCCCAAATGTCAATGGTACCAAGGGTGAGAATCCCTGGTCTAAATAATCTTAGCTCAAGGCTGAGTTTCTACTCTTCTAACCTTTAATATAATCATATACATTAATATTACCAAACATTCTTCAGATGTCACATGAAAGTCTGTAAATATGAACCACACTCTACTGCCCAGTGATGGAGAAACCTACTGACTGTGGTGCGCAGATTCCTAAGACGCCCTCATGGTATCCATGTCCGCATCATCTCCTCCCCCTTGAGAGTGGGCTGAACCTGTGACTGGCCTCTAACCAACAGGCTATCGTGAAGGTAAGGCATTTTGCAGATGTAAAGTCCCTAAGAAGTTAACTAAATTAATGACAAGGCATATTATTCTGGGTGGGCCTGACCTAATTAGGTGAGTACTTTAAAAGAGGGCCTGGAGGAGAGAGACCCTTCCTGCTGTCTTTGAAGCAGCAAGCCTCCATCAGTTCTGCAGCTACAAGAAAATGAGTTCTGCCAACAACCAAGTGAGCACTGAAGAGGACCCTGAGCATCAGAGGACAGCCTAGCCCTGGCCAATGCCTTCATTGCAGCACTGTGAGACCCGAACAAAAGATCCAGCTAATGCATGTTCAGAATTCTGATTCCAGGAAACTGTGGAATAATAAATGCTCCTATGTTAAGCTGCTAAGTGTGTGGTAATGTTTTTACTCAGCAATAGAAAACTACTGCTGGATGGGCGCGGTGGCTTGTGCCTGTAATCCCAGCACTTTGGGAGACCGAGGCACATGGATCACTTGAGGTCAAAAGTTCAAAACTAGCCTGGCCAACATCGTGAAACCCCATCTCTACTAAAAATAGAAAAATTAGCCAGGCATGGTGGCACATGCCTGTAATCCTAGCTACTCGGGAGTCTGCGGCAGAAGAATCACTTGAACCCAGGAGGCGGAGGTTGCAGTGAGCCAAGATTGCGCCATTGCACTCCAGCCTGGGCAACAGAGTGAGAGCCCGTCTCAAAAAAAAAAAAAGAAAAGAAAAGAAAAGAAAAGAACGCAAGCTATTGCTAATGACCAACTAGTTATATCACAGATGAATTCTTTTTGCTCCACAAGTGATGATCAAAACTCTGATGTGCAGCTGAGAAACATCATTTTCCAACAGTCTTTTCTTCCCAGTGGTAAATGCAATGAACTGAATGTTTATGTCCTTCCAGAATTCACATGTTGAAATCCTAATCCCCAAGGTGATGGTATAAGGAGGTGGGGCCTTGGGAGGTGGTTAGGTCATGAGGACTCTGCTTAGTGCCCTTATGAGACATCCCACAGAGCTTCCTTGCCCCCTTCTGCCACGTGAGGACACAGTAGAAGACTGTTTATAAAGTAGGAAGTGCATCCTCACCAGACACTAAATCTGCTGGCACCTTGATCTTTGACTTGTCGGTCTCCAGAACTGTGAGAAATACATTTCTGTTGTTTATAAGCCCCCCAGTCTATGGTATTTGGTTATAACAGCCCGAATGGACTAAGACAGTACAGAACTCTAGTTAGGTGGCATAAGCTTACAGTCTAAATTCATACAGAGTAGAACTCCTTAGACTTTGGAGTTTTGTTTCCTTATGATGAAAGTCACCGAACAATACAGGCTGATGGTTAATATCACTTGAGGAGGGAATGGCTCAGGTGATATTACCCATGGGAATACCAAGGAACTCAGAAAAATGGCCATCATTTCCTCTCACTATCACCCATTGCTCATTGGGACTTAGGCTCTGAACAAATCTGTTATTCCCTTCGTCCCCACCCCTTCCACAGCCTCTACCCTCAGAGTTAACCAAAACAATGCAGCAATTCTCCATTTGTTTTTGCCTAACCAGCCTTTGTGGCCTGGCAGCTGTGGCCATTTATCTGCCATGGTTCATCTTTGGAAGTGGGTTGACATGGCAGACTGGGCACCTGGTTAGAAGTATGTCCACCTGGCCTCTGACCCCAGTCTACCACTCCCTTGCTTTCTGACCTTTGACATTCACTTCTCACTCTGCAGGCCTAGTGTCTGTATCTGGTAGGGGAAATTTCTGGAAAAATGATTCCTAGCAGCTCAGTCTATAATTCTTTGAGTCCATTACTTTATTCCTCAAACCTCAGTAATCCAAACCACTCCATTTAATAAGGCAAATAACATTATTGTGCAACACCAATATGTAGACTTAAATTATTTTTATTATATTGTTGCTTAGAGATGCACAAATGGAAAACTAGAAATAAACTCCATATGCTCTAGCTCTGATTCAATAATAAAACTAAAACAAAATAACAAATTAAATGCAAAAACAATAAGATCCATAACATTCAAATTAACAGCATTAGTTTAACATGATTGATGATGTTATTTTGCTGAGATTAAACTGTCTTTCAAAATTTAAATACAGTACTCACTGCTAAAGCCAATGTTCTCTTTGTTTTGGCATGCACGTGCCCACTCCCGGCTGCGTGAGGACTCAACCTGCATATCACTTTCCTCTACTCGAACTCAGGGAACCCTTCCCTCCTACAAAGAGATGGCATCAGGTGGCCTTCACTGAGTCTGACTGTATCGGGCACATTTTTAAGACTGCTCTTTTATTGCTTATCCATCTACAAACACTGGAGTAGAGCGCCTTCCTTTAAACATGGGGAAACTTGGACAATATAACTCATGGCAGGACTCTCTTATAAAGGGGAACCAGTACACAGTTATTCATTATTTTTAAGATTATCATGAAAATGAAAGCACAAAATAAAACAACAAATTTCAGAGAAACTTCTCAGACACACGTGAGGACATGTGTGCTGATCCCTCAAAGGGCTGCAAACTCCAATTTAAAAATTGCTTGTTTATGAAGAAAGAGTATAAGGTTGAGGAAACAAATAATAATGTTATTTATAATAATAGCTAACACTAAGTGCATATGTTTCATTGAGCACTCTAATAAATGCTTTACATGCTTTCTCTTATTAAATAGTCATTATGCCCTATGACAGTATTTCTCAATCATTTTCTCATTATTTTACCCTCCAAGGAAACTGTTTAGACTTTTTTTCCCTAAGTACCCCACCCCCAGTGAAATCGCAACACTACAGATATACTGTATATCTCTTATGTACTATGTATGTGATTCTGCTTAATACATTGTTTCTTGGGGGGGTGGATTGTGTCCCCTTAGGAGCAATATCACCACCACTGAAAATCTATGTCCTTTGATAAGTAAAACATTTTTAAATGCCTGAGAATTTAATTAATTAAGGAAGTAAAGATTTTGTTTTTATTTTTGTTTTCTTTTTTTTTTGAAATGGTGTCTCACTCTGTTACCCAAGCTGGAGTGTAGTGGCACCATCACAGCTCACTGCAGACTAAACCTCCTGGGCTCAAGTGATCCTCCTGCCTCAGCTTCCCAAGTAGCTGGAACTACAGGCACACCACCATACCCAGCATTTTTTTTTTTTTTTAATAGAGATGAGGTCTCATTATGTTGCCCAGGCTGGTCTCAAATTCCTGGCCTCAGGCAATCCTCCCACCTTGGCCTCCCAAAGTGCTGGGATTACAGGCAAGAGCCATCATGCCTGGCCAATACAGTTGATTCTCATAACTTGAGATATTTAGGTTCTATAAAGTAACCATAAACACTAAATTAGCAAATCACTGACCCAAAGGGAAACAGAGTTAGGTTCCTGAGAGCCTCTGCTCACAATTTTATCAATTGATCAATATCAATTTGGTTTTTGTGTGTTTCTATTTAAAGACATCTTATTTAATACATATTATTGATGCACTGTCATGGAACTCAATGCCAATGGAACTATAATTCGTGTCTGAGCAAAGCTTATCTGACACATATTGGCGACATCACAGCCCTCTTGCACTTAGGAACACTATACAGCTCTTCAACACTACACTTGGGGGTCATCTTAATGAAAACAGCAAGAAAAAGTACAAAAAGCAAAAAAAAAAAAAAAAAGTGGCAAAACATGGACCCCAAAAAGAACACTGTGCATAGTAGGAGAGCTGAGACAGGAAGGCAGAGTGTCACCTTGTTCAGCCTTATATGGGAAGGTGTGTGTTGCGCAACCCAAATTTTTCACCACTCTGCATGTATTTGTGAGTGACCCTAAAAGTGCCTCAAGGATTAATTTGGTGATTACATAAATTTTAGCAAGTAGGCAAATTCTCAAATATGAAATCCACAAATAATGAGGACTGACACTGTGTCATCTTGTATTACATGTGATTTTGCAGCTTGCAGCCCGCTTACATGTAGATGGGGATAGGTAGCATGGAAGATCTGGAGTGAAGAGGCCTGGGTTTGTATCTGGATTGGCCAATTATTAGTTTTGGGCAAATTAATAGACCCTCTCTATTGTAGTTTCTTTTGTTTCTTCAGCTGTAAATGGGGCTGGGTGGAGGGTCAATTCCTGCCTCATAGGGTTATTGTGAAAATTAAATAAAATAATTCAGTTTGAGTACTTAGGGTAGTGTGAGCACCTAGGAAATACCCAACAAATCTTTGTAGAAAAATAATTCAGTTTCTGTATTTAGGATATCGTGAACACCTAGGAAATAACCAACAAATCTTTGTAGAATGAGGTTCCTATGTTGGATACCATGATATGCTCTTCTGCCCTGCTTCTGGAAGCAATAACCATCTCCTTGTTGAGTTCAAGTGGAGAGGGAGGCAGGGAGGGTGGTGCTCAGAGAAGAAATGTTACAGAAGGAATTCAGAGGGAAAAAACAAGGGGAATATTCAGCTGAAGTCTGCAGCATGACGACATTCTTGCAAGTCAAGCTATTGTCTCAGGAAGGAACTGCCTACATTCTCAGCCCTTTTAGAAAATCAAGAGTGAGAATGTCAGATTAGACCCTGGAGTTGTACATACGGAAAGTCCAGATAAGAGGGAGGTGGTGTGAAGAGCACAGGAAGCCACCCCATGGTGACACTGGAAATGACCAGGGGCAAGAGAGGCACAGGAGGGGAGCAGCCAGATTGCACTTTGGTTTCCCTCTCTGGGATTCTTCTGAGAAAAAAGAGGGTGTGTTGGAGAAGGTATGGTTTGGCTGGGTCCCCACCCAAATCTCATCTTGAATTGTAGCTCCCAAAATTCCCGCGTGTTCTGGGAGGGACCCCTGGTGGGAGATAACCGAATCATGGGGGTGGTTTCCCCCATACTGTTCTTGTGGTAGTGAAGAAGTCTCACAAGATCTGATGGTTTTATAAGTGTTTTCCCCTTTCACTTGGCTTTTATTCTCTCTTGCCTGCTGCCATGTAAGACGTGCTTTTTGTCTTCCACCATGTTGTGAGGCCTACCCAGCCATGTGGAACTGTGAGTCCATTACACCTCTTTTTCTTTGTAAATTACCGTCTCACGTATGTCTTTATCAGCAGCGCAAAAACAGACTAATACAGAGAGCAACTCTAGAGGCTGTAGAATTGCTGTCACCTCAGTCCCTATGCTAAGGATGCTGCATAGCACCTGCCCTCAAGACTGCTCAGCCAGCAGCTAGAACCATGGCTACATCAAGCTGCCGGGTAGCACAGTCCAGCTCAGGGCAGTCTTCGCTGCAGCTTCTGGAGTCACCTGGGTTTCATGGTGACACTGACATGACCACAAGTCAAGGAAAGTCTGTTGGGGGCTTGCCTTAGGGAGTCAACACAGTGGAGTGAGATGCTTCTATTAGCCGCAACAAGAGAGCAGATTGCCATGTCAGGGGCAACTGGGAGGCACAGTCAGAACTTGGCATTAGGAAACAATAAGAAACACTGGCACAGTGATAAACTGAATGAAAGGATGCTTGACTAGAATAAAGGACCAGCACATTCACTCACAAAAGACACTCACAAAAGACACCAGCAATAACTAAGCTGTGCTGGTTTTAAAATATGTCCACAAATTCTTTGGCATTCCCACTTCAAAGGCTGAAGCCTCATTTCCCTCCCCTTAAATGAAGAAAACTCTGGGGGTTGAACCTGTGCCTCAACCTGCCCTTCAGGTGGCTCTGATTCATCAAGTGTGAGAAGCAGGCAGCGGCTTGACCTCTCCATTAGCTGTACTGAGAACCCAGGATGATGCAGGTGAAATGGGCAGCCCAGTGAGTAGCACACTAAGGAGTGTGTAATAAACATCAGCCACTGTTATATCACCCATCAGGGCTGCCTGCTTCATGTGCAGTTGGAGTGATGGGGAATCTGTGGTTTACAGTGTTAAACAGCATTGTTTCTGGAGGCAGAGTTGGCTTAAAACCCCACCTCAACCATTTCCACGCCACACATATGCTCACGTGCAAGTCTGTCAAACTCTAAGTCTTGTTTCATTGCCAGTAACACGGGGATAAAAACCTTTCACCTTCTGTAAATGGGTATCATACGGCCCATGCTTTGATGTCTGTATCAGTCAAGGTTCTCCAGAGAAACAGAACCAATGGAGGTTACATATGTGTATGTGTATGCATGTGTGAATATATATGATTTTTTAAACTTGAATTGTTCACACAATAGTTGGGGCTGGCAAGTCTCGAATCTGTGGGTTATACTAGCAGGCTGGAAACCCAGGCAGAAGTTGAGGCTGCAGGATTGTGGCAGAATTTCTTTTTCTTAGTAAACCTCAGATTTGCTTCTAAGGTCTTCAAGTCATTGGATGTGGCCCATCCATATTATTATTTTCAGAGATAATCTCCTTTACTTAAAGTCCACTGATTGTAGATGTTCACCACCTAACAAAATACCTTCACAGCAATATCTAGATTCATGTTTGATTAAATACTTGGTACTATAGCCTGGCCAAGTTGACACATAAAAGTAACCACCACAGCAACAGACCCATATGGATTTAAATTCCATAGCTACCACTTCCAAGCAACATGCTCAGGTGAACATCTCTCAAACTTTCCAAGCACTCTTGTGTCAACCATAAAATAAAGATATGCACACGCAAACAAAAGACAGCCATTAGCTCTACCAAAAATGGGGAGGACATTACCCAACCTGCAGGGTTTGGGAGAGGCTGCTATGAGAAAAAAATGAACCCTGGCAGGTAAAGCATGAAACCATGACCAATGCCTGTGAGAACCCACACTATGAGTTATTAATATTGACCCATTATTTCAATTTATATCACAAATTAAGAAAGGAAATTTAAAATAATTATTTTACTATTAGATAAATGATAAAATAAATATTATATATGCACATACATTATACATAATTTAAATATCCAGGAAAAATCCACTCTTTCTAACTGCTTTACACACATGAAAGTTTATTTGTTTATTTGACCAATAGCTAAACCCCCATTAGGGGCCATTAGTACACTGGAACTGTGCTGGTCAGATTCGGTAAAGTAAAATTTTGTGCCTTCTTTAATTTCCTCGCAAGTGGGCCAAAGGCCCAAAGGAAGACAAATGAAAAAACAAGTAGGTATCAAATACAAACAAACATCAAAGCAAGGGAAAACGAACACACTAAGTTTGGTAAATGTTATCTGTAATAGGCTAATATATACACATACAATTCTGAGCCGCTGAAATCAGTTAGTGGATCGATAATTTTGGTCAAATGGGACACACTATTAACTCAGCAATGTTAGCAGAAGAATGTCCTGGTTTTTTCTTCCTATCACGCATTCCCTTGGGCTGTCTGTTAGAGCGTGCCAGGTTTTCCTAAGGCTTGAAGATAATGTTCATTTAATGGGGAGTCCTTTTAGTGAGGGACTTTACGTTTCTTTTAATTTAAGAATTCCCATAGGTACTATGCAAAACTAAGTTTCTTCTCTTTTCTCATTTCTAGTGCTCAAGACAGTTAATTTATTAATATTATGACACAAGCAAGATAAAGGGCATAACAGAAAACAAATCAGTGGGGTCATATGGTTACCAACACTCTTAAGAGTCTAAGACATCTCTTGCAAAACTGATTCATGATATCTATTCCAGATCATACGCACTGCACTGGTTACATGGATTACAGCTGCAGACTTCTAACACAAAATCCACACACAAGTACACGGACCCAGGTGGAGGCCTCAGCCCCTTATTTCCTGCTTCTCTCCACTGTCTTATTTTCAAGCTGCTACTGGTGCACCATGAGAACCTGATTTAATACTAAGTGTCCATACCAAAGGTAAGTGAATTTTTTTCAAGATCTCAGAATCAGATCAAGGGAATGGTGGGTCATATTGGTGTGTTGAATTTACTGTTATTTTCCTGACTGGTATCTTGAAATAATTTCTTATCTTCTTTGATCCACAGTTCAATGTCTGTCCCTACAGCATAATATAACATCGGTTATCTCAAACAATTGATCTGGCTTAGTTCCTGGCCCAGGTGCATATTAGTTTTTGGAAGAAACTGAATACATATTGTAAAAGTGTATTAGCTCTTTCAAGCCAAAGGGGAGTGATTAAATAGATGACTTCTCCAGGGGTGGAGGCCTTCAAGTGGGGCGAGATGAGGAGGCAGAGAATCCTAAGCACTCTGTTTCATTTTCTTGTGAGCAAAAAACATGAGACAGTGTCCTTTGTTTTTGATTCTGGTATTCTTTGTTCCACGCGGCAAAGATTAGAAGCAGGGGCTGGGGAAGGAGAGGGCAGGAAAGGAAACGAAACAGAAGGGAAATTGCTAAAGTCATGTTTTCCTTTCTTCCTTTCAAGCCACTGAATGTCCTAACTGGCACTTTCTTTACACTGAATGTTCTAACGAGTACTTTCTTTACACTGAATGTCCTAACTGGTACTTTCTTTACACCAAACCATCTAATAAGCGGCCTCAGGGCCACTGAGCAAGATACCCATGTCTATAACTGGAGTGATCCAGGATGCAGTCCACAGATGAATTCTTTAAAATCGCTATAAGCCATGACCTCATTGCCTACACATAGAGCGGAGAATTCCCACCACAGCTGCTGTCTTGCTATGTCACTGTGCTTATGCAAGCATGAGAATATACATAATCATACACGCATACATGTACATTGTGTGTGTGTGTGTGTGCACGTGCGCATGTATGTGTGTTCTGCTAGAGTCACAGCATGAAGACATGATAAAGGCCTTCTAGGATAACGGGTCAGAGTTAACCTCTAGAAAGAAAACTGATCAAAAAACCTATAAAATAGAAAAAGAAAAGATAGCCCTCTAGTGAGGTAGCATATTTCTAAGGATGAACTGAAACCTTCATAAGAATAACCATGCCCTGTTACATGGGACCAGCTGAGTCAATTTTATCAGCCTCTTCTTTTTGTAATGTTAAAATAATTAATTGACAGATAAAAATTACATATTTAAGGTGTATTATGTGATAATCAGATATACATATATTTTACAATGATTGAGCACATATTTCACATTAGCACTTGACTTGGGACAGGGTCTCTTCCCCTAAGATGCTGTCATTCTACTGGGTTTATGTCCAGTCTAAGAAGGCCAAAGACATATTTTAGCATTTGCGCCATTGCCAAATGACAAAGTGAAGCCACCATTCAGAAGCAAGATCTGGTTTAGGGTGCTTGCTATTTTTAATTTTTTTAAATTGTGGTAAAATGTACATAACACAAAATTTGCCATTGTAATTGTTGTAAGGATATAACTCAATTGCATTAATTACATTCATAATGCGTGCAACCATCTTCACTATTTCCAAAATGTTTTCATCACCCCAAAGAAGCTCTCTGTAACCATTAAATAATAACTCCTCATTCCTCCCTCCCCTAGCCCCTAGTAACATCTAATCTGCTTTTGATCTCTATGAATTTGCCTGTTCTAGATATTTCATACAAGTGGAATTACACGATATTATTTCTTCTGTATCTAGCTTATTCCACCTAGCATAATGTCTTCAAGGTTCACCCACATTGTTTCATATATCCATGTTTCATTCCTTTTCATGGCTGAATAATATTCTACTCTGTGTGTATACCATATTTTGTTTATTCATTCATCTGCTGATGAACACTTGGGGTGCTTCCATCTTTTGGCTATTGTGAATGCTGCTGCAATGACGGAGTGCTGGAATTTGACTGCTTGTGGTTTTTCACTTTTGAACTTCTACTGCTTGTTGTTTCCAGCTGAAATCAGATCCAGCTCTGTGGCTGGAGCAGAGGAACAAGGCACACAGCAGTCTTCCTGGAGAGAAAGGAGACAGTCCCACTGCTGAGTCAGCAACTGCCCTGCTGCAGCCCCAGGATAGGCAGAGAGCTTGGGTTTAGGGAAAGGATTCCACCCAGTATAGTGTTATCTCTGAGCAGGGCTGTACGGCCAGTGCTACTGGCCACAGTGAATTCAGAACAGCAAAGCAGGAGATGTCACAAATGCTAACAGAGCAGATGCAGATCACAGGATCCCTGCACACACCTGCTGCAAAGCGCCCCTCTTCAACAGCCAGTGGATGACTAGGGGATTCCCCTTATTGCCTAAATGGGGACTCATCACTTTCTCTGTGGGAAAGGCCAGAGCTACAGCCTCAACTGAGATGGAGAGAGCCGGAAGGACTGTCCCACTCAATACCACACAAGCAAAACGAAAATGTGAAATGGAAATTCCTACTTTAACACATACAGGGCCTTGAAGCATAGAAATCATTTAAGTCGAGTTAGCTAAAGGGTAAGCAGAGAAAGAATTAAATAGAAGTCATCTGTTGGGCGTGGTGGCTCAGGCCTGTAATCCCAGCACTTTGGGAGGCCGAGGTAGGTGGATCACTTGAGGTCAGGAGTTTGAGATCAGCCTGACCAACATGGCGAAACCCTGTCTGTACTAAAAATACAAATATTAGGCAGGTGTGGTGGCACACGCCTGTAGTCTTAGCTACTCCAGAGGCTGTGGTATGAGAATCTCTTTAACCCGGGGGGTAGAAGTTGCAGTGAGCCAAGACTGTGCCACTGCACTTCAGCCTGAGCAACAGGGCAGGACTCTGTCTCAAATAAAATAAAATAAAATAAAAGTTATCTAAGTTGATCAGCAATCATTCCACATACCAACTTTTTATTGGTGGAGAAGGGTTTTCTTAGACAAAAATCTCAATTAAAATCAATCCATTGTGCATTATTCCTAGAGGATGTAATAGCTAATAATGAAAAGAGGAAAAGAACATGACTTTCACACAGTCCTCCCTTTTATTTTTTTGGAGACAGAGTATCACTCTGTTGCCCAGGCTGCAGTGCAGTGGTATGATCTCGCCTCACTGCAACCTCTACCTTCTGGATCTCAGCTTACTGCAACCTCTGCCTTCCGAGTTCAAATGCTTCTTGTGCCTCATCCTCCTGAGAAGCTGGGATTACAGGCATGCACCTTATGCCCAGCTAACTTTTGAATTTTTAGTAGAGACAGGGTTTCGCCATGTTGGCCAGACTGGTCTTGAACTTTTGGCCTCAAGTGACCCACTCGCCTCAGCCTCCCAAAATGCTGGGGTTACAGGTGTGAGCCACCACACCTGGCCCCACACGTCCTCTTAAACCCAGAGAAGGTAGCAGAAGGCTGAAAGTCATGTTTTCCTTTCTTCCTTTCAAGCCACTGAATGTCCTAACTGGTACTTTCTTTACACTGAATGTTCTAACGAGTACTTTCTTTACACTGAATGTCCTAACTGGTACTTTCTTTACGCCAAACCATCTAATAAGTGGCATCGGGGCCACTGAGAAAAATACCCATGTCTATAACTGGAGTGATCCAGGATGCAGTTCACAGATGAATTCTTTAAAATCGCTATAAGCCATGACCTCATTGCCTACACAGAGTGGAGAATTCCCACTGGAGGGCATGGAGCCAGAAGTAAGGCTTGGGCCTGAATTCTGGCTTTACTAACTGGATGGTTGAGCTTGAGGAAGTTCCTTACTTTTTCCATACCTCAGTTTCTTCATCTGTAAAATGGGTAATAGTCAAGATAGACTCATAGAAGTATCATGAGAAAAAAAATGAAGTAAATAAGTAAATTGCAAGTAAATTGCTTGGAATGGTACACACATAAATAATCAATTAGCTATTAATCATCCTAATATTCTTAATCAATAATTCAATTTAATTCAAAAAATACATGCTAAACTTATTGTATGCAAAGGATTACGGTTAGCACTAAAAAAAACAAGACACAGTTCATATTAGGCTAGGGAGATAAAGCACAGACAAATAAATGGAATGAAACATAAATGCAGTATGAGGTTGGGCAGTGGCTCCTGCCTGTAATCTCAACACTTTGGGAGGCTGAGGCAGGAAGATCATTTGAGGCCAGGAGTTCAAGACCAGCTGGACAATATAGCGAGATCATGTCTTGACAAAAAATATAATTTAAAAAAATTAGCCAGTTGTGACGGTGTGCACCTGTAGTCCTAGCTAGTTGGGAGGTTGAGGCCAGAGGATCCCCTGAGCCCCAGTGTTCGAGGCTGCAGTGAGCCATGATGGTGCCACTGCACTCCAGCCTAGGTGACAGAGAGACCCTGTCTCTAAAAAATAAAAATAAATTTTTAAAAATCCAGTATGATTAGTTTCAAAATGGGATCCTTAAGTGACATTCTCAAACACTGTTTTATTTTCTTTTTTAAGAGTATTTTATTCTTCTTTTTGGGGGGAGGGTAAAGGGACTTGGGATCTGAAGATACTTGTCCAAGGTCAAAGGGTTGACCAACATACAAATACTAGTTTCTTAACAAAACTTCATTATTGTTTAGTACGACTGCTTTTTTAAACATTGGTAATAAAAATATTTAGGTTGATTAGAAACAATCAAGCCTGTCTTCTGCACTTGATGGTCAACTCCATGAGAGTAGGCTCCATGTCTGCCTTGTCCCCTCCCACATCTCCAAAAGTAGGACTGTGCAGGGTATGTTAAATGTGTTGAAATAAGAGAAGTAACTGCATGAATAAACTAGAAATTTATTCCTAATGGAATATCCCTGGTCCATAACATGTTCTAATAAGCACTATCCCCTCCTTACCAGCACCATTCAACTCTGTGCCACCCACCAAGAAACAAGAGAGTTTTTACACAATGGCTACTTGTAGAACCTCCGAACTACCTACAGAGTCCCCGTGGTGACATGCTGTAAAGTACTCCGTATTTGTTTCCACTAACTGGGTGATTGAAAATAATAAAAATTTATTATCTGACAGTTTTGGAAGCTAAAAGTCTGAAATCAAGGTGTCATCAGGGCCATGCTCCCTGCAAGGGCTCCATGGAGACTCTGATCCATGCCTCTGTCCTCACTTCTCGTAGTTGCCAGCAATCCTTGGCATTGGTTGGTTTGTGCCAGCAGAACTCCAGGTGCAGCCTTAGTCATCACATGGCTGTCTTCCCTCTGTGTGCCTCTGTGTCTCTTTTCATAAGGACATCAGTCATATTAGATCAAGGGTCACCCTACTCAGTATGTCTCTATCTTAAAACTAATTTTATGTGCAACAACCCTATTTCCAAATAAGGTCACATGCTGATGTTCCAGGAGGGACATACATTGTGGGGTGAAGAGGAGGACATTCTCCAACCCAGCAGATACTCCAACATTATTTTCTGCCGAATTAAATAGCAGAAAATCCTACCCTGAGTCTCTCAAATGATCATTTGTTCAAGTTTCATTGAATGGCAGTATTATTACGGGTGGAAAATAAAGATGAGCAAGTAAGATTGAATGTATCGTGGAATGCTAGAAATCTCAAAGAGTCCCCCAGCTTGTGAAAAAGCAGGCACTTGGCACCCCAGCATGGGTGGTTTCAAGTCTAAAAGAGCAGGCAATATGTCACTAAAGGTACCAGGGCAGAGCTTCCCCTTCCCACACACCCACCTACAGGCCTTTAGGCAATTGTGCAAGAGTTAACACAGATGCCAGCTGACACTGAGACAGATGCTGCTGCGGCTGCTGACAGATGGTGCTTCACAGCTGGGTTTCTGAAGAGAGTAATGAGAAGATCAGAGTGCTGCACGGGCTAAGGGTACATGCATTAACACAAGAATTTCCATTGTAATACAAATCAATCAAAAGTCATTTTTACGCTAATAACATCACTACAATTTGCACCACTCCCAAGATCTCACAGATCATGAAAAGACTTGTGTCTTGCATAATCTGGATGTATAATAAAAGACCAGTGTTCTTTCTAAAGTTCACTGGTGGTTCTACACAATCTGGGAGCACCTTAGAAGCCATGTGTTCATTTCTTGGCATCAAGAGCCTCTGGTGTCAATAAATCCATAACTGCCTCTTCTGAGTCACTCATTCATTCATTCAGCATCCCATGTTACACACAATTCCATAACCAAGCCATCTCAGCCATAAAGGTTACTTCTTGCAGGATTTTGGGAGCAGGGAAACAGTGGAGAAAATACTAGTATCACCTTTCAACAGAGAATGTAGTGAAAAGAGAGGCAGCATTATCCTTTGAGTCTGTGTGGCTAGAGGTGGCTCAACCCCAGCAAAAGACAGACAGACAGTTACAGACCTTTGTGCCTTACTGTCACTCATTGATTTTTGAGGGTTTTCATACAAAGCATATTTACCTTAATTATCACTGAAGATCAGTCTAAATTAGTGAAAATTCTGAACAATAAATTTTAAAAGGCATTGATTCTCCTCCTTTCATGCATGGTATAATCCTACCAACAGCACAAGAGAAAAAGGGATTATATATGTAAGATCTTAATCTTATTTAATGCAAAACAATTTTAAGATCCCGCTATGTTTCCCACCTCCCATTGCCCATTTATCAAACAATCATAAGCAAAAGTTGACTATCAAAATTCTGTATCAAGAAATGAGAAGGTTCAAACAGTCCTTTTTGGTAAAGAGAATTATAACTGAGAAATAAAAATAAAATTCTAAGGCCCCCTACCAAATGAACAGACCCCCACTCTTGGTCAAGGGGACTCCAGAAAAACCTTGAAAGCCGATTTCCCAGCCATGACAGGAAGGGAGGGTGGGCATGCCTTGTTATACCCCTCCCTCACTTTCTTCCCCAAGGGTTAAAGAGAAATAAGCCTTTTCAAAAGACTGCACCACTGATATCAACTAACTGCCTGACGGTGCCCCTCCCTTCTGTGGTTCTGACAATCCAATCCACCAGCATTCCTTCCTGATAAGAGACCACTGACCACAGAGTGGTTCTGGCCAGTCTACAGAGGATACGCAGTGAAGGTTTTCATGTCCTCTGCTTCACCTTTTGACAACAGATGGCTGAAAACACCACCCTTGGATAATCCTAATGCTGCCATTTTTTGAACATGCGTCCTATGAGGCAGCATGAAGCTCATTTGAGCATGTGCATGTTTCTCCTTTCATCAATATTCATGACTGCTCCTATAGCTTCTTATTGAATATGTGTATTTGGCCATCTCATTCAGTATAAATCCCTGTGTTATTCTTCCCACCCTTGACATGTCTGTTTCTGGCTTCTAAGCAGAGGCTATGCTTCCCCACCTGTCATAATGGCCACCCTGCAGGCTGCAACCCTTTCTGAGAAATAAAGCTCTCCTTTCCAAATTTATGAACCTCGTCATTTTTCAGCTGACATAACAAACAAGTTTTCCTACCACAGAAAACTAAATATAGCTAAGCAGTGAAATGGAGAAAGTGAAATCTACAGCTCAATTTCACACTGACTCCCTTAATAACTGGGGGAGCCCTGAGTAAGCTACCTTAATGCTTCTCAACATCTATTTCTGTACCTCTGATTGGGGAAAGGAAAACTGGAGGAGATCATCTTCAAGACCCATTTCAGCTTTCCACACTCACATTCTTCACTTCTCTCTGCCCAAAATGTCGTCAGCCTTCTAGCAAAACTACAAACCACTTTACAATCCCAAACCATGATCCAAAAAGACCTAAAAGCTAAGTGGAAGAATGGATAAGATAGGGTTTTTAGCCAACTTTCTCTTCCTAAATTGAAATTTTCTGTTTGTAACATGTACACACACACATAAATATATATATGCATACACACATACACACACATACAAACACACACACATATCCACATATGTGTATTTCAGCCACCAAAGCATAGCTGGATTATTTCACTGCTGTCTCTTCTCTTTGGGGTGTGACTTGAACTTGAGAATCTAATATGATCTTCTTAGTCCCCAAATGAAGGTCCCAATTTTATTACCTGCTATGTCCCCTAAGAGCATCATTATTTTCCTCCCTGTCTCTTCCACTGTCCTTGCAGCAGGAGGCTTCCTTTGGCCCATGGTGGGAAGCTGCAATTCTATTTAACAGGAGTAAAAGTGATCACGTCCACCAGTAGGCATCTCTGAGCACAGAGAAACAGAGAAAGTATAAATGGCAGCTACAGAGTACCTCACAGATAACCAGAATCTTTCTACTACTACAATTTGTAGGAAGGAGGAGCTACGAGAGTACACTGAATGCAGCAATTGCCCTCAATTCTGAATCCATTTCATCCCTAACTTTGTGTTGCTGCCACATGGTTGGGTGAGACTGATGTCACCTCTATTCTATCAAGGAGCTCTATTTACCCTAAGCCCATCAACACAGACCCATCCTCATTGCCCAGTGATTGCTCAGGAAGACAAGGAGGGGGAGTGAGGGGCAGATAAATGATCAAAGTTATTCATTGGTAAAGAAAGAGATGCGTGCTCTCTTTCTCTCTCTCTGGATATAACCATAGGCCTTGTTGGACGCCATACTGTATTACAAAGGAGAGTCAACAATTTCAATAAAAATGCACATGGCAAAACAATGACAAAAAAAATCAGGTAAGGATATCACTGAGCCATTACCAGTTAATGGGTCCCAACACCCACCCTACCACTGGACTTCTTTCTCAGTTATGTGAACCCAGAAAAGACAGTCTGTCTGCTGCACCTGGTGGTAAACGTTGGAACTGCAGCAATTTTATGCTTAACCAAAGGTGTATCTCAAATTCAAGGGAAAAAAAATCTTCATCCTAAAGTAAGACACTTTTTTCCATATGAAAAGAGCATTTTTTAATTTTAGACTGACTCTATGAAAGGTTGAATAAGTATAAAGTAATAATTTTGAGAGTGATGGATTGTAATGTTTTAAATAAGCACAACCAAGTAGAAATAAGAAGCATTATACTTAGCCACATGATGAATCTGATAAGGCTGGAAAACAGTTTAATGTACTCTGGGTAATAAACAGATGACCTGGTAGGTCTCTTTCCTCTTTGAAAAACTTTAATTCAGCTTCCACCTATAATCTATGATGTATTTTTCAAAGCTTTATGCATTTTTTAAAAAATCACTCCCCCTAAATTTTGCATTTACAGCCCTTTTATCATATAAATTGCGGTCATAACCTAAGTTAAGGTTTGCAGCAGCCAGTGAAGGGAAAGGTCTGGCTTCTATAAAAGGAGATACATTAAGCAAAATAAATCTTGCCTGAAACTGGAATAGTTCTTGAATATAACAACTTAGGAGCTAATCTCTCTTCTCTTTTGAAAATATAATAGCTTTGCCTTTGAGCCAGAATAGATCAAATAGTCCAGGGATAGCTGTTATTCCTTTTCTCATTCTTTTTCTTGATGTACTGAGACTTGATTAATAATTGTAAAATTCCTGAGAATTCTTTTCCCAAACTCTTCTAGCATGAAGGCATCACTTCATCCATAAAGGTGAAGGGAACATTCGAACTACTTTTCCCTCTAGTCTAAAGGAAGAACAGGGCCAGGGATTGAAGCTTTCAATCTACACATTAAAATCTTTCTCTGCTCTAGGCCTTCTTCACACGCCTTCTTGTAAAACTGTGTTGGAACGTAATTTGTAGGCCTTCAACTCGTTGAAATTAAAAGAATTTCAGGCATTTCAGATTTTTTTTTTTTTTTTTTTTTTTTACAAAATGATATTATCTAGAGAGATATTTTCACATATATGGTTTGGGACAGGCAGAATAAGCTTACTGGCTTCAAGATTTATATATCTTTTATAAAAATGAGATGCAATCAAGTATTTGGGCCTAAGTATTTTCCCTCCTGTCCCTGGCACCCATTTTAACATATAGGAAATAGAGGCAAAACCAAATTGCTGTATTTTTATTCTCTGCTCTCAATACAACACAGTTGCTTCTGTGACTTCTGGTCACCAAAATGTGTGCGGATGGTGGTTTCTCCCCACCAACAAGCAAGCAAGCAATCAATTCTGCAGCAGATTCTCCAGCTGGGTATCCTAGAATTCAATTCAATTCTGATGCTATCTACCTAAAGATAGTGTCAGATTTCACAGGTTAAGGGCTCAGTCCCACAAGGCTGCCCCCACTTTAGATGCCAATCACATGTCCAGCCCACTCATACTTCTAATCAACTGGCTACAAAATGAGGTTTCCATGACCTCCTCCTTGGGTTTGATTAATTTACTAGGATAATTCACAGAACTTAGGCAAACACTTACTTAGGTTTACTGGCTTACTATAAAGGATATTGCAAAGGATAGAGATGAAGAGATGCACAGGGCGAGGTATGTGGGAAGGGGCATGGAGCGTCCATGCCCTCTCTGGGTGCACCACCCTCCAGGAAGTTCCATGCATTCAGCTTTCTGGAAGCTCTCCTAGCCCTGTCCTTTTGAGTCTTATGGAGGCTTCATTACATAGGCATGATTGATTTCATCATTAGCCATTGGTGATCAACTCAACCTTCAGCCCTTCTCCCCGCCTTGGGGATTCTGTGCCCAGAATGTAGGGGAAATAAAGTCAGTCTTTTACTCTGGTTCAGGCAGGCACTGCCCTTGTGGGTTTGGAATAGGAATATATGGTATGCACAACTTTGTAAATTTTTTTCTTAATTTAATTCAAGCATTTACTTTTCAAGTGCCTTACCAAATTCTTACTTATTTTTGTGGAGACAGGGTCCCACTATGTTACCCAGGCTTGTCTTGAACTCCTGGGCTCAAGCAATCCCTCCTGCCTTGGCCTACCTAAATTCTGAGTTGACATTTATTTTTATTTTAATGTGAAGAAAACCCATATAAAAAAAGGAGACAAGAATTAGTGCTGAATAATTACTCATCTATTAAAAACAAAAAAGACTCTATACATACCACACAAAAATGAATTATACCATGCTTTTTTAATCTAAAGACAGAATGTACTTTAAAAATGCCTTTTTCTTAGTTATTTCAGAAGCATACCTTAGCCCGGTTTTGGCATGACCATTCATTCTGATTTAACTGGTTTAATGCAGTTGAGTCAACAGTCCTTGATTTTACAGACAAGAGTGCTTCATTCTAATTCCAACTGTGTACTTGAACAAACCCCTTAATATCTGTAAGTCTCCATTTTTCCCTTCTGTCATGCAAGAGGATTAGGACTGCGATGTCCCCTTAACTCTTACAGCAGCCCTAATGAGTGTGTTCTGCGATCTTGTTATTTCATGTTATTTCACCAAATCCCATCTACCTGCTGAGATAGGACCCCTGGGACTACTCTCATTGACCTCATGAAGAAACTAAGGTAAGGACTGTATAACTGTCCCAGAGCTTGTAAGAAAAAGCTCCAGGCATCAGAGACCTCACCACCACACCACATCATCTCCTTAGATTTTTACTGTAGCCTTGGATGAAAAGCCCAGATGCTGGAGTCAATGCACTTCGATTTACATCTTTTTGCTACTATTCATTTGCTTGACTTTGGAAAGATGCTTAACTCTCTGCCTCAGTGTTCTTATTTATAAAATGGTATCCCAGATTTTCTATGAATTAACACATGTAAAGCACCTAGTTGGAAGCTTGGCACATAGTAAGTGCTCAACAAATGTTACCTAGTAATACTGTTGCAAGAGTGCAGATTAATACAGTTGTATAATACTTCAAAATTAAATCCCTCCCTCAGCCTGCAATCTAAATAATTTATTCTGAATTAATTATCAAATTAAAGAATTCAGGCCAGATCTCTCCAGGTGCTTCTTTCCTCCCTGTACCTCAGCCGATCTGGTCTGCCTGCAATTCCCCACACTCGTCACATGCAGCACTGCTTCATACCCCTGTTCCAACTCTTCCAAGCTTCGAATTACATCTCTTCCCCTCCCGATCCATTTTCAACTCCTCCACAGCAGCCTTTCTGGGTCTCTGAGATCCCTTCCCCACTTGGAATGTTGTACCATTTACAGTCATTTGGCACTTAACGTAGTAATAATCACAACTGACACTTATAGTACTCTTGGGATTATACCAATTTGTTTTTATGTATATTTTCTCACTGCACTGCATTCCTATCTTCTTACATGCCCTGGGATCATAGTCTTGTACACACTGCAGCTGGCGAAAAGACTACACGTGGAGCCCATGGGAGAAGTTTACTGCTGCTGATGGCAATGTTCTAGATACTGGGAAACAAAAGCAAAAAGGTCAGGGTGAACCTCTTGTCACATACAGGTATATATTTTTAAATGTAAGACTGACTAGGATTCCACATCACTATGACAGATGCACAGAGGATCATAGCAAGGCAGCTAAACTTAGCAATGGGAATGGACACACAGAGAATCAGAGAGAAGACAGCGTTTCTCCTGCAATCAGGAACTTCTGCAACATGCAAAGAAGAGAGGTCATTCTGATATTGTTGTCAGCAATAGCTGGAGTATATAGTATGTCACTGGTACAGGTTATACGCAAAGAGCCAGTCTATAACTCTGAAAACCTGATTCCCGGAACATTTCCAAAGCAGTCTGTGAGTCTCTATTTTGGACTGGCCCCTTCTCTAGCAGCAGCCTCTTCAGGTCTCTGAAGCCGTACTGCAGCTCCAATACCAAGGACAAGCCCACTATCTCCCACCTCCATCCCCAGTGTGAGCTGGGAGTAGCAGTCATGCTCCTGTTTCTAGCCCTGGGCGACACACATCAGGAATTCAGACTGTCTGGTGAGAGGCCAATGGGTACTCCCATCATTCACGCAAAATATACCTCCCTTACCACCGCGTAAGAAATGGAAACACCATTTCAAAGAGTAGTTTTCTAGCGTGGACCGCCCAAGATCAGAACAGATACACTTTTAACCTTTTCAACTGTTTTCTTTTCAAATGCCTTACCAAATTCTTGACCTCTCTGACCCACCATATGTCCGCCCTCCACGTTCAATGAAAAGCCTGGAAAACCAAGATGTGAAACCTCCTGTTTAGCCTTCTCAACCTCATTCAAAAGGACAATATTTCCCTTTCATTGCATGGTGTAGCAGTGGAGGCAAATGCCTTAAAAACTTACCCAATTAATCACTCAAATAAACTCCACCAACAAATAAATACTAAGTGTCTAATGTATATAGAACATATTGTGAGCACTGGACAAAGTCATTTAGTCTAAGGAAAGAAATGAGTAGAATGAATCTTTAGTATAATGTTGAACCATAAGAAATTGCCATTTTCATAGGTTAAAAAGGTTCAAAATCAACACTGTCATATGGTTCAAACTAATTATAAACATTTCTTTGGGGTTACCTTCCAAGGTTGGTATTGAATATGAAAATAACTAAATTTCATTGGATAGTGCCCAAGACGTAGTTACATACACTGAATTTTTCTCTGGAGTATATAGTGCCATCCATAGTGAGTTGCCAATTAGCACAGAGAAATAGCATATATTCAGCAAAAAGAGAACAAATTCACCAACTCCAAAAAGGGATAAAAAATATTTGTTACACAAATTAAACAAATTTAAAACAAAAAACCTGTACATTTTTATGTCTATCTCTTAAACTATTTAGCTTTTTATAAAAGCTAGGAAAATCAGCTATTAAGTGCTAATCTAAATCTTTGCACCAGCAAACTTAATGAGAATTCCACACCAAGCAGAGAAAGACTAAGGCCTGCTTATTTCTTTTTTGAGATGGAGTCTACCTCTGTCGCCCAGACTAGAGTGCAGTGGGGCGATCTCAGATCACTCTAGCCTCCGCCTCCTGGGTTCAAGCAATTCTCCTGCCTCAGCCTCCCTAGAAGCTGGGATTACAGGTACCCACCACCACACCTGGCTAATTTTTGTATTTTTAGTAGAGCTGGAGTCTCACAATGTTGGCCAGGCAGGTCTTGAACTCCTGACCTCAGGTGATCCACCTGCCTCGGCCTCCCAAAGTGTTGGGATTATAGGTGTGAGCCACTGCACCCTGCCCAGGCCTGCTTATTTCTAAAGGAGAGGCAACTAGCAGAAACAATCCAGAGGAAGTGAGAGGGAGGAAGGGGCACGCAGGGAACAAAATGTCAAGCAAATATTCACCAGCTGATCCCTGTAAAGCTAACTGGCTTCAGTCTGTCCACTTTTCACTTTAAAGGCTCTAAAATTTCAAATGTTTTCTAGGACTGGTACTCTATCAGGAGAATCGTTTTACTGCCTCGCCTTAAGTATTTCCCAGTATTCAACCAAATGCCTAACCATACAGCAGCCTACAGCTGATCATACTTCCCTTGTGTGTGATACGCATCTTATCCTGGACTCTGTCTTTCATCACTACTCTTTTTGCTATTCATTTACAAGTACAAACAAAATTTTAGCTCGAGGCTAAAATCTGAGGTAAACAGACTATCCATTATACACTTCAAATAATGACCTCTCACTAATAAAACTTCTTTTCTCTGTGTGACCTAAAGGTTAGGAGCATAATTTTCCATTTTAAATTTATACAGAAAACAAACAACTCCAAAAACTAAAGGTCCGGACTAGATGTGTATACAAATCTTCTCCTCCCTCTGATAAGCCCGGTCTTCAAATCCGTTATTATAAAACACACTTAGGGACAAATGGCACAACATTTCCATGAGGCTGTCAGCAGTACTCACATTTAAAATGGAAAGCCTGAACTTAAACTGCAAAATAGTGTAGGTGTCAGGCACTCTATAGAAAAAAAAGAATATTTGTGATGGCGTCAAGCTGTGTAGTTGGCACTTTATATATATAATCTGACATTAAATCTTCACAATGAGCTTATGGGCTAAGCTCTCTATTTTCAAGGTGAGAGAACTGGAGCGCAGGAACTTAAATTGCCCATGATCCCTGGGCAACTGTATCCCAGAGCCAGGTGCATCTCACTCCAAAACTCATCTCCATGCTGCTGCTGTTCCATCAAAAGTTAAACAGATGACCTATCAAGTTTGTGGGTGAAGAATATAAAACTGGGGCAGAGGATGGACAGATAGAAGGCCTAAATCCTAGGCCACGTTCTAGAATTTTGCAGGTAAGAGACTTAAGTTCTCTGAGCCTCATTTCCTCAGAGCATGAACACAGTAGGTGTCCAATGTAGACTTGTTCAGCTCAAAGGTTATTATGTGTCTCTGAGATGCTTCAGTGTAGTGGGATTTAGAGTGACCCTCCTACCACAGTAGCCAGATGGCTAAAGATGTGGCCAACCTCGGGCACGGTGGCTCACACCTGTAATCCCAGAACTTCAGGAGGCCAAGGCGGGCGGATCACAAGGTCAAGAGATCAAGACCATCCTGGCCAACATGGTGAAACCCCATCTCTACTAAAAATACAAAGAATTAGCTGGGTGTGGTGGTGCGTGCCTGTAGTCCTAGCTACTCAGGAGGCTGAGGCAGAAGAATCGCTTGAACCCGGGAGGTGGAGGTTGCAGTGAGCCAAGATCGTGACACTGCACTCCAGCCTGGTGACAGAGCAAGACTCCATCTCAAAAGTAAATAAATAAATAATAAGAGGCCAACCTTATTCCTCACAAATTTCAAGACTCACATCACAAGATCTGGGGCAGAGGGGACTGATGTTATTTGAGCTCCTGTCCCTGCCAATTGTGGGAGAAAAATGGAAGCTGCCACTTCTCGACTCGGGCTTTGGTCCTAGGCCTTCCATTTACCCTCAGCCTTCCTAGGTGCCCAAACCTTTAACAAGAATATTATTTTCATTTTATAAGGTGCAATTTCTACTTGAATGCCTAGCCCCATGGTAAAATTCTCCAGTCTTTTTTTTTTTTTTTGAGACAGAGTCTCACTCTGTTGCCCAGGCTGGAGTGCAGTGGTGCGATCACAGCTCACTGCAAGCTCCACCTCCCGGATTCACACCATTCTCCTGCCTCAGCCTCCCGAGTAGCTGGGACTACAGGCGCCCGCCACCATGCCCAGCTAACTTTTTGTATTTTTAGTAGAGACAGAGTTTCACCATGTTAGCCAGGATGGTCTCCATCTCCTGACCTCGTGATCCACCCGCCTCGGCCTCCCAAAGTGCTGGGATTACAGGTGTGAGCCACTGCGCCTGGCCTAAATTCTCCACTCTTAATGAAAAACTGTCACAATCTGCTACCACCCATGGGCAAAATGGAATTGTAATCATTCAAGTCTGAGGAGATGCAGACCTGAATTTATGAAATACTATGGGAATAAAAAGGGCAAGCTGTGGTCCTTGTGGTCCTAGACTTGTTATTTACACAACTAAAAATCTGCCTTCTTTATAAAGAATTCTTCATCCTATAAAAATAGAAAGGAAAAAGAGACAGAACATAAAATAATAATACAACTTTTAGGTTAACTAGAAGCATTTTCCCCAATAAAGCTATGTGACTCAGTAATTTATATTGATCTAGTTCCTGCTTTATCGAGCAGGACTTAGGAGCTGGGAACCTAACAGTGGCATCATCTCTGCTCTCAACGCCTCTCAACACATCCACAGTCCAGGGGAGGACTAATCTGATCACTGTAATCACCACTACAGTGGCTATAAATAAAGGCAAGTTGCTCAGACCTGATTGGGGGCAATAAGGTGGTCTGGAAAGTTACACAATAGAAAATGGGCATCCCAAGGAGAATGAGAGGCCCAGAAGCAAAAGGGAACATTGAGCATTCAACAACCACAGATTATTTACTAGGGCTAGAGAAGACAGATAAAAGAGAAAAAGGAGGTGGGAGGTAGAGGTGAAACTTGAAGTCTTGCAGACCATGGTAGGGAACTTGAACTCTATCCAGAGAGCAGTGAGGAATCTTTGAAGGATTATAACAAGCAGACTGGCATATCAGATTGCAGAAAGCTAGGTCAAGCTTAGAGAAGGGACTGGAGGTAGTAAAAGTAGAGGCAGCGAGTCTGGTTAGAAAGCTGTTATGGAGGTAGCAATGATGGTTGAAAATAAATCAATAAATCCAAGAGATGTAAATCCAGTAGAAACACAAGGAATTTGTGATTGGACAGATGAGGCAGCAGATAAATTCCAGGTGGCACCTAGGATGATTTTCTCAAGTGTTCAGAGGAGTAAACGTGGCCCAGTCTGTCCATTACTCCATAGCTCTTCTCTCTCCCACTTCCCTCTTCCAAGCATATCTTCCTAACACCATTTACTCCCAAGGTCAAAGATATCTTAAGAGAGATTGAAAACAAAGATCATTCTTTTAAGAAAAAACATGGTAGGAACATGGGATGGTGAATGAAGTCCCAACCTTCATTGTTTTTAGAAACACAGAGGATCAAGTGAAGGCAATTATTCACAGCAACATTCATGAGCTGCAGAGCAGATGGAGAAGCCACTGAAGCATGTGGACCCATAGTGTTCCACAGCCACTGCCTGAATCTCATTTGTGCATCATCACCTCTGATGATGACATTGAGGACACGCTGGCTATGCCATGGCTGGATTGGAAAACCAACAGGGGAATCCAGAAAACAAAAACATCAATGCATGGCCTGATGTTACCCCACCAAGGTACCCTCTCTTTTAAGCTTCTTAAGATAATAACTTCCAAAGCCTTTTCTTCTGATTTGAAGAATAGAAAAATAAATCATGCAATTCATCAAGACTTTTTATGCACAAATACTGTATTAGTCCCTTCTCGCACTACTATAAAGAAATACTTGAAGCTGGGTAGTTTATAAAGAAAAGAGGTTTAGTGGGTTTACAGTTCTGCAGGCTGTATAGGAAGCATAGCCGGGGAAGCCTCGGGAAACTTACAATCACGGCCGAAGACAAAGGGGAAGCAGGCACAACTTGCCTGGCTGGAGAAGGAGGAAGAGAGAGGAGGAGGAGGCACTACATACTTTTAAACAACCAGATCTTGTAAGAACTCACTATCATGAGAAAAGCCGGGGGAAATCCACCCCCGAGATTCAATCATCCCCCACAAGTCTCCTCCTCCAACATTGGGGATTACAAATCAACATGAGATTTGGGCGGGGACAGAAATCCAAACCATATCAAATATACAGCATGATGTACCCCTCACTGCATCCACAGTGTCCAGGCAGAAATACAGACAACAAATGGTTTGCTTACTAATACCCAAAGTTACTAGACGCTGGGTCAGGAGCATGGAGTTTCTCGCTATTCTTCCTCTTGTATATCCACCTTTCTTTCTCAGTTAGCATACTTTGTACGTCATTCTATTAGTTACAACAACAAGAAATCATCTGAAATTTCTCAGGAAAAGGGCTTCTGTGATCCACAGTAGCTCACTGATTTCTACATAAAGAAAACAGATTAGCTGTGTTAGAAGGAACACAAAAATAAGTTGAGTTTTAAAAAAAGAAAGAGGTTGGATTAAAATCTTCACAGTTTGAACAAAGTAAGGATCTAATTGTATAGACCTTCAAAAACTCATAGTTTAATAATTTTACCATAACCTGCATGGAAACAGATCATCTAGAGAAGTCAGAGATACACATTACAATTGGGAAGAAAGTTAAATACAAATATCCCGATTTCATACAACCTGTTAATGAGTCAAAATTACAACATGGCGGCCGGGCGCGGTGGCTCACGCCTATAATCCCAGCACTTTGGGAAGCCAAGGTGGGCAGATCCCTTGAGGTCAGGAGTTTGAGACCAGCCTAGCCAACATGCTGAAACCCTGTCTCTACTAAAAATACAAAAATTAGCCAGACGTGGTGGTGGGAGCCTGTAACCCCAGCTACTCAGGAGGCTGAGACAGGAGAATCGCTTGAACCTGGGAGGCAGAGGTTGCAGTGACCCGAGATCGTGCCACTGCACTCCAGCCTGGACAATGAAGAGCGAAACTCCATCTCAAAAAAAAAAAAAAAAAATTACAACATAGCTTTTGCCATGTGCCACAGTTTCTCTGTGTGATGAGTGAAGTCACTGATTTACACATCAGTAATTTACAATGTGCAGTAAAATCAGCCTAAAATATTTCAGAGTGATAGCTTATTTTGGGAATAACAGCATTCATGTTAAAAACATGACCATTCAGTTCTGACAGTAAATAAATCACCAGACAGTGTCTCCACAATCTACCACCATTGAGCAATAAATCTTTGGATTCAACTGTACACCAGACATAATGCTGTAAAGTAAAAGTCTAGTTTTACCTCAGTGACCTCAGTTTTGCCTCTGCTGGACATTAAATCTGATGCAAAATGAGCAAATAAGGGTGGCTGAGTTTCAACCTGGCATAACAGTGAGGTTTTGTCAAGGATCCCAGAATTCAGAGAGTTTTTAGGAACAACAACCAAAAAAAAAGTTTGAAAAACAAAAACATATGCTAAACAGCTGGGGATGGAGAAATTAAAGGATGTGAAGAGCCTTCACCTTAGCTAGAAAAATATCCTATTTAATGACTTTTTCTTTTATTTGACCCATTTTAAGATTTTCTTTTTTAATCTTTAAAACTATTATCTCTAGAGGGCACATGCTGGATGAATAAAAATACATTCATCAATTCATTCATTGTTTCATCCAATCTATGTTAAAACAAATAGTGTTTTCATCTCTTAATAGCTTTGGGACCCTAAGAAAATTATTTAAATTTGAGGTACCTTAGTTTCTTCATCTATAAAAGGGGGACAAGACTCATACATAACTCACAGGACTCTTGAACGATAACTACACATACTCTGTCTCAGACACAATGCCCAAGCTGAGGTTTGCAATAATGAGCAAAGGAAACCGGATTCCCACCTTCAGAGACACAGAGTACATAATTAGGAAACAAAAATAAATAAACATGGAATTTCAAATCCTGCCTGGTGCCTGGAGAAAATGCATAGGATACTACTCAATGAAAGAGAGGCCTCCTTAGATAAAGGGGTCATAGTAAAAGGCTTTGCTGAGTTGTGGACCTTTGGGCTGAGACCTAAGGAATGAGAAGGAGTCAGCCCTGCAGAGTGAAGAAGCAAGCCCATTCTAGGCCAAGGATTTGAAATACAAAAAGGCCCTGATCTTAGCATCAGCCAGGTGCATTCCAGTAAGTGGGGAGATACTGGGAAGAGATGAATCATGCAAGACCCAAAAGGAGCAACAGAGATTGTGTCTGTAGTCCATATGAATGTAGAAGTCACAGGCGGATTTTCCAGCAGGACAAATGGCAGGTTTTAGTTATGAAAGATGAAGCTAGCTGCTGAGTAATGAACGGGCCACTGAGGTTCAGAAGGAAATATCAGGGAGGTGAAAGAAGCCATTGCAGTGGGAGATGATGGTGGCTTGGCACAGGTAATGACTGTGGAGATGGAGAGAAACAGATAGAACTTGAGATACCTCTCGAAATCTCCCTAAAGGTCTGTCTTGGCAACCTATTCTCAGGTGTAAACGTTAACCAGATAAATGACTAAAAAGAAAATTTAAACGGTCTCTATTCTATTAAAATTCTCCAGATAGCTCTCTTCATGAAATTTTTAAAGTGTTTTTACCAGGATGATTTACAGTCATGAACTGATTTGACAGTTTAGCCTGACTTCTATGTGTAGTTTAGATTGAGAGCTGCAAGACTCAGTTATTTAGAAAGTAAATTCAATATGTGTAATGGTGCTATCCCTGGACTGTAGACAATTCTTCATTGTTTTCACTTTAGATGGAATTCTGAGTAGTTTTTTGAAACATGAGCTAGAGATCTGGTTCAACCAGGGGTAGTAATAAGAGGTTTCTCCATCATAGCTTCTTGGTAAAGTGTCCAAAAGTAATAACCTTGTTTTCAGCTTTCCACCCAGAGGTTAAAGTAGGGAACACTTCATGAAAGTTATATGTTTCCATTCCAACCCATCACTTTGTGCTTTGGGAAAGAAAAGGAGGGGGCAAGAGATATTGAGAAAGAGATTGAGAAAGGGAGGGGAAGAGAAACAGAGAGGGAGAAAGAGAGAGATGGAGAGGGAGGTGGAGGGGGAGGTGAGGGGGGAGAGAGAGAGAAAGAAGACAAGGGGGAGGGGGGAGGGGAGGGGAGGGGAGAAACTTTTTAAAAGGGAGGGAGTTAAGACATGATTTGTCATCACCCAGAAGTGCTAACGCTGGCTCCCAAACCTCAAGCTCTGATTCCCTCATCAATCTTAATACCCCCCAGATTCTGTGTAGAGCAAACATGGAAAGAAAAGAAAGTTCTTAGCCAAATATTGGAGCCCAACTTGGAAAAATGAGCTTTGCAATGACAGCACATATTTTTAAGGGCTTATTGGGCTCTCACTAAGGAGACTGGCTCCAGGCCTTGTAGTTTCACATATTTTCTTGATTCCTAAGTTAATCATTTTTACATCATCTACTTTAAAATAAGCCAAAGGGAAGCTTCCTCCAGGAATAGCCATTCACTGGCATTTAACAATTAAAAACAAGATCACATTTGTGTGACCAGCCTTGAACAAGAATTTGATTTGCGTTTAATAAGATACATGCTCATGTGTAATGCATACCAATGGGTCTGAAAAAATATTTAATATGATACAACTCTAACATAAAACTATATCACTTTTAACAAGGCATCAGGATTCATTAGGCACAGCTAGCAACTTGATGGAGTTAGAGTTAATGGTATCTGAGCCTTGGATAGAAGAAAAATGAGTATAAATTTCCCTTCTTCCTATAAACATAGCTCAGGCATACAATCATGAGCTTCTCTACTAAAACCCCAAAGAAAAATGTGATTGAAAATGTTATTTAAACTACTATGTTTATAGTAAAGTGAGTTAGCTAACGATGACTGTTGGCACTTTTGAAATTTAACTTTTAATTTTGAACGGTTCATTCTCTTTGCTCTGCAAAATACCTTTGAGGTGTGTTAAGGTGATGAATTTTCCATGTAAGTAGGTAGCTCTTCTATCCCTGGAACAAACATGACTCTTATTTGTCATCATTTCTAAATCTTATCTTTTATATGACTCATTTAATTGGATTCATCTCTCCCTACAAGCATGGACAATGAGTAACCATGCATTACAATTAGGTTCATGGTTTGGTCTCAGTGTACATTTCTGTCTTTCCTTTCATCTAATGCAAATTACAAATGTGTCCCCTTCTTATAGAATGTGTTGGAGGCTCTCAGACTTCACAGAGAGCAATCCTTCTATCTCCCAAACTGCACTGCTTAAACAGATCTGCATTTTAAGTTAAGGAGAAGTTAACAGAAATTTTAATTCTTAATAATTAATTATAAATTATAAATCATAAATTATTTGCAGTACCAGGCAGCAGAGTAGTTGAAAGGGATACCAATTGAAGCTTTGCTGCACCTGTGTTAACAACTCCACACAACTAATTTGTAATAGTATGTGATTGGCAGTTTCCCCTGCTCTCTCCTGCCTGCTGCCATGTAAGACATGCCTGCTTACCCTTCCACCATGACTGTAAGTTTCCTGAGGCCTCTACAGCCATACCGAAGTGTGAGTCAATTGAAACTCTTTCCTTTGTAAATTACCCAGTCTCAGGGAATTTCTTTATAGCAGTGTGAAAATGGACTAATACAGTAAACTGGTACCAGGAGTGGGGTACTTTTATAAAGGTAACCTGAAAATGTGGAAGCAGCTTTGAAATTGGGTAATGGGCAGAGGGTTTGAACAGTTTGGAGAGCCCAGAAAGAGAAAGAAAGATGTGGTCATCTGTGGAACTTGCTAGAGACTTGAATGGTTTTGACCAAAATGCTGATAGTGATGTAGACAATGAAGTCCAGGCTGAGGTGGTCTCAGATGAAGATGAGAGTTTACTGGAAACTAGAGCAAAGGTCACACTTGCTATGCTTCAGCAAAGAGACTGGTGGCACTTTGCCCCTGCCCTAGAGATCTGTGGAACTTTGAACTTGAGAGAAATGGTCTGAAATTGGAACTTATGGTTAAAAGGGAAGCAGAGCATAAAAGTTTGGAAAATTTGCAGCCTGGCCATGTGGTAGAAAAGAAAAACCCATTTTCTGGAAGAGAAATTCATAAGTAACAAGGAGTCAAATATTAACCTCCCAGACAATGGGGAAAATGTCTCCAGAGCAGGTCAAGGACTTTCACCGCAGTCCCTCCCATCACAGGCCTGGAGGACTAGGAGGAAAACATTATTTTGTGGACCAGGCCCAGGGCCCAGCTGCTCTGTGCAGCCCCAAGATTTGGTGCCCTGCATCCCAGCCACTCCAGCTCCAGCTGCGGTTAAAAGGGGTCAAGGTACAGCTCGAGCCACTGCTTCAGAGAGTGCAAGCCCCAGGCCTTGTCGACTTCCACACAATACTGAGCCTGTGGGTGCAGAGAAGCCAAGAAGTGAGGTTTGGGATCATCCTCTTAGATTTCAGAGGATGTTTGGAAATGCCTGGATGTCCAGAGAGAAGTTTGCTGTAGGGGTGAAGCCCTTATGGAGAACCTCTGCTAGGGCAGTCTGAAGAAAATGTGGAGTCAGAACCCCCACACAGAGTCCCCACTGGGGCACTGCCTAGTGGAGCCGTGAGAAGAGGACCATCATCCTCCAGAGCCCAGAATGGTAGATCCACCAACAGCTTGCATCATGTGCCAGGAAATGCTGCAGGCACTCAACGACAGCCTGTGAAGCAGCTGTCCAAGGCCGTGGGAGCCCACCCCTTGCATAAGCATGCCCTAGATGTGAGACATACAGTCAAAGGAGATCATTTTGGAGCTTTAAGATTTAATGACTCCCCTGCTGGATTTTGGACTTGCATGGGGACCACAGCCCCTTTGTTTTGGCCAATTTCTCCCATTTGTAACCAGTATGTTTACCCAATGCCTGCACCCCCATTGTATCTTGGAAGGAACTAATTTGTGTTTTATTTTACCAGCTCACAGGTAGAAGGCACTTTCCTTCTCTCAGATGAGACTTTGGATTGTGGACTTTTGAATTAATGCTGACATGGGTTAAGACTTTGGGGGAATGTTGGAAAGAGATTTGGGAGGGGCCAGGAGCAGAATGATATGGTTTGGTTCTGTGTCCCCATCCAAATCTCATCTCAAATTGTAATCCCCAGGTGTCGAGGGAGAGACCTGCTGGGAGGTGACTGGATCATGTGGGCAGTTTCCCCCATGTTGTTCTTGTGATAATGAGTGAGTTCTCGTAAGATCTGATGTTTTTATAAGTGGCAGTTTCCCCTGCTCTCTCTCACCTGCCACCATGTAAGACATGCCTGCTTCCCCTTCTGCCATGACTGTAAGTTTTCTGAGGCCTCTCCAGCCATACTGAAGTGTGAATTAATTAAACCTCTTTCCTTTGTAAATTACCCAGTCTCAGGGAAGTTCTTTATAGCAGTATGAAAATAGACTAATACAACATCCCCACAAAAAAAAAAAAAAACATGAGCCAAGGAGAGGATTAGGTGAGTCACCAATATTCTGTCTCGATGATGATAATGATTAATATAAAAGGAAATTGTTTTGTTAGTCAGACTATAAAAGATTTGGAAAGATTGACTGAAACTTCATTAGTAGGGTGAGGGGGCTCAAGCACTTGGTAGCCTCTAGTAGTATGGAAATGAAGGGCAATTGCACATCATGTATTGAATGTAAACGCAGCAGAGTCTTTCACCTAAGACTTCCCAGAATTTAACCTAAGAAACTGCACACATTCTAAAGGTGTTATACTCAAAGCTGTTTATCTAATCATTTATATGAGTGAAGAAATGAGGAAGAATAACATGGAATTGGTCAAGTAAACTGTCACTGACATCTCGAGGAAGTCCTGATGCTCTCATTGGCATGGCAATGTTGTCTATGAAACTGCTGAATGAAAAGAGGTCACAGATGGGATAACTCCACAGGTATGGAGTGGCATATATGTAGTTACCCTTGTATGAACATATAGGAGATTTCTCTTTCCTTTTTTCCATCATACAAGAACAGAGAAGATCAAATTGATCCATCGCTTCCTATGATTCAGCATATCCTAATATTAAGCCGATTTCTCTTATCCAGAGTAGAAAAAAGTCTCTGCTTATGTTCTTCTAGTACCTCTTCAATTTTCAGTGCATGCATTTCAACCTTTCATCTATTTGGGCTGGGTGTGGTGCCTCACACCTGTAATCCCAGCACTCTGGGAGGCTGAGGTGGGTGGATCACTTGAGGTCAGGAGTTTGAGACCAGCCTGGCCAACGTGGCAAAGCCCCATCTCTACTAAAAACACAAAAAATTAGCCAGGCATGGTGGCACATGCCTGTAATCCCAGCTACTTGGGAGGCTGAGGCAGGAGGATCGCCTGAACCTGGGAGATGGAGGTTGCAATGAGCTAAGATCATGCCACTGCACTCCAGCCTGGGACACAGAATGCGATCCTGTTTCAAAAAAAGAAATCATCTATCTGGAATGTATTTTAGCTCAAAGAGTATGGTCAGAGCAAGACCATGTCCAGATTGCAAGGTCTGGACTTCTGGGAGGGAGCCGGGTATCTGACAGAAACTAGCTTGCTTTCCCACCTCTCATCCATATTCCCCACCACACAAATTCACACACAACTGTGTGGCACCCACTAATGCTTGCGCAAGCACATAAACAAGCAGAGGGAAAGAGGGAAAGAAGGAGACAGACCAAAAGACAAGAGAGTCTAACTTATAAGACCAAAGTCTGAGAATCTTGCAGCTGCATCAGGACAGTCTGCTGAGTAGGACTTAAGTGTTTCAATTCTGGGAGAACTTTCCAGAGCAAAGACAGAAGATTCCATAAAACGAGCAAAATCTGCTACAATTTTCCCCCATTGCTATGGTTCCAGTTGACCCTAACGGCTGTTTTCTCTCTGAAAGGCAGCATGCTGAACACATCACAGAGGAAAAGTGGAGGGTCCCACTAGCCAACATTAGTAGCACTGTATGGCGGCAGCACCAGGCTAAGCAGGACTGGCCTGACTGTGGCACAGCCCGGGGGTGAGGGGTGGGGAGATGGAGGATGGGCGGTGGGCATCAGCCAGTGGTTATCTGAATTTAGTCTTTCATGCATTTTCAAGTTCCTGGGAAAGGGTTTAATTTGAAATAAGTTGATTTTTTTTAATGACATAATAAAGAATAGCCAATAAATCTGCCAGTAGGAGAATTGCTGATCTGATCATTAAAAATGATATTTGACATGCCTAATGTGGTACTCAGTAGGCTTCGAGGTAAAATGGATCAATATATTGAACTGGCTTCCAATATGACTTTTGTGAACTGTTCAAATATGATGCCCATTTAAGTGTGACCTCAATTATATGTAAGGAAGCAAGTGGGCTCCGCTCACCAGCTAGCAGCATCTGTCCCCAGGTACTGGAACCTATCAACCATGACTGGTGTTGGCGTAACTCCTAATCCCTGGATCTAGAGAGAGGCCTCTGCTGGGTCACCCGGCTAGCTAAGAGTGGATCACAGGATTCCAACCTTCTGTCTTCCATGCCCCTTCCAGCCATGCATCAACCAGTGTCGCTGGGATAGTCTCCAGGCCCATGACTCTGCTCACCTGGGCAACTGAGATAGACCATGAGCAGCCAGGACCCTTGACGGTCTGGAAACACACACCAGGAGGGAAGCTTGTGAGATCTTCAGGCTCACCACCTCCCTTCCTGTTCTGGCACCTTCAGCACTCCCGGACCCAGAGGTTAATTTTCATGTTGCCTTTGATATTTTCTCCCAGGCAAGCATGGCTTGTGGATCTGCCTGTTACAAAAGAAAGGAGTCAAATAGTGCAAGATTTGTTTAAAGACTAAAAGAGAGTGGCTTCTTGGTTTGCTTATCCAGGAACAGAGACTAAAACTCTGTTTTTAGGTAATTATAAACCAGTGTATGGCATATTGACCAAAGATGACCACACACGATCACATGGCCCCTAGACCTTGCCATGCCCCCATCCAGAGAGGGAGTCTGATTCTCCTCCCTGGATCCAGGCAGCCTCCTCACTCACTTCTAACTTGCCTCTTTATTTCACTTGGGCTATAACAAAATACCATAGACTGGGGGGCTTAAACAACAAACATTTATTTCTTGTAGTGCTGGAGGTTGGAAGTTAAAGATCAGGGTGCCAGTAGGGTTAGGTTCTTAGTGAGAGCCCTCCTCCTGGTTTACAGAGGCCCATCTTCTTGCTGTATCCTCACATGGCAGAGAGAGGGGAGCTCTGGTCTCCTCATAAGGACACTGATTCCATCATGGGGGCTACACTCGCATGAACTTTTTTAACGCTAATTACCTCCCAAAGACCCCACCTCCTATTATTATCCTCTTGGGGGTTAGAGCTTAAACACATGAATTGGGGGGACACAAACATTCAGTCTAGTGGAACCAATAAAATGCCCAGAAGTAACACTGCATGACCTCCCAGGCTGTCATAAAAGCCAATGCTGCTTCCCTGGAATAAGCAACTCTTGAAAGCTTCTCCTGCCATGTAAGCAGCTTGGCTGCCCTGAGACAGTAATTCTGTGAGGAAGCCCAAGTAGCCCATGCAGAAAGACCACACAGAGAGGCCTGACACCCTAGGAAGAGAGAGACAGGGAGGACAAAAGAGAGGGAAAGCTGGTCCTGTCCAGTTCTGCCATTCTCAGCTCCAGCCACTGACTGGCCCCAGATCCACTCCACCAAGACCTTCCCACATTCTTGACCCACAAGAACTGAAAGAGATCATAAAACAATGGCTGTTGCTTAAGTCACTAACTTTTAAGGTTGTCTGGAATGTGGCAAAAGTAACTAGAACATGCTGCCACACAATGATAAACAGACCAGAATCATCTTATTTGGAAAGATGATTTCTTGCACTTTTGTAAAGCAATATTGTTTAGTTGAGGGAAGCATCTGTGTTTCGTAACTTTCATTATTTCATCTCAGACATACTGATTTTCTGGATAAGGAATTATGGACTATATTCTAAAGCCACATACTCATGGACAAATTATGGCCTGTGGGAGAAGCAGCATCTGGCGTCCCAGGTCCCTCTAGGATGCCAATTATTCACAGAGCCCAACAGTAATACATTCAAATTCCCCTCCAGAAATCCACTTCCCACACTGTCTATGGCCAAAAACAGCCTGGGGGAGTAAGTCTTAAATGTGGTTACACATAAGCAAGAAGGTAGAAAACCTCTTCCTACGTGTTTCCATGAAGGTAAGAAACAGCACCGCTTTCCTCCCTTACCTTGTCAACCTCCCACCTGTGTTTAGGAACCTGTAAGTCTAAAGGCACTGAGTCCAAGAGATCTGGAAAGATGAAAGTTAAAGAACGTGACACTGTTAAATCTCACCCAAATAGCACATTAATATCCACTAAAAAGCAATGCAGGTTGGCAAAGGCTGTATATCTACATGTATCTATTTGATGGCAAACATGCAGGCTCACTTGGAATCCATGAAAGACTAAAACAGTCCAATAATTTATTTTTCATCAAAATGTTCCATGTCATGGATGACAAAACCATATATAAACACTTATCCAATCCAAAGATATTCCATCTCGAGTTAATTTAGCCACCAAACTTTTTTATTTTGGAGGGCTATGGGATGAGACAGGAGAAGTTTAACATTTTTATTTTGCAGAATTAGTACACCTGTGTTTGCTTCAGAATGGACTGGAATTGTGTCAACTTTCCTTTTAAACACATGGTGATTGGGCTATTTCCTGCTCAAGTTATGAAAGTGTTTTGGATCCCTTGTAGCATCACGGGGGGTCATGAAAATCTCATGAGGGATCCAATACTAAACACACTGGATGATGCAGACACTTAGTGCACTCACGTTCCAGAACCACACCTGAGGCCATATCTATGGGTTAGTGTGTTGAGACTTTCTCTAAGGAAATTCAGAAGTTTCAAAATCCACCAGTTTGATACAAAACCACAAGGCTTATCTGTCAGACTCCCAATGTCTTTTTGCTGTTTGGTGCCATGATACAAGCACCACTGTTTTTCTTTGAGATCATGTCTCTCTCTCTTGGGAGCGACATCCTAATTGTTGCCGAAAGGGGATTTTTTTTTCAATACATTGCTATGTCTCATCTCAAGAAATACATTCGTTATTTCAAAACATGAACTACATACTGTTCTCCACTCATCTCTTTTGTATAAGATTGTTTTTGGCAGAAAGTTGCAGAAATTTCTCTATTCTCCCAAGAATGTCTCTAGGCACTTTCCCAGTATAATAAAGAAGCATTTTATGTTATGGGTGATGGCCAGTTAACATCTATATTTCTGTGGACGAACTGCAGCCTTCCTATCAGCCAAGGGAAACACCTGCATAGCCCTGTGTTCCCGTGTTACATCCATGACCACACATCCCATAAACAAGGACCCAGAATCCAAAGAACAAAGCCCACAGGTGCTGCAGAAGAACAGCTCCATGTCAATCTGCAATATGCAACAATCTTTTCATAACAAACAAGATAACAAGGGTATAATTACAGGTAGGAAACATGGACATCAACCCCAATAACCTATGATTATTTTTATAATGTATGGGGTTTGGATGAAACATGACCACAGATTAAAGCAGGAAGGCAGAGTTCCTTGGAGACGGACAGTGGCAGACAAATACAATGGACTACATTTGCAAAATATTTATCCAGACCCTCTGGGTTCATTTTTCTTAACAACTTTAGAACACAAATTTGATCAAAAGGTATCTTTAGACCTCAAGGCCTCCTTAATCTATAAATAGACACACACACACACACACACACACACACACACACACACACACAAAATGCATTACATAGTAATGATTCATTATAGGAATCAGAACAAAAACAACTAGAATATATTTTAATTTACTTAAAAATGATTGTGTCCCCCAGAACATATCCCTTCCAGAAGCTGCAACGAACGATGATGCAATGCAGCTAGCTAAATAGAAAGCGGTCACTCTCTGTCACATAGACACTTTCCATAATTACCTGACTTCTCTGATAAGACAGTGGCACTCACAGGAAGCTCACACTCACATGGGGAAGAAAATAAATGCCCCCCTGCCCCTGGGGACAATAGAGGCCAATCTCTGAAGAACCCAGATACCATGGTGTAGATAATTAACGCCACGAGGACGTGGATGACATTGTCAGAGGCCACGCTGACCCAGAGTTCTCAGGAAGGGACACAGCTAGTCACCGGACCGTAAAGAGTGAACCACGCCTGTCAGAAGTCATTTCATGGTAGGCAGTTTAAAATGAAGCCAGGCTCCTAGGACGCATTGTTATCCAGGCTGCTTCTCAGAAGATTTCACATAAAATCTCAGGACACTGGAATCTTCATGTTTAATAAAGCCTTTATGGCAAAATAATTGATACTATTTTCTTTCAATTCAACTCAGCTTTTACTTTAAAAAAATTTTAATCTTTGCTATATTCACACCACTGTGTTAGGGAATGCCCAGGATACAAAGATGATCAGAAAATGCCTCCTCTCTTAGAGCAGCTACAAAATAATGGGAAAGACAGACAGATAAACAGATAATCAGAGTAGCAGAAAAATGGTGGATGACTGTTGTAATGAGATGTATAAACACCTGGGAATGATCATTCAAGCTAATGACCCAAACCTCAGGCGGCCAACTACCTCATCTAAACTTTATGGTTTCATCAAGTTATTAAGGACCAAAAAAAAAAATCAATCTTTTTAAAGGTATCTTCAATGTCAGTGATCCACACCAGCCATTAAGTTAAGCAAACCTTTAATATCCACTGCTTCTTTGCTTGGTGAATTTTGCCATATGCTGAGCAGTAACAACATAAATATTATTCTTACTTTCCAAAGATATAGCTTCTTGCTCATTAATAAACTCTAGCTACTTGAATATTATCATTCTACTACAAAACTTTTTTCAGATTCATAAGGCACCTCCCTTCATATTCTGGGAAAGTGCTTCAGGATAAACCCAGCCTAATGCTAAAATAGATACATTAAGAATGAGATTCTCAGCCAGGCACAGTGGCTCATGCCCGTAATCCCAGCAGTTTGGGAGGCCAAGGCGGGTGGATCACCTGAGGTCAGGAGTTTGAGATTAGCCAGACCAACATGGAGAAACCCCGCCTCTACTAAAACTACAAAAAATTAGCTGGGCATGGTGGCTCATGCCTGTAATCCCAGATACTCAGGAAGCTGAGGCAGGAGAATTGCTTGAACCCAGGAGGTGGAGGTTGCAGTGAGCCAAGATCACGCCATTGCACTCCAGCCTGGGCAACAAGAGCAAAACTCCATCTCAAAAAAAAAAAAAAAAAAAAAAAAAAAGAATGAGATTCTCTGGCAACCATTACTTTTGACATTATTTAATGAATCACTAAACTCACTTACCATTTACAAATATAAATCAAACACAAAAAAACACAGTGCAGACTAAAGCAGGGAATGGAGAATGTATTTTTGAAGGCCAGGAATGTCAATTGCCAATAATTTACCTCTATGTTGATAGGTTCCTTGTTCTTTGTGGAAACTAGTTATTTGCTCCTAGAACAGTGTACAATGAGACAGGCATATTGTGCTAAAACAAAAAGGAATAAGTAGCTACAGATTACACCATATTTCCCAATAGACATAAACACACACTTAATACATTTCATTCTGCTTATGTTATTGCATGCCAGTTTGAAAATAGTTGAAGTATAAGATGTAAGAAAAAGCTACAGTTGCCAACTGAAATGTTCTGCTAAGCAGTCCAAAAACCAAGCACAAAGAAACAAAAACATGTTTTAAAGTAAAGGAACACTCACTTATTATCACAGACTTATAATATGAAGCCACCAGAATGGGAACATCTAATCTAAAATAAAATGGCCATCCATTTATGCCTCTAACACAACAGAACTCAAAGGGATCTGTCTTTTCTGATCACTAAAAACAGAAAGCTATTATAACCAAAAACAACCAAGAAAACACTCTTGTTTGTGTGATTTTCAATTCCCTGTTGCGCTCGTCAAAGAATCAAACTCTAGATCTGTTTCACATTTACAGGAAAAAAACAAAGCAAGCAAACACAAATGATAAAAGTAAATAAATAAGTCCACAAAAAGAGACAAGTTTATATGAAAACACATCTCCATGGCAGAATAAGTTAAAGACAAACCTGGACTACTCTGTAATTCAGGTTGAAAGAAACAAAATGTGATTTCTTGGAGCTAGCTTTTTCTGATCCAGGGACTCCCAGCTGTAACATTTCAGACCGGATGATTCTTTGTTGTGGATGCTGTCCTGTGTATTTTAGGATGTTTAACATCATCCCTGACTTCTACTCACTAGATGCCAGATGCCAGCAGCACTCCCCACTTTTTCTCCCACAATTGTGAAAACAAAAAATGTCTCCGGATAACCAGATGTCCCCTGGGAGGCAAAACTGCACTGGTTGAGAACTAATGCCAAGAATCGAAAATGACTACAAAGATTTCAAGTCAGAATGGCTAAGAGATATGAGCAACTAGTTGAGGACCCATCCTGCTTCCAATAGATCAATTTCATTTTTATGTTGTTTTCTTACTTTCCATAATTCCAATTCCTACATCAACAAGCACTAGTATTTCATTTAAAGCAAATGACCTAAGGTTGGTAGCTACCAGAACGCTCCAGCCCAAAGCCCAAGGGTAATACTCAATACAGGCTTACAAGCACCTCACACGGGCAGGCTTACTCTCTCACTCTCTCCATTACATATTAAATACCAGCATAGAGTGAAATGTTACCTTGAAGCAAACAGAGCTATATTCATGTATAAATGTCCAGTATACCCATGAATAACGAAGCTACTGGCTTATTTCAGTTCTTCACTGTTTATGAATGTTTAAAAATGGTTTATTTTTAGTCTTAATCTAATTTCAATAGTGCAGAAATATTTGCACCTACTATCTGTAAATTTCTACATAAAATAATGAAGTACATATCCAAAGTCTGCTAGGATTTGCATTTATTTCATCCTAAAAAATATCTTTCTCTTACACTGAATATTAGGTTGAACCCGAGTTATTTTATAGAACCTGGTAAATTATTGCTTAATAAGCATTTCTATTGTTAAAGCATATTTTATCTATCTGCACTTTTACAGTGGAGGCATTAAAGTTTATTTTTAAGTCAAAACTGTTATATGATAAACCATTCTGGAGATGGCAGAGTTTATTCATTCATAAAGTATTTCTGAATTTTAGAAAACATATATTATTACAGATTTTGCACCTGTAAGAGCTGCTGGATATTTGTAATGGCTTTGAATTAATAATAATGACAGGTATAGACAATAGAAAGCTACCAAAGGACTTCTGGGAAAATGAATTCCACTCAGAAGTCTTAAAGAGTTAAGTAAGAAGAACTTAGGGGTTTTGTTCTGGCTCAGCAATATACTGAATGTAAGAACAATGCTCAGTTCTATATATCAGCTTTATGTTTATATGACTCAGAAGTTTCCAGCTATTACCTTTTTTGTTTTCAGTGGGGTTGCTGACGGAAGTGGTACAGATGTTCATTAACAATCATCTACATTTATGATAGTACAAGTCAAGGACCTCGTGATAAACTATTAATTTGTACCGATGACCTCACATTCATGCTCTGCAGAGATCCAAGGCACACTGACATTACTCCTGAGTACTGATTGGCTGAAGCAGAGTATCTGATTAAGTGACCCGAGCATTCCCTAACAACAGAAACTATCTGCTTGACATTGGCAGAAGTCACTGCTTAACAAGAACATCTTTTTTCCTGAGGAAGACAAAGAAAATTCCAAACTGTGACTTCTACACTGCCTTCCTTTGTAAAACTGAGTGATGCCTCCCATAAAAATCCCTTCTTCGGCCAACATCACCATCATTAAAAAGACTTGTTATAGCTTCCCCCTTCTTTTATTTTACCAAACTAAACCTATCATTTCCTTTTGATTCAAAAGTTCACTAAAAAAGGGAAAAATCTATTTTTTTGAGCTGGTTTGACCATCTTATTGGCAAGATTCTTTGAAACTTTGTGCTGTAATATTCCTTGCCTCCTCCTCTCTCTAGTTCTCTAAACAGGAATGCACATGCTTTTGTAGACACTCTACATTCTCCTGAGACTCAAAGACATGGAAGGCTCAGCATCTCTCAGTGCAACTGCACCAGCATTTATTGAGCTGCTTACTGGGCCGCAGAATTAAAAATAAATAACATTTGTACTGTCTCCCTTTGAAGATTTTAGTCTATTATGGATGACAAACACCTGCAGTAAACAAAAAAGTGAAATCACAGAGATGTGTCCAGATACTGCAGGACACAATTTTGGGGGAAGGGGAGGTGATTAACCTTGCCTGATGAGTTTGGGATCTGGCAGGGCTTCTCTAAAATCCAGAGTGAGACATATTCCCTGAAAACCTTCCTGATTCTCCTCCCAACAAAGAAAAATTCTACGCTTACAGGGGTAAACCTGGTTCAACATAAATCAAGAGAGGTCTTCCTTTAACTGTGGAAAAGCAGTCACAAAGGGTGAGGTATATATACTGGTATCTTGGGGGTGTATGGGGCAGTGGGAGAGTTTGTGGTTTACGCTGCTTGGACAAGGGCATGAAGGGAGAAGACAGACTATAGGTTGCAGCCTCCAGGTCCTCTTCCTAATCCTTCTTTAAGCAACCTGCTTTCTGAGTCAATGTTCCACAATAGAAAACCAGCATGACATGGGCCCATCTCCACCCCATCAAAGCCCAGAACTGGAGCCATGGCTCTAAATTCCCACATGGAGGCACACACAGGCCCTTACGCCTGCTGGTCCACAATCTAGACACAACCTGCTTTTTCAAAGTCAAAGATGACAGGAGCTGCTGGTGAGCAGCCTCAGCTTGATATTTCAGTGGAGGAGTTAGGTGGGTTGCTGCACATTTGAGGGCAGTACACCTTTCGGCCAGTGGAACACATCTGTAAAGTATGTGACAAGAACCCTGAACAAGATTTTTTTTTTTTTTTTTTTTTTTAGCAGAAACCAGATGGATGTTTCTGCTAAAGCTCCTCCATACCTGAGCATGATTTATCCTTGCATGTAACATTTTAAACCACCAAAAGACTTTGCAATTACAAATCATTTCCATTTTCCCTCTCTGACTTTATCCTTATAATTTTCTAGAGCAAGTATCATTATTTCAACTCTGAAAAATAAAAACTAAGCCTCAGGAAGATTAAATGACTATGCCAAATATACTCAGATAGTAAATGTTCATGGCTTTTGGATAGACCCAGGAGCTCTGATACCCAAAGTCAAAAACCTGGTGACTTACAGACATTTTTGGTTAAGCCCAGTGGATGTCTTTTACAAAATTAAATATTTAAAGGTTAGATATTTCACATATGAATACAGATTAATAGACCTGCTTGAAAAATCGGAACCTGGAAGCTCTGATAATTCTGGGCTAATTCTGTGTGTTCATAACCGGGTAAGAGATGGGGCATGTGTGGGCTAGTTTGCCACAGTCTGAACCACCCCACCACTACCCCAGATGATGCACGCAGTCACTTTATCTGCCCTCCCTGAGGGCACTGGCATCTGCGACGGCACGGCTGAACCCTTCTGCAATGGGAGCAAGCACCATGGAGAAGGCACATGTCCACCAGTGACTGACAATACCTCACCCAAAAGCCTCCAAGCACTCTTCCCTTATGGCATTGAGGTGGACCCAGGGCAACTCCAGACCCACCCACAGCAACTCTGTCGAAATGTCATCTGCTTAACAATGCCAGGCTACCAACTCATATGAATTTAAACAGTGATTTAAATTCATTAAACAGTGATATTTTCTTGGGAAAATATTTCCCAAGAAAATGTCTCTCACCTGGTCAAATCATTTTAGTTTACACATTTGTAAAGAGGAAAAGCCACTGGGTTCAAATCACTTTCTCTAACCCTATTTCCACCTGACTATCTTAAAGCAAACACCTTCATCTTTTCACATCCTACATCTCTTCATTTTCCCAGGACCCTGGAGGGTCAAGGTTTAGAAGTTTTTGGAGATTCCCAACAAAAGCCCCTTTCATTGTTGCTAGTATAATTTTAAAGGAAGGATGACTAACTGAGGCCATTTATCACAGTTTCTATACTGCTAGTGAGGCGGCATTGTTTAGAAAAGAAAAAAAGTTAGAGGCCATTGACTTAAGTGGCAGAGTCAAACTCATGGTTAGGTCTTATGATTTCAGAATCCACTTGTAGAACAAGGATGTTTAGCTGCTCAAACATTGACATTTTAAAGTTTCTTTTTTCTTTTTTTTTTTTTTTTTTAAAGACAGAATCTTGCTCTGTTGCCCAGGCTGGAGTGCAATGGCATGATCTCAGCTCACTGCAAACTCTGCCTCCCAGGTTCAAACAATTCTCCTGCCTCAGCCTCCGGAGTAGCTGGGATTACAGGCATGTGCCACCACACCCTGCTAATTTTGTATTTTTAGTAGAGATGGGGTTTCTCCATGTTGGTCAGCCTGGTCTCGAACTCCCGACCTCAGGTGATCTGCCTGCCCTGGCCTCCCAAAGTGCTGGGATTACAGGCATGAGACACAGTTTCAATTCATAAAAATTAAAGCACAGTTATAAACCAGAAGAGGAACCAGCACACACAGTTCAGTCAGCTGAGGGGCAACTGGTCTCCCAAGTCCAGGCCGAGCCGTGTGTGGAGCTGCAGGAAACCACCCTGGAAGGTACTTCTGTTAATGCTGGCACACACACGGGCTGCTACAGGATGAGGTGGCTCAGGTCTGTACCTTGCATAGAGCTGAACAGTCACAGACCCTGGCCACCTCCTTTATCTTAGACTTGCTCGTTGTATATTCAGCAGAAAAGCACAATTCTAACAATAAGAAGAAAGAGACAGCAAGACTAATAAAGAAGAAAAGGAAGAAAAGAGAGAAGAATCAAATAGACGCAATAAAAAGTGATAAAGGGGATATCACCACTGACCCCACAGAAATACAAACTACGATCAGAGAATACTATAAACACCTCTATGCAAATAAACTAGAAAATCTAGAAGAAATGGATAAATTCCTCGACAAATACACCCTCCCAAGACTAAACCAGGAAGAAGCTGAATCTCTGAATAGACCAATAACAGGCTCTGAAATTGAGGCAAGAATTAATAGCTTACCAACCAAAAAAAGTCCAGGACCAGATGGATTCACAGCCGAATTCTACCAGAGGTACAAGGAGGAGCTGGTACCATTCCTTCTGAAACTATTCCAGTCAATAGAAAAAGAGGGAATCCTCCCTAACTCATTTTATGAGGCCAGCACCATCCTGATACCAAAGCCTGGCAGAGACACAACAAAAAAAGAGAATTTTAGACCAATATCCCTGATGAACATTGATGCAAAAATCCTCAATAAAATACTGGCAAACCGAATCCAGCAGCACATCAAAAAACTTATCCACCATGATCAAGTGGGCTTCATCCCTGGGATGCAAGGCTGGTTCAACATATGCAAATCAATAAATGTAGTCCAGCATACAAACAGAACCAACGACAAAAACCATACGATTATCTCAATAGATGCAGAAAAGGCCTTTGAAAAAATTCAACAACGCTTCATGCTAAAAACTCTCAATAAATTAGGTATTGATGGGACATATCTAAAATAAAAAGAGCTATCTATGACAAACCCACAACCAATATCATACTGAATGGACAAAAACTGGAAGCATTCCCTTTGAAAACTGGCACAAGACAGGGATGCCCTCTCTCACCACTCCTATTCAACATAGTGTTGGAAGTTCTGGCCAGGGCAATTAGGCAGGAGAAGGAAATAAAGGGTATTCAATTAGGAAAAGAGGAAGTCAAATTGTCCCTGTTTGCAGATGACATGATTGTATATCTAGAAAACCCCATCGTCTCAGCCCAAAATCTCCTTAAGCTGATAGGCAACTTCAGCAAAGTCTCAGGATACAAAATCAATGTGCAAAAATCACAAGCATTCTTATACACCAATAACAGACAAACAGAGAGCCAAATCATGAGTGAACTCCCATTCACAATTGCTTCAAAGAGAATAAAATACCTAGGAATCCAACTTACAAGGGATGTGAAGGACCTCTTCAAGGAGAACTACAAACCACTGCTCAAGGAAATAAAAGAGGATACAAACAAATGGAAGAACATTCCATGCTCATAGGTAGGAAGAATCAATATTGTGAAAATGGCCATACTGCCCAAAGTAATTTATAGATTCAATGCCATCCCCATCAAGCTACCAATGACTTTCTTCACAGAATTAGAAAAAACTACTTTAAAGTTTATATGGAATCAAAAAAGAGCCTGCATTGCCAAGTCAATCCTAAGCCAAAAGAACAAAGCTGGAGGCATCACGCTACCTGACTTCAAACTATACTACAAGGCTATAGTAACAAAAACAGCAGGGTACTGGTACCAAAACAGAGATATAGACCAATGGAACAGAACAGAGCCCTCAGAAATAATGCCACATATCAACAACCATCTGATCTTTGACAAACCTGAGAAAAACAAGAAATGGGGAAAGGATTCCCTATTTAATAAATGGTGCTGGGAAAACTGGCTAGCCATATGTAGAAAACTGAAACTGGATCCCTTCCTTACACCTTATACAAAAATTAATTCAAGATGGATTAAAGACTTAAATGTTAGACCTGAAACCATAAAAACCCTAGAAGAAAACCTAGGCAATACCATTCAGGACATAGGCATGGGCAAGGACTTCATGTCTAAAACACCAAAAGCAATGGCAACAAAAGCCAAAATTGACAAATGGGATCTAATTAAACTAAAGAGCTTCTGCACAGCAAAAGAAACTACCATCAGAGTGAACAGGCAACCTACAAAATGGGAGAAAATTTTTGCAATCTACTCATCTGACAAAGGGCTAATATCCAGAATCTACAATGAACTCAAACAAATTTACAAGAAAAAAAAACCCCATCAAAAAGTGGGCAAAGGATATGAACAGACACTTCTCAAAAGAAGACATTTATGCAGCCAAAAGACACATGAAAAAATGCTCATCATCACTGGCCAGAGAAATGCAAATCAAAACCACTATGAGATATCATCTCACACCAGTTAGAATGGCGATCATTAAAAAGTCAGGAAACAACAGGTGCTGGAGAGGATGTGGAGAAATAGGAACACTTTTACACTGTTGGTGGGACTGTAAACTAGTTCAACCATTGTGGAAGTCAGTGTGGCGATTCCTCAGGGATCTAGAACTAGAAATACCATTTGACCCAGCAATCCCATTACTGGGTATATACCCAAAGGATTATAAATCATGCTGCTATAAAGACACATGCACACATATGTTTATTGTGGCACTATTCACAATAGCAAAGACTTGGAACCAACCCAAATGTCCAACAATGATAGACTGGATTAAGAAAATGTGGCACATATACACCATGGAATACTATGCAGCCATAAAAAATGATGAGTATATGTCTTTTGTAGGGACATGGATGAAGCTGGAAACCATCATTCCCAGCAAACTATCGCAAGGACAAAAAACCAAACACTGTATGTTCTCACTCATAGGTGGGAACTGAACAATGAGAACACATGGACACAGGAAGGGGAACATCACACACCAGGGCCTGTTGTGGGGTGGGGTGAGGGGGGAGGGATAGCATTAGGAGATATACCTAATGTTAAATGATGAGTTAATGGGTGCAGCACACCAACATGGCACATGTATACGTATGTAACTAACCCACACGTTGTCCACATGTACCCTAAAACTTAAAGTATAATAAAAAATATATATATATAAAAAAAAGAAGAAAGAGACAGACTTAAGGGCAAAAGGTTCTCAGTGAAAATTATCTAGATTCCCAAGTAACGGTCACTGAATGCTGATGTGCAAGCAGACACCCACTCTTCCAATTATTAATTCAACTCACACTGTTTCACTGTGAAGAAGAATAAAGGGAGAGAAACGCAAAATTTCAAAAATATTTAATATTCTACTTTACAGCTTGGAAGAAAAAACAAATATCTTTTTATATTGCTAAAATTTATGACCTAAGTAGAAATCTAGAAGTACAGCTGTCATTAATTATCTGTAAAATCATAGCATAGGATTGGAAGGGAAGTTAATGAGTACTAAAATAACTCCCTTCATCTTACACATCAGGAAACAGGGGCCAGGAAAATTAGGTGGTTTGCCCAAATATGAATGAAATATGTCTAAAAACATCTTTTGGTCTATAGGAAAAAAACTCCAGCAAATGATGCTGATGAGCTGCTAGAAGAGTTAAAATTCAGGATGTTGTTGCCCTCCTGGTGCAACAGGTCCAGAATTGTTATGAGTGTGGTAAGATCATATGAAGCAGATGAGCAGTAGTAGATGCACATCCCTTTGACAAAAGTGATTGTTCTCTCAGATCCCCCATTGAAAGAATCCTGTGTGACTCACTGTCTAACTGGGAGGAATAAATAGCTCTGCAATAAACCTTCACTGACAATCTTTCTACAGGTACAAATGCAACATTTTATTTCAAAAGTGATTTGCAAGTCCCCAACAGGAAGGCAAGTCACCATAAATAGGTCCAGAAAGGCATTAAATACAATGTAGGACCCTGCATTTCACACAACTCAGGTTAAGAAGTCTGTGCCATCTGAATCTTTCAAAGGTTGCAGAAAAGTAATCATTTGCTTTTCCAAATGCTTTTAGTATTATTTATTCATTTGCGATAAAATATGCTTCTCAAAAAGTTGCTTCTTGTATGAAATGTGTAATTTATGATGTTGGAAATGGAGTTTAGGCCCCAAAATTCATTTTCGCATTAAAAAAGACAAGGTCCTTTTCTCCCAGTGTCTGCTCTGAGTCATGTCCCCTGCAATCACGCCTAGCTCAGTGCACTGCACATGGTAGTTACTCAAGTTGACTGAACTGAATTAAATGCTTTACAGACATCCTTGGGGAAAATTAATCAACTATTGTTTGGTATTCTTAAGTTGGTTTGCCTAAATAAAACAGAAGAAGACAGCGCTTCTCTGCCAACTCAACTTATAATTGAAAGGCAGGTTGTCCAGTTTTACTACTTAAGCTCCAATAAAAAAGGCAGCGGAGCACAGGCCGGGGAAAGCCCACTCAATTTCAGTCCTATGCCCATCCAAATTGTCTTTCAAGACAATAGCAAGCTTGAACCCCACCCTCTTCTCTCTCTAAAACCTAAAAGTGTCTAATCTCTAAAGCATTTTCCTCCATCTTTTATCTATTTTCAATACAGGACATAGAAGAGATGTGAATTTTCCAAGACAGACTCCTGTAAATGTCATTAATCTCCTGCCATCTATATTTTATTCTTCCTATCCTTAAAAAAAAAGGAAAGTTTTACACGTGTGATGATTCATTTTATGTCACATGTTGGGCCATGGAGTGCCCTGAGGTTTGGTCAGACATTATATGGATGTTCCTGTGAGGATGTTTTTGGATAAGATTCACATTTGAATCAGTAGACTGAGTAAAGTAGATTGTCCTCCCTCATATGGGTCACCCTCATCCAATTAGTTGAAGGCCGGAATAGAAGAAAAAGACTGAGCTTCCTGTTAGTAAAAGAAACTCCTCTTGCTTGACTATCTGAAACTGAGACACCAGTTCTTTCATGCCTTCACACTTGAACTGAAACATTGGCTTTTCCTGGGTCTCAAGCCTGTTGGCCTTTCAACTAAAACTACCAGCTCTCCCGGGTTTCAGGCTTGCTGACTGTAGATATTGGGACTTAGCCTCCATAATTGTGCAATATATATACATATATATAGAGAGAGAGCAAGATTTATTGTAAGAAGTTGGCACAATTATTAATTTATATATATAAAGATTATAATTAAGAATAAATATATAGAGGATTATATATATCCTAGTTTTATTATATATTATTTTATAGACATACATCTCCTATTGGTTCTGTTTCTCCAGAGAACCTGACTAATACAACATGACCTAGAGGGTCTCTAACAAAGACCCCATTTTCTCTTTACTCCTTTAACAAATACTTAGAACCCAACCATGAGTTAGTTTGGCTGAATGAGGATGAAGGTTTCCGTTCATTTGAGTATTTCCTTTCCTCACATTTTTACTGTAAAAACATGGTGTTATGTTAGAAACAGTCTAGATTTCAATGGATATTTTCTTCATGGAGACTTGACAAACTTTTTTTAAGCACAAGCTAATCATATTTTTATGGCATGGAAAAATTGTATCAGCAAGACAGGAAAATGCAGCCAACTGCCATTCATTTTAGTGGGAATGATCATATGCCTTTTTCTTTCTAAAACAGGAAAATCTACTTTTATTACTATTATTTTAATAGCAGCATATTGAAAACACCTATAAATGTTTGGTTTTATTTACTATTCTAAAACCTTATCTTTATATTAAAAAAAGACACAAATACATTGTAGCATTTTTACTAGCTGAAAGATTTAAAATGTTTTATTTATTTTAAAATAAAAACCACATAACTGTTAGTGGAGCTTTTAATATCAGTGCTGTGCATCATTAGCGCAGGAGCCAAAATAGCAAACCTCATAACATTTTGAATGTATTTCAGGCATATTGTGCACAAAATTGTATATCCATACACACAACTCTGGCTAAATGGATTTCTGTAGATTTAGTGTCGGAAACCTTCCTGAAAGTCATTTGGCATCCGGGATACTGGACCAGATTCAAACTAAAAGGAGAGAAGAAGAAACTGAAATCACAGAGCAGTTAAATAATAAATAAGATTTTCTTTCTTTACTGAACTGCAGTCCAAGGTTTTGTTGGTTTCTTTTTTCTTTTTTACTCCTTTTTCATTTCCTGCTATTGCTAATATTGGGCGTGTATATCTACTTAAAATATATTTACTCAATAAATCCCATGAACACTGCCATTTAGTTTTACTGTCTTGTTTGAGAAAATCTAGAATGGGGTTGACTAAACATATTGTATACACATACACACACACACACACACACACACACACACACACACAGATATTACTGACATCATAATTGTCCTATTCACTCAACTGATGGCAAAAATTATTTTTAAAAGCTGGAAACAAAATGTAAGAATGACTATACTAAAATGGCAAAAATCATAAAACCTGTTGTTTTGCATTAATATGACACCAATGTAAATTATGAATTTTTTAATAATGGAGGAGAAAGGGAAATAGACAGGAATCTCATAATAGACACTCCAGAGCCCTTTGATAGGAAGAATATTCTATCCTAATTTTTAATAAACTTAGCTGGTAACCAAATGGTTCAGTATATACCAGAAAGGACTGCAGAAAACACATTCACAAATCATCTGTTACATGTGTGAACCAGGAAGAATGGTTTCCAACGATAAAAGGGCTTCATAAGACATGAATTTATTTTAAATGCTGAGGCTGGACACTGAAAACCTGGTGAGACACTCATACACAAAGTGACTGGATATAAGCACCCATTTTTTTTTGAAATATTTAGAAAGTAAAGGCACAACTCTGGAGCTTGACATATTTCAACAGTATTTCAGCCCAGAGCTTCATTTTATGAGGCATCAAGCCTTCCCAACCCCAAATAATTCCCTAAGTACCTTAGATGCATTTTCTACAAGCAAGGAAGGATCAATTTTAAGTGCAACATTCTGCTTGCCAAAACATCAGCCCAACAGGAACTTTCAAAGGGGCAAGTTCAAGTGGAGACTTCTGACTCCATAGAGGAAGCTGGAAAGAGCAAACTCTTTAGGCAAGCATTAGGAGCCAGGAGCAGAGAAGGAAGGAGGGATGACATCCTCTAAAGAGAACTCGGCTTCCTTGAGGATTGTTTCAAACAGGAGAGTGAGAAATACTTGCAATAAACAGCTAGACTCTACCTCCAGTGTTCCTCTACTGTGAAAGACGCTTTAGCAGCCCCAGTGGTTGCAGCCAGCATGAACTCAACAAATGTCAGAAGGCATTTCCTAAGAGAACTTTCGCACAGAAAATAAAGGAAAGTCTGGTCTCTGCTTTCCATGCAAGGTCAACGTTTAAATAGCAGAGCGCAATTAACGTGATGAAGTAGGTATGGAGTGCCAGCCTCTATTCTCGTTTCTACAACAAAGTTCCACTTGCTCAAGCAAGTGTTAGCCCAACTTGGTGCCAAGCACTATACTAAGTACTGAAGATGCAAAGAGGAATAAATCATTATCACTGAAAAACAACTTGCCTTTTTCTAAGAAATTCAAAAATTCCACTCCTAGGAACATACACCTCAGAGATACTTCTGCACCTTTCCAGCAGAAGACATATGGAAGCATTGTTCATTATAGCCCCAGAAGGAAACAACTAAGTGTCTATCAGCAGAAGAAAAGATAAGTAAGTTCTGCTATATTTTCCCCAACCATCCTTTCTAATGTTGAAAGCCATCTCTGTATACCAGGCTCCCCTAATCCCTTTTCACTCTTCCTTTCTGCATAACAATTCATAATGGCTAATGTATGAATATTGTAATAATTTTGTTTAACATCTGTGTCTCCACCTGGAACTTAAGTCCCATTAAGGCAGGGATTTTCACCTTGTTTTATTTACTGCTGTGTCTGTCCTCAGAACCTAGAACAGTGTCTGGCACATGGAAAGAATGCAATAAATATGTGTGAAAGAAAGAGGGAAGGAGGAGGGGAAAGGGATGAATGGAGAGAGGAAGGGAGGAGCAGAAGAAGGGATGGAGAGAGAAACTGAGGGAGAGAGATATAGGGAGGGAAGCAGACAGACGAGCAAGAAAAGTAATGAAAATGAAAGAACTATAGCTACAGGCTGCAACATGGGCAATTCTCATGAATATAATGCCAACTAAAAAAAAGTGAGGTATAAAATAATACATCATGATATTGAGCACCTTTTCATATACCTGTTGGCCATTTTTCTGTTTTCTTTGGACAAATGTTTGTTTAGGTCACTTGCTGATTTTATAAACAGGTTTCTTTTTGCCATTGAGTTACATAAGTTCCTTATATATTTTGGATATCAATCCTTTATCTGATATAATGTCTGCAAATATTTTCTCCCATTCCATTGGCTGTCTTCTCCTTTTGTTGACTGCTTCCTTTGGTGTGCACAGCTTTTTAGTTTGATGTAACCTCACTGTTTATTCTTCCTTTTATTGCCTGTGCTTTGGGAGTCATATCCATGAAATCATTGCTGGAGCCAATATCAAGGAGATTTTCCCCTATATTTTATTCTAAGAATGTTACATTTTCACATCTTAAGTCTTTAATCCATTCTGAACTGACGTATGGTGTAAGATAAGGCCCAGATTCATTCTTTTGCAGGTTAATATCCAGTTTTCCCTGTACCATTTATTGAAGAGACTATTCTTATCTGCATTATCTTGGTGGCCTTATCCAAGATTAGTTGACTGGTTAGGCTTGGATTTATTTCTAGGCTCTATTATATTCCATTGGCTTATGTATGTGCTTTTATGCTAGTACCATACTGTTTTGATTACTTTTGCTTTGTAATATAATTTGAAATCAAGAAATGTGATGCCTCCAACTTTATTTTTCTTTCTCAAGGTTGTTTTGGCTACTTGGGATTTTTTGTGATCAGTCAAATGCAAATCAAAACTGCAATGAGATACCATCTCATGCCTGTTAGGATGGCTGTTATCAAAAAGGTATAAGTGTTGGTGAGGGTGAGAAGTAAAAGGAACCTCTGTACAGTCTTGATGGGAATACAGATTGGTGCAGCCACTGTAAAAAAAAATGCATGGTGATTCCTAAAGAAATTAGAAATAGGACTACTACATGACACAGTAGTCCCTGCTGGGTATATATCCAAAGGAAATGAAATCACCTCGTAGTAAAGATATTTGCATTCCTATGTTCATTGCAGCATTATTGACAATAGCCAAGATATGGAAACAACCTAAATATCCATCAGCGGATGAATGCATAAAGATGTGGTATGCATTTATACAACGGAATACGATTCAGCCTTAAAAAAGGAGATCCTGACATTTGCAACAACATGTATGAATCCAGAGGACATTATTTAAATGAAATAACCCATACAGAGAAAGACAAATACTGCATGATCTCACTTACATGTGGAATCTTAAAAATAATAATACATAGCAACACAGAGTAGAAACATGGTTAACAAAAGTGGAGGAAGAAGGAATAGATAGAGGTCAAGAGGTACAAAGATGCAGTTATAGCAGATGAAGTCTAGAGATCTAACCACAGTATGTGGACTACAGTTAATAATATTGTATTATATAAAGAAACTGCTAAGAAACTCTTTACTTCAGAACTCCTTAGATCTCTTAACTCTTTACTTTAAAACTCTTTGCTTTAGAAATTCTTTCCACAAAAAACGGAAACATGTGAGATGATGGATATGTTAATTTACTTGACCCTAGTAATGACTACAGTATGTATACACATATAATAAAACATCACATTGTACACCTTAAATATATATGAAATTCTTTGATAACCAAAAAGAAGACAGTATGAGTCAATTTGCATTAGACTCCAAACCTGCAACATTAATATTATAATACATATGTAAGTAGCAAAACTGGAATGAGCACAACAAAATCATGATGGAGACATCCCAGCGGGGACAATGAAATTGCAGAAGAACAGAGGGAAGTTGAAAGAGACTGGTAATATGAAATTGCAGAAGAACAGAGGGAAGTTGAAAGAGACTGCTAACATTCCATTCTTTAAGCTGGGTCACGGGCATACAGTTTTGCATTTTATTATTATTGCTCATACCTGACATGTGTAATAAACATGCTTCTGAATTTCATAATTCACTTAAGGAGTCCATTATCTGGTCGGGAAGTTGCACCTGAAAAGAGATTAATTCAGCACCTAGGAAAGAACTCTGAGACAGAGACACATGCATGAGCTGTTGGGAGCCCAGGAGGCTGGTCAATTTGGAACCATTTGTAGTTCTGAATGCTTCCTCCTTTTTGCAGTGGTTGAGGGAACTGGTTTCCAAGCATCACTTGATTTATGTATTTTTTAACTTATGGCTCACTGGCTACTGTCAATTATCAAGATAAGCATTTTAACTAACTATTATAGCATTTTTAAAAGAAATCTCACCCTACTTAAGCAGAATCAGTAAGGTCAAGAGGAATCAGCACAGACAAGAAGAAATATTAAGTATTATTAAGGTCATTTGGGTAGATGCTATTAAGGATCAACTGCCTATAACTGTATGGATCAATCTGTTCTCAAAGTTTGTTTACTGCATGTTCATTCATTATGCATTCACAAAGTATTACTGAGTAAAAACAATATGCAAGATATTGTCTAGGTCCAAGGGAAGGTACAAATATTTGTAAGATGCCTTCAATGTGCTTATAATGCTAGTGTTGAGGCATGTACCTAACAATCATGCCGTAAGTGTAGGTGCCAGGGATACCTTCAAACAATGAAAGTGATTGCGTGTAACTGGATTCTGCATGAATTCACAAGTAGAGATAGTTCATTCCCAAGCAAAGTAAAAAGAAACACATAAAACTTAATGTGCGTTGCTAAATGGTGCCTTGCATTACACTATTCAGTACTGATTCTGACTCTTAACATCAATGCGTAATCAATCATGCCTCCAGGCGTTTTATTGCCAAAGCAATTACACACATGCTACAAATCTTTGCCCTAACTCCACTAATCTTTGTCTTCTTTTTTGTTTGTTTTACAGATGTTTTGCTTTATCAAATATTAGGTATATTCTCACCTATTAGGAACTTGGCAAAATAACTTTTTTTGTCCCTTGTTCATCGAACATGTGGAAAACCAGTCCACAGAATAGTGAAAATGGTCTTCTATAAGAGATTTTAGGATCGTTTTTAGAGAATAATACTCGGGGCAAGTCACGTCGGTTCTCTGATGCCATTTCTCCATTTATAAATTTAAATGTAATATAAGGAAATTATACTACACGTTCAGGGACCTTTTTAAACAAAACACACACTCACACAGATACATGTGCACATCCATAAATATGCACACAGTTGTGAGATTCTATCACATTATTATTTTTCATTGTGAGCTCCATGACTCTTAGGCTTCAAATGGTTATGTTATCTGAATGGGACCATAACTCTTTCACAATCTGACTTTAGATTAAACTGAATGGAATTGGTTGAAGAGTTTCCAGTTATTTCAGACATGTGTCTCCTCTCGACAGTCTCTAGAAAATGCTTCATGTCTTCCTGATATGTCCTTAGTTTCCATCTTTTATGTTCCTGTGCATTCTTCTCCCCAAAATGCAACTTGCTTCTTATACAGTGTCTAAACAAACAAACATACTACTACTGTTAGCAGTAATAATGAATGGTTCATATTGATTGTGTACTTACTCTCTGCCAGGCACCGTCTTTGGTACATTACTTGTATTAATTCATTTGATTCCTGTCATGACCCACGACGAGTTAAGTACCTTGTGGAGATCACATGGCTCCCACAGAAAGCACCCGGGATTTGACACTAACAGCCCAGCTACAGAGTGCATGCTCCTGGCTTACCATGACAACTGCCAGAACTCTGGATGCTTTCATGGGCACACACAAATTTGATTCATGTATGAGACTCCATAGAATAGACAAGCAACCTCAGTATGAGAGGAGAAAATAATTCTCTATAAAATGAATCTTACTTGGACACTATACAATGTGGGTTTAATTTCAAATACCCAAAAGGCTTCATATGTGGCCTCACCTACAAGAAGTTGCCATTGCTTGGATTTTGAAGCGCAGCTCCAGTTTATTTAGGAACCTCAGGTTTATTTTTGAATCTAGAGGTAGAGAACTGCCTATTTCCAAAGTAAATCCCTTGGGAACAGTGAGCTGGGTACTCAGAAACCATATATGCCATTTAGAGTCAAATGTGGCCTGGCACCTGTGTGATTCCTTTGGCTGGCTCCCCTTGGCCCAGCAGCAATAAATGACAGGCATGGGCCAGAATCCATGCCCTGTGCTCTAAGGTTTGAAAGAGAAATTGGGCTTGAGTGATGATTCTTTCTGTGTTAAAGAAAAGGGAAGTGAAGATTAATCCTCTTGGAAAGCAAAGGAAAAATCAACCTAATCCTCTCTGGCTCCAAAGGAGAACAGCTAAGGCCCTGCAAACCGTGCATGGTGCTGTTAATAAGATCATCACTGAGTAAAATATTCCACTGTGATTTCTTTTCCTTTGTATTTCTTTCTTTTTAAAAATTTTGGTAAAATATATATAACAAAACATGTGATTCTAGCCATTTTTATGTGTAGAATCCAGTGGTATTCATTACATTCACAAAATTATGCAAGATCACCACCATTTCCAAAATTTGCCGTCACCCCAAACAGAAGCTCTATATCCGTAAACCAATAACTTTCCTTCTCCCCCTCCACTTAGCCCCTGGCAACTTGGATCTACTTTTTGTCTCTATGAATTTGCCTATTTTAGGTAATTCCTATAAGTGAAATCACACAATTTGTGTCACATTAAGATTTTTATGATAATCTATTCATAGCACAATTAAATACAAGCACTTTTCACCAGGTGGTCAGAGAGCAGTGAGAACTGAGGAGGACTCCAGTTCTCTCCCACTGCCTGACCACCAGGAAGTCATCTCACCCCTCAGGGGTCCCTGGGTTTCCATTGATCCAACAGGAAGAGCAATCCCAAGAGCCTGCTCCACTAGGCTGAAATACAAGGCTCTCTGGCAACTTTCCTTCATTTATCTCTGCAGTCTTCAGGCCTCCTTACCCTTCACGAAGCAGGCTAAACAACTCTTATGTCCAAAGCACTAATGGAGCAGCTAATATCAAGTAAAATAAGGCTCTTTTTTATGAAACAGTGTAATGGGGTCATTGTAACATCTTCATTAGCCTTACACATCTTACTTTTAGAAGCCTTATGCCATAGGATATCACATTAAAATGATGCACGGCTCACTTTAAATATAATTATATACAAATGTTACTCCATGATGAGTTAAGGATACAGTTTGGAGACTCTTAATTAAACATTTATTAATTATAATATTACAGTCTCACTTCTGTATTTAACATTTTTGTAGGGCTTAGCAGCAAGGCCAATAAAGCCTAATAAACACAAGGTCCTTGTGCCTGAATGTATTTCAGGTTGAATTAACAATCTGGCTCCGCCGGGCGCAGTGGCTCACGCCTGTAATCCCAGCACTTTGAGAGGCCAAGGCTGGGGGATCACGAGGTCAAGAGATGGAGACCATCCTGGCTAACATGGTGAAACCCCGTCTCTACTAAAAATACAAAAAAATTAGCCAGGCGTGGTGGTGGACACCTGTAGTCCCAGCTACTGGGGAGGCTGAGACAGGAGAATGGCGTGAACCCAGGAAGCGGAGCTTGCAGTGAGCCGAGATCGCGCCACCGCACTCCAGCCTGGGAGACAGAGCAAGACTCCTTCAAAAAAAACCACAATCTGGCTTCTTTAGTCACTTCTCACCTTGATGATTGGTTCTGGCTTTAAAACACCACTTAAACTCTAGCTCTAAACAAAAAAGATAGTGGCTGTTCCTTGATATCATCAAGATCAGAGAAAGTTCCAAAACCAGGTTAATAAATATACCTTACTTCCTTTTTTATTTGCCACAGTCAAAAAACGCCAATATTCTCAGCTGATGATTTATTGAGAGATTGGCACAGTCATGCAAATAGAAGATGAAGAGGAGTCTAAAAATTGATTGAATTAAATATAAAGTATTAATTCTGTTCTGAGTACTCCCATATATGTATGTTATGACAGTAGTAAATACAGCATTAATTATCCTTTCTGTTCTGCTATTTGGGATTCATCCCAAACCTCGTGTTATGGTTAATTCTATGGTCAACTTGACTGGACCACGGGACGCCCAGATAACTGGTAAAACTTTATTTCTGGGCATGTCTGTGAGGGTGTTCCTGGAAAAGATCAGCATTTGAATTGGTGACTGAGTAAAGCAGATGACCCTCCTCATGTGGGTGGGTGCCATCCAACTGGGGGAGGGCCTGAAATGAACAAAAGGCAGAAGACTGAATTGAATTCTCACTCTATGCCTGGCTGCTTGGGCTCAGACACACGTCTTCTCCTGCCCTTGGACTGGGAGTTACACCATTAGGACTCCTGGTTCTCAGGCCTTTGACTTACACGGCCAGCTTTCCGGGGCCTCCAACTCCCAGATGGCAGACTGTGAGACTTCCCAGCCTCCACAGTCACATAAGCCAATACCTCAGAGTAAAGCTCCTTCTATATGTCAATTGATGGATCAATATAGATAGATAGATAGGTAGATAGATAGATGATAGATAATAAACAGATGAAGATAATGATAGATAATAGATGATAAGTAGATGATAGACTGATAGATGATAGATAGATAGATAGATAGATAGATAGATAGATAGATAGATGATAGACAGATGACAGATAGATGACAGATAGATAGATGGATCCTACTGGTTGTTTCTCTGGAGAACCCTGACTAAAATGCCTAGAGATTATATCAAGTATGAAGGAATCTCCCTTTCTGTGGGCACTGCTGTGTCTATCTTTCATCTATCACCTATCTATCTATCTATCTATCTATCTATCTATCTATCTCATCTACCCTTCTCCACTAACCAATCCCCAATTTTGTCAGGTACCAGAAGATAGCTCTTATCTTAAGACTGTGACAGACCTAACCAGAGGACTGCAATGGGACAAAGGAGAATGGAGGTGCAGGGTTTGGGGAACAATATTTTCTTCTTGAAAAAAAGGGTATAAAATTTCCTTTCCTGACTCTCTCCTGAACACAATTGTGTGACAGCAACTGTGTCTAAGGGGCAAAGCCAAGAAAATCATGGAGGGACATACACCTTCAGCCAGGCAACAACTGTGCTGCCACTGCCCAACCCAGGATGCCGGGTAAGGTCCCCAGAAAAGCCCCACTGTGTTAAAGACTGCGAGCCCAACTACGGCTTGTAACCAAAGTGATCCCACCTGTTCCACAGTTACTGGCTTTGATGCCTGCTTCCCACACACCCACACTATTAGACAGCTGTGCTTTTGCTGTATGGCCAGGCCTACAACACAGGCCTTTGATTTCTAAGAAACATGAGAGGCCTCTGTACCGGAAGTAAGAAACTGGTATTTTTCCTTTAACTGGATGTTCTGTGGGGGGTGTGTGTGTCTGTCTGTCTGTCTGTGTGTCTGTGCGTGCACACATGTGTGAGTTTGTGTGTTTAACTTTCAGAAGAACCAGTGGAAAGTTTATTTACTATAAGTTAAATTTGGATGAATGGAAAACATTCTGTTGTCAATATTCCAGAGTCTGACACCCTCACAAGCAAGAATACAGGAGAATATATTTTGAAATGCCTATGCTGTCCAATTGCTTTGAGTCATATTTAAGCTAAAACAATACTCATTTTCACCAAGGACTTACATATTTCACAGCGTGACTCTGACTTTTTCTCTAAATGTGCTTTACTGACTCAACTTCCCCTTTAAGAACACCTGCTAGGCACCAGATACTTTTACATGCATTTGTTCATATTCCTCTGTATCACCTTCCTACAGATGAGTGAAAGGGGACGTTATGATGTCAAACATCTTCCCCATGACAGTCTCACTCAGATCACAATTAGAATCTGATCCCAGGAATTCTAACCCAGTGCTCTTCCACCTTGAATATGCAGATGGATCAGCTGGAGGTCTGGTAGAAATGCTGATTCTGACCCACCTGTTCTCAGGTGGGGCCTGAGGCTCTCCCTTTGTAAAGAACTCTCAGGCAAGGCTGACACTTTATTTGCAACTACAATGTTTAGAGTTAGCCAAATTTTTTCAGCAAATTATCTTTCTTTTATTCTGGGTTTTCTCATCTGACAAAAGGGATATAAAAACAGAAAAGTACCTACACTTCACTGGGCTGTTTTGAGGTCTAATGACAGAAAGCATTTAAATACATTTAGAATGACTGGCAAATAAGGAGTGTTTACAGTTGGTAGTTACGACTGTTCTAAATCGAAGCACAAGTTTTACTGGGGACTTCAATGTTCACCAGTGAATTAGACAGGGATCTGCTTGAATTGGGGAGATATAGAGTGAGGAAGGATATAAAGACCATGGACTTCCCATTCCAGCTCTGCCACCTAAGAACCCCATGACCTTGAGACAGAATATGCCTCAGGGATGGCGGCTCACCCACGCCTACCACCTCAACAAATCCATTCTCAAGATGGGAACCAGGAGGCTCTGGCCCCCTCAGGGCAGACTGGATATGGAGTGGGTCTGGGATGGACACCTAATAGGCAGAAATGATTCAGAGGCAATATCAAGCCAATTCTCTCTCTCCCCCAGGAATTGAATCAGACGATAACTTTTCTGCACTTTTCCTGGTGACTCTTGGATCAGTGGCTCCTTTGAAAGTAATTGGGCTTTAAGGCCATTTCAACCAAGCAGAATTGTGAAGACAAACATAAAGAAACAAAGATGAGAGTCCCACCCACTGAGGAAGAGAAAGAGCTGAAGAACAGGAGCAGAGGGAAAGGACAGAAAGAAACCCACTAAGCCTCCCTCCAGGTGACTGAGAGATTTTTCGTCTTGGTTCAAGTCCTTTGTAAGGCTTAGCTATAATTCCTACCCTTGCATTCTGCATAATTACCCTGTGTACCTTTTTTTTTCCTTTGCTTTGGATTTTTTATATTTACAACTAAACAATGCATGTCTAAGAAACCTGAGTGTTAAGTGAACTTCTTTAAGCCTCAGCTTGCTCATCTGTAAAACAGAGATTTATTCATTTGTTAATGAAGACCTACTGAGTGCCTGCTATTTATGAAGCACTAGCTAGATAGTAGGAAAACACTGGTTAGAAATTCCCGATAGTATCCCTACCTTCATGGAGCTTCTGGTCGAGTAGAAGATATAAGCCTTAATGAATAAATTAATCCTAAGAATAAATGTAAAATTACAACTTGGGTAAGCAACTGGAGAAGTTGAAGATACAATACGCACATATTCAAGAGGTAATGACTTAACATTAAATTTAAGAGGGAATCTAAGTAGAGGCCAACAAGGTAAAGAGGGAAGAGAAAAAGCATTCTCGACAAAGAGCAGATCATTTGCAAAGACTCCTAGGAGAGAAGGCATATGGTAAATAAGACAAGTGGGCCAGGGTGTTGCAGAGAGAAGGGAAACCACGATAGGCAATGAAGCTGGACAAGAGGGCTGGGGTCCAAATGAGCAGGGCTATGTGGGTCAGGCTTGATTATTTTGTTTTTTGGGGGTTTTTGTTTGGTTGGGTTTTTTTTTGTTTTTTTTTTTTGACATGGAGTCTTACTCTGTCGCCAGGCTGGAGTGCAGTGGCACGATCTTGGCTCACTGCAACCTCCACCTCCAGGGTTCTAGCGATTCTCCTGCCTCAGCCTCCTGAGTAGCTGGGACTATAGGTGCGTGCCATCACGCCTGGCTAATTTTTGTATTTTTAGTAGAGATAAGGTTTCACCATGTTGGCCAGGATGGTCTCCATCTCTTGACCTCGTGATCTTCCCACCTCAGCCTCCCAAAGTGCTGGGATTATAGGCGTGAGCCATCGTACCTGGCCAGGATTGATTGTTTTGATCATTATGGTACTTATCCTAAGATCGGTGATGAGTTTTAAATAAAAAGACGTCACAGTCAGATCTGCGTTTGAAAATATCATGCCTGCCACAGTGTGGAAAATGAACTGTGGGAGGCAAGAGTGGAGATGGGTGGATCAGGCAGAAGGTGGCTGCAATAGCCCAGGGCCTGAAGGCCAGATACAGAGGAGAAAAATATGAGTCTGATTTAGGATGTACTGAGTGAGTTGTCTCTGAAAGGGCCAGGATGAGACTGTCTCTGAAATGGCCAGGATGAGACTGATATCTTGAGTATATGAGGATAAAACCCATTGGGGAAATCTAGGCCATGGATACAAATGTGTGAGTCAATGAGACCAATTTGTAGCCTTCCTGAAAGACATGAGAACAGGTGAGTTTGTCAAGGGAGAGATGATGGCATGAGAAGAAAAGGGTGTCCAGTGGTCAGTGACTGGCACAGAGGAGTATGAGCCACAAGACAGGCAGAGGCAAGACCAGGAGACTGTTGTGTCATGGACCAGAGGATAAAAGTATTTCTACCAGGACAGGAAGAAGTGGCCAATGGCATTCATCAAATGAGATGATAAATGATGAAATTAAACTGAATATCTGACAAAACTCCTCTAAGACAATGTATAGCATAGTGTAGTATAGCCTGAAAAAATGGTGATTACTGTTATTAATGGCTCACAAACTTTTGTGAACATCAAACTAAACAATCTGTATGTCAGAGTGCCTGAAAAGAAGACCTTCAACAAATGTAAGTAGTAATCATTCTTCCCTTTGGAAAACGGGATGCATTGTTTCATGTTTATAAATTCCTCCAAAACCATGAAATACACAAGACCATATAAGAACAAGACGACAGAGGAGAATGGAAGGAAAGGGACTCTTTACAAGAAAGAAGGGTGTTTCCTAGAGACATAAGTCAAGAGTAAATTGGACTTGCGAGCTTCTCCCAGTGTCAGCCTATGACAGAAGCAGAGATAGATCAAAAGCACTGTATCCACACACATATTCAGAAACAGATATACACAAAAATGTAACACCACTTCCAGATACAGAAAAAATGAAGAGGCATAAAATGGATTTTTTGGAAAAAATTCCTTAATATGTTTTATAAATTTCTAAAGGTTTATCCCATATCAAAAACAGTTAAAAGTATTTAAATAAATGAATAAAGATCCACAGGAGTCCCAACCAGGAGTGTCCATCTCCATGCTGCCATGAAGGCACACTGCGAGACGCCAGGGACTGGTTTCCTCTTGGGCCTGCTAACAATCCCTTGCAAGTCTGAAAGAGGAAAATTCTTGCTCTTGATAATATCCCACATAATAAATACACTACAGACCCCCAGTGTGACTACCAGTTGGATAATTATGCAGAAATAATGCAGTGTTCCAATTCTTTGTAGAAAGAACTTTGCACAGAACAGAGGCTTTCTGCCTTGAAAGGGGAACTATTCAAACGTTGCTGCCTAACAGCTAAAGTAAAGGAGTTCCATGGCAACGTAGATGCTCCGGGTCAAGTACACGTTCTGAGAAAGCAAGGGACATGTAAAGAACACAAACCCATGGGCACAAACCAACAGGGGCCTACACAGGCAGTGATTTCTCTAATAAAGCCCTTGTCATGTTGTAACATGACAATTCTGTGGCAGGGCTGAGTACAACACAAACAATGAGGGGCAAAAGGAAGGATCTTCCTAATAGGAGGTTTTTTGCCTCATTCGCCCAATCCAAAAAAAGTGGATTTTCATTTACTTCAAATTGGCAAAAAATAATAACTCCCACCCTGTTTTGCATGGCCAAAAGCCCAGATTTAGATTTCAACATTTGTTCATATGCTACTGTTTAAGTCAAGTCTTGAACTGTTTCAGCTGCTCCAAAGGGGAGGTCAGAAATAAGGCGAGTGGGCAGGCCCATGGCCCAGTGGAGTCAGGACTCACACTGGAGTCAGGATCAAGTGAGGGATGAGATGACAGAGGTCTCATTACCTTTGGGCAGTCCCGGAATGAGCAAGGCATTTTCAGCCAAGAGTTTGGGAGAACTTGGGTTGCCACAAAGAGATCTGAACTTGTTTTAACTTGTTAAGTCAGTTTTAGAAATACAAAGGTTTAAAGCAGTTTGATGGCTATGTAAATAAGGAAGTTTGCAAAGAACCTGGGTCTACCTCTGGCTATTCAGCAGCTTGGCAAGAGATGACCCGAGTTCTCAGAGTCCCCATCTTTGCATCTGTGGAAGAAAAGAAGATGACACAGCCTGCAGTTCTCCTTGGCTCTTTTCAGGCCTAAGTTTTGGGTGCCTCAATAGCACCTTCCCAACAGCGCCTTCCAGAAGTCTATCCTTTGGCCTATTTTTATTTGGCAACAATCAAAATCTCCATGGTTCCTTGTCACCCATCACACCATCTCAGCTACCAATCACACCATCTCAGCTACCTGAGCCTGTTAAATATGTCCCAGAAGCCATTTGTGACATGATTTTCATTCCAGCCACCAGCTATCTCCCAACAGCTTAGTGATATAAATGAGTTTTCCAAGCCTCCTTCAAGGGAAAATAAAAATACTTAAAGTTGCTTTCGAAAAGTCCTGCCAAGTTTCTAGGCTTACATTCTTCAAGGATATTTTTATTTAGTGCACCCCTGAGAGGTGGAAAGAAAAGTGTAACCTGGGAGAATGTTAGTATTTCAACATAGTTAGCCAATATTCTCTAGCACAAGAGGTCTTCAGCAACATACTATCTAAAGCCTTTTTGTACAGAAGTTTCTGCTGGGCTCAGGTTTCTACCCAAATCTCTGCAGGTACCTTGCATGCAGCAGTACCATGACTGCCTGCAGGCCTACGTTTCTAAGCATCCCCTTCCACCCACCTTGGCTATCCAGTTTCTGTCCCCTGCACCCCAACTGCAATGGCCAGATTTCTAGTTTCAAAAGGTTCTCCATAGGGACCACCCTAGCATCTAACAGAAATGGAGGCAATATGCAGGGTGGTTAGAGTGGCATCATGCAAAAACTTTTTGAAAGAGCCAGAAAGCATTTTAGTCTTTGTGGGCCTGGAGTCAGAATCAAGGATATTATGTAGCTACTTATATAACAAGAGAGAAAACAAGTTCTTACATTTGTATTCATAAAATTCAAATACAATAATAATTGACTACAATTGCTTGTAATTACAAGTTGACTAATGAGAGATGTGAATATTTTTTGGTGAGGGGATAACATTTTCCTTAATGGAGATTCAAAATTAGTGTTTCCTCTCATCAATAGGATTTTAATGTTCATGCAAAGAAACATTTTTAGCTCCCTGGCCTTACAAAGAAAGGCAAGGGGCAGGATTTGGCCCACGTGATGTAATTTACTAAATCAAGGTGGTTTCAGTCACAAGCTTGAGATTCTGGCTATGCTTGGGTTGATGCTAGTGCTACAACTCATCTGCCAGCTTCTGACTTCACTTCTCCAAGATATACTTTTCTCCTCTTTCCAAAGAGGCCAACTGTACGTGTTCCACAAATGAATGACCAACATTTGTTGAACTCCTACTTTGTGATGGGAATTATTCTATGCTATGTGTAGAATATGCTATGCCTCATGTATTAGCTTGTTTAGTGATGTGAAAGGAAATTAAATCTTAAATCTAAATTAAACCAAAGGGAAAATTCAAGCTTGGAACAGGGTCACATAAACCTGCCTCCCCTTTTTGGTTCCTAAATAACATGGCTACAAGATGAAACGCTACAAGCCTCCCCCATATTTTGCCCACAAAGAAATTCCTAGTGACCTGGCAAGATCTTTACCCTAAGGTGTTTCTGCTTTCACCCTAAGATTTCACCATGGCAATGTAAATTGATAGCTTATCTTTACAGGTGCAGTCACCCCCGTGCCCACCAAACACAAATGCATATCCAGTTGTTCCCCTATCCTGTTTCCTCTGTTATCTTATGTAAAAATGTAGATTCCCTGCATTTTTCCTCTGCTCCATTTGAGCCAAACAAATAAATGAATATTTTTCCCTACCCACCTCTTACATGAAAATTGTATACTTCTCAATATCCCACCCTTTCCACTTTAAATTTGGAGCCCTCAAAATCACCTTTGGAGAGAGGCATAGACCTGTCTCCTGGGCACATGTCCTTAACTTTGGCAAATAAACCTTCTAAAATGATTGAGACTTGCCTTGTGGTTTTTCTCTATTGACAGTGGCCAATACATTTCTACAAACAAGGTACCATTTTTGTCCCCATTTTATAGATGAGGAGACTGAGGAACAGTGAGGTTAAGCAAAATGCTCCTGGTTAAATACCTAGGTACAGAAAGAGGCATACTGAGAGCACCTCCTTACTACCCAGGACCTGTATGAAGTGTTTGATGAATGTTAACTATTATCACTTTATTCTTGTTAATGAGGTATGTCAATTAAGTAATTAGGATGAATTTTAATGTACATTCCAGAACATAAACATCAAAATGAATTTTGTCCTTCAAAGGAGTTTACCTTGGAAGGCTTTGTGCATTCCAAATAAAGCATCATTGTTCAAAATGTTCTTGGTTTCACCCTTCAAAGCTATGGTCTATTAACTCCACGGAGGGCTTTTGATCTCATTACTCCATTGCTCCTGATTTCCCTTTGTAAATTATAAGGTAATAGATCAGTTAATGAAATATTAGAGCACTCCTAAGATAGTCTATTGTTGATTTAGGAAAAGAAGAGCTTCTAGTATCCTTTCATGTAAATGGGAAATTAGAATGCCAGTGGAGGATGTTTCCCAATTTCAGGATCTGCCACCTACATCCTTTCTGGGATCATCCCCACTCTCATCTTTCTGCAGTGCTAGACAGCCCAGGTCAGGAAACTAACCATGCCTGCAGGTGGTATCACTCATGTTGCCGACTTCAAGTTCCCCCAGCAAAGGACAATCCTCCAGGTAACCGTGGACTTAGTTCTATCCCCTTCTTTACTAGTAGTTGACAAGAATAACTGTAGGATGTGCTGGGGATACACCATCCTGAGGCAAGGAGGGACTGGCCAGAATATCCCGGACTCTTTCTGGTCTCCCTCTGGAAACAGGATGTCCTTCAGTGCTTTAGCCCAGCAGGCCCAATGACCCTGGGGTATAAAATCAAGGGCAGGCTGCTTTCCAAGGTCCCTGAGCAGCAGTGGAAGTGGAGTGTGTGCAGATGAGACTCTATTCAGCCCAGGCCCCTTTCTGGAGCAACCAGCTCACAATGAATCCCAGGCATCTGCCATTCCTGGCTGCCTCTCTCTAACTAATAAACTGCTTCAAGTAACTTGTGTGTGGGGGTGTCCTGTCTCACCAGACTCAGACAAGTCAGTAATCAGTGCACAATGAAACTGCTTCACACCTTGCACTGCTGCACACTGGTCCCTTCGTTCATCTGTCACGGACTCCTGCTCTTCACACCCACAGCTGCTAAGCGTGGCTCCCCAGACACCAGCTCAGTTGTCTGCTAAGATGAAAGGGAAATTTTCCCAAGAGGTAATCAGTTTTCTTCATTTTCTCTAAACACTTAGGGGGTATCCCCAAGATTGCAAACATAAGCAGAACAAGAAGGCACAGGTATGCAGATGCAAACTTCCTGGGAAGGAGCTCACAAACCAGGAGCACTATAGGTCTACTCCAAGGCACCTCTCCTCGGGCAACCTCAAATGCACTCCAGAACTTTAACTGCAAAAATCACATCTCCGAAATCCATACCTCTGACCCAGGTCTCACCTCTGAATCAAGGACATGGGTATTCTGCTCAACCATGGCCCTGCTGGAAATATCCACCTGGCTTTTAAATATTGGTGTGTCAACTACGATGTGCTCAAAAAGCTTCTTCTTCCTGACTTTCAATTTGTTTTGTGATTACATCCCCACACCACAGGCCTCTATGCACTCTCCCCTACCTTATGTGCCCCTCCACCCAATTAATTTTCAATGCCCCATCTTGTCTGCATATGTATCTATCCAATAGAAATATGATGTGAGCAAAGAATGTGAGACCCATATGTAATTTTAAGTTTTCTAGAAGCAATTTTTTTTGTTTTGTTTTTGAGACAGGGTCTCGCTCTGTAGCCCAGGCTGGAGTGCAGTGACGTGATCTCAGCTCACTGCAACTTCCACCTCATAGGTTCAAGTGATTCTCCTGCCTCAGCCTCCCAAGTAGCTGGAATTACAGGTGCCTGCCACCACACCCAGCTAATTTTTGTTTTTTTTGGAGACAGAGTCTCGCTATGTCACCTAGGCTGGAGTGCAATGGCGCCATCTCAGCTCACTGCAACCTCTGCATCCCGGATTCAAGCATTTCTCCTGCCTCAGCCTCCTGACTAGCTGGGATTACAGGCGCCCGCCACCATGCCTGGCTGACTTTTGTATTTTTAGTAGAGATGGGGTTTCACCATGTTGGCCAGGCTGGTGTCGAACTCCTGACCTCAGGTGATCTACCCGCCTCAGCCTCCCAAAGTGCTGGGATTACAGGCATGAGCCACCGTGCCTGGCCATAACTTCTGTATTTCCAGCAGAAATGGGGTTTCACCATGTTGGCCAGAATGGTCTCAAACTCCTGACCTCAGGTAATCCGCCTGCCTCAGCCTCCCAAAGTGCTGGGATTACAGGCGTGAGTCACTGCATCTGTCCTAGAAACAATATTTTAAAAGTGTAAAAGGGTAAATTGAATTATAATATGTATCATTTAATATAACACATGCATGCTATAATTTTAATATGTAATCAAGATAAAAATATTAAGAAGATATTTTACATTACCTTTTTCATACTACGTTTTGAAAATCCAGTGTGTGTATTACATCTTGATTCTAATTAGGCACATCTCAAATGTTCAGTAGCCACCTGTGGCTAGCAGTTATCATAGTGGTCAGTGCAGATGTCAACTCTACCCAACATTCAAAGAGTAGCTCAACTCTTCCACTCTGCAAGAAAGTTTCACTAGGTTTTACAGCCCTAATACATCTTTTACTTTTTGAATTGCCATTAACTTGATAACCAAACACTCTGTTGCACAATTAGCTAATTCCATGTATTTCATGACTATAAATTTTATCTTCACAACCAGGCTACAAACATATAAAGAGCAACATCTGTTTTGTCCCCAGCACATCTATTATGATGCCAGATATATCCATTCAATAAATATAAACTAATTTTTTGATGACAAATCAATAAACCAATAAATTATATGCCAGTATTAAGGAAAGGGGGAAATTGAGGGTGAAATCATTAAAAACTGTAAGAAGTAAAGACACAGTGACATTCAATTGAAGAAAATAATAATCTATATGATTATTTAGCAAAGTCACCCACTAGACTGTAGTGTCCAGAAGGGATTGTCTGTCTTGTTCATGTTGAATCCTCAGCTCATGGTGCATTCAGTCTCATTACTCCATTGCTCCTAATTTCCTTTTCTAAATTATAAGCAAATAGATACGCTAATAAAATATCAGACCACCTCTAAGATAGTCTTATGTTAACTTAGGAGAACTAGTAAAGTGTCTGGCACAGAGCCAATACTCAATTAAGGTTTGTTATCTGAATTGGTACCAGATAGATCTGGGATGTGAATTCCAATGATAAAAAATAAGCATGACATGTGTGTTGTGAAATACGGGTCCAATGTGAGCATTGAGAATGGAGTCAGAAGAAATAAGCTTAAGTCTTCCTAATTGTTCTAAGGAGATTCCCATGGATCAGAAACAATAAGGCAGGGAGACAGCACCTCCACTTGTAAAGAAAGTGCAGAATCTGGGATCTTTGCCTCTAGAACGATTCATTTCTTTCTTTCTCTGTGTATACAGAATCCCAATAAACCTTCATAATAAAATGTTAGAAGGTCTTACCTTGGTATGCTAAAGGAGATATGTAATAATCTGCTTATCCAAAACTCAATGAATAAGACGGCTAAAAAGAATGAAGTCAGATGAAGATGCAATTCACATAATTCATGGAGCAAGCCAAACTGTGCTGAGCAGTCAACAGGATACTATTCCATGCTCCCAAACAATAAGGGCCACAATGAATGTTCCCAGGCTAGAAATGCCTCCCACTGGGCTGTTTAATCTCCCTACTCACAAGCAAACTCTGTATCCATACTCTACTCTGAGATTAATCATGAGCATCAGCCTAGGCCCAAAACTTAAAGTTAATATATTTTTCCTTCTTTTCTATTTGGTGGCATGTGTGGCAGGTTGGGGGATGTGTGTGTGTGTGTGTAATGTACAGGCTACCCTAAAAATGGGTGAGCCTGTATTACCAGATATCTCAATGACATAGAGCAACTGCAAAATCAAACCAGACAAAGAAAAACAGTAATTGTCAAAATGGCCATATGAAATAATGATTCTTAAAAAGGATGCCTTTGACCATCACATAACGCTGTGCCAGTTGTATTTCCAGTGAGTTCTCATGTGAGGTTCCCTTGACGTACTGAAACAAGGGAGAAGCCTGGATGGATAAGCAAGGGCAATCTAACTGATGCAGGACGGGTGAGCCCCAGAATTGGGGCTTAGCCCAGGCAGGTTCTTGGCTTTGCCAAGAAAAGAATTCAAGGGAGAGTTGGTTGAGTCAGACAGCAACTTTTATTGAAGTAGCAGTGTCAGAGCAGCAGCAGAGGCACTGCTCCTTGCAGAGCAGGGCTACCCCATCGGCAATGTGTCCAGAGTAGGTTCTCAGAGGCAGTTCTGCACTCATATTTATACCCACTTTTAATTACATGCAAATTAAGGGGTAGCTTATGCAGAAATTCTCGGTCTGCGTGTCTTACAGAAAACTGCTTCCCCACCTCCCACCCTGTTTTAGCTGGTCCTAAATTTGGTATGGTGCCCCAGTCCCACCTCCGGAGTTGAGTCTTGCCTCCTACCTCATCAACTGCTGACAGAGCACAAAGAAAATGCAAATTTGGCAGAACAGGACATTTATTTCCCGGGCCTATTTAGCTTTGAGAACCATTTCAAAACAGTTGGAAGACTTTAAAAGAAATGCATATAACATCTATAGTTCAATGGCCCAACAACTGTTGCTACCCGATGCCCTTTATACTGAGGTTGGCTTGATCCTTAGCTAATTTTTAGTGTTTAGCACATGCGACTGATAACCAGACCCTGACTTGTCAAATTCCCATTCATCAACCAGCAGTTTCTCCCTGCATGTTTCCAGTATCATGGAGATACAAATTTGAGTGCATAATTTAGCCCTTGCTGGACTACTCTTAGGAGTAGGGAATGTCCATTCCCATGCCTAGCTTGAAGCCTGCTGTGTATCAACAACAGCATCTATGATTGTTGAACCAAATTGGGGTTGCTGATTGATATGACCTGGCCAAAATCTCACCCAAATCTCACCTTGAATTGTAATAATCCCCAAGCGTCAAGGGTGGAGCCAGGTGGACACAATTGAATCATGGGGTGGTTTCCCCCATACCATTCTGGTAGTAGTGAGTAAGTCTCACAGATATGATGGTTTTATAAAGGGGAGTTCCCTACACATGCCCTCTTGTCTGCCACCATGTAAGACGTACCTTTGCTTCCCCTTTGCCTTCTGCCATGATTGTGAGGCTTCCCCAGCCATGTGGAACCATGAGTCCATTAAACCTCTTTTCTTTATAAATTACTCAGTCTCAGGTATGTCTTTATTAGCAGCATGAGAACAGACTAATACACTGATTTTCTTTTGGAAATGTGGAAGAAAATTACTTTCTTCCAAGGACAACTCCTTTCTGTATTACTCAGAAATGGACATCTATTAAATCTATATTTGTAACTTCACTGCTCAGGAACCTTAAATTTCCTTTCAGCATGGAAAGGACAACTGGTAGATCACCCCATTCCCTGCCTGATTCCCCAACCTGCTTTTAGTTCAGGAAACCAGCTGTTCTGTACTCTGAAAGCACAACTCTGATCTTGTTCGTGTAAAGTGGCATTAAAATCATAGGGACATCAATATAAAACAGGGTAAACTTGTTCATGTTTTAATGTATCTTATGATTTTAAAAGCAGGAAAGGAATTTCCCATTTAGAATGCTTTAGATTTGTCTCAATCAAAACATGCAAAAGGTCTTATAGATTCTGAAGTTTATCTCTCCACTCCATGTCTACTGACATCACAAAAGGTCATTTGTGATTTAGGGAATGCAAAATTAGAAGTTTGGAATCTCTGGCTCTTCCCACATGTTGAAATTGTGCCAAAGGAATAATGACAGTTATACTTGTAATGTACAGAAGATCGTATGAACCTAGTAGATAGTAATTATACTGGAAAAAATATTAAATTATAGAACGTGTGATCACTTATGACAGAAAATCATTTGTTATTGCAGGCTTATAGAAGAATGCTCATAGGAAAGTCTGATGGATGTTGGCAAAAAAATAAATCTTCTATGCATTCTGTACCTCCATTCATTCATCAGCTAAAATGGGATAACCAAGAAAATTTTGATATGTGCATACTCACACTGTATCACATGTAGAATTATGTGAAAAGCAAATGAAACAAATCTGCAAGAAAGTTATTTGGAAATAAAGAACAAAAATGTTTTATTACTAACTGAAAATAAACATTTAAATGAATTGGTATTTAAAAAAAAAACTTTCAGTGACACATCACGGTATAAAGTGTAATAATGCATCGATTCTGGTTTCTGACTCAAATATACCATTTCTTAAAGAGTATTACCTGACACCAAATGAGTCTTCATTTAGAGAAAGATCTCCAGGAACTGATAGACAGTGATTTTCAGGATGTATTTTTAAGAAAATAAGAATAAAAAGCTTCATCTAAAGAGTGTGTATAACATGGTCCTTTTGTGTAATTAAAAAAAAAAGGAGGAAAGGAATCCACACTTTACACATGTATTTTTACAAAAAGAAACAGGGGTTAAGTAAGGTAAACCAGAAGGTAATGACAAGGGCTACCAAGACAGGTGAGTGGGAGCCAGGCATGGTGGCTCATGCCTGTAATCCTAGCACTTTGGGAGGCAAAGGCAGGCGGATCACTTGAGGCCAGGAGTTCAAGACCAGCCTGGCCAACATGGTGAAACCCCATCTCTACTAAAAATACAAAAATCAGCCAAGCGTGGTGGCGGGCGCCTGTAATCCCAGCTACTTGGGAGGCTGAGGCACGAGAATTGCTTGAACCTGGAAGGCAGAGGTTGCAGTAAGCCAAGGTCGCACCACTGTACTTCAGCCTGGAAAACGGAGTGAGATTCTGTCTCAAAAAAAAAAAAAAAAAAAGAGGAGTGAGTGGGAATAGGGGTGGGGGTAAGATGGGAACAATACTTCTGTGGCTATACCTTTATATATATATATATATATATATATATATATATATATACACACACACACATATATACTATATGTATATATATACACATATATATGGATATATGTGTGTGTATATATATATGTGTATATATACATATAGTTTGGACTTTTGAACCACGTAAGTGTTCAAAATATGTATTTTCTCATATTCAAAAATACAATTACATTAGAACAAAATGAGGAGAAAAAATAAACTCCATTGTTGAATGTAAGCAGTACTGGATGGGATACTTGTGATGATTTATAGGAATGTCTCATTCTTAAGAGATTCATGCTGGAGGATTTGGGAGTGAGGCGTCATTATATGTGCAACTCATTTGCAAATAGTTTAGCCAAAAGAAAATGTATATGCATATACATACTCCTATGTGCACACATATATGCACACACACACACACACACATTCCGACACATATACATATATGGATAAGGAGGGAAAAGAAAGATAAAGTAAATGAAAGAAAATCTTAAAACATAATAAACCTAGGGTCAATGGTCTGAAGGTTTGTATCTTTCCAAAATTCATTTGTCAAAATCCTAACCCTGAAAGTGATACTATCAGGAGATGGGGTCCCTAGGAGGTAATTAGCTCATGATGGTGGAGCCCTCATGAATGGGATCAGTGCCCTTATAAAAGGGACCCCAGAGAGCTCTCTCTCATCCTATTTCCACCACGTGCAGATACAAGGAGAAAATAGCAATCTGCAACCTGGCAGAGGGCTCTCAGCAGAACCTGACCACGCTGGTTCCCTGATCTTAGACGTTCAGCCTCCAGAACTGTGAGAAATAAATGTCTGCTCTTTTTAAAGAATAAATGTCTATAAGCCACCCAGGGTATGGTACTTTGTTATAGCATCTTGAATGGACAAGATACCAGGTGAACATCATCAAAAATAAATTTACCTTTATTCTTTTTCTTCTACCACTGCATAGAATTTTACCCCAAGCTTAGAAGAACTTCTGGGGACTTGCTGGCCTCATTGGTAGGAGATGGGGGACAAGAAGTTAGAGAGGCAGGTAGGAGTTCGCACCTTGAGATATGAAATTGGGTTGTAGAGATTTTAAATCTAAAAAGACACCTGTGGACTTTGTCTTAGAAGAATGAACAAACAAATTCACAACAAGTCTTCCTGCAGGTGAGATTCCTAGTGAAGTGGCTGAGTAAAAGACATGCAAATTTAAAATTCTGATGGGCAATACCAAATTGTACTACAAAAGAATAACATAACTGATCAGTGATATACACCTTGGGTATTTTATTCATTTAAACAAATATTTGATTAGAGGGACAAGAACAGAAGGTTAACCACAACCCTGACTCATGAGCTTTTGCATGATATTTTCCTTGTTGATGAAGCTGAAGGTACTTCTACCCTGGGATTTGCATCACCCCAAAACTGTCCTATATCCTACTCCAGTGACCACTGTCAAATCGGGCAGAATTACTTATTTTACGTCTTTACATGTGAAAAATGGAGAATAAAGCCATTTTGAAAAAGCCATTATCATAAAATAATGAGAAATACAACCAGGAAAGCAGGTTTTCGCCCAACTTTGTATTTTCTAAAAATCCATAAACAGAATAAAATGCAGGATTCTTATAAACAATTGTTTATAAGAATTTTTAAAAAGAGTTTTTAGAAGAATAATCCTGAGTTAAACGCAGAGTGCCACTGTAATAAATATAGTATTATTTGTACAATATCTTTTAATTAGGGGGAAAAAAAAAGCCTAGGAGATTTAGCTGGAAAAGTGGCTCCTTTCACAAATGCCCCCCAGCAGGAGGGACCCAGCAGTGTGAACTATGGGAGGAATATTCAGCCCATACCCTCTTAAAATAATGTTGTAGAATATCTAGTAAAATCTCTCTTCTAGGGGACCAAGAGTCCTCAGTCTGCCTCCCTCATCAATAGAAGCTTCTACGGAAGATAAAACAAGCTAAAAAGCAACACAGCCCAAATGGAAAACTCACAGATGACTTACAATCTGCTTAAAAAGAGGAAGCAAGTAAGCCAAGTACAGTGTAGACCATTAAGAGTTACTCAGTCTTGGAAAGCCCTTGTGTGAAATCTAAGATTTTCCAGCATCCTCAACCTGGGCTTTCTGTTGTGTATAGGTGAGGAGAAACTTGAAAGCAGAGTCCCATTTTAAAAGATGTGCCATTTAACTATGAATCCCTATTGACGTCATTCCTGCAGCCATCGGAGCTTAACCCTACAAACCAAGCTAAGATCCGTCTAAGTCATTTGCTGTTGGGCATAATGAGATGGTACTGTTGCATTTTTATTGCCATTAGAATAAATTGTTCACAAGAGAAGGATGCTTCAGCTATTAAAATAAGTGAGCAGAAAAAAAGCTCAGGTATATAAGTATGTTTTATGTGAAACAGCCAACCATCTGCAAATCATTTTAGTTCTGTAAGCTAATAAAAAGTGCACGTGTTTTTTCTCCTATTTATCTTCTAGAAGTTTTTTCTTCTACCACTCATCAGAATAGATTTTTATTTTCTCCTCCATCTACATTATTTCACAGGCTCCTCTAATAGATGCTGTCTCTAAAGCTGTACAGAAGAATTACCGAGACATGCTTTCTGAGTTTGTATAAATCTCAAAATAAGCAAACAAACTGATTTCTCCCACGTTTTGGCTGGAATCACACCAAAACAATTCCATTGATCCACTGCTGCCCACCAGCCCTCCAAGTGCACACAGGCCTGAGCAGGGCCTTTCAAAATCAGAACAGATGCATTTAAATAGCTTTAAATAGAAGGCTCTGCCAGGAGACAAGGAAGACAGAGTATCAGGTTCCCAAAGCACATTTGCCATTAATATTCTGAGCTCATGAATGCCAGTAACTTCTTGAAAACTTGATTTCCAATGTCAACTTAAATCTGTTGATTTCTGTCCTAAGATTTAGCAAAAAACAATTATTCTACCTCCTCCAGTCCTACCAATACAATTGTGTTGTGTACAAGACACAAAAAGGGGTTTATTGGCATTTTCTGTTCACCCCCTGAAGATAATAGTCCTCACTTGAATATTCTAATAACGAACCATTGAAAAGCAAAATTTGGGCTATTTCTACTCACTGTTAGCAGATGAAGAATAGTATCGTATCAGTTAACTTATTTCCAAAAGAAAATCATGTTCTCAGTATTAAATGGGATCAGGAATTTTTTCCTGTAGGTCGTTATACACTTCAAACTGTTTTTCTCATTGGGTCACAATTTCAATGTGTAGCTGGCATACTGAATAAGCAGGACTCACAAAGTGTAATTTATTTTGGTCCTCCACTACCCCCTTAGAATGTGTTTAATAGGGGAGAATTTATCTCCTGCTCCTGGATAAAAATTCAAGGAACTAAGTCCCACAGGGAAGAGAAACAAGATGTGCAGAAGAGATCTGATTTGACTGGTACTGATGAAACCTGGGTCTAGTTGATATTTAAGGCACTTTTCTGGATTATCTGGGGTACTCATCCTCCCCATAGCTCAGGGTCTTTCATGACAGCTCTCTTGATACAAATGAGGCCCTTTTCTCTAGCTGGCCACTAACTCTTTCCATGACCCAAAGATCCAATGATACCACCAGTTTTTCTGACAAGAGCTGGTCAAACCCAGGTGAACCTATTTGACACCATCTAAAACCAGTGGCCCCTGGCTCCTGCTCATGGGAGACTTACATTAGGTCTTTGAGAAATAATCAACATCTTTTTGCCACACACTCTCTCCTTTGCTTTGCACACTGAAGTAGCTAGCCAGAAAGGAGATTTATAGCTAGGGAATAAACCCCGTACTTCTATGAGCCCTCCCCCTTCGGGGACCACAACAATTTGTCCTGTTGGAGCCTTCTCAATGGCCTTGAGGGAAAGGAGAGGCATGTGCATACTCTCTTGCCTCACCAACCCCATCCTGCAGGGGATGGGGAAGAACGGCTCTTGCTAAGAATATCCACTTTTGTATTCTCTTTTAATCTTCAATAACACAATCCTTTTTAGCTTCTATGCAGTGAATGGTTTAAGGGTTTATATAAAACTGGCTTTTCAAATTTCATTAAAAACTCTGTATTTGGTCTGGAGTCTTGGTGTGTCCTATCTACTGTGTTTTCATGCCTCAAAAACTTCTTCTTAAAAATGCTGCTCCTCCAAAGAAGATATACAGATGGAAAATAAGCATATGAAAAGATATTTCACTTCCTATGCCATTAGGAAAACACAAAATAAAAACAAAACTGAGATATGACTTGTATCAGTCTATTTTCACACTGCTATAAAGAATAGATGAGACTGGGTAATTTATAAACAAAAGAGATTTAATTGACTCATAGTTCCACATGGCTGCGAAGTCCTCAGGAAACTTCTCATGATGGCAGAAAATGAAGGGGAAGCAAGGCATGACTTACAAGGCAGCAGGAGGGAGACAAAGAGAAAGGAACTGCCAAACACTTTTAAACCATCAGATCTCACAAGAACTCACTCACTATCACAAGAACAGCATGGGAGAAATCACCCCCATGATTCAATCACTTCCCATCAGGTCCCTCCCTCAACACATGGGATTACAATTCAAGATGAGATTTGGGTGAAGACACAGAGCCAAACCATATCACTCTGCCCTTGGCCCCTCCCAAATCTCGTATCCCTCTCATATTTCAAAACACAATCATGCCTTCCCAACAGTCCCCCAAAGTCTAAACTCATTCCATCATTAACCCAAAAGTCCAAGACCAAGGTCTCATCTGAGCCAAGGCAAGTCCCTTCCGCCTATGAGCCTGTAAAATCAAAAGCAAGTTAGTTATTTCCAAGATACAATGAAAGTACAGGCATTGGTTAGATGCTCCCATCCCAAATAGGACAAACTGGGCAAAACAAAGGGGCTACAGGCCCCACGAAAGTCCAAAACCCAGCAGGGCAGTCATTAAATCTTAAAGCTCCAAAATGATCTCCTTTGACTCCATGTCTCACATCCAGGGCACACTGATGCAAGATATGGGCTCTGAAGGCCTTAGGCATCTCCACCTCTGTCGCTCTGCAGGGCACAGCCACCACAGAAGCTTTCATGGGCTGGCATTGAGTGCTTGCAGCTTTTCCAAGTGCACAGTGCAAGCTGTTGGTGGATCTACCATTCTGGGGTCTGGAGGATGGTGTCCCTCTTCTCACAGCTCCATTAGACAGTACCCCAGAGGGATTCTATGTGCAGTCTCCAACCCCACATTTCCCTTCCGCATTGCCCCAGCAGAGGCTCTCCGTGAGGGCTCCACAGCAGACTTCTGCCTGGACATCCAGACGTTTGCATACATACTCTGAAATCTAGGTGGAGGTTCCCAGACCTCAACTCTTAGCTTCTGCACACCTGCAGGCCCAACACCATGTGGAAGCTGCCAGGGCTTGGGGCTTGCACCCTCTGAAGCCACAGCCTGAGCTGGAGCAGGTGGGAGGTAAGATGCTCAGTCCCAAGGCTGCACAGAGCAGCAAGGCCCTGGGCGCAGCCCACAGAACCATTTTTCCCTTCTAGGCCTCTGGGCCTGTGATAGGAGGGGCTGCCTTGAAGATATCTGAAATGCCCTGGAGACATTTTCCCCATCATCTTGGCAATTAACATTCAACTCCTTATTACTTATGCAAATTTCTGCGGCTGGCTTGAATTTCTCCCCAGAAAATGGGTTTTTCTTTTCTATCACATAGTCAGGCTTCACATTTTTCAAACTTTTATGTTCTGCTTCCCTCTTAAACAGAAGATCCAATTTCAGATTATCTCTTTGTGAACACATATGAGCATACTATTTTAGAAATAGCCAGATCACCTCTTGAAGGCTTTGCTGCTTAGAAATTTCTGCTCCTTAGAAATTTCCTCCACCAGATGCCCTAAATCATTTCTCTCAAGCTCAAAGTTCCACAGATCTCTAGCGCCAGGGCAAAATGCTGCCAGTCTCTTTGCTAAAGCATTGCAAGAATGACCTTTACTCCAGTTCACAATAAGTTCCTCATCTCCATCTGATACCATCTCAGCCTGGACTTCACTGTCTATGTCACTATTAGCATTTTGGTCAAAATCATTCAACAAGTCTCTAGGAAATTCCAAACTTTCCCACACGTTCCTGTCTTCTTCTGAGCCCTCCAAACTGTTCCAACCTCTGCCCATTACCCAGTTCCAACGTTGCTTCCACATTTTCAGGTTATCTTTATAGCAGTACCCCATTCCTTGTAACAATTTTCTGTATTATTTCGCTTTTTTTCACTGCTATAAAGAATACTTGAGACTGGATAGTTTATAAACAAAAGAGGTTAATTGACTCACAGTTCTGCATGCCTTGGGAGGCCTCAAGAAACTTACAATCATGGCAGAAGGCAAAGGGGAAACAAGGCACATCTTACATGGCCACAGCAAGGATAGGGAGAGAGAGTGAGGGGTTAACTGCCAAACACTTTTAAACTATCAGATCTCATGAGACTCACTCACTATTAGGAAAACAGCATGAGTGAAACTACCTTCATGATCCAGTCACTTCCCACCAGGTCCCTCCCCTGACATGGGGGATTACAATTCAAGATGAGATTTGGGTGGGGACACAGAGCCAAACCATACCACAACCAGACACCTATCAGAATGGCCACATCCAGAACACTGACAACACCAAACACTGGCAAGGATGTAGAGCAACAAGAACTCTCATTCACTGCTGGTGGAACTGCAAAATGGTACAGCCACTTGGAGGGCAGTTTTGCAGTTCTTCAAAACTAAGTAAACTCTAATTACACAATCCAGAAATAATAGTCCTTGGTATTTACCTAAAGGAGTTGAAAAATCAAGTCTACACAAAAATCTGCACACAGATTTTATAACTGCTTTATTCGTAATTGCCAATACTTGGAAGCAACCAAGATTTCCTTCAGTAGATGAATTAATAAATTGTGGTACTTCCAGATATTGGAATATTATTCAAATCTAAAAAGAAATGAGCTATCAAATCATGAAAAAACATGAAGAAACCTTAAATGCATACTATTAAGTGAAAGAAGCCAATCTGAAAAGGCTACATACTATATGATTTCAACTACATGACACTCTGAAAAAGGCAAAATGGAGAGGGCAGAAAGACTGGTGGTTGCCAAGGAGTTAGGGAGAGAATAGGCAGAGCACAGAGGATTTTTAGGGCAGGGAAACTATTCTGCAGGATACTCTAATGGTAGATTCATGTCACTATACATTTGTCAAGACCCATAGAATGTATATCACCAAGAGTGAACCCTCATGTAAACTATGGATTTTGGGTGATAATGATGTGTCAATGTAGGTTTACTGATTGTAACAAACATACCACTCTGGTGGGGGGGTGTCAACAGTGCAGGACGCTGTGCCTGTATGGGGTCTAGAATCTACAGAAACTCTGTACCTTCTGTTCAATTTTGCTGTTAACCTAAAACTGCTCTAAAATGTAAAGTCTACTTAAATCATAAATAGATTTAAGTAATAAACAGACTTAATAATAAAGAGACAAAAAAGGGGGAAAAAAAGGTGCTGTTCCCACTTTAACTAGGAATGTTTTGTTCAATACTCCCCAAAGCATCCTTCTTTGCCTCATTATCTGTAGTGTACAAGAAAGTGAACCTACTGGCTTAGAAAGTAGCCAGATTTAGGAAAAAACCCTAATCCTCCCTATATTCCTTATCCTTCCAAGATTATCCACATCAAGCATTAATCATATTTTGGCCTTTGATTCTGCCAAGCCACACTATGAAACTCTTGACCCCAAATTCTTCCCATCTTATACAATACTGGCACAGGGAGGAAAAGCAGAGCCCGCAGGAACTGGGATCCCTCATTGTTTAGGCGATTTTTCTGGCTTTCTCCGATATTCTGATGTGATTTTTGTTCCCCTTATTTGCCTTCAGGATAACAGGCATTGATTCAATCAGTTCTTTTTTTATAAAGTATCCTGACTCAGAATCTGATGAAAATTATGGCTCCTTTACCCATTTCTGTATCTAATTTCAGTTTCTCTGAAACTCATTCACAAATCCCCTTGGCTCCCCACCAAGTAAACAATGCTTAATATCACTCATAACCACACACCATGCCCTCTTTATCCTACCACAAAAATGTTTTGTCGTTTCTATGGAGCCCAAATAAGAAAACAATTTGTCCCCACGAGTCAATCAGTTTTTCATCATTTTTACCAAATATTTATGGAACAGCCACAGTACACAGAGCATTAAGAGAAGAGTGTGGTTTGATTAGACACACAGTGTGATTCACCAAGAAATGCTCCCTTTGGCCAATGTCATGTAATCTAGTGATTTCCAACAAGATGATGCTCCCAAACCTCTCTGGCCCAGATTTCTCCCCAAGCTTCAGACTTCAATGTCCACTGGATATCCCCATTCGGGTCTCCCACAGTCACCCCAAACTCAACAAGTCTGTAACACATTAGCCTTCCCCAAATCTTGATCCTCTCCCTGCATCTCCTCTCTCAGTAGCTGGCAACTCCACTCACCATTCAACCACATCAAATAAGTGGGAGGCATCTGTGACTCTTCCACATCTTCATCCTTATCATCCTGACATCCCATTTGTCAGCAAAGCTCTGCCAATGTGAAGCCCCAGTGGTTCTTGAATACATCCACCACTACAGCCACTGCTTGGGCTGCACAGGATTCATGGCGCTGATGTGAAATCAGTGTTCTTTAACTCGGATTTTCCTCCTTAAAAGTCATGGAAGCCAAAGTTCTCTGTTCTCTGGCTAGGGATCTAGAAGGTACAGCCAAAGATCAGAGCAGATGCTGAGGGATGATGCTAGAAACAGAGTCCATAAGGCAGGATGCCGGTCACTGACATTTTATTTCTGGCCACCAGGCAGCTTTGGTCCCAGTTGGTCAGTAAAGTTTTTGAAGGGATGATTTCTATCTAGCCTTAATTAAATTGTTTTACCTTTCAACTTAGCCAAGGAAATAATCTGATGAATACAGACAATAATTTGTCCATCAGAATACAATCTCATGGAATCATCTTAGAAATGTGGTCTTTATCCAAGTGCTTGATTCAGAATAACAGATGCGGTTGAAAGAGCTTTCAGTCACAGCTTCTTCCTCTTAACAACCAATTAGTTCAGGTCCAGGTTATTTGGGAAGTATTAATTTTTCACTTCAAAATAGTTTTTAAAGGGTGTAGGGCAATATTATTAAAATGGGAACGCCATTACAGGCTAAGAATATTCAGGGAATCAAGGCTCTCCATTTCTAGTGTGTATGAGAAATAGCCACTGCAAAAAGATGTAAATGACTACACAGTTAATGACAGACGTTCAGTAAAAATATATTCAGGCACACATGGTTTCATTTCATTAACAACAAGAGATAACTTTTATCCAGCACTCACAATGTGTACCAAGCATGGTGTTAACATTTTATACATAACATGTGACACCATTACAGAAGCCTATGATATTCTCACTAAAATTACCTCCATTTTATAGCTGAAGATACTATGGTTTAGAGATGTTAGTAATTAATCAATGATCACACACTCTTAATCCTGAACCAGCAAAGGGTTTCTTTAAGCATAAACCCACACTGCAGAGGAACAGCAAGAAGAGGAAGCATATAAATTAAATTGGATATAGTTCATGTCCTAGAAAAGGCAGGGGAGGGAGAGAAAAATGGCAGTGTACAAGGATGGATTTAGTGCCAGGTACACAGTAGGCTTCATTAAACTATGACTAAGCTGAATGTGTAATTAAAGGAAATTAGGTTAAATGGGGTAAAATCCTGAGCGAAACTTTTACAAAACTGAAATTAAAATTACATTATAAGAAACCACTCAGAGTAATAGGATTTACAGACAGCTGAACAGTTGTGTCTTCAACATGCCCTCTTATGGCCAGAGTCAGCCTGCTCCCATGCCAGTTGGCCAGGCCATATAGCCAGACCAAACAACCAGCCATTCCTGAAACACTCAGCTTGCTGTCTCTCAGGGGTTCTATTAGCAAACTTTGACATTAAATTTTAGAGTTGTCTTTCATGTAAATATAAAGTCTCTATATCATCCTACATTACACATAATGATCTTTTTTAAGTCCTTTATTTTAACGAGAATTTTTGAAAAATTATAAAAAGCATGATGAATAAAATATAAATCACCTACTCACTACTCAGAGGTAGCTCTTTTTTGTGTATTTGTATGTTTGTTTTTACAAATAGATCTGGTTTATTCATTTTAATCTATTGTCTTCCATGGTATTACTATAGTATAGTACACTATGCTATACAATACTATACTGTACTATACTGAATTTATCAAGTCTTTCTTTTTTGGACATATATATTGTTCGAAGCTTTGCTAGTAGCGCATGTCTGGATCAGGGATAGCTCTTGATAATATTTTCATGCACTTGATTTTGATTCTTTTCCAATGTGTATGTTCTATAGATCTACGGCATATCTGTGCCTAAGACCTTAAGCTATCCTGTCTCACTGTGATCAGGTAAGTTTATTCTAAGAATGTGATTTATGGTCAATGACAGTGTTTTCTTTGGGGGACTGCAATCTAAGAAGCTAAGATCAGTTCTACGGGTGTTACATGGCTGCATGACAGACCTGCAAAAAACATGCAGGGTCATGGGGCTTCCCCAGCTGGCCCCAAAGCATGGGTTGTTTTCCTGGTTGCCAATACTTTGTACATGTTGTCACACATCATTGTTTAGGGAATTAAACACATTTTTCCCATGCAAGTCCACTGGAAGAGGTCACCCAGAAGCTTGTACCTCATTTCTCCTGAACTTTGTCCCATATACCTTTTCCCTTTGCTGATTTTAATCTGTTTTTTCACTACAATAAACGATAACCATAACAGCTTTTCTGAGTCCTATGAGTCCTTCTAGTGAATCACCAAACATTAGGGTGTTCTTAGGGACCCCTAACATATCTACTTATCTGGGAATCTGTAAGCTTTAGTTGACCAAAACTCCAACATAATCTAATTATGCACCATACTAAGAACAAGATCTAGGATCCCTTAATGAACAAATAAGGCTCATTTATTAATTCTCTAGACAAATATGTACTAAGCCTCATTATGTACCAGCCACTAACAATAAATAGTGTCTTATTCTATTTTTGTATTCCAAGAAGGACATTAACAATATGGAGTTTGTATAGAGAAGGGTAACCAGGATGGTTGACAGTTTTTTAAACCACCTGCATCTGTCAGAATATAAAGGCAAACCTCATGAAAAATGACTCAAACAAACAAGTTCATTTTTCTCACTTAATGTAAAGTAAGGAGGTAAGGAATTGTTGACATTAGTTCAACTACTCAGTATTACCACAGGGAACAAAGTTGTTTCTATCATTCTGCTGTACCTTCTCCAGCATGCTAGATTTCATCATCAAGGGTATTATCTAAGAGATACAAAATTCCTGCTACAGTTCCAAACACTGCAATGTCAGCTAAGTTTTCCCAGAACTCCCACAGATATCAATATACACTTCCTTGGTTACAGCTACCGTGAAGCCACCCCTAGTTATGGGGAAACTATTTTACTTGGCAAACTACCACCCCAATTTGGGTTACTTCTAGCAAGATGGCAGGGGATATGGATGTTGTAGGCAACGAGAGTATATACAACACCATCTGTGGAAGGGATACTTCAACATACTAGTGCAAGTTAAGAAAAAGAGGAAACTGAGCATTAAGAAGGAAGGCAATAAAAACATAAAAGAAAGATAATATTCTTGCAACTATGCCTTTAAAAAAGTGTAAGAAGTTAGGTTGGCCGGGCACGGTGGCTCACACCTGTAATCCCAGCACTTTGGGAGGCCGAGGTGGGTGGATCACGAGGTCAGGAGATCGCGACCATCCTGGCTAACACGGTGAAACCCCGTCTCTACTACAAAAATACAAAAAAATTAGCCGGGCATGGTGGCGGGCACCTGTAGTCCCAGCTACTCGGGAGGCTGAGGCAGGAGAATGCCGTGAACCCAGGGGGCAGAGCTTGCAGTGAGCCGAGATCGCGCCACTGCACTCCAGCCTGGGAGACTGAGAGAGACTCTGTCTTAAAAAAAAAAAAAGAAGTTAGGTTACAACACTTAGCTTTCATTATTCACAATAGCCAGGTATGGAATCAACCCAGGTATCTATCATTGGATGGACGAGTAAAGAAAATGTGGCATATACACAATGGAATACTCTTCAGCCTTTCAAAAGAATGCAATCCTGTCATTCGTGACAACACGAATAAACTTGGAGAATATTATGTTAAGGGCAATAAGCCAGGCACATAAAGACAAATATTGCATGATCTCACTTACATGTGGAATCTAGAAAATTTGAACTCACAGAAGTAGAGAGCAGAATGGTGGCTACCAGGTGCCGGGGGTAGAAGGATCGGGGAGATGCTGGTCAGAGCACACAAAATTTCAGTTAGAAAGGAGGAATACATTTAAGAGGTCTAGCGTACAACATGGTTACCACAGTTAATAATAATGTATACTTAAAAATTGCTAAGAGAGTAGATTTTATGTTCTTATAACAGAAAAATAAGTATTTGAGGTCATGCACGTTTATTAGCTTGATTTAGCTATTCCACAACTTACACATATTTCAAAACATGCTGTATGCAACGAATATATACAATTTTGTCAATTAAAGGCTAAATAAATAATTTTTAAAAAAACCGGCCTTCAGACTTCAGTATTTCCAGTTAGGAATGTGATATGGTTTGGCTGTGTCTCCACCCAAATCTCATCTTGAATTGTAGCTCTCATAATTACCGTGTGATGTGGGAGGGACCCAGTGGGAGGTAATTGAATAATGGGAGCAGTTTCCCCCATACTGTTCTTGTGGTAGTGAATAAGTCTAATAAGAGCTGATGGTTTTATAAGGGGTTTACCTTTTCATTTGGCTCTCATTCTCTTTTGCCTGCCACCATGTAAGTCATGCCTTTTACCTTCTGCCATGATTGTGAGGCCACCTCAGCCACATGGAACTGTGTGAGTCCATTAACCCTATTTTTCTTTATAAGTTACCCAGTCTCCAGTATGTCTTTATCAGCAGCATGAAAATGGACCAATACAGAATGTGAGAACCAAGATGTGAGGAAAGGTAAGAAGTCAAGTCATAAATGTCCTGCTAGATTCCACCAAACTAGGCCATAAGATATTCTGGGGAAAATAAAAGCTAAAGGGACTTATATCCTACGTAAATGAGCTGAAGAGAAACTCCTGGGTCCATAGGAGAAGTTTCCCTGTAGATAATCTTAGTAGATTAGGGAGGGTCCCCGATACTCTTCCTATCCAATGTCTGCTATGCATTCTGGGGCTTCAAAACCAGAAAGAGGATACAGGAACAAAGAAGAGGAAAGGGAAACATTTACTCGAAGAAGGAACCAAGTAGAAACTGGAAATGCATATCCAAATAATTAGGACTTGTAATATATGAAAATTATAAACATGTTAGATATTGTTTCTGATGGTCAACTGTTGAAATGTCAAGAGAACGGCTTTTCTCTCAGTGAAGAATATTTGAAGAATTAAAAAACATTCCACCCTTAAAAGAGGTCTGTTCTGACATAGGAAGTATCTTGAAACAGGAGAAATATGAGAGTCCAGATATTGGGTATGTTCGGTTAAGGCAGTATTATGGAAGATACTCCTTCTTGGATAAGAGGTTGTACAGATGACCTACAGTTCCCTGCGACTTTACGATCCTATGACACTCCTTTTAATATGTCCTAAAAGCAATTCTATGAGTAAAGCTTATGAACCATACAACTGGAAGGAAATGGATTAAGATGTTGACAGTGATTATTACTGGGTAGTGAGATTACAGGGATTATAGTTTTATACTTTTGGCTCACCTATGTCCTCTAAATGTTTTACAGTAAATATTTCAGAACATTTTAGAGAAAACTCTTTAAAGTAAAAGGAAAAATTCTGTCTCCAAAAGATAAGCCACAAGTCTTTAAAAACACGTTAGTTTTAATCTCTGATGAACTGAATTTAAAAATCATCATGGCATAATAATATTGAAAACGTTAATTTCTGGTATATGCTAACTCTCGGAGACAAATATTTTAACATTTGTCAAGCTAATAATAAGAAAAAAATCACCATCACAGATACTTCATTTTCTTCCTCAGTTGACTCAGCTGTTTTAAATTTAGGGATTATGATACTCGACTATAATAATTAAATGTAGGGCAGTGAAAAGACCTAATAGTCTTATTATACCTGACATTACTGACGAATGCTTACTTAACAAGAATCTCACTTTACATTTAGTTAATTTAAGCTCAAGTTAGCTTAAAAGCAAAACAAAACAAAAGCTGAAAATGGAGAGAAACAAAACAGTGTACGTTTTCTATTCTAGGTGTACTGGTCTAAAAGGACAAGTCACCATGGGTGGAGGTCCATAAACCAACTGAACTACTACAATGTGAACAGTTAGCAAGACTTAGGCCAACTCCACCCAACCTTGAAAGAATGGAGATTCATTTTGAAATAAACCCATGAATGACACGGAGAGCCCGACATTGTAAGCACTCCAGGAAGTTTACAACAGTTTCAAGGACTTTCTAGGAAGGCCAAAATCCATCCTTGGCATAGATGATCCTCACAGGCACCAGGAAGCAACAAGTTGTGCTCAGAACAGTCTAAAATGAGGTATAAACTTTTAGACCCCTTAATTCTCTCAGTCCAGGTTTAATGATTATGAGGTTTCCCCTTCCAGAGGATGATGTGTTCATACTCTCTTCATTTAGCTAGAGTTTCCTTTTATGCAGGCACTTTCCTCTTCTATTTGTGGACTTTTATTTTTCAGCAGGCTTCCCTCTAGCGGAACAGCAAGCACTTGCCATGTTCCTTTGAGTACCCCCAGTCTGTTTTGAATAAGGGCTCTAATTGTTTTGAGATTCTGACATGAGATACTCACTGTTTTACACTGATTAAATGGCTTCTTCATCATTGCTCCCAGGACTGGATGCTAACCAAAGCTTTAAGGGCAACCGAAAGACGCCTTTGGAATTCTTGTTCCCCACAAACAGGCACTCTCCTTTTCTTCCCAGACAAGGTGTATGTGAATGAGCTACCCTGACACAGAATCCTCAGGAGGGTTTCTGTTGAGAAGCGAGTGAGGTAATCTGTGTGGACTCTTCTCATATCCTCCATGCCCAAGATCACTGTGCCAGCCCACCAACCCTGCCAGCCATTCCCTACAATTGGAACTTACCCCCACCCAGCCTCCTGCATCACACATTGCGTCCCCCTGGCAGGAAATGTTGCTCATCCTGTCTGCCAAGCCAAAGTCCCTCTGACCTCACACATTAACTCAAAACCCAGGCTCCCCTCGCAGAAGTCCCTCTTTCACCCCACCCTACCATTGCAGATGACCTCATTCATTCCCCCATGTCTTTCATCACCCCCACATCATTTTCAACAAGGACACAGAACAGTATTTTACTTTCTGGTGGGTGACTTCATGCTCAGAACTGGTCCACATCTCTGTGTATGAGTGTGTGTCCTCTGCAAAACCAAGAGCTCTATAACAGCAGGAGGCATATGTAGTGCTTGTATAATACTTCAAATAATCTTGTGCAATACTTTGCAGGGAAGAGGCTGCTCATTTTCAGAGGTGAGTCAGAGAGATGCCATAGGCTGGAATCTTTAACATGGGATCCATATTGACAAAGCTCAAATTGTTCAAAAGTCTCTTCTTATCACATTTTGAGGACTCCTCTTAAATATAAGAATATCGCCTTCTCTCATACAATAGAGTCCTTGGCTACAGATGCATGCCTGTGTGTATATGTATGTATGGATATGTATACGTGTATTTATACCACCCCCACCCCCCACACACACACAGCAATGCAGACGTGTGGAGGAAAAAGCCCTATCCTGGAAAGCAAGATAAGTTGGCTAAGGTACAACTCAAACACTTAACTTGTGTACCCGTGCATAGGTGATTGCACTTCTCCAGCTTCAATGTCCTCATTTGCAAAACAGAAAAACATGACCAAGACATCCTAGAGAAGGTAGAGTCCAGGACTAAGGTATCACAATAAAACGAAACCATTGTTAGGGATTTTTTAAATGGAAAAGTTTAGATTCGTATTCATTAATAACTATATGAAACAGAAAAAGATTTTAAGACAGATGCCTTCCCAGTATTGTCCAAGAGAAATAGTTCCATGACTTTTTGACATAAAGATGTACCAAAATGAATAAAAATAAAGAATTGTTAACACTTGTAAAACTTAGGAGGTGCCAGGAACTTTCAACTCACTTTGGGAATGTTTAATCCATTTAAAAATCTCACCATTGCCCTATGAGCTAAGCACTCTTCTCATTTTAAAGATGGGGAAACTGAGGCAAAGGGAGGTTACTGCCCTGGCTCAAGGTCACATCACTCATAAGTGACAAAGCCAGGATTCTGACTCTGCAATGATAAACACATGTGATGGAGAGAGGCTTCTGTGGACACCCTGGGAACTTTGAACCTAGTAGGGCGGATGATGAATGGGAACAGGTGCAGCCATCAGCATGGGTCCACCAATCATCTCAGCCAAGTATCTTCTCTTTCCACCGGCCAGAGGCCACTCCTTGTTCCTTCAGCATGGGACAGGACATTATGTTTCAATGTACAATAGCTGCAGAAAGATTAATGTAGGCAAGTTGTGGGTTACTCACATTATAATTTAATCTCCTATGATAAATGGATAAAATGGAGTCTAACACATCATCTAAGAAGAGATAAAATTCAATGTGTCAGTAACAATAAGAAAAAGAGGGAACTTACTGACCCACAGCAATTAATGTAACAGCATGATTTATTGTTCCAAGCTATCACCAATGAATAAAAAACTAACTCTGTAAAGTGTATCCCAACACTTTGCAATCCTACTAAGTTTGTGCTAAGAGAGGTCAGGGTCAGCAGCAAGAAGTAGCTGAGAAATTACACACACAGATATGCAATGACAGTTACCATTTTGATTCAAAAGAGAAAAAGGAAATTAAAATAGAATTCCACTAATTGGAAATGAATGTCTTAGGTTTCCTTGGAAGAGGTCTGTTTATTATAGAAATGAGCCCTTCAGCCCCCCCAAGAAGTTAAGTGTCATTTACTCACACAAACGGACGATAAAATCCATTCCTTTAAAGTATACCTGGCTGCTTTGGTCAAGTTTTGTTCTTTGAGTAGGGAGATGGTCAATGTCATCAATCCTAAAGTCTATCTAACACTAGAAAGCATTCAGGGGAGTCACAGCCCTGTGGTATCTAAACTGAGCCACTATACGCACATGCTTCTTAGTGGACAGATGGGGAAAAAAAAGTGCATAAAATTTTCTATTGTTATTTAGTGGCATTTTATGTCCTTATTTGGTTAGATAACAACATAATAAAAGCTAGGTACTATCTAAATTAAACCCCTATATCATCTCCCCTAACACCCAAATTAACTATGGCAAATGAACTGTCATCTTAAAGATCACATCTCTATATGCAACATTAGCTCATACTGTAAAACTTCTGATTCTTCTGCAAAATCCATTCTCCCCTCTTCCACAAGGCTAGTTTAAGCTGCACACATGCTGCCAGCAGAACGCCGCATTTCCCAGACTCAACTGCAGCTGGGTGTGGACACGCAACTCCATCTGGGGCAAGAGGATGTGAGTGGAAATGATGTCTACGTCTGGGTCACTGTCAACCTATAAGCAAGCCACCAGCACTGGAGTTCTTTTGTTCTCCCTGTAAACTGGGATACATATGTGCAGAAGGCGCCACGGACGGTAACAGGCCAAGAAGACAGAAGCAGCCTTCACCCTGGATGACTTACAAAGAGGAGCCCCACGTGAAATCCGGACTGCTCACCTCCAAGCTACTATGTGATTTTTTTTTTTTTTTGAGACAGAGTCTCATTCTGCTGCCCAGGCTGGAGCGCAGTGGTGCAATCACAGCTCACTGCAAGCTCCACCTCCCGGGTTCACGCCATTCTCCTGCCTCAGCCTCCCGAGTAGCTGGGACTACAGGCGTCTGCCACCACACCCAGCTAATTTTTTTGTATTTTTAGTAGAGACGGGGTTTCACCGTGTTAGCCAGGATGGTCTCGATCTCCTGACCTCGTGATCCATCCACCTTGGCCTCCCAAAGTGCTGGGATTACAGCCGTGAGCCACCGCACCCAGCCTACTATGTGAATTTTTAAAAATCCTTTCATTTACTGTATTTCTATGGTCTCTTGTTAAAGCAGCTGTTTTACTCTAATAAACTCGGTGAAATCTGGCATTAGTTAGTGCCATTTACCCTAACTTAAATCCTCTGTAACGGTGCGGTACAATAGGACTTTCTCAATGATGGAAATGTTCTATCTGTGCCACCCATCAGGTGGTCACATGTGGTAGTGGAGAATGTAGCCAGTGTCCTGGAGAATGCAAAGTTAAATTTCATTTACACATAACTAATTTAAATTTAAAAGCCACATGTAGCTAGTTGCTAGTTGCCACCGTATGGGACATTATAGTGTCTGAAACATCTAAAATTATGAATGTCAAATAACTATGAAGACCCACTATTGTCATTGAAACATCCATATTTCATACCTTAGAGTTTTTGCTAGAATGTTGTAAGAATTATACAGAATTTTCTCAAAGTAGAAAGAGACTTTGGGCTGAGACTAAAGTATGAAGTGTTTAGAGTTGCACTGGCATTTTAAAGCTGACAGTAGCTTATATTTCAACAAGAAGAACACCTGGGGTTCTTTCACACGCTCATCATAAAACTATACTCAGCAGATTGCTTTTGTTGAAGAGATCAATGCAACACAGCCAGCAGCAATCAGGCTAACTAATGTTACTATTTTTATTCCATTACACAGAGACCTGGGGCAGTAAAACCTAAGTCAGGGATGTCTGGAATATTTTCTGAACAGTTTGGGGGCTCCTTTTGTAAAACTTCACATTAGAGAGGTCGAGTATGCATTTGCATTTTAAAACACTACAAAATTCCAGGAAACCTCCCATGTTAGAAGGGAGACAAATGTCATTCGGAGCATCGATCTGAAACATGTAACTGAAGCTCTGAATACAATTATGAGAAACAAATAAACCAAACTGGGCACACTGCCCAGAAACACCCATCAAATACATACAGATTTTGGAGACAGACAGAAGATGGTGGGGCAGGGGTTGTGTGGGACAAAAGGGGACTAACAGGGAGGATAAGGAAAAGGGAGAAGGGGGAACTATGGTGAGGGCAAGGGAGGGGCAGGAGAGACCCACTAGAGCTGGAAGAATAATAAAATAGTAATGAAGGAGCCAATCAAACTGAGAAGTCATGCCCAAAGTTTTAAACATATTCACAAAAGCCCTCATTTAGGCATTCCCATGGGGGATTTACATAGACACGTATAAAATTTACATGGCACTTGCCCCAGAGTGAGTGTATTCATAAATCTTAACAAATGGACACCCCAGCCTCCATTTTTGGATGAAATATAACAGCAATGAAAATGGTATTTTCTAATTACTATTAAAAGCTTCAGATGAATCTGCATCTTTGCTCAGTACGAAGAAATGTATAGTTGTTTAAGGATTTAATTTATCCAACATAAAGCAAGAACAATTCGAGGAAAATAAATGCAGCTCCATCATCCCCCTTAGGCTGTTAAGTACACGCAGGAGAAGAGGCACATTCTTTCAAGGGAATTTGAGAGTTTCTTTATCCTTCTTTTTCCCACGAGAGCACTGCACTTACTCATCTTCACGTCTTGGATCTAAACACTTCAGTGTCTCGACAGTTTTAAGTTAAATGATATAATCCAAAGAGGAGTAGGCTCTGTGTTCTCACAATAGACAGCTAAAGTTTCTGTTTCCCAAAGTGAAAGCATCTAAATCTATATAACCACCGCCCAAATACACAATGCAGAGTAATGGACAAGGGCTAGACTAGACAATGCAGCTTCCAGTTCCAACTCTGACATAAGTAAGTTAAATCATGACAATACCAGTAACATCCTATTTAATCAACACCAAGCTCCACCATCTCTCACTGCTTATTTAATACCTTCATTTTACAACCAATAATCTTACAATCACTATGAGAACTCTGCTATGTGTGAAACCTTCCAGTCATGCTTCTAAGATCAAGAAAGCAACAGCATCAAAGCATCTTAGATTTGCTGAATTGCAGATCATAGTAAACCAATAAGCAGTGTTTGTTATGTGCCAGGCATTATAACTTTGTATTTACTAATTCATTTCACCCCCCGACAACTCTTGGAGGGAAGAACTGCTTCTGACTCCCTTTTCCAGATGCAAAAATTGAGGCACAGATAGGTTAAGAAACTTGCACAAGATCGGGCAACTAGCAATTAGTCCAGCTAGTTTGAATCCTGGGAAGTCTGGCATCCAAGTCTGCTCTTAGCAACTACGCTCTCTGTTGTAACTCATACGGGATTTTGCAAAACTCTTTCATGCCTTCGGTACCTGGGCTTCTTGTTAGTCCCCAGAACAAGAGTACTGAACTAGGTCATTTACAGATGTCTGTCCTGCTTTAAAACTTAGGTTTCTCTGATACAAATGAAAGCATGCCACACAACCCCTGGAGGACAGGACCAGATTATTAAAGAAACAAATGACACTTTAATTTTAATTGTATTTTTTAAATTCCTTGCAGAAGGATATTGTATTTCTTTCAATTTACAGAAAAAACATAACTGGTAGGAAAAAACTGAGGCATTTTTGTTCTTTGCTAAATAAAGGTAATTTTAAATAAAGCAAATATCGGAAATATTTCCCGTTAGGAAACTTGATCACTACTTATGTACCACCTTTTAATTCAGCTATCTTTTTCGATTTTGGAAGTGTTGGATTTAGTGAACTAACTAAAACTACAGGATATAAATGTGCCAGAATCTGGCATATAGCATGTAATTTGATCTTGTGACTACTGAAATAGTGCACGTATACATATAAACCATAAACACACATACCCACAACATAAATACAATTCTATTTCCCATTGAATTGAGGGCTCTCAGAACAATGAAATTCTCCCCCGCCAACTTTAGAACTATTAAAAAGTTCATTATGGTATGAAACTGTTAGAGGCGTGTGAACCAGAGCAACTCCATCTTGAATAGCAGCTGGGTAAAATAAGGCTGAAACCTACTGGGCTGCATTCCCAGATGGTTAAGGCATTCTAAGTCACAGGATTAGACAGGAGGTCGCCACAAGATACAGGTCACAAAGACCTTACTGATAAAATAGGTTGCAGTAAAGAAGCCAACCAAAACCCACCAAAACCAAGATGGCCACAAGAGTGACCTCTGGTTGTCCTCACTGCTACACTCCCCCAACCAGGACAGTTTACAAATGCCATGGCAATATATCAGGAAGTTACCCGATATGGACTAAAAAGGGGAAGCATGAATAATCCACCACTTGTTTAGCATATCATCAAGAAATAACCATAAAAATAGGCAACCAGGAGTCTTCAGGGCTGCCCTGTCTATGGAGTACCACTCTTTTACTCATCTACTTTCTTCATAAACTTGCTTTCACTTTAATGTATGGACTCGCCCTGAATTCTTTCTTGTGAGAGATCCAAGAACCTTCTCTTAGGGTCTGGATCTGGACTCCTTTCCTGTAACAAAAGGGGATAGGAAACTACTAACCAGAGTGCTACTTCCATTACCACCAGCTCTGTCTTCAAATCATACCAATACACTATTTCTCCTCCTTCTAGGAATGTCCAAATTTGCCATAACATAAGGGTAGCTCAAACTCTTTCTCAGATTTTTCATGCAATTAGTACCCACAAAGGAAAACTTCACAAAAAATAAGTCACATTCTAACTTCCTTCCGTCAAATGGTGATCTGAAGGGATTCTCCAAAGGAGGAAGAAATAGAGCATAACTTTGCTCTCCTGTGACAACTTCTTTGAGCCACAGACAGGAAGTTCCTGTCTCAAAAATTAATTTCAACAAGTTTTTTTTGTTTGTTTGTTTGTTTTTTTTTTTTGTTTTCTAAGTCTCTGGCAGAATATATTCATAAGCCAACTCACTAGTTTACTGGACCACATCGGGAGAATTTAAAAATAGTGCAGAGTAAGAATTTTTTTTTGAGATGGAGTCTCGCTCTGTCACCCAGGCTGGAGTGCAGTGGCACGATCTCGGTTGACTGCAGCCTCCACCTCCCAGGTTCCAGGGATTCTCCGGCCTCAGCCTCTAGGTAGCTGGGATGACAGGCACACGCCACCACACCCAGCTAATTTTTTTATTTTTAGTAGAGACAGGGTTTCACCATGTTGGCCAAGCAGGTCTTGAACTCCTGACCTCAGGTGATCCGCCCGCCTCAGCCTCCCAAAGTGCCAGGATTACCAGCATGAGCCACCGCGCCCTGCTGCAGGGCCCAGATTCTAACTCATGCTGGTTGGCTCTGAAGTTGCTTAAACAGCAACTCCCACTGTATGCTCTTCTGGCCTCCTCACCGGACTGCAAGTTCCTAGGGACAAGTAAACGTTTCATTTGTCATTGTTTCTCGTGGGCGGGCCAAACAAGCGCTGACACATAGAAGGAGATTAATAAATATGTGCAAGCCAAAGGAATTAAGAAAGGAATGAACAATTTAGATGAACAAATGCCCAAGTGTATCAGTCCCTGAAAAATCCTCTCAGATCCTGGGTGGGATGTCTCAAGGAGAGACGAAGGGCCTGATTCACTCTCCCGGCCTCAACAACCAACTTAAGGGAAACTCAGGTCAAACAGAAAGTTAAGGTGCAGGAGCCAATGTGGCACCCAATTGCCCAAGCCAAAGTCCTCTACAGGAGGATGGAGACCTCTAGAATCTTCCATCTCCTCAATCCCTTCAGCCAATTCGTCACCAAGTCCTGTAGCTTCTACCTTCATTTCCCCCATGAAAGCCTCACCCTCCTCTTCAGGCATTATATCCCAGCCACAATTCAAACGTTCTCCTGCTCTCCATGAGCTGCCTTTCCTACCTCCCATTGCACATCACTGCTAGGGTATCGAGAGGGCTCACGAATAGCATCTCCCTTCCCCTGCCAGGTCCAAAACAAACCGAGGAAATAATAAAAATAAGTGGCAGGTAGAAAGGAAAATGGTACCTTCACTTCTGGTGAGTCTAGTATGAAGGTTGTGGTTTTAGGTCTACAGCAAAGTAGCTAAAACTGAACCTGTGGCCGGGCACGGTGGCTCATGTCTGTAACTGGTGAATCACTTGAGGTCAAGAGTTCGAGACTAGCCTGGCCAACATGGTGAAACCCTGTCTCTACTAAAAATACAAAAATTAGCCCGGCATGGTGGTGTGGGCCTGTAATCCCAGGTACCCAGGAGGCTGAGACAGGAGAATCACTTGAACTCAGGAGGCAGAGGTTGCAGTGAGCCAAGATCATGCCACTGCACTCCAGCCTGGGTGACAGAGCGAGACCCTGTCTCAAAAATAACAACAACAACAACGAAAACAAACACACACAAAAAAACACTGAACCTGTGTCAGCAGCAAGACGCCAATGCTAGTCTACCCATGGGCAGAAGAGCTCCCCCAAGATAAGGGTGCTTCCTGAGGGCAGCTCCCTCCAAAGAGGAAAACAGGATGAAGCTGAGATGTCAATTTTTTTCTCCCAAATTCACAAATCAGGTAAGTACTCCAGGCCGTGAGTTAAATTAATGATGGTCCTTCATGTGGAAGTAAACATAAGGAGTGGAGAAGGGTCCCCCTTAACTCCTGTAATCCACCTGCCTCTTCAGTGACCTTTCTAAATCTATTCAAGGCTCCCCTTGCTAAACATTTGCCACAGACTCTCCTGCCATCCACCTGCCTTCATTTTGCTTTCATCATCACTTGAACCTGTCTGCCTCTCCAGGTGTGACGCTCAGCTCACATCACCCTTTCCTCCCCACAGAGCCTATGACTGGTTCCCGCCTCCTTGTCTGACCTCATGTTGTTCCCCCACTGCCTTCCCAGCCACACCTGGCAAGCTCTTATTCTTCCCAGATTCAGTTCTAGGTACACTCAGTTAGAAAGCCCTTGTAAACACCCACAGCCAAAGCTCACCACGGCCAGGCTGGCGTCTTTCACTGAATGCTTTAGTTTACCATCTATGGTTCCTCCAGTACTTTATTAGTTTCTACCCACCAGACTGTGGGCCCCTTAAGTCAAAAACAACTCTTTATTTTATAAAACCCCCAATATGATCGAGACCATCCTGGCTAACACGGTGAAACCCCGTCTCTACTAAAAATACAAAACGTTAGCCGGACATGGTGGCGGGCGACTGTGGTCCCAGCTACTCTGGAGGCTGAGGCAGGAGAATGGCGTGAACCCGGGAGGCGGAGCTTGCAGTGAGCCGAGATCCCGCCACTGCACTCCAGCCTGGGCGACAGAGCGAGACTCTGCCTCAAAAAATAAAAATAAAAAATAAAAATAAAAATAAAAAAATAAAAAACCCAATATCTATGTATTAGTCCGTTCTCACGCTGCTAATAAAGACATACCCAAGACTAGGTAATTTATAAAGGAAAGAGGTTTAACTGACTCACAGTTCAGCATAGCTGGGGAGGCCTCAGGAAACGCACAATCACGGCAGAAGGGGAAGCAAATGCGTCCTTCCTCACATGGCAGCAGCAAGGAGAAATGCCGACCAAAAGGGGGAAGAGCTCCTTATAAAACCGTCAGATCTCGTGAGAACTCACTCACTATCACGAGAACAGCAGCATGAAGGTAACCACCCACACGATTCAATTACCTCCCACGAAGTCCCTCCCACGACATGTGGGAGAATTATTTCAATTACCTCCCACGAAGTCCCTCCCACGACATGTGGGAGAATTATGGGAACTACAATTCAAGTTGAGATTTGGGTGGGGATGCAGCCAAACCATATCAATCTAGAATAGACTCTGGTACATGGATACCTACAAATATATTGAATTAAAGACATGCAAGTAACTATATGCAAAGTAAGACATAAAAATCCCATACAAATAAACTGCCATGGTAGTTCAGAGGGAAGACATAGTGAATGCAGTTAGGAGCACCTGATATATTTTCTCAAAGTACGAAGTTTAGTATTTTAAACAGACATATCTAAGGGAAACCAAAGAAAATTTCATTTTAAAGTGTTAACATTGAATTGGGTTTGAATCGAGTATACCATGACGGGTAATCACATGGGAAGAATATTCCAAGAAAAAATACAGCATGATACAAGACACAAATTTAGGAAAATAAAAGGTATGTTTAGGGAACACTGAGTTTCCTGGTTTGGCCAGAATATAGAGTAAATATAGAAGAGCAGACTGAAAGAAAGAGAATCTGGCACAAAGTACTCGGTGTATCAAAAAAAAAGAATTTTGAGTTAATTTACAGACAATTTTGAGTTAATTTACAGACAATGGGAGTCTAAGAATGTTTTCTAAAGTAGTAGCTGGGTTAATTATGCCAGGGAAACTATATAAAACCTGGATCCCCGTAGTAGTGATAATAATAAGCTAATCATCTGTTTTTAAATTAATTCCAAATTTCTCAGTATCATAGTGATTCTGAGCTTATAGTAATTTGATAATCTCAGTGGAATGTTATTTGAGTGTAATAAAATGACTAATAAACTAGTATAATCATGAGTACATATTAATTTTTAGTCATTTTTCATCTTGCTTATGATTCAACTCACTCCTGCTTGTTTCCTCTACCTGATGAATCTGTACTTGCCATTGGTCCCTCGTTTAATAAGCATTGCATATTCCCCAATACTCTTAATAACCAGTAACACGAAATGCTGATTTCAGACAATAACAACTATAACCATCTGCTGCTTCTTCAGTATTTTTTCTTCAGTATTCTACTGAATACTCACCAACTATTGTGAGCTTCAGAGATCACTCTTCAAAGCACAGCAGACAATCAGTAAAACAGGACCATGGAGGAATGATTGAGGTATCTGTTTTCCACACCAGTTGAGCAAACGGATCAGGCAAATGGTCTCTAGACCCATCTGCAGTCAATTCTGAGTTATAGCAGCAGCAGAACTCTGAAAAAATTCCATGATGGCTCTTCAAAAACAGCACCAATGGCAGCAGCCAGGAACTGTAAGCTTGTTTTTTGTTCTTTTGCCAGCTAGCTATGTGCTATTGGTCAAGTCACTTTAGTGCACAGAATTTGAATTTCCTCATCTATAAGATGAAAGAATTAGACTAGGTCCCCAAACAGAAAACCAGTGCATATCTCTTAACTGTCAGCTGAAGGCTCCCCTTTAAGAATGGCTGAGATTCCCAGGAAGATGATGACTTGCCTAACAGTGGCATCCGGTCCATCCATGGCCACTGCCAAAACAGCATCCTGTTCCAATTTCTTTGCTGTCTTATGTTGGGTTCCTTGGTAAACAGCCTCTGAGATGGTCTGAGTGCAGGTGGTTTATTGGAAAATACCCGTGGGATCACCTTATGAAAGGCAAGGAGAGAAGGCAAACTGGACAGAGAGAAGGTGGTCTATGATGTAGTTGCAACATGGGACTCTGCAAACTCCATGGGGCGCTCTGGACCCAAAATGACCCTTCAGAATTGTCCCAAATTGTACCCCTGCCTAAACTAGTCACTGCATGTGGCTCCCCGCTCCCTGAACCTCCCTGTCTTGGATGAGAGTAATTTCTGGAGAGGCACTGGGCTGTGAACCTTCAGTGGCTAACACAGTGCAGCCGGGGGCAGGGACATGTCAGTCCTGAAGAGGCCATCTGTACAGACGAGTAGGGCAGCCACTCTATTCATCTCAAATCTTCTCAAAGTAAGGAAAAAATGGGAGAAGTATGATGGGGAAGAGAGAAATGGATTACAATGAAACACAGCTAGACTAAGAAAATCAATTTTAGTATCCCAAGGCCTTGCTATCTGTATGACCTTAGCAAAGCTGTTTTCTTTGTGCCTCAACCTCTTTGTTTGGAAGGTGCTCTGAGGTCATCTTCACCATTATAACATCCATAATTCTACTCAGTATTTCATTCTTGGTCAATGTCCCATTTTGTTACCTACCAAAAAGCTTACAGGTATTCCTAATGGGGGAGGGGCATCAAAAATCTCCAGTAGCATTTGTAAGTTCATCTTTGTTGAATGCAAAGAGATGATCTTCAGCGACAGCAAAATTTAAATCTACACACTACAGTGAACACACAGCTATCCCAAGATTAAATTAAATTTGCAGGCAGCAACTTGGGAATTTCAACATTGGATTGAATACAATTATTCAGTTAGTTGTATCTTTATTACCCATGCTCCCCCTTGTGAGGCAATTTTCCTTATTGGAAGTAAGGCAACCCCAACCAAAGCATTTAAAAATGATCCTTTTCCTGTTTTTATTAGCCAGTATCAAAGAAATGACTATTTGAAGCACAACCAAGGGGAGGGAATTGGTTTTTTATTGCTCAGTTCATGTTGTTATGGCTTTAGGAGTGCAGAAAGACTCCCCAAGGAAATACTGCCTCTCCAAACAGGATTGCAGGGTAATCAACAGGAGAGGTCTTTCAAGAGAGAGAAAAAAAACAGAGAGAAAAGTATTAAAATATAATTAAATAAGCAAAGTGGATGCAAAATAAAATGTGAAAAGTATGTTATTCAGAACAGAAATGTCATTTCTTGAAATTTATTTCAGAGCAGTATGCACAATATACATTATCCAAATGAAGCTACATAAATCTTTTTGACCAGCGGAGCAGCTGTTGATCTTTAAAAATAAAAACTAAAAAAAACAAATATGAATGTTGCCTATGAATCTGCATTGACATCTGGCACTTCAAAATGAAGGTCACCCAGGCTCGTGTCATGCAGAGTAAAATCCCCTCCACCAATGAGACATCACATCCATCCATCTGATCTGAACACACATGCAGGAAACAAACTAAAACATACAGCTGCAGGCAGATACCACATCACAGAATGATTCCTTCAATGCAACCATTCCAAGTCCTTTGTTCACAAGGCAGTTGCCTTCACCTCAAGTTCCAACTCCAAAAGCTCACATCTTGGGCTATTTTATTCTTCTCTAGCTTGATTATTATGGTGATCCTTTATCTGAAGCTGTTCCTCTAATGGATATCATGTTATTAAAGAAAGAAATAACACTTTCATTTTAATTGTACTTCTTAAATTCCTTGTAGAAAGATACTGTATTTCTTACCACAGATAGAAAAAAAAAATAGAAACAATGGAGTTTGCTCAATTTCTAGGAAAGGGTTATTTAAATCTATTCTCATGTATGTGTGCATGTCCATAAATATTACAGGTCAATATTGTTCTTTTTTTTCTTACATTGGTTATTTTGCTTCTGATTTTAGCAATGTGGGCAGCTGCAGCTAGAGGCAGATCTACTAGACACCATTCCAATCACACCAGATACACACAATATTTTTCTGTATTTTGTAAAACAAAAGGATAAAACTAGAGCTACAAAGCCACATTTGATTAGTATGAATCTAAAAGGATTCATAACCCTAAGACTCTTTAACACAGAGAAAGAACATTAAGCCAAAGAACTATTTTATTAATTTAAAGAACAAATGTTTTCTAGATTAATGATTGACTGAAGTTTCCATATAAACCCAATTTCCAAGTCAGATAAAACAAATACTACAAAACAACATAATTTTCAATAAAAAATACATAGTAGATTCTACTCAATACTAATCATTGAAAATAGGTCAACAATACTGTAAATGGGTGAGGCTGAAGAGTCTTCAGCAACTGTCTTCAGCAATGCTTAAAAACACATATTTCATTTTTCCTTAAATATACAAGCAAAACTATTTTCATCTATAAGAGGGTGTAATTATGTTGATACAAATAAAGTTCCAAACTAGAATATCCTCAGAAAAAGACATATGTCCAGAGAAACTTCTTTTTACGAGGGTAAAATGTCCAAGTTTAAGAAAGGTTCCCAGAAAATATGACACGGCTATTCATAGGGTGTTTTCCTAGACTCAATAAAGATCATGGCTATAGATCCATCCTTATTTATTCATTTAACAAAACTATATTGAAGACCTACAGTGTGAGGAGGGTTACAATCACATGAGTGTGCATATACGGAAGGATGAGCAATGAATAAACACAAAGAAATAGAAAACAGTAAAAGAAATAGAGATTAAACTAGAGGATAGTGAATGGAAAGTAAAGCAATTAAAGACCAAATGAATAAGATGGATTTCTATTCAACAATGATAGAAAAGCAATGAGTTCTGATATCAACTCATCCTAAAGGGCTTACCCCAGGACCTAAACACTTCCAAAGACCTCTGTGAAATGCAGTTATTCAACAACAAAGGATAAGAGAAGACTGAAGAAAATAAAGACTCCGGTGATGCTGAGGGTCCCCAGTTTTAGAGCTGATTCTCTGATCTTCCCAATAGTAAAATAACTTTGTCTTAATGTCCCAAACAGAGTTTTGCAGAGGAGGGAGCCCCTGCTGAGTTGTTTTAAGCAGGAAGTGTACTGTAATGAATAATGTCATTTTGTCATGATCTTTTGTCTTATAGTAATTCACTCCGCATTCTCATAATAATTTACCACTTCAAAGCTACACTTCTGGGTTTTGGCCCTGTGTTTTGAGATGACCAATAAGGACCCAGACTTCTCTATTCCTAATACAGCTGCAAAAGTGATGAAAGGATCCCCATTGTTCTTTGCAGGTCCCTATTTTCATCTGCCAAGACCTCAGTTTCCTCACCTATAAACTAATGATAATGATAGATGCCCCTGCCACCATTCCTGTGATGATAAATGAGATTAATTCCTGAAATGCCTTATAATTTACAAAGCAATTTCACAAAAATAATCATGGAGAAGCCTGGGCCAGGGACTGGTGAGAAAGAAGGGCAAATTCTCCAATATATGTTGAGATAATTCCCCATAGCATCTGCTGTTTTAAATTTGTAGCTTTGAAACCAGAGGAAAATATGAGGTATAAACTCTCAGCTATTTAGAATAGAAGTTAAATGTGTACACTCTTCTCAGCCCTCCATGAGCTTTTGCTTGTGTGTAGGCACAAAGGCTACCCCAGGTAAAGGGCTGTTTCAGCGCAAAGACCAATTAAAAGTTACTAATGTCCTGGAGAACCTAGAGAACACCCTCTCAGCTCTACTTTCACTCTGTGAACTCTAAAGAATATGCTCATCATTTTATATGCCAAAGTTATTACAGACACTGGATAACCTGCCAATTTGTCAGCAGATTGTTTCCTAATGAGCAGTTAATTTTTCTTTTGGAAAGGGAACAAAATGAGTTAAAAGTTTCCCTCAGAAGATGCCTTTCATTTTTGATCACCTAGCCCATAAAACTGTCATTTGGAAGGGGCCACTTCTCAGTCACTGCAATTCCTTTAAACACACAAACAAAACAAAGATTGGGAAAGATTTGGGCTGCAACCAAAATGAGGGTGATGGGCAGGGTGAGGAGGGGCATGGTCTCCAGAGCAAACACGGGGAAATCCGGCGTGACTCAGTCACACACCAGCTGTGTGCCCTGGGTAGGGAGTTGGCATCTAAGCTTCTGTGTGGGTAACTGTAAAGTGGGATCAATCACCAGTGCCAGCCTCATTGGCTGTCTTTAGCATTACATGAATGACTTAAGGTGCTCTGGGAGCAAGTGGCACCTAGTAAGTGCTCAATAACTGCTAGCTATAATTATTAAAATGATTGAAAATGGAATAAACTTGGCAATAGCCAAGCTTACCAAATATCTATTAATAATCATTTTTGTCCCCTAAGTTTTCTTTTGAAGAAAAGAGAGTTAAGTAGAACATTGATTTTGTTCTTTTTACATTAGAGGGCAATTGATGCTCTAATTCCCAATCTCCCTGAATTTGTCCTCTTCTCTCCTCTCCTTATTTTTATGTTCTTTCTTCCTCCCCTCCCTCAGCTGCATACCTTCTTCTTCTTCCTGGGGTCTGAGTTACCACTGACAGCTGGAATGTGTTAAGACCTGCCCTTGGTCTTGGACTTAACCAAGATGCTTCTACTACTTGACCCCAGTACTCAATAGAACCAAAAGGTTCAACTTCACATATAAGTAGACTTTTCCTGACTTCTCCACCTTGCCAAAAAGTGGCTTACTTGCAGCAAAAGGGCCAATCCACAAATATCAGAGAAATTCCTGAAATTTTTCTCTAGAAATTTTGACTCCCTTTCCACTGCTACATCTGCACAGAAACTGCAGCAAAGGAATTTACCACAGAAAGGGTAGCAAACAAAAAATGTTTTAATAACATTTCTACACATTGCTCATGGCTTCTACAGTTACAATTATGAGTTCACGCAGTGCTAACAACTGTTTTTCATTTTGTTACTGGTTTAAGAATTTAAAGAGGAACTGATAGAATGAGTAAATGTAATTCACAACCTAATAGAGATTTGCAGTTCCAGAAACAGTCTACACTTTTTCAACTACGGAACGGGGAAAATGCTGACCATGTGCTTGTTTTTCATTACCCAGGAAAATTCAGAGATGGTCAGTGATTATTCATGTCAAAAGTTTTAAAGCTGTCCCTCTCTGGGGTATTAACTAGCACGTTTTAGAAGTAGCTGCCCACCAGCTTCCACTATTATTCTCTGCGGTACACAGGCTGGGGAAGCACCCAGGCAGGCCAGGTTTTTCCGCCCATTTGCTAAAGCATACCATGGTCCTCACTTACACGGAACCCACAGGAATCACCTTCCATGGACCAAGCCATATGAGAAATGGAATATGATGGTTTTGAGGATAACCAGGGAGAATCTCTAAACAAAATATTTAGCTTCTCCCAAGAGCCTACACTCTACTTCCTCCCAGCTACTCACTTTTTTTTGTTGTTGTTGTTGGTTTTGGGGTTTTGTTTTTAGAAAACAGGCACATCTTTTAGACATTTCAGGAATTAAAGACGTTGTCCAGGGTTGTCATTACTTAGAGGGTAACTCAATTCTTAGGCGCACTTCCCACTTCTCACTCATGTCCACATTTAGCACACTGGGGAAGTAGAGTCTTTCTGTGAATCAGGAAGATTATCTTGTTTGGAAATCACTGGCCTCCATGCCTAGCTTCTCAATTAGACTCTGAACTTCCTTAGAGTACATCTTATTGTATCTAGAGATTAATGCAGTAAGAGATGAAAGAGGAGATCTGAATTTCTGTAGCTATAGCAGGAATAAAAAAAAAGAAAGAAGCTACATTCTGAGGAAGTTCCACCAACACTGATTTTATTACCAGGAGGAAGAACTGCCACTCTGCCCCTCCCAGCAGACCCTGTGCTATACAAAAGTGCCTCAGCGCTCCCTGAGGAAGATGCCCTTTTTGTATGGTTCTAGTCTGTAGCTTCTGATCAAATATCACTGACCAATAACATCAATTAAAAGTCATCTCGAAGTGAAAAGATTTATTCAAGTCATTCACCATAAACACAATTAAGGGTCTTGCTTCAAGTTTAGTAGATCTACGTGTTTTAGGGCAGTAATAAAAGTAACGATAACGCTGTAAGTTTACTTGGTATCCATTACTGCACTGAAAATAGGAAATCATTTATCACATCCAATTTTTGGTGCAGGTTATCTCCCACCAAAGGCAAAGAAATAAAGAAAATTGGTAGATTTTCAAAATTAATATCTAAATATATTTAGATAGATATAAACACGTATGTATAATACACTCACATGCATAATTAGCCCAGAAAAAGTGAGGGAAGTATTTTCTAATCAGTAACTAATATGACAGAGAAAGAAGTACTAAAGAGAAAAAGTAGCAGCATGACTTAGAACTAATAACCCTTCATCAAACATAATCACATGTGATTATGTGATAGAATGTTTCCTAGGGAACGTGGTTCAGGGTCAGATAGTTGATCCCCTTACTCAATGCAGAAATCTCTAGCACAACCTCCTCCACTGTGATTACCACCTTCCCATTTGAGAGGGCTCACTCTTTCCTTAGGTAGCCCAGCTACGATTTGGGCAGCTCTAATCATTAGACAGATCTTCCTTAGACTGAGCCAAATATAACTTCTTGTAACTTATGTATATTCTTTGTTCAGCACTCTGAAGTCTAATTTTCTTCATGACAGCTCTTCAAATGTCATTTTCTAAGGTACAGATAATGTCCCAACTTAATGATTTTTTGAACTTTACCATAGTGCAAAAGCCCATGCATTGAGTAGAACCTGTACTGTGAGTACCCATACAACCACTCTGTTTTTCATTTTCAGTATAGCATTCAATAAATTACAGAAGATATTCAGTACTTCATTATAAAACAGGCTTGATGTTAGATGTTTTACCCAAGCGAAGACTAATGTAAGTCTTCTGAGAATATTTAAAGTAGGGTAGGCTAAGCTATGCTGTTGGGTGGGTTAGGGGTATTAAATGCATTTTTGACTTAAGATATATATGTTTTTTGAGATGGATTCTTGCTCTTGTCACCCAGGTTGGAGGGCAATGGTGTGATCTCGGCTCACTGCAACCTCCACCTCCCAGGTTCAAGTGATTCTCCTGCCTCTGCCTCCTGAGTAGCTGGGATTACAGGCACCCATCACCACACCCGGCTAATTTTTGTATTTTTAGTAGACACCGGGTTTCACCACGTTGGCCATGCTGGTCTCGAACTCCTGACCTCAGGTGATCCCCTGCCTCAACCTCCCAAAGTGCTGGGATTATAGGAGTGAGCCATGATGCCCCACCTGACTTAAGACTTTTTTTATTGGGACATAAGCCTGTCATAAGTCAAGGAGCATCTGTATATAAGTATCTAAACTTTATTTATTCCCTTCATCCATTCAAGAAATTTATTCACTCTAGATTTTATTCCAGATGCTGTCACATATTTTATTACATCCCTAAGGCCATCTTAAAATGCATAATACCTAGAAAGTTCTACCAAAAAGCCAGGCAAAGTTATCTAAGCAGCTTTCAGAGACACCAGTGGATATGGCCTTAGGACAAAAGTGCATCTTAATACTCAAAATCAATCCAGAATTCATTCTATTTCAAAAGGCAAAGAGAGTTAAGACAGTTTATGTGAGTTGATTTCCAAGTGAAAAGAAAAGCTACCTCTATTTTCTGTTTTGTTTTAAATGTGCAAAAAGATCCCCAAATCTCGAAAAAATATCTTCTCATTGTTAGACCAAAGACGTTATTGTTAGCTGCACTAATGCTTTTATTTGAAACTAACAGTGGAACAGTATCACTTAACTCTGACTTGCATCAGAATGAAATTAGTCACTAGAGGCAAAAGATGAACACCTACCTCTACTCAGAACTAGGGTGATTTTTTGAGATATCTTAGGCCAATATGCACATATCCAATAAGTCAGGCAGCATTCAGTAGTCAAAGCAATAATAGGATATTACGTTTGAAGAGCACGCCCTGGGCCTTCTCCTCCCTTCCCTTGAATGAAGTCACAAATTATCTGTTATAAGTGGATGAAACATATTAGCAAAGAATCTAGTATGCCCAGTGGCCAGACTGACCCTGTTGCATTGGATTAATAGCTGACTACAGAAGACGGATAATGTTATACTTTGTGCAAAATGATAAATTTATGCCCTCACACTTTGCAAAGGAGTGAATGATTGTGCCCTCCCAAAATTCATATGCTGAATCTCTAATCCCAACGTGATAGCATTTGGAGGTGGGGCCTGTAGGAGGTAATTAGGTTACAAGGGTAGAACCCTGATGAATGACATTAGTGCCCTTAAAAGAAGAGGCCAGAGAGTTAGCTTGCTCTCTTTCCCTCACAGCCATGCAAGAATACAATGAGAAGACAGCAATCTGCAACTCAGAAGAGGGCCCTCACCAGAACCTGTCTGTGCTGGAACCCCAATCTCAGAATTCCAGCCTCTAGAACTGTAAGAAACAAATTTCTGTTGTTAATAAGTCACCTGGTCATGGTACTTTGTTATGGCAGCTTGAACTGTCTAAGACAAGCATAAACTGTACAGAAGTCCCCCTTATCCATAGTTTTACTGTTCAGTTTCAGCAACCCATGGTTGTATTTCAAAAATAGTAAATAAACATTTCCAGAAATAGACAATTCCTAAGTTTTAAATTTTGAGTTCTTTCCAAGTAGCGTGATAAAATCTCACACCATCTTGGGAGGTCCAGCAACTCCACACTGTAGACACTTCCTGCCCTGGAGTCACGGAATAGCCATCTCGGTGATCGAATTGACTGTGGAGGGATTGCAGTGCTTGTGTCTAAGTCACCCTTATTCTACTTCTTAATGGCCCCAAAGTGTGACAGGAATGATGCTGGCAATTAAAATAGACCAAGAAGTCATAAACGGCTTCCTTTAAGTGAAAAGTTGAAAGTTCTTCAGGAAAAAAAAAAAATTGTATGCTGAGGCTGCTAAGATTTACAGTAAGAATGAATATTCTATCCGTAAAACTGTGAAGAAGGAAAAAGAAATTCCTGCTAGCTTTGCTGTCTTACCTCAAACTGTAAAAGTTAGAGCCACCATGCATGATAAGTGCTTAATTAAGATGGAATTAAATTTGAGGGTTGAAGAAATGGACAGAAACGTTCCGACTGACTGCAATCAGGTTCGGTACTCTCCAAGTTTTAGGCATCCACTGGGGTTTTCAGAATTCATCCCCAGCGGATGTGGGGGACACTTGAATGTCCCTCGGTTCATCACAGTGATTAAAAGTAGCAGCCAGCATGCTACCTGGATCCTCAAAGCTCAGCCCATCATGTCCTTCAGGTCTTGGTCTAAATGCCAACTTTTCAGTAAGGCTCATGGTGCCTGCTCTAATTAAAATGTAATACCCTACGCCCATATTCCCAATCATCTTAATCTGACAATTTTCTTTATTCAGGGACCTTAGCCCCTTATAGTGTACCACATGGTTTACTGAATTACTGTGTGTGGGTGTTCACCATTCTAGTTCCCCTTCCTCCCAACACATAAGCTCACACACACACAAGCATTTATGAATGACAAGGACAGGACCTTCATCTGTTTACTGACTTATCCTAAGAATCTATGAGTCCTGGGCCCATAGCGGGAAGTAAAAAGTTAACATATATTTAAGTTGAATGAATGAATAATGACTCTGGGCTTAGATAGAGCTGGCCCCGGGTCCCCATTCAGCCTACACTCACTGAATGACCTTGGGAAAATGATCATCCTCTCTGGTCCTATGTTTCCTCATTAGTAAAATGTGGAATCTACAAGTAACTACCCCACAAGATCCTTGCGAGGATGAAGTGGGTCGCTGCATGGCAAGTCCTTAGAATTATGCCCGGACATAGAAAGCTTTCAATAAATGTTAGCTGCCACTGTTATTATAATTTCAAGATATGTTTCCTGAGGTGGCGATGGATTTGTGAAGATTTATGCTCTCAGGCAAATGGCTCTCCTCATATCTGACAGCACCGATCTGAGATGGTGAAAGGAATTCACTGCCCTTGGTAGAGCAGCAGAGTTACCAAGGATCTCGCCCTTTCCCTATGGTCTCTCATCAGCCCCAATTCAACAATGTCCTCGGCTTTGCAAACAAGCTGTTAACAGTGAAAATGGTACTGCCTCTGACCTGCTGAAGCAGAATAAACAAGACACTGAAACCACTGAGTAAGTGATGGTGAGGCTCAGAAACCTTAAAAGGCAGGGAGAGCAGCTTCTCTTTTCCCACTTGAACTGAGATTTATTTGGCTTAACTGGAGTCAAAGCTAATGGTTCTAATGACTTTGAAGCACCCCAACTTATTCTCCAGATTTCTACACATGGACTTACACTTTATGAAAGAGATATACACACACAAAAAAATTCCTCCATAAAAGAATTTACCAGACCATACTAATCACGTAGATATTAGCTTTATCCCTGGAGTAAAATCCAAGTCTCTCTAACAGCAATAGGAGATGGGGCTGCAAATTAGTCCAATAACCTGAATATTCACTAAGGACTTAGGAAAACAAAACACTTTGGAAACACTCATTATCGATTTACACATACCTTTGATCTATGGAGAAAAGCAAGGATTTCAGGACTGGTTGAGTTAGAAGAGGAGGCGGGAGTTCGTGAGGAAGACAGAGACGAGAGATCAAAAAGGATGACAAAAGTGGGAGGAATATTTACTGATTTCTTGGTAATAACAGTCTTAACTTCCCTGTTAGTTAATGTCTTTCCAAAGTTAATCTCTATGAAGTGGTCCCTTACGGCATTATAAGAGAAAAATGAAATGAATGACTACACATTCAAGGAACACATAATAACAAGTAATGTCAAGAAATTTCTCTCTTCACTTTAGAGAACAAACACCCCGGAGTTGATGCTGAAATTAAATTTTTAGACTCCCAAGTCAATGCTCTGTACTCTACACAGTAAGTTCTCTCAACTTTAACATGCACGTGATAAATGATGGAGTAGTTTTGCATTTTTGACAAGCTCCCAGGTGATGCGGATAGCGCTAGTCCTTGGAATACACTGAGTTGGAGGCCTCTGCCCATTACATCTGCTAAGGTAAGCCTCGTGAATAACTGTTTTTAATGAAAAGGTATTTTCCAAGAGCAGAAGATAATGAGATTACCAACAGAATATTGACGTGTTAAAAGTTCTAATAATTCAACAATATTTGTAATATTCAACAAACATTTGCACAGCGATGTCAACTGTCATTAATAAGTAAAATATACTTAAGTTGCAGATTTTTGAAACATAAACACTAATATTTTATAGTCGAGCTATCTATTAAAAGAAAAACTTCAGCCGAATTAAATTTAAAGGAATTTAATTGAGCAACGAACAATTCGCAAATCAGGCAGCCCCCAGAATCACAGTGGATTCACAGAGACTTCAGGACATCCACATGGTGGAAGAAGATTTAGAGACAAAAAAAGGAAAATGGCATACAAAAATCGGAAGTAAGGTACAGAAAACAGCAAGATTGGTTACAGGCTGGCGTTTGCCTTATTTAAACACAGTTTGAACACTCAGCAGTGTATGACTGGTTGAATATGGCTGCTGGGATTGGCCAAGACTCAGCTTTTGTTTTGTTTTGTTTTCTTTTGTTTTGTTTTTTGACACGGAGTCTTGTCCTGTTGCCCAGGCTAGAGTGCAGTTGCGTGATCTCAGCTTACTGCAACCTCCGCCTCCCAGGTTCAAGCGATTCTCCTGCCTCAGCTTTCTGGGTAGGTAGGATTACAGGCATGCGCCACCACGCCTGGATACTTTTTGTATTTTTAGTAGAGACAGGGTTTCACCATGTTGGCCAGCCTGGTCTTGAACTCCTGACCTCAAGTAATCTGCCCGCCTCGGCCTCTCAAATTGGTGGGATTACAGGTGTGGGCCACCGCGCCCGACCTCAGCTATTGTTACAGGTACATAAGCCTAAGGTTTTCAATCTTGCCTAGCTATTAAGTTAGGTTGCAGTTCACAGGGACTCAAATATAGAAGTACAGAGTACTTCTCAAGCCATATTTATTTTACTTTAATAAATCTCTCACTGTATTTTATTGTTATGCACTCATGGATAATTTCCTCCTTATGTTTGAGATATACCATACAGAAAATCCACTAACTCTATAAAACTGTCTTAATTTTCAGTCAGCTTTGATAATAAAGATACTATGTCTAGGGGTTGCTTTTACTTTCTTTGAAATGTAACATTTTAGATAAGAAAGATGGCACTGCCACACCTGAGCCCAGCAGGTTATTTGCAATCTACCATGGAATAACAAAGTTGACCATAACCCATTACATATATTACATCCCTATTTGGGAGGAGCCACAGTATAGGTGGGGTTTAGAGAAGAAAAAAGAAGGTCATTCTATTTCTGTTTTCCTCACCTGTAACAGAGGAATCTCGATGCATTTGAAGAAAGTTGATGAAAACTAAACACAGTGTGTACCTCTAGCCAAAACTCACAGTTACCTTGTAAAGCTTCCTATTGGTCCTCTTGAATCAGCTGAGCACAAGAGGTTTTTCCTATAAAAAGTCCACAGTGCATCTAAATCTGATCCCAGTGAAATTTCACTTCGGCTGAAGTGAAAATGCAGAGGTAGCATTTAAGGATAACAGCTGGAGAACATTAGTTCCCTGTCTCTCCTTTTCTCTCCCAAGGGTTGAAAATTCTGCTGTTCAGACAGGAAGTCGTCATATACCACACACTGCACAATACGAGAATGCTGGGATAGAAGAACAAGTTGCAGAGGATTAGAAGGGCTGGGGCGGGAGGCGGGTGGGGTGGGGGCAGGGGATTGTTCAAGAAAGAACTCATAGCAGTGATTCTATGTACCCCTTGGGCTGTCTTTCTCCCCCCGACAGTGTTCAACTAGCATACACCCAGAACTGACAAGCACATGCTACAATTATATCCTGAAAGCTTTTTAATAACTCGGAGTAAGAAGGCTTAATCACTTACTTTTCCTCACATTTTTATAATATTAACTCTAAGACGTTTTGGGGAGTGGCCCAGATTCTCCAATAATCTTTTTTGGCATACTTTCACATTTGCTATCTAAAAAGGCAGCCTTTAACTTTAAAAAAAAAATTGTCAAAAAAAAAAAAACTCAAATCACTGCCCAAGACAAGGAAATATACATAGATACACACACACACACACACACACACACATACACATGCACATATGGAAGTCAAAACATGATGATCTGGAAAAAGAATGACTTAAAGAAAAGGTTCTTGTGGATATGGTTTTTGTAGGGTCGGTTTCTGCTGTAATTTCACAAAACTGCTGAGAAACGAGGAGAGACACCCACATTCTGTGGCCACAGCTCAAAGTTTCGAACAGGATGATAAGAGTTTCCTCCAGGCCACAGGCTGAATAGCTAGCCTGCATTCCTACCAGTCTGCAAGCGCTGGCCCCTCCTTTGTAACCAACTGTCCTCTGGGGGCGGGCTGTAAAACTGACCCGGTCTCTTCCACTCCTCTTCAGCCAAGACCACTAGACACAAACCTTCTTAACTTTTGAACTGCAGAAAAATGCCTTTGCCTTATGCGTATCAGGGGCTAGCTGCTAATTGGGATACAACGCTACGGTTTTATGCAGAGTGGGAGGAGGTAGGAGAGAGAAGGGAGAAGCCAACCCAGACATCCATCATCCTTTTAGGAGTAGGTGGAGTTTAAAGTTTCCCTAACTTCCAAGTTCCCACTTGACAGGCAATATTTCTGTGCAATTTCCAGCCCCACGTAACAGATGGTCCTTTGCCCGTCTCCAGCCCCGAGAGAGACCAGACAAAGCCCCCAGCCATTCCACGCCTCGCAGGACTGATAGGTGCTTAGTTTCATGAAGCTGTCAGAGCAGGAGCAGCGAGCAAAGAATGGAAACTTAACTTCTCCTTCCAGAAGTTTTTTCTGCTACAGTAGAGTCCAGGGGGCTGGAGCACAAAGGCCCGGGAAAGTTTTCACTGAGTTATTTTTCAAAAACGTCTTCCGCCATCTGCCAAACCATCATCTCCTAAACCCCAGATGCCCAGGGAAGGAAGGTTAAGGCATATGTGCTCAGAAACACAGCAGAGATGCAACTTGAGCCTTCCCAAAGACAAACTGGGAAGTTGCTTAAAGAGACCCCCACAGTGGAAAAGCATCCTCGGGGCGCCTGACCTACTCACTGGTCACTCACTGCCAAAGGAGAAGGTGGTGACCCAGACAGGGTGCCAAATGGGGTGCGTCACGGCCGCGGGCGAGAACCTCCCTTCCCAGTCGGGAGGGCGAGGGAAAGGGGAGGAGGGACGCGATCCGGGAGTCTGAGGACGGGCGGCCCACTCACCCTCACTGCCGTACTGTTTGCCATTGTTCGCGCCCATCCTGTAGCCGTCATGCCCGCCGTCTCCCGGGACACTCCATAGCTGCGGCGCACGTCCTGCGCGCTCGGCCCGAGGAAAGCCCGCCCGACGGGACCGTTAGCTGCACATCCCCCCCAAGCTCCGGGGCCGACCTCCGGCCTGGAGAGGTCCCCGCACTCCAGTGGGAGGGGGTGCTGCGTCCCCTCCTGGCACCCCCGGTGGCTCCAGGCGGGGCCGGGCACAGCTGCAGCACTTACAATCCGCGCTGGGGGCCGGCGGGCGCAGCGCCGCGCACAGCCCGCGCCCCGGGGCCGCCCAGAGGCTCACCGCGCCGCCGCCGCCGGGTCCCCATCCGCCCGCCCCGATCCCCTCCGGTGGGCGCTGAGCCGGGCAGGCCCCTGGGCTCCGCGGCTCGACCGCCTCCTTCGGCTGCCCCTGCGCGCCCGCGGCTTCCCCGGGGAGGGCGCGGCGGCCACTTGTTGCGGGTCCCCGGAGCGAGTGAAGACTAGCGACCCGGCGCAGCTCGCCCGCGGGCCGGACTTTTGTTAGCGCCAGGCGCCTCCTCTCGCCGCCCAGCGTCAATCACAGCTGGAGCCCCGGGGAGGAAGGCCGGCCCGGAGATGCGCGGCCTTTTAAAGGGGCAGCGCGCCTTTTCGGGGCTGCGGCTCCAGGCCCCAGCCTGGGCACCGGCTCAGCGCGCTACGCGCGAACCCTTCGGAGCGAAGCAACGTCCTGTTGGCTCTGTTTTACTGTTGTTCTTTTACAGGCTTGGCCCCCAATCTATAAGATGAACTTCCAGGCGTCGTTTGGAATCCCTTGAGTTTGTCTGCAAGTACAGCCTATTTTAAGTGCGTGGGCATTTAAAATAAACACGCATCCGTGTCTAATTCTGACACCTTTCAGGTGTATGCGTTGGCATTCTCCTGTGACTTCCCTGTTTGGAGACTGGGGCGGAAAATGGAAGACAGAGGGAGGGAAAACTTGGGGCGACTTAGCAGGGAGTCGGTCCCAGGAGAGCCAGACTTTCCCTGCCCCGCCCCGGTGAAGGAGGTTTCCTGGCTCAGAATGTTTAACAGCTTCAGAGCCAGGAAATGTATTTTCTCCTCGTTTCTGTGATTTTTTTTTTTCTTGTGGTTGGTGTTATCCTTTGTTTAAAACATTATAGCCTCTTTTGGAAATTTATGTGACACTTCTACAGCTTTAAAATGGCCCTTTGGTGTTCGCTGCATTAAACAGAAAAAGGAAATTCTCCTTAATGTTTTATTCCCTTTTCATGTAAATACCTAGAATTTTATAACATTACATCCTAATAAAGACCAGGGCACTCACCGTGCAAATTTCTTTGTAGTGAGGCAAGCACAGAGCAGTTTTTCCTTGTAGATGTTAGATGTTGCAAATTAAATTAAAAGTGTATATTGATGCATACATACATAAATATGCGTATATAGAGATATACATACATAGATATATGCATATGATGCGTGAATACAGAACCAGGCGTTTTGTAATTACGTATTTCTTAAAAGGCTTGTGACCACATGCAGAAATTCTTAGTGATTTAACTTCTTATAGATTCTATTTGGGTAATTTCCTTTATTTACTACAATTTTCCTTTGTAACAACGGGATAAAACATCCATATTTCAAGATTTTTAAATCTAGATATCATGTACTGAAAGAAAAAAATAATAATCTATTTTCAAGAATGGGATCAAATGTTTTGTATTGTGCTGATTTTTCCACTGTCCAGGTCCAAAGAGATGAAAGACTATTTTAATTCATCTTTTAATATCTAGAATCCAGCACACTGGCCAATAATATGTGCTTCCTAAATGTCTGTCAAATTATATCTAAAACCTGTGTCATAGGCCCTAAAGAAGGTAGAGATATCAAAAATTTGGAAGAGTGAGTTATTTCAGATTCTACCTGAAAGCATAAATCCAATCTAGAAAGGAGCTGACGTCTACTTTATCTTCATGCAAAAGCGAATTTCTGCTCACCTGGTCTGTATTAGTTTTCTGTAGCTTATAACAGAATTCCTGAAACTGGGTAATTTACAAAGAAAAGAAATTATTTTTTTGGAGGCTGAAAGATCCAAGCTCAAGGGGCACATCTGACGGGAGCCTTCCTGCTGGTGGAGGCAGCACACGGGGCACCACACAGTGAGGTAGCTGAGCGTGCTAGTTCAGGTCTCTCTTCCTCTTCTTCTAAAGCCACCAGCCCCACTCCTGTGATAACCCGTAAATCCATTAACCCATTAATCCATTAATCCATGAATGGATTCATCCATTCGGGAGGCAGAGCCCTCATGACCCAATCACCTCTTAAAGGTCCCACCTCTCAAAATTGCCACATTGGGGATTAAATCTCAACATGAGTTTTGGGGTGGACAAATATTCAAAGTATAGCATGGTCTTTGTGATTCTTCTGTCACCATGCAGGGAACTTACCCTGGATCTGATCATTTTGGAGGCATATTTGAAAATAAACTGGGTGTAAAGTAGTAGAACAAAGGAAGCTCTTCTTGAAGTTTGATGTACAGTTGACAATTTGCTTTTTATATGCTATTATTTCCCTGACGGTCTTAGTCTCTCCCTTGCAATTTACAAATGGGAAAACGGACAGCAGAAACTGAGGCTTGAAGAGTTAAATGTCTAGAGTCACCCAGATGGTAAGTGCCAGATTGATTCAGTTTCTCAGTTTCTCTCCACCCCACGCCACTGCCTCTCTGGACCTGGCCATTATTCAACTGGGAGTCACTGTCCTCCCTTTTCGATTGGGTCTCTTTTCAGAGTCTTTAATATCAAATTAAAGCCAACAGTGAAAAGTAAATTCTGGTGACCAACTACATGTATCTTTCTTGAAATTAAATTCTGTAAATATTTTTCAAAGCTTTATTGCCTACTCTACTGGGAAATGGAGATAACTCATTTTATGAAATTCCAGCTTAAAACAAAATGGAAAGCATACTTGATTTTTAAACATCCTTCTGATCATAGAAGTTGATAAAAATGCATGTTGGCCTATTCACTATAAAAGCCACAGCCAATTAAGCAAAACAAAAAGAAAAGCACTATTCCAGCTGCAAATACAGGCCTATTCACGTTTATATATTTTAATTTTCAAAGTTAAGATATTGTACCAATGTCTTAACCCAAAATTCCAAGCTTTTTACCTAGCTTCCAAACCTAATCCCCAGCTTTCAATACAGTATGGCAATCTCCTTGAGACAAGGGTGGTATGTTTTTCACCAGTGTGCTCCCAATACCTAGCACAGCTGCTAACACAAAGTACTCACTCAGTAAACACTAGCAGAATGAGTGAATGTTGAACAAAGAGATGATGTGACTTGAATGTTATTGTACCTTCTCTGTCATTGCCTTTTTAAAGAGGCCACAATCACTAAAAGGATTTTTTTAAATAAACATTCAAAATTACCTAAGCTGAATAAGAATATACTAGGTATCTCATGTTTTTTTCCACTCAGGACCTTTTCCTGTAAGGAAGTCTGCTAACACCAGCTCCTGTACTTTGGGAAACTGTTTCGTCCAAATTTCAACCATGGGCTTCCTGTGAAAGCTTGTCAATCATGGTAATGGTGGTAAACTTCCTGTACCCGTAAGGGCCAGGCTGACTCAGTCCAACACCCACCCCCACCTGGCTATAAGGACAGAAGCAAGTGCTTCTCTGCTTCCCTGCTAGGAGGTGTCGGGGGAGACCTGGTGGAGAGTCAGGAGTTTCACCATCACTCAAGGGTAGCAGTGTCATCCCTACTGCACTGTCAGTGGAGACCATGTGGGAAGCTGGAACTCTCACAGTGGACGTCCAGCAGTAAGGAGGAACCCCCTCAGGTCAGGGAACAACAGAGATCAAGGGGGATTCTGGGGTTCTACCTCCACCTGGCAATTATAAGGTGTCCTCCCTCCTTTCACTGGCAGAGCAGTATCAGAAAAAGATAGTTAAAAGCTTTCAATAAGATCCAGAGTCTACTAACATGATATGAAAGTGTCCAGGTTTGAATTAAAAATCACACATTATACCAAGAACCAGGAATATTTCAAATTAAATAAAAAAGTTAATAAATGGCAACACCAAGATGACAGAGATGTTAGAATTATCTGGCAAGGATTTTGCAGCAGCTATGAAAAATATTTCAAGCGTGGTACAAACATTTATTCTATGAGTAAATTACACATATGCTTATAACAAATGAAAAAGCAGAAAGCTTCAGCAAAGAAATAGAAGATATTAACAAGAACCAAATGGGCACTTCAGAGCTGAAAAATAGAACTGAAATAAAATGCTCAGTGAATGGGCTAAATATCAGAATGGAAGAGACACAGGAACAAATCATTGAATTGGAGGATAAATCAATAGATATTATCCATCTGAACACGGAGAAAATAGACTGAAAAACATGAATAGAGCCTCAGGGACATGTGGAACTATAATAAAAGATCTAACATTCGTGTCATCAGAGTTTCAGAAAGAGAGAAGAAAGAGGGAAGAGCTGAAAATGTACTTGAAGAAATACTGGCTAACAATTTCCCAAATTCTTAAAATAAGAAAATTATAAAAGTAGAGAAAGATTAGTGATTCTCAGGGGTAATTTGGAGGCTAGAGGAAAATGGATGTTGTTATAAAAGGGCCACATGAGATATCTTTGTGGTGACGGAAATGTTCGTATCTTGACGTTATCAATGTCAATCTCCTGGTCTGGATGTTGCACTACAGTTTTGCAAGATGTTACCACTGGAGGAAACTGGGTAACTGCATTATTTCTTACAAATGCATGTGAAATCTACAATTATCTCAAAACATAAAGTTTCTTTTGAAGAAAGAAACTTCTTTCTCTCCGTCAGAACTATTTCTACATATTCTTTTTCTGCTGTTATTTGCTGTACCTCCCGTTTGCACTTCACACACATACATTCACCTGGGAGAACAAATGTCTTCAGGAGAACTGATTTCTTAGTGTACAGTCTATCTACATTCAGGTCTATTGAGCACTGCATGATTTAGGCAAAGTAGTCAGCCAAAAATGGTGCCTATTCAAAACCTTGAGCCTTGAGCCTTGAGCTACCAGAATTTCATACTCCATTGATGAAAGGAACTGGCCATTTGCTAAATAGCTCCCATTTACTTTGCAATGTGTGAACCTGATACAGAAAAAAAAAAAAAAGAGAAACATAAAGGTAGAAACGTCTAAGTTTCAATTGATAGTCACATTTTCATTTCTATTTTTTAGTGACTAACTCAGTGGCCTTTATGCTACTTTAATAAATATGTCAACACTCTGAGTAATAGGAATGTGTTTTCTTCCAGTAGTATTTTTTTAGGAATATTGATTTCAAAAGCCAGCTTGATTTATAACACATTAGGCCCTCATTTTCTCTGGGGGGTGGAGCTGTCAGGTTCAAGTTAATGTTCTCCGCTTGGCGCTAGTGACAGACAGGCTGTCAGAGCGCATTAATAAAGCTGTAATCCCAGGAGCCAATCAGGGCGCCTCTTCTGTTCTTCTGGTCCCCTTGGCTGCCAGGCGCCTGCAGGAGCACATCATTAACCACAAGCTTCCTTGGGGATACTGTAGACAAAATAAACTCTCCCGTGAAACACATCTTGGGAAACATTCAAAACTGGAATCCCTGGTTTAACAAAAGTACAAAAAAAAATTAAGAAGAAATATTAGTTTGTAAAAGGAAAAAATGAACCAGACCGTTGTATGATAAGAGCTTCTGCTTTTAGCTTCTTCACATTTATTTTGACTTTCTTCTCTGTTGAGTTGCCTTCAAAAATCTGAATCACCTGCTTATCTTTAGTTATTTTTATATTTCAGAATATGGTTAATTTGCATATTCTGTTACTGCAATTAAAGTGGAAAATAGCAGCCCAGTTGTAGAGCTGTGTTTAAATGCATGCATGAGATCTTCTAAAAGAAGAAATACTGTTTTTAATCAATACAGATTTATTATCAAAACATAAAGTTGAATTCTGGGCAAAATTAACATTTATAGCAAACAAAAAATAAACATATAAATTATATCCCGCATACCAAACACTGATTCTGTACATTATTAATATGTAAAAATGAAGAAGAATAAAAAAACACAGTCTAATTTTATTTTATTATCACCTCTGTGCTGTTTTGAATTAAGCACTTTGCTTGTCTCATTTGATGCTCACAACTTTATCAGGCAGCACTTCTAGACACTGTTTTATGGATGAGGATATCAAAGCTCAGAGAAGCTGAGTAAATTCCATAATGATGCACAGCAAGATTGGAAGCAGGTCTGTTTGTAAAGCTTCTGATATTTCTCACTGCTTTCTGTCACCAATATCATGCCTTCACATACTACCCTGGTTTTGGACCAAGCCCAGCTTTCAGTGGAGAGTGTATGTATTTAATAGAGAGTGAAACATCTTTTGACATCTGTGAAATTGAACTAGATTTCAAAACAAATATTTATTATGCAGCATAAATCTTTATCGTTGTCATAATAATAATGAATGGCTAGATATTTAATGTAAACATTTTAATAACACAAATAGATAATGTAGTAGAATGGGTACATATGTAAGTATATAAGCATGTGCAGTGCTTAGAGCACAGCAAATGTGAGATAGATGATAAATTAGATACATAGATGATAGAGAGCAAACGTGAGATAGATGATTAAATAGACAGTAAACGTGAAATAGATAGATAGATAGACAGAAAGAAAGACCATATAGCTAAGTTTTTTGAAACTTTATCTCCTCACCAAGGTTCCTTCCAAGCTCTGGGGAAAAAGTGGACGTTTGCTCTCCTTTTAAATATTGCAATAGCCATACACTTTCCAAACAGTTGCACATCGGCCGTGACTCTACATTTAACACATAATTCCACATCTTTTTATTACCCCTCCTTTATCAGGCAATTATCCTTTATCAGAGAATAAACCACCCGATATCCCATAATAGCCCAAATCAGCATCACAAAATTTATGTACTTAGCTCAGAGCGTGATAGCATGTATTCAGAGTCGTAGTATGCTTAACTATCTGGATTCTTAGAACATAGCAAATTAGAAGCAAGGCATTAGGAGTATTGCTAAAGACATCTGAGAAGCTATAAGAAGTTCCTGCTGGTTGCCTAATAGGGAGAGGGATGAGAAAAATCTCTACAAAGATGATGGAAAATCTGCATAAACATAAACAAGAAACAAATGAGGAGTCTGGGGTGATGTAAGCATAGGTTACTGCCTGTATTAGTCTGTTCTCACACTGCTATAAAGAAATACCTGAGACTGAGTAATTTATAAAGAAATGAGGTTTAATTGGCTCCTAGTTCCACAAGCTGTACAGGAAGCATGGCTGGGGAGGCCTCAGGAAACTTACAATCATAGCAGAAGGTGAAGGGGAAGCAGGAACATCTTCACATGGTCAGAACAGAAGGAAGAGGGGGTTGTCGGGGGAGGTGCCACATGCTTTTAAATGAACAGATTTCATGAGAACCCTATCATGAGAACAGCACTAGGGGGATGGTGATAAGCCATTAGAAACCACCCCCATGATACAATCACCTCCCACCAGGCCTCAGCTCCAGCATTGGGGATTACATTTTAACGTGTGATTTGGGTGTGGACACAGATCCAAACCATATCATTGGCTTAGTTGAAGTAAAGTCAACTCCTGTAACAAAAAAACCTCCAAATTTTAGTGACCTGGCTTCACACAATAGAAATTTATTCCTGGCTCATAAAATAGTCCAAACACATGCTATTATTTCATTAGAGATTATTATCCTCAAAGTAATTCAGGGATCCAGGCTTCTTAAAATGTATAGCTCTACCAACCATAACATCACTCACACACAGTAGCAGAAGGCACAAAACATGAATGGGATGGTCATACCATATAACATCTGCTCACATTCCACTGGTGAGAACAAATTCAATGGCCACATCTGGATGCAAAGGAGTCTGGGAAATGTAGTCTCTGGCTAGTTGGCTATCTTCCAGTCATGACTCCACACCAGGACAAAAGCCAGTGGGTCTCATCCCTGGTACTTACAGCCTACCTGCATATGGTGGAGCATGGTGCAATACACACATCAGAATGCGTTCATCTGTTCAACACTGTTTCAAGCCCTAAAGATACAGCAGTGAATAAAGTAGATGCAGCCCCTGCTCTCATGGAGATAGAATCATCATGAGTAGAGACAGACAATAAGTAGGTTCATATACAAATAAATAGTTTCAGGTAGTGACAAAAGCTAGGAAGAAAGTAAATCAAGATAATGGTATACAGGAGCTGAGTTTTCTGGCAGTGGCTACGTTAGCTGGGATGATCAGAGAATGTATTTCTGTGGATATGAAGTTTGTGCTGAGACTTGAACAATGAAGAGGATATAGCTAAGTGGAACTTTGGGGGGCACAATATTCCAGAGAAAAGAAAATACAAAGTTCCTGAGACTAGAATGAGCTAGGCATATTCCAAGGCAAGAAAGGGGACCAGGGTATCAGTCAGCTACTGCTCTAATGTTATGTAACAGATTGTCCCACAACTCAGTGACTTAAGATACAAGCAATTGTACTTCTTTTTGTGTTTGCTCACAGTTCTGTAGATCACTTGGCGCCACTTTAATTCAGGCTTATGGATGATTTGTACTTGGCCTAGAATTCAGGTCAGGTTTCTCCCACAAGTCCTTCTGGAGCCCAGGCTAAAGGGGATAAGGCTCCCTACAGCATGATCTTCCATGGCTGGCCATAGAGCTGACAGAGGCCAAGCCAACCCTCATAAGCGCATTTGAAAATTCCACAAGCATCACAAACAAAATAAAGACACATGGCCAAATGCAAATCCAATGGAGGAGGGAGATGCTTGGCCCACTTTTGTGCATTGCAAGGTCACATGACAGAGGAGGGAGTGAAAAATTAAGAAACATATTCTAATTCACTGTAGCTAGCATGGCCCGAATGTTGTGAATAAATGGAAAATTTACAGATTTGTGGAAGAAGGAGCAATGGCCAGATTATACAGTGTTTTGTGAGAATGAAAAAATTCATTCTGAATTTTATTGTAATTACAATACAAAATAGGGAGATTTTTAGTAGGGAAGTTATTTGATCTGGTTGATATTTTTAAAAGATCAGCAGGATTTAGTGTGGAGAATGGGGAGACTCTTGGAAAGCCAGAGACCTGCGAAGAAGTCTCCATGCTAGTAGAATAGGTGAACAAAGTTTGACTTCAATTAACACAATAATAGCAGTAGACAAGTAAAACATGATCAGATTAAAGATGTATTTGGGGGGTAGAATCAACAAAACTCACCTGGTTGTTTTGTAGGAGAAAAGAGGAAAATCAGACAAGTGTGGTGGTTCAAGCCTATAATCTCAGCACTGGGGAAGCCAAGGCAGGAGGTCACTTGAGGCCAGCCTGGACAACATAGCAAGACCCCATCTTAGCAAAAACTTTAAAAAATAAGCCTGGCATGGTGGTATGTGCCTGTAGTCCCAGCTACTCTGGAGGTTGAGGCAGGTCACATGAGCCCAGAAAGTTGAGGCTGCAGTGAGCTATGATCACACCTCTGCCTTCCAGCCTGGGCAAGACAGTAAGACCTTGTCTCTTAAAAAAAAAAAAAAAAGAAAGAAAAGTGGAAAATCTAAGATTATGTTTAGGTTTTTTTGCTTGAGCAAAGGGTAGAAATCAGCTGGGAAGATGAAGGAGAAGCACCGTAGGGTTGTTGTCTGGAAGGGATTTTTGTGTCCAAACTCTGGGACTGCTAACATTGAGACAGCCATCAGATACAAAATGGAGCTGTTTAGTCAGCAGTTGACTTGATGATTTGGGTATCAAGAGGGAATGTTGCTATCTGTTCAATTTGAGAGTATTCAGCTCAAAGGCAGCATTTAATGCTATGGCCCAAGATAAGTGAAATTAGGAATAAAATGTAGATATTATAGAAAGCTAAGGACAGACCCCAATAAGTGTCAGCATTTAGCCATCTCACAGAGGAGAGGGAACTGGCAAAGGAGATTGAGAAGGAGCGGCTAATAAGGTGTGAAAAAACACAGAAGAATGGGGTTTTGGAAAAGCTAAGAGGAAAATGCTTCAGGAAGGAAGAAGCAGCCCAGTGTGTCAAATGCTGCCAACTGTTCATGTTCAATGAGTAGACCATGGGTTTGGCAGCAGGTGTAAATGGTGAGCTGTTAGGAGACCCATCATAAGCCATTTCAGTGTAGTAGTGTGGACAAGACTGGAGTGCATTGAGGAGAAAGACACAGGTTTGTGTTGTTTTTTGCTTTTTGAATGGGCAGGCTCTGTTCGGTGATTTTTGTATATTAACGGGAATAGTCCAGTAGAAAGGAAAATATAATAGGATAGAAGCAAAATACTTGAGTTGAAGAAAAGGATTGGAACCTGAAATACAAGAGAAAGGACTGGTCTTGATTAGGAGCAAGATTAGGTGCTTCATCAAAACAGAGGGAAGGTAGGCTCTGGAATTAGATGCAGGTAAGTTGGTGGATCTGGCGGAGAAAAGGGAGACTGTGATCGTCCAGTTACCTTCCCAAGCACCTACCACAGGATGCCTTGGAATGCACAAGCTCGGTAGCCAGGCACAGTGCCAGAAGGGCATGCTTATCATCCCTGCCTGGGACTCCTACTGTTCCACCCAACCCAGATTGGCTGCCTGTTTGCTGGCTGAGCAAGAAAGACTGGTAAGAATTGCAGCAGGGGTTGCTTCCCAGAGCTCAGCTGGTACACAGCAGTATCATCAAAGCCTATAGAAGGTCTGGCCAACTGCTCAGCTCAGGGGAGAGCCAAACATCACAAGTACAATTAACTTTGAACCTGTTTGGCTGTTCAGCAATCTTCAGCTTCGTTTGTGCTCTATAATCCAGACCTGAGGTCATGTTCTTTCTGGCTCCCTCAGCAACTGGTAGAAATAGATATAGAAAAATCATTCCATTAGCATACGATCATCATGTAGTAGATGATGCACTCTGATCTTTCCCTTTGAGGCTGAGTTCCTCATTCCCCTAACTGCCAGGAGCATAGGCTGCCCACACTCAAAGAAGCATCTTGCTCTGGGAATTTCAATAAGGGTGAGAGAGCTGCCTTGTCCAACATTTTACCTCTCCCTGGGGGCAACCCAAAACCACTGAAAGTGTACAGAGGCTCTGGTCCTTGCTTTGATTAGAGATGTCCATAAATCAGAGTTTCTCCAAGTCAACAGTATCAGCATTTAGGGCTGGATAATTCTTTGTTGGGAGGGGCTGTCCTGTACACTGAGAATGCTCAGGAGCATCTCTGGCCTCCCTCACTGGATACCAACAGCACCCCTCTCCACTTACATCAATCAAAATTGTCTCCAGACATTTCCACAGGTCCCCTAGAAAAGGAAACTACATCCAGTTGAAATCTACTGGTTTAAAGAGTATCACAGTTGTAGAGATCTTTCTGGAGTTAACTGAAGGCTCTGTCACAAATTAATCTCAGTTCAACGCCTCCCTCTATTCAATCCTGCTTTCATAATTCCCGTGCAAACTGCACACATATCTCCACCCTGATTTTCTGTCTGGGAGCTCAACCTTGACAGTGGTCCTAAGAAGCAGTCTCTAAAAATGTTTGAGCTGGATCACCCACCAGCCAGCTGAGTCCCATTACTGATTGATAGAGTACCAATGGACTGTGACATATCGCATAAGTAAAACTGTCCAAAAACTTTATTAGTGGTGGACTGGCATGAGAAACAGCTGGAAGGGGATGAACTGGCTTGGGCAATAGCTCAGGTGTTTGAGAAGTTGGAGGAAGTCACAATTACAAGGTCTACGAAATCAATTAGTTGACACTAGAGGATTTTGATACTTGGAGAAAGATAATAAAAGGCTGAGAGCGACTGATCACAAACTTAGGCACCGCGTCTTTGAAAGAATGTAACCACAAACTTGTCTTCTTCAGCTGGAGGACAGAAAGAGCTGAAGATCTGCCTACCTCCAATGACTGGTCAGTTCAGCACACAAATGCCTGACTTTCTTGCTTCAATTTGAAATGTATCTGGAGATGCATCGTAGCCTCAGAGCTCTTTGATCTGCTTCAGTTGCTGCTGTAGCTACATCACCACCCAAATTCTCCATCTGCCCAATTCTCCTTCCTGTCCCTCCATACAGTAATTGCTGCTAAGAGAACTTCCTAAGAAAACACCTATAAACATACACCAATCTTGATATAGCTTCCAGGGAACCTGCTCCATGACACCTCTTAAAAATCCCTTGTCATATGTTTTCTTCCACCTCTTGCTCTATTTCTCTTCTCACTTTTATTTCAAACATTATTGAAAACATATCTATATTCACTGTTTTTACTTTGCCACTTCCCATTTTCCCCCGTTGGCTTTTGTCCAAGCCATCCCCTTAAGTGGCTGTTATCAAGATCTTCAATGACACCCATTTTGCAAAACTTTCTGAATTGTTTATCCTACCCTCCTTAAACTTCCAGTTCTCAATCCTACATCATCAGATGATAATACTCACTGACCCTCCTGCATGCATTCATTTGTATCAATATTAGCAGTGATTTCAATATACAAGCAGATGATCCCACTCCCTAGCCACTCAATTGCATAATCTCCTTTATGTTCTCTGCCCAACTTCATCCCAACATTCCCAAGTTCAACTTCCCAACTTCACCCATCAACATTCCCAAGAGTTTGTCATTACCTATCACTTAAACACATCACTATGGTTTGAATATGTGTCCCCTCCACATCTCACGTTGAAATTTAATCCCCAATACGGCAGTATTGAGAAGTGGGGCCTTTGAGAGGAGATTGGGTCATGAGAACTTTGTCCTCATGAATGGAGAAATCCATTCATGGGTTAATCAGTTAAGGGGTTAATGGAGAAGTGGGCAATCATGGGAATTGAACTGGCTTTATAAAAAGAGGAAGAAAGACCTGAGCTAGCATGCTCATCCCACCCACCATGTGATGCCCTGTATGCCTCAAGAATCTGCAGAGGGTCTCCACCAGCAGGAAAGACCCTCACCAGATGCAGCCTGTTGATGCTGGACTTTTCTTCCTCCAAAGCTATGTGACATAAATTCCTTTTCTTTATAAATTACCCAGTTCCAGGTATTCTGTTATAAGCAACAAAAAATAGGCTAAGACACCCACTATAAACTCAACCTCAAGATCACATTTCCAGTAACATCTTATCTTTATAGCTCGCTTCCTCTATTACCACACCTCAATTGGGTTTTTCCTCACCTCACACCACTGAAGTCTGACAATGCTCACCACTGAGAACTCACAGTCCAGTGATTTGACCAACGTTGCAGTGTCTCAAACTGCCCTGATATCCTTACTTCCCTGCAGTATTAAAAATCATTTTCACTTCTGTGCACAGCTCTTGTGTCATTGTACTTAACTGGCTAAACTGTATCTCAGAAAACTAACTCTCTGTTTAGTTAAATATTGTACCTACTTCAGCTGAACATGTCTGGGATAAAGTACACAAGCCCCCGACCATGCCTACTAACCTGAACTGGGCCTTTGTTGATTCCTGGCAACCCTGCTCCATGCCCCTCTCCACGTTCTTATCCCTCTCCTGGAGGACTTCTTCACTCTCCTGTACCTATATCAGTTCCCCCAATCCTCATTTTTAGCTGATGATTTTATTTTTTTACTCTGCTGAGAAAATAGAAGCAAACAAAAGAGAAATTTCCAGGCTCACATCATGACTTATTCACATGCATTTGTGCCTCTTGTTCTTTCCCTGCTCCTAGCTGAGGCCAGCCCTCCCAGTTGCACACTAGATAACATTCCCATTGACCTGCATGACTACAACCGTCATGCCTCTTTCTCTTCCATTATCAATTGTAGTAGATGCTGGGAGTGCCTACCTTGACAGTTACCACTGATGTATTCTGTTTAATTTCCAACTGCCAGTAAGCATCTGTGCTTGAAGTCTTTCCCCCAAAATGGAAAGTCCACTTTACCCTCACATTTGGCAGTCTGAATATTAATACTGGCTGGGTATTAACACTCCCTCACCCCCAGCAGCCCTCAACCAAGGACAAATGGGAAATTATGCATAAATACCCCTGCTCCTGTGTCTGGGTGGGGCCATTCTGAAGTGTATGTTTTATATTGGTTCCCAGCATTTGCCCATGGGATTAAGCTCCAGGGATTCACAGTAGTAGCTAGCTTAATAATGCAAGCTTTTGCTTTTCCCACTCCACCTGCCTTTGGTGTTTTCTACACTTACCAAATAAGTTACTTTGCACTCAAACCTTTGTTTCAGGGCCTGTTTCTCGAGAATCCTTAATGAATACATTAATTATTCCCACTTAATTTTATCATGATCTCTTAAACATTTTGCATAATTTTCCTTATATCTGGTTACATCCAGAACCCTCATGAAGGAGTTTCATGTATTTCTGTTTTCCATTTCTCTCTTCCCATTCTCTCTTGACTTCTCCCCAGCCGGGTTCGCCCCTCCACTCTTCCACCAACACTGTTCTGGTCAGTGTCCTTCCTGCTCACTGACCATCAGGCTCAGGCCTCCTTTCACTCATCCTGTCAACTCCATTCAACTTACTGATCTGCCCCATCTTTTTGAGGTTCTTTCTTCTCTTGAAGGCCAGAACCCCACAATGTCTTTATTTTCCAACTACCTTAATGGCAGGTCTTTCTCCATTTCATCTGTGAGTTCCTACTTATCCCTCAGCCTCTAAGCATTAGGATACTTAGTCCAAGCTTCAGTCTTTGTTGTGTTTTTTTCTTCTTCTTTATCTTTGTTTATTCTCTTAGTGATCTCACTCATTTTCATAGATTTAAATACCATCTACAAAATAGGTTATTTTCTTTTTTTAATTCTTAATTTTTGTAGGTATATAGTAGATATATATATTTATAGGATATCTGAGATATTTTGACATAGGCATGCAATGCATAATAATCACATCAGGGTAAATAGGGTACCCATCACTGCAAGCATTTATTCTTTTTGTTTCAAACAATCCAGTTATACTCTTTTAGTTACAAAATAGTTATTTCCAAAATTACATCTCCAGCTCAAATCTCTCTCTTGACTTCCCGATCAGTGTATCTTGTTGTCTCCTTGGTGTTGCCAAGGAGTCTAATAAATATCCCAAAGTTGGCATGCCCATAAACAAATTTGTTTTTTCTCTCATATTCTCAGTAAACAGCAACTCCAATCTCATATTTGCTTAGACTAATATTTTATTGTCATCTTCTCCCCCACTCTCTCTTTTTCTCACAGTTTATCAGAATATTATACTAGCTCTACCTTCAAACACGTCAAGAATGTAGTCTCTTGTTGTCATGCCCACCTCTGCTTTCTGGTCCAAGCCACCATCATCTTGCACCAGGATTATTACCGTAGCTTCTTTACTTGTCCGTCTGCTTCTGACATTTGATATACATTTTTCAGCAGAAATTCCCTTAAAATGGCAGCCAGAATGATCCTTTTTAAGCAAGTCAGGTCATGTCCCTTCACTGTCCTAAGCTCTTGTCTTCCCATCTCATTCAGAATAACAGCCAAAGTTCTTTAAATTGCCATTTCTATATTTGCCCACCCTTCCTGCTATTCAGTATGGACTTCTTACCTGCTTTGCTCCCAGGCTCCCAGCCTGGATTCTTGACTCTTACTGTCCAGACTCACAGACTCTGTATTGCTCACTTCCCCAGGCCCAGCGTACCCAGACCCCAACTACTTCTCCCCAGTACCACATCTTCTATGACTTGTCCCTTTTTTTGTCTAGGGTCACCCTCTTCCTTTGTGCCTTTATGCATCTTCCGTCTTTCAGCAGTGGTGTTTTTGGCCTCTGTGACTTAGTGGGGGTTGTCATCCCCTGTCCTATCTACCTATGCTTTTAACTTTGTCTTCTCCTTCTGTTGCTGGTTACTGCCTTCCTCTTACTCTGGGACAATCCTGGTTTACCAGGGGAGGAAGATCTGTATTCTCAGGAACAAACACCAAATTGTAGGGCGATTTTATTTATTGGATCATCTGTCACATCTCACAGACCTGCAAACCCCAGGGGCAGAATACCTCCTGGATCTTCACATCTACAAGTTTGAAAGTGGTATACAATTCTTAGGAACTCCTTACATTGCAAAGTACTTTGGGTTTCAAAGAGTTGTAAATTACTGTCTCAATCATGCAGTCTCCCAATATTATTCCTAGGTTTCTAAAAGATAGATAAAAGACCAGGTGCGGTGGCTCATGCCTATAATCCCAACACTCTGGGAGGCCAAGGCAGGCGGATTGCTTGAGTCTAGGAGTTTGAGACCAGTCTGGCCAACACGGCGAAATGCCGTCTCTACTAAAAATACAAAAAAAATTAGCTGAGTGTGGTGGTGTGCGCCTGTAGTCCCATCCACTTGGGAGGCGGAGGTGGGAGAATCACCTGAGCCCAGGAGGTCAAGGCTTCAGTGAACTGAAATCATGCCACTGCACCCCACTCTGGGCAACCAGAGTGAGACCCTATCTCAGAAAAAAAAATAATAAAATAAAAGATAGATAAAATATGTGACAGCTGATCCAATAAATAAAAACACCCTACAATTTGGTTGTGTGTCCCTGAGAATACAGATCTTACTCCTCTGGTAAACCAGAGTTGTCCCAGAGTAAGAAGGACGGCAGCAATACCAGCAGCAGCAGGAGAAGACAAAGCCAGTTAAGCTAACTTCATTGTCCTGCCCAATTGCTTGTGCATCCCTGTGCTTGTCTTTGCCATTCACTAAATCAGATACTTAGCATATATTTGATCATTTACAAAGCCAGACACAGAACTGCATAGTTTAATTATGTGTATCTGGCCTTTCTGCAGAGGCTCCTAAGCTTTGGCAGTTTGCCAACAGGAATTCTTTAGTTAAGTATTTTTGATAATATATACAAAGCAAGTTTGATTGAGTAACTCTTAATAGGTTCAAATACTGTCAAGTCTCAAAGAAAAGAATGAGTGCAGCCACTGTTTTTTAACTGCAAAAGTATCCTCATTTTCATATCAGTCCTGTTCCCATCCATCCCACGAAGATTTGCTGCTATTTTCTAAAATATGATACACGAAAGATTTGCTTTCTGTAAACCAATTTTTAAAGCTCCAATAAATGTTTCAGTGCAGCCTCGCTCCAATGTGGCAGTGGACTTTCCAGTTCAGCAAGACTGTAAAATAACAGTGCAGTAATTCTGATGAACTAAGCAGCTTGTTAAATGCCACTAACATTTTCTTTGGGAAATGAGTGCTTCTAGCTTTACCAAAATACTTATTTTTAATTATGCAAAGAGGCTTAATTTTACATTGTCCTGTCTTTTCTTATGAACTCATAATATTCAGAACAAGGACAAAGCACTGCAGAGGGCTGTAGTGGTAAAGAAGGGTCGTTGTAGCAAGAGGAATCTGACATAGTTGACTCCATCTTGCTTCTAACCTCCAAATTATACTAGGTCATTTTTGGGCATAGACTGAGCTGACTTTGGGAGAAATTTAGTTTATAGTTTAACTTTAAAAAAAGGATGACAATAGCCCTTCCCAAAACTAAGCCACCTTTGCAAAACTAATGAAAGGCAACAAGGTTAGGATTATGTGAGAGACCTGAATTCTGTTAAAATGTAGGCAGTTTCTATAATCCCTTACCACTAAGGAGTCATGTGGCCAGGGGTCACAAGATTTGGGACTTCCCAATTACTACTGTAGACAACATCACTATTAAAGAAAGTAAGATTGGTTTTTTGAGATATCTTTGAGACTGACTCCACCCAGACACTTGTGACTCGTGACTCAACTTATCCTGTGGCCCCACACACAGAGAGACTCAGTACACAAGGACCATTTTCCACATGGCTATCATTTCATCCCCAGTCAGTAGCACCCATTTCCTAGCCCCCTGCCCACCAAATTGTCCATAAAAACCCTAGCCTGTGAGCCTTTGAGGAGATTGATTTGAGTAAAATACTTTGTCTCCAGTGTGGCATGGCCAGCCTCACATCAAACAAACTCTCTTTCTTTACTGCAAAAAAAAAAAAAAAATCATTATATTAGGAAAGAGTCACTTCTTTGGGCTCTGTTTGTCTCTATTAACACTGCTTAGATTAGTAAGCAGTATGAAGCACACCAAAGAACAACTCTTCCTCTTTTTTCCTGGCCTCACTCCCACCCACTAAACACATACAAAGCAACAGATATTTCTTTACCTGAAGAATTTCTACTTCTCTATCAAGAAACAGCTTTACTACTTCCTTCATGTTTCTTCATGTTGAAGACATCAGTAATCCCCTCCCTCCTTTTTCTACTCAGCCACTTATTTTTCTGTTCACATTGTGCTATCTAGATATTATTACTTATCATTCTTGTTGTTTGTTTATATTTCTTCTAGACTCTGAGATTCTCATGGACAAAGACCAGTTTTTTTCTTTGACATTCACCACATTATATGTAGTATACAATAAATGATGGTTACATTTGTGAAAAACAGAGTAAATGAAGTAGGTTTTGTCATCTAACAAAAAAGAAAAGAAATATAATTTATCAAAGAGAAAATAGATATCTAGATATATAAATGACACTAAAGCTTTGGGGTGAAGGGGAAATGCTATATTAGCTATATACCCCCAAGATGTGAGTATTTGTTTCCCTGAATGTAGAGTATACTGGTCAAAATGTAAAATATCAACATTATAACCTCCTTCTGAGAAGATCCTATCTCATAGTTGCGTTGATTTTCACCTAGGACAAGTGAAAGGAACTGTGACCACAGGCCAACAGAGAACGTACATGGTTCTTAATAATTAAAGCCATATTTGGAACCAATGGACAGTCTCAACATTAAAAGGGAGGAAAAAGGAAGTAGCAATGGAGAATTGAAGCAGGCTCTCATGGTACGACAACCCTGTTATTATCCTTGAGGAAGACAGGCAACTACAATCCAAGCAGGCAGGAGATGGTTTTAGAGGAAAGTCACAATGGTGACCTGGCCATTAACACATGCTGCGCTTTGACGCTGACTTTCAACCATAGGTGAGAAATGAAACTTGCTTTCCCAAAAGAACTAGAGCCTGTCTATGGATGGGAGTTGGCTAAGGAAAACTTGAAGATAGTTGGCCCAGAGCAGGGGATCCATGGCACATTATAAGGGACATGGGCCCTGTTATGTTCAAGAAGAGAGATCATAAAATGAAAAGAACCACATTTTCCAAAGAGTGTTCTCCAGACCAAGATGCAGTAAGGTGTTCTGTGAAGAAGGGTTCTCAGTCCAAGAAGCAGAGCAAATACTGCCCAGCACAGTCTCTGCTTGGTACACAGTTGGTCTTAATTCTTCTAAGCAACTTCTCTTTATCAAGGGAGAAAATAGGAAAAAGAAGCATTATATCTCATCCCATCATGACTGTTGATTTTCCAGCTGAACAAGGAGGGTCTGTCTTGCCTGAGTTTTTTCTCTCACTGGCCCCAAGTCATCCTATGTTCTCTCAAAAGTGAAGACTTTCTTGACTCCTCAGGAGATACCTGGCTCCTAGCTTCTGGAAAGAAAAACATTTTCTTTCTGAACTGATTGACTCAGGCTATTTCAATAACCTTAGAGTTATTAGTAGCTTGAACTAATCTTGCTTGTTACCTCAACAAAGTCCATTCGGGAATTTCCTGAAGTGAATTCCATGGAATGTTAACAGGTGTTTGAGTGGAGAAAATTAAGGTCTCTGTAGCAAAATATTCTTGTTTAACCATTGGGCTTTAGAGAGGTTTGCCCTGCAGGGTTTCTCAATGCCTTTAATGTGCACTGTCAGTCTCCAAGTGCCATCCTCATCCTCCTCCTCAACACTGTCCCTGATTTTTATTTGTTCCCACTAAGCAGCAACTAAATTAAATAATAAAACAGACGTCTCTCAAATGTCATCTATAAGGCCAAAGACCTCACTTATTCAGTTCATCAGAAATTCATTTAAGAACATCCACCAAGATGGAAACTCACCATCCAACAGCAAATTTCTACCCACCCTAGGGCCGAGCCCAGCCACTCCTGCTAAGGACTAAGAGGAAGGATGTGGGAAGTGGTTTTAATATAGTTAAGCCATCAAAGAAGTTGTGTTCAGAGCCACCAGCCACCCTTTCCCATTGGTAGATCAGCAGCATGATTTTCTCCTACAGGTATTGCCATTTCTCCCCACAGAATATTAGAAGGCTGCCAAGGCTTAGCAACTTTTGAAACCAAAGATCTTGGGAATCCAGCTGTTCTTGGACCCCTGGCTTGTTTTCTTTCAGTCAGGCAAAGAATTCAGAATGTTTGGTTTTCTTGGTCAGGAAAGACCAGAAACACTTCCATTGCCTTAATTCTCCTAGTTTCCCCAATACTTTCTTCCACCAAAGTATTTATACCTTGTAGTTCTTGAGAAGAATTTGGACTAGATCATAGTTTTATTTTACTTATTTGTTCATAGGACATTGCTGTTACAATAAACTTAGAAATATAAACTTTTAGGATTTGAAGTAACTTCAGAGTTTATCTTTTCAATCACTTTCTGGAAATAAGAAAAGTGAGGCCCACAGAAATTGGAAACTTGCCTAAGGATTCCTAGCTATAAACAATTTTGAAAATCACTAGACTGGGGCCTGGCACAGTAGCTCATGCCTGTAATCCCAGGACTCTGGGAAGCCGAGATGGGCAGATCACCTGAGGTCAGGAGTTCAAGATCAGCCTGGCCAACATGGTGAAACCCCATCGCTACTAAAAATACAAAAATTAGCCAGGCATGGTGGCACGCATCTGTAGTCCCAGCTACTCGGGAGGCTGAGGCAGCAGAATCACTTGAAACTGGGAGGTGGAGGTTGCAGTGAGCTGAGATCACGCCACTGCACTCCAGCCTGGACAACAGAGTGAGACTCCATCTCAAAAAAAGAAAAAAGAAAATCACTAGACAAGATAATGTATTTTGAAGAGAAAAAAATTAAGTAATATCTAAACTTTGAGGGAAAATATTGGTCTACTTTCAATTTGTAATGTGAGTTTTATTCTAAACAGGAAATTAAATACCAATAACTAATTTAAAGAATTAATAGTCCCTATATAAAATGTACCCCCTTTAAAAATTGTCTTTGGCTTGAAAATTAATTTTATATTTAAGTGTGTTTTTATTTTTAAAACTGGTATTCTAAATATGGAATTAAAAGTATTAATCCTAAGCCTCAAAAAATTAATAAAATTTACAAGAAAGATGAAGTTCCCTTTTAGAATAATCAAATTCGTAATTCTGGAGAGACAGAATATAGATACAATAGGCATTGGCTCTAAAGTCTGATTTTATTAGCTGAAAGTACAATATGAGTTTTGTCCTATCATCTCCCAAGTAGCTCCTAAATCTGAAGTTTTCTCTTCATTCAATTCATTCTTTTGAGTCACAAAAAAAGGAGAGGGATTACTGAGTCTAGAATGCCACAATTTTCTCATCCTCTTTTTCTTACCCACTGACATGTCTGTGAGCCCCTCTTCCTAAACTCTTTATTTGTCTGTCTCCCAGTCAATTTCTAGCTCTTTCAGGGTAAGATCTAAGAGTTATTAGGCTCAGCACATGCAAGAAAATCTACAATTATCTGTCAAAGGAGTAAGAGTGAATAATGGTGTGTTCGTCCACTTTCATGCTACTAATAAAGACGTGCCCGAGACTGGGCAATTTACAAAAGAAAGAGGTTTAATCGACTTACAGTTCCACATGGCTGGGGAGGCCTCACAATCATGGCAGAAGTCAAGGAGGAGCAAGTCACCTCTTATGTTAGTTGCAGCAGGCAAAGAGAGAGAGCTTGTGTAGGGAAACTCGCCCTTACAAAACTATCAAATATCATGAGACTTATTCACTATCATGAAAACAGCACTGGAAAGACCTGCCCCTGTGATTCAATTACCTCACACCAGGTCCCTCTCATAACACATGGGAATTCAAGATGAAATGTGGGTGGGGACACAGCCAAACCTTATTGTTTCGCTCCTAGCCCCTCACAGATCTCATGTCATCATATTTCAAAACCAATCGTCCCTTCCCGATAGTCCCCCAATGTCTTAACTCATTTCAGCATTAACTATAAAGTCCACAGTCCAAAGTCCCTTCCACCTATGAGCCTGTATATCAAAAGCAAGTTAGTTACTTCCTAGATACAATGGGGGTACAGGCATTGGGTAATTACAGCCAATCCAAATTGGGCAAAACAAAGGGTCTACAGGCCCCATGCAAGTTCAAAATCCAATGGGGCAGTCACATCTTAAAGCTCCAAAATTATCTCCTTTGACTCCATATCTCACATCCAGGTCATACTGATGCATGAGGTAGGCTCCCAAAGCCTTGGGCAGCTCTGCCCCTGTGGCTTTGCAGGGTATAGCCCCTCTCCTGACTACTTTCATAGGCTGGCATTGAGTGTCTGTGGTTTTTCCAGGCACATGGTGTAAGCTGTTGATTCATCTACCAATCTAGGGTCTGGAGCAGCACCCCATTCTACTGGTACCAATTTACTGTATTAATTCATTTTCATGCTGCTAATAAAGGCATGCCCAAGAATAGGCAATTTACAAAAGAAAGAGTTTTAATGGACTTACAGTTCTACATGGCTGGGGAGGCCTCACAATCATGGTGGAAGGCATGGAGGAGCAAGTCACATTTTATGTGGATGGCAGCAAGCAAAGGGAGAGAGAGCTTGTGCAGGGAAACTCCCCCTTATAAAACCATCAGATCTCATGAGACTTATTCACTATCACAAGAACAGCACAGGAAAGACCTTCCCTGATGATTCAATTACCTCCTACCAGGTCCCTTCCACAACACATGGGAATTCAAGATGAGATTTGGGTGGGGACACAGCCAAACCATATCAAATGGCTAAAGAAATCACAATATAGTTCTTACATGTGATAGACATTATGCATCAATTAAGAACATTTCCAAGAAATCCATGTGGTTGGAGAAGGGTCAAGATATTTTTTATCAAACACCAGTGGGTGTAGTAATGCAACTTTAGAGTAATAAGATTGTGAGTAACAAAGATAGCTTCCAAAGGTGGTAATTACATGGCTAGAATACAACCCCAGGCTCTTGTAGCTCTACATGTGAATTAATGGAACACCACACTGGATGTTGGATGAGCTTATAGCTTAAACACATATAGCTCATATATGTTTCAATATTTTGCTTACAGTAACTATTTGGTAAATTATATGTATTTTTCATTCTACCATGGGCGTCCATCCTTCCTCATGTTTTTCCTTGTCTTTATGGAGTCTGAAGTTAAGGAAACATTGTAATGGCACATAGCTGACTCTGGTGAACCCTAAAATATTGTTTCACCAAGGTCCTGGTGACCAGAGAGGAAATAACAGCTGAGCAGCAGCCCTTTTAGAACATAGTCTCTATGCTACTATTCTTACTTGGATGAGCTGTGCATTACACGAGACCATTGATGATCCACCCAAAATTATATCTTAAGAGTTGAGAAGAGGGAGAAGGAAAATGGGGAGGGGAAGAAAAAAAGCTATTAGTCAGCACTAAATATGACTCTTCCTTCTTCATTCTCTCAGCAGAGAGCCCAAGAACATCTGATTTTCTATGAAAAAGGAAAAACGTCTGAATAATACAGATTGTAACTTCATATATATCTCCACATTCGTACAGGCAGAACTTCAAGAACTACATAATTGAACAATACAGTGTCTTCCTTTTATTCTCCCAAGAATGCCTCAAACGTAGTTTATGTGGCAACTACTGACCATGGACAATGACAGTATCTGGAACATAACAGTGCAATGTGATTCTAGGGTAACCTAGACTTCAAGTAAAAAAGCCTGCTATTATTATTGTTCTCTCTCCCCTTCGTCTAATTCTCACTCTAATTGGCCACTCATGGCATTTTCTTTGGCTGTTTACAAAGTTACTTCTGTCCCCATTGAAGAGTAGAGATTCAGTATTTTTGCTACAGCGACTTGCACTATGAATTTTTTTTAATTTTTATTTTACTTTAAGTTCTGGGATACATGTGCAAAATGTGCAGGTTTGTTATGTAGGATACATGTGCCATGGTGGTTTGCTGCACTTATCAACCCATCATCTAGGTTTTGTTTTGTTTTGTTTTTAGTAGTTTGTAGTTTTTATTGTAGAGGTTTTTCACCTTTTTTTAAAAAAAAAAATTATGTTACTTTATGTTCCAGGATACATGTGCAGAATGTGCAGGTTTGTTATGTAGATATACATGTGCCATGGTGGCTTGCTGCTCCTATCAACCCATTATCTAGGTTTTAAGCCCTGCATGCATTAGGTATTTGTCCCAGTGCTCTCCCTCTTCTTGCCCCCGACCCCCCAACAGGTCCCGGTGTGTGTTGTTCCCCTCCCTGTGTCCATGTGTTCTCATTTTTCAATGCCCACTTGCACTATAAATATTTACAGTGGTTAATTGTTATCCATTGAGAATGGCTTGGTAGTTTTCAGTGAATAGAGACAATCAATTGAGCTTAAATTTTTTTGCAACCTAAATACAGAGAATCTCCTTCATTTCTTTCCTGCCTTTCATGCTTCTTCCTCTTCCTTTCTTTGCAGAACTTTTCCTTTGGCCCAGAGAAGATCTTCATTAGCGGAGAGATATTAACATTTATGCTTTGGCTTACCTGACGCTGTCCTGTCTCCAATATTGCCTTAGGTGCCTCCATCAGTGACCGATCTACTTAGAGAAGAAGGCCAGCCAAAGGAACATTCGGCTAATTGTAAAATCCTTAAGAGGGAAAAATAAATAACTATGATTTTTGAGACCTAAAGTGAGTTTGATTTAGTACCATTTTGTTTGTGACTCATTTTTATTCTTAATTAGTCTCAATTTTACTGGTGTTCATCTTTATTCTAAAGGGCAGTTGGTTCTTTTCATTATCTTAAAGCTGTACTGACTTCCACACCTTTTGCTTGAATCTATTGCCTATTAATTACATGGGCCCCTCCCTGAAGAAAGCGTGACAAATTTAGCTTCTTACTTTGAAATCATTCTCTTTAACCATCAATGCCTAAATTATAGCAGATCACTGTATTACTCAGACTTCGATCATACGATCTAAATGTCTAAATTATTCCACATCCTTCGTGACATGTTATTACTGTAACAGTGTTCATCTTGTCAGCTTCTAGCCATGGTGTAAGGGAATGTCATCCAAAAGAGAATACCTGACATGTTAATCGCTAATAAATCTGAAAAACATGTGTTTGATCAAGGCCGTCCTCCCTGTGTGTAATTCTTTATTTTTTTTTTCAACATCAGCGAGTTCTTCTGAAATGTAAGACTGTCTCTCTGAAAGTTCTAAATAACCAGTGTTGATTTCAAAACAGGCACTTGCCAATATTTGGTTATTTATAGCAAATCCCTGGTTGGCATTTGCATTGATAATCTATCTTTGTTTGTTGCTGAAGCCATTCAAAGTTCCTGTGTCATATATGGGCTCATTGAGTAGAAAATTCTGCATGCAGATAAGTATACTTTGGTTATAGAAAGCAGCTGTCAGAACATATTTATATTCCAACAGCAGAATAGAAATTAATCTCATAGTGGCTTCAATTCAAATTGGTATAATATTCCAGTAATAAATTCCCTGCCCAGATGGAATCATTTTCTTTATCATAAATATTTTAAAACACTTGATTTCTATTAAAGTCATACAGGACTGAAACTAATTTTAGCTATTTCAAATATTTTAAATGAGCCCCAAACAGAAAAAGCATTTTGGTTATATAGAATCCATTTAAAAAAAAATTTCAAATTTTACAGAAGTATTTCCTATTATGTAAATTATTTAATCAAAAAGAAAAACTCATTAAATGCTAATTTTGTCTGACTTGATGAACCAAAGAAAAGCACACCTAGTCAGTATTAATTGTATTTCTATCATATGCTTTAATGACACTATAGTCATTGTTTAATATTGAAAGAAATTCTAAAAATATCTATTATTCTTTTCTTCATTTAAGGGCTGAATAAAATTGTATTGCCAATTGGTTTATTGGTTTGCCCTTAAAAATTATTTTCTTCATAATGTTAAAATAAAAGTTTTTGTAGCACAGACTCATTACTGGTCATGTACAGAAAATATCTCACTCCCTGCTTCACCTTAATGATCTCAGTGTGCTCAGGATCATGACCTTAAGGAGAGCAAATATTGGCTTCATCAAACCAATGAGTAGAAGCCAATTGCAGGGTTTAAGTTAATCAGTTAGGAATTGCCAGCTTGCAGGAGGTATGATTCAGTATCCTTTGGCTTACATCAACCATCAAGATGTGGAGAGAGAGAGGCTGTCTTCAGGATTGCCAAAATCCAAATCCCATGTGCTGTTACAGATTAATATCAGCCCTAAAATTGTATCTGGAAGTAAACTGGAAAGTAGCCTGGTGTAGTCAGTATAAGTATTACATAACCAGACAGGCAATCTAGAAATCAATGAGAATTTTTAGGCATGAGCAGATGCTTTGAACTGTCTGGAGAAATAATCAATCCCATGCATAAATCAGGGAAAATGCTTTAATTGCACTGATACACAAGTTTGTCCTTGTTCCAATTCCTTCTCAGCTATTGATCCTTATACCTTGAAAGACAAGGAGGGCAGGGATGCAATTCGCCAAGCATATCATACATTGCTGGGCATACATTGTGTTCTTAGGTACTATGATTTATCTCAAGAGAACAAAACAGTGGAATGGTTTCAGAAAAATGAAAGTGCTCACAAAGTCATCACAGTTTGAGATAGTTCTGGAACTTCACTGAGGTTGAGTGGGCCATGCTGTCACCTTCTAGCTGGAGGTCCACCTGGGAATCAGGAAGACCAAATCTTTTAGGAAGCACAAGGTGTCCAGTAACTCAAGAAAAATTATTTGTGCAGAATAATGGGAGTCAAAAAGAGAAATCTGATCCTGAAAACAAAAGCCACAAATATAGTTACAAAGTTTGAAGTAGAATTCAAAATTAATACCAGGATAGTGGTTATTTTAGGGTAAAAATATAGCTGTATTTTCTTTATGACTATTGAAATTGTTCAGATAATGAGTAGTGCCATTCAAGACTTAAACCAGTTTTGTTCCTGAATTGACTGTTGTTTATTTTATTTTATTTGTGTATTTTTTGAAACTGAGTCTAGCTCTGTTCCCCAGGCTGGAGTACAGTGGTGCAATGTCTGCTCACTGCAGCCTCCACCTCCCCTGTTCAAGCGATTCTCCTGTCTCCGCCTCCTAAGTAGCTGGGATTACAAGAGTGCACCACCATGCCCAGCTAATTTTTGTATTTTTAGTAGAGACGGGGTTTCACCATGTTGGCCAGGCTGGTCTCGAACTCCTGACCTCAAGCAGTCCGCCCACCTCAGCCTCCTAAAGTGCTGGGATTACAGGCATGAGCCACCGTGCCTGGGCAGGTTGTTTATTTTGTTTTGAAATTGACAGTAGTTTTGGAGTCACCTAGACATAGCTTAAGTCACAAAGCAATAGACGTGTACAGCAGAAAAGAGAAAAATGAAAAGATTTCTTGATCCATTTTATTCCAATCTATCTTTTGTCAGCAGAAATCACAAGAGACTATTCTCTTCTGGGCAGATGGTTATTTATCCTAATGTAAAAGCTCTTCAGAAAAGGTAGAGGATACCACAACCCCAGTAGATCCTTTCTCATATATACTTCACAAGGGATTTGAAGCACATTTTCTTACTCTGTCTGCTCAGAATAACTACTCAACCTTTTGTGAATAATAACCTTTATGTGTTGGCTAGAAGATTACTTCTCTATTTCTTTTTTTACTTTATTGCAACATTCCCAGGGCCAGTTAAAGATGATGTCAAGAAAATTGTAAAGTTCATCAATTTTGGTTCTAAAACTTCAGAAAATTCACACACCAAGAATCACCAACAACACTTAACCTTATGTACATTCTATATTTAAAAGAAACTTCATTGTTTCAAAATGAAAGCCAGTTGAGTAGCCTGGAGATGGGGAGGCTGTCATTACATTTAACTTCTTTTTTCATTTTTTGAGACGGAGCCTTGCTCTGTTGCCCAGGCTTGAGTGCAGTGGCACGATCTCGGCTTACTGTAACCTCTGCCTCCCAGGTTCAAGTGATTCTCATGTCTCAGCCTCCCCAGTAGCTATGATTATGGGTGCGTGCCACCTCGCCCAGCTAATTTTTGTATTTTTAGTAGAGACGAGGTTTCATCATGTTGGCCAGGCTGGTCTCAAACTCCTGACCTCAAGTGATCTGCCTGCCTCGGCCTCCAAAAGTAGTGGGATTACAGACATGAGCCACCGCACCCGGTCATTACATTGAACTTCTAACGCTGGAAATTGCCCGCAAACTACTTCCAGTTTAATACACAGTGCTGCCCCCTAGGTGGGGCAGATGCTTTGGTGTTTCTCACTAGCCCCAGTGCATAAAGGTCTTTGCCGTCAGAGAAATATAGTAAACATGAATGTCCACCTTAAAAGAAGAATTGAATGCAAAATATATAGAATTGCCACTCAGCCTGATAGGGATTTGTGGAAGAAAAGAAGGGTGGTAAATGATCACAGAATGTATACGCTAAGAGGAACTGAACTGTTCTTACTATTAGATTACAGAGAAGAAAACTGAGGGCCATGGAGTGATTTTTCCAAATTAGGTAAAGTAGTTGACAGCAGGACTACTAGTCCTAGCATTTGCACAGTTAACAAACAGCTAGGCAGTCAGTGCAAGCATGCTGATTACACATACATAACTTACAGTTAACAGCAGGGCTATTAGTCCAAGTATTTGTAAAGTAGTTAACAGCTAGGCAGCCAATGGTAGGATGCTGATTACACATATATAACTTGATATACCTATAGTGACAACTGGTGATTCCTCTTCCCTAATTTACCTTGTGGGTCACCCAGACATGAGTCTCCCAGGAGTATCATGATACAGCAGGTCCATAGAATTGACTCTCTTCATATCTTTCAGCTTCGCTAGATTGTGGATTAAGAATTAGGCACTTTGAGATACTCTGCTTTTACGTTTAACCATCACTAGAGAAGAGCTGCTTCTCTTCTAGACTGCTTGGAAATGAATGACACTCATAAAACACCACAGTTATACCTTCTTTCCAAATTAATACCCTCAAATCCTCCAGGTGGTAGCCCAGTGTAAAAACACACTCCCTGTAAGTTTGCATCTTAGGAGTTTCTTCTTGACTTGGACTCTCAAGCCAAGGGAACATACGGATCTGAATGTCTCAGCCCATTATGACATTCAAATCTGTGGATTTAGGAAACACTTGATGTTGTCACTATTGCCATGTGACACTTTGGTTAGTCTAATAGTGACTCATGAAGCTGGATGTTACCTCCTGACCATTGCTGCTGCTCCTTTTACCGAAATTCAGCAAGCTTGATCACTGAAGAACATATCAGGAGTCAAACACGGGAGTTAAAACTCTAAATCCAATCTTTTTTTTTTTTTCTTTTCAGACAGATTCTTGCTCTATTGCCCAGGCTGGAGTGCAGTGGTGTGATCTCGACTCACTGCAAACTCTGCCTCCTAGGTTCAAGTGATTCCCCTTCCTCAGCCTCCTGAGTAGCTGGGACCACAGGTGCGTGCCACCTACACCTGGCTAATTTTTATAATTTTAGTAGAGACAGGGTTTTGCCATGGCTGGTCTTGAACTCCTGGCCTCAAGTGGTCCACCCGCCTCGGCTTCCCAAAGGGCTGTGATTACAGGCGTCAGCCACCATACCTGGCATAAATTCAACCTTGAAACATAAGCTCCAAGATAAGACACTTACTAAATAAGCATGATAAGACCCATATAAAAGAAAAGAAGAGGCTGTGCGTGGTGGCTCATGCCTGTAATCCCAGCACTTTGGGAGGGCGAGGCAGGTGGATCATGAGGTCAGGAGATCGAGACCATCCTGGCTAACACAGTGAAACCCCGTCTCTACTAAAAATAGAAAAAATTAGCTGGGCTTGGTGGCGGGCGCTAGTTCTAGCTACTAGGGAGGTTGAGGCAGGAGAATGGCGTGAACCCGGGAGGCGGAGCTTGCAGTGAGCTGATATCGCGCCACTGCACTCCAGCCTGGGCGACAGAGCGAGACTCCGTCTCAAAAAAAAAAGAAAAAGAAAAAAAGAAAAGGAGAACTGTGCATAGACTACAACAATGAGAAATGAGCAGGAATTTACCACACAACTCTTCCTAACCATGGATTAAAAACAAATAGACATTTCACTTACTGATTCAGTCTATGTTTAGGCCTACATCTCAGATTACAGGGTATTCATCTGCAAAATTGATGGCTGGAAAATGAAGCTAATTTTGGAAAATGATACCAGATCCTTTAAAGATCTAAGTCAAAGTTCTATGTTTTTCAGATTGTGAACTATAAGGAAGCATATACTCTGTTCAATGAAACGGATACAAACAGGAGACGGAAATACTGGGTAAAAGAGGGTAGTTCCCAGGCAAATGCCCTATCCCCAAGCCTGGAAACTCACAGCCCTAAATGGGAACAGGCTTTACTGTTTTTGTGCCCAAATTTTGCCTTTTGGTCCACCATGCCCCCACTATCCTGTACCCATATAAGCCCCAAACCCCAGACTCCAAGAGCAGATGAGCAGAGCAGAGGAGCAGAAGAGTGGTACAGCAGAGGAGAGAAGAGAAAGAGCATCTGAACGTTGAGAGGAGTTCGGCTAGGGACGGTTGGAGAGGAGATCGGCTGTGGGACAGCTGAGCTCTAGGGAAAGATCATCTTCCCACTCCATCCCCTTACCAGCTCCCCATCCATCTCACTGAGAGCCACCTCCATCATCCTTCAAGTCCATGTGTGACCTGATTCTTCCTGGACATTGGACAAGAACTGGGGTACCAAGAGGGCACTGAGCTTTTTAACACTTAAGCCATCTGCAGATGGCAGAGCTAAAAGAACACTGCAGCATGCCCACTGCGGCTTCAGCAGCCACAGGCACCCACCCCTAGATGCCACCATGGGGCCAGAGCCCAAAAGCACTCGTCCTGGCTCCTGCACCTGCCCATCTGTGTGCTCCCCCTTCCATAAGAGGTTTGAGCAGCTGCAGTGGCCCAACAGATGAGCCACGCCCTGTCACACGTCCTGCAAGGGAGGTCAGGGAACTCTCCCCTTTCAAACCTGTTTACTATAGAGCCTACACAAGTTTGTTTGTATGGATATTTAAATACTTTTAGACATTTGCTGGATGTGTCTTTGGCCAAGATATTTTACATCTGTCATTTGGTTTCCTTATTTGGGAAACAAGGATCTATTCATTCATTTATTCAAAACCTATCATGGAGCAGTAATTACCTGCCTGACTTTTTACACACTGCAGAGTTGCGTGAGGAAGAAAAGAGAACATAGGAAAGCCTTTAAGAAATAGGAATCATTACATAAATATGTTATCATAATTATCTATCCTATGCTAAAATGCTCTCCAAAGGAGAAAAATGCCTAAATATGGACAGGTCATATAGGAATCAAAAGTAAAGTATTCAAATAATGCTCTAAGTGATAAATATAAAAGTTTACCAAAATCTGTGTAATGTTCAGTTTCCAAATTCAAAGTTTAGACCAAAGTTTCTGCTGATTCTCCAATGTATAATAGTACATGTAGCCATTTTTTGATATGTAGCCATTTTTTTGATAGAGTATTGTGTGCTATTATGGATAAGGGCTAAGTATCTTATACATATTCTTATGTTAAATTTTAATTCTTAGCACAGTCCTATTAAGTAAAGATTATTATTTTCAATTACAGGTGAGGATAGGGAGTCACAGAAATTAAGCTATTTGCCTGAGGTCACACCCCTGGTTAGTAGAAGAGCTGGGCTTTGAGCCTCCAGCAGCCAGGCTACAGACTATGGTCTTACCCACTACACTGCACAACACTTCACTGAAAAGAGACAGCTATACTGGAATGTACTAAAATTTTAAGTGTCATTATGGAACCCCTGGTTGAAAGGACTTTGTTATTGAGAGGTCAGTGATTTATAGAAAAATCTTTATATTTCATCCCTCTTCCTTTTGTGCATCTGGGAGATAATAAGGCAGAATTTTAATCTATGTTTTGTTCAGGAATGACTATTGCTCATGTAAATACTATCAAGAAGAACCCTACTTTAAACTTTCTACCACATTTTTTCCAGGAATAAAGGCTTTCAAGGACAAACATTATCACAGATTGCTGCTCAACAGTGAATGTCTCAAAAATCTGCACAGTTATATTTGAAAAGAAGCCAAATATGTGAAAAAAAAGTCCACTTCAAAAACTTAATGAAGGCAATTTGTCAACAATTTCACACATCATTTGCCCACAACCTTTGAATAGAAGGTTTCCCAATATACCCTTTCCCCTTGTGAACTTCTGGTCATATGCATTTTAGTGATTCATTAATCATCATCTTCCCCCAAAACTGAGATGGAAGGAGAATACATCCAAGATAAGAGAACTGTGAAAATGTATTCTATGCCTTTTTTTTTTAACACAATGTCAGAGAAATGCACACAGAATAACATGAGTCTAAGATCAGAGGCTGATCTAAGACTTGGAGTGAATTTGTCATACAAAAGTTTAGAAAAACGTAATGCACCTAAGAATCCCTGGATCTTAGACTCCTAAAATTTCTGTAGCATGAGAGAGAGAAAAGAGACAATAGCGTATAATCAGTGATGGGTGAGTGAATATGACTTAACACAGAAAAATAAGCAAAGCCTCTTGGGGCACAGATTCTTTAAATAATTGACCAGAAACTCTTTGCAAAAGACCTACTTATCAAAGAACTAACTTAAAACCATTACTGTTGATTGTCAGCATGCTTTTGTAACCAAAATGCCTGAGGGATAAGTTGATGGAAAGTAATTAATAAGACCAAGAATAAGGTTTACTGCATGTAACTGATACTATTTGTAAATCTGGGACTCATAAAGGATTGTACTAATTGACGGCAGAGACACAGATGTTTCTGCCATTTTAGTAAAGGGAAAAAGTGTAAGAACACACCATCCAACAGAGAAGCGGGTGCAAAACATGTGGAGCTGTAGTGCTTACCACAGAAACAATTTTCAGTTATGTTTTTCATGTAAGGTACAATTTTCCTATTGCACACTTTGGGCAGCCCACATATGGGACTCAGGTGTGGCATCTACATTGACAAATAAACATAGTTTTAAAAAATTTGTACAAATGTAAGGGGTACAAGTGCAGTTTCGCTACATGGATATATTGCATAGTGATGAAGCCTGGGCTTTTCATATATCCATTACCTGAATAATGTACGTTGTACCTATTAAGTAACTTATCAACCCTCACTCCCCCTCACTTTTCTCACCCTTCCAAGTCTCCAGTGTCTATCTTTTCACACTCTGTGTCCATGTGCACACATTATTTAGCTTCCATTTATAAGTAAGAACATGTGGTATATGACTTTCCGTTTCTGAGCTGTTTAACTTAAGATAATGGCCTCCAGTTCCATCCATGTTGCCACAAAAGACAGAATTTCATTCTTTTTTATGATGAATAGTATTTTATGTTGTGTGTGTGTGTGTGTGTGTGTGTATTTATAGATACACACCGTATTTTCTTTATTAAATCAAGTGTTAATGAATACACATTTCTGTACATGAATAATCATCACACAGAGAAACACATCAAGAAGTCAGTCTCCTTTACAATAACTGCAAAAAATTATGTAGGAAAAAATATAACCACGGGTTTTAAAGCTCTCTACAAGGAAAACTACAAAGCACTAATGAAAGAAATTGTAGGTGACACAGACAAATGAAAAAATCTTCCATGGTCATGGATCAGAAGAATTAATATCATTAAAATGACCATACTGCCCAAAGCAGTCTACAGATTCAATGCAATCTCTATCAAAATACCAATGGAATTTTTCATAAACTTAGAAAAAAAATCTTAAAATTCATGTGAAACAAAAAAACAGCCCCAATAGCCAAAGCAATCCTAAGCAAAAAGCACAAAGCTTGAGGCATCATATTACCTGACTTCAAATTATACCACAAGGCTATAATAACCAAAGCAGTATGGTACTGATATAAAAATAGACACATAGACCAAGAGAACAGAATAGAGAAACCAGAAATAAAGCCACATATCTAACCAACTGATCTTTCACAAAATCGACAAAAACATACTACACTGGGGAAAGGGTACCCTTTGCAATAAATGGTGCTGGGAAAATTTGATTGTCATATGCAAAATAATGAAACTGGACCAGCTGTCTCTCATCATATACAAAAATCAATTCAAGATGAATTACAGACTTAAACATAAGATCTGAAACTATAAAAATACTTGGAAAGTAGTTTGATAAGACAAGGTGAAATGTACACTTGACCTGGCATATTGGGGTTCTACAGAGAAACAGAACATATGTATACACACACACACACACACACACACACACACACACACATATACACATGCACACACATATATATACATATATATACACACACACATGTATATACACACACATACATATATGCACACACACACATATATATACATATACACACACATGTATATGAGGAGGTTTATTATGTCTCCACATGATTATGGAGACAGAGAAGTCTCCTAAATCTGCTAAATAACGAGGAAAGCTGGTAGTGTAATTCAGTCCAAGTCCAAAGCCCCCATGAGAACCAGGGAGCTTGCTGGTTGTAAGTCCCAGAGTGCAAATGCTGGAGATCCAGGAGCTCTGATGTTCAAGCGCAGGAGAATATGGATGTCTTAGCTCAAAAAGGGAGAGAGAATTCACCTTTCCTCTGCCTTTTTCTCTTATTTGGGCCCTCAACGAATTGGATAATGCCCATCCGTGCAAGTGAGGATAGGTCTTTTTTACTCTGTGTACTAATTCAAATTCTAATCTCTTCCTGAAACACCCTCATAGACACTACCAGAAATAATGTTTAATCCGCTATCCAAACATTCCTTAACTTAGTCAAGTTGACACATAATTAACCATCATGGCCTGATAGCCAGATAATTCAGCAAAAAGAATTATGACCGGTAAAAATAGGGAAATTGGTCAAAGACTAGGAAACTGGTAGAAGACTTGGAAAAATGATGGAATAAATCATCAGATGATTTTCTTCCTTCAATCCATTTTCTCAGTATAAGGATGAATTGTGATTTTGAAACTATTTGGATTATAATCATTCGTAGCACTGGTGGTGTAATACATTTGGCATGTATTTGTATGTGTATGTGTTTCCATGCACAAATATTTATATTTATTCTTGTGAGTGCTTTTTCAGAATGAAATTTTTGAGCTACACTTATTACTCACCTGATTTTAGTTAATTTTACTAGGTATTTACTGAAATTATCAAAGACGTTAATGGAAGGATAATTTGGCAGAGAGCAAGTTGTTACTATTTACATTTAGATAGATGTCAGAAAACACGCTGGTATGTAGCAGACAAACCCTAGATAACTTCCTATGCTCATGCCCTGGATAATCTGCTCCCCTTGAATGTGGGAGGGACCTGTTACTTGCTTCTAACAAACAGAATATGGCAAAGGTGATGGAATGTCACTCCCATGATTATGTTATGATATATACACATATGCATACACAACATTGCACCTGCTCATCACATGTGGGAGCTTGTGCCACACAGGAATTCTCATCTCAGAGTTATAATGCTTTGGTTTTAAGCAATGACCAATCATTTTTTCGAAATGAGATACATGAAACAATCTTGAAAAAGAAGAACAGAGTAGAAGGACTTATACTTTCTGACCTCAAAACTTACTACAAAGCAATAGTAATGATGATAGTGTGGTTCTAGCACACAGGTAACCATAGAGATCAATAAATTAGAATAAAGATTTCAGGAATAAACTTGAATCTCTGGACAACTGATTTTCAGCAAATGTACCAAGATTATCCAATTGAGAAATATTGATCTTTACAACAGATGGTTTTGTAACAACTGGATAGCAACGCACAGAAGAATAAAGTTAGACCCTTACCTCACACCACATACAAATATCAATTTAAAATGAATCAAAGACTTAAAAGAGCTAAAACTATAAAACTCTTAGAAGAAAACATAAGGGTAAATCTTCACAATCTTTGATTTGACAAAGGATTCTTGGATATGACACCAAAAACATTAGTAACAAAAGAAAAAATAGATAAGTTGGATTCCATCAAAGTTAAAAACTTTTGTGCTTTGTAGGACATCATCAAGAAAGTGAAATAAGGCCAGGAATAGTGGCTTACACCTGTAATCTCAGCACTTTGGGAGGCCAAGGTGGGAGGATCGCTTGAGTCCAGGAGTTTAAGGCAGTTGTAGGCTACATAATAAGACCTTATCTCTAGTAAAAATAAAAAAATGTGGTGGGCGTATGCCTGTGGTCCCAGCTACTTGTGAGGCTGAAGCAAGAGGATTGTTTGAGCCCAGGAGGTTGAAGCTGCAGTGAGCCATGATTGTGCCACTGCATTCCAGCCTTGGTGACAGAGTGAGACCCTGTCTCAAAAAACAAAAACAAACAAAAAGAGAAAGTGAAATGTCAATCCAAAGAATGGAGGGAAATACTTATAAATCATATGTCTCATAAGGAACTTGTATCCATTATAACTCAATAATAAAAAAGAACCTAATATCTGAATAGACATTTCTCCAGAAAGCTTTATACATGACCAATAATCACCTGAAAAGACGCTTGAGGTGGAACCTCTGCTTTCAAAATGGTGGCTTAGAAGCTAGCTGGCTTCATTACTCCCACAAAGAAAACCAAAACCAAACATACGGCACTGACATTATCACCAGGAAAATCCTAGGAAATAAGCATGAGGATGAGACAGTATCTGGAGCCAAAGAAAAGTAAAAAAACTCTGAGCAGATGGTAAGAGAATCTGACTTTTATATCTGCAGTGCCCCTTCCCCCAATTGCTAAGCACCAAACACATGGAAAACGCTTTCACATTTTCTACACTGGCAAAAGAGTTAAACAACAAGCTTCTGCACTACCTTATTTCCCAGCAGGAAATCTGTCCCTGCTTCTAGCCGAGGGAAGGACTGGAAGTGTCAGAAGAAAAAAATATTTCTGAGGACAGCCAGAGACAGAGGGGGTGGGTGGGACTACCATCCCCAGCCCTGGAAACTGTTAACTTGGCCAAAGGCAATGCCAAATCAGAGTGGCTGATGAGCAGCACCATGCTGTAAAATGTTTGTTCCACTGGTCCCCTGGGCACCATCTAGCCAGCCTTTCACACTACTGGAATACCCTCTTTGGCACCTCTCTTATTCCAAACAGGTGGCAGTCTGACTGTTTACTAGAAATAGGCAAACCTGGGCTTAAGGCACCATCTACTGCCAAAAAGGAGGCAGTGACCTAGAGTAAAAAAAAATAAAATCAACAGATTAATTACAAAGAATCTCTTAGCAAATGTATCCAATAAAGACCAAAACAAGCCAAGCAGAGAAGACTGGAATAACTAACTAATTCTTCAATGCAAAAACATAGACATACATCCACAAGAAACAACCATAGTTCCACAAAGGAACCATGACCTCCTCAAACAGACAAGCAAGGAACCTGTGATCAACCCTATGCAAAATCCCTGAACAGTAATTCAAAATAGCACCTTTAAGGAAGCTCAGTGATTTCTAAGATAGCATAGAAAATTGATTCAGAAATTTATCAGAAACACTTAAAGAGATTGAAATAATTTTAGAACTGAGAAATACACTTGCTAATCTGAAAATTTTATTAGAGGCTCTCAACAGCAGAATGAATCAAACAGAGGAAAGAAGCAGGAAGCTCAAACACAGTCTATCTGAAAATATACAAAGGAGAAAAATGAAGAAAGAATGGAAAGGAATCAAGATTACCTATAAGGTAAAGAAAATTGCCTGAAAAGACCACACTTAAGAAATATTTGTGTTCAAGAGGGAGTTGAGCAAGAGCAGAAGGTAGAAAGTTTATTCAAAGAAATAATAACAGAAAATTTCCCAAAATTTGAGAAAGAGATAAACATGCAAGTACAGGAAGATTAAAGAACACAAGAAGTATGTAACCTAAATAAGATTACTCCAAGGCACATAATAATCAAACTCTCAAAGGTCAAGGACAAAGAGGATTCTACAAGCAAAAAGAGAAAAGAAGGAAATAACATTTAAAGGACATCCAATTTCTCTAGGAACATACTTCTAAATGGAAACCATACAAGCCAGGAGAGAGTGAGGTGAGATTTTCAAAGTATGAAAAAAAAACCCTGCCATTCATGAATACAGCAAAATTATCTTTCAAATATGAAGGATAGATAGTCTTTTCCAGACAAACAAAAGCAGAGATAATTCACCATCTTATAAGAAAGGCTAAAAGGAAATCTTCCATCTGAAAGAATAAAAAAACCTCTAACATGCAATAAGAAAACATCTGAAGGTATAAAAACCACTGGTAAAATTAAATACATGGATATATCTAGGATACTCTAATACCGTAATTATGGTGTGCAATCTTCTCATAATTCTAGTATGAAGACCAGTAGATAAGTGTATCAAAACCAATAATACCTATAGCAACCTGGTAAGAGAAAGGAAATATAAAATATGTAAATTGAGACAACATAAAGTAAAAATGTGGGGGAAACAGAGTTAAAATGTAAAGGGTTTCTTTTTTACATTCTTTGTTTCTATTCTTTTCTTTGTGATTTAAGATAAGTTGTCATCTCTTTAAAATAACATGTTATGTTTATAAGTTGTTTTTTGTCAGCCTCATGGTAATCACAATAGATCTATGATAGATTTGCTAAACATAAATGACAACAAATAAAAACATACCACTAGAGAAAATCACTTAACCACAGAGGAAGACAATAAAAAAGTAGGAAGGGAAAAGAGGAGTTAAAAAGCAACCAGAAAATAATCAACAAAAATGTCAGTATTACTCATCAATAATAATGCTGAATGTAAATATGGACTCTATTCTCCAATGAAAAGGCATAGAGTGGCTGAATGGATAAAGAAAGAAGACCTAACTATATGCTGCCTGCAAGGAACCCACTTCATCTATAAGGAAAGGATACATATAGGCTGAAAGTGAAGAGGTAAAAAAACATATTCCATGTGACTGAAAACCAAGAAAGAGTAGGAGCAGTTATACTTAAATACAATGCACTATAAGTAAAAGACTGTAGAGACAAAGGAGAATACTATATAATAATAAAGGAGTCAATTTATGTTTATAACAATTATAAATATCTAGGCAGCAACACCGAAGCTCTCAAGTATATAAAGCAAACATTAATAGATCTAAAGAGAGAGATAGACTGCAATACAATAATAGTGGGGAACTTTAACACCCCATTCTCAGTAATGCACAGAGCATCCAGACAGAAAATCAACAAAGAAACTGTGAAGTTAAACTATATACTAGATTGAATAGTCCTAACTGACATTTACAGAACACTTCCCTCAACTGCTGCAGAATACACATTCTTTCCAACAGCACGTGTAACATTTTCCAAAACAGGTTATAGTTTAGGATAGAAAACAAGTCTGTACAAGTTAAAAAATACAGAAATCATATTAACTATCTTCTCTGACTACAGTGGAAGAAAACTGGAAATCAATGACAAAAGGAACTTTGGAAAATACACAAACACATGGAAATTAAACATGTTCCTGAACAACCAATGAATCAATGAAGAAATTAAGAGGGAAATTTAAACATTTCTTAAAACAAACAAAAATGGAAAATACAACATACAGGATTTATGGGATATGGCAAAAACAGTACTGAGAAGAACATTTATAGCAATAAATGCCTGCATCAGAAAAGTAGAAAGCCTTCAAATAAATAATCCAATGATAGATCTGAAGTAAACAGAAAAGCATGAACAAGCTAAACCCAAAATTAGTAGAAGGAAAAAAGTAATAAATATCAGAACAGAAATAAATAAAACGGAGATAAAAATAGATTACCAAAACAAAAAATTGATTTTCTGAAAAGACAAATGAAATTGACAAACGTTTAGCTAGACTAAGAAAAAAAGAAAGAAAACCCAAATAAACAAAATCAAAAACAAAAACGGAGATATAAGAGAGACCATAGAGATACAAAAAAATCACTAGAGATTATTAGGAACAACTACATACCAAGAAATAGGAAAACCCAGAAGAAATGGGTAAATTCCTGGACACGTACGACCTACCAAGATTGAAGCAAATGATGAAATAAAAAACCTCAACAAACCAATAATGAATAATGAGATCAAAGCCATAATAAAAAGTCTTCCACCAAAGGAAATGCCAGGACCGGATGGCTTCACTGCAGAATTGTAGCAAATATTTATAGAAGGATTAACACCACTTTTCAAACTCTTCAAAAAAATTTAAGATGGGGGAATACTTCCAGACTTATTCTATGAGGTCAGAACTACCCTGATAATAAAACCAGACAAGGACACAACCAAAAGAAAGAAAATTAGAGGCCAATATCTCTGATGAATAGAGATGCAAAAATCCTCAACAAAATACTAGCAAGAAGAATTCAACAGCACATTAAAAAGATCATTTACCATCATCAAGTGAGATTCATCCCAGGAATGAATGATAGTTCAACATATGCAAATCAATAAATGTGATACATTACATTAACAAAACCAAGAACAAAAAACTTATGATCATTTCAATAGATGTTGAAAATTATTTGATAAAATTTAACATTACTTTATGATTAAAACCTTCAACAAACTAGATAAAGAAGGAACACACTTCAAACTAATAAAGGCCATCTATGAGAAACCCATAGCTAACATCATACTGAATGGGAAAAATTGAAAGCCTTTCCTTCAAGATATGGAACAAGACACGGTACCCACTGTCATCACTTTTATTCAACATAATACTTGAAGTCCTGGGCAGACAAATCAGAGTAGAGAAGGAAATAAAGGGCATTCAAATTAGTAAGGAAGAAGTCAAATTAGCTTTGTTTGCTGATGACCTGACTTTATACTTAGACAAACATAAAGACTCCACCAATAACAGGTTAGTTAATTCCATAAAGGAATTCAGCAAAGTTGCAAGATACAAAATCAACCTACAAAAATCAGTGGCATTTAAATCTGTGAACAGCTAACACTCTGAAAAAAATGAAGATATTAATCCCATGTATAATAGCTACAAATAATATGAAATATCTAGAAATCAATTTAATCTAAGAAGAGGAAGCTCTATAAAAGGTAAAGTATAAAACACTGATGAAAGAAATTGAAAAGAGGACACAAAAAAATGAAAAGGTATTTTATGCTGATGGATCAAAAATTAATGTTGTTAAATGAAAATTCTGCCCCAAACAACTTGCAGATTCAATGCAATCTCAATATAATACCAATGTCCTTTTTCACAGAAATAAAATAAATAATCCTAAAATTTATATGGACCCACGAAAGTCCCCAAATAGTCAAAGCAATTCTGAGCAAACAGAACAAAGCAGGATACATCACACTCTTGACATAGACCAACTGGACAGAATAGAGAAGTTAAATATAAATCCACGCATTTACAGCCAATTCACTTTTAACAAAGGCACCAAAACATACAGTGAGGAAAGGATAGTCTCTTCAATAAATGGTGCTGGGAAAACTGGTTAACCATATGTGGAAGAATGAAACTAGATCCCTATCTCTCACTGTATACCAAAATCAAATAAAAATGGATTAAAGACTTCTATCTAAAACTGGAAACTCTGAAACTACTAGCAGAAAACCTTGAGACAATGGTCTAGGGCATTAGTCTGGGCAAAAAATTTTCTGTAAGACCTGAAAAACAAAGGAAAATAAAGCAAAAATGGACAAATGAGATTACATCAATTTGAAAAGCTTCTGTTCAGCAAATGATACAGTGAACAAAGTGAAAAGACAACCTGCAAAGTGGGAGAAAATATTTACAAACTATCCATCTGATAAGGGATTAATAACCAGAATATATAAGGAACTCAAATCAATAGCAAAAAAAATTATTCAATTAAAAATGGGCAACTTGGCTGAATAGATGTATTAGTTAGGGTTCTCTAGAGGGACAGGACTAATAGGATAGACGTATATATGAAAGGGAGTTTATTAAGGAGTATTGACTCACACAATCACAATGTGAAGTCCCACAATAGGCCATCTGCAAGCTAAGGAGCAAGGAAGCCAGTCCGAATCCCAAACATCAAAAGTAGGAAAGCTGACAGTACAGCCTTCAGTCTGTGGCCGAAGGCCTGAGACTCCCTGGCAAACCACTGGTATAGGTCTAAGAGTCCAAAAGCTGAAAAATTTGGAGTTCAATGTTTGAGGGCAGGAAGCATTCAGCACAGGAGAAAGATGACACCTGGAAGACTCAGCCAGTCTAGGTCCTTCCACGTTCTTCTGCCTGCTTTTATCCTGGTTGCACTGGCACCTGACTATATGGTGCCCACCCAGATTGAGGGTGGGTCTGCCTCTCCCAGTCCACTGACATAAATTTTAATCTCCTTTGGCAACACCCTCACAGACACACCCAGGAACAATATTTTACATCCTTCAATCCAATCAAGTTGACACTCAATATTAACTATCACAATGGATATCTCTTGAAAGAAAACATACAAATGACCAACAGTTATAGGAAAAAATGCTCAACATCACTAATCATCAGAGAAATGCAAATCAAAACCATGATGAGGTAATAATAAAGATCAGAGAAGAAACAAATCAAATTGAAATAAAAAAACAAGAAAAAAAATCAATGAAACAAAAAGTTCTTTGAAAACTTAAAATTGACAAACCTTTAGTCAGTCTAACTAAGAAGAGGGAAGATCCATATAAATAAAATAAGAAATGGAAAATAAAACTTTACAACTAATACTAAAGATATTTAAATGGTCATTAGAGGCTAAGAGCAACTATATGCCAATAAATTGGAAAACCTAGAAGAAATGGACAAATCCCCAGACACATACAACCTACCAAGATTGAACCATGAAGAAGTCCAAAACCTGAAAAGACCAATAACAGGTAATGAGATCAAAGCTGTAATAAAAAGTTTCCTGCTAAAAGAAAGCCCAGAACCAGATGGCTCCACTGCTAAATTATACCAAACATTTTAAGAAGAACTAATACTAGTCCTATTCAAACTATTCTGAAAAATAGAAGAGGAAGGAATACTTTCGAGGTCATTCAACAAGGCTGGTATTACCCTAATACCAAAAATGAGACAAAGACACATCAAAAAAAGAAAACTATATGCCAATATCTCTGATGAATATTAATACAAAATACTGGTAAACTGAATTTAACAATATATTAGAAAGATCATTCATCAAGACTAAGTAGAATTTATCCCTGGAATGCAAGGATGATTCAACATATGCAAATCAATCAATGTGATACATCATATCAACAGAACGAAGGATAAAAACCATATGATCATTTTAATTGATACTGAAAAAGCATTTGATAAAATCCAACATCCCTTCATGATAAAAACTCTCAGAGAAAATGTGGTACATATATACCATGGAATACTATGCAGCCATAAAAAGGCATGAGGTAATATCCTTTGGAGGAACATGGATGGAGCTCAAAGCCATTATCTTCAGCAAACTAATGCAGGAACAGAAAACCAAACATCACATGTTCTCACTTAGAAGAGGGGGCTGAACAATGAGAACACACGGACACAGGGAGGGGAACAACACATATTGGGGTCTGTTGGGAGTGGTTAGGGGGAGGGGGAGGGAGAGCATCAGGAAAAATAGCTAATGCATGTGGGGCTTAATACCTAGGTAATTGAGTTGATAGGTGCCGCAAACCACCATGGCACACATTTACCTGTGTAACAAACCTGCACATCCTGCACACGTATCCTGGAACTTAAAATAAAATATTTAAAAAAAGAAGGAACATGACTCAACATAATAACAGCTATATATGACAGACTCACAGCTAGTATCTCATTGTATGGGGAACAACTAAAAGTCTTTCCTCTAAGATCTGGAACATGACAACGATGCCACTTTCACCACTGTTATTCAACATAGTACAGGAAGTCCTAGCTAGAGAAATCAGAGAATGGAAAGATATAAAGGGCATTCAAATTGGAATGGAAGAAGTCAAATTATCATTATTTGCATATGATATAATCTTGTATTTGGAAATACCTAAAGACTCCACACACACAAACAGAACTGTGAGAACTGATAACCAAATTCAGTAAAGTTGCAGGATACAAAATCAACATGCAAAAATCAGTAGCATTTCTATATGACAACAGTGAACAATGTGAAAAAAAATAAAAAAGTAATCCCATTTACAATAGCCACACACAAATTTGAATACCTAAGAATTAGCTTAACCAAACAAGTGAAAGATCTCTGTAAGGAAAACTATAAAACATTGATGAAAGAAATTGAAGAGGACACCAAAAAAAAAAAAAAAAAGAAAAAATATTCCATGTTCCCGGCTTGGAAGAATCGATATTGGTAAAATGTCCATACTACCCAAAGCAATCTACAGATCCAGTGTGATCCCTACCAAAATACCAATGACATTCTTCACAGAAATAGAAAAAACAATCCTAAAACTTATGTGGAACCACAAATGACCCAGAATAGCCAAAGTTACTCTAAACAAAAAGAACAAAACTGGAGAAATCACATTACTTAAAATTGTGCTACAGAGCTATAGTAATCAAAACAGCATGGCACTGGCATAAAAATAGACATATAGACCAACAGACCAGAATAGAGAATACAGAACCAAATCCACACATTTATGGTGAAGTTGTTTTGACAAAGGTGCCCCAAACATACAGTGGGGAAAAGACAGATCTTCAATAAATGGTGCCAGGAAAATAGGATATCCAAATGCAGAAGAATGAAACTGGACCACTATCTCTAGCCACATACAAAAATCAGATCAAAATGGATTAAGGACTTAAATCTGTAACCTCAAACCATGAAACTACTAGAGGAAAATTTGGGGGAGAATCTCCAGGACATTGGTCTAGGCAAAAATTTCTTGAGCAATACCCCACAAGCACAGGCAACCAAAACAAACGTAAGCAAATGTGATTACATCAAATTAAAAGTTTCTGCAAAGCAAAAGATACAATCAACAAAGTGAAGAGACAACTCACACAATGGTAGAAAAATATCTGCAAACTACCCATCTGACAGGACAGTAATAACCAGAATAAATAAGGAACTCAAACAACTCCACAGGGAAAAAGCTAATAATCCAATTAAAAGATGGCCAAAAGATTTCAACAGACATTTCATAAAAGAAGACACACAAATGGTAAACAGAGACATAAACAGGTACTGAATATCACTGGTCATCAGAGAAATGCAAATCAAAACTACAATGAAATATCATCTCAACTTAGTTAAAATGGTTTATAACCAAAGACAGGCAATAACAAATGCTGATAAGGATATGGAGAAAAGGGAACCCTTATGCACCGTTGGCAAGAATGTAAATTAGTCAAACCACTGAGGAGAACAGTTTGGAGGTTCTTCAAAAAAGTAAAAATGAGCTACCATATGATCTAGCAATCCCACTGCTGGTTATATACCCAAAAGAAAAGAAATCAGTATATTGAAGAGATATCTGTGCTCTTACGTTTGTTACAATACTGTTTACAATAGCTAAGATTTGGAAGCAACCTAACTGCCCAACCACAGATGAATGGATAAAGAAAATGTGGTACATACACACAATAGAGTGCTATTCAGCCATAAGAAAGATGAGAATCAGTAATTTGGAACAATATGGATGGAATTGGAGATCATTATGTTATGTGAAATAAGCCAGGCACAGAAATACAAACATTACATGTTCTCACTTATTTGTGGGATTGAAAAACCAAAACAATTTAATGGATGGAAATAGAGAGTAGAAAGATAGTTACCAGAGGCTGAGAAGGGTAGTGGGAGGCTCGGGGAGAGGCTGGGATGGTTAATGAGTACAAAAAAACAATTAGAAAGAATGAATAAGACCTGTTATTTGATAGCACAACAGGGTAAAGTCAATAATAATTGTGCATTTAAAAATAACTAAAAGAGTGTAATTGGGTTATTTGTAAACAAAAAGGATAAATACTTGAGGAGATGAATACCCCGTTCTCAATAGATGCACTTTTATGTGAATAAGAGCACTGTTCACAATAGCAAAGACATGGGATCAACCTGGGTGTCCATTAATGGTGGAGTGGATAAAGAAGATGTGGAACATACACACAATGGAAAGCTATACAGCCATAAAAAGAAATAAAATCATGTTCTTGCAGCAACATGGATGCAGCTGGAGGCCATAATCCTAAACTAATTAATGTAGGAACAGAAAACCACATATCACATGTTATCTCTTGTAAGTGGGAGCTAAACAATGGGTACTAATGGCAATAAAGATGGCAACAATAGACACTGGGGAATACTAGACGGGGAAGGGGTGTAAGTGTTGAAAAACTAACCGTTGAATTTTATGTTCAGTACCTGGTGATGGGCTCAGTCGTGCCCCAAACCTCAGTATCAAGCAATACACCTAGGTAATAAGACTGCACATGTAACCCCTGAATCTACAATAAAAGTTGAAATTATAAAGAAAATAAATTGAATTAAAATTAAAAAGTATTTAAAAAATGAAATTGTGGCTCATTGTTTATTTTGCTTTTCAGTATTTATGAATGAGGATTTTAAAGTTTATGGGTGTTTTCCCCTTGTTTATAAGTCATTTAAGTTTTTATATAAATTTTCAGTATTCTCTGCCCATTTGTCTTTTGGATGGATGACTAGTCATTTCTCACTGATTTGTAGTCATATTTAAAAAGATTAGCTCTTTTTCTGCCAGATGTGTCATAATATTTTCCCACTTTTGCATATCTTTTCACTCTGTTTTTAATTTTACTGCAGTAGAGTTATTTAATACTTCTCTCTATAGTTTTTAGGATTTTGTCACTTTAAGAAAGGTATTTCTCATGCCAAAACTGGGAAAATATTTAACCATCTTTTCTTCTAATAGTTTATTTCACATGTAATTTATTTTTGGTGTAAAGAGTGAAGAAGCAAGCCCAACAACATTTTCTTTCTTTCTTGTTCTTTTTTGTTTTTATGATAGAGTCTTGCTCTGTCACCCAGGCCGTATTGCAGTGGTTTGTTCTTGGCTCACTGCAACCTCCGCCTCCTGGCTTCAAGTGATTCTCCTGCCTCAGCCTCCCGAGTAGCTGGGACTACTGATGTAAGCCACCATGCCTGGCTAATTTTTGTATTTTTAGAATAGAGATGGGGTGTCACCATGTTGGCCAGACTGGTCTCAAACTCCTGACCTCAGGTGATCCACCCTCCTCGGCCTCCCAAAGTGCTGGGGTTACAGGCATGAGCCACCGCGTCTGGCCAACATTTTTTATTTATTGAGTATTCCATCTATTCATCACGTAAATTGAATACGATATTCGTCACATGCTAAATTATTATATGATTCTATTTCTTTCACATATTCTTCTATTTGCTAATAATTCTACTTCCTTGGGTGTTCTTCCCTTTGCTGAGTTTAATGTCTCATTATACTAACAGACTAAAATATTTGGCAATTCTTAGTTATATGCTTTGTTTCTGAGATTCTCTCCACCCTGTCTATGGATATGCTGGGGAACTGCTGCCAGCATTTGTTGTGGGAGGAGTAACTCCTATAACATTTCTGCTTGGTTGTGCCAGTTCCTTGTCCCTGAGGGAAATCCCTCAAACAGCAGGAGACTGGAGTCATTGGCCAAACTCGCATGCCTCTCCTCATAAGCAACTCAGGAGGTATTTTATACAGTTCTCTTGAAATGTCAGTGAAATCAAATCCCCACTGCCTACAATGATGACCTGAACAATGTACCCTTTGGTCAAGTTTTCATCCTTCCCTGTTTCATTCTCCCTTCACCCTCACTCCTGATTCTGGGGATTACCTTCCAAATAAATTACCCGCTCATAACTCTTTGTCTCAGGCTCTGCTACAGGGGAACTCAAAATCAGACAGTACTGTTTAAAATTGCAAGTATCATACAGTTAACATTGTGGGAAGCAACATTAACAAACAGACAGTCACATTCTATACTTTGTGGAGAATATTCTACTTTTTTTTTTAACGGCAGCACTTTTATTTTTCCTTACACAATGATGTGTTGCTAATGTTCTCACGTAACAGTAGAAAACCAAAATTTGTTGTCATCTCTTTAAAGAATCAAGAATTGTGTACAAAAAAAAAAACACCTTACGTAAATTAAAGGATGAATACATTCATAGGTATAATGCAAACTGCTTCCAACTCAAGGCAAGTAACAGCCCACAGTGTTCTGGCAGGAAAAGATCAGCTAAGAAAGGAAACTGGGCCCTATGGCTTGGACTTTTCCAACCCTGACAGACCAGCAAGACAGAAACCACTGGCTCAGGAGCCCTTGCCAGCCTCTAGAGAAATTCCAGAACACTCAGCCCTGACACATTAATACCCTACACAGATCAGAGCCTGCTGGCCATGCAGACTCACCAAGCCACAGACTTGTCTTCCACAAACACTTTCTTACCTCAGCCACGAAGTGACCAAGCCACATGTACTAAGGGTTGAAATCAAAGATATGTACAGGGTATTAAACAAATACCAAGGGGAACAGTAAACTTGAATACAAGGTCAAAATCAGCAACAAGTTCTACAATGCACTGCTGATAGCAAATAGGAGCTTCAAGGACAAATTTCTTTTAGAAGGCTTATTCCAGTTTTGTGAGGCTAGCATGAGGTGTACACGTTTGCCAGAGGCAAATTTATACTTTTGAATTAACCCATGCAACAAATGCTACGAATCGCTCGCTGTCGATTTAGAAGCATTTGTGGTGGACGATGGGGGCGTGGGGGTACTGACTTGTCATACTCCTGCTTGCTAATCCACATCTGCTGGAAGGTGGACAGTGAGGCCAGGATGGAGCTGCTGATTCACACTGAGTACTTGCACTCTGGGGGTGTGATGATCTTGATCTTCATGGTGCTGGATGCCAGGGCGATAATCTCCCTCTGCATACTGTGGGCGATACCCACGTACATTGTGGTGCTGCTGGACAGCACCGTGTTGGCATACAGGTCTTCGCAGATGTCCATGTCACACTTCATGATGGAGTTGAAGGTGGTCTCCTGATGCAACAAGATTCCCTGCCCAGGAAGGAAGGCTGGAACAGCACCTCCAGACACTGGAACTGCTCGGTGCCAATGGTGATGACCTGGCCATCAGGCAGCTTGTAGCTCTTCTCCAAGGAGGAGGAGTATGCGGTGGTGGCCATATCCTGCTTCAAGTCCAGGTTGCGGTAGCACAGCTTCTCCTTGATGTCACGCATGATCTCCCCCTTGGCGGTGGTGGTGAAGCTGTAGCCGTGCTTGGTGGTGAAGCTGTAGCCGTGCTCTTCATGAGGTAGTGGGTCAGGTCTCAGCCAGCTAGGTCCAGAGGCAGGATGGCATGGGGGACAATGTAGCCCTTGTAGATGAGCACCATGTGGGTGACCCCATCTCTACAGTTCATGACAATGCCAGTGGTGTGCCCAGAGGTGTTGAGGGACAGCACTGGCCTGGATGGCCACATACATGGCTGGGGTGTTGAAGGTCTCAAACATGATCTGAGTCATCTTCTCTGTTGGCCTTGGGGTTCAGAGGGGCCTCAGTCAGCAGCAACATGTGCTCCTCCAGGGCCATGCACAGCTCCTTGTAGAAGGTGTGATGCCAGATCTTCTCCATGTCGTCCCAGTTAGTGACGATGCCATGCTCGATGGGGTACCTCAGGGTCAGGATGCCATGCTTGCTCTGGGCTTTGTCATTCACGTAGGAATCCTTCTGGCTCATGCCCCCCTTCACGTGCTGGTGCCGGGGGCACCAGATGATGGAGGGGAAAACAGCTCCCCCAGCAAAGCCAGCTTTGCACATGCTAGAGCCATTGTCAATGAGTGCCGCCATCTCTTCTTCCATTGCAGCGGGCAGCGGAGCTGGGCTCGGAGCGGCAGGGGGACATGGTGTGTGGGGTGGTGATAGCGAGTCATATTCTACTTTATATCAACAGAAACAATATAAGATCCTGCTAAGAAGGAGGATCTCATTCTGCTTGGTTGTGCCAGTACCTTGTTGCCTGGCGTGGATGGTCTCCATCTTCTATGGGTATCCTCAGACATGTCGACATTGCTCAAATTCTCTGGATCTAGTGCCCTGCTAACTGCTCTAGAACCCTTGTGTCTACCATAACATTAGATATAAGCTAAAGATAGGGGAGGGGAGGGACAAGGGCCAGACTTCTTAGTTGCTCCTGTGGTTTACCAAAACCATTGCACAGAGAATTGCTGTCTTTTCCCTTCCTGCTCTTTGTCCCTCCCATCTCTGGGCTTAGAGCTTCTATGGAAGCCCCCTGACCTTTGGCATATGCTATTGGCTTTGGTGCTGTCACACTTGTCTATCTCTGTTGACCAAAGATTCCTCCAAAATTTGATCCATCAATGGAATTCTCTTTTTTAAAAAAATTTAGATTCAATGGGGAGTACATGTACATGTTTCTTACAAGGGTGTATGTGGTAATCGGGCTTCTAGTGTACCCATTACCCAAATATTGAACATTTTATTCAATAGATAGTCTTTCAATCCTCACCCTCCTCCCTACCTCCACTTTTTGGTGTCCCTAGTGTCTATTATTTTCATTTTTATGTCCATGTATACTCATTGTTTAGCTCCCACATATAAATGAGAACATGAAATATTTGATTTTTTGCTTCTGAATTAGCTCACTTAGGATAATGGCCACCAGCTCCATCTATGTTGCTGCAAAACACTGATTTCATTCTTTTTATGGCTGCATAAACAAAGGATCTCTTTTCTGTCATTCCTAAATTTGTATCGAAATGGCAAGCAGGCATGGGCAGTCAATGTGCAGTTTTGACTCAAACTATGCCTTCTTAGCAGGATCTTACACTGTTTCCATTGATAAAAAGTATAATATTCCACACGAAGCATGATCTGGGACTTTCCATTTATAAATGTTGCTTTCGGCAACATTAACTGTTCGATACTTGCAATTTTAGAGTGTACTGTTTGATTTTGAGTCCCCCTTTAGTAGAGCCTGAGACAAGGCATTATGAGCAGATAATTTATGTGAAAGGTAATCCAAGGAATCAGGAATGAGGGAGAGGGGAGAATGAAATAGGGAAAGAGGAAAAGTTGACAAAATGGCACATTATTTAGGTTATCATTGTAGGCAGTTGAGGTTAGGTTTCACTGATATTTCAAGAGAAATGTATAAAATAATTCCCAAGTTGTTTATCTGAATCAGGGAGGCATGCATATTTGCCCAGTGACTCCAGTCTCTTGTTGGTTGAGGGATTTCCCCCATGACTTTAACCCAACTCTTATATTTGTGTCCCAGCTGGCTGAGCAGGCTCCTGCAGTGTCAGAGAAGAAATGATACCTCCAAAGAAAAGATGACCAGGTTCATGGGCAAGAAAAGATATCCTGTGCATGCTTGAGGTTGGTCATCAGCAGCATGAAGTTATCCACGTTGAAATAAAACTATCCATTGCACCTGCTACTGAAATCAGAGTTCAACCAAACGACTGATAGCAGCTCTGGAGACATCTGAGAAAAGTTCATGGTAATCTTAGCAAAGTGTTCTGTGGAAAATAAATTATAGAACATACCTAGAATGGTCATTGCCTTTCTACAACTTCTATGAGTACTGTGCTAAATTCAAATGTGACCCTCTAACAATGTACACGTGGTACCACCTTAACCTCTGCAGCAAGAGCAGGGTTTGATATATCTCAAAACATATGAATGAATATGATCTGAATCATCCTAGAACTCTCTACATACAGCATGTCCCTCAGAAGCTGATTTAGTGTTACTATGATATGTAATTATATAGTCTTTTTTAATTTTTTTTTTTCTGAGACAGAGTCTTGCTCTGTTCCCCAGGCTGATTGAATGCTGTACACTTTAGAATGGTGTTAGAGCAAAGTAGCTGTTGCCCCAATACTGGACTGCTGTTCAAGGCATGCTTTTATTTTGCCTGTTTTGGCTAATACTTGCTTTCCAGAGAATAGATGTATAAACACTCCGTTAGGGTATACTTGCCCCGTGGAGTCCAAGAAGAGACCTCAGCATGCTTCTCAACACTGTACTCCAAGTTGGTGCTTGAATTACAGTTTATTGTCAATTTAGTATAATATCATTTCTTATTTTATTATAATAATCAAATTTACTCAATCCCAAGTGCTTCATTCAAAACTCCACAGGCACTAAAACATCCAATAAATTGCCAAAATTCATATGTTGACAGCAGCGTTTGGTAATAAAACTAAGTTGACCCTTACCATGCATTAGTCCTGGTTACAGACCTTAGATTTCTCAACAAAACAAAGACTAATAATGCTGGTAAATCTTGTGTTTACACTAATGTTACAAGTTCATAAGACTGAAATAGAGCTTGAGAGCCCAAATTGTAGTACAAACAACCCTCACTTTACACAGTTCATTGGAACTGTATCCTCACTTTGCACAATTCTATGGTCCCTGAGATTTAATCTTCATTAATAGGGAACCATGCAAAGAAAAGGCATAATTCTGATGTGCACACATTTCAGTTAACAGAGTACTGGGCAAAGGAAGGACTTCCTGTGTATAATTTAATTCACATAACAGCATAATTATCTGGCCCCGTGTCGTTCATGCTTTCAGCTTCAATATAGGAAGTCTTGCAGCGCATGAAATTTAGGACCAGGTTTACCGACAGGTATTGTACTCTGTAATAGGTCTGCCATCATTTATTTAAGCATAGGTTCTCTTCAAATTGCTGGGGAGAGGACATACTCCACTGCCTGCAAAAGCACTTGAATGATTTGTACCCACTGTTATTTTTATCTCTTTAAATATAAGATCCCATTCTTATTGCCAGAATATCTTGGTTCAAAGTATTAGCCAAAACAGGCAAAATAAAAGCATGCCTTGAACAGCAGTCCAGTATTGGGGCAACAGCTACTTTGCTCTAACACCATTCTAAAGTGTACAGCATTCAATCAGCAAATCTTAAAAAAAGAACATCATTCACTGATCTTTAATGACATTAATATAATATTTCTGTAGTTAATAATAGGTATATTTCATGACAGTAGCTGCATTTCAAAAAACTTTAAGCTTTGCAAACAAGCTTGGGGACTTGTAGAATTAGAACAAAAGGAGTAGTTATTTTTAAGTATGTTTATCAAAACGTTGCTATTGAGTTTCAGTTTCTGCTCCTGTCTATTGTCTGTGGCATTGCTAATTGCCATTTTTACTTGCCAGTACCATTCTCTCAGCTTTCAAAAATGTCCAGTCCCCCATATATGATGCCTACAAGTACAACTCATTCTGTTGTAAATATAAAAGTATCAATGATTTTAGAACTGGAAGGATCCATTTAAAAAATCAATTAGTCCAGTTTTCTCATTTTAAATACGAGGTAACTGAAACCCAAGATTTGAAATGATGTGGCAATGTCTCACAACTTTAGAAGTAGACTCCATCTTTCTTTCAAATCTTTCATTCTGGAGTGTAACATTAGAATAGCGTCACCAGCATATAGATAATTCCTGGGAGAAAACATGGAAAATCAAAAGACCTGCTTTCATAGGCAGATTTCTGGGTAATTTCCTCCATCCTTATTTCTTTTATTGTTATTACAATATGTTGTTTCAATGAATAAAAATTTGAGGAAAAATAAAAAAGAAGCAAATTGCAAACAATTAGATTTATCAGTTTGTCATGAAAAATAGTATATTTAACATATGTTTCTCCAGATAAAGCAGCCTGGGGGAAAAACAGTTTTGAAGGAACAGCAACAAGAAGTATTTTTCTGACTCAGGCCTTGCCACAGGATTGCAAGAAATTTAGCCTCCTTTAAATTCTTCCCAGCTAGTTCAGAAAGTCATTTTCTGGGGCTGTTTCATGCAAGTACATATTCTCATTCCTTAGCTCCCATGGTAAGCCTACTGATTCTTACTCTCTGTGCTCTGTCATTTCTCCTTTGGGTGAAGTCCTGAGACACCCCTGGCCTCCTATCAGGAGAGAAATTTGAGAATCAGAAAGCATCAATGGAGATGGTGCCATGCATCCTGGATGGCTGTGTCTGGATTATTCTCTGCTAATGTGGGAGCCCCTTAGCAAAGGGTCATGGCAAAGAGTTACTTGCTCCCTAGCAGAGTCCACCTTTGTGATATTTACCTAAGGGATAAAGTCCTAAGTCCTGGTGGTGGGAAAATCTTGCCCCATGTAATTCAGGTAGAGCACTCTTTCAGAGAAACACAAACTTAAGGTGGGGTAGATTTTTTCATAAGCCACTTGGAGGTCAGCTGACCTTATTCCCTGTTGTCAGTGAGACCAAAGCGGACACAAAGCACCCATCTTCCCCTCCACTTGGGGGACAAGAGCCCACATTTTGATTCTCTTGGAGCAATAGGCTCAGGAAAGCAATGCGCTGCCACCTGAAGAATGAGAGTCTGCAAATCCTGCCCTGGGGAAGGCGGTCAGGACTCCTTTTGCAGATAGCTCAATGGGGTTTTTGAGGGACCTGTGGGGTCACCAGACTGAGAGGGACCTTGAGTTTGAAGTGAAAATGGAGAAAGAAGAGAGGAATGGAAGAGACAGATGACATTGAGAGTGACAGAGTATTCCCCTGAGGCAATCTCCGAAGATTTACACTGTGAGATGTTTCCCCTCCGCAGAGGAAATAATTATGTAAGGTCCCTAGTTCTTGTCTTCCCATCTGGCACTACTTCTGGTGTCTTTCCTGGCTCTTCAATCAAATAGCACCTTCACCTTCATCTGACTCAGTGTATGTCTATGCTGCAGAAAACGGTGTAGTTTTCCATACTTAGGAAGCACTCAACACCTGCTTCCTGATTGCCCAGGTAGGGGAAAGAGGCCCCTCCCTTGTGCTCAACGGAAGGAGGAGATAACTTGACTCTTCGACTCCTTCACAACACAGCTTTCCTGGCCTTTGCCTCACACCAAGCCCAGAAAGAAGGTCACACTGTGCTACTCCAGGGCACCATTCAGATCAGACGCCACATGGAAGGTGTCCCCTGTCAGCATGAAATGTCGATTCATTTGTATTGCTCTGTAGAGAGTACGATAAACTTAGTGGTTTAAAACATTGCAAATGTGTTATTTTATAGTTCTGGAGGTCTGACATGCGAAATCATTTTCACAGGGCTGAAATCAGGGTGTCAGAAAGCCCACCTTCTCTCTAAATGCTCTAGGGGTAGGGGAGAATCCATTTCCCTGCCTGCTTCCAGCTTCTAGGGGCTGCCTGCATTCCCTGGCTCCCACCATCTTCAGCATCCTCCTCGCTCTCTGATCTCGGCTTCCAATCTTACACCTTCTCATTCAGACCCTGATCCTCCTGCCTTCCTCTAATAAGGACTCTTGTGATTCTATTTGATTTATCCAGATAATCCAGGATAATCCCTCCCTCTGTGTTAGGTCATTCTGTGTTGCTATAAAGAAATACCTGAGACTGGGTAATTTATAGAGCAAAATGGTGTTTTTATTTTTTTGAGACAGAGTTTTACTCTTATCTCTCAGGCAGGAGTGCAGTGGCATGATCTCAGCTCACTGCAACCTCTGCCTCCCAGGTTCAAGTGAGTCTCGTGCCTCATCCTCCGGAGTAGCTGGAATTACAGGCATCCACCACCATGCCCAATTAATCTTTGTATTTTTAGTAGAGACAGAGTTTCACCATGTTGGCAAGGCTGGACTGGAACTCCTGGCCTCAGGTGATCTGTCCACCTCGGCCTCCCAAAGTGCTGGGATCACAGGCATGAGCCACCACACCTGGCCAGCAAAGTGGTTTAATTGGCTCAGGGTTTTGCAGGCTGTATCAGCATGATGCCAATATCTGCTCAGCTTCTGTGGAAGCTTTAGGGACTTTTCAGTGGAAGCAGGAGCAGGAACATCACATGGGGAGAGCAGGAGCAAGAGAGAGAGGAGGGGGCTGTGGGAGGTCAGGGAGGCGCCACATACTTTTAAACAACCAGATCTCCAGAGAACTCACTATTGCCAGGACAGCGCCAAGCCATGAAGGACCCACACCCATGACCCAAAGTCCTCCCACCAGGCCCCACCTCCAATACTGGGGCTTACAGTTTAACATGAGATTTGACAGGGACATATATTCAAACGATATCACCCAGCAACTAAACATCCTTAGTCTAATCACTTTCACAAAACCTCTCTTACTGTGCAAGGTGACATATTCACAAGTTTGGGGGATTTGGATGTGGACGTCCTAGGAGGGACCATTATTCAGTCTACCATAAAGTGCAGATACATGTGGAGGCCCTGGGCAGGGACCCCTTTGTTCTGTGTATGAGTCTTAATTTCTAAAGCTGACTGAGTGTTAGCACGGAGAGGTCAATGCCATCAAAAAAAAGTTTGTTGTTGCTTGCAGTTTCACTGGAAAAGCAAGGCACAGTGTGCCATTCAGGGCCATGGGGGAAGCACCAGTGTTGGTCAGGAGACAGAAGCAGGAGGGAGGGGGCAATCCTGGACCATAGCCTTTGCTGGGGTGTCCCTGGGAAAGGCAAGGCACAGTAGTTAGGGTTGGCCAGTTTGGATAATTCCAGCAGGCTTTAGGCTAGAAGAGTGGTTTCTGGTTGTCTGGTATGTGGCCCCGGGATTATTAAGACAGAAGAATATTGCTTTCTGCAATATACAGGATAGAGAAGGTAAAGCTCTGAACTGGCTAGTTTACATATTGAAGCACTTTTTTTTTTTTTTTTGAGACAGAGTCTCACAGTGTCCCCAGGCTGGAGTGCAGTGGCGCGATCTCAGCTCACTGCAACCTCTGCCTCCCGGATTCAAGCGATTCTCCTGCCTCAGCCTCCCGAGTAGCTGGAACTACAGGTGTGCCCCATGACGCCCAGCTAATTTTTGTATTTTTAGTAGAGATGGGATTTCACCATGTTGGCCAGGATGGTCTCCATCTCTTGACCTCGTGATACACCTGCCTTAGCCTCCCAAAGTGCTGGGATTACAGGCATGAGCCACTACTCCTGGCCTAAAGCACTTTTCTAGCTGAGTTCTTTGCTGTTCCTAAGAACTGGCTAGCCCCAGGTGGGCCAGTCTGTCCCCAGACAAAAAGATTTTTTAAAATATAAAAACATCATAATATACAAAAAATAAAAAATCTAATTAATACACCCCTCCACCCATGTTGGGACAAACTGAAGGTCAGGCTCTCTGCCTTGGGCCACTATGATTCTACTTCTCACATATTGGTCTCCCAGGTCCATTATCCTAGTGTCCTCACCCGCTGAACTGAGGGCTGCGTTCTGTGCCTGTATTTTTCCCACCATCATGATGTGGACCCCAGAAAAATATACCTTCCACTGTTCCCAGAGAAGTCTGAGTAGTAGAGTTAATTTCCCCTCTGTCACTAATCAATTGTTACAGACAGATCTCACAACTCCTTCATTTTATCTTTCCATAGGATGACTTCTTTACTTGGAGGCTCTTTCCTGTGTAGAGAGAACACTTAAAGACCAGACCCACAAGACATAGCAAAAAATCCATGTGTCTGAGTCCTCAAGGTGGGCACACATTAAGCCCTTGAGCTAAGATCCTAATGCCATCATGATTCAAGAGAAAATTGCTGAGCCTGAAAACATAAACCTTTGGATATATTTTTTCAGTAAAGTAACTAATAACTTTGAATGAGGGGTGAGATTTAAACAAACGCTACTTGATATCAATTACAATACACTATTTATCTTAATGGTGTAATTTGGAAAAATTATGCTTGGCATTATGTAAATATAAGCTTTTCCAATAATATAAAGCATTTATTCTACTAAAAATTTTATTACATTAAGATAAATAGAAAGCAGATTTGTCAAAAATAGATCAGCATGAATAGTGATACTACTACCAATAAATACTAATAAGATCCTCCCATGAATAATGAATGTTGTGCTGTATTCTCACAGCCAGGTTGGCTCGGGAACAAACTTGGAGGCAGAGGGAGAGCCACATCTATCCTGCTTCATATTCTAACTCCTAATCATCCAAGCTTAGGATGGAGTGGCTGAATAGACATTACCTCTTATTATTTTAAAAAGTCCTATAATACAAAAATTATCATGAGGGTGCACAGCCAGTACATTAACTTCAAATCTGGACTCCCAGTAGAGTTTATTTTTTGCCAGCCCTTTATCTCAACACACACACACACACACACACTCACAGAGAGAGAGAGAGAGAGAATTATTGCAGGGCTTAGGAGAACCCTGGTCTTGCAGAGAGGATACACATCATAGAGATTGTAGACACACGAAAGATTTAGGGTAGATTGAAACAGAAAGCTGCAGCTCAATTGTCAGGTTAAAAACAAGAGATCAGAAGATATCTCTGATTAGTAACAAGTAAGTACCCAAATTAAGAAAAAGACCTCTCCATGAAGACCATGCTTTGGGGAAAAAAAAGTAATCAGAAGGCAAAAAAAGAAATTAGACCACCCAGAAGACAATGAAAACTATACCAGAGCTATTATTCTTTCATTTTTCATTTGAGGAAACTCAAGATGATATTGGCAACCGCAATACAGGTGGGACATCCAAACTCGGAAACTGTTTGAGTGCTGCCATGAGGCCACAAGTGGAAAATCCCACACCTGACCTCACGTAATGAGTCGAAGTGAAAACACAGCCAAAACTTTGTTTCATGCACAAAATTACCCAAGACATTATATATAAAATTACTTTCAGACTATGTAAGATATATATGATGCATAAATGAACTTCATGTTTAAACTGGAATCTCCTCCCCAAGATGTCTCACTCTGTAGATGCAAATATTCCAAAATGCCAAATGTGAAACACTCCTGGTCCCAAGCATTTTGGATAAGGGATACTCAACGTGTAAATCCTTTAGTGTCTCTTATATATAACTAGTTCTTATTCTAAAATGAGGATGTGGTTTTTCATAATGTAAGAAATACAAGTAGCTACATGATCTTTGAAGGTCAAGGAGTGCCAGTATTTTTAGTTTTGTATGTGCAGTTCGTCAGTTCTGAGCCACATTCACAAAGGTCAGCAAAGAGCCTGACTACAATATTTAGTTAACTAGATAGCATCCTTATGTATAAAGCCTCCCTGGGTATTACTATAGCAGAATAACTGAATCAGGAGAACTTCTGCTCATCTATTACAAGCTTGATCATTGTGTCCTTAGTAACAAGATAGAAAATAGAAATAACATCTATCACAGAATCGTGTCTCAGGGAGCTTTATTTCTATTTAGGTTGCATTAGGTATTTCCTCTCTAGATATGTAGGATAGCCCTAAGCTGATTAAGAGGGTCTTGAGCTTTACTTTGCATGGGCAAATGAAGGGGGAGGAGTTTCCTGGAGTCTCTTAAAGGCTGAGATCTAGAAAAATGGAGGGAAGGGAAAAATGTGAGAGGGGTTTGGAGTGAGTGGAGGAGCTGAGTAATGTTGGAAAATAAAACCTCTCCATTTGCAAGATCTGCCACAATTTTAAATGCTAGGTGTGAGTGTTTTTATTGGGGTGAGCGGGATCACAGAAAATGAGTGATGTTCTATATTTAATTCAGTATGAAGCAGAGAAATAAGAGAAATGCTGGGAGGTGAGAACAAGAGTTTGGTGGGAACCAGAAGAACATGAGCCCCCCGGGAAGTGGCAAATATAGGGAGGCTTTGGACTTCCCACAACGTGTGGGTTAAAGCCAATTTGCATTTTCTCCAATTCAAGTGATTGGATGACTTCAGTAGGCATGTGAATTACACTCGTTTCAAAAGAGTTCATCTCTGCTTTTTAAAGAAAGTATGTTTTGTAAGTCTCACAAGGCAAAGGTGAGTTACAAATCCACTGCACTATGCTATCATCAGCTGGGCAGGAAGAGGAGGTTGAGATACACAAAGGAGAATTCTGTGGTCAAAGCTTGGAAAGAGCACGGACGTGACCAGGAAGGAGAACAGGCTAGAGTGAGAGGAATTTGGGAGTAGGAATTCAGGCAATGCTGGCATGTGGTCAGGATCCATGGTAGCAGATAACCTGATACCATGATGCTCACAACCGTGGTAGTAACAGAGCATGAGGATTCATTTTGGAGAAAAAGGACATGATTGGCAAAGAAGGGAGGGCTGCGGGGAGTTCTTTGATAACCACATCGTCACATTTTGAAAGGGGAAGAGCTCCAAGATTTCACAGTCATCCTGAAGGCATAGCTGTTTTGGCCATCGTTTTGGTCAATTGTGGTGATAAAAGTTTGTTAATCTTTCTAAATATCATAACACTTGTTCTATGCATTAATGTTAATATTACATAAATAATAATTTAAAATGTCAAATATAACATCAATAATAAATTATAAAATATATTAATATATGTATTAATATTCTAATATTACACATTTTGGAAATCTTTTAAAATATGTGGTAAAGTGAAAGAAATTTTTACACATATTTAATTACTTTTTTACTGAGTAACATTAGAAATCCATCATGAAGTCAGTAAGTTTCAGATTTCTGAATAAAAGACAATTAATAACACATCTAGCAGATGAAAAAAGTCAGCCAAAATAATTACAGTAGAACTCAAGAAATTGGCCTGAAACATTCTGACACATGATTTGGGAAAAGAAAAGCTTCCCTACTCCAAAATACACTAAGACAATATAAAAAAATCATTTGAGAACCTCACTTTCTGCAGAGAAGTAAACGAATGCCAGGAAGATCTATTTTAAGAGCTATAAAAATAACTAGATAGGCAGTCAAGTAAACTTTAATATGTCCCCTTGATGAATTAATCCCTTTAGTATTACAAAGTGGCCCTCTTTATTCATTTATTCCTTGTTTGGAAATCTACTTTGTCTGATATTAATATAGTCATCCCAAATTTTTGGATTAGTGTTTGCATAGGATATCTTTTCCATCTTTTACTTTAAAAAGAATTAGCTTTATTGAAGTATAAATTACACACAAAATATTCACCAATTTTAGGAGTTCAATTTGAAGAGTTTTTGCCAAGGCACATGGCCATAAACCTCTATCACGATGATGATATAGAAAGAATATTTCCATTACCCCATAAACTTCCTTCATCCCCCCTTTCAGTCATTCCCTTCCCCTTTCCATTGAACCTGTCAACAATTGATCTACTTTCTATCCCCATAGTTTTGCCTTTTGTAGAATTTCATACAAATGGAATCATACAGTATGTAGTCTTTTGCGTCTGGCATCTTTCACTTAGCACAGTGTTTTAGAGATTCCTCTACGTGGATGAAATGTTATGTGGATCAGTAGTTTGTTCCCTTTGACTGCTGAGTTGTACATTTTTATAAGATTAAAATGGTCTTCCATTCATCAGCTAACAGAGATCTAGGAACTCTCTAGTTCGGGAGTATTATGAATAAAGCAGCTATGAACATTCTAGTATAAGTCTTATATAGATATACTTCCCAGGATACATACCCGGGAATAGAAATGCTGGGTCATATGGTTGGTGTATGTTTATCTTTGTAATAAACTGCCAAACTGCTTTCCAAAGCAGCTGAACTGTTTTGCATTCCCACCAGCAACCTGTAAGAGTTCCACTTGTTCCGTGTCCTCACCAACACTAGTTTCTTTCATTTTAGTTTTATTCTCACCTTTTAGCCATTATTCCTTTCAATTATAGCTCTAGTGGGTCTAGCTAATCTACTGTGGCAGTATTTCAGTGGTTTTCTTCGGCAGTGTCCAGATATTAATGATGCTGCACATCTTTTTATGTGCTTATTGACTATTTGCATATATTCATTTTCAGTGTATTCAAATCTTTTCCCCAGTTTTAAATTGGGTTAGATGTCTACTTTTAAAAAAAAAATTGTGTAAATTTAAGAGGTACAAGTACAGTTTAGTTATATGGATATATTGCATAGTGGTGAAGTCAGGGCTTTTAGTGTAACCATCACCCAAATAGGGGTACATTGTCCCTATTAGATAATTTCTTGTCAGCTACCTGCTCCCAACCTCCTACCCTTCTGAGCTTCCCATGGCTATCATTTCACATTATGTCCATATGTACACCTTATTTAGCTTCCACTGATAAATGACAATATGCAGTATTTGACTTTTGTTTCTGAGTTATTTCACTTAAGATAATGGCCTTCAGTTCCACCCATGTTGCTGCAAAAGACATTTCATTATTGTTCATGGCTGAATAGTATTCCATTGTGTCTACATACCACATTTTCTTTATCCATTCAGTTGGGATGGGCACTTAGGTTGATTCCACGTCTTTGGTATTGTAAATAGTGCCTCAAAAAACATAGGGTTGTAGGTATTTTTTTGATAAATGATTTCTATTCTTCTGACTAGGCACCCAGTAGTGGGATTGCTGCATTGAATGGTAGTTCTATTTTTAGTTCTTTGAGAAATCTCTATACGGTTTCCCATAGAAGTTGTACTAATTTACATTCCCACCAACAGTGTATGTGCATTCCCTTTTCTCCACTGTGTGTATTTGGATTAGAAGTCCAGATATACATTTTGCCAATATTTTACCCCAGACTGTGACTTGACATCATTTTCTTTACAGTGTTTATGAAAAGCAAATGTTTTAAATTTTAACAAAGTCCAATTAAATTTTCTTTAGTTTGTGCTTTTTCTGTCCTATTTAAAAATCTTTACCTACCCTTAAAATTGGTGAATATTTTCTATGTCTCCAAATTTTCTCATAAATTTTCTTATAGAATTTTAATAGTTTTGGCTCTGACATATAGGTCTATGCTCCATTTGAAATCAATTTTCGAATGTGGTATGTGTTAAGTTTTGAGATTTGTTTTTCTTTTATTTGCATATGAATAGCTGGTCTTTCCAGTATGGCTGGGGAAAAGATTGTCCTTTCCTTATTGAATTGCCTTGGCAACTTTGTCATGAATCAATTTAATATTTACATGGGCCCATTTCTGAAGTCTCCATTCTGTTCCATTGATCTATGTCTCTCAGGCACCAAGAATCCACTGCTTCATTACTGTATTTTCATAATAAGACAAAATCAGGTTGTGTAACTTCTCCAACTTTGTTCTTGTTTCTCAAAATTATTTTTGGAAATTCGAGGTTCTTTGAATTTCTATACAGAGAAGCTTTTCACTGTCTACAAAATAATTGATTTAATGTCAAAAAAAAAAAAAGCCTGTGAAGATTTTTGGCTGGTTTGTGTTGAAAATACATTTTAATTTGGGGAGAATTGAAATCTTAGTGATGTTGAGTCTTCTGAGCCAGGAACATAGTATACTATCCATTTATTTTGGTCTTATTTCTCTCAGAAATATTTTGTCTTTTTCAGTGCACAGTCTTGCAAAAGTTTCATTAAGCTTTTACCTAAATATTTCATAGTTTTAATTTTTTATAAGTAACATTTTAAAATATTTTAATTTCCAATTTTTTTCTATTGTATAGAAATACAGTTAGTTTTTGTATATTGATCTTTTAGAGTCTATGAATTTCCTAAACTTATTTATCAGCTCATTTTTGGATTTTATAAGATTTTCCACATAAATGATCATGTTGTCTGTGGATAAAAAGTCTTAATTCAGTTTTCAGATCTGTATGACTTTTTCTTGCCTCATTTTGCTGAACAGAATCTCCATTATGGTATTGAAGAGTAGGAGTGAAAATCGCCTTTTTCCCAGTTTTCACAAGGAAAGTGTCCAGTCTTTCATAATCTATATGATGTTAGCTGTTGACTTTGTAATAAAGAAGATCCCTTTTATTATTTATTGACAAAAGTTTTAATCCTTTTTATCATTTATTTAGTTATGAATATTAAATTTTCCAAATAATTTTTCTGCATCTATTGAGATAATTTTAAAATATTAAACAAATCTTGCCTTTTTGTCATAAAGCTCACTTGATCATGGTTTATATTTCAATAAAATATTGCTGGAATAAATCTTTTTAACATTTTATTAACATTTTTGCACTTGTGCTCATATAGATACTCTCTGGTTGTTTTCTTTTTTGTGATTCCTTGTCTGTCCATGAATTGTGAGTGCCTTACTCACAACTTCATGAGTTAGAAAGTATGTTTCTCTTCTAGTTTCCAGGAAAGTTTAACAAAATTGCTCTGGCTTGTTCGCTAAATGTTTGCTAGGATTCAACAATGAAGCCATCTGTTCCTGGAGCTCTTGTTTCTGGGAAGGTTTTTTACTATGCTTAGGATACTCACAATATTTCTTTTAAAGTAAGATTTAGTAGTTTGTGTCTTTTAAATAATGTGTCCATATTGTTAAAAACTGTCATATTCATTGGTTTATAGAGTTGCTGGCAATAGCTCCTTATTGGTCTCATAGATCAATAGAATGTGGTTTGTAGAATGTGTGGTAATGTCCCTCTTTTATTCCTGACTTTGGTAATTTGGCCTCTTTCCCCTGCTTTTTTGATCAATCTTGGTAGAATTTTGTAAATTTTGTGGATGTTCTTCATAACCAGCTTTAGATTTCATGGATTTTCTTTGCTATATTTTATTTTCTTTATTATTGATTTCTGCTCATATCTCCTTTCATTATTTCCTTTCATTTCCTTTAATTACTTTTGTCTAGTCTCTTTAAAGTGGGATCTAAGAACATTGCTTTGAGCCCTTCTTTGTTTTCTTATATGAACATTCAACTCTATGTGGATGCTTCTCCACTTACAATGGGGTTACATCCCAAGAAACTCATTATAAGTTAAAAATATTGTCAGTTGAAAATGCATTTAATACACCTAAGCTACTAAACATCATAGCTTAGCCTAGTCTACCTTAAACACACTCAAAACACTCACTAGCCTACACTTCGGCAAAATCATCTAACACACAGCCTATTTTATAATAAGGTATTGAATATCTCATGTAACTTATTAAATACTGTACTGAAAATGGAAAGCAAAATGGTATATGGACACTCAAAGTATAGTTTCTACTGAATGTGTATTGTTTTCACACCATTGCAAAGATGAAAAGTCATAAGTTGGACCACTGTAAGTCTGGACTGTCTGTATACTTCCCTCAAAGCATTACATTAGCTACACCTTACAAATATTGATGTTATGTTTTCATTTTCCTTCAGTTTGAAATATTTTCTAATCAACTGTTCTACTGCTTCTTTAATTCATGGGTTATTCAAACTTGTATGTTTCAATTTTCAAATATTTTAACATTGTCTAGTTATCCACTTGTTATTGATTTCTAATTTAATTTAATAATGGACAGAAAACATACTTAGTATGATTACAATCCTTTTAAATTTGATGAAATTTGTTTTATGATTCTGAATATGGTCTAATTTTGTGAATGCTTTCTGTGTACATTAAAATAATGGATATTCTTTTTTTGTTTTATCACTGACAACTAGGTTAAGTAAAAGTCATATATATGCTCACTGATTTCCCCACTTATTCTATTAATTATTGAGAGGAATGTTGAAGTTTGCAAACATAACTTTTTCTATTTTTCCTTTAGTTTGAAGTTTTGCTTTATGTTTTGAAGTTCTGCTATAAAATCTATTAATATTTAGGGTTAGTATGTTTTACTGATATATTAATCTATTATTTACTATGAAATATCTTTCTTTATCTTGATAATATTCCTTGTTCTTAAATTTACTTTGATATTAATATAACATTTCCAGCTTTCTTGTGATTAGGGTTTTCATAATATATTTTTCTCTATCTTTTTAATTTTAGTGCATCTGTGTCTTTAGATATAATGGCATTATTTTTTAAATCCAATCTAAAAATCTCTCCCTTTTCATTTGAATTCTTGGATCATTTGCATTTAATAACATTGTTGATGGGATTTTCACAAAATCCACCATCTTGCTGTTCATTTTCTATTTGTCCTATCTCTTATTTATTCTTTTAGCTTCTATTTTCTGCATTATTTTAACTACTTATATATTTTTAATACTTACATTTAGTCTCCACTACCACTATTTTAGGTGTAATATATTGCTTTATGTTTTTGTGTACTCCTTAAGATTTAAAATACCCATCTTTAACATTACACAGTCTACCTTCAAATACTATTATATTACTGTTATACACTGACTAAATCTTTTTTTTTTTTCTTTTTTTTTTTGAGAAGACGGAGTCTCACTCTGCAGGCTGGAGTGCAGTGGCAGAATCTCAGCTCACTGCAACCTCTGCCTCCTGGGTTCAAGCAATTCTCCTGCCTCAGCCTCCTGAGTAGCTGGGACTACAGGTGTGCACCACCACACCCAGCTAATTTTTGTATTTTTGGTAGAGACGGGGTTTCACCAGGTTGGCTAGGATGGTCTCAATCTCCTGACCTCGTGATCCTCCCACCTTGGCATCCCAAAGTGCCAGAATTACAGGCATGAGCCACCGCGCCCAGCCTATACTGACTAAATCTTATAACACATTCTTCTATTGTGCTGTATTTGTGATGCATTTTATTTCTGCATATGTTATGAATCACACAACACATTATCCTTATTTTTGTTTTAAACAATTTTCTTCTGAAGAGACTAAAATGAGAAAATATATTTTATACTCACCCACATATTTATCATCTCTAAATGTTTTCATTCCTTTGTGCAAATTTCAGAATCCCATCTGTTATCACTTTTGAGAAACTTTCCTTAAGAGTTCTTGAGGTGTAGATTTGCCAGAAATAACTTCTCTAACTGTGGTTTGTCTAAGAGTTTTTATTAGGCCTTTATTTCTGCAACATATTTTTGCTGAGTATACGATTTTTGGTTGACGTTTTCTGACATAAGATTTTAAGGACATTGCTCCATTGTTTTCTGGGTTACGTTTTCTTCTGACAAGAAATATGTTGTCATTCTCACCTTTGTTCCTTCATGTTTCATGTGTCTTTTCCTCTTTAGTTGTATTTAAAAGTATCTCCTATTCACTTGTTTCCAGAAATTTGATTATGGTATTTCTTGGCATAATTCTTGAATCCATGAGTTCATAAGTTTTATCAAATTTGTAAAACTCTGGTATTCACTTCCCCAACTTTTTTTTCTGTTTCTCCTCCTCTCCTTCTGGAGCTTCAATTATATGTTTATTAAACTAATATTGTTGCTCAGATAACTGATTCATTATTAATTATTTTGTCTTGTTTCTATCTCTACTTCATTTTGGGTAGCTTCTATTGCTGGCTTCAGAGTTAACTACTTTTTTTCTTCAGCGTCTCCTTTATCTAATTTTACCCTGTATGATATCCATTTTAGATATTACATCTTTTGCTTATATAAGTTCCCTTTTGGTTTTTAAAAAAATCTTTTATTTTCTCTTCATCGTAATGATGTTTTTCTCTACCTTGTTGAACATATGGAGCATATTTACAATAGTTGTTGTAATGTCTTTGTTGGCTACCTCCATCATCTCTGTCATTTCTGGGTCTGTGTCTATTAAGTGATTTTTCCTTTTGGCTTTGAATCATATTCTTCTATTTTTTGCATACCTGATAATTTTATTTTGATGCTGAATGTCACAAATTTTATAATTTGGTTTTGGTTGCTAGTTTTTCTGTTTTCCTTTGTATAGTTTTAAATCGTCCCTTGGTCACACTTAGTATCATTTGGAATCAGTATGATCCTTTTGAGGCACACTTTTATGCTTTGTTAGGGCATGCCCAGAGCACCCTATAGTTTAAATCTAATTTAATCCCACTACTAAGGTGATATCATTTTGTGAAAACTCAATGAAACATGCCTTGTAGGACCTTTCTACTCTGGCTGATGGGCACGTGAACTCAGTTTATGTGAACATTGGCAATTCTTCTGCTTATAGTTTTTCAGTGGTTCTTTCCCCAGCTTTGAGTATTTTTTTCTCCTGTGTATGCAGATTAATATCAGTGAAAGACTTAAAGCATCACCTCCACAAATATTCAGACTTTTCTTTATGGAGTTCCCTCCTCTCTGGCACTCTTCTCTGAAAATTCTAGCCACCTCTGTCTCCATGAAAAGGACAAAGCCTCTGAATTGTGTCTGCTCAACTCAGCAAGACTGTTGCCTCTGTTGGATTTATTCTCCTTGCACTATGGCCTAGAGCTGCATCCAGGCACTGAGCTGGTAAAATCACAGGGCTCACCTCATTTGTTTTTATTTTCTCAGGAATCACAGTGCGGCACTGCCAGTAGTCCAATGTCTGAAAACCATTGTATAATCTATTTTGTCCTGTTTTCTAGTTATTTAAGGAGGAGCCACTACTCTTTAGAAGAATTAGAAGCTTCCTTATAAAGAGATTTGAGGAAGACTGTAAAGATCTTTGCCTTCATCTCAAATGGAGGCAAAGGTAAGTCATTGTAAGGTATTAAGAAGAGCATGGAGTACTCAAAGCAGAATGAGGAGAAAACAGTTTGGACACTTACTCTAGGACATTGCTTGCATTTGTGTATCCTTTCAGAGGAAGCAGAGCTTGAAATCAGTCACACAGTCACAGAGAGAGAGCTTTGATGCAGAAAAAAAAAAAAGCACTGCATTTGGAGTCAGAATACTGAAAATGAGTGACTTACAGTTCTGCCAGTTGCTAATTATGTTATCTTGGAAAGTTTAACGCATTAGTTACTAAGTTTGTGATGTTGGTCAATGAGCTCATTTCCTTACATGCAAAATGGTGGTAAAATCACTTCCCTTCTAGGGCTCCTGAGAGAAACAGCTAGACATAAGATCGATCAGATGTGTATAGGTCGAGATAAGAGAGTTCTAATTCCATATCAGCCACTAGCATGCTGTGTCAACTATAACCATAGAAAGTTAACTATTGAAAGAGTTCTTGTAATTAATTAATTTTAATAATTTTAATTTATACATAAGAAACATAGGAATCTGAACTTTTGAAATAAAATTTATTATATTTTTTACTATTAAAATTATTTTAAGATTTTAGAATTTGGAAATGAAAACATTTCCTAGATAAACTTGAAGTTTTAAAAACCAAAAATGTGCAGTCTTATTATTTGAATATGTTAAGAAGGCAAAGGGAGGGTCTTAGTATGATCTAGGACTTCATTGAAAATGAATAGTCAATGTGACCCTAAATTCTTTTACTTGTGGATATCAGTGATAAAGTTGGGAACTGGCTAGGAATGGGGAGGAAAGTCAAATATCTCACTTTCCTCCAGAGAAAGTAGAAATTTATGATAAAAATACAGAATTAAATATTTTCCATATCCTATACCACAATTTAAAATAAATACATTCAAATATCATAATAAACTAAAGACATAAATACTATAAAACAATTAAAATATTTTAAGTGAGAAAATTTGAGATGGGAGTTCAGTAGACTTCCAAAGTAAAAATATTATTCTAGTAAGAACACTTGAATAGGAGCTACTTTTGTAGTTTCTAGCTTAGTGATAAGCCATAATTCCACTGGAGTTACAATATTGAATTATTATTTGATATTGTTTGCCCTCTTAATTCCCCTCATTAAAGCGAGTTTTTATTAACTTCTGCTTCAAGGAATATAAAATAGGGGTATTTTTCCCTATTCTTCCTGCTAAGTATGACTTAAAAACCTAGATGTTAGATATAAAATAACCGTAAGAGTACTTTGAAAAGTAGAGAAGGTAGTACTCTGGCCAAGACCTCAGGATTTAAGGAACAGCATAGAAATAAATTCCCTTTGTTTTCTTTTCTTCCTTATGTATCCCAGACTTGGAGTTAAAGAAGACAGCAACCTGGAAATGCCCGAGGATGTAGACAAAATAAGTTCAACAAGATGTTGCTCTCTCTAGACAAAGAGCCAGGAAGAGGGGATTCTCTCCAGCAAAGGCTGAGCAGAGAATCAGACTTCTATCTTTACCAGGCCATAATGAGGTGCCCCAAACTCTAGCTGGGGTAGTGTTAGAGAAGGCTAAATATGATGCTGGATTTCGTTCCAACCCAGCAGTAGTAAGAGACTTTCTACTTCCCATCTGGAATGATGTCAGAGGAGGCATAGTCAGAACTTTCACCACTGCTCAGCAATAACAAGGCCCACTCCATGCCTTGTGGTATCATTGGAGGCCAAGTAGGAACCAGTAATGAGGGATTGCTACCCCTTCTAATCAGGTTGGGATGCTAAGCTGGGAGTGGAAACACCCACGTTTGCCCAGCATTAATGAGGCTCACCTCCCCGTCATGTCAAAGTAGGCTAAATGGGAAACCTGGACCTTTGCTCCCACCTGGAAGTAATGAGGCATTGCTCCCTGTCCCACTTCACTTTCCAGAGTGGTTCCAGAGAAGGCAGCTAAAACAGGAAGTTTGCATAGCCCATAGTCTCACAACACAATACCCAAGATGTCCAGGTCTCAATAGAACATCACTCATCATACCAAGAACCAGGAAGATATCAAACTGAAAGAAAAAAAGACAATTAATAGATGCCAGTACCAAGATGACATAGATGTTAGAATTATCTGTCAAAGATTTAGAACAGTCATCATAGAAATGCTTCAGTGAGCAATTATAAACATATTTAAAACAAATGAAAAATAGAAGTCCTTAGAGAAGAAACAGAAAGTCTCACCAAAGAAATATAATATCTAAAGAAGCATGGAAATTTTAGAACTAAAAATAAAATAACTGAAATGAAAAATTCAATGGATAAGCCCAAAAGCAGAATGGAGGGAACAGAGAAAAGGAGTGAGTCGAAGACAGATAATAGTCATTACTTAATTTTAACAATAAAAATAAAATACACTGAAAAAATGAATAAAGGTCCCTGTTCCTCAGGGTCCTGTGGAACTGTGATGGTCAGTTTTATGAGCCAAATTGGCTAGACCATGGTATTCAGATATTTGGTCAAAAATTATTTTACATGCATTTCTTAAAGATAAGATTAACATTCAAATCAGTAGACTAAGTAAAACAGCTTATCCTTCATAATGCAGGTGGGCCTCATCCAATCAGTTGAAAGCTTTAATAGCAGACAACTGAGCTCCCTAAAGAAAAGAGGGAATTCTTCCAGTGGACCACCTTTCAACTGGAACTGCAACTCTTCTCCGGATCTCCAGCCTACCAACCTACCCTGCTGATTTTGGACTTGCCCAACCTCCACAACGATATTAGCCAATTCTTTAAAAATCTCATCTCTCTCTCTCTGTATATATAATCATAAGAATCTCAGAGGGAGAGGAGAAAGTGAAAGGGCTGAAAGAGTGCTTACAGAAATAATGTCTGAAAACTTCACAAATTTGACAAAAACTAAAAATAAATACATAAGACTACAAATTGGGTACACTGTGTACTGCTCAGGTGATGGGTGCACCAAAATCTGAGAAATCACCACTAAAGAACTTATTTATGTAACCAAATACCACCTGTTCCCCAAAAACCTATGGAAATAAAAAATTAAAATAAATATATAGATTCAAGAAGCTAAGTGAAACACAAACAGGGTACCCCAAACAAATTCACCCTGAGATACATTATAGTCAAACTCCTATAAACTAAAGATAAAAAATACGTAAAGCAGCAAATAGAGAAATGGCACCTTTTCTTTAGGGGAAAACGAATACAAATGACAGTGGTTTTCTTAACCAGATATCATGGAGGCCATAGGAAGTGGTACAATATTTTTCAAGGGTTGAAAGAAAAGAACTGCCAACGTAGAATCTTATAGGTAGTAAAAATATCTTTGAGGAATGAAGGAGAAATCAAGACATTTTCAGATGAAAGAAAACTGAGACTATCAGAACTAACAAGTGAGCTTATCAAGGTTGTAGGACACAAGATAAACATACATAATTGTGTTTCTATATACAAGCAATGAACATAATGGAATTCGAAATTAAAAATACAATATCATTTGTAACTGTTCAAAAATGAAATTTTTAATGATAAATACACATACAGAATTTGAATATTGAAAACTACAAAAGACTTATAAAAGAAATCAAAGAAATATATAAATAAATGGGAGGTAATCACTCTTCATAGCTTGACTCATAGTAAACATTATCCCCAATTGATATTATCCCCAATTGATGTATAGATTATATGCACTTTCTATTAAAATCCCATTTTGTAGATATAGGCAAAATTATTCCAAAACTTATATGGAAAGGGAAAGGTATTAGAATAACTAAAACTATTTAGAAAAAGAATAAAGTAGGAGGAATCAGTCCCTTCAATTTTAAGGCTTACTATATTGCAACAGCAATCAAGTTTGTGTGGTGTTTCTGGAGGGATAGACACACAACTTAGTGGAACAGAATAGAGAATCCAGAAATAGATCTATACAAATATGTCCAACTGATTTTTGGCAAAAATGCAAAAATTCAATGGAGAAACAAGAGCCTTTCAACAAATGGAGCTGGAGCAAACATTTATAAGCAAAATACAAACCTCAACCTAACTGTCACATCTTATGTAAAATTTAACTCAAAATGAATCACACACTTAAATATAAAACATAAACCTGTAACATTTTTAGAAAAAATCATAGCAGAAAATCTTCATAATCTAGGGCCATACAAAGAATTCTTAGGCTTGAAAACAAAAGTATGAGCCATACTTTTGGTAGTGGTATGGTAAATTACATTTCATTAAAATATAATTAAATTTAAATTAAAGTCTCTGCTCTGTGGAATATCTTTGTTGAAAGAGTGGGAAGACTGGGAGAAAATATTTGCAAATTACCAGTCTGGCAAAAGACTCATGTCTAGAATATTTAAAAAAACCTTCAAATCTCCATAATAAAAGTAAACAAACAATCAAATTAGATGATGGATAAGAGACATTTCACTGAAGAGGATATACAGATGACAAATAGGGAAATGAAAATTAAAACCACAATGAAACATTACACCTGTCAGAAAGGTTAAAATTAAAAATATTGAAAACACCTAATGGTGGCAGTTATAAAAAGAAGCTGAATCATATGTTATTGTTGGATATCTAAGATGGTGTATCAACTCTGAAAAACAGTTTTTCAGTATTTCATTTTTTTACAGACAGTAAACATGCCTCTATCATGTGGTCCAACAATTGCATGTTTGGGTGTTTATCTCAGAAAAATGAAACCTTATATTACCCAAATTCTGTATATGAATTTATAGTAGCTTTATTTGTAATATTCACAAGCTGGAAACAACTTAGATGTTTTTCAATGGGTGAATAGTTAAACAAATTGTGTTATATCTATATGCTGGAACAGCACTCAGCAAGGAAAAGAAACAGATTGATACATTCAACAACCCAGAGGAATATTCAGAAAATTGTGACTAGTGAAAAGGCTAGTCCCAAAGGTTAATACTGTGTGATTCAATTTTTATAATACTTCTGAAGTGATAAAATTATAGAAATGGACAGCAGATTCACGGTTTCAGGTGTTAAGGAGAGGTGAGGGTGGAAGGGAAATGGGATGGGTTATAAAAGAATAACTTGGATCCTTGTGATGATGGAAATTTTGGGGGCTTTGACTGCATCATGTAAATATCCTAGCTGTGATATTTTACTGTAGATTTGCAAGATGTTACTATTAGGAATGCTATGGAAAGAATTTGTCCCCTGCCAGATTCACATGTTGAAACCCTAAACTCGAATGTCATGGTGTTTGGAGGCGAGACCTCTAGGAGGTAATTTGGCTTAATTGAAATTATGGGAGGAGTCCTCCTAGTGGAATTAGTGTCCTTATAAGTATAAACACCAGACACCTGTTCTCTCTCTACCTACTCTGTGAGGACCCAGCTAGAGAGTGTCTGTTTGCAAGCCAGGAGCAGAGCTTTCGCCAGAAACCAGCCATGCTGGCATCTTCATCTTGGACTTCTAGCCTTCAGACTATGGGAAAATAAATTTCTGCTGGTTAAGCTACTCAATCTATGGTGTTTTGTTGTGGCAGCGTGAGCTGAAAAAGACAGGGAGAAACTGGGAAAAAGGTACACCAGAACTCTCTTTATTATTTCTTACAAGTTTATGTAAATCTATAAGTATCTCAAAATCAAATGTTTAATTGAAGAGTCTATTTTTACATAAATATTTGAAAGTTAATCTACTTTTGAAACTGTCTTAAATGTCTTCGTATGCCATAAAATAATGCTTCCCATTCACACAGTACTTTACGTTTTTCAGGTGATTTCACACAGTATCCTTCACCAGAATTTGGTTACACATTGGGGAGCCACTACTGCTCTTTTAGAAATGAGAAAACTGAACCCGCTAGAGGTAAGCTCGTGGGAATATAGCTGCACAACAAGGGACTGAAGCTTTGACACCTCTTCAGAACTTTTTCCATTTCAACAAGCCTACCTTAGAAGTAAAGAGATTGCCTAGCCATAGAAGAGGATGAGTTGCTTCTGTATCCCTAAGGATAACATTTGAAAATTAGTTTTGAAACTTTCTTTGAAATGTCTTAGTATACCACAGTATCCCCCATTCATATGGTACTTTATATTCAAGCTAGCGTGAATATAGTTGCCTGCAAGGGTTAACTTCCAGTTTGCTATTCTAGCCCCAACCCTCCAGATGAGGCTTTCCTGTGCACACCCTCTGAATGCAGAATGCGTTAAAAAAAAAAAAAGAAAGAAAGAAAGAAAGAAAAACTCTCTCTACAGAGTACGTTCAAGTATAAATATGTAAGGAATGTGTGGGGGAAAGTAGTGATCCTCTGTTTGCTTTTCATTAAGAATGGATTCCTGATACTCACCGTCCCAAGCAGAAAATCAAGGCTAGCTCCTAAGCACCAACTGTCTTTCCTTTGTGGGCTTCTGCCAAGTTCGTGGAAAACATTATACAATGCAAAAATTGTAGAGCTGGCTTCATGTTCTCTCACTCCAACTCCACTCCCTGTGTTAGGAATCGAATGGCAGATTCCACCTTTCAGCTGGAGCCCAAGGTTTTATTTTTCATTTGAGAATTCAGAACAGAAAGCACTTCCCGGTAGTTGTTATTTTGTGAAAAGACACAGTAAGCTGAATTTACTGAAACAAGAGCTCACTAGAATTCAGAGCTTGCTGTGTGCGTGTGACGAGCCGTGGCGTCTGGCTCACCGTTAGTACTTTAATTTCCTTTTTCAGGATATAAACCAGCAAGGTGCTTTGACAAGACGCTTGTTAAATGGAGAATGGAACCAGGTTATTCACTGTGGTGAGTAAATCAACCAAAACCAGAATCTAGCTTTCAAGTAGTTGGATGGCTCCCTTGGATCTTTATAGCCAGAAGACTGGGTGATCAGGTGATATACCTTGTTAACCTGAGCCACGATTTTACCCAATGCGGGTGATGCAAACCACAGTGGCTGAATCCCTGATACATGTGCGGGCACTTAGTTGTTGCATGGGTCTTTTATCAAGACCTTCAAGTTTAATCTAATCATGGCCACACTGGAGAAGGTCACCTGGGTAGACTAGGAGAGTGACTGACTATTCAGGGCATTCGTATTACATTATCTGGACCTGGCAGTTTCTTGACTAGTCCATAAGAACAATAGCTCCTATTATTTAAGTTGCACCTATTTGCCAGACACTGGGCTGGGTGCTGTGTGTGCCTTGTTCCAATTAATCTTCACAAGAATTGAAGAGGTGAATTGGATTAGCACCATATTAAAGATGAAAAAACTACGCAGGTAAGTGCCTGTCCTGAGATTTTATCTCTGGCAAGTGCAAATATGTAAGTTATACACACATCTGACTATTTTAAAACCCATGCTCTTTCTTTCCCCTGTTCAACATGCTCTGACGTCACTAAAACTCTTCAAGAGCTAACTTCTTGAGGGATCTAGAGAATATTGTGTTGGAACAGAGTGTCAAATATTAAATTCTGATTCTTAGTTTCTACAGCTTTCAAAAAGTCAAAAGCTGCTCTGATATGTTTCATATTTAGGAAAAAAAAAAAGGGGAATCCACTATGCTGATTTAAGTATCTTTGAACAGTTTTTATATTACTTTTATCGATAGTGGCATCTTAACTCCCTCTGAGTTAAGTCCTGATCATTTGGCTGGTGAATACTTTGTGCCTTCAGAAACCTAGTACGTCTGGTGACAGGAGCCATGAGACTTGGGCTCCAGCCTGGTTTTCACACTGATTTTGCAGTTATGACATTGGGCAAGCCAGTTTAGCAATCTTTGCTATAGTTTTATTGTGCATTAAAGGGACATAATACCTGCATATGTATCAGTTAGGAATGTTTTCAGATACATACAACAAAATACATGATTAACAGTAGCTACAAGCACAAGGGTATTAATAAAAGTTTGAAGGTGGGAGGACTAAGGCTAAATCAGCAACAATGGTGGCAAGAACCTATTCTTTTATGTAATTCACTCCTCCTCTTGCTGGTTTTCCTCATGCTTATGGTTTCAAAATGGCTGCTGCAGCTCTAGCATCACTTCCATACTCAACGAAGGAAGATTGAGGAAGGAGCAAAGCGAATTAGCTCTTCTTTACATCTATTCTTTTCATCAATAAGCAAGCTAGGTTTCTCAGTAATGCCATAATACACGTCCCTTTACAGCCTCATTATCTAAAATCGAATCCCTTGGTCACCCATCTGTAACTAAGAGGCCAAGAAAGAAAAGTGTCTGGCTTTTCAATCTTGATATCTGTATAGTCTGTTTTCATACTGCTGTAAAGAAATACCCAGGACTAGGTAGTTTAAAGGAAATAAGTTTAATTGACTCACAGTTCTGCACAGCTGGGGAGGGCTCAGGAAACTTACACTCATGGTGGATGGGGAAGCAGGTGCATTCTTTACAAGGTGGCAGGAGAGGGTGTGAAGGTGGAACTTTCAAACACTTATAAAACCATCAGATCCTGTGATAACTCACTATCATGAGAACAACATGGGGGAAACTGATCCCACTATCCAATCACTTCCCTCCCTTGACATATGGGGATTACAATTCAAGATGAGATTTGGGTGGGGACACAGAGCCAAACCATACCGTTATTAGAAGACAAAAAGAAAAAATAGAGCTCAGAATGGCTTTTGTAAGCAATTATTAGTGTCTTCCATGGTCTTAACCTCAAAGGATTTGCTTCATCAAAGTAAGCTTTCTTGCTTTGTCCCTATCCATCCTAAATAATTTGTAACCAGTATTTTAAATGATATAGTGTATATCCAACCATCTTTATCTGTGCAATGTCTCATACATGTGAAATACAACAATGCAGAATAAATACCATAGGTATTCAATCAATGAATTATTTCAATACAAAAAAAATGCCCACCTGAGATCTAATGTACAATATGTTTTTTGTGTCATTTGAAGTAACCTCTTATATTTGTGTTCTATTTCTTTTTCAATAGCTGGTAAACTAGACACAAGCTCTGAATAAATAATGCCAGAACATCTGGATAAAAAGAAAAAAATCGATTATCTGGATGTTTTGTCTACATAACATCAAAACATGTAGCATTGTATAGACAAAACATCCAGATGATTGAATATTTTACTTTTCATCCAGACAGCTTGTTGTCATGTCAATAAAAAGCACTGCCAAGGGGACATAAAAAGAAAAAACAGGGCATAGCAAAACTTGCCTAATTTGTAGACCATGAGAATTGGCCCTAAACTTGATATAGGAAAAGAGGACTATTAATGAGATACTGTATCAAATTAATTTCCAAAAATTCTCGACCATATTGGAAGAACCTGCTACCACAAGTTCATAGTGATCATAATAAGTGGTAGTTTCATTATGAAATGCTTAATAGAAAACACGCAAACCACTTTTTATTCGACACTGTGTTTATTTTATAGATGAAGCAATGCATTCACAAAAAAAAATACAGTGATTACTAAAACACTCCTTTATCTCCTGGAAGAACAAATACAGAAACTAATTCTAGTTGTCTCAACATAAGTCAACTTACTAGCCAGGACTCAAGTACAAATTCAGTAATTATTTACCTTTGGTGAGCCAGGGGCTGTGCTGTTGAATGTTTCATATGCAGGCTATCATCCAATTTATTCTACATTAATTCTGTTCGGTAGCAATTGTTATTCCTATTTTATAAATAGAAAACTGGGTCTTAAAAATGAAGGAAAATCTCCAAAATTCCACAGTTCCATTATTTCAACAAATAACATGATGCTTGAAAAAAAAATTTTTTTAATTTAGTATGTTTTGTTTTGTGTAAAATAAAGGAGTGAGGTCTTAAAACACCAAATTTTCAAAGCTTGGGTGTCATGACTCCTAAATGCTAGGAATTATGGCTAAATGCACTATGTCATGCTATTTTATTCCATCTGTTGTTAACACTATTTTTCTATGTTCCAAATCTAATATATCTAATTGAGAACTAAACTTGATGAAGAGGGATATCAGTATTTGACAGGAATCTTTATTTTATCCTTGAAGAAACTGACAGTGCAATGTCCTTAAATACCATCTGAAAAGCCTCACTGAGATAACAAATTACGTTTTATGACTCACTATTCTCATTCCATCTTAAGCAGAAAGTTCCAAATTCAATACACAGAGGTAACTAAGGGAACATTCTGTCTTCAAATCGTCCTTATGTAGTCTCTCAGTTTTCTGGCAGTGGTTTAGCTGGATGGGATCATAAGTGAGAGCCAGGGGAACCTTTTGTTTTGAGCCAAAAGTTGTGTGATCAGGACCCAGTGGTCTTGGATTTTCCAGGTCAAAAAGCTGTCAAAAAAATGTCATCGGGGAATGGGCCTGAGTAGGAAAGCAGTAGAATGTTCAACTTGAGCCACAGTGGTATATTACTCAGTGTAAAGAAACGCATCATTGTGATAACCTCTGAGCCCTGCAGCCACTTTGTGAAATACAGAATTGTTCTGATTTATGAATGCGATATTACGGCTGCAGCAAGTCTCTTACCTACACATGAAGTTTCAGACCGGGAGTACCAAGGTAAACCTCACCATGCTGCCCATTTATAAATTTCTTGTTGTTAAAATCCAACATTCTTCATGTACACATTGTATTTTAAACCTGAATTTGTTCTGGAACGAGATAGTGGTAATGGTTGCACAACTTTGAGAAGATACACACACACAGAAAATACTGGATTTAATTATGGTATGTGAGTTATATCTTAATTTAAAGAGAACCGTATTGGACTAATTCAGATGGCTTCTTGAACATCAAATGGATCTTACAAAGCAATATTTTTCTGATTTAAGTGTAAATGAAATAGAAACATATGGAGTAAATTTCTGCAAAATTGTGCATGATTTCAAAAATTAAGAGGGAAGCGTTCTTGGCAAAACCTAGTTGGGTTTTATCTAATCCAAACTATTTAAAAAATAGAGACATTTCATAAACCAAAAATACAGCTGGTTTTTCCATCCTTTATGAATTTGTTATGTTTAGTTCTTTACACTAAATACATTTCTACTTATATTGGATGGTACAGGCTGTTCAGATGCCCAGAGAGAGAATTATGAATACTTTGGATATCATATGATTGCCTAAGTATATGAATAGTTAGGATATCATAGAGCATAAAACAAGGTCAAGTTGTGAAAAAATTGCTATAGTTTATTAAATACCATTTTCAAGGAAATATTCTTTATTGAAATAATTAAAAGAGAAAGCCTATTATAGCGGCCTCTGAGTTAAGTTCAAGAGCACAGAATAACGGAAATCTCTGAGACTAGTCTTCAAAGTTCATTCCATCTTCATTATATGTTAATATTTTCTGGCCATATAAATACCATTGTCACTAAAAGTAAAGTCTTTTTGTAGTGTGCAAATGCAATCACAAAAAGGTAAATCTTTACACACATGTCAAATTTTTGAGGTTATCACACAAAACCTTGTAATCATTTTTAACCCATACATCTACTTATTTTTCCCTTGCTTTTCTGTTAAGTCCTAGACTGTAAACTCCTAAGCAGCAACTATGTGTGTCCTTTCCACAGTTGATTTCCAATGCCTGATGGGTCCTTTGCACCCACAAAAATGTGTTGAACAAATGCTCCTGATGGAATGTCATTTTAACTTCCATCACTTCTGCTGGTGTCAATTCCTCAAATAAGCATTCCCCGACTGCCTATGTCCATCATCTCTCACTCTCTATCCACTGATCTTTTTTAACTTTACTTCCTAGCATGCCATAACATGGCAGTATAATATACCTATCTATTTGTTTACTGTTTCTCCCACTGACGTATTACTCATTGAGGTCAGGCAGTTAGTTTTCTTCAATACTCTGATAATGGGAGTACAAAATCTCAGAAGATACAGAGAAGCCAGAGTTTGGATCACTCACTAAGTAATGTTGGATCCAAAGCCACAAGAGGAAATATTAAAAGAGGACATTCCATCTCATAAGGAGCAATTTCTAAATATCTGGAATTTGGGCTTACAAAAAGGGAAACATGATATGCAGCTATTGGACCCAGTCCATGCACTTCCACAGATTTGCTCAGACCTGGCTGTTCCCAGGGCCATGGAAACTTGCCCTGCCTCGTGGTCCGTTTGGAACCAGCAAATGGGCCACGTTTCATGTTTCTCCTATGATGATAAAGCCGCCACCATGATGCCATCATATCTCTTAATGCCATTGCTTTTTACAGTCTTTACTAGGTGCAAGCACCTTTAGCAATGGGCAATACAGGAGCTCTAGCATGTAGGTCCTACCCAACTGGAGCTGTAGAGACCCTGGCTTCCTCAGCAGCAACACAGACAGACTGACATTGAACAATTAAAGATGAGGAAATTTGAATGGATTCATTGATCATTTCTTCTCCACAATGGAATGCTCTGAGAGATGAGCTTCATATTGCCTTACTGGGGACATTCCATATGTCCACATAACCAGCTGGGTTTTCCTGTGAAGCTATGATCTGCTTGGTAAATCACAAACATAAATTCATTTTCTTCTTCCTTGGCTTCTCTTTTCCCTTCATTCTTGCTTTACTAGATCAGAGTGTAAACTTTGCTCTAATCAGTTCAGAGCCCAGGTGTCTAGATGAAGACAATCATAGAAAGAAGTCATTGGGATGGGATTTTTGAGCTTGATTTCCCACCTGTCTGGAGGTAATATGGATGGTCAGTGTGGTACTAACAGTTACTAAAGCTTTCACCTATTGATAATTGAGATATTATACAGTTGGAAAACAGGACATTGGGAGGCCAAGTGACTGCTGTTCTTTATTGGTATGGGGGATATGGTAATAATAAAGATTATGGTGGGCCAGGTGTGGTGGCTCATGACTATAATCTCAGCACTTTGGGAGGCCGGGGTGGGCGGATCACCTGAGGTCAGAAGTTCAAGACCAGCCTGGCCAACATGGTGAAACTCCATCTCTAGTAAAAATACAAAAATTAGCTACTCGGGAGGCTGTGGCAGGAGAATGGTGTGAACCCAGGAGGTGGAGCTTGCAGTGAGCCGAGATCGCGCCACTGCACTCCAGCCTGGGCAACAGAGCGAGACTCTGTCTCAAAAAAAAAAAAATACAAAAATTAGCTGGGTGTGGTGGCATGAGTCTGTAATCCCAGCTATTCAGGAGGCTGAGGCAGGAGAATTGCTTGAACCTGGGAGGTGGAGGCTGCAGTGAGCTGAGATTGCACCACTGCACTCCAGCCTGGGTGACAGAGCAAGACTCCATCTCAAAAATAAATAAATAAATAGAAAAATAGAAATAAATAAAACGATTATGGTGGTGGGGAGTGGATATTTCTGTTTGCATTGGGGGACTTGTAAGAAGAAAATGAAAGGCTTGGGGCATTAAATTGCTAATCTAAATCACACTCTGAAAACCCAGAGGTTTCTATGTCATCTTTAAAGGGAATATTCATTTCCTTCAGACACAGGGAAGACTCTTGAAAAAATGAGAACTGATATCTGATTATCGGTGTGACAGAGTTACAAAAGTGATTAAATGCACCACACAGGTCTTATATAATAAGACTCAAACCTGATATGAAAAGTATGGGAATAGGAGAGTTTAGATTGGCAAGTCAAACAATCTCAATCCCCCAATTCTCCAGAATTCTACTAGAGCAAAAGAAGTCCCTTCCCCACATACCAGAAGAGAAAACTCTCCTTGCCTGGAATTTGTGCAAAGGCCTCATCTGAAGCAAGGTCTCTCAATAAGTCTCAATTTTCTCACTGTTTGTTTCTGCTACCCTCCATTGTAACCGGGCTAGATGGCAGCCTGGTTAAGCCTTGGACTTACTTGTCTGAGGCAAAAATAGATGTGATTTCTACATTAGATAGTAAGGCTAAAACAAAAGTGGGAATCAGAGTGTTTGGTGTACAGGGATCTATGGCAATGTGTTTGGAGAGGGCAGAAAAGGCAGAGATGTTTAGATGGTGATCGTGTTGCTTGATTTATGTAATCAAAAATAATTGATGTCTAATGAGCTGAAGGATGATGTCAACAGCTGTAATGGAAACTCAAGGTTCCTTGACCTGTTTCTAGATTTAAATTAATTCACAGACCCAGAGCCACATGACTGAAAGAGTGGCTTGATAAAAGAAATAAATAGGATAGATATTTCCCAAATTCTTCTTTCCCCAAAGAGCTCGTGGCCAATTTCTGTGACAGCTATGTACTGGGGAAAGGAGAATGCCCAAATACTCAGGAGCTGTTATATACAGAATCTGAGTTTATGCCGATTTAATTAGACCTAAAATGCCTTCTTGGTCTTCTCGTTAGGATGGACACTTTAAAGAGATTTGGGGAGAAGGCATAGATGGAGAAAGCTCCCAAGAATTTGGGTGGAGACAGGATTGAATGTGCAAAGTAACTTGAAACTAGAAGATAGAGTAGGTAAGGTCATTAATTCTACAAATTTATGCATTTAGTCATTAATTTTACACATTTTACACACTAAAATACTGTCTCTATGAATATTGTCTGTTATAGTATAACAGCAATGGGAGTAGTAGATAGCAAGATAGAAACCAAGAGAGGAAAGAATTTCAAATAGGAAATATCTTGTCAATAAACATTCCGTAGCAAGATCTTCATTTGTTCTGAGGACTAGCGCCTGAGTGTTTTCCATTTGTAGAGCAGCAGAAGACAAGTTCTGCCCACAGCTGTTCATGAGAAAAAAGGCAATTATTCTGTTTTTTTTTTCTCCTTTTAAAAATTGGTTGCAAAGGAGAGACAGGAAAGCCTTCTTGGAATGCAACTAGGACGGGGCAAGAATAGATGTAAGGGGGTAAATCTTTGGTTAGTGGGAGCATGGTGATTAACAGAGAGATAGATTGGTCTGGCTCTGAGTTTTATTCTGTTCTACCATTATGGCCTTGGGCAAGTGGGCTAAAATTGGAGGCGGCCATGGGAGTCATTAAATAGAAAAAGAATTTTGGAGGCTTTTTTTCCTGGGCTTTCTAGAAAACAAGCCTACAGCAAAGTTTACATGCTAACACTTTATCAAATTTTGCAATCCCATGCATAAGTGAGGGGAAAGTGAAGCAATTCGGTACAAAAGAGAGAAGGCAAATGTAATCATGAGGTTCTGCATTAGCTAAATGATCATATTTTCCCAGGAAAACATAATCGTTTGCTTGGTCAAATAAGATTTTTTTATTATTAAAATTAATAAGTGAATTTATGAAAGTTAACATAAAAATGAATTAATTTACACATACTGGCAAGAAACAGAAAAATAAGTTGATCAAATAATAAAAAGTACACATTTTATCTACATGGTTAGAGTAATCCACATCCAACCTACTTCCAAAAACTGAGTCTAGAATATCCATTTTTACAAACATCTCTAAATTTTGTTGTCTAGAAATGTCTTTAATAAAATTTTTAAGAACTGTCCCTGGAAAAGATTGTGATAGCAAAGAATCTGATGTGACCATTTGTAGGTCCTTGGCAAATTATCCCCTGATATTGGAGAGCTTTGGTTTTCAAGAAAATTGTGTATTTTATGTGAAGCTATAAGCAAAACCATTTCTCACTTGTCTCTTAGTTTTTGGTGAGGCATCTCTTTGGTATACATAAAACATCTTCATCATACAACCCAAATAATGTTCTTCCTTTCTTGGTTCTCCCCAGTGTAGCAACTACATTCTGTTTGGCCCTTTTCCACCTATATCTCTGTCGCACTTCCATGACTTCCTGGAACTTAACAGAGCTTTATTCAACACAATACCTAGTGAAGTTGAAGTGAATGTGTGTATTCACAAGAGGTTATGATATATTGACATGAATGTAGACATAGAGATCTAAGTAATTTATGCAAACCATTTTGGTTAAGTAATTCTGAAAATATGTTTCATCTCCCTGACTTACTATTGATAAATGTGTTTCCGAGTTTGTTCTAAAAGTAGTCACCAGCACTAGCTGTTACTTCTTGCTTCTTCCCAAGAAACTGGCACCGATTTGCTTGATAAATTTGAATGCTTTTCAAAATGATCCTCTTTTAAGAGCTGGTAAATAGCAGAATTAAAATGTATTTTCTGTTTGTCAAACTTTTTCTATAGCCTAACCTGAGGGTCCTGTAATGTTTTTCTAACTCAAATGCTGTAGTATTTTAACCTTCAGAGAGTCCCTGTGAATAGTGTATAAAAATGTGGAGTGCATAAAAAGTATTTTGAGAACACTTCAAATAATGTAGATCGTGGATCACCCTCTCCACCTGCCTGTATGTGGAATTCTGATACTGTATTATACACATGGTCATAATAAACACACTAAAGTGTTTTGATCTGGACACATTTTTTCTTTGTTATTTTTGTCTTAGTTAAATATAGTGGAAAGTGAAAATTATTTATTCAGGGAAAACACCACATTTTGTGAGTCATTCATTCAGCAGTGTTTGGTTAATTTGATTTTGTTGGGCATTTTTATAAATCTGATATATTTACCCAGAGGACTTTTGGCACTGGCAGCATATTAAAATCAGCAAAAAAAGTAACTATCTAGCCTCGGATTGGCAAGACTCAATTGCATCCAGATGAGGACCAAATCCACTTCAGATTTCCAAAGCAAATACAATTAATTGTGTCAAAAATGAATCCTTTGGAGACTTCTGGGATGTATATTTATTCCCATGCCAATTATGGTGGCATTCTAGTTATCTGATTTTGCATCATCTGCACATACCCCCGTCCTCCCTCTTGTCTTCCTTTGTGTTCATTAGTCTCCTTATTTCTGATTCACATAATTTTCCTGAATCAATAATTAAAGGAGATAATTGAAGCAAGTATACGAGGATTTGAGTTTAAAAATGCATGTTTTCTAAATTTATACCTCATTTTATTTTTTTAAAATTATTCATTTATTTCTAATTTTCCCATAAGTTATTGGGGTACAGGTGGCATTTGGTTACATGAGTAAGTTCTTTGGTGGTAATTTGTGAGGTTTTGGTGTACCCATCACCTGAGCAGTATAAACTGCACCATATTTGTAGTCTTTTATCTCTCACCCCTCTCCCACTCTTCCCCCTAAGTTCCCAGAGTCCAATGTATCATTTTTATGCATTTGTGTCCTCACAGCTTAGCTCCCACATTATCAGTGAGAACATACAATGTGTGGTTTTCCATTCCTGAGTTACTTCACTTAGAATAATAGTCTCCAATCTCATCCAGGTCACTGCAAATGCTGTTAATTCATTCCTTTTTTATGGCTGTATAATATTTCATCACATATATACATATATCACATATATGTACATATATCACACGTGTGTACATATATCACACGTGTGTACATATATCACATGTGTGTACATATATCACATGTATGTACATATATCACACATATGTACATGTATCACATATATACGTATATCACATTTGTATCATATATGTGATATATGTTCATATATGTATCACATGTGATATATGTACATATATGTTCATATATGTGATATATGCAGACATATCACATGTGCCAAGTATGTGATATATGTGCATATATCACACATGTGTCATATATGTGATATGTGTTTGTATATCGTACATGTGTTGTATATGTGATATGTGTACATATATCATACATGTGTCATATATGTGATATTTGTACATATATCACATATCTCTCTCTCTCATAGTTTCCTTATCAACTGGTTGATTGATGGGCATTTGGGTTGGTTCCACAATTTTGCAACTGTGAATAGTGCGCTATGAACATGTGTGTGCAAGTATCTTTTTTGAATAATGACTTCTTTTCTTCCGGGTAGATACCCAGCAGTGGGATTGCTGGATCGAATGATAGTTCTCCTTTTAGTTCTTTAAGGAATCTCCACACTGTTTTCCATAATGGCTGTACTAGTTTACATTTCCACCAGCAGTGTAGAAGTGTTCCATGTTCACTGCATCCATGCCAACATCTACTGTTTAATTTTTTGATTATGGCCATTCTTGCAGGAGTAAGGTGGCATTGCACTGTGGTTTTGATTTGCATTTTCCTGATCATTAGTGTTGTTGAGCATTTTTCATATGTTTGTTGGCCATTTGTATATCTTCTTTTGAGAATTGTCTATTCATGTCCTTAGCCCACTTTTTGGTGGGATTATTTCTTCTTTTCTCACTCATTTGTTTGAGTTCATTGTAGATTCTGGATATTAGTCCTTTGTCAGTTGTGTAGATTGTGAAGATTTTCTCCCACTCAATGAGCTGTCTGTTTACTCTGTTCCTTTTGCCATGCAAAACTCTTTAGTTTAATTAGGTCCCAGGTATTTATCTTTGTTTATATTGCATTTGTTTTTGGGTTTTCAGTCATGAAATTCTTGCCTAAGCCAATGTCTAGAAATGTTTTCTCAATGTTATCTTCTGGAGTTTTTATAGTTTTAGGTCTTAGATTTAAGTCCTTAATCCATCTTGAGTTGATTTGTTATATAAGGTGAGAGATGAGGATCTAGTTTCATTCTCCTACATGTGGCTAGCCAATTATCCCAGCACTATCTGTTGAAAAGGGTGTCCTTTCACCGCTTTGTTTTTGCTTGCTTTGTCAAAGATCAGTTGGCTGTAAGTATTTGGGTTTATTTCTGGGTTCTCTATTCTGTTCCATTGGTCTATTTGCCTATTTTTATACCAGTACCATGCTGCTTTGGTGACTATTGCCTTATAGTGTAGTTTGAACTCAAGTAGTGTGATGCTTCCAGATTTTTTTTTTTTTTTTTTTTTTTGCTTAGTCTGACTTTGTCTATGTGGGCTCTTTTCTGGTTCCATAAGAATTTTAGAATTGTTTTTTCTAATTCTGTGAATAATGATTGTGGTATTTTGATGGAAGTTGTATTGATTTGTAGATTGCTTTTGACAGTATGGTCATTTTCACAATATTGATTCTATTTACCTACCCATGAGCATGGGATGTGTTTCCGTTTGTTTGTGTTGTCTATGATTTCTTTCAGCAGTGTTTTGGGGTTTTCCTTTTACAGATCTTTCGACTCCTTTGTTACGTATATTCCTAAGTATTTTATTTTTTATTTTTTCAGCTATTATAAAAGGTGCTGAGTTCTTGATTTGATTCTCCGCTTGGTCACTGTTGGTGTATAGAAGAGCTACTGATTTGTGTACATTAATCTTGTATCCGGAAACTTTGCTGAATTCTTTTATCAGTTCTAGGAACTTTCTGGAGAAGTCCTTTGGGTTTTCAAGGTAAACAGTCATATCATCAGCAAACAGCGACACTTCGACTTCCTCTTTACTGATTTGGATGCCCTTTATTTCTTTCTTTTGTCTGATTGCTCTGGCTATGACTTCCAGTACTGTGTTGAAGAGGAGTGGTGAGATTGGGCATCCTTATCTTGTTCTAGTTCTCAGAGGGAATGCTTTCAACTTTTCCCCATTCAGTATTATGTTGGCTGTGGGTTTGTCATAGATGTCTTTTATTACGTTAACGTATGCCTCTTGTATGCCAATTTTGCTGAGAGTTTTAATCACAAAGCGATGCTGGATTTTGTTGAATGCTTTTTCTGCATCTATTGAGATGACCATGTGATTTTTGTTTTTAATTCTGTTTATGTGGTGTATCACATTTACTGACTTGTGTATGTTAAACCATCCCTGCATCCCTGGTATGAAACTCACTTGATCATGGTGGATTATCTTTTTGATATGTTGTTGGATTTGGTTAGCTAGTATTCTGTTAAGAATTTTAGCATCTATGTTCATCAAGGATATCATATACCTCATTTTAGACCAGTGCAATAACCTCCCAGATAATTTCTTGGGCTCAGAAAGCCCCATGCCTTCCTTTATCCAGTGTGCCTCATCAGAAAATTCTCCTTAAACACCCTTTTGCATCTTATCTTCTAAGTCTAGATGCGCAGCTTTGGGACACACATGTGGGTCACCATCCATGGAAGAGAAATGGAGAGAGTTAAAAGATGGCCACTGGAAATTATGCATAACAGAAACCTATATGATCTCTGCATATACTTGTTATGAACTGTATCATGCTTGTGTTCCCTCCTAAAATTTATATTTTAAAATCCTACTCCCTAATGTGGTGGTGTTAGGAGGTGGAGCCTCTGGGAGGTAAGAAGGAGCAGATGAAGTTATGAGGGTGACGCCCTCATGGATGGGATTCGTGTCCTTATAAGAGAGTACCAAGACCACATTCTTCCTTTCTCTGCTTTGGAAAGACACAGCGAAAACTGCCACCTTTGAACAGGAAGTGAGACCTCACCAGACACTGAATCTGCCAGCATCTTGATCTTGGACTTCCCAGCCTCCAGAACTGAGAGGAGTAAATATTTGTTATTGAAGCCACCTGGCCTATGGTTTTATGTTGCAACAGCCCAAGTTGACTAAGACAATACTATAGCAGGTTAAAAGTTGGTCCTGTAAAAGATAAGCCAATGTCCTAACCCCCACAACTTGTGAGTGACCTTATTTAGAAAAGGGGCCTTTGCATATTTAAGTTACTTTCCAGGTGGGCCCTAAACCCAACGGCAAATGTACTTATAACAGACAGAAGAGAACACACACGTGAAGACAGAGGTAGGGATTGTAGTGATGCAACCACAAGTGAAGAATGCTTACAGCCACCAGAAAGTAAAAGAGGCAGGAAAGGACTCTTCCCTAGAGGCTTTAAAAAGTTTGTGGGTTCCAGATTTCTGGTCTCCAGAACTGTAAGAGAATAAATGTATGCAGTTTTCAGTTGCCCTGTTTGTGGTAGTTTTGTTATAGCAGCCTTAGGAACTTAAGACCTGTACCAAGAGAAGGAACCTCAGTTAGTTACTCCGAAGATGTTGCATTACTAAGCAATTTTTTACTTTTAACATCTCTAGTTTAGGAACCACTAGCAGGGCTGATATCTACACTGGAGTGACACATAGGCTGACAGACATTCTGATTTGTTGAGAAGCATTTCTGAATGGCCAGTGGCTTCTTCATACTGATTGTTAAATGTTTTGAATATTACCTCCAATCATTTCTGCATCTAAGATTCAACATGCACCTGATGCATTACAGACATTTAGTAATGTTATATGAAATGAATGAATGAGCTAGTCTATATGATCTGTTCTGGAAAATAGGTAATTATTCATTTATCATAATCATACTTTGGACTGGGTGCATTATTTCTAAAATTAATTTTAGAACTATTCCCAAACTTAAATCCAGGGGCAGATAATGAGCATATTATTTATTTATAAGCTATTATGAATACTTTCTGGAATTAGGCAGTTTATCTAAAAAGGAGGGAAGAAAGGAGAGAGGGAGAAAGAGAGAAAGGGAGACAGGAGTTTGGCATTCTCTCTCCTATTACAAGGATTCTTCAAGACAAAACTCTCTCTTGTTTATCTTCCCTTCCTCCCCTCCCCTCCCCTCCCCTCCCCTCCCCTCCCCTCCCCTCCCCTCCCCTCCCCTCCCCTCCCCTCCCCTCCCCTCCCTTCCCCTCCCTTCCCTTTTCTTTTCTTTTTTGAGATGGAGTCTCACTCTGTCACCCAGGCTGGAGTGCACTGGCGCAGTCTCAGCTCACCGCAACCTCTGCTGTCTGGGTTCAAGTGATTCTCCTGCCTCAGCCTCCTGAGTAGCTGAGATTACAGGTGCCTGCCATCACACCCGGCTAATTTTTGTATTTTTAGTAGAGACAGGTTTCACCATGCTGGGCAGGCTTTTCTTGAACTCCTGACCTCATGATCCACCTGCTTTGGCCTCCCAAAGCTCTGGGATTACAGTTGTGAACCACCACGCCTGGTCTCTTGTTTATTTTTTCTGATAACATCAAGGATGGATGGTCAATGAAAATCATTAAATGAGTTCAGTGGCATCAGAAGTCTCCTTAAATAATGTTGCATCTAACTGGGATGGCTTCTATCTGGTCTTATTACATGTTGCATTTCCAGAACTATATTTTCTTTTATTTGTTGGCTTTATCAAATTTAGCTCTGCTGCTGGCGCTCCCTCTGAACTGCCCTGTGGTTTGTAGCTTCAGTTTGTTCTGTTTTTTTGTTTTGTTCTGTTTTTCTTTTTGTTTTTCTCTGCATCTAAGTTCTCTGCATCTAGAACAATGCTGTCCAATAAAACTCCTACTGTGATGGAGATGCTTTATGTTCTGTGCTGTCCAATACAAGCCACTTGAGATGTAGTGAATGTGCCTGTGGAACTCAATATAACATTTTATTTAATTTTAGTTAATTTATATTTCAATGTAAATAGCAACATGTGGCTAGTGGCTACCATATTGAATGATGCAGATCTAGATCGACATTTAAAGGCTGACATTTTAAATTGCTATTATTTCTAGAAGTTTGGAAACTCTGCCATTGTTGCAAATTGCTATTAAATTTTGTTCCTTCATAGAAGGTAAATGCTTAATATTTCATCTTTTCTTGATCTGCTTTTGCTAACAATTAAGGCTTGCTATAACCTAAAACAGAAGGTGGCAAACTACAGTCCCTAGGCCAAATCTAGCCCGCTGGCAGTTTTTATGAAAAAAGGAAAAACAATAGTGGTATTGGAACACAGCATGCCCATTTGTTTGGGCATAGTCTTTGGTTTGTGCTACAATGACAGAACTGAGTGATTGTGACAGAGACTGCAGGGCTGGCAGAGCTGAGGGTACTACTATCTGGCCTTTACAGAAAAAAAAAAGCCTATCCCTGATTTAGAATAAAGTTGTTCTTTCATTGCATGTTGTAATAATTAAATGTTTATTCTTTCCATAATTTTTAGTCCATTTTAAAGGGTAAGGCTTTTGTTATTAGAATAGTGGGTGCCTTTTAATTTTTCACCTCATTTTGACACCAATTCAATATCATTGGCTCAGTAGCCAGTGTGCAAAGTGATATTGCAATTCTGATCTTGGCTTTCATAAGGACTCTAAGCTGTGATGAAAACTTAGTTCTTCAACATTAAAATTATAGCTTAAAACAAATCTTGTAATATTTTGTTGAAAACTGTAAATATTATGAAGTATAAATATAATTCTGATTATATCTCCAATGATGCTGGACATCTGTGAAATGGCAGGGTTTTTTTGTTCTTTTGTTTTTTGTTTTTTGGTTTTTTTGAAATGAAGTTTTGCTCTTTGTTGCCCAGGCTGGAGTGCAGTGGCATGATATTGGCTCACTGCAACCTCTGCCTCCTGCCGATTCTCCTGCCTCAACCTCCCAAGTAGCTGGAATTATAGGTGCCTGCCACCATGCCCGGCTAATTTTTGTATTTTTTTTTTTTTTAGTAGAGACGAGGTTTCACCATCTTGGCCAGGCTGATCCCAAACTCCTGACCTCAGGTGATCCGCCTGCCTCAGCCTCCCAAAGTGCTGGGATTATAGGCATGAGCCACCACGCCCGGCCAAAATGGCAGTTTTGTATGCTGACTTATCAGATCAAAATCATCTGGAGTGGGGTTGAAAGCTGGGAGTAAGAGTGCAGGTTCTCATGTTTCTGCAATATCCATGTGGGTAGGCTGCACTGCATATGGCTTAGGTTGTTGGTGACAATCTGTCTGACTTCTTGAGGACTCTTTAATAAAATATATATGTCTGGCATTTTGAAAACATAAATTCTTATATTATTCTTATTTCCCAATTTTTATCAACACAGCTATGATCATACCTTTCACTTGAAGATCTTATTTGTCCTTGAAGACCCTCTGCAATGCTACTATGAAAATATTTGAACCTTAACACTACATGAGAAAACAAAGTATTCTTCTAAATAGGAAAGAAACAGAAACATTAAAAAAGTACGGATTAAACTTGAAACAATCCTATATCTATATCTATATCTATGTCTATGTCTATGTCTATATATTCTCTAGTAAACATTAGTAGCTAATACTTCCTGAAAAGCAGAGAGAGAGGGCAGAAGAACCATGCTGCTGAGTACTGTAAGCCCATAGGACCAGGAGAAATCACAAAATTGTTGTTTTAACCACTCAATGTTTAGAGTGATTTCTTATGTACTTATAGATAAATGAAACCAATATAGTTTATTGTGGCCAGCTGTATAGAATAAAGCAATAAGAAATGATTAGTTATTCAAGGTAGGGTCACAGAAGTTTAGGATATATGGTAACACTGAAGTCTGGTTTAAAGGAAAAGCAGATGTTTGCTAGAGAGACAAGATGGAAAAGTATTCCAGAAAATGGAAGCAATAAAAGAAAAGCAAAGGATAAGTCCATTTGGGAAACTGCACAGGTAAAAGGCATGTGTATAGGAAGGGTGAAAAAGAGTTGAATCTTGGCCGGGCGTGGTGGCTCACACCTGTAATCCAAGCACTTTGGGAGGCCAAGGCAGGCAGATCACCTGAAGTCAGGAGTTCAAGACCATCCTGGCCAACATGGTGAAACCCCGTCTCTACTAAAAATACAAAAAATTAGCTGGGCATGGTGGCTCATGCCTGTAGTCCCAGCTACTTGGGAGGCTGAGAATTGAGAATTGCTTGAACCCAGGAGGTGGAGGTTGCAGTGAGCTGAAATCCCATCACTGCACTCCAGCTTGGGTGACACAGTGAGACTCCGTCTCAAAAAAAAAAAAAAAAAAAAAAAGAGTTGAATCTAGAAAACTTATTAGGTTGAATTCTCTGAAGGCAGTATATGTAATAGGTCTGAAATTTACACTCTAGATCAGGAGCGCCCAACCCCCAGACCATGGACTGGTACCGGTCTGTGGCCTGTTAGGAACTGGGCCACACAGCAGGAGGTGAGTGGCAGTCAGCAAGCATTACCATCTGAGCTCTGCCTCCTGTTAGATCAGTGAGGGCATTAGATTCTCACAGAAGTGTGAACCATATGGTGAACTGCACATGCGAGGGATCTAGGTTGCACACTCCTTTTGAGAATCTAATGCTTGATGATCTGTCACTGTCTCTCATCACCCCCGGATGGGACTGTCTGGTTGCAGGAAAACAAGCTTAGGGTTTCCACTGATTCTACATTATGGTGAGTTGTATGATTATTTCATGATATATTACAATACAATGCAATAATAATAGAAATAAAGTGAATAATAAATATAATGCGCTTGAATCATCCTGAAAATGTCCACCCCCAGCCCCGTCCCATCCATGGAAATATTTTCTTCCATGAAACCAGTCCCTGGTGCCAAAAACGTTGCGGACCGCTGCTCTAGGTAATGGACCTATAGACATGTCTTTAGATGGAATAGAGAAGAAGCATATATTACACACACATTTATTCAACAAATACTTATTAAAGACCCACTATGTAACTGAGGCTGCAGTTGATGCTTAGGACACATAAATGTTCATCACAAACAGGCATGATTTATGACTTCACCAAGCTTGCAGAGTAGTCAAAGAGACAGATGATCAATAATCAGGAAAGTAATGAAAAAATTTAAGTTGTGATGCATGCTGTCAAAAAGGAAAAATTATGCCGTAAATTAACATAAGGATGAATTTATCTTTATTAACTAAAATAGAAAACTCACTAGGAGGCTCACATATGGAGAGGAAAGATAATGAACTTTGGTTTGTGAGTGTTGAGTTTGAGGTACTTCAAATTGGAAATATATTCCTGAAACTCAAGAGGAAAATGGGGTTGGAATTACGGATTTAGAAATTATTAATATAGGTAAAAATTGAAGCTGTGAAAGTAAATAGAGCAAGTTACACAATAGTGTAACCAAGGTGGAGACCTTGGAGTTTCTTCCACTTGATACAGGAATATGAGCCAGGAAAAGGTCAGTGTGGGAGAAGATTCAGAAATTTTTTATAAAGAATGAGGAAATATAGTCAGGAAGGAAGAATCATTTACACATATCAAATTTGACAATGAAAGTTTTCTAAGATGTTGCCTTTTCTTTATTCATTTGTAGAAATTCTTTTCATATCTCAGACACTTATGAATTTCAGATGCCTTCTCTGACTCCACAGTGTGAATTTTTACTCCCTTAGCAGTTTCTGCATACCAAGCTGTAAAGAAAGCCTCAACAAATTTCAAAGAATTGAAGCCATTCAGAGTATGTTACGACTGGTGGAATTAAGCTGGAAACAACAAAAACTAAAAGGTTGGCCAGGCGCGGTGGCTCACACCTGTAATCCCAGCACTTTGGGAGGCCAAGGCGGGTGGATCACCTGAGGTCAGGAGTTCGAGACCAGCCTGGCCAACGTGGTAGAACCCTGTCTCTACTAAAAACACAAAAATTAGCTGGTCCTGGTGGTAGGTGCCTGTAATCCCAGCTACTTGGGAGGCTGAGGCAGGAGAATCGCTTGAACCTAGAAGACGGAGGTTGCCCTGAGCTGAGATTGCGGCATTGCACTCCAGCCTGGACGACAAGAGTGAAACTCCATCTCAAAAAAAAAAACTTACAAAAGGCAAAAAAAAATTAAACAATACTTCTAAATAATCTATGGATCAAGGAAGAAACATGAAGAAAATAATATTTTGAACTTAATAATAATAAAAATGCAATATTTCAAAAAAGAATACAGCCAAAACAATACTTAGAAATTCATGGCTTTAAAATATTTGTGTTAAAAATGAAGCAAGACTAAAAGTAAATCATCTAAGCCTCCATTTCAAGAATCTAAAAACAAGCAAGCAAACTAAGCATTGAAGCTAAAAAAAGGGAGTGGAAATAATAATTATTTCAGCTATCAATAAAATAGAAAAAATAGCATGCATTAGAGAAAAATCAACAAAGCTCCCAACTAAATTTATTCTTAAAGTAATAACATTGATAAATCCTAGCAAAATAAGAAAAGAAAAAGTACACAAATTACAAAGAAAAAAATGAAATCAATATAGGTCCAATAGATATTAAAAATAACATTAAAGAGTAGTATAAACAGCTTTACATATGACAATTTGAATAAAATAGAAAACAAATTAACACAACTTATCAAACTGATAGAATAAAGAGAAAATCCTAAAAGTTTAATATCCATTAAGAAAATTGAATCCATTTTTAAAAATGTTTTACTTTTAATTTTTGTGGGTACATAGTAGATATATATATTTATGAAATACCTGTGATATTTTGATACAGACATGCAATGTGTAATAATCGTATCATGGAGATGGGTTATCCATTACCTCAAGCATCCATCCATTGTATTACAAAAAATCCAATTATACTGTTTTGGTTAGTTTAAAATGGACAATTAAATTGTTATTGAATCCATTATTGAACCCACCCTCTGACCATCCACACATATAAACAAAACTCAGGTTAAGATTGCTTCCCTGTCTTTGCTATTGTGAATAATGCCACAATAAACAAACGTGTGCATGTGTCTTTATAGCAGCATGATTTATAGTCCTTTGGGTATATACCAACCCAAATGTCCAACAATGATAGACTGGATTAAGAAAATGTGGCACATATACACCATGGAATACTATGCAGCCATAAAAAATGATGAGTTCATGTCCTTTGTAGGGACATGGATGAAATTGGAAAACATCATTCTCAGTAAACTATCGCAAGAACAAAAAACCAAACACCGCATATTCTCACTCATAGGTGGGAATTGAACAATGAGATCACATGGACACAGGAAGGGGAATATCACACTCTGGGGACTGTTGTGGGGTGGGGGGAGGGGGGAGGGATAGCATTGGGAGATATACCTAATGCTAGATGACGAGTTAGTGGGTGCAGTGCAGCAGCATGGCACATGTATACATATGTAACTAACCTGCACAATGTGCACATGTACCCTAAAACTTAAAGTATAATAATAAAAAAAAAGATTGCTTCCCTGATGATTTCACCAAACCTTTAAAAAAGAAATAATAACAAAATTACATAACTTTCTTCAGATAATAGAAAAAGAGGAAGAACTTCATAATTTTTTATAAGGCCATTGCAATCTTGTTTCTAAATCCTAACAAAGTTCCTATATGACATGAAAATTACAGACTAATCTCTCTCATTACTATAGATGCCAAAATGCCAAACGACATACTAACAAATCAAATTCAGAATTGTATACCAGGGATAGTATATAAGGACTACATGGTGGTTGTAGGAATGCAAGAGAGATTTATTACTCAAAAATTAATTAATGCCATTTACCACATTAACTTTTAAAAAGATAAAAACATAATAATCTTAATAGATGTAGAAAAATGTTGGATAAAATTCAATAATACTTTGTGACAAAAACTCTTAGCAAGCAAGGAATTGAGGAAAACTAAAAATAAACAGCATTTATTTGAATGTTTCACAGAAAATGTTAAATTTAATGATCATGGATTTAGGAATTAAAAAACAAATACCCAATATGATCACTTCAATGTTTTATAAGGGATCTTTGCCTGTGCAATAAAGCAAGAAAAAGAAATGAAGGGCATAAGCATTAAATTTATTTACAGATAACATGGTTGCATATCTAGAGAATCTAAAATGATCTGTAGCTAAACTATTAAAATTAATAAGTATTTCCAAGTCATTGAATATAAGCTGAATATGAAAACAATACAAAAAGAAACAGTTTACAATAATGTGAAACATCAGATACCAAAGAATAAACCTAAAAACATATAAGTTCTGTACACTGAAAACTGCAACAGTTTCTAAGCTAAATGGATTAGAAATCAATATTGTAAAAAATGTCAATTCTTTAAACATCCAAATGTCTATAAATTCAATACAATGTTAAATATCTAAATAAGAAATATTATATAAATTGATCAGTTGACTAAAATGTATATGGAAATACAAAGGGCCAAGAATGGTCAAGGCAAGCTGGTAGGATAAATGTGGAAAACTTCTTAACTACTTACTTAAAGCCGCTATTAGGACCTATAGTCCAGTTATAGCAATTAAAATAGTGTGCTGTTGGCACCAGAATAAATTGATGGAATAGGACAAAGAACTCACAAACAGATCTACACATAAATATTCACTTGAAATATGATAAAAACGACATTGTAGGGGAGAAAAGTCTGGCTTAAAGGACTCACAATGTATGTAAAGTTCCTCATTCATTTGGAAAAAAACACTGAGTTATCTTTTTAAGGCGATGAAAATGGTCTAAAATTAAGTGTGGGGCTGATTGCACAACTCTGTGAATATGCTGAAAGCTATTGAAATATAAATATTACATGGGTAAATTGCGTGGTAAATGAATTATATTTCAATGAAACTGTTAAAAACAAAAACTGTAGGCAAATTTCTAGTCTACAGAGTAAGTAGGTGTAACCAAGGCAGACCCTAGCAGACTTCCTAGGTGAGAAGACAAATTTGGGAGTCTAGGGAGACCAGACATAAGAGTTTGATGGACAGAGTACCCAAAGTGAAAAAGTTGCACAATGAGAGAGAATTCAAAAATTTACAAAGGATCTCCTTGAGTATTCAGCATTGACCAGTTCATGTCACAGAAAGAACTGCATGAAAGGATCAGAATAGAAACAAGAGCTGAACATACACAGGGACAGGAATAGTAACTCTTCCCAGTGGCAAGGCTGGAAACCTTTTGATTCATGGGGCAATGAGTAGAGTACTCCGAAGGAGTTTGTCTCAACAGTGAAAAAATTTGCCTTACTGATTTGATTCTATCTAACAAGTGTTACAAACAAGATTCTAAATGATCTAACTATTTCCATATAACTTAAATGCATTATAAAACAAAGCTCACAATATCCTTTGACTCACTAAAGTTTCTAATTTTCATGAAGTCCAATTTATCTATTTTGTGGTTGTTGTTGCTCATGCTTTTGGCATCACATCTAAAAAATTAATTTGCTAAACCCAAGGTCATAAAGATTTACTCCTCTAAATTTTTACAGTTTATAGTTTTCACTCTGGGTTGTTGACCAACACTTCAGTCAATTTTTGTATATTTTATGAGGTAGAGATCCAACTTAATTCTACTGTACGTTGAGATCCAGTTGTTTCAGCACCATTTGTTGGAAAAACTGTTTTTCCCATTGAATGATATTGGCACCCTTGTGAAAAATCAAGTAGCCATAGATGTATGGAGTTATTTCTAGATTCTACATTTTCTTCCATCTATATATCTATCCTTATGCCAATATCACATTGTTTTGGTTACTGTAGCTTTGTACTAAGTTTTGAAATCAAGAAGTGTGATTCCTCCAACTTTGTTTTTTGTCACTGTTATTTTGCTTACTTGGGATCCTTTGCAATTTCATGTGAACTTGAGGAACCCCTTCTCCATTTCTCAAAAAAAAGCTCATTAAAGTTTTAAGAGGGATTGCATTGAATCTGTAGATCACTTTGGGTAATAATGTCATCTTAACAATATTATGTCCTCCCTTTCATAAACACAGAATATCTTTTTATTTAGGCCTTTAGTAATTTCTTTTAGCAATGTTTTATACTTTTCAGTGTACAAGTCTTGCACCTCCTTCATTAAATTTATTTATTTATTTTTTTAATTTTTATTTTATTATTATTATACATTAAGTTTTAGGGTACATGTGCACAATGTGCAGGTTAGTTACATATGTATACATGTGCCATGCTGGCGTGCTGTACCCATTAACTCATCATTTAGCATTAGGTATATCTCCTAATGCTGTCCCTCCCCCCTCCCCCCACCCCACAACCGTCCCCAGAGTGTGATATTCCCCTTCCTGTGTCCAAGTGTTCTCATTGTTCAATTCCCACCTATGAGTGAGAAAATGCGGTGTTTGGTTTTTTGTTCTTGCAATAGTTTACTGAGAATGATGATTTCCAATTTCATCCATGTCCCTACAAAGGACATGAACTCATCATTTTTTATGGCTGCATAGTATTCCATGGTGTATATGTGCCACATTTTCTTAATCCAGTCTATCATTGTTGGACATTTGGGTTGGTTCCAAGTCTTTGCTATTGTGAACAATGCTGCAATAAACATACGTGTGCATGTGTCTTTATAGCAGCATGATTTATAGTCCTTTGGGTATATACCCAGTAATGGGATGGCTGGGTCAAATGGTACTTCTAGTTCTAGATCCCTGAGGAATCGCCACACTGACTTCCACAATGGTTGAACTAGTTTACAGTCCCACCAACAGTGTAAAAGTGTTCCTATTTCTCCATATCCTCTCCAGCACCTGTGGTTTCCTGACTTTTTAATGATTGCCATTCTAACTGGTGTGAGATGGTATCTCATTGTGGTTTTGATTTGCATTTCTCTGATGGCCAGTGATGGTGAGAATTTTTTCATGTGTTTTTTGGCTGCATAAATGTCTTCTTTTGAGAAGTGTCTGTTCATGTCCTTTGCCCACTTTTTGATGGGGTTGTTTGTTTTTTTCTTGTAAATTTGTTTGAGTTCATTGTAGATTCTGGATATTAGCCCTTTGTCAGATGAGTAGGTTGTGAAAATTTTCTCCCATTTTGTAGGTTGCCTGTTCACTCTGATGGTAGTTTCTTTTGCTGTGCAGAAGCTCTTTAGTTTAATTAGATCCCATTTGTCAATTTTGGCTTTTGCTGCCATTGCTTTTGGTGTTTTAGACATGAAGTCCTTGCCCATGCCTGTATCCTGAATGGTACTGCCTAGGTTTTCTTCTAGGGTTTTTATGGTTTTAGGTCTAATGTTTAAGTCTTTAATCCATCTTGAATTAATTTTTGTATAAGGTGTAAGGAAGGGATCCAGTTTCAGCTTTCTACATATGGCTAGCCAGTTTTCCCAGCACCATTTATTAAATAGGGAATCATTTCCCCATTGCTTGTTTTTGTCAGGTTTGTCAAAGATCAGATAGTTGTAGATATGTGGCATTATTTCCGAGGGCTCTGTTCTGTTCCATTGGTGTAGCTATCTGTTTTGGTACCAGTACCATGTTGTTTTTGTTACTGTAGCCTTGTAATATAGTTTGAAGTCAGGTAGCTTGATGCCTCCAGCTTTGTTCTTTTGGCTTAGGATTGACTTGGTGATGCGGGCCCTTTTTTGGTTCCATATGAACTTTAAAGTAGTTTTTTCCAATTCTGTGAAGAAAGTCATTGGTAGTTTGATGGGGCTGGCATTGAATCTATAAATTACCTTGGGCAGTATGGCCATTTTCACGATATTGATTCTTCCTACCCGTGAGCATGGAATGTTCTTCCATTTGTTTGTATCCTCTTTTATTTCATTGAGCAGTGGTTTGTAGTTCTCCTTGAAGAGGTCCTGCACATCCCTTGTAAGTTGGATTCCTAGGTATTTTATTCTCTTTGAAGCAATTGTGAATGGGAGTTCACTCATGATTTGGCTCTCTGTTTGTCTGTTGTTGGTGTATAAGAATGCTTGTGATTTTTGTACATCAATTTTGTATCCTGAGACTTTGCTGAAGTTGCTTATCAGCTTAAGGAGATTTTGGGCTGAGACAGTGGGGTTTTCTAGATATACAATATTGTCATCTGCAAACAGGGACAATTTGACTTCCTCTTTTCCTAATTGAATACCCTTTATTTCCTTTGGCTGCCTAATTGCCCTGGCCAGAACTTCCAACACTATGTTGAATAGGAGTGGTGAGAGAGGGCATCCCTGTCTTGTGCCAGTTTTCAAAGGGAATGCTTCCAGTTTTTTCCCATTCAGTATGATATTGGCTGTGGGTTTGTCTTAGATAGCTCTTATTATTTTGAGATACGTCCCATCAATACCTAATTTATTGAGAGTTTTTAGCATGAAGGGTTGTTGAATTTTGTCAAAGGCCTTTTCTGCATCTATTGAGATAATCATGTGGTTTTTGTCTTTGGTTCTGTTTATATGCTGGATTACATTTACTGATTTGCATATATTGAACCAGCCTTGCAGCCCAGGGATGAAGCCCACTTGATCATGGTGGATAACCTTTTTGATGTGCTGCTGGATTCGGTTTGCCAGTATTTTATTGAGGATTTTTGCATCAATGTTCATCAGGGATATTCGTCTAAAATTCTCTTTTTTTGTTGTGTCTCTGCCAGGCTTTGGTATCAAGATGATGCTAGCCTCATAAAATGAGTTAGGGAGGATTCCCTCTTTTTCTGTTGATTGGAATAGTTTCAGAAGGAATGGTACTAGTTCCTCCTTGTACCTCTGGTAGAATTTGGCTGTGAATCCATCTGGTCCTGGACTCTTTTTGGTTGGTAAGCTATTGATTATTGCCACAATTTCAGATCCTGTTATTGGTCTATTCAGAGATTCAACTTCTTCCTGGTTTAGTCTTGGAAGGGTGTATTTGTCAAGGAATTTATCCATTTCTTCTAGATTTTCTAGTTTATTTGCATAGAGGTATTTGTAGTATTCTCTGATGGTAGTTTGTATTTCTGTGGGATCGGTGGTGATATCCCCTTTATCATTTTTTATTGCGTCTATTTGTTTCTTCTCTCTTTTCTTCTTTATTAGTCTCGCTAGCGGTCTATCAATTTTGTTGATCTTTTCAAAAAACCAGCTCCTGGATTCATTAATTTTTTGAAGGGTTTTTTGTGTCTCTATTTCCTTCAGTTCTGCTCTGATTTTAGTTATTTCTTGCCTTCTGCTAGCTTTTGAATGTGTTTGCTCTTGCTTTTCTAGTTCTTTTAATTGTGATGTTAGGGTGTCAGTTTTGGATCTTTCCTGCTTTCTCTTGTGGGCATTTAGTGCTATAAATTTCCCTCTACACACTGCTTTGAATGTGTCCCAGAGATTCTGGTATGTTGTGTGTTTTTTCTCATTGGTTTCAAAGAACATCTTTATTTCTGCCTTCATTTCATTATGTACCCAGTAGTCATATAGGAGCAGGTTGTTCAGTTTCCATGTAGTTGAGCAGTTTTGAGTGAGATTCTTAATCCTGAGTTCTAGTTTGATTGCACTGTGGTCTGAGAGACAGTTTGTTATAATTTCTGTTCTTTTACATTTGCTGAGGAGAGCTTTACTTCCAACTATGTGGTCAATTTTGGAATAGGTGTGGTGTGGTGTTGAAAAAAATGTATATTCTGTTGATTTGGGATGGAGAGTTCTGTAGATGTCTATTAGGTCCACTTGGTGCAGAGCTGAGTTCAATTCCTGGGTATCCTTGTTAACTTTCTGTCTCGTTGATCTGTCTAATGTTGACAGTGGGGTGTTAAAGTCTCCCATTATTATTGTGTGGGAGTCTAAGTCTCTTTGTAGGTCACTCAGGACTTGCTTTATGAATCTGGGTGCTCCTGTATTGGGTGCTTATATATTTAGGATAGTTAGCTCTTCTTGTTGAATTGATGCCTTTACCATTATGTAATGGCCTTCTTTGTCTCTTTTGATCTTTGTTGGTTTAAAGTCTGTTTTATCAGAGACTAGGATTGCAACCCTTGCCTTTTTTTTGCTTTCCATTTGCTTGGTAGATCTTCCTCTATCCTTTTATTTTGAGCCTATGTGTGTCTCTGCACATGAGATGGGTTTCCTGGTGGTGACAAAATCTCTCAGCATTTGCTTGTCTGTAAAGTATTTTATTTCTCCTTCACTTATGAAGCTTAGTTTGGCTGGATATGAAATTCAGGGTTGAAAATTCTTTTCTTTAAGAATGCTGAATATTGGTCCCCACTCTCTTCTGGCTTGTAGAGTTTCTGCCGAGAGATCTGCTGTTAGTCTGATGGGCTTCCCTTGTGGATAACCCGACCTTTCTCTCTGGCTGCCCTTAACATTTTTTCCTTCATTTCAACTTTGGTGAATCTGACAATTATGTGTCTTGGAGTTGCTGTCCTCGAAGAGTATCTTTGTGGCGTTCTCTATATTTCCTAAATCTGAATGTTGGCCTGCCTTCCTAGATTGGGGAAGTTCTCCTGGATAATATCCTGCAGAGTGTTTTCCAACTTGGTTCCATTCTCCCCGTCACTTTCAGGTACACCAATCATGTAGATTTGGTCTTTTCACATAGTCCCATATTTCTTGGAGGCTTTGTTTGTTTCTTTTTATTCTTTTTTCTCTAAACTTCCCTTCTCACTTCATTTCATTCATTTCATCTTCCATCACTGATACCCTTTCTTCCAGTTGATCGCATCGGCTACTGAGGCTTCTGCATTCTTCATGCAGTTCTCGAGCCTTGGCTTTCAGCTCTATCAGTTCCTTTAAACACTTCCCTGTATTGGTTATTCTAGTTATACATTCATCTAAATTTTTTTCAAAGTTTTTAACTTCTTTGCCTTTGGTTTGAGTTTCCTCCTGTAGCTTGGAGTAGTTTGATCGTCTGAAGCTTTCTTCTCTCAGCTCGTCAAAGTCATTCTCCGTCCACCTTTGTTCCATTGCTGGTGAGGAACTGTGTTCCTTTGGAGGAGGAGAGGCACTCTGCTTTTTAGAGTTTCCAATTTTTCTCCTCTGTTTTTTCCCCATCTTTGTAGTTTTATCTACTTTTGGTCTTTGATGATGGTGATGTACAGAAGGGTTTTTGGTGTGGATGTCCTTTCTGTTTGTTAGTTTTCCTTCTAACAGACAGGACCCTCAGCTGCAGGTCTGTTGGAGTTTGCTAGAGGTCCACTCCATACCCTGTTTGCCTGGGTATCCGCAGCGGTGGCTGCAGAACAGCGGATTTTCATGAACCGCGAATGCTGCTGTCTGATCGTTCCTCTGGAAGTTTTGTCTCAGAGGAGTACCCAGACATGTGAGGTGTCAGTCTGCCCCTACTGGGGGGTGCCTCTCAGTTAGGCTGCTCGGGGGTCAGGGGTCAGGGACCCACTTGAGGAGGCAGTCTGCCCGTTCTCAGATCTCCAGCTGCGTGCTGGGAGAACCACTGCTCTCTTCAAAGCTGTCAGACAGGGACATTTAAGTCTGCAGAGGTTACTGCTGTCTTTTTGTTTGTCTGTGCCCTGCCCCCAGAGGTGGAGCCTACAGAGGCAGGCAGGCCTCCTTGAGCTGTGGTGGGCTCCACCCAGTTGGAGCTTCCCGGCTGCTTTGTTTACCTAAGCAAGCCTGGGCAATGGCGGGCGCCCCTCCCCCAGCCTCACTGCCACCTTGCAGTTTGATCTCAGACTGCTGTGCTAGCAATCAGCAAGACTCCGTGGGCGTAGGACCCTCCGAGCCATGTGCAGGATATAATCTCCTGGTGCGCCGTTTTTTAAGCCCGTTGGAATAGGGTAGTATTCAGGTGGGAGTGACCCAATTTTCCAGATGCCGTCTGTCACCCCTTTCTTTGACTAGGAAAGGGAAGATCCCTGACCCCTTGCACTTCCCAAGTGAGGCAATGCCTCACCCTGCTTTGGCTCATGCACAGTGCGCTGCACCCACTATTCTGCGCCCACTGTCTGGCACTCCCTAGTGAGAACCCAGTACCTCAGATGGAAATGCAGAAATCACCCATCTTCTGCGTCGCTCATGCTGGGAGTGGTAGACCGGAGCTGTTCCTATTTGGCCATCTTGGCTGCCAGCCCCTTAAATTTATTATTAGTCATCTTATTCTTTTGGATGTTATTGTAAATGGAATTGTTTTCTTAATTTCATTTTTGGATTATTTATTGCTAATGTCTAGAAATATAACTGTTTTTTGTGTGTTGATCTCGTATCCTGCAATTTTGCTGAATTCATTTATTTATTCTAATAGTTTCTTTCTGGATTCTTTAGGATTTTCTTTAAAATACCAAAAGCATAATCCATAAAAGAAAAGCCTGATAAATTGAACTTCATTATAGTGAAGAAAATCTGCTCTTTAAAAGTTTCTGTTAAGGAACTGAAACAACAGGGAGAATTCATTTGCAAACTTTTCATCCAATAAGAGACTTATTTTCAGAATTCATAAAGAACTTTTCAAAATAATAAGAACCAATGATCTAATAAAAAAAATGGGCAGGTGGTTTGAACAGACACTTCACCAAAGAAATATATGGATGCCAAATAAGCACATGAAAAGATGTTCAACATCATTAGTTGTTTGGGAAATGCAAATTAAAACCACAGTGAGACACCACTACACCCCCCAGTGGAGTGACTAAAGTTAGAAAGATACTAATTACACCAATGTTGCTGAGAAAATGGAAGACATGGGGCTTTGAAATACAACTGAGAAAAATGTAAACTTTTACAAGCACTTTTGAAAACACTTGGCAGTTTCATAAAAAAATCTATACATATATGTATATTTATATACATATATGTGTGTGCGTATATACATATATGTGTATGTGTATATACATATATGTGTATGCATATACGCATATGTGTGTATATACATACACGTGTATGCGTATACGCATATGTGTGTATATACATACACGGGTATGCGTATATACATATGTGTGTATATACATACACGGGTATGCGTATATACATATGTGTGTATATACATACACGGGTATGCGTATATACATATGTGTGTATATACATACACGGGTATGCGTATATACATATGTGTGTATATACATATACGGGTATGCGTATATGCATGTGTGTGTATATGTATATACGGGTATGCGCATATGCATGTGTGTGTATATGTATATACGGGTATGCATATATGCATGTGTGTATATATATACGGGTATGCGTATATGCATATGTGTGTATATGTACATACGGGTATGCGTATATGCATATCTGTGTATATGTACATACGGGTATGCGTATATGCATATGTGTGTATCTGTACATACGGGTATGCGTATATGCATATGTGTGTATCTGTACATACGGGTATGCGTATATGCATATGTGTGTATCTGTACATACGGGTATGCGTATATGCATATGTGTGTATCTGTACATACGGGTATGCGTATATGCATATGTGTGTATATGTACATACGGCTATGCGTATATGCATATGTGTGTATGTACCTACGGGTATGCGTATATGCATATGTGTGTGTATGTATATACAGGTATGCGTATATGCATATGTGTGTGTATGTATATACGGGTATGCGTATATGCATATGTGTGTGTATGTATATACAGGTATGCGTATATGCATATGTGTGTGTATGTATATACGGGTATGCGTATATGCATATGTGTGTATATGTATATACATATGTGTATATGTATATGTATGTATATGTATATACATATATTTGTATATGTATGTATATGTATATACATATGTGTGTATACATATTTTATATATATATATATATGCAGATATTCGTGTACACATATATATGACTCAGTCATTCTACTCCCTGGTACTTAACCAAGAAAAACAGAAGCACCTATCCAGGCAAAGACTTGTACACGAATGTTCATAATAGCATTATTTATATTAGCTAAAACCTGGAAACAACCAAAATGTCCATTAATAGATAAGTATATAAGCAAATTATGGTTCATCTCTGCAATGGGATGCTATTCAGGAATAAAAAGGACTGAATTATACACACACCACACACACACACACACACACACACACACACACACATACACACACATACACACAAAGATGAATCTCAAAAAAACTATGCTGGGTGAAAAAAGCTAAAGAACAAAAGAGTACAGACTGTATTATTTCATTTGTATTAATATAAAATTATAGTAAATGCAAACTAATTTATAGTGACAGAAAGCAGATCAGTGGTTACCTAGGGACCAGGTTGGAAGTGTTCAGAGGGCCCCAGCTAAGAGTTTGCAGAGGTCACCAGACAACTTTTAAAGATGATGAATATGTTTATTATTCTGGTTGTTTTCAAAAAACTCATCAAATTACACAGTTTAGATACAGTCAGTTTATTTTATGTAAATTGTATCTCAATAAAGCTTTTTGTATATAAAGAAATGTCGTATAAGAAGAAAGTTATGAAGAGCAACACAAACACTTTTAAACAACGTTTGCGAATGTAAACAACAATTGCAAATTTGAACAAAGAGAGATGAAAAAGAGCTTAAACTATTGGTCATATGCAAAACAATAAACTACCATTTAAGTCAAGAAGAAAAGGAAGAAAGTACTTTTTACTTTGGAGAAATCCTCACGTATACCCTGAAACAAAGGTAACAAGATTGAATATTAGTGATATTTATTTGAGCTAATGAAAATTGGAGGAAAATGGAAAAACAAAGCTAAGAATAATTGACAGAAGTAGAAAAACAGATTAAAATGAAAATGGTGACAAACTGAGAAATATAAAAATGTCTCAGTAGAGCCATCACTTGATTGGAAACTAGAAAGGAAAAAACAAAAGAAAACCACAGAAATTGGCTTACGCAAGTCATAGATTCCTGTCCACTGTGAGTATTGGCATAGTCTGGGGAAAAATCATCATATAACATCAAAGTAGAACAGAAAAATGGTGAAGAAGGAAGAGCAGAAAGGAAGGCCATTTATTGGATAAAATACAACAACAATAACACACTAATGCACTAGATTTATTAAGACTAAGCTAGCAATGTGAAAAATAAAATAGTTTGGGGCCTGCAAATCTTCTCTTTTTATGCAAGACCAATCTCAATATTCATTTATTTCTTTATATACAAAAATACTTATTGAAAGCTTACCATGTGCCAGATACTGTTCCAAGTCCCGAGGCTACATCAGTAAATAAAGTAGATTAAGTACATACTCTCATGGAATTTATTTACTTATTCATTTACATTTATTTATTTTATTTATAAATGTTAAACTGATTAAACCACTTGTGAGTATATTAAAATAGTGTCATTCTTATTTGAACGAGACAGTAAACTTTAACATGATGTTGTTTTAAAAATATTTCTGCTTTTTCTTTTTATTTTTTTCTTTTTTTGAGACAGAGTCTTGCTCTGTCGCCCAGGCTGGAGTGCAGTGGCACCATCTCACCTAACTGCAAGCTCCACCTCCCGGGTTCACGCCATTCTCCTGCCTCAGCCTCCCGAGTAGCTGGGACTACAGGCGCCTGCCACCACGCCCGGCTAATTTTTTGTATTTTTTAGTAGAGACGGGGTTTCACCATGTTAGGCAGGATGGTCTCCATCTCCTCACCTCGTGATCCACCCGCCTTGGCCTCCCAAAGTGCTGGGATTACAGGCGTGAGCCACCATGCCCGGCCGATTTCTCCTTTTTCTAATGAGTGTATTCTGAGAGTAGGTATCAGCAGTAGTTATTAGAAATTGTTTTTATTCTTCAGTTTAAACAAAAAGGATAGAGAGGCTATCTTTATATGTTTTCAGGAGTGTAAAGCTCAAATAAATGCTTTCTAAAAATACAACGTTATTGTCAATCCTTTTCATCCTTTTTGACATTGCTGCAGTTTCTTTCACTATCTCAGGTTTCTCTGGGTGAGAAAAGAGTTGAAAATCCTCTGCCAGATGCGTAGTTCAAAAGTCAGGATTGTAATATCGTTGCCTAAAGAATTCCCAACACCAGGGAATCTCCCAAAGAATGCTAAGGCCATGCTTCTTCACAGCCCCCGCGGTGCTACGCAGGCAGCAGCCCCGTTCGACCTCCAACAGAAACATGAAAGTGAGAAATTGTCTGCAAAACACGAAGCTATCCTTACTGGGACTTCCTTATCAAAAATCAGGATATTCAGTTTGGCTAAACCTTTCAGTTTTTTAAAAAAGATTTTTCTTTCATTGATGCTAGATGTGCCTGCTTGGAAGTTTGGCTAAACAACCGAGAAAAACAGCCTTTTTAAAAGGAAAAGCATTCTACAACAACAAAATATGGAAACACTCAAAGTGTTTTTCTTTTAGTAGAAAATATTTCATCTCCTTATGCAATGTTGCCTCTATGGGAGTTGGCTTTGACTTGGCACGAAAACAGCAAAAAGTTGACGTGTCCCTGTATTTAGAGAAAGTTAGAAATGTATTATTCTCTTACAACTCTCCCCACAAGCAAGAAAATAATCTTTCTTTAATTTTATAACTGGTTTACTGTAAGTAAAATAGTATGACTTCTCTTTGCCCTTTCCCTTTTCCCAAACAAAAATCTCCCCCCTCAAGGGAAAGTTTAATTGTATTTCTCATTTGGCCAAACGACTAAAAATTCCATAACATACTCGATTGTACATACAAATAGATTATTCTATCTTTAAATTAGAAGAAATTATCTATTTTATCCCTAGTAGAATACACTCCAAGATTTACAAGTGTTAAGTAAAAGCCTCTAAAGGTATTTTGGCCCCATCTCTCCCTTCACATCCTAGCCATCCCCCACTTCTAAATGCAAAGAAATGCTTTTTTTAAGATAGCTTTAAGCTATCTCTTTACCCCCAATGGTTTTTAGTTTATAAAAGTGAAACCTTATTTTGTGACAAATTTAGCTTATTGGTCCTTAAAATAAAATTTAATGTTTCCTTGGAATTATGGTTACCAAATCAAGGAAATTTATAGCATCCGTATTTTTGTGTGATGTGCAGAATATCAAGACAAGTATTGTGACTATTTGGTCTTATGTACTGTATCTGTGAAAAATCATTCAGATATTTTATTTCTGTAGAGTGGTGATGTCTCTCACAATGAAAGCAGGTTTCAAATACTCTTGAATATAGAGAAGAAAAAAGTATACATGAGTGCCCATCGAAAGAGAGAAACCACTAGAAGGTAAGAGTTAGAAGTCAATGCAAAAAAGCCAAAGGATATTTAGATTGTCACTTTTTATGAAGTGCTACCAAGGAAAAGGGTAAAGCTGCAAAAACCCACTCTTTAGATGTCTTACTGCTTGAATTTTTCTGACATGAGGTTATGGAATATGAATGTTCTTGAACAAATCTTTTAATAACTAAAGCCTACATGTTGCCTTTAAAAAAATATTGATTTGCCTCTTGGAAGAGAACTCCAAAGCCATAATTGTCTGATTTTTTATTTAGCTTGGGCTAAAAGGCAAATCCTCTACATATGAACATGCCAATGCCCTCCAAAAGAGCTCTTTAGCCAAACCAGTTTCTCTTTGCCAGAAATCAAAAGGAGCACAAAGCTTTTTAATGTTCCAGGTTTCAGAAGATGTAAAACAACGATATTTGTCAAAATCAAATTGGGTTTATTTCCTGGGACGCCATCTGTCCAGAGGTCTAAGACCACTTTAGAATATAAAGATTCCCATTCTCATCCCATGTGACCCTGCCTCTCATCCTCTGAGGACTCCTAGGTGAAAGAGGCTAAGCTCTCTGGATTCAGCTTCACCATCTGCACTCATGGAAAAATTCAGTGTTTTTATTTTAGTTTGCTGTATTTATTTTAATTTGTTGTAATATTCAATAAAACTAAAACAAAGTTTGAAGAAAGGTGATCTGTTCTCTCTTTTGTTCGAACAGTTGGTGAAAGGGGTCTCAAGCGGTGATGTGTGCATCTCCAGAGACTAACACTAGTTACCAGTTACTACTTCCTTCCAATCCCAGAAATTCTGACCTGCCAGTTATTAATAATACTTCCAACCCGTTAGCATCGGCTAATCAGAGGCACCTGGCATCTGCACCCTGTGTATAGTTTTAATTGATTTATTACAGACATTTTACAGTGGGAGTTCTACAAAGCCTGAGGTCATTATTACCTCTATCTGTGTTTTTGTTTTTAAAGACTGAAAACCAAAAGGCCAGGCTCGGTGGCTCACACCTGTAATCCCAGCACTTTAGGAGGCCGAGGCAGGCGGATCACCTGAGGTCGGGAGTTAGAGACCAGCCTGACCAACATGGAGAAATCCCGTCTCTACTAAAAATATAAAATTAGCTGGGCGTGGTGGCGCATGCCTGTAATCCCAGCTACCCGGGAGGCTGATGCACAATAATTGCTTGAACCCAGGAGGCGGAGGTTGCAGTGAGCCGAGATTGCGCCATTGCACTCCAGCCTGGGCAAGAAGAGTGAAACTCTGTCTCAAAATAAATAAATAAATAAATAAAAATTTAAAAAGACTGAAAACCAGTTTATTGTAAGAAGGAAACAATAATCTTCCTCTAGGGAAAACACTATCTAAAGGGAGGAGCCTAGGATTTATTTTGATATGAGGTACAAGGCAAAGACAATTCTAAACTCATCTCTCCTTAAACATTTCCATTTCTTTTCACATTGCAAAACAGGCGTGTTACCTGAAAACCACCTCCCCCTAAAGGTGTGCATTTCTTTTACAACTTCCAGTGAACTTAATTGGATATTTCCAAAAGATATCTTAAAGCCTAAAATATGAATGTTCTTGAACAAATCTTTTAATAACTAGAGTCAACATGTTGCCTTTAAAAAATGTTGATTTGCCAGACACTCTGAAATGTAAATACAAATTTAAGAACACAGAATTGTGAATCCCTACTCTGAAATCTTAGCTCTGCTCTCCTAGACATTGACTCTTCTTGTACCATTCCAGAAGGAACAAAGGCTGAGCTGGTTTGAAGGTGAAATTATCCTCCAGGAGCTTATACTAGACTCCACAGAAACTGGAAATGGGACTTGCATTTAAGGCCTTATATATACCCTGTTCCCAAATTGAGCAAATTTGCCTGATTTGAAATGAACAAGAACTTCTCTGGCTGCCCCCGAGTTTAACATGCAGAGCAAATATGATGAATTTTCTCCTGTGTGCGCTCCAGATGCTGACCAGATGTGTGTGCAAGGCAGCCCACTGGCCTGTTAGGGGAGGTCTGGACATGTTACACTACAGCCAATCTCTGTTTTAGTATCATTCAAAGGCAATTTGCTTAAAACAGAAATTATTGAATGTGATTATTGTCACTTGTAAATGGCCATGTTGTAGCATGTGATCACTTCTTCTTGGTCTCTTCACACTTTAATACTGCTTCCCACTTTGAAATGAATTCATAACCTTGGACCATCCTTGAAGACTCAGCTTCCATGTCAGAGCCTCCAGAAGCCTCGCTCCTTCCCATCGGTTGACACCGTCATGCTTCTGTGGGATTTCCACTCTGCATGCTGCTGTGTTATTCTGATAAAACAGCTTCCTCATCTTCTCAAGAATTCTCTGCCTTTGGCGATTCAAGCCTACTCTTACCTCAGCTAAAGCCTGTGACTCTTATCTCACTGAAGTGACAGAGTTCTGTGAGTGGAACATGTTGCGCTCCACACCCCCAGCCCCGTGCACAATTGTTTTGTAAATATTACTATGTTCCTGCCAGTATCTAGACCAGGACCCAGCAAACGATGGCCCATCAGCCAGATCTGGCCTTCGGTGTGTTTTCATATGGCCCACCAGCTTATGGTGGTTTTTACATTTTTGAATAACGGGAAAAAGTAGATGAATAATATTTTATGACACATGAAAATTCTATGAAATTCCAACTCCAGTGTCCATAAATAAAGTCTGTTTGGAAGCCAGCCACACACATGTGTTGACTTATTGTCTGTGGCTGCCCTCCTGCCATAGCAGTGGTGCTGTAGCAGAGACCATATGGACCTGGAAACTCAAAATATTTACTCTCTGGCCCTTTGCAGGTTTGCTGACCCCGATTTAGACAGATCTTTCTTCTTTCTTGTAAAACAAAGGGAGGCCCTCTCTTGTCTTCAAAGGCCAAACCTCCCATGTGTCCCCTTTGCCTATACAAGCGCCTCCCTTGAACTTACCCTTTGATCCCCTAAGCCCTGTCTCTGTTCTTTTTGCTGCCAGCCTCTGTTGACACCACATTCCTTATTTTCTTCCTGCCTTTCTGCTTCATCACTTTCCGACTTATTTTTTGTGTCCTTATCTTCAAATGTCAAAATTCCTCAAGAATCAGTCCAGGCTTTCTTCCCTCTCTTTCCTCTCCCTATGACAGTCTCCTCAGTCGCCATGTGGTACAGTTTGCATATTTGTCCCCTCCAAATCTCATGTTGAAATGTAATCCCTAATATTGGAGGTGGGGTCTGGTGGGAGGTTCTTGGGTCATGGGAGCAGATTCCTCATGAATGGCTTGGTGCCCTTCCCATGGTAATGAGTGCATTCTCATTGTGAGTTCACCCAAGATTTGGTTGCTTAAAAGTGTGTGGCGCCTCATCCTTCCCTCTTTTGTGTATCCTTTCTGACCATGTGACACACTGGTTCCTCTTCATCTTTTAGCCATAATTGTAAGCTTCCTGAGGCCTCACCAGGAGCAGATGCTGGCACCACACTTCCTGTACAACCTGCAAAACCGTGAGCCAATTAAACCTCTTTTCTTTATAAATTATACAACTGCAGTATTCCTTTATAGCAATGCAAAAATGGTCTAGTCCACCATGGTTCTAAACACTATTCCCATGCTAAAGCTTCCTAATGTTATCTTCAGCCCCGACCTCTCCTCTAAGACACAATGTCACATATCCAAGTGGTAACACAGCATCCACACTCCACACAGTTTTAATGTGTCCTGAACTGAATGTTGGTTTTCCCATCTAAATCTGTGCTGAATCAAGTCTTTCTCATCCACCCCGTGGCTTAAGCTGGATAGCTAGGAGCTGTCCTTGACTCTCCACCACTCTCCACATCCAGTAAGTCCTGCTCATTCTGCTTCCAAGATGCATCTCGACTCTGTTTCTTGGATATACTAATTTAAACTACCTCATTCTTTCTGGACTGTAACTGCCTTCTAACTGGTATGGCTATTCACCCTCTTGCAGCCCTAACATGCATCCACCATCGTGGATAGACTCACTTGCCAACATTCTCTTTATTACCTGTTTGATCCAGAGGTGAAACTGAGTCCAGAAGCTGGTGGGCTGAGCCCAGCGAAGCCCTCTCAAAGAACTAGGCTGTTTCTGAGAGTTTCAGCTAGAGCTCGTGGTCGGGGTGTGGGATAAGAAGTGTGCAGTTGGTGAGACCACTTTCTGGGACCCAAGAGCTTGATTTGCTGCTGAGCCTCGGCTGGGAGCACATGTGATGAGTAGGAGCAGAGTCCTTATAAATCAAAGGTATGAAGTAATAAAAAACAAAACCCATCACTAAAAACTGTAGGACTCAGGTGAGGGTGGGGACCACTTCTGTGCGCAACTCCCTCCAGGAGTTTCTCAAGAACAGAAACATCAGAGATGAAATTAGGAGATGCAGGGGAGACCCCCAGCCAAGTGCCCATAGCTTCCCCTTGCACATGGCCATGAAGGGTGATCCAGTGAGAGCCACTGGGCCTTGTCTGCCCCCACCCCATGGAGAGGCAACAGTGTCAGGAACAGAGGGCAAGGCCAAGAGATGAGACAGAAGGGTGGGGGTGGGGAGAAGCGCCATGTGGAATTAGCACATGTGCAGATGAGTGCTGATAATGAAGACCAAGCACCAGAGAGACAGCCGGCACCTCTCTGCAGTTGCCTCCCTACTCCTAGCCCTGGGTCAGCCTCCCTCTACCCAACAATGGGGTCGGGGAAGGGATGGCACCCACTTTTGAGGAAGAGAATAAATGTCCTCACAGCAGCTGTGGAAGGGAATGTCCAGCTCTGGGGAAGGAGGAGGGATGGTGACCCCTGTCCTCACCTCAGCAGCCCCAGAGCAGCTCCCACTACTCCTGGCCCCCAGCTGCCCAGGCCTCAAGCCCCTAAAGGCCTCCTCTGTTGGTGGCCTGGGGAGGAGAGGGTAGAAACCTGAAGTGGGCCCAGCCCAAGGCACTGACCAGAACATTCTTCCCCTGCCCCAGCCTGCTGTGGCCTGAGCAGCCCTCCTGAGTCATGTCACAGATCCAGTTTCTCTGGCCCAAGGGGCAGAGAGGGAAGGTAACTGTGGGGATTTTTTCCTCTCCTTTTTTCTTTTGGTAATAACACTGTCTTAATTCTGGTGACATGTTCCATGCAACCGCAGTACTAATACGGGAAGGGGCAGGGAAGTGCGGGGTAGAGAAGGGCGGGGGTCCGTGGTGAGGGCTCCACCCTCGGGCCTGTGCCCGCGGACCTAAGTGAAAACGGGCACTCCTGTTTTTACCCCGAATGTTGCATTTTCCAAGACCGCTCTGACCCGCCACGCCTCCCATCCTGTGCTCATATAAACCCAAGACCTTAGCAGGCACACACATAAGTGGTGGAACGTCAAGAGGAGCAGAGGAAGAGAGTGGCAGAGGATGGTGGAGAGGAGCAGAGAGCAGCAGGGTGGCAGAGAGTGGCGGGCAGAGGCAGGGCGGAACAGCAGAGAAGGAGAGAAGAAGCCTCCGAACGTGGAGAAAGATGGAACTCCAGGGGAAGATTATCTCCCCCACTCCTCCACCTTCGGCTCCCCATCATCTCGCTGAGAGCCACCTCCACCACTCGCAGTCATCCTTCCACCCCACGTGTGATCTGATTCTTCTGGAACACCGGCCAAGAGCTTGGGATACAGAAGGCTGTCACACTGGCCCTCTGCCCTTGTGATAACGCAGGCGGACCACTGAGCTGATTAACACTCAAGCCGTCTGCAGACAGCAATGCTGAAAGAGCTTTGTAATACCAGGGTTGCAGACACCCACCTGTAGACACTACCGTGCCAGGCCGGAGCCCAAAGCACTCACCCCAGTCTCTGCACCTGCTTCTCTGCGCGCTCCCCCTGGAAGTGTGAGCTGCTGGGCGAGCCACACCCCTGCCGCACTTCCTGTGAGGGGACTCAGGGAACTCTCCCATTTTAATACCAAGGGAGAGCCCTGCCCATCCTTCCCCGTCCTGCGCCTCCTCTGGGGGAGAAGGGGAGAGGGAGTTTCTGGACATGGGTGGATGTGTGGGAGAAAGACCCATCTCCTTTCCCTTACAGCATGGAGGAAAAATTACAGAAGGGCAAGGAAGAGGAGAAGGGCCAGCAAGGAAGACGTCACGTTCAGGCCAGTCTCTGCAGTCTTGCCCAGGTGGGGCTGAGGCGCTCTTTCCCGCTGCTTCCTCCAGCTCCTGGCAGCCGCCTGGCTAATTTGGAAGCAAGGGTCTCCAAGGCCAGGGAGCTGCCTGAGGTCCCCTGGGACACTGCGCGGCAGTGAGACGCCTCCATGCCCGGTGCTCTGGCTGGCTAGAACCACCTCTCCTGCGACGCGCACCTGTGCTGGAGGTGCTCAGAACCCGCGAGTCTCCTCCCTCATCTCCTGGGGCCCTGTGGAGTGGGTGGTCTTCGGTCTCCATCGGAAGCCTAATGAGTGTGGTCTGGCTTCTGGGAAACCCTCTTTTTCTATTATCCCCTCTGCTGCCACCACGGGAGACCTGAGCATCTCCCCTTGGCCTTCAATTTTAGGTTCATCCAGGTTTCTTCTGGCATACCTGCAAGGCAGATTGTAGATCAACTTGGAGGTGACCCTGCTGAGGACACTCCAGAGATCCCCAGGGGCCAGAGACAGAGGCTGGAGCCGGTAGCCGTGGGGAATTTTAGCCTCAGGGGCTAATTCTGCTGGTCCCCTGTCTATCAGAGCTGTCCAGCACGAAGCAGCTGCAAATGGACTCACCCAGGAGGAAACTGGTTCCGCCTGAGGTACTACGATTGCTCATATTTTGAGGGACATGGAGAGGCGACAAGGACTCGCTGTGAGGCTGTGCTGGGCCCTGGCATCCCTCAGCTACCCGGGGGATGGGAGAGGAGCAGGCACTCACAGCACTGTGGGAGTGAGGCCCACAAGGATTTCTAGTGCAGGTGGGGCCAGATGGTGAAGAAGTGAAGAAGAAAATGAGAAAAATATAAAGAAAAGGGAAAAAAAATGAATGAGAAGAAAAGAAAAAGATAAATCAGAAGTAAAAGGGGAGAACAAAGAATAAGAAGACAAAAGAGAAGAAATCAAAAATCAAGGAAATAAAAAGACTAAAGGCAAAAAAGAAAAAGCATGAAGAAAAAGAAAATATAAAAAGTAAAATGAGAATAATGAAAGAATAAGAAAAAAAAGAAAAAATAAAAATGGAGAGAAATAAAGTACAAAGCAAAATTAGAAAAAGATGACAATAGAAATAATAATTGGAAAGCTAATAATAATACTAATAACAATAACAATCAAAAGCCTCAGAATGTCAATGTGATGTCTGCAAAAGAAGAAGCCAGCTGACTTTGGTCACATCCCTCAGGTAGCTATCACCAGCTTCCTGAGCTACAAGAATGTAAACCTAGGCAGTGAGTGTCTCCTAGAGCCCGGACAGGGAATGACTCCTTATAGGAACTATCAAAAAATCCATCAATGAGGCCTGGAGACAGTCAACTCAAGTTTTGATTACAACAGCAGTTTACTCTTACTTTTTTGTCCTCAGGAACCCTTTACTCTTAAAATTTATTGAAAATCACAAGGACTTTTTTTTTAACATATATATCAACATTTGTCTTATTAAAATTAAAACCTATAGAATGCTTCAGTGGTTTTTATTTGTACTTTGAAAAGCCGGATAATGTTTGGCTTTTAAAGAGCAAATCTTATCTACTCTCAAAATTACTTTTTCTTTAAAGTATAAATGATTGCTCTCAAAATGATGCTGCAACTTAAGAGTACCATGATCCTGTACAAATTGTTGTTGCGTGAGTCTTAGTAAGGAATGTTACTAACATCTATAAAGCTGAGGGAAAGATCGCTTTGGGCACATTCTCATTTCTTTTCACAGCTTTGCTCAGTTTCTTGGGAGTCAAGTTTTCCCTTCCATGGGTCAGAGAACACTCTGACATGTCAGTTAGATGTGAAGGTTGCAGCTCTAGGTTGAGAAAGCAAGTATTCTAATTTCCCTTTTGTTAAGTCAGCAAACTCTCAAATAAAAACCAAATCTGGATTTAGGTAAGGAGAGACTTTGTTCAAAAACAAAATTGTCATGGGGGAGAGAGACTACTGCAATGCAGAGAATGCCCAACCATAAAATCTTGAAGTGTCTCAAGGGTGAGGCTGATAGGGCTCGTCTTTTATAAAGAGGATTAACAAGGCTAGAAAGAACTGGATGTGGGGTGGTGTGTTGAGCACGTGCAGTAGCAGAAGACTGCATAGCAAATGTCTCCATTCTGGCTGGCTGTTTCTTGGGAGAAGCTATTGAGAGGGGGTTACCCTGAATTCAATGCTTACTTAGCCTGGGGGTGAGTGAAAAGGGTGCCCCCCAAAGCCACTATATTTATTACCTGTCCCTTTACAGAAAAAAAGTTGGTGACTCCTGTTCTAGAAGATAGTAACTTCACTGAATATTTTTAAGTCTATGATAAAACTATGAAAACACAATTTATAAACTTCATAATGGCAAGAATTCTTGACAGTTTTGTACACTTTCATCCCTAACACCTGGACTACTACGTGGCATGTAGTAGTTGCTTATGAAATATCTGTGGAATGAGTGAATTACTCTAAAACAAATCAGTTTTAAATGTAAAGTTATGTCTACTTCATCTCTATTTTAGCCAAATAGTGGTAAATGATCACTTGTTTTCTTTAGTATTATATTGCCTAAGTAATTAACATTTTATCTGATTTTTCTTAGCATATTTATACAGCTAAAAGCTACACTAAACAAACAGAGGAAAGTTTGAGGATATAGAAACCTGAATATTTTCAATCCTGACGTGGTATCTTGAAATTTTAGAAAGTACATATACTTTGGAATTCATATATCTCAATCATTTTAGCCCAGAGCAAATGATTTCTTTTAATGGGTTGGATTTAGCAAAGGAGTAGAATATTTGGTCTAAACAATAGCAGACACTTCAAAGTCATGGAAAAAAACAAATAGTGCATTGTTTTTTCCTTCCATTTCCCCCTTCCTTTAACTTATTTTTTCATAAGTTTACACTGTCTTTAGCTACCAGATTTGCTTTGGCCAATAATTTGAATTGAGAAATTAATCAATATAATTTTGTAGAAAGCACAGTCTCTTGAAAGATATCTCCATGTTCATTCAGCTACACATATTCTTCCACACCTATTATCTGCCTAGCACTATTCTAACCAATAGGATATAGCAGAGAATCAAACATCCAAAGACCCTACTATCAGGCGGCTTACTTTATATTTAAAATCAGTAGAACAGTTTTGCCTGTTCCATTAAAAATACTAGATCAATATTAATATAGTAATATACTAATGCACATAACATATGGGCATTATATAATATAGTTATTATAAAATGCTGTGTAATAACTGTATTAATATTTAAAATATTATAGATATTACTCTTATAAGTAGTTGAATTTCAAACCATCTATAAACCAAGACATTCTCTTAAACAAACAAAAACTAAAGGGAACAAGAGAAGTGTGAAGGAAAGATCTTGAAAGAGGAAACTTGGATTTTTGCTCCTAACCCCCCACTAACTGGTCACCTCCTGATGGGTAAGGCTTCTGACCTAGATGCATACCCTGTCCTCAAAAATGTGGCTGTTCTGAGATGACCTGAGCTACCGGCAGACTGCAGTTCACTATTACAGTGCACGGTAATTCAGTTTATTAAGACACAGTGCTGGATTCAGATCCTGACGCATGTACTCCGGACTGGGCACCAGGCTAGAACATGCATATCTGCAACGAACCACCATGGCTTCTCAGTGAAACCTAACCTGAGGAATCCTCAGATGCAGCAGAAGAAACCAATTCCTGCAGCCCATTCCTTCCTGAATACCAACATCCATATCCAAAATGAGACTATGATATTAAAGTGCAGATGGCTGCATGCTCCATTAAAAATCCTCTCTGAATTCTACATTTCGGGTGGACCCCTTTTGATCCTTGTCATCATAGAGTTTACTGTGTGTTTAGACCGTTCTTGCATTGCTATAAAGAAATACCTGACACTCAGTAATTTATAAAAAAAAAAAAAAAAGAGGCTTAATTGGGTCACAGTTCTGCGGGCAGTGTAGGAAGCATGGCACCAGCATCTGCTCGCCTTCTCGAGAGGCTTCAGGGAGCTTTTACTCATCGTGGAAGGTGAGGCAGGAGCAGGCACATCACATGGTGAAAGCAGGAGCAAGGAAGGGGGGGGTGCCACACACTGTTTTTCACAATCAGATCTTGCGAGAACACACTCTCTATCCTGAGGACAGTACCAAGCCATGAGGGATCCACCCCCAAGACCAAAACACCTCCCACCAGGCGCCATCTTCAACACTGGGGATTACATTTCAACATGAGATCTGGTGGTGACACAGATCCAAACCATGCTACTGTGCATCACCGATTCGAAATTCTCACCAGTATCACAGGATGCACTGTGCATCAATACTTCCAGGTGCCCCTAAACCATAGGGTCAGCTGTACATCACCCATCCCAGGTCACCTCCACTGCTACACTGTGGGTGTCAGCCTTCTTTCTCATTTTCTTCCTTCTTTGTGTCTTGCTTCTTACTGCCCTTTCTGTTTCTAGTCAGTTGAACACATCTTGACTTTTGCAGAAAAGCAGTGTGTTTCACTAACCGATTATGAATCAGGGTGTCTAGAGGTCATGAAAGTCATAATGTGCTTCCACCAGAGACTACATCTGGGAAACCAGACCTAAAACAAAGTGTGTCACTAAAATTTCCTGGTGCCTCTTTTGCTCTTTAGAATTCTCTGCTCCCCACGTCTCCAATTACTTAATACTAAAGACCACTTTGTCAGCCTAGCTCCAGGCTTCAAATAGTTCTCAGGTTTTCTCCTCAAATAATACTTACCTGTCCTTTTGTCCCAAGCTTTGAGTGGCTGAGAGAGTTCATTCAAAAGACGGTACTTCCAGAATAGCTACACTAAGTTACTTTCCTACCAACAGTATACTAGGGTTCCTTTTTTCTCCACAACTTCACTAACACTTGTTATCTTTTGTCTTTTTGATAATAACCATCCTAGGCAGTATGGCATGATAACTCATTATCATTTTAATTTGCATTCCCCTGATGATTAGTGATGTTGAGAATTCTTTCACATACCTGTAGGCATTTGTATGTCTTCTTTTGAGAAATATCTGTTCAGGCCCTTTGCCCTTTTTAAAATTTCCTTCCTTCCTTTCTTCTTCCTTCCTTCCTTCCTTCCTCCCTCCCTCCCTTCCTTCATTTCTTCCTCCCTCCCTCTCTCCCTGCCTTCCTTCCTTCCTTCCTCCCTCCCTCCCTCCCTCCCTCCCTTCCTTCCTTCCTTCCTTCCTTCATTTCTTCCTCCCTCCCTCCCTCTCTCCCTTCCTTCCTTCCTTCCTTCCTTCCTTCTTCTTTCTGCCTTTCAAAACTCTTCTTACAGAGTTTGTATATGTTCTCCTTTGTCAGATACATGTTTTGCAAAGATTTTCTCCCAGTCTTTGGCTTTTCCTTTTCTTAACAGTGTTTTAAAAATTTTTTTTATTTCAATAGGTATTTGGGGAACAGTTGGTGTTTGGTTATATGAATAAGTTCTTTAGTGGTGATTCTGAGATTTTGGTGCACCCATCACCTGAACAGTATACACTGTACGCAATGTATAGTCTTTTATCTCTCACCCTTCTCCCACACTTCTCCCATGTCCCCAAAGTCCATTGTATCATTCTTATGCCTTTGCATCCTCACAGCTTAGCTCCCACTTGGAGAACATTATTCTAAGTGAAGTAACTCAGGAATGGAAGTTCCTTTCTTTCTTATTGAGTTGTTTGAATTCCTTATATATTTTGTACATTAGCCCCTTATTAGATGTATGGTTTGCAAATAGGTGTATGGTTATTTTCCATTCTGTGGATCATCACTTCATTCTGCTAATTACTTCCTTGGCTATCCAGAGCTTTTTCGTTGGATGCAATCCCATTTGCCTATTTTTGCTTTTGTTGCCCGTGCTTTTGCAATATCCAAGAAATTATTGTTCAGACCAATGTCATGGAAATTTCTCCCTATGTTTTATTTTAGTAATTTAACAGTTTCAGATCTTCCATTTAAGTATTTAATCCCTTTCGAGTTTATTTTGTGCATAATATAGGGTCTAGTTTCATTCTTCTGCTTGTGGATATCCAGTTTTCTCAAAACTATTTATTGAAGAAACTGTCTTTTCCCAATTGTATGTTCTCAGTAGAATTACCATGTAATCCAACAACCTCACTTATGGGTATGTATCCGAAGAAATTAAAATCAGTCTGTTGAAGAGATATCTTTATTCCCATGTTCACTGCAGCATTATTCACGATAACTGAGATATGGAAACAGCCTAAGTGTCCATCAACAAATCAATAAATAAGGACAATATGATATACATATACACAATGAAATACTATACAGCCTTTTAAAAGAAGGATATTCGATTATTTGTGGCAAGATGGAGGATATTATTCTAAGCAAAATAACCCAGCACAGAAAGACAAAAATTGTTTGATCTCCCTTATTTTTACAACCTAAAAAAGTTGAACTCCTAGAAATAGAGGGTAGAACAGTGGTTACCAGAGGCTTGCTGGGATGGTTAATGTTAAGTGTCAACTTCCTTGGGTTGAAGGATGTAAAGTATTGTTCCTGGGTGTGTCTGTGAGGGTGTTGCTAAAGGAGATTAACATTTGAGTCAGTGGACTGGGAGAGGCAGACCCGCCCTCAATGTGGATGGGCACCATCTCATCAACTGCTAGCATGGCTAGAATAAAGCAGGCAGAAGAAGGTGGGATAAACTGACTTGCTGAGTCTTCCAGCCTTCATCATTCTCCTGTGCTGGATGCTTCCTGCCCTCAAACATTGGACTTCAAGCTCTTCAGCTTTTGGACTTTTGGACCTACACCAGTGGTTTGCCAGGGGCTCTTGGGCTTTTGGCCACAGACTGAAGCCTGCACTGTCGGCTTCCCTACTTTTGAGGTTTTGGGACTTGGACTGGCTCCTTGCTCCTCAGCTTGCAGGCAGACTACTGTGGGACTTTACCTTGAGATTGTGTGAGTCAATACCCCTTATTAAACTCTGCTTCATATATACATCTATCCTGTTAGTCCTGTCCCTCTAGAAAACCCTAATATACTGGTGGAGAGGGGCCAGGGAAATAGAGACAGAGGACATGGTCAAAGGGTACAGAGTTTCAGTTAGATAAGAGGAATACATTTTACTGACCTATTGCACAGCATGATGACTGTAGTTTAGAACAATGTACTGTGCATTTCAGATTTGCTGACAAAGATTTTAATGTTCTCACCACAAAAAAATGGTAAGTAAGCAAGGCAAGGGATATGTTAATTAGCTTCATATAATCATTGCACAATACATACATATATCAAAACATCATAGTATACCCCATAAATATATACAATGATCTGTCAATTAAAAATAAAAATAAATCATATGCCACTTCCCTTTTCACCCTGTGGGGAGCGTCCTATGCACTTATCCTCAAAACAAGAAGACACATCTATTTCTTTCCTGAGTGAGTCTGAGCTCAGTTCTACAGGATTACCACCAGGGAATTTCTGTGATTTGGTTTAACGCTTTGCAAGTTGAACACTACTCTACCCTAGACTGGAAAGAGATGAAAGATAACCAGATATGTGAAACCGGAAATGTCATACTCTACCCTTGGGACTAGTACCAAGATTTGCCTAGCAAGGAAAGAAAAATGGCATCTTACCCATCGACACTGTAGAAATATTAGCTGAATGTCATAGATTTGAAACAAAATATACAGAATACATACTGGTTTATAATAATTTTGTCATCTTTGTTCTGAACTTCTTTAGTCTCAGCTCATGCCTCCCTAAAATGAGCCGACCAAAAATGGAGAAAACATCCAAGATACTGTTGTGCTTCATTCCATAAAGTGCCACTTTCATCTGGTCTGTGTTATTTGGTATCCATTTTTAAATATGAATAAGCATCTTATTTGTTCTTTTGATGACTGTTGAACACTTGGCAGCTGCCAGCATTGTTGTACATGCAGTAATTCTTACAACACCCTTGCTCAATAGAACCCAGAAGTTCAGGCACTAACAGAAGGCCTGGGAAAACCAGGCTAGTTTGTTTAAGAAAGCATGAAATACCCAGTACAAAAATAAATTTTATTTTATCATACAGCCCAGGTGGTCGAATCCCTCTAAGTCTACTCAGTAGTTTCTTAAAATATTAATGATGTTAAGAATTTAGCCCATTGACTGTTAATCATACATTAAACCAACATAAATATGATTCTGCAAATATTTTGAGTCAATTAGCTGTCTGTAATATACTGACTTGAGAACCAGCTGCAAGTAGATTCTGTGAATATTTTGATTCAGTTAGCTGTTTGTCAAACACCAACTTAGGAACCAGCTGTGTGTGAAACCCCTGTTAGCAATGACATGATACTGACACATTTCTCTTGTTCTTTTTTTGAAATGAAAAACCAACCCAACAGCTAAAGGTTGGAAGCTCTGTACAGTAAATGATACCAACATGATCTTCTTTCCCAGCTACCCTGCCTTGTGCAGGAGTTAGGGAACTGTGAAATTAAGAGGACAGGATTATATAGGAAAAACACTTGTTTTTATTACAAGGTTTTGCTTCTTTCTGTTTTCCATGTCACTCTGTATGAGTTAAACTATGGAAATTTTTGGATCCCTGGCATCTCAGTAATAGCCCTATGAATGGAAACAGCAACCCATGATAACGGGTTTCCCAATTCCATGAGCAGTTGACATTTTAGAGCCAGCACACAAAAGACCTTGGTGCAAGCTAGAACTGCTACAGAAGTGAGGAGAGTTACAAGTTGCCTGGGGATTCTCCAAGTCCTTTCCTTATTTTCTTTCTGATGAAAGCCTCTTTTTACTTGTCACATAGACACAATGTGATCTAGTAATCTGGGCTATGGGCAAAAAAAGAGAAAGCAGTAAAAAAAAAAGACAAGCCTAGAAATTGCCAAACAAATAGCCATCAGTATAGTCTCATTCAGGGACATTCTCTTCCTGTTAGTACTTTTTTGTTAAATTGAGATTGTCTGGCTCTGACTTCATAACCTCTCTTAAGGGCATGGAATAGTGTAAATTAGAGGTGTCTTCTGAATCAGCTACTTTATTCTTGTTCTTTGGAACAGTCACAGAATGGCAGCATCCCAGATCAGTTTCATACCTACAAGTTCAGAATTCTGTTGCTCACAGGGTCCAAGGCTATATTGTGGCAGTCAGTAAACACCAGCTTAATTAATTGTTGAGTCATCATTCATTAACCTTTTTTAGGACTAACATTCTCTTTTTCTCAAAATAATATGAAATCATAGGATTTCAGAGCTGGGGGCAGGTGCTTAGAGATCGCAGTTTAACTCCTGTAATTTGCAGATGTAGTATCTGAGATCAAGAATGGCTACATAACTTAAATGAAAGCAGCAGGGGCCCAACAGTGATTTAAATTGTTTTTTTTTTTCTCTCTTCTTCAGCAAAGCAGGTCCCAGGATACCACACTGAATAGGTCTCTTTGGAAGCTGGGGAGAGGAAGGTGCAGAGAGGTCACAGATGCAGAGGTGATATTCAAAAAATTAACAGCTGGTGTGGGCCAGGCACTGAACAGGCAGAATAGACATTAACCACACAGCTGGAGCAGGGTTCTGGATGCCTCCTGTGCAGGACACTAAATTTTAGCTACTAATAATGGAGAGGTCAGGGGACGACAAGGGAGGAGACGGAGGAGCTAGAGACAGGACCTTGGGAAACACAAGGTAGAAGCCACATAGACTAACCAACATGGAAGTATGTTACTGTCTAAACAACTGGTATCACCATAACATCATGTGCCAGAGATGCAGAATGGGTGATGCACTACCTAGAGGAAAGGGACTCAACTGACCCTGTGTATCCTAAAGATGTAATAGGAAAACTCTGTGGTACATAGGGGAATTGCCAGGGAAAAGCAAAAGGAAGTGATAGGTCTGTTGTTGGCAACACTTCAGATATCTTGTCCCACTTGTATGGGAACATGGCTTGTTGGAATGTGGCTATGCAGGTGATTTGAACAAAGAAATGCTACTATAGGGTGTTGCAATAGGGAGGCAAACAAAAAAGAGGACCCAGCATCTACTGTACAGTTTTGCTCCCATCTGGAGGTCAGCAGTGCCAGTGCTCGCCATGAGCACTGCAAGAGAACAAATGTCCCAACCCCTTGGCCCACTGTAAGGGTTGGGGAGAACTTGGTATAAAAGACACAATTGATTAGTATAAAGCCTACTAAACTGCCTGCACCCTACTCCAATTAGAAGCAGTTAGACTAGAGCTAAAACAGGCTCTGATCTCAAGACACTCAGGACCCAGAAAACTCTGAGACACACCACGGGAAGGGCAGTGCTGTGGTTCTGCTGCTAAGACTGGCAGGTGGGAGATCTCACGTGCATTTGGTGTGGACATGGATTATTCGTTGGACAAGGCACATTCGTTGACCAGTGAGGCTGGTGGGAGACAACTTGCTTTCTCAAGGTGGTATGACTAGAAATGCATGTGACTATTTCCCTTGTCACCTGACTTCCAATGCTGTGACCTCACTGCCAAAATATGATGATAGTATATCACACTGAGACATTTCTATGAAGTAAGGTACAGAACTTGGCTTTTCATGAATAGAAGACTCCAGGAAACTTGACATTAATAATGGCTGGTTTCAGAAACTTTCCACTCACCCAGTTATTTATTCCTTTCCAATGGCTCTAAAACAACTCCGGTTCTTATTGCTGCCTGAAGATGGTGCTGAGCTTAGGATCTGGGTTTTGATCATTCATTAATGTATTCAGCTATTATTTCTATATGTCAGGATCTGAGCTAGAACCTGGTAATAGAGAGATACTGTCACAGTTTCCCCTACTCTGTTTCTAAGCTATGAGCCAGCAGACTCAAAGCATCAGCATCCTGAGGGTGGACATGCCCTTTAGTCTTTTCATTTTAATGAGATTTTCAAAGATGATTACAGAAATTCCAATGATCCAACACTAGAGGGACTGGGATTAATTAAATCCATACATAGCCTGTTGCTATTACATACCCTATATTTCTGACCCATTATCTTGGGGATCAACTTAGATGCCTGAATTCTCCCTTCCTATTGGATATGTTATTCTCCACAAAGCTTCTTGTAGAGGGTTGAGTGATGATCCCCACCCATAAAAAAAAGTATGTCCATAGCCTAACCTCTGGAAGCTGTGAATGTGACCTTATTTGGAAAAAAGTACATCTTTGCAGGTGTAATTACATGATAACCTCAAGATGAGATCATCCTGGATTATCCAGGTGGGCTCAAAATCCAACAACAAAGGTCTTATAAGAGATGGAAGATGAGAGACACACAGACGAGAGAGGGACATGTGAAGACAGATGCAGCCACAAGCCACGGAATGCCAGCAGCCACCAGAAGGTGGAAGAGGCAAGGCAGTATTTTCTCCTAGAGCCTCTGGATGGAAGGATGTCCTGCCAACATCTTGACTTCATACTTCTGGGCTTCAGAACTGTGAGAGAATAACTTCCTGTTGTTTTAAGTCAACAACAGAAGTTTGTTGATAATTTGCTACATCATATCCAGGCAACTAAAATAGTTTCTCATAGACTCATACTCCTGCAGGTGTGCTCACCAATTCTCCATTTAGACATGACTTCAGATATTAATGGTGGTTGAAATATGTAGTCAACAAAACTGAGTTTGGTAATAATTCATTCAACATTATATGGATGTCTCATGGATTTGTTGAACTCCCAACCATGATAGACTGCCAGTAATAACAAAGCTTATCTGTGAATCCCTATGGTGGTAGATAAATTGGCAATCTCTCTTAAACATTTTCAAATACAGAAAATTCATATCAGGCCACAATTCCTGATTTTTTAGATTTAAGGAAGATGGGGAACTCAGGCTGGAATCATGGTCCTGGTGGCCTACATGGTACAGGAAAGTCTTGCCCCTGATAGAAAGGAAACTCTGTTTTTTCTTCAGAGAATAAATGCTGTGGTTATGGAATCCTTGGCTTGTTATTTTGCCAGCCGAGAGCCTCTGTGGCCAGGGGCACCTTCTGCCTGAGTATTGCTCATGCCCACTGGGCTTATTCTACCCACTCAGCCTGGCATACTCAACTCACACTACTGGAGCCCAGGTTGTTTGTGCAGAGGAGTGCCTGCAGGCCTGTGCCAGGCCACCCTCAGCCCCACCCCTGGCATCCATCCCTGAGCTCCTTGGTGCAAAATTTCAGAGGGGGCCGAGGTGGGGGGGTGTATCAACACTGCCCCAAGCACATGCACACCTGCCCAGGTCATGGCAGCACCTGGGGTGGCTTCAACTTTACTCCAAAATCAGACCAGGCACCAGGAGCAGGTAGAAGCCAGGGATCAGGAGCAAGCACTTCCAAGCCTGCAGGGGCAGCCAAACTTCCCAGGCCTCCTACAGCACAGGAATGCCTAGGTCCAAAGTGGCAGTTGTGTGGCTGCCTCTTGCTCAGAAGCATGGGGCTCCTGTCTCCCAGCTCAGTAGGGGACAGGGCTTCCACCTGTTCCTGGCCTCCACCAGCTCTGCTAAGTGCACAGCCCCAGCTGCGCCTCCCCGACTGAAGCTGGTGTCTTCACAGCAATCGCCTCAGACGGGTCGCCACCACCATCACTGTCACCTACTTATATGCATATTTTCATTTCTAACTGGGGATTTTTTTTGAGACAAAGTGTTATTCTCTCACCCTGGCTGGAGTGCAGTGGTGCGATCTTGGCTCACTGCAACATCTGCCTCCCAGGTTCGAATGATTCTCCTGCCTCAGCCTCCTGAGTAGCTGGGACTACAGGTGCCTGTCATGCCCAGTTAATTTTTGTATTTTTAGTAAAGATGAGGTTTCACCATGTTGGCCAGGCTGGTCTCGAACTCCTGACCTCAAGTGATCCACCCACCTCGGCCTCCCAAAATGCTGGGAATACAGGTATGAGCCACAGCACCTGGCCTGTAACTGATTTTCCAAGTTACATTTTATAAGACCATATCACAGTGAGCATAAGAAAACTCATTTTGTGCCCAATGCCTGGGGCAGTGCCGGACAGATAGTGGACACTCCATACCTGTTTTGTTAAAATTGACTACATTTACATCTGAATCTATTTTTGGTATTCTTCATACACACGCACTTCACACATTCATCCTCTTATTATATGAGGCCATTGTTGTTATTTCTCCTCTTAATCAAGAGATCTAAGGCACAAAATGCTATGGGAATTTAAAGGAGGGTAAAACTACTTTTGCTTAAGGACACTGAGAATTTCCTGAACTCACAGGGCACTTGTCTTTTCTTCCGTGGCTCTGAAAGGGCTCTGCTTTGTAGTAAAGATGTGTGTGTGTGCGTGTGTGTGTGCATATGCACACGTCTGCTTTGCTACATTCCTTAAAGGGATGAACTGTGTCTCACAACCACCCTCCCCTGAAGAGAGCATCCACCAATGTCTTTTTTCACATACAGAAGAGTCTTAAAAACTCTGCTCAGTAGAAGCTTCCAGGTTGTCCTGATTTTTTCATCTAGAGATGGTCCAAGGGCTTTGGCTGCCAGCTGGCTGTGGTGTAGATGATGCGAAGAACAGGGCAGCAACAAATTAACTGGCCATGTCATGTTACATTTTTCTTTTATAAACTTTCCCTTTCCCTTTCTGTCAGCATTATTTTGGGACGCTTTCCTCCTCCGTGGTTATAAACTAAGATGCAACTGCTTGACCTGGGAGGCCACTTGGATCAATTGAGGTCTCCTCCCAAGAAAAATTTGGAATGCCTTGCATTTTGTCTGCTTGATTTAACCATAATTTATTTAAACCTAGTCTCTTGTAGTTTATATATCTCAATTGGCCCATTTCGTGGGATGCAAGCCACTGTGTGTTTTCACTCCACTTTTGGTTTTGTAAGCAAGTATGTTTAACAATCAGATTAATCATTCTGTAAAACTTGAGTCCTGCCTCTGTTAGGAACCAATGCTTTTTAGCTATGCTTGGAATCCATTGCTTTGAGTATTTAGGAAGAACAGCATGCTTTTTACATATATTTATGTTTTTATTGGTATTTTATTCCTGAATTCTGAGGAGTGAATTTCCTTTTCCTTTCTTCCTTTTTTCGGTTGCCTTGGATTTCCTTCCATTACATTTTTATTTAATCATTTTTCTGAGTTTGCTCTATTCTTTTTCTTTGAGGAAAAGAAAAAGAAACATCTTCATATGCTTTAGAAACATAGGCACTAGCATTTTGGTGATAATATGCGCTAGGATTTGCTGTGAGAAAACTGGCCTCTGGAGGGCTGGTAAAGTTGACATACCACACTTTGTGTGGCTGTTTCTTCCTACTGCAAATATTAATGATTGTTGATTTACACAGCAAATGCTTCATTCAAGTGTTAATATAGGTGTGCTGAGGCTCCCAAAACATACATGAGTGTTGTAATTTGAAAATAGGAAATGAGGAATGGCTGGCTAGACCATTAGGCTGCTCTACAGAAGGTTGATCCATATATGCAATGGAAAGCACAAAGTGACTTTGACCCAAGTTTTCGTTTCTCAGCTTTAAAATGGCCTTGGCTGTGGAAATGCAGTCAGGGGATGGAAATGCACAGCCCAGGTGAACAGCCTGGCTGTGATCAACTTAAAACAAATCAAGAAAAAAAAAATGAAACAAAATCCTTTTTTGAGTGTTCACTAGGTATTTATTCAATTCAATGAAATAAATAAAGACTTGGGAATTTAAATATTACATTTTCCCAGCTTCATTGAAGTATAATTGAAAAAATTAATATACATTCGAGGTGTATAACATGATGATTTGATATACGTATATATTGTGTAGTGATTACCATAATCAAATTAATCATGTCAATCACCACACATAATTACCATTTTGTGAGTGTATATGATGAGGTCATTTAAGATTTACTCTTTTAGAAATTTTTAAGTAAACAATACAGTAGTATTAACTTTAGCACTATGTTGTATATTATATCCCAAGAATGTATTTATCTTATAACTGAAAGTTTGTACCCTTTGACCAACATCTCCTCATGTCCCCCACCTCCCTGCCTTTGGCAACTACTACCCTACTCTCTGCTTCTATGAGTTTGTCTATTCTAGATTCCACAGAAAAGTGAGCTCATGCAGTATGTGTTTTTCTGTGTTTGGCTTATTTCACTTAGTATAATGTCCTCCAGGTTCATTTCTGTTGTGGCAAATGGCAAGATTTCTTTCTCTTTTATGGTGGAATAATATTCCATTTTATGTGTATGCCATGGTTTTTTTTATCCATTCATCTGTTGATGAACACTCAGGTTGCTTAAATATTACTTTAAGAAAAGTAAAATGTTTGCCAACATTTCATTTATTTTTAAAGGGGCTGACAAATGTGCTTTTAAAGCTACACTCTACATTTGAATACTTTTATCGGGCAGACATTGCAGTAACTCTGAAGTGGCCAAGGTGCAGCAGTTTAGTGTAGCTCTCAAAAGGAAACTGAAATGCACAGTCCAGTCATGAGTATTAGAGTTAACACTAAAGATATTACGAGCACAGCAGATATCACATAGCAAATTTTACTGATTCCCCACTACTCTTCCCACATAACCCATTCCCAAAGACTTCTCATTCTCCCTATTTCCTCAGACCCATCCACATACAGCATCCCCCCAAGCCTATTCCAAGACTGTCCAGGGAGACGGCCAGGGTTTTGGGTTGCACTTTGGTGTGAGGGTGAGGTCTCAAAGGGAAGTCAACGATGCTGTCTTTTAAGGAGCTATGTTTTGCAGAATAGGATTAATAAGCTTCAACCTAGAGCTAAATTTGGTAGAACATGGAGCAGAGTTTGGAAACTCAGTGGTGGCAGGATGAGAGCTGGGCTTTGGGTGAAGCTGGGGAACTGGACGTGACTCATCCAGAGGCCACTCTTGGTTCACAGTTTCTGTATGTGACAAGGTTGTTTGCTCACCAGAAGGTCCTTCACCACCACTCCAGGTCACCTCTCAAAGGCACAGCAATATCTGGTCTTGTATCTGGCATTTCCCCAGGTGCCTCTCCAGGTGACTCTGCAGTGCTAGACCTCTAGACCTCTCTCTTTATGGTGACAGATCCTCCTCTGCAGCTTCTCCAACTCCAATTCTGCCTTCTTCAACTCTGAAGGGCCCTAATTCCTTCTTGGATTTCCCTGATACTGAGAAATTTGTTGATGAGCCCAGGGAAACCTAAGAGTGAACTGCTTCCTTGAGCTCAGACCTCCCAATTTAAGGATTCAGGTGTATCCAGCAGAGTGGGCTTGTCTGCAGTGTGAGCCTCTGGCTGTCTTCTCTTCTTAACCAAAGTCAGAATCAGCCCCGAAGCAATAGGCCCAATGACATCACCTTGAAACAGGCAGCTCTTGCTCCTGTGTGGGGGCCTGACCCCTGCTGTGGAACTCAGGGCATCAGCAGTGAAGTTAACTTTGAATTCACTCTCAGGGGGCCTAGCACAGGGTGGCCAGTGTGGAGGTGGTCGGCCTCTCTTATTGACAAGTTCTGATCACTCCGTGGGGATTTTAGTCTTGTCCACCTGCATTAGCTTCCTACCACTGCTATAATAAAGGACCCCAAACCTAGCAGCCTAAAACAACACAAAGTTATTAACTTATGGTTCTGGAGGTCAGAAGTCCTAAATGAGTCAGCAGGGCTGACTTCTTCCTGGAGATTCTCAGAGAAGATCGTTTCCCTGTCTTTTCCAGCATCTAGAGGCTGCTCATATTCCTTGTTCCAACGTCCTGCTTCACTGTGACTTCTGCTTCTGTTCTCACACCACCCTGACTTGGACCCTCCTACCTCCCTCTTATAAGGACCCTTGTGATGACATTGGGCCCATAAAGATCACCTCCCCATCTCAAGACCCTTAACTTAGTCACGTCTGTAAAGTCCCATAATGTTGACAACTTCTGGAGACTATCCAATGAAGGCAGACAGCTATGGGCTGATTACTCAGCATACTAGTCTGTTTTCACACTGCTGATAAATACATACCTGAGACGGGGTAATTTATAAAGAAAAAGAGGTCTGATGGACTCACAGTTCCATGTGGCTGGGGAGTCCTCACAGTTCCATGTGGCTGGGGAGTCCTCACAATCATGGCAGAAGACGAAAAGCATGTCTTACATGGCGGCAGGCAAGAGAGAAAATGAGAACCAAGGGAAAGGGGTTTCCCCTTATAAAACTATCAGATCTTATGAGGCTTATTCAATACCATGAGTAAGTACAGGGGAAACCACCCCCATGATTCAACTGTTTTTCACTGGGTTCCTCCCACAATACATGCGAATTATAGGAGCTACAATTCAAGATGAGATTTGGGTGGGGACACAGTCAAACCATATCACTCAGTCTACCACACACCCTTCTTCAGCTTCCTGTGGGCTGTGTAATAAGAGATCCTTAACACTGCTGAGCCCAATCATTTGCAAAATCAAAGCCCCTTCACCTGAGTCCCTCTCATTGTGTGAGGTTTTCAGAATCAACTTTTTCCATCATTAGCAGTAGAGTCTCCTATGTGCAGGCTACAGGGAAGTAACCATCTTCCTCAGAAGCAAAACAACAACGTGGGCATTTTTGTTGCCCTAAATCCTCGGCAGTTATCTCAGAAATACTTTTTATGTTAGGACATTGAGTCTTCTAATTACAGATCTTTTCAAGTTCATCACTGAACAATGCTCAGAGCTGCTGTCACAGCCAAGTTGGCTCTCAAGTTCCAGATAATGATCTAAGCATTTCTTTCAGCTCTGGGAAGCTCAAGAATTAGTCTTGTGCCTAAATTTGCATAATAGTGTTTCACTGAGAGTAGTCCAATAACTAATAATGTGTACCCTGCCATGTGAGAGCAATGTTTCCTAAAACGTTCTGGAGCCAAGCCTTTGAGAGGCTGTTGCCTTCGAGAGGCTGTTGCCTTCTTTCTTATTATTTGCAATTCTTAAAATACTTAGCCAGTGTATTATGTGGCTAGAGCTATGTAGGTACTGCCTATCTCGGGAAACTTGATGACCTCTGCTGCACACTCTTTAAAGCCTTCCACTAGTCCCTATCATTCTCACATTCCACTCACCACTACTCTTGCAGATTTCTGTTAGGATGGGTCAGCCAAGGTTCAAATGTCTTTTCTTCCTGGGTAGCTGTTCTATCGTTTGAAAATACTTTCAGTTTCCGATGCATCATTATTTCCTGTACAGACAACATGACCTCACCTATCTCCTGTCTCAGTGTGTTGGCCATATTTCTGATACACATTCCAGGCTTAGGGTGAGGGTCTAAGATAAGAGTGTCAAAAATAATTCTCCATGCATTCACCTGCACAATTATCTCACAGAAAGAGTTGGTGGTGGCAGAGAAATTAGTTTCAACAACTCGAGTAAGCTTATTCTTCTAACCACTTTTTATTTTCTGAGGATTTGAGTTATTCGCTATTAAAATTATCCAACAGTACTCAAATATCTACTTCAAACAGCCATTGTTTCAAACTTGAATGAATCACTCCAGAGATTTTAATTCGTCTCTGATAGAGACTAATATTGCATCAGGATTCCTAAATCCAGGTTCTTTCTAGCATCTTGATCTCTGTCTCTGTATCCATCAACAATTTGCAGGATCCATCTTCCATGTTTGTCAAGATCAGGGACCTAGAAAGGTAACCTCATTTCTTCTCCACCTGGTCAGGCCTTTGTGCCATTGCTCAATAATATATAGTCCCCTGCGAGAATAACACCAGTGAAGGTTAATAAGCATAATGACCAAGTACTCATTTAACTCAGGAACTGAATATACCTTTCTTCTTGCAGACGCCTCTTATAATTTGTAAGTGAATCTCTTAGGGTCTTTCTCTCTAGACAATGGAAAGGGGAGGAAATAGCTTCTCTCCATAAACACTGCATAAAGGTGTTAGAATCAGAAAAAGTTAACTTTAATAACTCATCCTCTCTCCTAGTCTGCCCCACTGTTTTTTTATTTTTTATTTTGTATCCTTAATTGAATCATGATATTTTCTTTCCTTCTAGCGTGATTAAGGATCTTAGTCCTTATTTTTGTGTATTCTGGATTCTCTGTCTTACTGAGACCTTTGCCACCTCCAAATTAGGAAAGAATTTTCTTATATATTTTCTTTCTAACTTAAGTTTCTTAAAATTTAGACATTTAAAGTAGAATTTATTTTTCTGTGTGGTGTAAGGACTGAATCATATTTCTCCAATATCACTTTCATTGACTTTATGAAATCCTGAATCTTTTGCAAGATTTGCAATTTTCACTAAAATAGATTTGCATAAGTTTTACATTTTTATTTTGAACCGTGTATAATATTCACCTATCAGCTAAGAGCCAACAGTGGCACAGATATTGACATAATTGGTAGATGGGTGACTTCAAAAAGAGAGCAATATCAAAGAGCATGTTTCAGTATTTTGGGGTTATGGTGATATCTTCCTTCTTGATGTAATCTTTCAAGTATATGCTTAGGAAAGAAAGACCCTGCACAATATTGTATGAAGTGATGGACAGGTGAAATTTGCAAAGTGAAATGTGTGTTCACTAGCCTGAGAAGTTCCAAACTCACTCATTTTCTTTGCAGGGAAACCAGTGCAGAATTGTACTTCTGTGGCAGTGTGAATGCCATGAATCTTTCCCAATATTTACAGCACAGGAGACAAGCATGTTACACCATATGCTTATAAGATTTTCTAAAATCTCTCTTATTCAATATCTTCCTGTGGGGCAGAGGAAATGAGGGCTTTTAAATCTGAGGCAATAAAATGAATCATACAGATAGAAACATGTGTCTTGGCAGAGAATAAACTTTGGTTTATATACTTTTTGTTAAAGAAATTATGTTAGCATTCCAGCTACTGCATTTTTTATTTAATCAATAAATACCAATTGAGTATACCTCCCTAGCACCAATTTGCAAAGCTGAATGGATAGGAGAATTCAGAGGCAAATAAAAAATAATCATCATTTTGAAGGGTTCTCTTTCCACAAAGAGCTTTTCCTACATATGAAAACAAAGCACATTTATAGAACATTAAATTACTACACAAGAAAATAAATGGTGTAAGAGTGCTGAATCGCCATAGGCAGGATTGCAAACAGCAGCTTCACAGAGGAGGGGAAAAGTCAATGAGCTCCAAAGGACTAGGATGCATAGAAAAGGGAGGAGAGGATATTTCAGGGGTAAAAACCTGAACAAAGCAAGTAGGCAGAAGCTCACAGGTGTCATCTTTTTATTTGATTTTGTTTTTGAAAAGTCAAACGTGAGCTAAAAATTCCCTGTTTTGCTACTATAGTATTTTTCTGGGAAAAATGTGCATGAAAATTTATACTTTTTTTGTTCTATGAATATTAATGAATATCTATGAAAATTCCTTTTCTCCCCACTTTCTCTAAAGAGTTCTCCAAACAGAAGCTGTTTGATGTGGTTCTCAGTGTAATTGATACTCGCATGCTTTATTTTTAATACCTTTTACAGTTTTACAGAGAAAGAAAATTATTTTGGAAACACTCAAAATATCATCTAAAAGACAGTTCTTAGAAATCTAAAATAGTTGTGGACCATTCCAAAGAATAGATAATCTCTGCACATATTATTTGACAGGCTAGTCTACTGAACATCAGGTATTAGTAAAAGAGGCTTAAACATAAAGTGAAGGGCTTAAACACAAAGATGGATTTGCCTAAAAGCAATGATAAAGTCAGCAATTCACACAAAAAGACTTCATGTTTATTCACCACGCACAATGACGCTTTGACAGGGTACCAGAGTTGGCTTCATACCTCCATCAGCAAAACTCCTTTTGGTTTTGAGTTGCATGCTTTCTTTGCTCTAAGGAGCTAAGTGATTTTCTACCTTGGTAATGCACCGTTTTCTCACTTTCAGAGCTCCTGGCAGCTAAGCAAACCCTTTGCAATATCCTGGCTTTTATACTCTCCTCTCCTCCTTTCCCCTTCCCTAGCCCAGGCAACTCCCCATCTACACTTTGTCTCCTTTAACACCCTCTGCCTGCATGCCAATTCTAATTTTTGGAACCGCTTCACAATTAACCTGCAGCAACTTTCCCCATCCCCAACTCCCCTTAGAGAGTCTCTTGAGGGAAAAAATGCTCTGTAAATCATTCCAGGCCCAACAGCATTGCACTGCAGCCCTTCTTTTATACTGGTTTATGCTGTTAGGCTGAAATGATCAAGGAGGCATGAATAATTCTTTTTCTTGGGTGTCCTAGAAACACTTAAGGTGCCGTGTAATTCATGCAAAATTACCATGGGAGAATTCTCTCTCCTGAGCTGTTTTGTTCTGTAACCCTGTGGACATGTCAGTTCCAAGAATGGCCCTGTGTCTCACAAGTTCACCATCAGTTTTTCCTCTGGAAGTACCTGCTTTATTGACTTTTCTAAAACCAGCAGCCTCTTATTATTTTTCCCCTCAAGTAAAATATCCAGACACAAAGGTTACTGGTAGAAGCTCATAGTTGATTGCATAGGGCTTGTCGCTGAGATACATACACAAGCAGAGTCCACGGGTATTAATGAGATGACTGCAGGCCCGGGCCTTTATTTCAAAATTTAAACCTTTTGTGAGGTTTGGCCTGCTGAGCTTGGGTTTTAAAATTCTCCCCTCAAACCAAATTGAATCCGCAATGTGCTGGCAATTACCACAGCCTCTCTTAACCTTGTCAGAAAGGTTCCAGGGAAAATAAAATGTACAGTAGACATTCTCAGAGCCTTAATTAGAAATGTAGACCATTCATGTTTTTCTTATTCAGAATGAGTGACTAGAAAATCAAAAATACTTGCTTTGGTCCACAAGACAGAAAGTTTTCAGTTTAAGCTGTCCCAAAGCAAATTGTGATATTGTGATTTTTTTTCTATAAAACTGAAAATGCTTTGTAAGTGAATTCCAAATAATTAGATGATGAATGAAATGTTCCTATGTTTCTTCCCTAATGGACAGGGACCAATCTGCACAAAAGATGGAGGCAGGAGTTGGGGTTGTCGTTTCTTTTCCAGTCTTCTCTCTCTTCCGTATTGTTATCTGTGCACCTTCATTCAAGAGTTCCTATTTCTCTGAAGCTCACGCCCTCCAGCTAAAATTATGCTCTATGCTTCTTCATCACTGTCACCCACTGACTCCCTGGTCAATTCCATTTATACATTGAATAGTTTAAGACCATATCTACCATCTTCCTCTCTTTCTAACCCTGAGTAGCAATACCAAGTAGCATGTGCACCTAGAAATCTAGACTTGTATCTTGAATTTCAACCATCTCTCACTGTACATTCTATCACTCACCACATCCTAGATCTGGTTATCATTGAATGAAAAATTTGCCTCAATCCACAAATACTCAAAGTTTCTCTTTTCTTAAAAATAAAATATGTCCCTTGTTTCTCTAGCTATCATTGAGACTTTACTTTGCATCCAAATGTTCTTAATAGTGTTCTTCATTTGCCATGTCCCTCTCATTACTCTTCATTCATCCCTAAACCACTTGTGAAATGGAATCTTCTTCTTTGCTAGAAGCTGTTCTTACTGGAGTAACCCAATGGCCCAATTCAAAATACCAGCAGATTTGATTTTGGGACCATTCCAAAAGACTACATAGCAGAACTTTTCCCCCTCTCTTGAGTATGTGACAGAATATTCATTTCTCTAGATATCTCTCTCAGCTAGTTCTCCTTGCCTCCTTCAGAGACTCTTCTTTTTTATTATTATTATACTTTAGGTTCTAGGGTACATCTGCACAACGTGAAGTTTGTTACATAGTTATACATGTGCCATGTTGGTTTGCTGCATCCATCAACTTGTCATTTACATTAGGTATTTCTCCTAATGCTTTCCCTCCCCCAGCCCCCCAACCCCCAACAGGCCCCAATGTGTGATGTTCCCCACCCTGTGTCCATGTGTTCTCATTGTTCAATTCCCACCTGTGAGTGAGAACATGAGGTGTTTGGTTTTCTGTCCTTGTGATAGTTTGCTGAGAATGATGCTTTCCAGCTTCATCCATGTCCCTACAAAGGACATGAACTCTCCTTTTTTATGGCTGCATAGTGTTCAATGGTGCATATGTGCCACATTCTCTTAATCCAGTCAAACACTGATGGACGTTTGGGTTGGTTCCAAGTCTTTGCTATTTTGAATAGTGCCGCAATAAACATACCTATGCATGTGTCTTGATAGTAGCATGATTTATAATCCTTTGGGTATATACCCAGTAATGGGATGGCTGGGTCAAATGGTATTTCTAGTTCTAGATCCTTGAGGAATTGCCACAATGTCTTCCACAATGGTTGAACTAATTTACACTCCCACCAACAGTGTAAAAGCATTCCTAGTTCTCAACATCCTCTCCAGCATCTGTTGTTTCCTGACTTTTTAATAACCGCCTTTCTAACTGGTGTGAGAAGGTATCTCATTGTGGTTTTGATTTGCATTTCTCTGATGACCGGTGATGATGAGCATTTTTCATGTGTCTGTTGGCTGCATAAATGTCTTCTATTGAGAACTCTCTGTTCATACCCATTGCCCACTTTTTGATGGGGTTGTTTGTTTCTTGTAAATTTGTTTAAGTTCTTTGTAGATTCTGGATATTAGCCCTTTGTCAGATGGGTAGATGGCAAAAATTTTCTGTAGGTTGCCTTTTCACTCTGATGATATCTTTTGCTGCGCAGAAGCTCTTTAGTTTAATTAAATCCCATCTGTCAATTTTGGCTTTTGTTGCCATTGCTTTTGGTGTTTTAGTCATAAAGTCCTTGCCCATGCCTATGTCCTGAATGGTATTGCCTAGGTTTTCTTATAGGGTTTTTATGCTTTTAGGTCTTACATTAAAGTCTTTAATCCACCTTGAGTTAATTTTTGTATAAGGTGTAAGGAAGGGATCCAGTTTTAGCTTTCTACATATGGCTAGCCAGTTTTCCCAGCACAATTTATTAAACAGGGAATCATTTCCCCATTTCTTGTTTTTGTCAGATTTGTCAAAGATCAGATGGTTATAGATGTGTGGTATTATTTCTGAGGTCTCTGTTCTGTTCCATTGGTCTATCTATCTGTTTTGGTACCAGTACCATGTTGTTTTTGTTACTGTAGCCTTGTAGTATAATTTGAAGTCAGGTAGTGTGATGCCTCCAGCTTTGTTCTTTTGGCTTAGGATTGTCTTGGCAATGGGGGCTCTTTTTTGGTTCCATATGAACTTTAGAGTAGTTTTTTTCCAATTCTGTGAAGAAAGTCATTGATGGGGATGGCATTGAATCTATAAATTACCTTGGACAGTATGGCCATTTTCATGATATTGATTCTTCTTATCCATAAGCATGGAGTGTTCTTCCATTTATTTGTTTCCTCTTTTATTTTGTTGAGATGTGGTTTGTAGTTCTCCTTGAAGACGTCCTTCTCATCCCTTGTAAGTTGGATTCCTAGCTATTTTATTCTCTTTGCAGCAATTGCGAATAGGAGTTCATTCATGATTTGGCTCTTTGTTTGTCTGTTATTGGTGTATAGTAATGCTTGTGATTTTTGCACATTGATTTTGTATCCTGAGACTTTGCTGAAGTTGTTTATCAGCTTAAGGAGATTTGGGGCTGAGACGATGGGGTTTTCTAAATATACAATCATGTCATCTGCAAACAGAGACAATTTGACTTCCTCTTTTCCTAATTGAATACCCTTTATCTCTTTCTCCTGCCTGATTGCCCTGGCCAGAACTTCCAACACTATGTTGAATAGGAGTAGTGAGAAAGGGCATCCTTGTCTTGTGCTGGTTTTCAAAGCGAATGCTTAAAGTTTTTGCCCATTCAGTCTGATATTGGCTGTGGGTTTGTCATAAATGGCTCTTATTATTGTGATATATGCTCCATCAATACCTTATTTATTGAGAGTTTTTAGCATGAAGGGCTGTTGAATTTTTTCGAAGGCCTTTTCTGCGTCTATTCAGATAATCATGTGGTTTTTGTTGGTGGTTCTGTTTATGTGATGGATTACGTTTATTGATTTGTGCATATTGAACCAGCCTTGCATCCCAGGGATGAAGCTGACTTGATCATGGTGGATAAGCTTTTTGATGTGCTGCTGGATTCAGTTTGCCAGTATTTTATTGAGGATTTTTTGCATCGATATTCATCAGGGATATTGGTTTAAAATTCTCTTTTTTTGTTGTGTCTCTGCCAGGCTTTGCTATCGGGATGATGCTGGCCTCATAAAATGACTTAGGGAAGATTCCCACTTTTTCTATTGATTGGAATAGTTTCAGAAGGAGTGGTACCAGCTCCTCTTTATCCCTCTGTTAGAATTCAGCTGTGAATCTGTCTGGTCCTGGACTTTTTTTGGTTGGTAGGATATTAATTATTACCTCAATTTCAGAGCCTGTTATTGGTTTATTCAGAGATTCAACTTCTTCCTGGTTTAGTCTTGGGAGGGTGTATGTGTCCAGGAATTTATCCATTTCTTCTAGATTTTCTAGTTTATGTGCATAGAGGTGTTTGTAGTATTCTCTGATGGTAGTTTGTATTTCTGTGAGATCAGTGGTGATATCCCCTTTATCATTTTTATTGCATCTATTTGATTCTTCTCTTGTTTCTTCTTTATTAGTCTTGCTAGTGGTGTATATATTTTGTTGATCTTTTCAAAAAAACAGCTCTCGAATTCATTGATTTTTTGAAGGGTATTTTTGTGTCTCCATCTCCTTCAGTTCTGCTCTGATCTTAGTTATTTCTTGCCTTCTGCTAGCTTTTGAATGTGTTTGCTCTGCTTCTCTAGTTCTTTTAATTGTGATGTTAAGGGTGTCGATTTTAGATATTTCTTGCTTTATCTTGAGGGCATTTAGTGCTATAAATTTCCCTCTACACACTGCTTTAAATGTGTCCCACAGATTCTGGTATGTTGTGTCTTTTTTCTCATTGGTTTCAAAGAACATCTTAATTTCTGCCTTCATTTTGTTATTTACCCAGCAGTCATTCAGGAGCAGGTTGTTAAGTTTCCATGTAGTTGTGTGGTTTTGAGTGAGTTTCTTAATCCTGACCTCCAATTTGATTGCACTGTGGTCTGAGAGACAGTTTGTTGTGATTTCTTTTCTTTGACATTTGCTGAGGAGTGTTTTACTTCCAATTATGTGGTCAATTTTAGAATAAGTGTGACGTGGTGCCAATTAGAATGTTTTTTCTGTCGATTTAGGGTGGAGAGTTCTGTAGATGTCTATTAGGTCTGCTTGGTGCAGAGCTGAGTTCAAATCCTGGATATCCTTGTTAACCTTCTGTCTTGTTGATCTGTCTAATATTGACAACGGGGTGTTAAAGTCTCCCATTATTATTGTGTGGGAGTCTAAGTCTCTTTGTAGGTCTGTAAGGACTTGCTTTATGAATCTGGGTGCTCCTGTATTGGGTGCATATATATTTAGGATAGTTAGCTCTTCTTGTTGAATTGATCCTTTTACCATTATGTAATGGCCTTCTTTGTCTCTTTTGATCTTTGTTGATTTAAAGTCTGTTTTATCAGAGACTAGGATTGCAACCCCTGCTTTTTTTTGGCTTTCCATTTGCTTGGTAGATCTTACTCCATCCATTTATTTTGAGCCTATGTGTGTCTCTGCATGTGAGATAGGTCTCCTGAATACAGCATACTGATGGGTCTTGACTTTTTATCCAATTTGCCAGTCTGTGTCTTCTAATTGGGGCATTTAGCCCATTTACATTTAAGGTTAATATTGTTATGTGTGAATTTGATCATGTCATTATGATGTCATCTGATTTTGCCCGTTATTTGATGCAGTTTCTTCATAGCATCGATGGTCTTTACAATTTGCCATGTTTTTACAAGTGGATGGTACTGGTTGTTCCTTTCCATGATAGTGCTTCCTTCAGGAGCTCTTGTAAGGCAGGACTGGTGGTGACAAAATCCCTCAGCATTTGCTTGTCTGTAAAGGACTGTATTTCTCCTTCACTTATGAAGTTCAGTTTGGCTGGATATGAAATTCTGGGTTGAAAATTCTTTTCTTTAAGGATGTTGAATATTGGCCCCCACTCTCTTCTTGCTTGTAGGGTTTCTGCAGATAGATCCACTGTTAGTCTGATGGGCTTCCCTTTGTGGGTAACCTGACCTTTCTCTCTGGCTGCCCTTAACATTTTTTCCTTCATTTCAACCTTGGTGAATCTGACGATTATTTGTCTTGGGGTTGGTCTTCTCGAGGAGTATCTTTGTGGTGTTCTTTGTATTTCCTGAATTTGAATGTTGGCCTGCCTTGCTAGGTTGGGGGAGTTCTCCTGGGTAATATCCTGAAGAGTGTTTTCCAACTTGGTTCCATTCTCCCCATCACTTTCAGGTACACCAACCAAATGTAGATTTGGTCTTTTCACATAGTCCCATATTTCTTGGAGGCTTTGTTCATTTCTTTTTTCTCTAATCTTGTCTTCTTACTTTATTTCATTAATTTGATCTTCACTCACTGATATCCTTTCTTCCACTTGATCGAATCAGCTACTGAAGTTTGTGCATACGTCACCAAGTTCTCATGCTGTGGTTTTCAGCTCCATCAGGTCATTTAAGGTCTTCTCTACACTGTTTATTCTGGTTAGCCATTCGTCTAACCTTTTTTCAACGTTTTTAGCTCCCTTGTGATGGGTTAAAACATGCTCCTTTAGCTCAGAAAGTTTGTTATTACTGACCTTCTGAAACCTACTTCTGTCACCTCGTCAAAGTCATCCTCTGTCCAGTTTTGCTCTGTTGCTGGCAAGGAGCTGAAATCCTCTGCAGGAGAAGAGGCGCTCTGGTTTTTGGAGTTTTCAGATTTTCTGCTCTCACTTCTCCCCATCTTTTTGGTTTTATCTACCTTTGGTCTTTGATGTTGGTGACCTACAGATGGGGTTTTGGTGTGGATGTCCTTTTTGTTAATGTTGATGCCATTCCTTTCTGATTGTTAGTTTTCCTTCTAACAGTCAGGCACCTCAGCTGCAGGTCTGTTGGCGTTTGCTGGAGGTCCACTCCAGACCCTGTTTGCCTGGGTATCACCAGTGGAGGCTGTAGAACAGCAAATATTGCAGAACAGCAAATATTACAGAACAGCAAACATTGCAGAACAGCAAATATTGCTTCCTGATCCTTCCTCTGGAAGCTTTGCCCAAGAGGGGCACCCGCCTGTATGAGGTGTCTGTTAGCCCCTACTGGGAGGTGTCTCCCAGTCAGGCAACACAGGGGTCAGGGACTCACTTGAGGAGGCAGTCTTTTCATTCTGACAGCTTGACTGCCATGCTGGGAGAACCACTGCTCTCTTCAGAGCTGTCAGACAGGGATGTTTAAGACTGCAGAAGTTGTCTGCTGCCTTTTGTTCAGCTATGTCTTGCCCACAGAGATGGAGTCTATAGAGGCAGTAGGTCTTGCTGAGCTGCAGTGGGCTCCACCCAGTTTGGGCTTCCTGGCCATTTTGTTTACCTACTCAAGCCTCAGCAATGGTGGATGCCCCTCCCCCCACCAGGCTGCAGCCTTGCAGTTCAATCTCAGACTGCTGCGCTAGCAGTGAGCAAGGCTCCATGGGCATGGGACCCGCTGAGCCAGGCACAGGAGGGAATCTCCTGGTCTGCCAGTTGCTAAAACTGTCAAAAAGGGCAGTATTTGGGTGGGAGTTTACCATTTTTCCAGGTACAGTCTGTCACAGCTTCCCTTGGCTAGGCAATGGAATCCTTGGACCCTTGGTGCTTCCCAGGTGAGGCGATGCCTCACCCTGCTTTGGCTTGCCCTCCGTGAGCTGCACCCACTGTCCAACCAGTCCCAGTGAGATGAACCAGGTACCTCAGTTGGAAATGCAGAAGTTACCCGTGTTCTGCGTTGATCTCACTGGGAGCTGCAGACCGGAGCTCTTCCTATTCGGCCATCTCGGAAGTGACACACAGACTCTTCTTAAATGTTGCTTTCTTTGGGGTTCCATCTTAGATTTTCTGCGTTTTATTTTCCATCAGGCCTGCTCTGAATGACCTACCCTAATCCCATTTTTCAGCTAATTTATGTTTGTATGTGAATCGCTTTCAAATGTATAGCCTTAGCCTCTTCTTCAAGTCTCAAACTAACTATGATGACCATCTAGATATCTCCATCTCTTTGTACCATCAAGACCTCAATCTCAATATGCTTGATACAGTTTGGTTCTGTGTCCCCACCCAAATCTCATCCCTAATTGTAATCCCCACATGTGAACGAGGGACCTGGTGGGAGGTGATTGGATCACTGGGGTCGTTTCCCCCATGCTATTCTCATGATAGTGAGTTCTCACAAGATCTGATGGTTTAAAAGTGGGTGGCAATTTCTCTCTCTCTCTCCTGCCACCATGTAAGACATGCCTTGTTTCTCCCTTTGCCTTCCATCATGATTGTAAGTGTCCAAAGGCCTCCCCAGCCATTTGGAACTGTGAGTCAATTAAACCTCTTTTCTTTATAAATTACCCAGTCTCAGGTAGTTCCTTATAGCAGTGTGAAAGCAGACTAATACAATGCTCAAAACAGAATTCATCATCTTTCTTCAAAATGTCCTTATGTTTCTATGTGCTCTGGTGGCTTAGTGGTAATGGCCATTGACAAAACTATAATAATAGGGTTATTTTTACTTTTCCCTATTCTTTAATCATTACCTCCAAGAAATATAAGGCACTTAGTTAGTATGGTCCCTGGATCTTAATAACTTCTGAATAAGACTTAACTGTTGATATTAAAAACAAATTTCTAATCTATAATTTTTTTAAGAAACTAAGATTAATTGGGAATTCCTAAACTTAAATATACCACATGTTTACTAAATTGGCAATTTAATAATAAATGTATCTACAACAAATAGCAAATAATACGTGTGCTGCTAATATTAACTTAAATCCTTCCTCTTTAGAAAAGTAGTGAAACATTATAATCCAGAGGTTTGCTTTCTTCCAGTGTGTGCTTTCTGCAAAATACCTCCATCACTGTATTGTTGGAATTGACTTCAGACTATCTGTGCTATGCTGCATTAGCTTTATGCCTCTCTCTCTCTGTTGTATAAGATCTTCGCCACCCTGTGGTGGTGAGGAAGGGGGATTTTATAGCCTGCTTGGTTTTCCCCTGGAAAACGTGTAGGCTGAGAATGGTCATTTGTGACCTGAAAGGGGCTTCTTCAGAATGTATAATAGAAGTCATGAATTCCAAAGAATAATGGGGCTCAGAGAAGAGGGAATGTGCATCATTAATGGAACCATCAGCCGGGTGCAATGGCTTTCTCCATAGACAGGAAGAAATTCAAAGGAAAAGTAGTAAAAGAAGAGATGGGCATCGTTTATCAGGAGCTGAAGGTGGATGAGGCAGAGTAAGCAAGTAAGAATTGAAAAATTGTAAAGTAAAGCTTAACAAGTACTGGCAGCACTTGATTGCTAGCAAACCGTAAAGAATCAGAGCTAAAACTCCTGCAGGATTTAGGTGAAGAAGCTGAGGCCCAGAGGGGTTCTAAGGCTGTGATCCTTAGCAAACCAAGATGAGCTTCTCACTGCCTTTCTAGTAGGGTACAATATTATATGAATGTAAAAAAAGAAGACATTCCTCAAAGAATATTAAACCCTCAAATGCAGTTGAACTGTGACAAGGTGATGCCATGGTGACCAATACAGAACTGTATTTTCATAGGACATTCCTCTACAGAAACTGCAAATTCCAAACTTCCAAACAAGTTTCCCCCACACATGGGGCTTATTAGAGGCCCTGCACTTCCCTTGGCAGGGAGACAAGTCGCATTTAAATACTAACACGAGCTGCTTTCCATAATGTATGCGGAGTGGGCTTCACCCATGTGTGGGAATGACGTCAGTCATACATAGCCTGGCTGCAGAGATTCGGAATTGTTGCATGCTAGAAAGATTAAAAGAGTGGAATTGTTGAATGCCAAGGAAAAACAGACAATCTCATCTACACCAGCTAACAGAGGGCTCGTGAACTTGCCTCAAAATGAGTAGAGTCTTAGCTAGAATATTTATCTATATATTTTCAGTAGACATGAAGATGAAATACTGAGAAATACATCCTTCATTTGCTTTGTCAAATGGGTTCCATAATAATATGGTATTAAAACGCTATTACTTTCTGTATCTGCTCAGGACCCCAAAACGTGCCCATGGAGGAAACTGACTAGAGTTGAATACCTTCCTCCACATTATTCCTAGACACAAAACCTTCACAGATCTCAAGCCTTCCAGCTAATAAGTAAAGATGTGCTTTTATTCAACAGAATGAATGAACACTCTAGCATCTCAGCATTTTAAAAAAATGACTTTTCAAGGTTTCATGAAATAAAGTGTTTTCCACCATTTCTTTGCACTGGCAACATTCAAACATTATTTTTTTCTTGATTATGATAGCAGCTCTGATACCTGTCTACATGCAGTTGGAAGCCAAGAGTCTGAAACTCTTGCCAACAAGGAAGAAGATAAATGGACCAGACTGCTCCCATTCTATCTGTGAGAAATACTCATGTAAAAAACATAATGATTTCATGAAACACAAAGACTCCTTCTTCCTGCCTGAACATGTTACATGCCGTTAGGGCAAAGAGAATTTCACAAGATTTCTAATAAGGCAAAAAGAGGATGTGGAATTTTAAATGTTTTCAGTCTGGAAAGAGCAATAGATTTAGAGTTACAAAACTGGTTCAAAACGAGTCTGACTTATTGGCTGCATGACCTTGTATTATACAAAGTCCATCACCTCTCAGGTGTAGTTTCCTCACCCAGTTCAATGGGATGAGTACATTGGATCATCTCTGTGGCCCCTCCAGCACTAAGTTTTCGTGGTTCTAAGGTACCTGACACTGTATTTCACAGCACTGGGAAAACTGTTCCTCCTTCTTTTGTACAAGCTAGCATGAAGACCCAAAGGGATGAACTCCCTACTTTGTTTGTTTGTTATAAACTGAATGCCTGTGTCCTCCTGAAACATAGATGTTGAATCCCTAACCCACAATGTGATCATGTTTGGAGACAGAACCTATGAGGAGGTAATTAAGGTCAAATAAGGTAATAGGGTAAGCCCTAATCCTATAAGGCTGGTGCCTAGATAATAAGAGGATGAGACACCAGAGCTTGCTTGCTGTCTCTCTCTACTGGTGAGGTTACCATAGTAAAGTGACCATTTGCATCCCAAGGAGAGAGCCCTCACCAGATGCTGGCACTTTGGTCTTGGACTTCCAATATCCAGAACTCTGCAAAAATTGATTTCTGCTGTTTAAGCCACCCAGTCTATGGCATTGTGTTATGACAGCCTGAGTACACTAATGCATACTAACATTTTTAAAACTATGAAAGCTCAATTCATACCTTTAAAATCTTGATCCCAAAAATTAGATCCAGGGTCTGTCTGGGTACATACCAATTCTGTATAACTAACACTGTGGATTCAATCCTTTTAGGTACATAATTTTTTTAAGAAAAGATCTCTATTCTTCTCAGAAACTGTAAACTCTTTTTAAAAAATGAACTCAAGGGGTCATTTGGTTTTCAACAAGTGTGCCAAGACCATTCAATGGGGGAAAGGACAGTCTTTTCAATAAATGGTTTTGGGAAAACTGGATATCCACATAGAAAATAATTAAATTGAACCATTTTTACTATATAACAAAAATTAACTCAAAATGGATCAAAGGCCTAAATTTGGGACCAAAACTCTGAAACTCTTAGAATAAAACATACCAGTAAATCTTCATAACATTGGATTTGGCAAAAAATTTTTAATAAGACATGAAAAAATCAAAATTAAAAATTGTGTGCATCAGAGGACATTATCAAGTGAGTAAAAAGGCAACTTACAGAATGGGGAAAAATATTTGCAAATAGTATATCTGATAAAGGACACATATCCAGAATATACGAATATGCTCCAAAATTCTCATTTTGTCCTTTATCCAACTCTTCATCCTATGCTGGCTTTTACTCCAGAAGAAACCAAGTTTCTTTCCTGTGGCTACAAGGAAAGAGACAGTGTGAAAGGGAAAGTTGTGCTGTTATTAGAGTAGTGAAGGTTAGCAATTGACTGGACAATTCAAAAACTAAGCAAAAGTGAACATTTTTGGAGGATCCCATGGGCTATTCTCATTATCATGACTGAAACCACACTTTGAAAGTAACACCAATAGCATGGGCTTAAAAAAGCCTTGGATTCTAACGCGGTTGGAGTAGTTAAAATTCTTAGTAACATTTTGCAGCCAAGCAAATGGCTTTTCCAATCAGTGTTCAGAAATTTAGTTGTAGGAGCAGAGAATGATGTTTAGATTAATCTGAAATGAGGTTTTATAGGGTATGTATGATTCATGGATTCTAGGAAAACCAAGATCAAAAATCTTATTTGGAGAAGTTCCATATATATGTATACACACACAAGGTGATATATATATCACCTTGCTTAAACGTAACAGTAGAAATTATTTGCCCAGTCATAGACAACATCCAGCTCAGTACTCTAGTGCCAGGAAGGCAGGGTCAAAGAGAAAATATTAAGACATAGTAATTTATTTAATAAACAGTAAATAGGAAAAGAGCCCCAGTAAAGAACTGAAAACTAGAGAAACCACCATTGTTAATTCTAATATTTTCAAGAAAACTAGAACGTTTTAGAAGTTATTTGCTGAGAAAGGGCAGAATCTGCCCATTTAGTAGACCCTCTTCTGCACACACAAACAAATACGGAAACATAATGTCCTTAATTTTAAGCTACAGAGTGATGGTTTCTAGACTCCTGGTATGAGACAGAGAAGAATTAAAATCATCAGCTCTTGAAACTGTCATGATCGGTTTCAAATCTTGTCTTTGGCACTGACTGTGTGATCCAAGAAATGACATGTAATCTCTCTGTGTCTCAGTTTCTTCACCTGTAAAACGGGAATCATTGTAGTACCTACTTATTGGAGATTTGTGAGAATTAACTAAGTTAGTATATATAAAAATGCTTGGAACAGAAACTAATCTATGGTAAGTGGTATGTCAATGTTGCTATCATGCAGGGACAAGCACAATAAGCATGTGAAGTTTTATATAAAACATAAACTGAAGATGTGTTAAAGATGTTATTTAAGTCATTAACCAGTGAGGGAACCAGGCAGGTGTTATAACCACTTCAAAGGAGAGATAAAAAAAAAAAAAGCACACAGTTTCATGAAGTAAAGAAATGCTGGCTGAAATGAACATGTAAATAGAGGCAAAACTAGCTTCTTCCACAGAGAGAAGGGAACTCAACTGAACCTCCACCAGACAGAACAGAATTTGCGTGTCTATGCACAAGAATAATTTGCATGGCTACCAATTATAATTTACAGTGTTATAAAATCACTTCCATAGACAGAGCCAGCTCATCTGAAGGGAGACATTTTGGGACTCGACAATGCATAGGTTTACACTCAAGCATAAATTTTCCCCTACAAGGTGAACATTTACATTGTCTGCCAATTCTGCCTGATACAGTAAACATTTGCTTATGCCAAGGGTTCAGCATATTTTCTTGAGCTCATTGTTCAGAACAGCAAATATGAAAATTGCAAGTCAGGTATTGGGTTTGGGCAACACTAGGTTTTGGGGAAGCTGCTGCCAAAATAATTGGTGCTTCTATTGCACATTATACACTAGTCATATCTGTTTCTAGGATTTGTTGTGGCTTCTATACTTTAAAAAAAAATGCTTACAAATGCTAGAATATTATTCCGTATCAAAACTTGTTGGGACTTTGGAAAGAGGAGATATGTGAGGGACCTGGATTTAAGGTAACCTGAAACCAAATATGCTACAGGAGTACCTTGTCTCTAGTGGCCATTTTCAGGCCATGTTTGTCCAATGAGCACTTACTTACCTGCGACCCCATGAGATCTCAGGTGGGACTGAGAAACCTGAGTGAAAAATATGGGAGAGAAAAGACAGTCTTGTACATACTCAAAAGTTTATCTCTGGAACTAAAGATTGAGCTGACAAGAGAACAGAATTTGCAGTGTCTAATTTTAAATCTTGACAGTATATTTAATGGATTTAATGCTACTGGTGTTGAGTGATTTCTCTCATATTTGTACATATTAAATAAAAGTCTGATGAGTGCATTGGGACTGCATAGCGTAATGTAATTTGTGATAACAATGAAAATATAGGAGACTAGTTAACCTAATATCCTGCAACAGTACCTCGTGTGCTAGCTCATAGAGAGAGCTTGGATTCCAGCTCCAAGGTTAGGGGGCTTTCTTTTTCACACCATTCCCAATAGCCTTTCTGTTTCAAGGAGCTTACAAGTCAGCTGGGCCAGTGAGGAGGGGTATTGAGGTGGGACTCAGGAGTCATATAAAACAGATGCACATAATTTCTGCTTGATGGTCTCTAGGGAATGTGCTGGCAGCTGTCCATAGGATGGCATCAGTAGGTGGCAAAGAGAAAGAGAGTAATAGAGTGCTGGGTGCTGTTAAAAGACCCTTTTCACTTATTTGGAGGCTGAGCATGACCTTGATGTTTTTTCCACATCAAGAAGATTCCACTGGCTTTCCTTCTCCTGCCCCTTCTGCTCCCCACTCTGGCTGCTATAGGCAAATCCAGCCGCCTTTTCCAGCCAGGATGGTCCAGCTCTTCATGTAACCTACAACTCCCAGGTGAAACTTATTATCTCTTCTTCTTTGCTTTGTTACTTCTAGGCCTTTTTTATTTTAAAAAATTGTTATTTTATCTAAAAAAAAAAGTGTCTCTCATGGCTGATGCCCCAGAAATGTCTCCAAACACCTCTTTTGAAAATCAAAGCTTAATAATTATTTTTTATTTCAGTTTAAATTTCTGTTTAAATAAATCTCATCTTCTCTAAGGCAATGAGTGCCCTTGGATAAACAAGGATCAATTCTGTGAAAATAGAATGTGAAATGCATGTGGATCAATGCTTGATCATCTTTCTATAATAATACATAATATTTGTGGAGCATGCACCAGAACAAAAAAGATGAGACAGACAGAGAGAGAGAAGCCATCCCAAAAAGAATGAAATGGAAGGTGTATTAGTAGCACACATTAGCCCCAGAGCTCCTTCTCTCAGCTCACTCTGCCACAAAGACAAGCTCTTATTTATGTCCATGGTGCTTAAGAAAGGCTAAAAGTTCTTTCATCCACATGAGTGTCCTATTAAACATGATTTTTAAATGAATCTTGTTTTTCCCTTGCTTCTCTCCTTTGTCTCATTCTTCAGATATATACAAGAGGATGCACACACAGAAAAAGGCATCCCGTTGACTTTTCAGGGTAAACCCTCAAATCACGAGAGATGAGTCGTGGTACATATTGCTTAGGCCTATTGGCCTGCTTATAATTTGGAGGAAGGAGATCCTTGTGCTTAATACATGGCCCAGCCCAGTTTGATAAGGAGCTTCACAGGTGTTTAGTACATACTATAATACTATATATCGATGGTATCCATTTTCCAGGGACTACAGAAAAAAAAAATCTAGCTAAAGAGGGATGCTAGTCCAATCATTATATCACTCTTGCAAAATAGTTGTGAAATAAAGAGAAAAACAGGAAATTATGAATAGGAGCTGAGGCTTAAAAGATACATAAAGAAGCAATGAGCTAAAGTAGTGATCAGTAAGGACCAGGTACAGTCTTCAGTGAGAAAGAAGAAAAATCTAAGAAGAAGTGGAACTTTGAGGGAGAAGAAAGAGAAAGATGTAGAGCAGAAGACAGGGTAGCCAGTGGGCCACTGAAGGCGGGCAGAGGTGGGAAATAGAACTAATACTCACACGAATGCTGAGAACTCACTGAAGATCTTTGAACTCCTGCTTCTGAGGCCCAACAAGAACCCGGGGGCCCCATTTGTTTCTGGTAGGCAGGACTGGACTTTCAATTGCTGTCAGAGCCCGTCTCCATTACTGCCTTTCTATTTTACAATACCCATTTCTCCAGATTCATCTATTCTTCTCTTTCATCTCACCTTGTCCCAGAAACACAGTGTCTCTGCAGTAGTTTCTTAAGAATTCAGGGGTGGCCTGAAAAAGAACAGACATTTACTGACCTATGGTTCTGGAGGCTTGAAGCTGTAAACCAAGGCTTCAGCAGAGCCATGCTCTCTCTAACAACTCTAGGGGAGCATCCTTGCTTGCCTCTTCCAGCTTCTGGTATTTGCTGGCAGTCCCTGGTGTTCCTTGGCCTGTAGCTGCATCGCTCCAGTCACAGAGCCGTTTTCTCCCTCTGCATCTTCACATTATCGTCCTCTGTGCATAACCTTTTTATAAGGACCTTGGATTCTTATATAATATCAATATTTAACCCATACTAAGTCAGGGCACCCTAATGACCTCACTTTTGTTTGCTTACCTCTAAAAGACTCTACTTCCAAAGAAGGTCCCATTCTGATGCACTGGAGGTAGATGCTTCAACATACTTTTTTATGTGTGGGGGAAGGGTGGCACACTTAAATCTAAAACACCCTGTAATGAATATGTTGGTATTAATTAATCTATGTATCCTTAGAATAATTACCCCATTACCCCAATTCCATATATGATGTTTGAGGATGCCTCTGTCCTGTGAATTTAAAATAACCCCAAACACTAAACATGTGGTTTTATTAAATAATTTTATTATAAGATCTGATTCCAGCCAGCATACCTATATGTATATATGCTGCTGTGAATCAGCTTGCTTACTGATGGGAAAACAGTAACTCTTCTTATTTGTGACTTTAAGTATTTTATCCTGTGTATAAGGCAGGAGGTAGCACAGGATTACACTTTCTGTAGACTAAAGTGTCCTTCATGGCTTAAGAAACAGAATACCAGCTATCTACAACACATATGAAGGTATTTCCCTTAAGCAATATAAATATATACCAGTCAGAGCTATCAGAAAGTAGATGGCACACTCAAATTATGGTAATTTTATGCTTTAAGTATAGTCATTTCTGCCAAGAGGAGGGCAACTCTTGCAAAACAATTTCTCTGTGAGTTTCAAACTTTCGAGAGCAGTAAAGCAAGACAGGAAGAGGATAGAGGAGATGCAGGAAGTGTCTACGCATATGAAGTTTGTTTTCCTTGCCTTTATCTCAGAGTATTGTCTTGAGGCACTATTTCACCTCTTGTCTTCCAGGCAGACGTATGACTATATTATCCTCTCACCCCAAAGCCAACTTTCTATTTCCTAGAATCCTCTAATCCATAGTCAGATGCATTATCCATTGCGCCACCGGCCTGTGCTCCCAACTTTCTATTTCCAACTACCTAAGAGACATTTTTGGACATCCTAAAAGAGTTCAAACTCTCCATCTCAAAAAAACACCCATTCTTCCACCCCGCCTCAGTCTTGCACTCACTGTCCACTTTTTGATTTGAATATTTTTTCTGCCACCCATTTAAAAAATATTGATATTGTATTTGAATCTTTTTCTTTCCATATAATCCCCTTTTAAAAAAAATTCAGCTTGTATTTTAGATGTATGTGCAGATTTGTTACACGGGAATAATGTGTGATGCTGGGATTTGGAGTACGGATCTCATCACCCTGGTACTGAACATAGTATCCGATAGGTAGTTGTTTTTGTTTTGTTTTTTTTCTGAGATGGGACTTGCTCTTTCGCCCAGGCCAGACTGCAGTGGAGCTATCTAGGCTCACTGCAAGCTCCGCCTCCCAGGTTCACGCCATTCTCCTGCCTCAGCCTCCCGAGTAGCTGGGACTACAGGCGCCCGGCCACCATGCCCGGCTAATTTTTTGTATTTTTAGTAGAGACGGGGTTTCACCGTGTTAGCCAGGATGGTCTCGATCTCCTGACCTCGTGATCCGCCCGCCTCGGCCTCCCAAAGTGCTGGGATTACAGGCGTGAGCCACCGCGCCCGGCCTCCGATAGGTAGTTCTTTAACCCACCCCCTCCCTCCACCCTCTAGTAGTCCCCAGTGTCTATTATTCCCATATTTATTTCCGTGTGTGCTCAATGCTTAGCTTCCACTTGTAAGTGAGAACATGAAATATTTGGTTTCCATTTCTGCATTTTACTTAGGATTATGGCCTCCAACTCCATCCACACTACTGCAAAGGACACGATTTTATTCTTTTTATGGCTGTGTAAGTATTCCATGGTGTATATGTACCACATCTTCTTTATTCAATCCACTGTTGGTGGGTACCCAGGTTGATTTCATGTCTTTGCTATTGTGAGTAGTGCTGCAATGAACACGTAAGTGCATGTGTCTTTTTGGTAGAATGATTTCTTGTCTTTGGATATGTACCCATTAGTGGGATTACTGGATAAAATGATAGCTCTGTTTTAAGTTCTTTGAGAATGCTACAGACTGCTTTCCACGGTGGCTGGGCTAATTTACACTCCCACCAATAGTGCATAAGCATTCCCTTTTCTCCACAGCCTTACCAGCATCTGTTGTTTTTAGCATGTCCCATTTTTAAAGGTCTTTATTCTAAGTGTTTCCAGGTGGCAGCTAATAAGCTGAGAAGCTAAACCAACCAATGGATTGGCGAGGGCAAACAAATGCATGCTATCTAACAGAAAGTGTGGCATAGTGAAATCCTAGTCATAGAAGTTTTTGGTTCTTGTCCTGGCTTGAGCCCTAACATCTTGGGCAAATCACTTTCCTTTCTGAGCCTCACATGCCAGACTTGAATATATCTTATAAGCTACATATAAAAATAGCATTCAATCACTTATGTAGTAAAGGGTTTGTTAATTATAGAGGGCTACTTAAATATTAACTGCTTTATTATTTTTTCCTGATATTCGCTTTTTTAGCAGGGATCTGTTTATTCCAAGTGATAAATCTCTTCAGAAAAAAAAAGTGCTTATGATGGTGAAATTTCAGCTGTTGGAGTGGGTCTGTCCAAAGGGCATTTTGGGTGAGAAGTCATCATTTCAGTACACGTAACCTCACCTTGAGAGCAACTTACTCTTGATCTAGGTTCCACCAGATACATTACAAAATAAAAAGTTTAGGATTGAGCCATGGTGACAGACTGTTGAAGGTCACAATCTACTTTTCAAATGTTTTGGGTTCAATAAAATTCCAGATGTATTTGGCCCTGAGCAATTTTATTTTGTTGTTAAACCCATGTGTGTTTTAAAGAAAATTGTATCCATATGTATTTGATTCATTTACACTTCGATCATTAAAAATTGGTTTATTTCATAGTTATCTAATATACAAGAAATATCCAATCATCTAAGAGTGTTTACATTTACTTTCCTTACATTAAAAAGAAGCCATTTTAAAGAAGGCCAAATAACAGGAAGCTGTGGTTTGCTAACAGTAAATAAATTTTACACACCCAGTGTTTCCATTTTGAGTTCAAACTCCAAACCTGTCATCTCTGGGTTATGTCTAAAGAAGCCTTAACAAAACGAGTTCCAAAATAAGCAGAAAAGTGCCAGTTAAAAGCAGATTAAAATGGCTAACAAAACACGGCACTCATATTCGCAACTGTGAACCTGTATCAGCTGATGTATAAATAGATATTGTACCAATAGCAAGGGATCAAGCAGAACACTGAGACTGTTGTATCATTGCGTGATCTTGGGTAGGTCATTTAATTTAATAGCTTCTCACTTTCCTGCTTAAAAATGTGGAGTAATAAGATCTGGCCTACATATATCTAAGTGCTGAAGATACAGTCAAGGAACATATAGGATATTACAGCCCCTTCAAAAATATAGAGTGCCATGTAATTGCACTATATCTAAAGAACAGCAATAAAAACACATAATTATTACTGTGGAAAAAAGAACTTTGCAAAAATGTCACATTTTGGTTATTATAATGGAATACTATTAGTGACAAAAATAATATAAAGAAATGTGAACTCAGGTGCTTTGCTCCTTTAATTTATGATCATCAATTTAATGATGCTCTGATATTTATCCATCATTTTTTTCTTGGTCCAGACATACTCAAAAACAAGATTTAAGAATTATAAAATTGCAGGGTGGTAGTAAATACTGGTTAAGCATTTACAATGTGTCATCTCCTTTAATGAACATTATCTTATTGAATCCTCACCTAATCCTGTTAAATAGATATCATGATCCTCAATATACAGGTGAGGAAATTAAAAGGAACTAGTTCAAGCTCACATAATAAGTGGGCAAACCAGCACTCAAAAAAATGTTGCCTTTGGACTCTAGATATTTTGGTTTCCTTTAAGGAAGCTGTTTCCAATGTCTCAAAATGTAAAGAAAAAAATTCCACTTGAAAACATATTAATCTTCTTCCTGGAAATACAAAGGTAATCGAAATAAAACTACTGGCTGGGAGCGGTGTAGTACCAGCACTTTGGAAGGCCAAGGTGGGCTGATCACCCGAAGTCAGGAGTTTGAGACCAGCTTGGCCAACATGGTGAAACCCCGTCTCTACTAAAAATACAAAAATTAGCCTGGCATGGTGGCGGACGCCTGTAATCCCAGCTACTGGGGAGGCTGAGGCAGGAGAATCACTTGAAATGGTAGGCGGAGGTTGCAGTGAGTCAAGATCGTGCCACTGCACTCTAGCCTAGGTGACTGAGCGAGACTCCATCTCAAAAATAAAAAATAAAAAGAAACGAGAAAAAAACTACTATTTTTAATGATTTTTTTCTTTTCTTTTTTTTGAGACACAGTCTCGCTCTGTTGCCCAGGCTGGGGTGTAGTGGCGCGATCTCGGCTCACTGCAAGCTCCGCCTCCTGGGTTCACGCCATTCTTCTGCCTCAGCCTCCCGAATAGCTGGGACTACAGGCTTTCCTGGCTCAACATTTTACGGCCTTGGGCAAGTGACTATTTACAATGTATCTTTAAGTATTAAGTTAAACATTTAAGCATTGAGTTAAATATTGCTATGATACAGTCAACAAAGGAAATTTCTATAATGCTTCTATAATGTTGGGATTATTTACCTGAGCAGACATAGCCTATTTTGTCTTCTTCAGTTTTAAAATATGCCATTTTACTGTTTGATAGTTCTTGAAATTCATGCCAAAAAGTCTGCCATAACCTTTTCTAAAGCAGATGGGCCACTTCAGGATATATGTTTAATAAAATCTTAGAGTATAAAAGCCTGGTTATCGGCCTTCCGTATTTGCGGAATGGCTGCAATGTTTGTGTGTCTGCAGTTGGCACGTAGTTCCTCTACAATTCACTAAGTTTGTTAAAAAGGGCCCTGGGTCATTTAGCTTTTCTAGCATCATAAACCACCTCATCACATAACAGCTTAAAACAACATTGATTTGGCCGGGCACCTTGGCTCACGCCTGTAATCCCAGCACTTTGGGAGGCCGAGGCGGGTGGATCACGAGGTCAGGAGATCGAGACAATCCTGGCTAACACGGTGAAACCCCGTCTCTACTAAAAATACAAAAAATTAGCCGGGCACTGTGGCGGGCACCTGTAGTCCCAGCTACTCGGGAGGAGAATGGTGTGAACCTGGGAGGCAGAGCTTGCAGTGAGCCGAGATCGCGCCACTGCACTCCCGAATGGGAGAGAGTGTGAGACTCAGTCTCAAAAAAAGAAAAAAAAAAAAAAAAAATCATTGATTTGTCCATGACTCCATGGATCAGCTGAGTGATCCGTCTGATCTGGGCTGGCTTCGCTGATCACTGTACGATGATCTAGGATGGCTTTGCTGGATGTCTGGCTACTGGCATTGGTGGTTCAGAGCGAGAGGCATCACTGGGCAGTGTGCCTTTCATCATCTGGTGGACTAGCCCAAGCTTCTTCCTATAGTGGCCTCAGAATTCCAAAGGAGGAAGCTCAAGGCCTCATGAAGCCTTGGATTGGAACTTGTATGTTCTCATTTCTGCTACATTTAATTGGTCAAAGGAAGTCATCATTTTGGCTCAGATTTAAAGGCAAGGGAAATGTACTCCACCTCTTGTTGGGAGAAGCTGTGAAATAAGTGGCCTTTTTTGCCATCTATCCCAAGTTTTCTCACCCTTTTCTCAATTCTATTGCTAGTCTCGAAAGCTTATGAAAACTGTGCAAAAGTAAAAGAACAATGGAGACAGACATTTGCTCTAAACTACCTTTGTTATTTTGTCTTCTAAACAACTAAAGAAAGAAAAATCTTATGCACAATTCTGCCATTGGATGCTGAGTTGCCAATTCAGGTTTTTAAAGACAAGTAAGAAAGCAAGCATTTGAATTTGTCTTCTTTTAAAATCCTAAATGATTGATAGCTAAGTTCCGGTTCAGTGCCTTCAGACATGCAATAAGATGTTTTAGCATTTCGGAGACTGGGGAAAGCTGAGATGAAAGCCAGGAAGTTGATCTGTTCCTCCCCTTCTCTGTGAGAGTGCAGGTTTGAGACATACTTTCTGGGTTCCGTCCTTACCAAGCAAATCGCCTCCTCTAGCCTCTCCACCGCACATTTCACCTGAAGAAAACCCTTTTGGACCTTATTGATATAACCAACTGATATATTTTGGCTCTGTGTCCCCATCCAAATCTCATGCCTCATTGTAATCCCCAGTGTTGGAGGTGGGGCCTGTTGGGAGGTGATTGGATTACGAGAATGGATGTCCTCCTTGGGACTGTCGCAATAGTGAGTGAGTTCTAGTGAGATCTGGCTGTTTAACAAACCTTCAGATGTACCCCCTAACCTAAAATAAAAGTTTAAAAATAAATAAATAAATATAGGTATGTAGCATCTCTCCTCCCTCTCTGTCTTCCTCCTGCTCTGGCCATGTGAGGTGCCAGCTCCTGCTTTGCCTTCTGCCATGAGAAAAAGCTCCCTGAGGCCTCCCCAGAAGCTGATGCTGCCATGATTCTGTACAGCTTGCAGAACTCTGAGCCAATTAAACCTCCTTTCTTTATAAATTATCTAGTCTCAGCTATTTTTTATAGAAATGTGAGAATGGACTGATACACCAAGTCATATAAAATATACATATCGTTTCAGTCTCAGATTCAAATAAGTAAATTTCTAATCTCTTTTGGAAGCAGTATCAATTATCGTTGCATATGCTATTATAGTAATTATTTTAAAATGCATTCATACTATATGAAAATTCCTATAAATCAATAATAAAAATGATTAACACTATTAAAAAGTGAGCAAAATACTTCAAAAAACACTTTACAAGAGCATATATATGAACAGCCAATGGACAAATGAAAATGTGTGCATCATGGTAGAAATTTCATGTGCATGAGCTTATTGCCACCTTTGATTTGTTGTGAAATGAGTTTCTTGATCATATTCAATGTTGTAGAATATTATGATGATGAATAAGGCTTCTATGAGCTTATGGATAATGGTTTGGACAAAAGCTTTGCAGGCAGAGAAGATAAAAATCTCTATTCTAGTGAGAACCAAGTTCTGTCCTTTTAATGATGGAAGCAATCCAATAGAATCAACCTGCCATTAGGATGTCTAACTGATGACCCTGTGGGAGTAGTGCCACCAATAGCTTAGTGTCATATCTGTGGTTGGAAAATGGTGCACTCAGTAGATGCCAGAGTGATATCAGCCCTGGAAATAAATCTGTTTGATCCCATACAGAACTTTTATCCCTACTATCATGGACACATTGTCTATGCACCCACTGGGCCAAGACAGAGAAGCTCAGGTTCTATGGATTGGATGTGCCCCCAAAAGTTTATGTGTTGGAAACTGTATCTCCAATGCAACATATTGAGATGTGGGCCCTTCAAGAAGTGATCAGCTCATGAGGGTTCTGCCCTTGCGAATGGATTAACGTTGTTATCTCAGGAATGGGCTTATTATCACAGGATAGGTTCCTTATAAAAGGATGAGTCTGGCCCACTTTCCTCTGTCTCTCCCCATGTGACATCTTCCACCATGTTATAATGCAGCAAGAAATTCTTCACCAGATGCCAGTGCTTTGATCTGGGACTTCCCAGCCTCCAGAACCATGAGCCAAGTAAATTTTGGTTCATTATAAATTACCCAGTCTCTGGTATTCTGTTTCTCTAGTATTCTGTTACAGCAGCACAAAATGGAGTAAGACACCAGGGAAAGATGCTGCTTGATGTCTAACAGAACAAGTCATCTTGTCTATCTGATTGTTCAGATCTTACTCTGCTCCTTGTTGAGCACTCACAGGGAACACAAATTTCTTCATTGTGTGTCCATTCAGAAAAGTTTATCCAAATAGCTCCTCCCAAGACCTTCTTACATGATTTTCCTAATCATCTTCCTTCCAAGTCCCTAACCATCAGTGAAACTGTTAGCCACTACCCATGAATCAATATATATATATATCTGAATCTCTGTTTTTTCCTTCTAAGGAAGATAAACCATCATGTATACTGCTCAAAGTTCTGCTCACCAGGAGCATTTTCCTTCACTGTCCTTCAAGTGAAATATAGCCATCCACATCTATCCAGTGCCAGCATATTGTTGGACAGCAATTATGTATGGGTTGCTTGCATTTCTAGGTGCCTTGTGAGCATAGTCACCGATGGCTTTTGTTTTTGACTATTTTTCAATGATGTTTATGTATAAACAACCTTGGCAGATGAAGAGAGTGTCTCCACTCAGAGTAGATGGCATGTTCATGTGTTGTCTGTCAATAACTGTGAAAGTTTTGAGATTCTGCCCTACTTGAAGTCAGATACCACTGGGGCAGGCCAACTATGTTCTTGAACATTCCATTTCCATTTGACAATTGATATTTGTTGGGCCCTTCCCACCTTGTTACTCATGAAATCCAAGTTAACCATCCTCAAATGGGAGTATCAGGCTTGAGGGTCACAAGATTTCCATGGGTCAGAAGTTTGGTTTTAACAAGACCCCCATAGTTAGCTAATAAGTACTCTTAGAGGGCTGTATGGTAGCTGGGTCAGGTAGGCAATGAATCCGTAATTTCAAGAGGTGCCTGTGGGGAAGCTGTTTTCTTTTGCCAGATGTTAAAATCATCAGTCACACAGACATACACTTCAAAGGGATCATTGAGGTTATGGGATCCCAAAGGTAAAAAGAGCATGCCACAGCTTGCTGGATAACTTTCTCTACAATTGGTTGATTTGGCTCCCACTCAAAGCATGCTAATTTATGGGCAGCTGATATAAATGAGAAAGCCGAATGCCCAAGTGAGTCACATGTGGTCCAATACCTAAAGAATCAAATAAGGTGTTGGACCTCTTTTTAGGTGCTGGGGACATTGAAGATACAGCAGTTTTTCTTTCACTCCCAGAGGGACTAAGCATTTTGAATTTATCCACATTGTTCTAAGAAACAACTTGGCAAGCAGGACTGAATTTTGTCAGGGTTTATCAACCACCCCAGCTGGCAGAGGTGTGATAACATCACAGTCAGCGTAATATAGACTGAAGCTTCTGACTTGCCAACAAACAAGACATCAGAAGAGAGAGGCACAAATCCTGGTTCCCACTGATGGCAAGTGGCAGGAGTTTTGTGCCATTAGCACTTTTCTCCCTGATTGGGAAAATCCCTTAAAGCACTTACAGTCCCATCAACACAGCAATTGCTCTTATATATTCAGATGTAGAAACAACAGCAAGAGTATATTAAATTAGCCCAAGAGGTCCCAACCACAGCATTCCATCTTTTCACAGAATTTTCATGTATGTTCAGCTGTTTGCATCTAGCTTTAGTGCCGTTGGGAAACAATCTTCAGCCACACCCTAATCATCTTTCTCTTAAAGCATTTGAAATTGGGTAGAAGGAGAGGGAGGGATTGGAGGTAGAGAGGCAGGAAGCAGCTCCATGCCACTACAGCAGGCACATTGACTTTCCGTCTTGTAGAGGCTGTTTATGGCTCAGATGATGTTTTTGATCCACCCAAAGCTCTTCATTCTCGTTGCTGACATCATTTATTTCTGCTTTGGGGACTCCTTGATTCAGTAGCTATAGTCACATTGCCGTTTGTCTGGGGTCTCAGGACTTGCTGCCACATTGTTATGATAAATGTCACCTCCTGCTCTGCCATTTAGAGAGCAGGCAAAACTGAAATCACTATTCAAGAGGGTTGTTTTAATTCTACTCCTTGAGCTCAGCCTCCAAACATGCAGCAACAGGTAGGATAATGGACGACCATTACTTCATACATGGGTGAGGGCATTTTCTATTGGATCATAGAGGGTATTCTCAGATTCCCAAACCAGGCCTACAAGACACTCATTCTTTCTCTTCCGGAAGGACACATTTCTGTAAGCATCCCATCCTCCTCACCAAAAATTTCCAGCAGCTGTAAAGGGTCTGAGATTACACCATACTTCCAAGCTAAGAAATTAGCCTGCCATAGTTTCTTGGGCACCAGCAGAAGACATGAGTCTCCTGGGCCAATGATGAAAACGTTTATTACTCACAGAACAACAAGCAGCATGAATTGTTTGTGTCAGTTTCCCTTAGCTCCAGGTTCTACTAAGGCATCATGAAGTGGCCCAGGTAGATGTTGCATATACAGTGAGTTTACATCTCAGGCAAGGAAACCAAGTATTTTATAATGGGCAGCAAGAAAATCTGCCTGATCTTTTCCGTGTAGTGAGATATTACTTTTGTTTTGCTGGACTGTTTGGGACAATTCTCTCCCATTTCTACACACCGTAATTAGAGACACTGACAGCCTTTCTCTGGACTATGTTTTCAAGGATGTTCATACTACATCCCTACATGTCACACACATAGTGGCAGAAAAACTTTCAGAGCAACCTGGACATTTTATAGGGCATTCTCTTATGCTGTGTTCCACTCAAACTTTGTAGCTTTTTGGAAACTTCAGTAAATGGGTCACCACACACATACAAATGAGGTATATGTTGCTAATAAAATTTTAAAAGGCCCATTAAGCCCTATGTCTCCTTCTTAGTATTAGAAAGGTCAGATGCAATGACCTGTCATTAACCTTGAAAGAGTTATCTTGATACTCCACAGAGTACTAGATTCCTAGAACTCTTGCTGAAAAGGGAAGACCCTTGAATTTTTATGAAACTTTTTTTCCTACCCTCTAGCAATCATGTGTCTTAGGACGAGTGGCCTTTACTTCCTGCTCTCAAGGTCCAGTCAGCATAATATCATCCATGCAATAGGTCAGTGTGAAGTCTCATGGAATAGAAGGTAATTACACTCTCTGTGGACTAGAGGATGACATAGGACGGAGGAGCTGATGTAGTTGTAGCTTATTCAGTATATGTGTATTGCTGGCTACATCAAGTGAAACCACACTCTTGCAAAATCTCCTTTTTACCTCTCTCCCTTTAATACACTCATGTAGTGGAACCCAAACCTGTTTAAACCTCCTATCCTTTTACATGGTACCTGCTTCTGAATAGGTAAATATTAATGAAGAAAATGACAAGTCAAATTTACTGAATGTAGTTTGAATTTACGACCACAATTCTCAAATGGAGATTGTGTTGAATTCCATATACTCATCATACTTAAACCTCAGCAACATTGGACACTGTTGACCCTTCCCTCCTTAAATCACATTCTTCTCTAAGCATATCCCTAGACTTTGTATATTCAATTGTTTACTCAGTATTTCCACTTGGATATTTAAAAGATAAACTTAATGTGTTAAAAAAAAGCCATTATCTCCACTCTCACTCAAATTCTCCTGGGTCCTAATCTTTGCTCATATTAGTAAATAGCACCACCATCAACCCGGTTATTATAGGCCTACATCTAGGAATCACCATATCACCATTGGTTCTTCTCTTTCTGAAACATCCCACAACTTATGTTTCTATGAATTATATTGCTCTATATCTAAAACATATTCAAAACTTGATTGTCCCTCACTTCTTTCTACCCTAGTCTAATGAAATATTATCTCTTGCCAGGACAAGTGCAATAGCTTCTTCACATGAGCACTGAAGGCTATTTTCTCTAGTAAAACAAGAAAAGAGCTTTATAACTAAAATACAGGACAATACATATTCTTTTTAGTCCTCTACCCCAAGATAATAGAAAGTTCTGAGCCCCTGAAGCTCAAGAAGCTCAAAACTGAAAGTTTTGAGATTCTTCCCTACTCGAAGTCAGATGTCACTGGGGCAGGCCAACTATGTTCTTGAACATTCCATTTCCATTTGACAAGTGATATTTGTTGGGCCCTTCCCACCTTGTTACTCATTAAATCCAAGTTAACAATACTTGAAGAGTATTGTTGACTGTCTGTTATCAGATTCGTCTAACCCCTTTTTGGTATTTTTATATATCTTACATAAAATATAGTATCTTATCAAATATAGAATCACATGATCTCAAAAAGTTTAGGATGACTTTAAAGGCAGTTCCAACTGTGGCCTAGATTCTCAGATTATGTTGAGAGACTCAGAGCATTTAGGAAATACTTTCATAGCCACAGAACTAGTTAGCCCTACTGCTCAAGCTAGAGACCACATATTAGCGCCCTCTGTTTGATGCTCTTTCTACTACTTCAAAAAGCAATACTGCCCCATATGTGTATGTGTATGTGACCCTCATGATCACAATGTATTTCTTTTCTAACCGCCCTAGGCTAAATGCTGTGGCTATTTGGTTATGTAAAAATGACATAAGACAAAAGGCAAGCATTTTAAGTACCACTTAATATAAAAACTTCTTGGCCAGGTGTGGTGGCTCATGCCCGTAATCCTTGCACTTTGGGAGGCCAAGGTAGGTAGATTGCTTGAGCTCAGGAGTTTGAGACCACTCTGGGCAACATGATGAGACTCCGTCTCTACTAAAAATACAAAAAAAAAATTTAGCAGGGCATGGTGGTGCACACCTGTAATCTCAGCTGTTTGGGAGGCTGAGGCAGGAGAATCACTTGAACCTGTAAGGTGGAGGTTGTAGTGAGCAGAGATTGCACCACTGCAATCCAGCCTGGGTGACAGAGCAAGACTCTGTCTCCAAAGGAAAAAAAAAAAATTCTGATTACTTTCATTCTTCCCTCACAAGTCACAAGTATCTCAAGTATCCTCCAAGCTGTTAGCACACTATGCAAATAAAGACATGCTTACAAGGTAGGAAAATTTCTGTGCCTCTTATTCAGAATCTAACCACTAATCAGTTGAGTTCCAATCTGCCCAGGAACTCTTTCTTTCCTAATACTAGAGAAACTCCCCCAAATAGTGGGCAATGTGTTTTAAAAACACTTCAGCTGGGCCCCTGTAGCTAACACTGGGCCTCTTTCTTCTTTGTGTGAACTTTCTGAGTGCTTGCTTATTTTATCCCAACACATGGGCTAAATTACGCCTTCCCTTAAATATGTAATTTGAATCACCTTGCCTGCCCAGCAGCTTGTCAGGATTCAGTCACCTGTACAAGCCTGAAGAAATTACATGCTGAAAATACTGAGCTCTGTGCCAATCCCAACTTCTGCTCTTCAGCCTAAGGCTGCGTAATTCCACAAGTCAACAATTTCAACAAATATTTATTGACTCTTTGAAAGGTGGTGCGTAACTTACTCTGGGGAATACAGAGGTGAATTTTTACCTACTTCCTCCAGAGGCTCAGCATCTGGTAAATACGTAAGTGTTTGACACAACATGAGGCTGTGATACAAGCCATGGGAGGGGCATGATTTAAGGGTTGAATTTGGATGAGGCCCTAAAAGACCCATGGCATGTCAAATGCAATAATGGGACCAGGGGGGTTGCAGGGTCTGTTAGGGGAACTGAAAGGACTACCAGCATCATTGAAGTGAAGATTTGTATGCATGTCTGGGGGGATGAGGGTGGTACAAGGCTGGAAAAGTAGTTAGGGAACGAGTCACTAAGTACTTTGAACTTCAGCCTTTAGATTCTAATAGGTGGCCCCTATTCTGCTTACAACTGTCACTCATACAAGTTGTGTGCAGGAATGTGATGCAACCAGGCAAGACAGAGTGTATGTGGGGGGACAATTTAAGTAGAGAACACCTGGAGACAAGAATGCTCCATTGAGAAGATCCATTGTGTTTGCCATCAACACAACACCAAACATTAATGACCCTTTCTTTTGATAACAATTCCTCAGTTTCCCTTTAGGGAACAACACTTCCAGTGAATGTACTTCAAGAGTGGTTGATTCTACCCTAGGCTCCAGAAGTGAAGAGATGGTTTATGTGGCTCCAATCAAAACAGTGTGTTCTATTAGAAGGTTAGAAATATTAAGCTATAATTTTCTAAGAGAAAATTTGTACATTGAGAAAAAAGAAACCAAGGACCAAAACTTGTAGGAACACCACAGTTAAGTAGAGGTAGAGAAGCCAATCAGGAAGAAGGAGAAACTGATTACAGGGAGAAGATGCCCAAGGGAAAGCACTACCAGAAAGCAAAAAAAAAAACTTTGAGATATTTGAAGTAGTTGTTGCGGCTTAAAATGTCAAAGACTTTGAAAAGCTCAAAAAGAGTAATAACTCAGAAAATGGCATCCTTAGTATCTGAAAAGTAGGCTATTAATACACTTCAAGAGAATATTGAATTATTTTTGTTTTTAATTCTGTTAATGTAGTGAATCACATTTATTGATTTCTGTATGTTGAACCAACCTTGCATCCCACAAATAAAGGCTAGTTGATTATGGTAAATTAACTTTCGATGTGCGGCTAGATTCAGTTTGCTAGTATTTTGTTGAGGATTTTTGCATCTGTGTTCTTCAGGGTTATTGACCCTGTTTTCTTTTTTGTTGTTGTGTCTTTGCTGGATTTTGGTATCGGAATGATACTGGTTTCATAGGATGGCTTAGGGAGGAATCCCTCCTCCTTGATTTTTTGGAATAATTTCAGTAGAACTGGCACCAATCTCTTCTTTGTGTGTTTGGCAGAATTCAGCTGTTAATCCATCTGGCCCAGGCTTTTTTTTCTTTGGTAGGTTTTTTATTTTTGACTCAGTTTCAGAAATTGTTATTGGTCTGTCCATGGTTTCCATTTCTTCCTGATTCAATCTTGGGAGGTTGTATGTTTCCAGGAATTTATCCATTTCTTCTGGATTTCCTAGTTTGTTCACATAGAAATGTGAAAACATGAAATAGTCTCCGATGATCTTTTATACTTCTGTGGGCTGAGTTGTAATGTTTCATTTGTCATTTCTGATTGTGCCTATTTGGATCTTCTCTCATTTTTTCTTCGTTAATCTAGCTAATTATCTATTGTTCTTGTTTCTCCTTTCAAAAAAGAAACTTTTCATCTTGTTGATCCTTTGTATGGTTTTGGAGTGGCAATTTCCTTTAGTACTGCTCTGATTTTAGTTTTTTCTTCTGCTAGCTTTGGGATTAGATAAAATAACAGATATTGGTGAGGCTGTGGAGAAAAGGGAATACTCACACACTGCAGATGGGAATGTAACATTAGTTCAGCCCCTGTGCAAAACAGTTTGGAAATTTCTCAAAGAACTCAAAATAGAACTATCATTTGACCTAGCAATTCCATTACTGGGTATATACCCAAAGGAAAATAAATCATTCTTCCGAAAAACACATGCACTCATGTTTATTGCAACACTATTAACAATAGCAAAGACATAATCCACCTAGGTACCCATCAATGGTGGATTGGATAAAGAAAATATAGTACATATACACCATGGAATACTACACAGCCATAAAAAAGAACAAAATCATGTCCTTTGCAATATGGATGCAGCTGGAGCCATCATCCTAAGCAAATTAATGCAGGAACAGAAAACCAAATATTGCATGTTCTCACTTATAAACCTTTCTATTTGGTACTATATTAACTATCTGAGTGATGGGATCATTAGAAGCCCAAACTCCTGTGCCATGAAATGTACCCTTTAACAAATCTGCACAAATACCCCCTGGATCTCAAATAAAAATTAAAATAACAAAAAAGAATTGCTATGTAGCAAAGTGTGGTAAGAAACCAATTATAAAGCAATCAAGAGAAAATTGAAGGACAGGAAGTAAATAGCCACTGGTAATATTTTAGCATTTTCTTCTAGACTTTTCCTTTAAAAATCTTTATTTTGCTGTTAAAGTTTTATTACAAATACATTATGTCATTACAAATTCTTTGAAAATACTATTTATGTTTCAAAAATGATATTTCTTTATATATGTGTCATGACACTCATTGAAGCATTTCCTTATGGTAGGGCATTAAATTCTCTTCTTTGTCCCACTAGCATATAAAAAATATTATATATGCCTTATTTAAAAGTAACTCATATTTCTGTCATTTCTTTAGGAAATATCTTTGGAAAATGAATTATTTAATCAAAGATTATAAGTTTGCTAAAGATTCATAAAATTACTAAACCAATTTAAACTTCAGTAGTAGAATGTTGCAACTACCACCTTTATCACTATTAAGCATTTTAAATGTTAAATTTTGGCTTATTTAATATGTAAAAATCGAGCTTATATTTTGTAACTTAGTTTGATTGCATTATTTTTAAATTGTGTATATATATTTATTTATTTGCTTTTAAAATGTCTTCATTAATTGTGTCATTTGTTTATTTTTTTAATTGTGGAGTTAAGAGGCTTTTGTTCAATGATTTAAAACATTCACTCTTGGCTATATTTCCTACAAACCTTTGATTGAGTACAACAGTCCCCACTTATCCACAGTTCACTTTCTGTGATTTCAGTTATTCATGGTCAATCATGGTCCAAAACTATTAAATGGAAAATTCCAGAAACAAACAATTCATAAGTTTTAAATTGTATATTGTTCTGAGTAGCATGATGAAATCTTGTGTCTTCTAGTTCCATCCTGCCTGAGGTGTGACTCCTCCCTTTGTCTAGCATATCCAACACTGTACATGCTACCTGCCCCGTTAGTCACTTAGTAGCTGTCTCAGTGATCAGATTGTCACAATATTGCAATGCTTGTATTCAACTAACCCATATTTTACTTACTAATGGCCCGAAAGTACAAGAGTAGTGATGCTAGCAGTTAAAATATGACAAAGAGAGGCCATAAAGTGCTTTCTTTAAATGAAAAAGCAAAAGTTCTTCACTTAATAAGAAAAGAAATAAATTGTATTCCAAAGTTACTAAGATCCATCATAAGAATGAATCTTCTCTCTGTGAAATTGTGAGGAAAGGAAAATAAATTCATGCTAGTTTTGCTGTGACACCTCTAACTGCAAAAGTTATAGCTACAGTGTTTAAGTGCTTAGTTAAGATGGAAAAGGCATTACGTTTGTGGGTGGAAGACATGAACAGAAAGAGACATGTTCCAGTTGATGGCAATTGGGTTTCACACTATCTGTTGGTTTCTGACATCCACTGGGGAGTCTAGAAACATATCCCCCAAGGATAAGGGGCGGATTACTGTATACTCATCAGCTGTTGCTGCAATAATGCTGCTGCATAATGAACAGCCCTAATACTCAGTGTCTTACCGATTTCTTATGTATAGAACTGCTGATTAGTGGTAACATTGTTCATTTCGCTTCTACTAACATTCCATTTGGGATATAAAATCATAGGGCAAGCTCAAGGTCAATGGGGCAAAGAAATATAAGCTGTCTGCTGTAGTAGGAGGTACTCAAAAGTCACATGGATATTTAATTCTAATAATGAAGAGGGAATAAAAAATTTGGAGGATCTAATACGCTACATCAAAGTTTTAAACTTTGTTTTCGGGGTTATGGTTCTTCAATGTTAATATTTAATGAGGGTCAATTTATTACCTTTTAGGTCAATTCACCCATCACATTTACATATTGATACTTTTAAATGAAATGCTTTTCTGTAATATTCTAAAAATAAAAATTATAGATTTAATATCTCTTTAAAATGATATTTATTAAGTGGAGAAGCCATGTAAACATTTCTGAGTCGGTGAATATTTTTATGAATTTCTGGTCTTAATGTAGTCTAGTCAAAATATATGGTATATATCATTTGTACTTTGTAGAACTGTTTCCTACTATAATTTTGTTTGTGTTGTAGTATATAAAAATGTTTATAACTGTATTATGTACATTTGAAGAAAATATGTAATTTCTACAGGATAAAAAGCTGCATCCTTGGTTATCTCTTTTACTCTTTAAATATCTATATTCCAATCTCATATTCTTATTTATTTTAATGCTCTTGAACATCTCTAGAAAATGTTTTTATCAATGTGTCTCTGTAGTCCTAATATATTTTGATATTTATATTTGATGCTATGTAGACAACATTAATGATTTCTAGCTATATCTTTGTTTTGTTATTCACTCTAAATGACTCTTTTTGAGTCTCTTGAATTTTACTTTGTCTCCCACTTTGAAACTAATTGTTATATCTTCTTTCTTTGTACCAGAGTACACTTTAATAGGGGAGTCAGAAGAGATATCTCTAAAGGGGTGGCATTTATGTTGACATCCACCAAGCAGGCTACAATCAGTGCCTCTGTCATGTTTCCTCTCATTTCAGTTAGAAATTGCATGGGCTGAATGGTAACATTTATGGCTCTATGACAAGTTCCCAGGTAACAGCTGTGGTCAGATATTCTCTCATAACTTCTGATGCTTATGGAAACAAACTGTGGCTTCTTAAAAGATCCTTGGTGGGAAGAGATGAATGAGAATATGTTTTCAAGTATTGGGACAAACTAGGATTACTTAAAGCACTGAAAATGTCTTGTTTCCGATCACTCTTTATATATTGTACTTTTGAAAAGTTCTACATATTTTGGGCCATGAAGGTGGATGACTCCAATGTCTTTTCCAAGCCTATAATTCTACAATTCTATAGAATAAAAAGAAACAGAAGCATGTCAGAGGAAGCAATGAATAATATCCTCCAACCTTTTACAGTTTACATAATGGGGATTGCATATTTTTTACTATATAATAGCATATTATTGATATTTAACATTTAATTTCCCTGATGTGGATCCTTTGAAATTTCTAGTAATCCTTTGGGATCAGTATAATTAGCCACATATTACTGATGAGAAAATTAAAGCCCCAGAGGAATAAGTAACTTATTCAACATTTCAAGTTGGGAGAAGCAGAATCAAGAACTTAAACCCAAGTTCTTTGATTCTATGTGTGCTGCTCTTCCCACAATATCATATAGCCATATGATCCTACCAGCCGTATGATCCTACCAGCCATATGAGATGAGCTATATCACTCCTGGGCCCTTGATTTGTCTGATATGTATATGGTGAAACATGCAAATAAGGAAATAAGTGCGCAGGCATGCACACACACACACACACACACACACACACACACAGACACACAGAATTATCTATTATTCATTGCCTGAAAAAGAAAAGAAAGTCAAACACTTTGCAGAAACCTACATTTTCCCCAGAAACTAAATTAGAGAAAAGATGAATTCCTTTTTAAGGGGCACTAAATGACATATTAGATAGTGACTTTAAACTACATATTTGCAAAACATACAGAAAAACTGACCAAATGCATGCTTCTCAATTTTTTATTTTCATAGGCTGAGCACATAATTATTTAATTTTTACCCAGTGAAAGTATTTATTGAGGAGTCTCAGATAATATTGTCTATATATCCTTTTGTTGTTGTTGTTGTTGTTTAACAGGGTCTCAATCTGTTGCTCAGGCTGGAGTACAGTGGCGTACATATCCTTTTAATGCAGGAGTAGCACTTGGGCAATCTGGAAAATAACTTCCTAAAATATTGGGTTTATTATGTGAGTAATTTGCAGGAGTTGATCAATCATATCATTATGGAATTTTCTAGCCTGTGATTATAACATCTGTGTGATTAGTTAAGTCAGAATACTCTAGGCTTTATTGGTTTTTGTTTGGTTGGTTGTTTTTGTTTGTTTGTTTTGAGATGGAGTCTCACTCTGTTGCCCAGGCTGCAGTGCAATGGCCCGATCTCTGTTCACTTCAACCTCTGCCTCCTGGAATAAAGCAATTCTCCTGCCTCAGCCTCCTGAGTAGCTAGGATTACAGGCACCCATCACCACATCTGGCTAATTTTTTATTTTTAGTAGAGACAGGGTTTCACCATGTCAGCCAGGCTGGTCTCAAATTACTGACCTCAAATGATCTGCCTGCCTCAGCCTCCCAAAGTGCTGGGATTATAGGCATGAGCCACCATGCCTGGCCTCTATGCTTTAGATATCACATGTAGCAGAGGAGTTCCCACAATGTTGAAATGATAAGAGCTAGGCATGTGTTTTCATTACCTCTAGGTCCACCCAACTCACATGAGCAAAAGAATGATCACCTGATGGAATCTCTATGCCAATTGAAATATAAAGTCACATGGTAGCACATTGCATTAGGAGATACTCGTTCATGGCAAAACTCCTCCTCCTTTCACCTGAGAATTCTAGTGCTTAAAGTAGAAACTGATAGTAAAAGTTGCTACATTCACAAAAAAAGAGGACATTTCAACTAGTCTATACCACTTTCAAAGATGCCACAGATGAAGTACTCCTTTGGAAGGTATGTTAGCTTTGGCGGGCTTAACATTTCCATTTCAAATTTAATGGCAATCTTATTAGGCAATCTTACTCATATGTTGAAATGTTTTCTAACCATGAAGTGTGATTATATTGACTTGACATTTTTTGAGCAATATGTTTAACACATATACAAGTGAGAGAATATTTTTAGATCAAGTCACATATGTTATATCACTAATAACATTTTTCTAGCATTTAGGATGTCTGGAGAGTATCAATTCCAACATACTTTGTCAAACCAAAATAATAAATAAAGCTTACCCCATTGTAGCAATGCTATGCTAACTAAACATTTGGCTCTTATTTGTTTACACTGCATTAAATTTATTCTCTTTCAGTTGGGGATTTTTCCCCTTCTAATGGTCCAACTTTGGTTGTACCACTTGTTTGGATAATTTTACCATCTCTTCACTCTCAGATTTCCAACTTCCTGAAGTAAAGTTATGTTCTTTAAAATTCTCAGAAACCTGTGTCCCTTCCAGATAGATATCTCCTCTTGTGCATAAAGGTGAGACAAACTTTGCCTAGTTGCTGATTTACACAGAAAGAATGAGAAGAATTTTAGACTCCATGGCAGCATCTACTAGAATTCTCTTGTACACTATTGAGTACTGAATCACAAACTGCTGTGGTTTCTCAATTAGGGTAGGACATTATAAATGAGAGTTAATTGACTACAATAGTGCAAACTTCTGGCATCTAGGTGAGATATAGATAGATGTAAACTAGATTGAAAATATTAAAGAATCTATAAATAAGTTTTAATATATTTTTAAAAGCGGTCAGGAGGAGGCAATAATTCTGCTTCTAGTTATGAAGGGGAAAGTGTTATCAGATTTACATTCCCAACATAAACAATGATAACATCCAAATATATCATAGAACCATTTTCTGGCATTGGACAACGGGCGTCACAGTACAGTGATTCTTGAGAAAAGAAAAATATGCAAAGTTAATTCCACACTTTCTTCAACATTCAGACTGTGAGTACTTTCCTCATGATTGCACAGGGAAATAGAGCATAAGCCAAAAAAATTCATTTCGCTAAGTTGAGAAGGCAAAGATAAGAACCCCTTGCTACTGAGTCAGATGAAATCTTGTGTGTTGGCATACTTAAGAGGAGAAAATGCAAAAAGAGAGCCTCGGATCTGCACAGAGGTTTCCTTTGACCTCTTGGCTGGGAGTAAGCTGTGCATGCACAGTGCAAAATAACATGATGCCTAGCAGAGAGTGGCTTCTGGAATGAGAGCCACAGAGATGCAGAGATCATGCAGTGCTCTAATATGTAGTAGCTTCAGTCATGCCAGAGTGGAAATATACTACTGGGCAACTTAGACATTCAATGTAGACCCAAGAGAAGTGATGCTTTGGGAATAAGGAACATGCTAGGGCAAAGGAGACAAATCCAATGTAAGTCTCCTTTAACAAAGCATAAACCAAGTCAGATAAGATCAACAGGATGTTCGAGTCATTTAATTGTTGTCAAAACAAAACTCAACACCTTTCAAAGAAAGACTACCTATTTCAGATATCCTACAACAAAATATTCATAATGTTTTGCATACAGAAAAAAATAGGTATGCAAATGAAAACCTTAAAAAGGTGACTGACAACCAAGAGAAAAACACAGGCAATAGAAACAGACCATGAAATGACCACAATGTTGGAATTAGCGACAATATGTGAAATCTTTTATCATAATGATGTTCAAATATATTTTTAATATGAACATAATGAGAAAACATAAAGGAAATACCACCAGAGTAATGGTAACTATAAATAAGAACAAAATTGAAACTCTATGATAGAATAGTTTAATATTTAAAAATTTGAAAGGTACTAGATGGGATTAAAAATGGACTGTAGAGTTCTAGTTCTGGGCAGGTAGCATGAAGAGCTCTGTAGATGCACTTCCCAGAGAAATAAGCATAACTGGTGAAAAACTAGAAAAACTAAACTATTTGAGATCTTGGAAATTTGTCCTAAAGGCATACAGCAAATGAAAAAAAAATTCAAGAAAATCTACAAAAACTCTACAGACCACTGAGAGTATGTAACATTTGAACCATAACCCACACCTTCACTCACTCCTTCCAGCTAAGAATGATTGAAACTCCACTAGGTGGGTGTAGACAAGAACACAGGGTTTCTTCTTTTCCCAGGTCTCAGTTGAGGACTACAGTATCTTCCCAGGAGGGGCAGGCCACCAGCCTTTATCATCATCTTCAGATGTATGCAGCAGAGTCTGAATATACAATCAGTGGAATGGTAGAAGAAATGAATAGTTACAAAAAAGTTTAGAATGGAGAAGAGATTTAAAAACCAAGAAAAATTATAAAGAAAGTAGGTAAACTAGGAATAGATTGTGATTTTCCTTCACTGGTCTTATAAAAAAAGGAAAAAAGTATCTCAAGCACGGGTCTTCAGAATTTGATAAATAGCCATTTTACCGAAAGAGAAAAAAGATTTCAAGTACTCTGACTCTCCTAAGATAGTCAGGATCACACAGCAGTTTGTATACCATTTTTGGAGCAGTGAAAATCAAAATGGCTGGAGTGAATTGAATGGTGATGATGAAATAGTATCAAACAGTCCTTATCTGGTGTAAAAGAAGAAATACCAGGAACTCAAACATCTACACATTCAGGGAAACAAAAGATGAATAAAAAGTCATTGCTATGTGTTGATATGTATTCTGAATATATTATGTATATTATTTCTTCTGAAAATTGAATGGTTTTGATATTAGGACTGATTCTTTACATTTAACTAGGTAAAATGAAATGTGACCGTTGGCAAGATCTTTGGAATACAAATATATTATGAGTTTGAGTAAATAAAGGAAGCAGTAAATAATTTTAGCTTACCCACTCTTGATGAAACACACCGTTGCATTCCAGCTCACAGTAGCTAAGTTTGTACTGCCTCTTTGCCCAGTTGGTCTCCTCTGGTTTCCTTTGCAGATATTATAGCTACGCTTAGTCACTTCACCTCTGTAGAAAAGTCATATTGTCTACTGCAGGCTTAATAATAAGCTGCAGTCTCTGTTGTCATCACCAGTCCTGCCTGACATCCATATGTCATGTGTTAGAGCTAATAAGCAGCACACATTTAATCAGTAAAGATACTTAAGAGTTAAACAACACATGACTAATTTGGAAAGCTAAATTAACTATCGAGTGAGAAGGGTTTTCAAATATTAATACAGATTTATTTATGTGTATACAGATTCATTTATGGGTCTATGACTCGTTTTTTCCCAGTAATATCAAATTCATTTTGGATGGCCTAACATGGATCAGTAACTATCATTCTCTAACAGTTACATCAGTGCGGAATTACGTTCTAAGATCTAAACACTGTCCAACAATTAACTTTTTCTACAATTTATTTGAATGCAAATGAGACTTAGAAATCTTGAAATAAAATAGTAGGATTTTGTCTTCTCAACTAAAAAAATATAGCATCAAAAATATAATGCTTAGGAATAGATTTAACAAAAAGATGCATAATATCTCTACTGAAAACTATAAAGCATTGCTGAGGGAAATAAAGATTTAAATGAACGGAGAAAAATATTCACATTCATGGACCATAAACCAATATTGCCCAGATGTTTATTGTCCTGAAGTTGATCTGTAGACTCAACGTATTGCATGGCATAATTTTGTGAGCAGATTCTAAAATTTATATGGAAATGAAAAGGATCTAGAATAGCAAAATCTATCTTGAAAGAGATGAACACAATTGCAAGATGTAAGCCTTCTGATTTAAAAGACTTACAGCTACAATAATCAAGACAGAGTGGGTTTGGCAAGATGATAAACCAATATATCAATGGGTCAGAATAGATAGTCTAGACATAGGCCCACATATATATGGTGAATTGATTTTCAAAACAATGTCAAATCTAAATAGGGAAAGAAAATCTCAAAAGTAATTTTGCAACAAGTAAGTGAGTATACAGAAAAACAAGATCAAGCTCTGCCTCATACCATTCAAAAATTCATTTAATGTGAATTAAATAGGTCTAAACTTTACAGAAAAAACTATAAATGTTCTCAGAGAAAATATCAGAGACAATCTTCACGACCTTGGGGTAAGAAAATATTTCTTAGGGACACACAAAGAATGAGCTACAAAAGAAAAAAATGTATAAATGAGGCTTCATCCAAATTTAATACTTCTATTTTTCAAGAAATACTGGGAAGATAATGAAAAGACAAGTCATATTCTGGGAGGAAATAGCTATCTATTAATATCTATCTCTTTCTCTATCAATTATCTATCATCTATTTCTCTGACAGACTTACATAAAGAATTTATAAAGAATCCCTACAACTCAAAATGAAAAGTCAAATATAGAAATAGAATATAGAGTCTATAACCAATATAGAGGCTTGTGCTTTGTAAATAATTGCCACAATGGGCCCGCTGTTTTATGAGAGATGAAATGCTAGGCAGGCAAGGAGCCAGGTGAAAAACTAGAAGGCTAATGTAGCTCTTTGAATGTCTGAAGTTATAGGTATTTTTCCTCAATTATTTTCAAAGTGTGAGTGATGTCCCCAAGGATGTTAGGAGCATTACAGGGCAAATAGCTAGAAAATGAACCACAATTCCTTCAAACAACTTTCCAAATTAGCCAGGAATGAAACAGTGGAAAGATCTCTGAGTGGAAAGCAGGGACACCCTTGGTCCAGTACCAGAAGTGCTACTGCTGTACATTGGAACAAAATAAAGTTCACTAGGCCTCAGTTTCCTTTTGTAAAACATAGAACCTGAACAAAAGAAACCTCCTATTCTTTTCAAATCAAAACTATTATTTATCCATACATTTATTCATTGCATGTATCAACAATTTATTGGTATCTACCATTTATTTGCTAAGCACCTTTGATAAAGAGATGTAAAAATAATCTCTATACTTATTGAACTCATTCCAGCTGAAGAGACACATATAAACAGCTAGAGATATTTTAAAACTGCTAAAAGAATTCAGATCCAAGTATTGCCCAAGCAGGAGCACTAAGTGCTTAGCATATTCCAGGTTAGCAAATAGTCTCACATGGAAGCACTGTGGTGTGTGCCAATCCATGGAGTGGTGGAGGGTGAATGGAAGGGAAGAGTGGCCTAGAAGTCTGTGTGCTATGCCAAGGAGCTTAGACTTTATTCTCTAAATGAGAATCATCAAAATTGCTTTTCTTCTTCTTTTTTAAAGATGTTTTAGAAAGATTGCCTAGAAATAGAATGGATTGATTATAAATCATTTGGTATTTTCTTGACCAATTCATTCTTTAACATATTTTCTCAATTTTCCATAATGAATCTACCTCATTTTGAGAGATTTGGTTTCTATCCTGGAAATAATTTTTTCTGTTCTTTTAAATCTACACAGTGTCACTCAAACAACATTGACACATCATTAGAAATACTAAGTTTTTCCAGGCAGTTTGACTAAAGCGCATTAGAAGAGTTTACTTGTCTAACTAAAAGAAAAAATAAATATGGTTTCCCTGCTGAAAATAGCTATCACTCTCATTTCCTTCCTCTTTTGCAATGCAGAAGAGTATGGAATTCAAGCAAGATAGAAATAAATTTATAATAATAATGTTTTAAAAAGGCATAAACATATGGTTGGCTCTGTGATGATTTTCACACAACTAAACCTCTTCTTCTATTCCCATTTATGTTGGCAAAGTCACAGTAAGTTAAACTGGCAGAAAATTCAGCAGCGTAACATTTTGGAACACCAACATAATAAATATGAGTTGGCTGAGTGTTCGAGCGGTCCAATTAAATCTATTCTGTTTTGATTATAGCTGAACCACTTGAGCTATATTTCACAACATATGTTATATTTACATATACAACCAGCCCTCTGTATCCAAAGATTCTGCATCCATGGATTCAACCAACTACTGATTGAAAATATTAAAAAAAAACTGTACTGAACATATACAGACTTTTTTCTTGCCATTATTTCCTTAACAATACAGTGTAACTACTATTTACATAGCATTTATACTGCATTACATATTATAAGTATATAGAGATGATTTAAAGTATACAAGAGGATGTTCATAGATTATATGCAAATACTATACATTTTATATAAACAATTCAAGCATCCTTAGATTTTGGTACCCATGAGAGTATCTTGGAACCAATCTTCCATGGATACAGAGGGACTCCATTTATGGGCTATCTTTGTATTTTAAGAGAATGCTGCAGATAAACACTTATTTAGGCACGTATTTTGAAATATTTTATAGGCATCTATTTTCACTGTTCACATCACACAACCTTACAAAGTAGCCAAATATAGAAATAAAGATGCAGTCTAGATATCCATCAGGATTTGGTCAGAAAACCAGCTACCATGCTGGGTATTTTAAGCAGGAAAGGGTGTAACACAGAAAAGCAGTCTTAGACAATTATTGCAAGGTCAGGAAAGCTGAAAAGCATACCAAAAAATAAGAAAGTAGGAGGATCCTGATAAGCCTCCACCAATGATTTATGCTGCCTACAGCCTTGCAAGAGGACACCTGAAAGCCACAGGTGGAACCCCCCCGTCAGCCATCTGCAGATGCCCAGCTGCTCCTGGAGAATAATGGCCTCTCTATATCTTCCACTTCCAAGCCTCACACAAATGCCTTTTACTGGCAGAATTTAAACCAGATTCCCTACTGGCTAGTAAATCTGCTTAATGTAGCTTCCAAACTGTCAAGCCCCATGTAACAAGACAGAGTTTAAAAGAGCAGGGATCATATTACATATCAAGACACAATATCTAGTTTAGCTCTCCATACACATATATTTAAATTTCCAAACAACAATAATATTACACTTTTAACTAACATGTGAGAACTATCTGTCAATCTAATAAAGTTGTGCTCAATCTCTCCCTCAAAAGGCAAGACAATAATCCTAATGCCACTGCATTCATTTCTGGATATTCATTCTTTTTCTGTCTTGGTCACAATCTCTACCCAATGTCCTATAATTTTGCAGACAGAGACATACTTTTAATGACTAACAATACTCCTTATATAAGCTAATAGAAAAGAAAGTAGAATAAGAATTTGGCTAAGATAAATACATTATATGTGTGTGTATATATATATATATATATATATATATATATATATATATATATATAATGTGAAGAAAGAATATAAGCATAGTTACTAAAGTCCTTCCTTCTGTAACTGATCGTAAAGCTTACTTCTATTACTCATTTCATATTTATTTTGTCCTTAGTCAGCATCGAAGGTGGATGTAAGCTTTTGCCTGGCAGAGAAATCCAAAGCTTCATTTCTGAGTGTTCCAAGCCATTATTAGTCTTTCCTCCACTGGGTAACTGTGATTTTCATTAACAGTGTTAGAAATCATATGAGGCACACCCAGACAATCCTCCAGCATTTTTGGTATACTTCTCTTCCCCTGATGGCATAGCCCTATTTCCTCTTGATAACTAGGATTAGCCACCCCAGTCAGTACAGTAACCCTCTTCTTTGTTATTTCAATGGCATTGGAAGTTTAAGGTGGCGAGGTTGCAATCTGATCTTCAAGTTCAATGTGCCCTCTGGTAGAATCTTTTCTTTCTTGGGAACCAAGATCTCAGAGTCTGTAGAGCCCAGTGCTAGTGGAGGGGAAGCATAATTTTGAGAGTCATTTTTTAAGTGAAATTGTTGAGAAGAGTTATGCCCACTTCCACTCCTTGTTTCTCAGATCTGTGATTTCCTATTATAGGAGAAAGAGCACTATATCATATTCAAAAGCATAGGCATTTGGTTTAGCTTCTGCAAGGTATTGTCTCCAAGTCAAAATAAAACTGTCTTCAATAGGCTATCCCATTTTCCTATCAGCCTAGCTTCTATTATTGTGGAATTAATTCCTTATTCATGGGTGATGAATTCATTATCATCATGATTGTGAATGAAGTATCATTAAATCTATAGATAAGGGTTGAGGTAAAAGCACTGACAGAAGGGAAGGTTAATCCATACCAAGAGGAAACATCTATTCCAGTGAGGAGAAATAACTCTCCCCTCCATCATAAAAAATTCCAATGTAATCAACCTAATATCAGATGGTTGGTTAGTTCCTCTGGAAAATGGCACCATGTTAGGGGTTCATAGTGTTGGCTTCTGCTGGTGGTGTGTTGAACACTCAGCAGTGATCACAACCAAATCATCTTTGATTGGATGAAGACTATGCTTTTGACCCCAGCCATAACCTCAATCCTATTACCATGGCTATTTAGTTCCTGGGGCCGTAAAGCAAGCACTGAGGTGGCTAAGAAAAGATGGTTGACATTCATAATGAGTGACGTTTAATTAGCATTTCCATGGAAAATAAACACTTTTGTAATCTCTGCATTCTGAGAGCTCCATTCTTATACCTTTTTGTCATCTATCCTCTAGAATAATTTCTTCCAAAATTGACCGTCTGGCCAAACTGTTAGATACTGCCCATAAATTAGTATAGAAATTTATCTCTGGTCATCCTCCTGTTATGCACAATGAAAAACAAGATGCTGGGAGTTCTTTCCCCTGAAAGTATTTCTCTTTCCTCCTGGTGTGCAGGGCATGCACTGAGATAGCTGTGAAGCTGTAGCCAATCAAATGTGAAGAGTGCCAGCATATCCTGTGGAACCAACTTAAAGCAAGAGCAATCATTTTCTCCTTCATTCAATGGTCAGAGGAAACTATGAAGATAGAGTGTGTTTAGTGAGAATGGCAGTCCATTAGGAATAGGTTTCATGAGAGTGTGAGTCATCTGTACACTAAATTTACTTAGGCCTTTGGAACCTACTTAAGTCTGATCTTGTAGGTGCACTTCCACTTGAAGAAAACTGCTTCTATACTGGCCCATCATTATGACTTGATATATCAAATACACCTTTTATGGTCATGTTTTCATGTAGTGTCCCATGATCAGGCAATTAATTCTTAGCAGGGCCCAGTACAGTATCAGGAGTTGTTTCTGAAAAGGAAAAAGTTATGTGCAGAAGAGCGCATGGCTTTGCTCTGAAGTCTTCACAGTGAGTCTCTCATGGGAGCTTGTCAGTGACTGCGTATAGCATTCCTGTATGCACCATAGACAATTCAAGCTCCATTTAGATTTGTGGTCATAAGATACAGTTGACAGAGAGGCCGGGCAAGCTGGTAGCCTTAAGAAAAAGTGATTTCATATTGTATTTTAAACTGTGTAAAGTAAAAAACAAAGTCATTCATGAAAAAAGAAAAAAAAGAAAGAAATGCTTAGTATATGGGTCAGAGCAGCACACTTAAATATAGTAGAGGTTGTCTTTAAAATTCAAAGAAGCTTCCAAGTATTTCATTTCTTTCTCAGGACTTGGGAGTAAAAGGTGCAGAAAACTGTCTTTCACATTAAAATGTGATGTCTCAAAGTTCTCAGGCCATAATGCCACTAGAAAGTTCAAGGAGGCTTTTAATAGAATGATTGCCCTGTATCTTTCCTCAGCATCCAGAGTATTTTCTACATCTGCTTATCAGGAATTATCTGCATAATGTTATCAACCCAATGACAACCTTAACATTTTGTGAGTCAGTGAAACAGTCAAGGTTTTGTGGATTAGATTATGAAAGATACCAGAAAATTAACACAGCTCTGAGATAAATCAGCTAATCTGTTTTGCTATTCCTATAGAGTGAAAGAAAATTCCCTTTAATTTTCTTTATTAATTAGTATAGATGAAAAGTCATTTTCTGGGTCAGTAGTTGAATACCAGGTGCCAGAAGCCACTGCAATTAGAGTGAATATCTGCTAAAGTTTACAATGATCCACTCATTCTCCAAGATCTATCAGTCTTTTCCATAGGCCAATTGAATAAATTAAATGAGGATGGAATAGTACTCATTTCCCTGGTATTTTTCAATGCTCTTATGGTGATATTAATTTCTGTGATTCTCCCAGGAATGTGTTATTTACTTTTGTTTACTTTCTGCTAGTGGTTGTAGGACTTTCTCTTGTCACTTTCTTGCATAGTATCCCTGACTCTGTGGAAATTCTGCCAGTTGCCAACTTTGTCTAAATCAAGTATGCATTCAGAAACAGAGAATATAACCACTATGGTTTTGCAGATCCACTGCAAAACCACATCTATGCAAGAGATAGACTTGGACCAAAACCCCATTGATTTCTATAAGTCTTCTCTCTGACTGGTGGGAGCGTATTGCCTTTTGATTTTCATTTCAGCTCAAGGCAACTGTCCAAAAAATATCAGCAAGGTCCTGATAAGTCCATTTCTCCAGTCAAAGTCACAGCCATCATGTCAAAAAGCCAATTGTCTTGTTGGGAAGGTGAGAGTACAGATTAACCATAAATGTGGATGTCAGTCCCTCAAGGTGTCTCTCAAGGAAACATAGCCTCCCTTCAATCAAAACATTCTCTTTTTTTAGTTTAATTAAGTCCCATTTATTTATCTTTGTTTTTGTTACATTTGCTTTTAGGTTCTTGGTTATGAAGTCTTTACCTAAGCCAATGTCTAAAAGGGTTTTTCCAATGTTATCTTCTAGAATTTTCATGGTTTCAGGTCATATTTGATCTATCTTGAGTTGATTTTTGTGTAAGGTGAGAGATGAGCATCCACTTTCATTCTAACTGTGGCTTGCCTATTATCCCAGCACCATTTGTTGAACAGGGTGTCCTTTTCCCACTTTATGTTTTTGTTTGCTTTGTCAAAAATCAGTGGCTGTAAGTATTTGGCTTTATTTCTGGATTCTCTATTCTGTTCCATTGGTCTGTGTGCCTATTTTATAGCAGTACCATGCTGTTTTGGTGACTACGGACTTATAGTATAGTTTGAAGTTGGGTAATGTGATGCCTTCAGAATTGTTCTTTTTGTTTAGTCTTGCTTTGTATATGTGGACTCTTTTTTTGGTTCCATATGAATTTTAGGATTTTTTTCTAGTTCTGTGAAGAATAATGGTGGTATTTTGATGGAAGTTGTATTGATTTGTAGATTGCTTTTGACAGTATGGTCATTTTCACAATATTGATTCTACCCATCCACGAGCATGGGATGTGTTTCTATTTGTCTGTGTTGTCTATGACTTCTTTCAGTAGTGTTTTGTAGTTTTCCTTGTAGAGATCTTTCACCTCCTTAGTTAGGTATATTCCTAAGTATTTTATTTTATTTTATATTTTATTTTATTGCAGCTATTATAAAAGGGGTTGAGTTCTTGATTTGATTCTCAGCTTGGTCGCTGATGTATAGCAAAGCTACAGATTTGTGTAAATTAATTTTGTATCCTGAAACTTTGTTGAATTCATCTACCAGTTCTAGGAGCTTTTTGGATGAGTCTTTAGGGTTTTCTAAGTATACAATCCTATCATCAGCAAACAGTGACAGTTTGACTTTCTCTTTACCAATTTGAATGTCCTTGATTTCTCTCTCTTGTCTGATTGCTCTGGCTACGACTTCCAGTACTATGTTGAATAGAAGTGGTGAGAGTAGACATTCTTGTCTTGTTCCAGTTCTCAGGGGGAATGCTTTCAACTTTTCCCTGTTAAGTATAATGTTAGCTGTGGGTTTGTTGTAGATGGCTTTTATTACCTTAAGTTATGTCCCTTCTATGCCATTTATGTTGAGGGTTTAACTCATAAAGAGATGCTGGATTTTGTCAAATGCTTTTTCTGAATGTATTGAGATGATCATGTGATTTTTGTTTTTAATTCTATTTATATGGTGTATCACATTTATTGATTTGTGAATGTTAAACCATCTCTGCATCCCTGGTTTGAAACCCACTTGATCATGCTGGATTATCTTTTTGATAAGCTGTTGGCTTCAGTTGCCTAGTCTTTTGTTGAGGATTTTTGCATCTATATTCATCAGGGATATTGGTCTGTAGTTTTCTTTTTTGTTATGTTCTTTCATGGTTTTGGTATTAGGATGATACTGGCTTCATAGTATGATTTAGGGAGGATTCCCTCTTTCTCTATCCTATGGAATAGTGTCAATAGGATTGGTACCAATTCTTCTTTGAATGTCTGACAGATTTCAGCAGTGAATCTGTCTGATCCTGGACTTTTTTTTGTTGGCAATTTTTAAACTACCATTTCAGTCTCGCTGCTTGTGGGTGGGAAGATGGGTGAGGGATAAAAGACTTCGCATTGGGTACAGGGTACACCACTTGGGTGATGGGTGCACCAACAGATGGGTCAGTTCAGAGTTTTTATATCTTCCTGGTTTAATCTAGGAGTGTTGTATATTTTCAGGAATTTATCCTCTTCTAGGTTTTCTAGTTTATGCTTCTAAAGGTGTTCATAGTAGTCTTGAATAATTTTTTTATTTCTGTAGTATCAGTAGTAATATCTCCCCTTTTGTTTCCGATTGAGCTTGTTTGGACCTTCTCTCTTCTTTTTTTTTGTTTTTTTGAGACGAGTCTGGCTCTGTTGCCCAGGCTGGAGTGCAGTGGCGCAATCTCGGCTCACTGCAAGCTCCGCCTCCCGGGTTCACGCCATTCTCCTGCCTCAGCCTCCCGAGTAGCTGGGACTACAGGCGCCCGCCACTACGCCCGGCTAATTTTTTGTATTTTTAGTAGAGACAGGGTTTCACCATGTTAGACAGGATGGTCTCGATCTCCTGACCTCGTGATCCGCCCGCCTCGGCCTCCCAAAGTGCTGGGATTACAGGCGTGAGCCACCGCGCCCGGCCGGACCTTCTCTCTTCTTTTCTTGGTTAATCTCACTAATGGTCAAAAGAAATAATCAGCAGAGTTAACAGACAATCCACAGAATGGGAGAAAATCTTCACAATCTGTACATCCAATGAAGGACTAATATCCAGAATCTACAAAAAACTCAAACAAATCAGCAAGAAAAAAAATAATCCCATTGAAAAGTGGGCTAAGAACATGAATAGACAATTCTCAAAAGAAGATATACAAATGGCCAACAAGCATATGGAAAAATGTTCAACATCACTAATTGTCAGAGAAATGCAAATCAAAACCACAATGTGATACCACGTCACTCCTGCAAGAATGGTCATAATGAAAAAATAAAAAATAATAGATGTTGGTGTGGATGTGGTGAAAGGAAACACTTTTTACACTATTAGTGGGAATGTAAACTAGTAAAATAACTATGAAAAACAGTGTGGAGATTCCTTAGAGAGATAAAAGATCTACAATTTGACCCAGCAATCCCACTACTTGGTATCTACCCAGAGGAAAAGAAGTCATTAAAGAAAAAGATACTTGCACATGCATGTTTATAGCAGCACAATTTGCAATTGCAAAAATATGGAACCAGCCCATCAATCAACAAGTGGATAAAGAAAATATGGTATGTATATACCATGGGATACTACTCAGCCACAAAAAGGAATGAATTAATAGCACTCACAGCAACCTGGGTGGAAATGGAGACTATTATTCTAAGTAAAGTAACTCAGGAATGGAAAACCAAACATCACATGTTCTCACTCATAATTAGGAGCTAAGTTTTGAGGACTCAAAGGCATAAGAATGATACAATGGACTTTGAGGACTTGGGGGAAAGGGTAGAATGTGGGTGAGGGATAAAAGACTGCATTGGGTACAGGGTATACCACGTGGGTGTTGGGTGTACCAAAATCTCAGAAATCACCACTGAAGAACTTATTCATGTAATAAAACACCATCTGTTTCTGAAAAACCTATTGAAATAAAAAATATATTTTTTAAAAAGCACTCTTGCTTCTTGAATTGGTTCATGTCTGAGAATTAAGTGGAAGGTGAGATATCCCTATCCATTGTGTTGAATTAAAATCTAGACATTTTTGGATTATATATTTTAAGTAATACTTGATCAAGCTTCCCACCTTTTTCAACTTTAAAGGCACCATAATCAATTAACCACTGCCCCAAATATCTTCCAATTAAACCATCTGGTTACCACTCCAACTCTGCTGCCCATTTCTATAACCATGCCCACTTGTTCCTGGTGTTTAAGTGGTGTCAGTGGCTTCTATATTCTGGGATGTCCTTATTCCTTTTTTAAAATACAGGAGCTCAATTCCTTGAAGTATCTCCCACCATCATCCCTGACCTATAGACAGCAGTCACTACAAATCCTATAAGGATGCTTTTGTTCCTCTCATCAGTATATTTTCTCAAAGTCTTTGGAAAGGGGTAGCCTCTAGATTCCTGTGGTCTTACCAGAGACACATGGTAAGAGAGATAATGAATTGATTGCACATAACCAATGTATTCCAATATTCCTATTTCCTTTAGCCTTTGGATTCCTTCCTCTCTGTTGTGCTAAGGAAATCCTTATATTTCAACTTCATTTATTCAAGGAAATCCCTGAGTCCATGTTTCAATTAGCCAACCAATAAAATTGTAAGAGTTGCTCTCAGATATTTGAGCCACAGATTAAATCCAGAAGCTCTAGTGTGAGCAGGGATATCAATACATTTAACCTATTTCAATGTTAGTGTCTTATACCTTGGTCTTTGTTGCTTAGAATCTGTTCCTCACACACATTCCCTGAGTTCCTCTTAATATAAACGAGCAAAAAATGCACAGACCTTTGGTATGTGTGCTATCTCCTATTGGGTCTGAATTTGTGCTAATTATGGGCAAGCAACCAGGAGAGATATTGGGAGTGGGATGGAAGGAGAATCAGTATCTCTATGCAAGAGATGGTCTCAGGGGAAGTCACTGGAGGATCATTAGGCAAGGTAGGGGGAAATGATGGAGGAATTGGCTCAGCAGTGGCTGCTGCTTCTGGAAAGTCAGGCTCAGTGATAGGAGGGGATCAAGATACTCAGTCATTGGGATACATCCAAAAGTTACCATTCCAGTTCTCCAGATCCCAGTCTCGTCTAATCCTTAATTTTCACATAAGAGACCTGATGAAAAAGAAATCAATTGGTGTTTAGCTTCTGTAGCCTATAGGATCAAACCTGGAGTCTGGGTTTTGGATTCCTTGGCTGTATGACTATAAGTACTAAGAGATATATTTTTAGGATCATTATAGAGCTCTCTGCTTCTCTGCACCATAAACTTGCCATTATCTGACTCAAAGCTCTCTATTGCAATATGAAGCAGTCAAATAATTCCAAAGTCTGTATAATAATCATTTCCCCTATAACATTGTATTGGAATAGCCACTTGGCCTTCCAACGTCTTTCTTTTCAGTAGTCACACAGTTGCAAGCATGATAGTTGAAGCAAAGTCTTTCTCTCTGCATGCTGTGAACTACCAATAGCCCATATTTTATTGGTCATGGGATCATTTACTGTCTTCAAATCTAACACAGTCAGATAACCAATTTAAGCTTACCATCTAGGAGGTTCTGTATCCATATCCAATTTTGGTATCAAATTCTGTACCTGAGAGGTTCAGTAAGGAAACTAGAAACCACCATTGCTATTTCTGGGCATTAGAAGCTTCCACAGCTTCTAATTGGGAAGGCCAGAGAAGTGAAAATCACAGAAGGCTTCTACTATCAGCAGGAGCTCAGAAGTGCTGGAATCCTAGAAAACTGTCACCAAATGAGCTCTTATTTCTATAGCACTGCATAGATGATTCTAAGAGGTCACCAAAAAGCCACTGGCAACATTGATAGCCATTTGCCACTGTAGAATAGAAACTTCTATTTTGCCTCTCAAATTTCACTAACAACTTCTCACTGGAAGAATCTAAATGGGACTTTAATGGCAGGGAAGTCTGGTGCTTTCAGCCCATGCAATATGGAGAAGTGCTTGCAAGGCAGGAATGGTACTGAGTTCCAGCATAGAGTGTTTGACCCAATGACAGTGGGGAGAAAATAAAATATCAAGAACTAGGCTTTTCAGAATGTCTCAAATCAAATGAACTAACGATAATTAAATGTAAATTGGATTTTATCAATTCTTGCTGGGTGAATTTGAGCAAGATTCTTAATCTCTTTAAATCATTTCCTCTTCTATAATTGGAGTTAATTATAATACACTTTCTTAATTTTGCTAAGAGGTTTAATATGCATATAATGAGTCTGAAACAAAAGTAAGCAATCATTATTGAATGATGTGATAAACTAATATTTGTCTTGTCTATATGAATGTTTTACTTCTAAATGGATTTCTGTGCATATTATTCTTTGCATATTAATGAAAAGACACAATTTTAGATCTAGGAATAACTTTAAGTGATTTCAGCATAAAAGCTAATCTAGAAACAAGAAAACTCTAGGTACAGTGAGATTAAATATCATATATATTACAATGTAGGTAAACTCAGCCATCTGCTTTACAGTACCTTATTTTATTTACAAGTAAAGATTCATGATCATATCAGCACTGTATTTTGTGCCTAGTTTATATCTACACTGACTAAAGTGAAATCATTAATTTTGAATGCTTTGCCTTGGAAAAAATGATACCATATGGGTCATGAAAATACGATTTATGTTACTTTTAAAGCCAGAAATTAAATAGACATTAACTTTGATAATATTAATTCAAGTTATAATATTTATTCCAATTCAGATCTCCTAAAAGATTCATTCTAATGGGCAAATCACTAAGTATCCTCAGGCTGTTATTAAAACCAAAATTGATAGGTAAAATTTTAAAATTTTTTACCTTTGTAAGAAGGCTTTATCTGATGTTAAATGGTTTGTTTTATTGGGAAACTTCCCATTTTATTATCTATCTGATCATCTAAGTTAGTTATCATTGAGTCGTAAGCAGATCTACATGTTTTATAGCTTTGTTATTCTTTCTGTGTTCAAAGTTTTTTTTAAATTACAGTGGTAGTCTAGAATTTAAAAGGGTGAACAAATGCATGTAACTAATTGCATAATAAACTTTTAGAGTCGGCTATGCAATTATTCCATTTTCCTATTTCAAGCTTATTATCTCTATTACATGCTCCAAAAGTTGATTAGGGTAACCACTTTTCAGCGTAATGATATATTTTACACAGGCAACAAAATACAAAAGATATTTATAGTTTCCTGAAGGTGACAGGTTTGAGTGGAGGAGATGTTATTCATTCATGTATAAATTGCCATTATTATTCTACATCACATGTGTTCTTGCTGAGATATATATAATTATGTGTGTGTATATACGTGTATGTAAGTTTGAAATGCAAGATCAAATTGTACAAATAAAAAGATGTAACTTTATAATTGGTTGTCCCAGGATCTACTATAATGTCTAAAATGTGTGTCATCAATAACTTGTAAAAAAGTGCAATGCTAATAACTGACACATAAAACTCTTTAAGATAAAAGTCATCCCTAAATGATCAGAATCTCTGTCCTTACACAATAAATATCATAATTAACCATATGGATGTGTCCTAACATAAAGAAAGGGTCCTGTAGGATTGCCAATGATTTTTTTTAGATTCCAGGATAACAGTGTTTTTTTTCTCCAATTAGGCCATACACTTAGCAGTTTTAGATACTGTTTTTTTCAACTCCTTGGTATAGCCTAAAATCAGACTTATACTTGAGCCAAAGTAGAGACTACTGGGATAAAATACATTGTGTTTATGTCCAGGCCCTTGTTCCTATGAGTTTAAAACTAATAAAAGAGGCATCCTCCAAGTTGGGAATTGGTGGGAATAATTATAAAAAGGCCTTCTGAAGAGGTATCTCAAAGTCGGGAGTGGCAATTCTATCCCATCACCTTAGTAATGACAGAAATCTAGGACTTGTATTTGTACAGGTAATCCACCTCAATTGCCACAATAGACCAATTTGAGGAACTTGACACATGAAAGGTTTAGTTCCTGCCTACATAAAGTCTAATAAAGGATGACAGGCCGCCCTCTTTCATCCTGTCCCTATGCCATATCAATCCTTGTAAGTCACAGTGGCAAGGCAGGAAAGAGCTGGATAATCTTGAAGGGTGTATTCATGAGCCAGTCTTAGATGTGACTTCCATTACTTCTGACTGTATTCCAATGGCCAGAACTAAATCTAACTGAAAGGGAGACTGAGAAACTCAGGGGCACTGAGCTATTCTGTGATCTCCAAGAAAAACACAGCAGATGTTAATAATCAATTTCCCAGTTCCTCATGTCTATGAATGAATATCATTACAACTAGTGTGATCTTTCTTTTTCTTTCTTTCTCTTTCTTTCTTTCTTTCTTTCTTTCTCTTTCTCTCTCTCTCTCTTCTTTCTCTCTCTCTCTCTTTCTTTCTCTCTCTCTCTTTCTCCCCCCTCCTCTGCTATAAGATAATATAAAGATATTTTACCTTTGAATTCGCCCTTGGGAACTTTCATACCCACTAAGCCCTTTCCTCCCACTCACGGGAGGTAGCTGGGTGGAATTCCCATGGTATCTCACAAACCTCAATTGACTACTATGTGGAATTATGAAGAGTTTTCAATTAATCTGCATACTTGACACTGCTGTCACCCAACATGTCCTTGTGCCATCATATTCTTAGTGTAGCAATAATGCCACTAGATCACCAGTGCTGCTGGCATGACTTATTTAGCTTCTTTTCTCTGTAGCTACTAAAAGGCTGCCATTTTCTTCAAAGCATCTCTAGGTCAGGGTGTGAAACTGAGCTACAGGAAACTATCCACTTTTTCTATTGGCAATGGTGCAAGAACATGTCTCACCATAGCTGTGGACCATTTTGATGGCTGTTTGCTTTCAGATCCCAAACTGGGCAAGAATAAATTCATTCCTCTTTCTCTTTCTCCTCTATGATGTGAGAGGTATGACATTCCCTCTCTCTCAGTCTTATAAGCCAACCTCTCTGTTGTCTTCCCAGCCTCGTAAGTCAACTCAGTTGCTCTAGAGAACTCAGTTTTTCTCATGTTCACTTACTATCAACCACTTCTTAAAGATTTGATGGCAAACTTATCTCAAGTTTTGTGAGTGTTTCCTAGGAAGTTGTTATAATGGCTGTAAAAATTAAGCGCTTACTAAATTTATAGCATAACAGTATTTTATTTTATATTAAAAGCATTAATTTCTGTAATATTAAGAGGAGGTTTTCCATAAAAGAAACTCTTGATAATGCTTAAAATGTTATCCATCTCCTTTATTTTAGCATTTTTAGCTGTATGCAGGCTAATTGCCAGGTGAGAGTATAATCAAAGGAGTGTAATTTGGGGACATTTGTTTCATAAAGACTTCACATGAAGGACAACACTGAGTTCTTAGTTTGGCTCCATAATCTTGGGATTGGTCTACTTTCACTAGAGGGCAAAATCCTTAAGGATAAGAACCATATCTTCTTTATCTCCATATGATCCCAGAGAACTTAAAAAATGCTTCATGATTAAAGGATGCTTCATGCAAGTAATGAAAACTAGGTAAAAATCATAGAAGTAATTAGAAAAATAATTTCCCAACTGTTGGCTATCTTCATTCCTTTTGCATTCAAAAGGAGACCTAGTAGCATTAAATGTGACAGAAAACAAGTGTTTCTGACATTGAAAGTAGAGGTCTTGTCTGTATTATTTACTGATACACCCTTATTATTCACACAAGTGACTGACATATGGTAAACTCTTAACAGTTTTATAAATAAAAGATAAAGGTTTGTTGTTGAATAAAAGTGTTAATGAAAGCCATTTTCTTCAGGTAAAAGCTAGAAGTATTCCCCTTGAGAACTATAACAAAACAAGGATGCTTACTCTCACCACTCCTATTCAATATAGTACTGGAAGTCCTAACCAGAACAGTCAGGCAAGACAAAGAAATAAAAGGCATCCAAATAGGAAAAGAAGAAGTCAAACTATCTCTCTTCACTGACAATATGATTCTATATCTAGAAAACTGTAAAGACTCCTCTTAAAATCTCCTGGAACTGATAAATGACTTCAGTAAAGTCTCAGGATACAAAATCAATGTACAAAAATGAGTAACCTTTCTATAATAACGTTCAAATTGAAAACCAAGTCAAGAACACAATGCCATTTACAACTGACACACACACACAAATAAAATGCCTAGGAACACATCTAACCAAGGAGGTGAAAGCTCTCTATAAGAAGAACTACAAAACACTGCTGAAAGAGATCATAGATGATGCAGACAAATGGAAAACCATTCCATGCTTATAGATAGGAAGAATCAATGTTGTTAAAATGGCCACACTGCCCAAAGCAATCTACAGATTCAATGCTATTTCAATGAAATGACTAATACCATTTTTCACAGAATTAGAAAAAAACTTTACTACAATTTTTGTGGAACCAAAAAGGAGCCTGAATAGCCAAAGCAATCCTAAGCAAAAAGAACAAAGCTGGAGGCATCACATTATGTGACTTCAAACTATACTATATGGTGACAGTAACCAAAACAACATGGCACTGGTACAAAAAGATAATAGAACAATGGAACAAAATAGAACAACTACAAATAAAGCCATACATCTACATCCACCTGAACTTCAACATAGTCGACAAAAATAAGCAATGGAGAAAGGATTCCCCTATTTAATAAATGGTGCTGGAAAAGCTGACTAGACATATGCAGAAGAATAAAACTTGATGCCTACTTTTCATCATATACAAAAATTAACTCAAGATGGATTAAAAATTTAAATGTAAGACCTCAAATTATAAGACCACTAGAAGAAAACCTAGGATACACCATTCAGAACATTGGCCTCGAGAAAGAATTTATGACTGAATCCTCAAAAGTAGTTGCAACAGAAAGAAAAATTGAAAAGTGGGACCTAATTAAACTAAAGATCTTCTGCACAGCAAAAGAAACTATCAACAGCGTAAACAGACTACCTACAGAATGGGAGAAAATATTTGCAAACTATGCATCTGACAAAGGTCTAATATCCGGAATCTGTAAGGAATGTGAACAATTCAACAAGCAAAAAACAAACAACCCCATTAAAAAGTGGGCCAAAGGCATGAACAGACCCCTCTAAAAAGAAGACATACAAACAGCTAAGAAACATGAAAAAATGCTCAGTATCACTAATCATCAGAGAAATGCAAATCAAAACCGCAATGAGATACTGTCTCATACAATTCAGAATGACTATTATTAAAAGGCGAAAAAACAACAGATGTTGGTGGGGCGACAGAGAAATGGGAACACTTACACACTGCTGATGGGAATGTAAATTAGTTCAGCCAGCATGGAAAGCAGTTTGGAGATTTCTCAAAAAACTTAAAACACAACTACTATTTCACCCAGCAATCCCATTACTGTGTATATATCCAAAGGAATATATATCATTCTACGAAAAAGACACATGCACTCACATGTTCATCACAGCACTATTCACAGTAGCAAAGACATGGAATAAACCTAGGTGCTCCTCAATGACAGATTGGATAAAGAAAACATGGTCCATATACACCATGGAATATCATGCAGCCATAAAAAATAATAAAATTGGCTGGACGAGGTGGCTCATGCCTGTAATCCCAGCACTTTGGGAGGCCAGCGTGGGTGGATCAAGAGGTCAAGAGATTGAGACCATCCTGACCAACATGGTGAAATCCCAACTCTACTAAAAATACAAAAATTAGCTGGGCATGGTGGTGCACACCTAGTCCCAGCTACTCAGGAGGCTGAGGCAGAATTGCTTGAACCCAGGAGGCAGAGGTTGCAGTGAGCCAAGATTGAGCCACTGCACTCCAGCCTAGCGACAGAGCGAGACTCCATCCAAAAATAATAATAAGAACAATAATAATAATGAAATTATGTCCTTTGCAGCAACACAAATGCAACTGGAGATCATTATCTTAAGTGCATTAATGCAGGAACAGAAAGCCAAATACCACATATTCTCACTTATAAGTGGGAACTAAATATTGGGAACTTATGGACATGAAGATGGCAACAATAGATATCAATAGGGTACTACTAAAGTAGGGATGCAGGAGTGAGGCAAGGACTGAAAAACTACCGGGTACTAAGCTCAGTACCTGGATGACAGGATCAGTCATACCCCAAACCTCAGCATCAAGCAATATACCCATGTAACAAATCTGCACACGTACCCCTTGAATCAAAAATAAAAGCTGAAATTATAAAAAATAAAAATAAAATTATTTTGTTGTAGTTGAAGATGTGCTAATATTGCATCATTGTTTGCATTTCTTTGAGTTGTGCTTTACATAGTATTCCTGATCAATATTTATTCAAAAGAAGAAAAATGACGTGCAAGTTTAAAGATTGCATAATTATTCTAAATATATTTTTAGGAAACATCATCATTGATATATGATGTTTCTTTCTGCTTTTTTTTTGATTTATATTAAAGGAGAAACTACTTCTGAATTTGTTTGTTTATTTTAGACCTAAAGACATCAGGATGTAAAGCAAAGATATTGAGGTTAGCCATCCATTAACAAGAGTTAAGAAATCACCCAGTCCACCTAGCTGGAGTGATAGGGAAAGTTTCCAGGAATCTAATTCAGCAGTCTTTCACAAAGCAGATCTTTCACTTTCAAATCTAGTGTGCCAAATCAAATATCACACACTGTTTTAATCCATTTACATATGCAAAAAACTAGAGCACAAAAATTTCTGTAACTCAGGCTCTGTTTCCAGGCTTTCAAACTCATTTTGTAACTCTGTCCTGGCAATTCCATAGACAAATCATTTGGTCACCTGTTCTGTCTAGCTCAGGAGCTCCCACTGGGCACTGCATTTTCAGCAGCCTCTAATTGGCATAGGCATGGTACAGCCCAGCACCCAGCCAGAGCATCACATGGCATAGAAACTCAATAAATGGATTTTACTGGATTGAATTAAGCTGTTATGATTAGATCATTAATAATTCAAAGTAACCTCTATTTTCATTCTTTTCCCTTTTGCCCACACATTACACAAGGAAGAATCAAGGAAGGTCTTTTTATTCTATCCAGACAAATATATATGTGCAAGGATCATATTTTTTTGAAAAAAATAAAATAGTGAAAGGGGAATTAGTTCCTCTTTCATTATTCAGAGTTTTTAAAAAGTATAGTGTTTCATATTATAATGAATAACAGAATTGATCCCAAGTGGGATTAAAATGGTTTAGATTTCAAGGAGACAAAATAGTTCTCAAGTTATTTTTCTTCTAGCTCTGTCAATCAACTGAAGTCTAATTTATCCCTCCATGGTTAATTTTTAAAAGCAGGATGATAAGGAAGTGTAGATCCAGGAGTTATCTTAAACTTCTCCCTCTCCCTAACCCTGTTATCTAATCAGTCCCCAAGTCCTGTAAATCCTACTCCTTAATATCTCTTAAGCCCTTTCCACTGCCACTACCTTATTTCAGAACCTTATCACATCTCAGTTGCTTTCCAACTCTTCTCCCTGAATCCAGTTTCATTTCTGTTCAATTCAGCCTCAACTGTGTTTCCAGAATGATTTTTCTACCATCAGAATCAATCATGTTAGCCTTCTGATTAAAATGTCCCAATATGTCCGGTGAAACTGTGCAATGCATCTCCTGGAGAGACGTTTTATCAGATGAGATTCCAAGCCTGTGGAATGCCATAAACCCTGGATAAGGGAGCTGGTTGAAGCTTTGTGGGCAGAAAATGAAAGCCCAAAGCCAGAATAAGTATCCCTGCAAAGATGAACTGCTGGCCTTTCCCACATGGAAAGTACCCAGTGTGGTTGACTTGCTATCAAGAAGCTGGTTGTTCACTTGAAAAACAGGGACATCAGGTCTTACCATAGTTCTTTGCTGCTGATAGGTTGGAGGGCCAGTGGTAGCAGGACGTAGATCAGCCGTGGTAATTGGGAATCCATGCTGTTGGGCCCATGTATAGCCTCCATCGCTGCCCTCATGGCACCTCTATTAATTTTCCTGTCACACAAGTTCTGGTGTGGCTGCTGACAAAGGCTGGCAAACATCAACTAACCTAGTCATTTTGTCTTCCTGGGTTGGTCAGACACTCTTTCATGGAGGATGTTCTCTGATGGACCATAATGGGTGCGGTAAACTCTTTTTTGGTGTGTCCACTCACTGCCATGTATCTACTACTTGCCTTTACTCCAGACCTCCTTATCTCATAGTCTAAGCCTTCTACTTTCAGGAAGAAATCAAGCATTTTTGCTTACCTTCTGGCTCTCTAAACCAAGATTTAGCTCTTCCAAAAAGAGTTTTATGATTATCTCCCCACAAAGTTGACATTCATGCTCCACCTTTTGGCTGCCATAGGATCTGTACTTCCGTAAGTGGTAACATCTACTGTCCTTTACTATAGTAGTAGGTTCCCTTGATTTATCCATCTCTCTGAGTGGGGATGTCCAAACACACACACACACGTGTGCACACACACACACACCCTCAGCACACGCACGCGCGCACACACACACACACCCCCTCACATACCTCCTAACATGGTGCTAGAAGGGATGCCCAATAATGTTTGTAGATTAATTATATTTTGCACTATCACAGTTTCATTAATTATTTATGGGACATACTTGTGAGTTACTTTAGGTTTTCTGCAAGAATTTAATGAGGTGACCCTAAAATATAATGTACTTTGCTTCACAAGACTTTTAATATCAAATATTTTAATAACTCCACTGAAGAAGTATAGAGAAATTACCTCACATATATTTCTTTACTTGAACAGGGTTGGAAGTCAATGCATATTTGTTAATTGCTTGTTCTATAGAGAAATATATTTTCATTTTTATAGAATTCTACCTAATCCTAATTTGATTATTTATAATTTACTAAATGATAATAAAGTAATTACTAATATATCCATTGTATTAAAGCCATAGGGAATAACTGCCAAAAATTTTAAGAATTAGATTTAAAAGACTCAATCTCATTGATGTCACGAGTTCCAATTTTGTCATGATTATTCTGATTCTTTATAATTTTCTAATTGACACATTATATTTTTATAATTGAACTCATTAGACAATGTGTTAGTCAGTCCTGTGGCTGCCATAACAAAATACAATAGACCGAGAGGCTTAAAACAACAAATATTTGTTTCTCATAGTTCTAGAGGCTGGAAGTCCAAGATCAAGGTGCTGGGGGACTCTGTGTCTGGTGAGGACCTCTTTTATGGTTCATAGATACCATCTTCTTGCTGCGTCCTCACATGGTGGAAAGAAGGTGAGAAAGCTCTCTGGAGTCCCCTTTATAAGAGCACTGATTCCATTCATGAGGGCTCCACCCTCAGGACCTAATTACCTCCCAAAGGCCCCACCTCCAAATGCCATCACATTGGAGGTTTGGATTTCAACATATGAATTTTGGGGGACACAAACATTCAATCCATTGTAACAACCTAAAGAAATGTTTTTGTTTTCCCGGGTGGCTCAATGCTCAGTGATAAAAGACATTATAGTTTATATCATTATGTTTATAATATATTATTATAATATTTCCCAAACAGTAAATTAATGTACAAATATGGTTTCTGTGTGTCTGTGGAATTTTTAGGTGATAAGCAGTACCATCTATGAATGAAAGAATAAAATTAATTTGAGTAAATTTTTAGTATTAATATCCCACTCACCCTTTGAGGCTCACTTAAATACCAGTTTCTCCATGAAATTTTCCTGAACTCCCCATAACCTCTTCCTTCTCTAAACCAAAGGTCTCTATAATGGGCTATCAGCTCCCTCCCTGGGGGTACTTTACACAGCCAAAGGTGGTGTTAAGGGAATTATTTTTCAGATTCACCTTAAAATTCTTGGGAACTCTCTAAGGATGCATCCCCCATGGGGGTACAGGTTCACTTTTTTTTTTTTTTTTTTTTGAGATGGAGTTTCACTCTTGTTGCCCAGGATGGAGTGCAATGGCGAGATCTCGGCTCACCGCAACCTCCGCCTCCTGGGTTCAAGCGATTCTCCTGCCTCAGCCTCCTGAGTAGCTGAGATTACAGGCATGCACCACCACACCCGGCTAATTTTGTATTTTTAGCAGAGACGGGGTTTCTCCATATTGGTCAGGCTGGTCTCGAACTCCTGACCTCAGGTGATCTGCCTGCCTCGGCCTCCCAAATTGCTGGGATTACAGGCGTGAGCCACCGTGCGCCACCGTGCCCAGCAGTTTCACCTGTTTTACTTTCCACTTCATGATTTACTGTCTCCCACTTTACTCAAGCAGGTACACACCTTAAGGAGCTCTGAGACCGTGAAAACCTGGGGTGCCCTAAACAAAGAATTTGTTCAAAACAGTGGTGTAGGAGTTCTTTGAGTGGTAGATGGGTTTTCAAGTTAGAAGGAATTCAAAGAATTGACAGGCAAGGCAATAATAAAAATACTCTATTTACTCATGAGAACCGTTTCTCATACTTTGCATCCATCTGATTTATAAAAAAGAGTAGAGCTGATGCTACATTTGTCTCGTTTTAGTGATATGCATTTTTTTATCCATGGATCCATTAACTAATGTTTAAAAAGCATTCTCACCTAACACATCAAAAGATGGATTTCAAGCAAAATTTTACTTCTCAAGCTTTACAATTGTTTCTCAAAATTTGTAATATATTTATGTTATGTTGGTAAATTGTAAACTGAAATTGAAAATAAAATTGAAACTCTTAATGGTTTCAATGATAATCTGGAAGATACTATATTAACTTTAGATACGGTCACAAGAAATAAAAGCATTCTAGATTTTATATTTATATCTATAATTTTGTTGCAGAGTGGCAGGACAGGGTGACCACATTTCAAACATAAAATATACTATACTAGAGGGAAATTCTGTGAGGAAGTAAAATGATAATGCAAGTTGAAGAAAGAAAAAAAATAGAGACTTTCAGGTTTTCCAAGAAGAATTTGTTCATATTTTGTTAAAATGGATGATGTGGGTATCAAATCAATAGATAGTTTAAATTCTTTTAGATACATTTAAAAGAGCGAAATATTTGTTTCTATTTAAAATGTCAATATTTATAGTGCTTTGGAAATAATATCTTTTGCTAGTATTTAATCATTTGACTGAATTTTTTAGCTTTCATGGTAAACAGTATGTCAGGGGTAAATTGTTTTACAAAGTTATTTGGGGGATATTGAAATAAAAATATTTCCCCAAAAACCCATTGAAATAACAAATAAAAAATAAAAAAGAAGAAAATTAGAACGATGAAAGAGCTGCTGCATTCATGTTTCCTAATAATAAGTGGCAATGAGCAGATAGAAAAATGGAGAGCAAGAAAGATATATCCAAAAAGCACTACTTTTAAGGGGCTACTTGGAACAGAAATTTTTAAAAAAAGAAATAAAACTGTTTAAAATTCCTACTCTAACATTCTATGACATATAGTGCTGACACATACTCTGGATTTCAAATGTCTTGAATGGTCCTAGAAGGCAGGATAGCTTTGTGTCTCCACATGTGGGCCCTGTTCTGGGAGTTGGCTGGCGGTGGAGTAGTGCCGGGATCTGTGTTTTTAGGGGAATCCAAATGCAGGCTGTGAGCCAAGAGGGAGCTGCCCAAATAAGCCTCCCTTGGTGCTGCATCCTCGCCGGGCCCATGTGCCTTCCTCTTCTCCTTAGTCTGGTGTCTCTTCCAACCTCCAGGTATACCCTGGGATTTTTGTTGCCTGCTCCTCGCTGCTTCCTAGTATTTAAGTCCTTTCAATATCTTTCTCATATCTCATCCTCTACTGGGTGAGTTCATAACATCCCTACCACCATTCTTACTCAGAGGACATCACTAATCAATGACAAAAACCCTCCCCAAACACAAAGGCACAGCCTTAGAATCTATTTTCTCATGTGTTCCGTTCAGCCACTGTCTAATGACGGAAGTTAGCCCTTGAATTGAAGCTCGTTTGCCTTTCCAGGTTGCACCTTGTGCCTGTCCCCCACCCTATGACCCCAGAATTGCCCCATTTCTGTATTATTCTATTTCTCTATCTGTGTTGGTCATACTTATGAGTATTTATTGCAAGCATTGTAATAAGCTGTTTCCTGCTGGACATATGGCCCTCATTAAGCTTAGAATATTTGTATCTTCTCATATTTTTAGTGAAGTTTTCTGTTCTGCAAGTTGAAGTATATGATCACTACAGTAATATAGGATAAAATATTTTAATCTTCTGAATCTCTATGTCCTTCAAAAGACTACAACTTTTCAAGCCTAACTATAGGACAAATGGCATTTGCCTCTGAACTGGTAAAGAGACTCAAAAGACAAAAATAGGAGGAGAACAACATGGGACAATAGAAACAATTATTTTTCTATTTTATTTAAAATACCTTATGCCTTAAAGATATAAAGTATATAATGTATACTGCTTTTTTAATTGGCAGTAAGGCAGATACATATTAATGGAAAAACAATATTAGAGACTACAGTTTGGAGAAGAAAAATTTCAATATTTTGGAGAATAAACAGTCACTGAAACTAAAGGACCATTTAGTAAAGATGTTTAGATGACTTACTTCAGTGATAAGAATGATACAAAAAAACAGACATTTTCCCTCTCTTTTTTTTTTTTTTTTTGAGACAGAGTCTTGCTCTGTCACCTAGGCTGGAGTGCAGTGGCATGATCTTGGCTGAATGTAGCCTCCACCTCCTGGGTTCAAGAGATTCTCCTGTCTCAGCCTCTCGAGTAGCTGGGACTACAGGTATGTGCCACCATACCTGGCTAATTTTTGTAATTTTTAAAATAGAGACGGGGTTTCACCATGTTGGCCAGGCTGGACTCGAACTCCTGACCTCAGGTGATCTGCCTGCCGTAGCTTCCCAAAGTGCTGGGATTACAGGAATGTTTTTGTACTTCTAAGTATTGGAGAATGCTCAAAATGTTTCTCAAATGCAGTCATAATTCTGTATAAAATTTTGTGGATACAAAAAAACATTCTTAGAAAACTCTTTGAATGTGGTACAAGGGCAGATGTCATTTTAAATTATTAATGGTTAGTAACATAATTGTGTCAGAATTGAAGTTCTTTTTCTGAATGTGTAGTGGCAACAATTGTCTTTATTAAGGGTATAGAGAGACTGAATATCAGAGCTTGTTATTATTAAAATTCTACCTTGATTTGGACACTTGGAAAAAATATGATAAAATGTTTTCTATTGTTTTTCCTGTTTGAATCTTAATAGTTGAATATAGAGAAATTTCATTTAGTGCAGCAATGCTGTGTGAGCTGAAGCGTGATTCCTGGAGCTATTGAAACCCAAACCTGCTGAGGATCTGCTATGGGGCGACTTCCTGAACATTTTTTATAATTGGGCATGGCAGTGATGATTCCCATGTAAAAATGTTGTGAGGATTAAATTAAATGATGCACACAAAGCGTGCAGTGCATTCCAAAATTATCATGATACATGAAGCATCAGTGAAATTAAAAACTTGCAGTGCACCAAAATGGAGAATTAGTTACATAGATTGGCTACTTCTCAAAGATGGGATATTATCCTGCCATTAAATGTTATACTGAAGACGAATATTTAATAATCTATGAAAATATTCACATCATAGTTTTATGAGAAAAAACAGGTTATTGCTTCAGATTATTGTATAATTGAATTTATAGGCATGATACTCCACAACTTTGTAATAGGCTAGGGGTTTTTGGAAAAGAAGAAAGCTAAAATTTCTGAATTGAGCAATGGGCTCATTGGAGGTGCTGTTTTGCTGAGAAAGGAAAGAGAAGAAGAGCAAGTTTCTTTTTTTTTATTTTTTATTTTATTTATTTATTTATTTTTTATTTTTTTATTCTTATACTTTAAGTTTTAGGGTACATGTGCACAATGTGCAGGTTAGTTACATATGTATACATGTGACATGCTGGTGCGCTGCACCCACTAACTCGTCATCTAGCATTAGGTATACCTCCCAATGCTATCCCTCCCCGCTCCCCCCACCCCACAACAGTCCCCAGACTGTGATGTTCCCCTTCCTGTGTCCAAGTGTTCTCATTGTTCAATTCCCACCTATGAGTGAGAATATGCAGTGTTTGGTTTTTTGTTCTTGCAATAGTTTACTGAGAATGATGATTTCCAATTTCATCCATGTCCCTACAAAGGACATGAACTCATCATTTTTTACGGCTGCATAGTATTCCATGGTGTATATGTGCCACATTTTCTTAATCCAGTCTATCATTGTTGGACATTTGGGTTGGTTCCAAGTCTTTGCTATTGTGAATAGTGCCGCAATAAACATAACGTCTGCATGTGTCTTTATAGCAGCATGATTTATAGTCCTTTGGGTATATACCCAGTAACGGGATGGCTGGGTCAAATGGTATTTCTAGTTCTAGATCCCTGAGGAATCGCCACACTGACTTCCACAATGGTTGAACTAGTTTACAGTCCCACCAACAGTGTAAAAGTGTTCCTATTTCTCCACATCCTCTCCAGCACCTGTTGTTTCCTGACTTTTTAATGATTGCCATTCTAACTGGTGTGAGATGGTATCTCATTGTGGTTTTGATTTGCATTTCTCTGATGGCCAGTGATGGTGAGCATTTTTTCATGTGTTTTTCGGCTGCATAAATGTCTTCTTTTGAGAAGTGTCTGTTCATGTCCTTTGCCTACTTTTTGATGGGGTTGTTTGTTTTTTTCTTGTAAATTTGTTGGAGTTCATTGTAGATTCTGGATATTAGACCTTTGTCAGATGAGTAGGTTGTGAAAATTTTCTCCCATTTTGTGGGTTGCCTGTTCACTCTGATGGTAGTTTCTTTTACTGTGCAGAAGCTCTTTAGTTTAATGAGATCCCATTTGTCAATTTTGGCTTTTGTTGCCATTGCTTTTGGTGTTTTAGACATGAAGTCCTTGCCCATGCCTATGTCCTGAATGGTAATGCCTAGGTTTTCTTCTAGGGTTTTTATGGTTTTAGGTCTAACGTTTAAGTCTTTAATCCATCTTGAATTGATTTTTGTATAAGGTGTAAGGAAGGGATCCAGTTTCAGCTTTCTACATATGGCTAGCCAGTTTTCCCAGCACCATTTATTAAATAGGGAATCCTTTCCCCATTGCTTGTTTTTCTCAGGTTTGTCAAAGATCAGATAGTTGTAGATATGCGGCGTTATTTCTGAGGGCTCTGTTCTGTTCCATTGATCTATATCTCTGTTTTGGTACCAGTACCATGCTCTTTTGGTTACTGTAGCCTTGTAGTATAGTTTGAAGTCAGGTAGCGTGATGCCTCCAGCTTTGTTCTTTTGGCTTAGGATTGACTTGGTGATATGGGCTCTTTTTTGGTTCCATATGAACTTTAAAGTAGTTTTTTCCAATTCTGTGAAGGAAGTCATTGGTAGCTTGATGGGGATGGCATTGAATCTGTAAATTACCTTGGGCAGTATGGCCATTTTCACGATATGGATTCTTCCTACCCATGAGCATGGAATGTTCTTCCACTTGTTTGTATCCTCTTTTATTTCCTTGAGCAGTGGTTTGTAGTTCTCCTTGAAAATGTCCTTCACGTCCCTTGTAAGGTGGATTCCTAGGTATTTTATTCTCTTTGAAGCAATTGTGAATGGGAGTTCACTCATGATTTGGCTCTCTGTTTGTCTGTTGTTGGTGTATAAGAATGCTTGTGATTTTTGTACATTGATTTTGTATCCTGAGACTTTGCTGAAGTTGCTTATCAGCTTAAGGAGATTTTGGGCTGAGACAGTGGGGTTTTCTAGATATACAATCATGTCGTCTGCAAACAGGGACAATTTGACTTCCTCTTTTCCTAATTGAATACCCTTTATTTCCTTCTCCTGCCTGATTCCCCTGGCCAGAACTTCCAACACTATGTTGAATAGGAGTGGTGAGAGAGGGCATCCCTGTCTTGTGCCAGTTTTCAAAGGGAATGCTTCCAGTTTTTGCCCATTCAGTATGATATTGGCTGTGGGTTTGTCATAGATAGCTCTTATTATTTTGAGATACGTCCCATCAATACCTAATTTATTGAGAGTTTTTAGCATGAAGGGTTGTTGAATTTTGTCAAAGACCTTTTCTGCATCTATTGAGATAATCATGTGGTTTTTGTCTTTGGTTACGTTTATATGCTGGATTACGTTTATTGATTTGCGTATGTTGAACCAGCCTTGCATCCCAGGGATGAAGCCCATTTGATCATGGTGGATAAGCTTTTTGATGTGCTGCTGGATTCGGTTTGCCAGTATTTTATTGAGGTTTTTTGCATCAATGTTCATCAAGGATATTGGTCTAAAATTCTCTTTTTTGGTTTTGTCTCTGCCCGGCTTTGGTATCAGGATGATGCTGGCCTCATAAAATGAGTTAGGGAGGATTCCCTCTTTTTCTATTGATTGGAATAGTTTCAGAAGGAATGGTACCAGTTCCTCCTTGGATCTCTGGTAGAATTCGGCTGTGAATCCATCTGGTCCTGGACTCTTTTTGGTTGGTAAGCTATTGATTATTGCCACAATTTCAGATCCTGTTATTGGTCTATTCAGAGATTCAACTTCTTCATGGTTTAGTCTTGGGAGAGTGTATGTGTCGAGGAATTTATCCATTTCTTCTAGATTTTCTAGTTTATTTGCATAGAGGTGTTTGTAATATTCTCTGATGGTAGTTTGTATTTCTGTGGGATCAGTGGTGATATCCCCTTTATCATTTTTTATTGCGTCTATTTGATTCTTCTCTCTTTTTTTCTTTATTAGTCTTGCTAGTGGTCTATCAATTTTGTTGATCCTTTCAAAAAAGCAGCTCCTGGATTCATTAATTTTTTGAAGAGTTTTTTGTGTCTCTATTTCCTTCAGTTCTCCTCTGATTTTAGTTATTTCTTGCCTTCTGCTAGCTTTTGAATGTGTTTGCTCTTGCTTTTCTAGTTCTTTTAATTGTGATGTTAGGGTGTCAATTTTGGATCTTTCCTGCTTTCTCTTGTGGGCATTTAGTGCTATAAATTTCCCTCTACACACTGCTTTGAATGCATCCCAGAGATTCTGGTATGTTGTGTCTTTGTTCTCGTTGGTTTCAAAGAACATCTTTGTTTCTGCCTTCATTTCGTTATGTACCCAGTAGTCATTCAGGAGCAGGTTGTTCAGTTTCCGTGTAGTTGAGCGGTTTTGAGTGAGATTCTTAATCCTGATTTCTAGTTTGATTGCACTGTGGTCTGAGAGATAGTTTGTTATAATTTCTGTTGTTTTACATTTGCTGAGGAGAGCTTTACTTCCAAGTATGTGGTCAATTTTGGAATATGTGTGGTGTGGTGCTGAAAAAAATGTATATTCTGTTGATTTGGGGTGGAGAGTTCCGTAGATGTCTATTAGGTCCGCTTGGTGCAGAGCTGAGTTCAATTCCTGGGTATCCTTGTTGACTTTCTGTCTCGTTGATCTGTCTAATGTTGACAGTGGGGTGTTAAAGTCTCCCATTATTAATGTGTGGGAGTCTAAGTCTCTTTGTAGGTCACTCAGGACTTGCTTTATGAATCTGGGTGCTCCTGTATTGGGTGCATATATATTTAGGATAGTTAGCTCTTCTTGTTGAATTGATCCTTTTACCATTATGTAAAGGATGTAATGGCCTTCTTTGCCTCTTTTGATCTTTGTTGGTTTAAAGTCTGTTTTATCAGAAACTAGGATTGCAACCCCTGCCTTTTTTTGTTTTCCATTTCCTTGGTAGATCTTCCTCCATCCTTTTATTTTGAGCCTATGTGTGTCTCTGCATGTGAGATGGGTTTCCTGAATACAACACACTGATGGTTCTTGACTTTTTATCCAATTTGCCAGTCTTTGTCTTTTAATTGGTGCATTTAGTCCATTTACATTTAAAGTTAATATTGTTATGTGTGAATTTGAACTTGTCATTGTGATGTTAGCTGGTAATTTTGCTTGTTAGTTGATGCGGTTTCTTCCTAGTCTCTATGGTCTTTACATTTTGGCATGATTTTGCAGCGGCTGGTACTGGTTGTTCCTTTCCATGTTTAGTGCTTCCTTCAGGAGCTCTTTTAGGGCAGGCCTGGTGGTGACAAAATCTCTCAGCATTTGCTTGTCTGTAAAGTATTTTATTTCTCCTTCACTTATGAAGCTTAGTTTGGCTGGGTATGAAATTCTGTGTTGAAAATTCTTTTCTTTAAGAATGTTGAATATTGGCCCCCACTCTCTTCTGGCTTGTAGAGTTTCTGTGGAGAGATCCGCTGTTAGTCTGATGGGCTTCCCTTTGAGGGTAACCCGACCTTTCTCTCTGGCTGCCCTTAACATTTTTTCCTTCATTTCAACTTTGGTGAATCTGACAATTATGTGTCTTGGAGTTGCTCTTCTCAAGGAGTATCTTTGTGGCGTTCTCTGTATTTCCTGAATCTGAATGTTGGCCTGCCTTGCTAGATTGGGGAAGTTCTCCTGGATAATATCCTGCAGAGTGTTTTCCAACTTGGTTCCACTCTCCCCGTCACTTTCAGGTACACCAATCAGACGTAGATTTGGTCTTTTCATATAGTCCCATATTTCTTGGAGGCTTCGTTCGTTTCCTTTTATTCTTTGTTCTCTAAACTTCCCTTCTCGCTTCATTTCATTCATTTTATCTTCCATCACTGATACCTTTTCTTCCAGTTGATCACATCGGCTCCTGAGGCTTCTGCATTCTTCACGTAGTTCTTGAGCCTTGGCTTTCAGCTCCATCAGCTCCTTTAAGCACTTCTCTGTATTGGTTATTCTAGTTATACATTTGCCTAAATTTTTTTCAAAGTTTTTAACTTCTTTGCCTTTGGTTTGAATTTCCTCCTGTAGCTCGGAGTAGTTTGATCGTCTGAAGCCTTCTTCTCTCAACTCGTCAAAGTCATTCTCTGTCCAGCTTTGTTCCATTGCTGGTGAGAAACTGTGATCCTTTGGAGTAGGAGAGGCGCTCTGCTTTTTAGAGTTTCCAGTTTTTCTGCTCTGTTTTTCCCCCATCTTTGTGGTTTTATCTACTTTTGGTCTTTGATGATGGTGATGTACAGATGGGTTTTTTTGTGTGGATGTCCTTTCTGTTTGTTAGTTTTCCTTCTAACAGACAGGACCCTCAGCTGCAGGTCTGTTGAAGTTTGCTAGAGGTCCACTCCAGACCCTATTTGCCTGGGTATCAGCAGCAGTGTCTGTAGAACAGTGGTTTTTTGTGAACCGCGAATGCTGCTGTCTGATCGTTCCTCTGGAAGTTTTGTCTCAGAGGAGTACCCGGCCGTGTGAGGTGTCAGTCTGCCCCTACTGGGGGGTGCCTCTCAGTTAGGCTGCTCAAGGGTCAGAGGTCAGGGACCCACTTGAGGAGGCAGTCCGCCCGTTCTCAGATCTCCAGCTGCGTGCTGGGAGAACCACTGCTCTCTTCAAAGCTGTCAGACAGGGACATTTAAGTCTGCAGAGGTTACTGCTGTCTTTTTGTTTTTCTGTGCCCTGCCCCAAGAGGTGGAGCCTACAGAGGCAGGCAGGCCTCCTTGAGCTGTGGTGGGCTCCACCCAGTTGGAGCTTCCCGGCTGCTTTGTTTACCTAAGCAAGCCTGGGCAATGGCGGGCGCCCCTCCCCCAGCCTCACTGCCACCTTGCAGTTTGATCTCAGACTGCTGTGCTAGCAATCAGTGAGACCCCGTGGGCGTAGATCCCTCCCAGCCATGTGCAGGATATAATCTCCTGGTGCGCCGTTTCTTAAGCCAGTCGGAAATGCGCAGTATTCGGGTGGGAGTGACCCGATTTTCCAGGTGCCGACTGTCACCCCTTTCTTTGACTAGGAAAGGGAACTCCCTGGCCCCTTGCACTTCCAGAGTGAAGCAGTGCCTCGCCCTGCTTCGGCTGGTGCACGGTACGCTGCACCCACTGACCTGTGCCCACTGTCTGGCACTCCCTAGTGAGATGAACCCGGTACCTCAGATGGAAATGCAGAAATCACCCGTCTTCTGCATCGCTCATGCTGGGAGCTGTAAACCGGAGCTTTTCCTATTTGGCCATCTTGGCTCCTCCCCCAGAAGAGCAAGTTTCTAAGGAAAGTGTTAAATTCCATTGCAGAACCACAAACATTTCTTTCAATTCTTCAAAGTAGGTCATGGAGGAGACACAGCTATGATGTTTTCCTTCAAAGCAAGCCTGCTATTCAAAGGCTGAAGCCACTAACACCTTTCAGCTATGGAAGCTGGGAAGAGCTCAGGCAGCCCAGACACAGCTGTCTGGGTCCTGTGACATGTGCTTGTTCAAGCCCCAGCTCTGTCACTTATCTTCTTGAACCTGGGCTGCTTCATTAGCTAATCTGCACCTCATTGTCTTCATGTGGACAATGCAGGTAATAGTAACAGCGCCTACTCAGAGATCCGCCATTGCAATGCACTTAGACCAGTGATTCACAACTGGGACTGATTATACCCCGGGGTCATTTGGCAATGTCTGGATACATTTTTGGTCATCACAACGGGGGCAGGGATGCTACTGGAATTGAGGGAGTGGAGGCCAAGTATGCTACTAGACATCCTACGATGCACAGGAAAGCCTCCCCTCACCCACTAATGTCAATGGTGCCAAGGTTGGGAAATCCTGCTTAGAATCTGTCATAGATTAAGCTCAAAGAAAGTTAACGACTATTATTTTATCAGCTTGTGTACCTCTGGATATTCATTTCCTTGCTGACATTAACACAATTCTTATCTCAGCACTCTGAAACAGTATCCATTTTTGGTCAGCAAATGATTTCGCTCTTCTTCCCACACATAAAGCACGCTCACCATCGCCCTCTAGAGAAAACACAATATCCCACTCTGTCACCGTGTGCAGCTATGGTTCAGGATCTATGGGTAGGACTGTGTCCTACTCATCAGTCCTACCCGGATGTGGCACTAATCTGGTTCCTGAGGACTAAAGAGACAAATCATCTGCTTCCCCTCACCATAAGCCCCAAGGCAGGAACCTTGGTGTTTCTTAAGCTGTGAGGAAGGAGTTGCTTTACTTGGCTGTTAGGTTTTTTTTTTTTTCCCTAATCGATCATGGACTAATGTTTTTTAATAATTAACAAAAATGGATAACTGGAAAAAATAAAATAAAAAAGCAATATACAAAATACAGGTCTGATCTTTGATTGTTAAATTCAATAGTCACAAAATTACATTTCCATACATATAATGATAATAAACCTAGCACAAACAAACCAAAAAACTTACAAAATTACTCATTGAGAATGTATTTTGGGAAGATTAATATAGAGAATTACTATGACACTCGTTATGAGTAAAACAGCGGTTCCTGAATAAAACACCTTTATGCTTGAATAAACATTGTGCATTGAATAAACATTGTGCATGCTTTTCACTTGAAAAATTAACTTATCTCTGGTTTGTTCATTTACATAATCTAGATTGGATTGATGACAGCCCTTCTCAAGGGCTAACGTGTATCTAAACTGTTCTTAAGTTTTGTTCTAATGATTCTCAATCATAGGGACATTGCAGTCGCAGAGGTATCTTTATGTAAGCAGGAGAAGAAATCATAAAGTATTTTCAGCAAGCTCAAGATATTCACTTTTAACTTTTATTTAAAATGAAATAAGTAACATTCTCAAAATTCAACTTCAATTCTTCATCAGTAGTCAGTTTCAATAATTCATTTGGTAAAGATACAGTAAAATTTAAATTATTTTTTAGGAAAAGAAATGGATTTTCTATTACATATCATCATGCACCATATAACAATGTTTTTGTCAACTACAGATAATGTATACAACAATGGTACCATAAGATTATAATAGAGCTGCCCTATACATGTCTACCATTTTTTATCTTTTATATCTTATTTTGGATGTACTTTTATATTTAAATATGTTTAGATACACAAATACTTACCATTGTGTTACAGTTGCCTACAATATTCAATACAGTAACATGCTCTACAGGTGTGTAGCCTAGGAGCAATAGGCTATACTTTGTAGTCTAGGTGGGTATTAGGCTATGCCATCTACATTTGTGTAAGTACACTCCTTGATGTCCACCAAATGACAAAATCACCTAACAACACATTTCTCAGAACACATGCCTAGTGTTAACTGATGTGTGACTGTATTTTCTTTTGATGGAAAGCAAAACTCAAAATGTTCCATCACTCATGCTACTCTCAACACATGGCCTTCAAAGTCACTGAGAATAGAGAAAAAGAGAAGGATTGTGTGGAAGGATCATGGGCTAGATTTGCAATGCTGCACATCAATGACACACATTTTTGGGTGAGAAGAAACTATGCAGGTCCACCTGGATAAGCACTATTAGAAACTCAAGTATTCAGGCCCACTGTTATGTGCAGTCTATGATAGAGGAAGATCTAGATTCTCTGGGGTTGCCTCCAGGGACCACTAAACCAAATCAAAATGAGAAGTCAGGGAAGGCTTCCTGAAGGAGGTCACACTCCGGAGGAATTTGTTGCTGATTGTTATGAACTAATGTTCATGTCCCCCCACCTCCAAATTCATATACCCTAATCCTCAATGAATGGTAATTAGGAGGTGGGGCCTTTGGGAGGTGATTAGGTTTGGAGGAGGTCATAAGGGTGGAGCCCCATGATGGGTGGGATTAGTGTCCTTGTAAGAAGAGGAAGAGACATCTGATCTTTCTCTACCCTGTGAGGACACAGCAAGAAGGTGGCCATTTGCAAGCTGGGAAGAGAACCCTCACCACTAACTAAATCTGCTAGCTCCTCAATCTTGGACTTCTAGCCTCCAGAACCATGAGGAATAAATGTCTATTGTTTAAGCCACTCAGTTACGGTATTTTGTTACAGCAGCCTGAGCTAAGACACTGATCAAGTAAAGGAAATGGGGTGGGGGAGGAGGGGCAATGTGGGGTGTCATGTATAAATTATCCCCAGTGACCCTGAGCAAATGATGTAATTTCTGAAATTCTGTTTCCATAACCACTCATGTCCTCTGAGAACCAAGTGAGAAAATGTATTCAAGAATTCTCAGGAAGTAGAAGGCATAAAAAGGCCTAGATTATTAAGAGAATGATGTGACCTGTATTATTCCACTTACAATCCACATTTTGACACTCATTGTGCCACAAAGCAAACTGTACTTGTTTCCTCTGCAGAATAAAGGTGACTGGCAGCTGTAAAACTGAACAACCAGTTTTAGAATAAAACCAACTTTTATTCTAAAGTTTAGTGCATTCCCCTTGCAAAATAGTCACACATTTAGGTCAGATGTTATTAAGCCAGTGTCCTAATTGGGGGGCCTAAACCTGCAGAAAGGATTAAAGCTCTTGCTTTTTATCTAAGATGTTTATCTAACTTTGCAGTTGCAAATCTTTAAGCTGCCTCTGGTAAGCAGTCCAGGGTTTATTGGGTTATTTGGCAGTTTTTCCTCAAGGAGGTAAGAGCTGGACATTAACTATATCAAGATAAATTCTGTGCCTGTCAACTCTTTTGAAACTTAGTGAGCAATTTCTATAAGTCTAAACTTTATTTGACGTTTGTTGCTTTTTCATTTCATTTGAAGTTTCTATTGGCTTTCACTTCTAACACTATTTCCAACTCTAGAAACCACTTTCTGTTAAGTGAATTTGTAAGAAGAATGATAAAACGCTGCAAGACTGATTTAAACTAGATATAGAGAATCTCATAAATGTTTGAAATAAAAGGTTATTTTGCTCAAATTTTAGAGTTTTCTGGAAGTGATAAAATTTTGGTCACTACGTTAAAATTATGTTTACCACAAAGTGAATAACAAGTTGCCAATTTCCTAAACAACTGACTTCTCAATACTGCATAGACTCAGTATTAGGTTTTTTAGTTAAAAGAGAAAGATGTATTTATCTACACATAGATGGTGGAAACCTTTTATGTTTAAGATTCGGGCTTAACTTGTTATTCCCAGTAATTCATTCACTTTAGACTTGAATCCCCACCCCCCCAACCCCAGCCAAAAACAAAACAAAACAAAACAAAACTGTATTTGAATGAACTTAGACATTAGATACTTACCAAATTCTGATTATGTTTCAGACTGTGTTGATGAACCTACATATCAAATATAGCTTTCAAGGAGGTAAGTCTGAAAAGATAATGTTCATATTGTTTTTCTCCCATTATAAACATAAGAATCTTAATTCTAAGAGATAGAATCTGCATAGACCAGGAATATTTATATTAATGATGCCAGATAGGTTGCCTAAACCTAGCTTTGAGCTTGTAAAACCAGGGCCAGCTTTTCTTGAGTCCCCTGCTTGGTGCAGCAGCTCCCCTTCTGCAAGCAGCAATGCAGATGCCTACCTGTCTGAGTGAAAGAAGCAGACTTCAAGGAAATACCAGCAATCAACAATGCTTCATTAACATTTTAAAGTATCAGCATGCCTTGAAACTGTATTTTTAATAAACTGTAGTTTCCACAGAAGATGAATGATGCCAGATAGGCTGCCTAAACCTAGAACTTCATTTGAAGTTCATTGAAGAACTTCATTCTCTCACTCAGGCAGGTAGGCATCTGCACCACCGCCCACAGAAGGGCAGCTGCAGCACCAAGCAGGGGACTCAAGAAAAGCTGGCCCTGATTTTACAAGTTCAAAGCTCAGAGAAAAGGCACAAACAGTAGACTTGAGAGAATGTCTATTAAGGAAAAGCATATCTGCTCTAAGCTCCTCTCTTGCTACAACTAGGAAAAAAAAATCTTCCTAGTCCTTGGGGACAGGAGAGAATCAGAAAGATGGCCATGAGATGCTGGAGGATCTCTAGGGAGGAACATAGACTCTGCCGTTTCCCCTCTTGTCCTACTCATCCACAGCAGAGAAGATCACATGGTCTTTTCCAGAGAACTCTGAGGAGGTAGCAAGACCCTGCAGTAATAATGGCTACAAGCACATATAAGTAGATGGGGCCCTAGGCAAAGTCAGTGTGGCCATGGTCCTGGGTTGAGCATGATCAACAGAAAAATTCCCAAGGGGCCCTGGAGGTAGCTGCAGAGGCAGTTTGATGGGGTAGCATGCTCAGGAATGGCCCTGGAATCATAGAAGAACAGAGATGGGGAACCTTGTGTTAAGCCTGGTGAGTGAGGCCAGCAGTAACCTTGGATGGCCCTCTAGTGACCAGAAAGGATGACAAAACAGGGCAGCCAGATGGGTGGAAAACGAGTTTCTTCCCCTTAGCCTAGTGAAGAGCACAACACAACCTCCTGAGCATGTAGACACAGATTTGAAGAAAAAGAGGTAGAGATGGAGACATAAACTTGAGTTGTCTGAGATTAAATTTCTACTACCTGATGGCACAGAGGCTCCAAACAGAATTACATTCATTTAAAAAAATAGAAGTCATAGAGCACTTGCATTTGCAGTCTGAGATTCCTATCCACCTACTTAAGAATACATTTTAAATCACATGATATCAGTCCACAGTCCCTCCTCATGAAGGAGCATACAATAGCTTTTACTGGGGCTAAAGATGTGGTGTTGGTTGAGTCTGGACCCTGTTCAAAGTGTCCAGGGCTGTTCCCATCAAACATGAGATGGTATGAGATGGCCATCTCCAGCTTTGAGCCTGTGTGATGAAATCTTAGTAAACATACCCCAATATATGCACTCAAAGTCCATCATTTATGGACTGAACCTTTACCAATTTATTTCAATGGAAGGCTTTGCTTTCATCCAAAATTCTATGCAAACTCCTGGCACTGGCTGTGTTTCCTCATTGCATTTCTCTCTGATCTCAGGGCTCTGTGTCTGCCAGCAGCTTCATTCAGTCTCTTTGTGAGAAGCGGTGCTCGCTTGCTCTGACAGCTGTGTTCTCTCTGTAGGATCATCAGTCTGCTGCAGGCTGTGGTGATAGGATGGATTTTTAAACTCTTTTGGCAGAAAAAGTCATTTCCTGCTTGGAGAGAAAGATAAAAGTGAATCCCACATTGTGCAGAAACATGGACACCATGACACTTCCTGCACAGCACTTCAGTCACCCCCAACCCCCACGGTGACTCAGAACCTAACTGCCTCAGCCCTTCTTGACCTGGACCGTGTGAGCTACATCCTCCTCTAAACCGATGTCACATCCACTCAATTAAAGACTAGGTCCAGATACTTGGATACTCAGCTTCATAGCCTTAAAAGTTCAGATTAGTTACTGCATTTCTCACCATTATCTGCAAAGATTTTAATACAGGATATCATCAGTAATTGAAATGCGTGCACCATACATTTAAAAAAAAAAAACCTGCCCTAAAATCGCAAGTGAAAATCATTCCCTGCCGCTGTATTATAGAAAAAGCTGTTAAGTTATAGTCACTGATTATTGGAATGCAAAGGTCATGCGGGTCTTGATTCCTTTCTGTGGCTTGACTTTAAGTCATGACAAGTTATAGAGACATTTCAGAATTTGTTGCTTATCTCCACAGGTAGAAAACAGCCATGGGAGATCTTTGGCATATTTTGCATAATCCCAGGAAACAGCTTGTAGCTGTGGAAAGAGTCCTAGGGAGGAATAAGGCTACCTAAGCCTCATGTAGTCACTCATGTAGACCTTTCCTTCTCCTTTCCTGTACGCCCACTGCCCATGGGGGTTTGGGAGTTATCACTAGATATTTTCAGTTTTTTTGGTGACTTTATCCCATTCCTTTCTCTCCCCATTGCTCCGAGTTGCTACAATGCCTGGTATATGGGAAGAGTTCAGTAGGCGCTTAGAAATACAATTGAATTGGAGAGAGAGCTCTTGGTAGAGCCTATGTTTCCCTAGACATGAGTGATGCAACCTTTAACCAGTGGACGTGATGCATCTCTCTGATGGTAAGAACATTGCCTGCTCTTGAACAGCAGGTCCTCCACCTCTCAGGTAGCTCACCAGGCTCTGACCTTCATTCTTTAGTGAGATCCTGTGATGATTTAGGAGGGCCAGGAAGATAGATTCATGCTCCAAATAGAAGATAGTGGAAGAGCACAAACAGCTGGTTTCCACTGAAGGTAGTTCCTCCATTTAGAATCAGTTCATTTCTGAAGCTCCCAGCTTCAGCCAGACTCTAAGATGGGCTGGAAGGATGTCAGTGAAGTCAGAGGCAGAAGAAGCCAGGAAGGCAGGTGCTAGAACCATAAACCTAAAGGGAATTGTAGCCACATGGAGGAAATAACTCCTACCAAGCCTGTCTCAGAGCACTTGATGTTAAACAAAAATTTTACTAGTCCTCTCCTGTAGCTTTGGCTCACTTCAGAGCTTTTGCCTTGTGGTGTGTGAACCAGGCATATCTGGACCCGAAGCATAGAAAAGATATTGGGTGCAGCTATGATTATGCTCTTCTCCCATGGGGGGTTTGGCCTCTACTAAAGGTGAACCATTTTTTCTTTGCTTAAGTTCTGTTAAAAGGTCCCAAGTTATTAACCTACTGTAGTCAGCCCACCCAGGGCACCCAGGATGGTCATGGCCATCCCTGCTATGACCTCATGGATGTTATCTTTGTTTGCAGTTTCTACATTTTGTTTATAATGAGTTTGGCTTTTTAAACATTAATTTTAATTTTTAAAAAAGATTGCATCAAAACATTGTTTCTGTTGATTACAGGGTTTTTTGGCACTCTCTTATGTTTTGTACCTATATTAGCTTCTAAGGGCTGCCGTGACAAATTACCACAAACAACTGGGTGGGTTAAAATACTAGAAATTTATTCTCTCATGGTTCTGGGGGCCAGACATTTGAAATTGTGGTGTTGGCAGGGCCGCACTCCCTCTGAAGCCACGAGGAAAGGATTTTCCTTGCTTCCTGCAGTTTTTGGTGGCTCTTGGTGTTCATTGGCTTCTGGTGGCATCAGGCCAATCTCTGACTTCATTTTAATCAAATGGCCATCCTCCCTGCATCTCTGTGTGTCAGCTTGCCCTCTGCCTTCCTCTGGTAGGACACCTGACATTGGATTTAGGGCCCACTCTTAATCCAGGATGATCTTATCTGGAGATGCTTAATTCCATTTGCAAAGATTTTGACCAAATAAGGTTACATTCTCAGGTTCTAGGGTGTTAGGACTTGGACAGTCTTCTTGGGGACCACTATTCAACCCACTGCAGCACAAAGACCAGCAACCTCACTCTCCTCACCCTAGTCTTAGCCCTGCCCCAGGAATGTGTGTCCCTTGTGGATTCTGTCTCATGACTACAGAGCCACAGCTGGTCCTTGTAGGTAGTGTGGAATGAGTGGATGGGACAATAGAAAACAGTGAACGACACACACAATAACAATAGGGACTTTCTGTAGCCCTTTCCACCCATACAGAGAGAGTACAGCAAGGAGGGAAGGATGATGGTTTTCTACATTGAAGTTTTCCTTGAAGGTCTTGAAAGTAAGTTGTGCAAAAGTACCAAAGTTCTGTCATTACAATAACATACCTTTTGGATTTTGTTTGACATAATTTTATTTGTCCCTTGACTTGTTTTCTTTCAATATGTGCCTTCTTTATACACATATATATATAAATATATATATATATATATATATACACACACACACACATACACACACACACAACTATTGATTTTTTTAAACCACAGCTGCATGGCTGTTATAAACTGAAATTCTTAAAGCATGATCTTCTTCCTATGATCGTGGGAAAGAGCAAACTACTTTAAAAACACACACATGCACAGCTTCTTGAAGCCATATGGAGATTTTATTCATGCAAATAGAGGCTTGGTTTTCTCCCAATTTCCCACAAGGCACTCGGCAGCATTGAGAAGATCTTTGCCCCTCAGTGGGACCTATCAGGATGATGTGCTGCTTGCCTTGGCTTTGAGGTATGTTCTCCCTGATTTCTACCACAATGGCAGCAAGGTGCTATAAAATGTGAATAAGGACCACAATCAATTCTGTTGAGAACCTGCATTTTTTAACCTTAAATATCGAATCTGAATGTAAATTCCCACAATATTAGACCAGCTGTGTTATTTCAAAAAAAGAGAAAAAGAGATACAGTTTCAGGATGAAGTCGTATATAAATACAGAAATACTATTTCAAATAAATCTGGAGGTGAATTTCCATGACATTAGACAAGTTATATTATCTCAGAAAAAAGTGTACAGATTCATGTGTTTGGGTAAACCTCTCCTATTTAGTATGTTTAAAAATTGGCATCGTGTGAGAAAATTGTTTGCAGATTGCTAGACAGAGTGAATAATCTGACACCATATGGAGACTATTTATGAACCACAGCAACTTCCACACTGTTGATCATGTGTAATATAAACAACATAACCAAAGTGAATTATTACTTTTCCATTATTTTCTTGGTCTATTACATTTAATGTTTAATTTGAGAGGGACCATTTTTGAGATATTCTCTTAACACATCTTACTATTCATTAGTTAAGGAGAAATTGTGTTTGCCATTTTTTTACTTTAACACAAAACACGCTTTCCTCTTCCTAAGTGTCAACTGATATTTCATAGAGAAGAGGATTAACTATCAGAACATTAAATGAATATGACTTTAACCCATGTAATGTAAGTCTTAGAGAATTCATTCTGAGGGAAGATGATGTTCAATAGAGACTGTGTAGCAATGGGTTCAGAGGTGGACAAGAGTTAGAGAACATGAGGATCCTGTTTTGGCATGCAGATGCTTCTCCCAAGCCACACGCTCACAAGTTCTATGAACGGGGGGAGAAGGTATCAGTGAGAATTGAAAGAGCCTTTACAAAACAACAAGTGCTAGGTTTTGAACCTCTTAAATAGTTTTTGAGTCTATCCTCTCTTCTTCAGTTTCAATGCCACATTAAAGCCTGAACTTAATTGTTTGAATAGCGTATTAGCTGCTCCCTGCTCTGTGTGAACCCCCTCAAACTCAGCTTTCACACACCACCAGAATTATCTTTCCAAAAGGCAAATCTGATCGTGCCATGCACTGGTCAACATTTTCAATAGCTCCCTACAGAATAAAATCCTAAATCCATAGCACGACCCACAGGATCATTTATGCGCTAACTCAGCCTACATTTCCAGTCTGTCTCCTACTCCTGTGGACAAATTGAATCATCAAAAATTTGTCAGTAAAGAGTAGAGACATAATAGTTTGGAAGTGGCAATGAGAAGTGAGAAGAAACAGCATTTTCCCAAGGCACCTGGAGTGCAGGAGAATGAGCAACATCTACATAAATGCTTAGGGAGAGTTGTGGGGAAGAGAAGAGGGCAGTCCAGTAGGGCCAGGACCTCAACCAACTCTGGAGGGTTTTTTTTTTTTTTCTCAGCATTTTAATTGTTTCAGAGAAGGGGTTACTCTAAGTAACTCAACCTACCATAATTGAAAATATAATTCTATCTTTATTTTATTATTTTTTTAATTCAACTTTTATTTTAAGTTCAGGGGTACATGTGCAGGTTAGTTATATAGGTAAACTTGTTTCATGGGGGTTTGTTGTGCAGATTATTTCATCACCCAGGTATTAAGCCTAGTACCCATTAGTTATTTTTCCTAATCCTCTCCCTCCTCCCACCCCCCACTCACCAATAGGCCCCACAGTCTGTTGTTACCCTCTTTGTGTCCATGTACTCTCATTATTTAGCTCCCCCTTATAAGTGAGAATATGCTGTATTTGATTTTCTGCTCCTGCATAAGTTTGTTAAGGATAATGGCATCCAGCTCCATCCATGTTCCTGCAAAGGACATTATCTTTTTTATGGCTGCATAGTATTCCATGGCATATAAGTACACATTTTCTTTATCTAGTCTATCATTGATGGGCATTTGGGTTGATTTCATGTCTTTGCTATTGTGAATAGTACTACAACGAATATACGCATGCATGTGTCTTTATAAGAAAATGATTTATATTCCTTTGGGTATATACCCAGTAATGGGATTGCTGGGTCAAATGATATCTCTGTTTTTAGGTCTTTGAGGAATCATCACACTGTCTTCCACATGGCTGAGCTAATTTACACTCCCACCAACAGTGTATAGGTGTTCCTTTTTCTCCACAGCCTCACCAGCATCTGTTATGTTTTTACTTTTTAGTAATAACCATTCTGATTGATTTGAGATGGTATCTCATTGTGGTTTTGCAAATCTGGAGTTTTTAATGACACATATTTAACCCTTTGGAGACTTATCTCAAACTTTATTGTCATGCAAACTTTTTTTTGCTTTTTTTACAGATATATTTGAAAAATATAGCAGATGTTTAACTCCTCTCCCCATGGGGGAAAAATTTACAGGAGCTGATTGATTAAGCTTCTGTGAGTTGCAGAGACTGGTATAAGACTTAAGAACTCAAAGATGAGTTCAGACATAGCCCCGATACTTAAGGAGCTCATGGGACCTTTACAAGCTTTGGATTTTTCAATGAGAAATTCACTTGCTGCCAGAAATCGTAGCTCAATATCTCCTGTCAGTCTGGTATAACCAAAATCCTGGACAAGAAGAGAGAGAGGTTGGATATGATGAAAAGAAACATGTTCTGAGAGAAAGTATAATGAATGAGGTTTGGAAAGCAGAGGGCAGGCAAGGCTGGGTTTCCGGAATATGGATGAATGACAGAATAGAGCAGGCAATCAGTGGAGATCTCAGTACACAGGCAAAGGCAGGCAGCATGCACTGTCATTTTTACCTCTCTGAATCCTTCTCCACATCAATTTCTACTTTAGAGTAAGAGACAGTTTTTAGCATTTAATTGGCCCTACATCTCCGAAACCCTTACAGTCAGACTGCTAGTCCATTGAACTGTTATAAGAAAGTATCATAGACTGAATAGCTTACAAAAAAGCAGAAATTTATTTCTCATAGTTCTAGATGCTTTAAAATCTGGATGCCACCATGGTTAGGTTCTGGCAAGGGGTCTCTTGCAGGTTGCAAGCTGCCAGCTTCTCCCTGTGTCTTCACATGGTGGAAAGAGCAAGGGAGGTCTCTGGGGTCACTTATTTAAGTGGAATTAAGTCATTAATCCCATTCATGAGGGCTTTGCCATCATGATCTAATCACCTTCTGAAAATGCCATCTCCTAATGCCATCATCCTGGAGGTTTAGATTCCAACATATGAATGTTGGGGGAACACAAGCATTCAAACCATAGCTTGATGCTCACTGTATCTGCCCCGAGTCTGCAGGAGATAAAAGACTACTTAAAAACTATCACTGGGGGCTTCTGGTTCTCCATGTATGTTCTTAAGCAAATATTTTTTGTATATGCAGTGCAATAAGAAGAAGTTAGGTGTGATAGTCAGTTGTCAACTAATGCCCTGTAACAATCCACAGCCCCAAACTCAATGGCTTATAACAGAGCATTTACTTTTGTCAACTACAGGTCTGAGGATTGGCTGAAGTGACTTTGGTTTGGGCTGAAGTTCAGTTGTGTTTGGCCTTAGCTTAGGCTCATATCTGTCCCAATTGTCTTATGCTGAGAACCAGGCTGAAGAATCAGTAGCTAGCAGGGACAAGCTCTTCTAATAGTAATCTTGGTGGTGCAGATGTGAGCTATACTGTACAATTTGTTTAATACCTATCTTAGTCTATTTCCTGTTGCTATAACAAAATACAACAGACTGGGTAATTTTTAAAGGAAAGGTAGTTTATTTTGGTTCATAGTCCTGGAGGCTGGGAAGTCCAAGACCATGACATCTGCATCTGCTTGGCTTCTGGTGAGGGCCTTCTTACTGCTTCATAATGTGGCAGAAGGCATCACATGGTGAGAGGGAACAAGCATGTATATCAGCTCAGGTCTCCCTTCTTCTTATAAAGCCAGTCCCATCATGGAGATCCCATCCTTGTGACTAATTCTAATTACCTAATTATCTAATTGTAATGACCTCCTACAGGCCCTACCTCCAGTCAACATATGATTTTAGAGATTAAGTTTTCAACACATAAAATTTGAGGACACATTCAAACTATAGAAATATCTCTGTTTAACTCTCATTTGCTCAGTTTCCATTGGCCAAAGCAAGACATGTGGCCAAGTCCAAAGTCAGTGGGCATGGGAAATATACTTCATCCCAGAGGGAGGGGCAGGTTAGTGAAGGGATATGTAACAATGCCATTCTGTCATACCAGGTGTGACTGCAACCTTTGTAATTACTATGGCTGCCATAGTGCCTAAATGCCACAGCCACTTGATCTCCCAGTGTCCTACCCCACATGTATATTTCACCCCGTGCTACCACTGGTAATAATTTGAATTATTACCGTAGAACTGCGTGCCATGGATTACCGGTGTCCTATTTCCCCCAACAACAAGGTTATTCTAGTCCTCACCCAATATTATGAGCAACTCAATCTCAGAAACACATTTTGAGGACTGTTTTCTGAAGCTACTCCTGGCACCAACTTCAGTCAGACACAGAAAATAATGCTTTACATGTTATCTATTTATAATATTTTATGAAAGACTGAACAGAATATCCATATTTTATACATCCTAGCTAAAGGAGATAATTAATTTCTTTTAAAGAAATGCACTCAAACTCTATGAATTCTGCTACTCAAAAATACATAAAAATGCTTGGCATCATTCCCCTCTCAGGATCTTTATAGCAAATATTGAATATCTCCAGAATTGTCAAGAGTTCAAAGACACAGGCTTATACAAACTCTGCAGATTTAGTGCTGTGTAAAAAGCATGTCTGCAGGAAACTCTGAAATGGGATTTAATATAAAAGTAAAGTAATAATTGAGAAAACTAGTCTATTAATATCTGTCATAGTGGACAGTCACAAATCTCCCAGCAAATATTATCACTATGTTATCTTTATGAAAAGGAACAATAGAAGATGCAGGGACTTTCCTGGTGAGAATGAAGATTAGAAAAGAGGTATGCAGGCTGGGCGCGGTGGCTCATGCCTGTAATCCCAGTACTTTGGGAGGCCGAGGAGGGCAGCTCACGAAGTCAGGAGATCAAGACCATCCTGGCTAACACAGTGAAACCCCATCTCTACTAAAAATACAAAAAATTAGCTGGGTGTGGTCATGGGCACCTGTAGTCCCAGTTACTCGGGAGGCTGAGACAGAAGAATGGTGTGAACCCAGGAGGCGGAGCTTGCAGTGAGCCGAGATTGTGCCACTGCACTCCAGCCTGGGCAACAGGGTGAGACTCCATCTCAGAAAAAAAAAAAAAATTGAGATATGCAAAAACACTAATGGAGATTTTAATTCCTCCTGGTATTAGAAAAAAAAGAATAAACTCTAGATTTAAAAAATCCTTTGGATTTTCAACAAGTTAGTTTATTTTATATCACATCTTGGATTTAAAAATATATATTGGTGCAAAATACAAGTGTCTCACATCTACAAACCGTAAGCATGAACGTCCCTGAAAAGGATTTTCATGTCAAACCACTATTAATCACGAGTATTTGTTTCTTACCCAAAGAAGTGTACTGGGAGTGATGGCTGAGATGATTTGCTAATGAAATCATCAAATTGTATTAAGCACACACCTGTGTTCACCTTTAACCCGCCATCTGCTCATTCTTATAGACTGGACAGTTTAAAAGTCTTAAACATACATACATGCAAATGAAAGATTTTTTTTTAATTCTTTTTTTTTTTACTCTTTTTTTATTATTATTATACTTTAAGTTTTAGGGTACATGTGCACAATGTGCAGGTTAGTTACATATGTATACATGTGCCATGTTGGTGCGCTGCACCCACTAACTGATCATCTAGCATTAGGTATATCTCCCAATGCTATCCCTCCCCCCTCCCCCCTCCCCCCACCCCACAACCGTCCCCAGAGTGTGATATTCCCCTTCCTGTGTCCAAGTGTTCTCATTGTTCAATTCCCACCTATGAGTGAGAAAATGCGGTGTTTGGTTTTTTGTTCTTGCAATAGTTTACTGAGAATGATGATTTCCAATTTCATCCATGTCCCTACAAAGGACATGAACTCATCATTTTTTATGGCTGCATAGTATTCCATGGTGTATATGTGCCACATTTTCTTAATCCAGTCTATCATTGTTGGACATTTGGGTTGGTTCCAAGTCTTTGCTATTGTGAACAATGCTGCAATAAACATACGTGTGCATGTGTCTTTATAGCAGCATGATTTATAGTCCTTTGGGTATATACCCAATAATGGGATGGCTGGGTCAAATGGTATTTCTAGTTCTAGATGCCTGAGGAATGGCCACACTGACTTCCACAATAGTTGAACTAGTTGACAGTCCCACCAACAGTATAAAAGTGTTCCTATTTCTCCACATCCTCTCCAGCACCTGTTGTTTCCTGACTTTTTAATGATTGCCATTCTAACTGGTGTGAGATGGTATCTCATTGTGGTTTTGATTTGCATTTCTCTGATGGCCAGTGATGGTGAGCATTTTTTCATGTGTTTTTTGGCTGCATAAATGTCTTCTTTTGAGAAGTGTCTGTTCATGTCCTTTGCCCACTTTTTGATGGGGTTGTTTGTTTTTCTCTTGTAAATTTGTTTGAGTTCATTGTAGATTCTGGATATTAGCCCTTTGTCAGATGAGTAGGTTGCAAAAATTTTCTCCCATTTTGTAGGTTGCCTGTTCACTCTGATGGTAGTTTCTTTTGCTGTGCAGAAGCTCTTTAGTTTAATTAGATCCCACTTGTCAATTTTGGCTTTTGTTGCCATTGCTTTTGGTGTTTTAGACATGAAGTCCTTGCCTGTGCCTATGTCCTGAATGGTAATGCCTAGGTTTTCTTCTAGGGTTTTTATGGTTTTAGGTCTAACGTTTAAGTCTTTAATCCATCTTGAATTGATTTTTGTATAAGGTGTAAGGAAGGGATCCAGTTTCAGCTTTCTACATATGGCTAGCCAGTTTTCCCAGCACCATTTATTAAATAGGGAATCCTTTCCCCATTGCTTGTTTTTCTCAGGTTTGTCAAAGATCAGATAGTTGCAGATATGCGGCGTTATTTCTGAGGGCTCTGTTCTGTTCCATTGATCTATATCTCTGTTTTGGTACCAGTACCATGCTCTTTTGGTTACTGTAGCCTTGTAGTATAGTTCGAAGTCAGGTAGTGTGATGCCTCCAGCTTTGTTCTTTTGGCTTAGGATTGACTTGGTGATGTGGGCTCTTTTTTGGTTCCATGTGAACTTTAAAGTAGTTTTTTCCAATTCTGTGAAGAAAGTCATTGGTAGCTTGATGGGGATGGCATTGAATCTGTAAATTACCTTGGGCAGTATGGCCATTTTCACGATATTGATTCTTCCTACCCATGAGCATGAAATGTTCTTCCATTTGTTTGTATCCTCTTTTATTTCCTTGAGCAGTGGTTTGTAGTTCTCCTTGAAGAGGTCCTTCAAATCCCTTGCAAGTTGGATTCCTAGGTATTTTATTCTCTTTGAAGCAATTGTGAATGGGAGTTCACTCATGATTTGGCTGTTTGTCTGTTGTTGGTGTATAAGAATGCTTGTGATTTTTGTACATTGATTTTGTATCCTGAGACTTTGATGAAGTTGCTTATCAGCTTAAGGAGATTTTGGGCTGAGATGATGGGGTTTTCTAGATATACAATCATGTCGTCTGCAAACAGGGACAATTTGACTTCCTCTTTTCCTAATTGAATACCCTTTATTTCCTTCTCCTGCCTAATTGCCCTGGCCAGAACTTCCAACACTATGTTGAATAGGAGTGGTGAGAGAGGGCATCCCTGTCTTGTGCCAGTTTTCTAAGGGAATGCTTCCAGTTTTTGCCCATTCAGTATGATATTGGTTGTGGGTTTGTCATAGATAGCTCTTATTATTTTGAGATACATCCCATCAATACCTAATTTATTGAGAGTTTTTAGCATGAAGGGTTGTTGAATTTTGTCAAAGGCCTTTTCTGCATCTATTGAGATAATCATGTGGTTTTTGTCTTTGGTTCTGTTTATATGCTGGATTACATTTACTGATTTGAGTATATTGAACCAGCCTTGCATCCCAGGGATGAAGCCCACTTGATCATGGTAGATAAGCTTTTTGATATGCTGCTGGATTCGGTTTGCCAGTATTTTATTGAGGATTTTTGCATCAATGTTCATCAAGGATATTGGTCTAAAACTCTCTTTTTTGGTTGTGTCTCTGCCCAGCTTTGGTATCACGATGATGCTGGCCTCATAAAATGAGTTAGGGAGCATTCCCTCTTTTTCTATTGATTGGAATAGTTTCAGAAGGAATGGTACCACTTCCTCCTTGTACTTCTGGTAGAATTCGGCTGTGAATCCATCTGGTCCTGGACTCTTTTTGGTTGGTAAGCTATTGATTATTGCCACAATTTCAGATCCTGTTATTGGTCTATTCAGAGATTCAACTTCTTCCTGGTTTAGTCTTGGGAGAGTGTATGTGTCAAGGAATTTATCCATTTCTTCTAGATTTTCTAGTTTATTTGCATAGAGGTGTTTGTAGTATTCTCTGATGGTAGTTTGTATTTCTGTGGGATTGGTGGTGATATCCCCTTTATCATTTTTTATTGCATCTATTTGATTCTTCTCTCTTTTTTTCTTTATTAGTCTTGCCAGCGGTCTATCAATTTTGTTGATCCTTCAAAACACCAGCTCCTGGATTCATTAATTTTTTGAAGAGTTTTTTGTGTCTCTATTTCCTTCAGTTCTGCTCTGATTTTAGTTATTTCTTGCCTTCTGCTAGCTTTTGAATGTGTTTGCTCTTGCTTTTCTAGTTCTTTTAATTGTGATGTTAGGGTGTCAATTTTGGATCTTTCCTGCTTTCTCTTGTGGGCATTTAGTGCTATAAATTTCCCTCTACATACTGCTTTGAATGCGTCCCAGAGATTCTGGTATGTTGTGTCTTTGTTCTCGTTGGTTTCAAAGAACATCTTTATTTCTGCCTTCATTTCGTTATGTACCCAGTAGTCACTCAGGAGCAGGTTGTTCAGTTTCCATGTAGTTGAGCGGTTTTGAGTGAGATTCTTAATCCTGATTTCTAGTTTGATTGCACTGTGGTCTGAGAGATAGTTTGTTATAATTTCCGTTGTTTTACATTTGCTGAGGAGAGCTTTACTTCCAAGTATGTGGTCAATTTTGGAATATGTGTGGTGTGGTGCTGAAAAAAATGTATATTCTGTTGATTTGGGGTGGAGAGTTCTGTAGATGTCTATTAGGTCTGCTTGGTACAGAGCTAAGTTCAATTCCTGGGTATCCTTGTTGACTTTCTGTCTCGTTGATCTGTCTAATGTTGACAGTGGGGTGTTAAAGTCTCCCATTATTAATGTGTGGGAGTCTAAGTCTCTTTGTAGGTCACTCAGGACTTGCTTTATGAATCTGGGTGCTCCTGTATTGGGTGCATATATATTTAGGATAGTTAGCTCTTCTTGTTGAATTGATCCCTTTACCATTATGTAATGGCCTTCTTTGTCTCTTTTGATCTTTGTTGTTTTAAAGTCTGTTTTATCAGAGATTAGGATTGCAACCCCTGCCTTTTTTTGTTTTCCATTTGCTTGGTAGATCTTCCTCCATCCTTTTATTTTGAGCCTATGTGTGTCTCTGCATGTGAGATGGGTTTCCTGAACACAGCACACTGATGGTTCTTGACTCTTTATCCAATTTGCCAGTCTGTGTCTTTTAATTGGAGCATTTAGTCCCTTTACATTTAAAGTTAATATTGTTATGTGTGAATCTGATCCTGTCATTATGATGTTAGCTGGTTATTTTGCTCATTAGTTGATGCAGTTTCTTCCTAGTCTCTATGGTCTTTACATTTTGGTATGATTTTGCAGCGGCTGGTACTGGTTGTTCCTTTCCATGTTTAGTGCTTCCTTCAGGAGCTCTTTTAGGGCAGGCCTGGTGGTGACAAAATCTCTCAGCATTTGCTTGTCTGTAAAGTATTTTATTTCTCCTTCATTTATGAAGCTTAGTTTGACTGGATATGAAATTCTGGGTTGAAAATTCTTTTCTTTAAGAATGTTGAATATTGGCCCCCACTCTCTTCTGGCTTGTAGAGATTCTGCCAAGAGATCTGCTGTTAGTCTGATAGGCTTCCCTTTGTGGGTAACCCGACCTTTCTCTCTGGCTGCCCTTAACATTTTTTCCTTCATTTCAACTTTGGTGAATCTGACAATTATGTGTCTTGGAGTTGCTCTTCTCAAGGAGTATCTTTGCGGCGTTCTCTGTATTTCCTGAATCTGAATGTTGGCCTGCCTTGCTAGATTGGGGAAGTTCTCCTGGATAATATCCTGCAGAGTGTTTTCCAACTTGGTTCCATTCTCCCCGTCACTTTCAGGTACACTAATCAGACATAGATTTTGTCTTTTCACATAGTCCCGTATTTCTTGGAGGCTTTGTTCATTTCTTTTTATTCTTTGTTCTCTAAACTTCCCTTCTCGCTTCATTTCATTCATTTCATCTTCCATCGCTGATACCCTTTCTTCCAGTTGATCGCATCGGCTCCCGAGGCTTCTGCATTCTTCACGTAGTTCTCGAGCCTTGGTTTTCAGCTCCATCAGCTCCTTTAAGCACTTCTCTCTATTAGTTATTCTAGTTATACATTCTTCTAAATTTTTTTCAAAGTTTTCAACTTCTTTGCCTTTGGTTTGAATGTCCTCCTGTAGCTCAGAGTAATTTGATCATCTGAAGCCTTCTTCTCTCAACTCGTCAAAGTCATTCTCCGTCCAGCTTTGTTCCATTGCTGGTGAGGAACTGCGTTCCTTTGGAGGAGGAGAGGCGCTCTGCTTTTTAGAGTTTCCAGTTTTTCTGCTCTGTTTTTTCCCCATCTTTGTGGTTTTATCTACTTTTGGTCTTTGATGATGGTGATGTACAGATGGGTTTTTGGTGTGGATGTTCTTTCTGTTTGTTAGTTTTCCAACAGACGGGACCCTCAGCTGCAGGTCTGTTGGAGTACCTGGCCATGTGAGGTGTCAGTCTGTCCCTACCGGGGGGTGCCTCCCAGTTAGGCTGCTCGGGGGTCAGGGGTCAGGGACCCACTTGAGGAGGCAGTCTGCCCGTTCTCAGATCTCCGGCTGCATGCTGGGAGAACCACTGCTCTCTTCAAAGCTGTCAGACAGGGACATTTAAGTCTGCAGAGGTTACTGCTGTCTTTTTGTTTGTCTGTGCCCTGCCCCCAAGAGGTGGAGCCTACAGAGGCAGGCAGGCATCCTTGAGCTGTGGTGGGCTCCACCCAGTTGGAGCTTCCAGGCTGCTTTGTTTACCTAAGCAAGCCTGGGCAATGGTGGGCACCCCTCCCCCAGCGTCGCTGCCACCTTACTGTTTGATCTCAGACTGCTGTGCTAGCAATCAGAGAGACTCCGTGGGCGTAGGACCCTGCGAGCCAGGTGCGAGATATAATCTTCTGGTGTGCAGCTTTTTAAGCCAGTCAGAAAAGCGCAGTATTCGGGTGGGAGTGGCCCGATTTTCCAGGTGCCATCTGTCACCCCTTTCTTTGACTAGGAAAGGGACCTCCCTGACCCCTTGAGCTTCCCAAATGAGGCAATGCCTCGCCCTGCTTCGGCTCGCGCACGGTGCACGCACCCACTGACCTGCGCCCACTGTCTGGCACTCCCTAGTGAGATGAACCCGGTACCTCAGATGGAAATGCAGAAATCACCCGTCTTCTGCATCGCTCACGCTAGGAGCTGTAGACCGGAGCTCTTCCTATTCGGCCATCTTCCTAAATTTATGAAAGATGTTATGTTATTGTCTGCATGGTGATAAACTCATTGTTTGCACCTGGTGACGAAATACCTCTCCTTAAGGAAAAGAATTTAGAAGGATTTGTAGCATGATTCTGGTGCTAGCAGTGCTAACCAGCAAGGAGAACCAAAGCTTTCTGCCTGATACAACTACACTGCCTATATGGCTGGGAGGGTATGCAGACTCCTCAATGGTCCTGATCTGACCTGACTCTACCTTAAGAAGCATTTGTATAACCTAGGGACTGCAGAGCTAGAGTGAGAAAGGAGTGGGATGACTACACACTCAGGCATGGTGGATATAAATATATTATCTGGCAAGGGAGTAGGACTACAGACCATGGCTGGGATGATCAAGTGTGATTATTGTGATTAATGTGATCAAATGTGATACTGGCACATTTGCAACTTCCTCAACATCTTCTCCCAACAAATATTTCCCAGTAAGGATTAGTAATGAAACCCTTACAAAGGGAAGGACTTGCATGGCAGGTATGCTTGCAGTTCAGAACTTTATTTTCTACATCTCAACTTAATTTCCATTTTGGACCTCCCTTAGCAGGATGGCAGAAAAAAATTCATCTTCCTTCAGGTTAGTCCTGGGATGATCCTAGGTCCTGGTTTGCCTGGGACAGTCCTAGCTTACCCTAGCATCATTATATGTATTGATCCATTTTCATATTGCTATTAAGAAATACCCAAGACTGGGTAATTTATAAAGAAAAAGAAGTTTAATGGACTCACAGTTCCACATGACTGGGCAGGCTTCACAATCATGGCGGAAGGTGAAGGAGGAGCAAAGGCTCCACATCTTACGTGGTGGCAGGCAAGAGAGCTTGTGCAGGGAACTACCCTTTATAAAACCATCAGATCTCCTGAGACTTATTCACTATCATGAGAACAGCACAGGAAAAACCTGCCCCCATTATTCGATTAACTCCCACCAGATCCCTCCCATGACACATGGGGATTATGGGAGCTACAATTCAAGATGTGATTTGGGTGGGAATACAGCCAAACCATATCATTGTAAGTACTCTCAAATGTGTCCTGGTGTCCACATTTGGTCACCTTAGTGAATCACCTCTTCAGTCCTCATGTCATCTCAAAGTTTCAAGAGGTTGACATATTTTGGGAGGAAGGAAGAGGGGTCTAATTATTAAGTCACTCAGATGTTCTCTGAAATATCCATAATTTTGGCTTGTGTGGGCAATCAGACCTGGGGACTGGGACTTTGTGTCCTATGCTTGGGTAGTGGCATCTTTCCAAGTTTGTTTATGTCCTGATGCAGAGAGGCTGCATGGGATCTATGCTTCCCTGATACAATGCCAAGAAATTAAACCCTAGTCCATGTGGGAGGCAACCTGGTATCCATGCTCTCCTTGCCTGTGGGAAGGATCTACTGATACTTCTAACAGACATGATACAGCAAAAGTGATGGGCTGTCACTTCTGACGTTAGGTTACAGAAAATGCTGACTTCCATCTTGCTCTCCCTCTCTTGCTCTCTTGCTTGCTCACTGATGGAAACCAGCAGCTATGTTGTGAGCTGACCTAGGGAGACACCCACATGGCAAGAAAGGAACCCTCAATCCAACAGCCCAAGGGAGCTGAACCTTTCTAGTGATCACGTGAATGAGCTTGGTGGCAGATCATCCGCCAGCCAAGGTGCGAGATGACTGCAGCCATGACCAACATCTTGATAGAGGCTTTGTAAGAGGCCCTGAGCAAAGGATCCAGTTAAAGCAAATTTAGATCCTGACCCACTAAAACTGTGATATCATAAGTCTTTGTTGGTTTGAGTTGCTAAGTCGTGGGGTAATTTTTGACACAGCAATACGTAACTAATGCAGCTCTTTCTGCTCTGGGGCTTTGCATATCTGTGTTAGGTCTTATTGATATAAAAAATTAGAGAGAAAAACCCTTCTTGTAATAACAATGGCTTTTATTTTTTGTATCTGATGCTGCCATATCTGGGGTCCTGCTAGCCCTGATCCTCCCAGGGTTAGCCAATAACTACAGACAGTAAGTAACTTGCCCATAGGTGGGCTTTGTGAAATACAAATCAACCAATAAGGAGCCCATACCTCAACCACATTTTTTACTGGGCTGGCCTCTTATACTCTGGACCACTATCCACTGGTCCTAGTCACCCCAGAGCCAAGTGCTGGACCACCAGAGACAACCCTTATGCCCCAGAGCCTGCTAAAATTATTCAAACTAGCCATCCTAAACCAGCTTACCCTGCTTAGCCTGTTTCTTCATTAGAAACCATAATAAAACCTCTTGCCCCATTCCCCACCATCTCTCTGCCCCCTGATCAACCCTGCCCTGTTTGGGCCCCCTACTTCCCTTTGGGAAAAACTATGAATAATGAACTGTCTTTTCAACAAAAATCATCTCCTGATCTGTTGCCATTACTAGACCTCAAATTTTCTATTAATTCACTATATTTTAAAAGTCTCCTCTTTTCTTCTTTCCTCCAACCAGGGACATCTTTTGTAGTTTTGTAGGTTTACAGGGAAGCTTCATTTTCCCTCCTGCTTCTGGTCAAACATTTTGTCTGAACACCATACCCCTCTTGTTTACTTAACCACTAAATGTCAGAGATCATAGGTTTTTCCTGCTCTTAGTCCTGTCCGTGAGCCTTCTTTAATGTAAAAGGGAAAAAAAAGGAAATATTGGGTAGAAAATGCAGATGTAAACACCACAAGATATTCTGCCATAGATGTGCATCTGCCTTCAGGAATGAATGTGAAGCTTCTCCAAAGGCAGTCCTGAAAGAGAGGACCCCAGAAAATAACTGAACAGGAAATAGATACAGAATGAATCTTTACGAAGCAGGCTGGGCCTGAAGGCAACCTTAAGCATTTACATGGCAAAGAGAGCCATCAAAAGTTCAGTAAACTGATCAAAAATGCACAAACAATGGGGATTCTACATGTAGGCTTTATTTTTAAAAGAACTAGTTTCTTCTGTGTTCCAGCTCTAGGAATAAGCCTGTGACTAAAATAAATTCTGCCAATAATGTTGACTTTTGAATACCAAAAAGTTTTGAAAAAATGCCCTTGGATATAAAATTAGACGAAAGAAAACACACAAAGGCCCATTCTAAGTGTGCATGTATTTTTCCGTTTCCTCCCACCCCCTGCAGTAAACTTATATTGAGTAGTTCATTTAATAGAAGACTTCTTGAAAACCACAGACCATGTGGTAAGGTTTGTTTTACATGGGTCACTAATGTGGAAAGCTTTGATACCTTATGTTGAAAGTAGAGCAGTCAATTAATTCCATGAGTGTGAACTTGGCATAGTATCCAATTTACCCTTAGGGGAAAACTGCCAGGATCCAAATACTGGTTTCTAAATAAAATACTCAGTTCTCTGACTTCAAGCTAAAGCATGTTGCTTTAATTCATGAAGCATGAACTGAAAATTCTGTCTTTTTTCTGTTCTCTTGTTTTCCTTAAAGGAATCCTGGGCATAACTTGACTGCAGAAGGATAGGAATTCTGCTTCTTCATTCTCTGTAGAAAAATGCATGCTCATTTTGCTCGCATTCTGTATTAGTCAGTATATTATGGGTTATGCTTCAGTAACAAACAATTCCAAAATCTTAGTAGCCTGAAGCAAAGATTTATTTCTCCTTCACACTGTATAAATAACAGAGGTTGGTAGTCATTTTTGATTCTGCATAATGGCTTGTGATCCATGCTGATGGAACAGCCACATTTCAAATGTTGCTTATGTTCATGCCAGAAAGGAAAAAAAACATTCTGGAGGATGCAAAACTTGCAAATAAATGCTCCAGTTCTCACCCCATTGGCCAGTACTAGTATCATGGCCCCACTAAAGCATAACAGGGCCCCAAATTCAATCTTTATAAGCTCAGAAGGAGAGGATAACTGGATTTAGGGGAGGTGTCCCAATGATTACCACAGGGACATTGCAGAAAACCAACTGGAACCACACAAATAGACACCAGGCCCTGCTGCCTTGCTTGTTGTCATGCTAGACCCCTATTAACTTCGTTAGAGATGGTACCACCTTCTAGAGGATGAAGAAGAGACCTGGAGCCAACAAAGAAGACATAGGGTTCATTGAGGAGACTTACATACAGGGCAGTTCAGTGGCGGCAGGCTGGACAGGAGAACCACAACCACTTGTAAAAAGCATGTAATTTATACAGCATTTTCACTTAGCACCCTCCCCCTAGCAACCTCCGCCTGGCCACTTTCATTTAACCCCAACAACAGGCCTAGATCCCCTGTACAGCCTGCATTTCACAAGATGAGCTAGGGATTCAGATGCTCCTCATAGATAAGGAATGAAACTCTGGGTTGGCTACTCCCAGATTCCTTAGCTGGGAACTCTGAACACACAGTCTTCTTAGACCACAGGGCCACTCTCAGGGTATGCTTCAGTTAAGTTATTGCTGTCAGATGTGTCTGCTCCATGCCTAGGGAGGATTCTACTACTCTGCAAAGTCTCCAGGCACTTTTCTTTCATCTCCATCAATTAATCCTTATTTCCTCTTTTGCTCATTGTAGAATCCTCTTTTTAAGCGCTAAACAAGTGGTCCTTACACATGGGTGCACATTATAATCACCTGGGGAAGTTTTAAAGCATCATAACCCCCAGACCCCACCCAAAACCAATTAAATCAGAATCATTTGGGTATGGGAGCAGCATCCAGTCATCAGCACTTTTTAAATCTCCCCAGGTGAGTCAAATGTGTGACAGAGTTGAAAAATACTGTTTTAATGCCTTAAATTAATAACCTGATTATGGCCTTCATTTCAGTATTAACCTTTTGGGAGAGGCCTTACGGGGAAAACACCAAGTCCCTGGACAAGGGGAAGACACCAAATCCCTGGACTCAGGCCTCACATGATTGAGTGAGAGGAACTCTGCTGTCAGACCCTACAATGCACTCTTCAGTGGAAGAGGATCACACATTCCAAACATACTCCATCAGGTGACAGCCCTTGCTTTTCTTCCAACTACCATACCAAACTGCCAGAAAATGTCATTTCTAGAGGGAAAAGAAGGAATAGAGCCAATTACTTGACTTTAGAAACAGAGAGTCATCCTATTCCTGTTCATTATTGTTACATAAGAAGCAACCCTGTAATTTAAAAGCTGAAAATATCACTTACTTATTTTCATGACAAATATGGAGACAACAGTGCCCTATGCAATGTTATCCAGGTGGCTCACCTGGCGCTGAATGACTTCACCTAAATAGCTCACTCACCTGGCTGGCAAGTTGGTGCTGTGAGTTCCTTTCCATACGGGCCTCTCCATGGGGCACCCTTGCACCTCCTCACAATACCGTGCCTGGGCTTCAAAAGAGAGAATTCCAAGCGAGAGAATCTCAAGAGAATCAGGCTGAAGATGTATTTTTTATGACCTGGAAATCACATACTGTCACTTTTGCTGTCAATCGCAAGTCTGCCCATATACAAGTGGAGGGAACAGAGATACCATCTCTCAATGGGAGGAGTTTCCAAAACACATAAAAAGAGCAAATGGATGGGAAATAGTATTGTGGCCATTTATCAAAATGTATTCTGTTACATATTAAAAGTTATCCTTTAAATAAGAGGTAAAATTCTACCGTGATTTACAACATTAGCTCTAGGATAAAACTTATAGGTTCTTCTTACTGGATGCAGAAACTTGGTTGAGTTTCTTACCCTTTGCTCTCAACACTTCCCATGGCTTAATTTTCAGTTGTAAAATGGATATTCTTCTTAGCTATTAAGAATAGTGCCCAACTTACATACAATGTGATCATAGATCTTTCTTTCCCTGCATTCACTATATACCTATTATCCTGACACCCATACACATTAGCACTTGCCCTATATATATGTGTGTGTGTGTATATATATATGTATATGTGTGTATATATATGTGTGTATATATGTATATATATGTGTGTATATATACATACACATATGTATATATATGTGTGTATATATACATACACATATGTATATATATGTGTGTATATATACATACACATATGTATATATATGTGTGTATATATACATACACATATGTATATATATGTGTGTATATATACATACACATATGTATATATATAAATACATTTTAATTAAAATATAAAATTAAAAATATTAAGTTAATTAAAATATAAAACTTAGGGCAAATGCTAATGTGTATGGCTGTCAGGATAATAGGTATATAGTGATTACATTGTATCGTTGTAGACTTCTTTAAATTCATCCCGTTTGGAATACTATAGGTTACATGGAGTCTGGATTTCCATTTCCCTCCCCTAGATTTAGGAAGTTTTCACTGTTATTTCTTTGAATAACTCATATGGTCCTTTCTGTCACTCGTCTCCTTCTGGAATCACCATGATGCACATATTAGTTCACTTTATTATGCTCCATAAGCTCCATAGGCTTTCTTAACTCTGTTTTATTCTTTTGTCTTTTTGCTCCTCTAACTGGGTCATTTAAAATGACCTGATTTTGAGCCCAGTGATTCTTTCTTCTGATAAAATTTGCTGTTGATGTTCTCAAGTGAATTTTTAAAATTTAGTTATTGTATTTTTCTGCTTCAGAATTTTTGTTTGGTACTTTTTAATAATTTCTCCTTGTTGATATTATAATTTTGTTCAGGTATCGTTTTTCAGATTTTAATTATCCATCTGAGTTCTCTTGTAACTCACTGAGTTTCTTTAGGATATTTTGAGTCCTTTGTCAGGAAATTTGTAGATTTACATTTCTTTAAGGTCAGTTACATGAGATTTATTTTGTTCCTTTGGTAGTGTCATATTTCCCTGATGCTTTGTGTTCCTTCTAGTTTTGTCTTGGTGTTGTGCATTTGAAGAAGCAGCCGCCTCTTCAAGTCTTTACAGACTGGTTTAATCAAGGAAAGACTTGCACCAATCAGCCTAGCTAAAGATTCTTGGAGCCTCTCAAATTTTTTCATGGAAGTACATGCTCCACTCCTCTTCATCCTTCCTGAGAGAGAAGGTTCAGCATTATGTGCCTTTTCTCCCTCCCACAGAGCCTAGGCAGCTTCTGAGAACCACTAGGGGAGTACACTGAAATGCATGGACATTAGGTACAAACTTCATTTCCCTCTCTCTCTTTCTCTTAAAGAAGAAGTCTCTACATTGTGTACCCTCTCTTAATCCTGCAATGTATGGCACACTGCTAAGAGCTGCCTGCCCCTTGGCCTTAAGTCAGACTGCTGGAGTGCTGGGAGGTAAAGTGCAAGCTTCACTTCTCTGCATTCCTTCTGAAGGAGAAGTCTCAGGATTGTGCACCTTCTTCAAATTCTGCAATGCCATGCAGGCTGCTGACAGCTCCTGCCCCTTTGCTCTGTGGTTAGGTGCCCCAGCTGTTCTAACTAGGAAGGTTGCTTCAACACTCTGAGTGAGGGAGACAGGGGTAAATCTCTCGGGGAACACCCCAAAATGCTAGGGATATCAAAAGCACACTTCACTCACTCACTCTCTCAAGGAAGAAATTGCAGGCTGAATGAATCTTCCTCAATAATGAGCTGTGCCAGCTTGGGGGAGGGTTCTGACACAGTTGAAGTGAAACTGTTCTTATTAACTGTTTTAAGGTGTTTTTTCTTAGTTTTATGCCCACCTGAGGTATGCAACTTCTTAATTGGATTCTAAAATTCACATACAGGCATTTTGGCTCAAATACATGTATCGTGGCCAAAATATCATTGTTTTTATCAGTGTTTCTATGAGGAGACAAGGGCTTGGACCTCCTGTTCTACTTCTTGCTGACGTCACCACCTGCAGTGGTTTAATTTTGATCCTCTGTAGTTGCATGTCAGCATAATTTGATTTTAAAATTTTCATGTTTTGATGGAGCTCCTATTTCTGGTTGAATAAATATATATTCTCCATCAAAATGGAGTAAAATTCAGAAGGTCTATGATTTTGAAGCATCTGTATATAGTGAAACATTCAAAATAATAATGCAGAAAATTTATCTGACATGTTTTGTCTTGTAAAAATACCTTTTAAGAAAAAAAAGTTTTCAATGGAAGAAAACAGTACTTATGAAAATATTGGGGCTTAAATATTTACATACTTCACTATGAAAAAAGTTTTAATTGATAAGTCTCACTTTTAGCAATTTTGTCTGAATTACCAAATACCCTAACACCTGAAGAGAGAGAGTTTTCTAAACTAACAATATTATGCCATACAAAGAAATGTTAATTGATTGTGTCAACATTTATATATTTATCATATAAATGTTGTATAATGTCATATAAAATATAGCCTCAAATAAGATGACATGTAATTTTACAGAAAAATAAGACTATATTGAAATTTAAAAATTCAGAAAAATACCAGTAACATGGTATTACAGAATGCTTTAAAACTGATTGAGTTATGGTATATTCCAGGAATAACCAAAGACTATTTTAAATCTTTGGGTAAGTAGTTTAAAGAAGGTTTTCTTTAACATATATAATTCACATGACTATATGTTACTTTATTCTTTGTATATTTCTGTTTGTTAAAATATTTTTGTGAATGTATAGGTCCACTAGTATAATGAAATTAATGTGTAGCCCAGTACATAAATCCTTCAAAAAGTCATATTATTAAAATTACTTGAGCATTGCCTTTTAACTCTGAAAGTACCTTTGTTTGTATGATAAATTATAGTCACATTGTTAGTGATTAGTAATTACAATTTCTTCTTATTTTTAAATTTAGTGACCATATACTGTAAATTGGAATTAGTGTGGTACATATATAATTCATAATTGCATCGAAATAAGCTATGATATTTTATCACTCAAAATGGAAGCTGCAGCTGCCAAAAGGTGTAAATATTTTGCACGTTACAGTTAGAACGACTTAACTACTATGATATTTCCTCTGTGCTCAAAAACTTCAATTCTTTTTTTCTTCCTAATTTCAAACTCCTCCATCACCTGGACCAACATTCTGCCTTTCAATTCCCTGGTTTTTAACCTTCTGGCCTAGGATGCCTCACAATCACCTGCCATGTTTGTAAAAATTGTCCATTTCTGGGCCCTATCCCTGAACTGCTGAATTATGCTTCTAATTCAGTAAGTCTGAACTGGAATGCAGGAATTTGCATTTCGGTAGGCTCTCTAGATGATCCTGATACAGTTTTATTATTCTAGGACAAGGCATCACAGTTTGAGGAATACAATTTTAGTTTCTCATCTTCTCCCCATTTCACATGGCTACTAGAATTATTCTTTCAAAATCCAAGTGACATTTCACTGCTGTTGGATTGAGTCCAAAGTTTTTAGTGGTGCATAGAAGAATCTTCAATGAAGGGGCCAATGATTGGCTCCCTCCCATCTACCCTGCACCCCTGTATTCAGGATGCATCTGCCAAGGATGTGTGTCATGGTGGCATGAGCTGCTTTGATCTCTGCTGTGCATGTACATGGCTTGCAGAATCCAGCATAGAGCAGAGCTTAGCAAGCCTTTAAAGCTCTCTTACATCCTAGAAATCTCTGCCAACTCTCTGCCTGTTCTTCTGAATACTGTTTGCCCCAAATGGGTTCACAATCTCAGGCAAACAGAGCTGCTGGCCCTCCCTGTTCACTTACCACCAAGTTGCCCCTTTAACTGGCAATGCTCCTAATTAAATGAACCTCTTTGCCAATAAGTGGACCCTCAGGGCCCTGAACCAGGAAGTGTGCCCTCACAAGACACTGAATCTGTCAGTGCCTTGTCCTTGATCTTCTCAGCCTCCAGAACTATGAGAAATAAAGTTCTCAATAAATAAATTGTTTATAAACCTCCTAGCCTATTACAGCAGCCTGAAAGGATGAAGACACCATTTCTGCAGGAACAGTTAAGCTGGATGGTTTTATGAATGTTCTGCCTGCCCTGGTTGAGCTACTACAGTGACAGAGTTGGGAGGCTAGAAATAGCCCCTGGGAATAGAGCCACAGGTTCATTCTGTTCTTAACCAAGATCCAGTAGTTCTCATGAATAAGCCCTTCTCAGTAAGTTGCATGCTTTTGATCAGATTCTAGAGTGCTGTGAAATGGTTGTTTTTGACCATTTTGTCCACTGTTAGAGTTGCTTTTGGGGGAAAGGATTTAATTTCCCTAGTAGGAACCACTCCCATAGCAGATCTTAAAGTCCCATGAACTCTTCAGAACAGCTTTTATGTGTGTGCATGCACGCATGCACACACGTGTGCACATTCGCACACACATACACACACCCTGTACTCCCTTGGGCGTGGCTATATAATACTATTAATCACCAGTGAAGCATGTGTTTGAAATTAATGTTTCCCCTGGCAGTGGGGATGACCACACAGAAATATTCACCCTCTTCTCGTCCTTGTGACCACCACAATTAATTTGCATGGTGACTGTTCAAGATGAGAAGCATTGTCTATCCTATCCTTTTAGAACAAAATTCAAAGATCCCTCACCCCTTCACCTCATTATAATTAGTAGCACATTCCAAAAGCCTGAGCTAAAGAGTGCCTCCAGCTCACATGAGTTTAACGGCACTAAAATTGTACCAGCTCAAAGTGTAACAGACCCTCTGCAATACTGCTAGAGCTTCCAGGGTGCTTTGAAATATTTTCCCTTCAAAAAAATTCACGAGCTCACACTGAAAACATTCTGAGAAAGTTTCAACAAAATAAGGATAAAGGATTGTTTAAATATAAAACACTCAAATCTTTTTCATGTATTGTCTAAGCTGATCTGATTAGCTCATGAGAATAACTCCAAACTCCTGCCAGAACATAACAGGTTTTCTACATAGGTCTAGTTGGAAAGAGAAAGAAAAACTATATACAGCTGTTCCAAGGCTGGGAAATGCTGTGCAGATCTGACAGCAGCTGTTTGCATGCCAAATAGTTCCAGCAATTTCTAATTAAATACAGCTCAGGAGAAATTTTATGATCTGTGTCACATGATTTCTGTCTGTATCTGGGATGCTTTTTCTCCCCCTATTTAAAAGCCCCTCCAGTGAAGTCTGCCTATTTTCTTAATCATAAAGGGCTAACTAATCTAGATGCGAAAATATTGTTTTATTCTCTGACGTTAGCATATCCATAGGAGTCCATTGCCGAAGTTCTGCAGGCGAGGGATCTTCAACCTCTTAACTCTAAACACTGAGCAATTGTGGATGAATGGGGTGTGAGTTGCTCCCTTCTTATAGCTCCTTCACGATGTCTCTATTCAAAAAGTGAATGGCATGCACATTTGTGCTTTTCCAGCTTTGGCTCAAGACTGCTAACTAATAATCCTAAATTAACCAGAAGAATAGGCTGGTATAAATTTTGCCAAACACACTCACGTATATTAACTTATTTACAATTTAAAGCAATCACGTGAAGGAAGCTGGCCAGATATTATTATCCCCATTTTACAAATCAGAACACTGACTTTCTCAAACACTAAGTTATTCCTGATAAATATTAAGGTCACATAACAGTAGTTGCCAGGTAAGAACTTGGCAGCAGACTTTCCAGTCCCAAGGCCATTGCTGATTCCACATGGCCCACTCCCTCCCTCACCTCATCAGCTGGACAGACATATCCATCGGTTCCTACATTCAAACGGTGTCATTTGAATGTAGGAACCAATGGAACCAGTGTCCCCAAGAGTGTCTATTTATCCTGCAGGAAAATTATCCATATATTTGAATACCTCTGTGACTCAAATTACATTTTTCTATCACTCAACAGAAATGTAACATAGCTTGGTTCTATGTGGGGCTGACGTGGATTGATATGGAGGCACGAGACAGATCTGAGAAAGCACTGGTAGTAAACACTAAGTAGCCGTAAATACTTAAAATTAAGTATTCTTGCCTGAATTGCACAACAGTCTCATTTCTCTGGGACAGAAGTCCCAGAACTCAACCTATAATGTACATTTTTAAAAGCCCTGAGGCCAATGGACTAAAAGAATCTAAGCCACACTGAAATAAATGTCTGTGAATAAGATTTTCATTAAGGTAAACAAAATAACAGCCCATCACCCTTTGACATGTTTATTCAGACTATTAATGCTTGTTTCCATGTGATACGACATTCCTAGACTATTGGTAAGTGTATGAGGGGCCTGTGGACACTTTTGCTCCATTATTAATGAGATCGACCAATATGAAAATATTTAATGGGACAAAATTTAATGAAAGTACTTAACTGCCAGCTTATTTGATTGTTTTCTGAGTTTATTACTCAGGGTAATTAATACTAGTTATTGCAACAGATAAACCTACAAACCAGTGACATAATACCAAAAAAAAAGTCTAGTTTTTACTCTCACAAAATGTAATGAAGTTTGGGCAGCTCTGGGTGGGTAATTCAGGGATTCACACTGCTCCCCTGGGATGTTTTAAAGCACCACATATGGAAGTAGCAAACATCACTTACATGCATGTGACAGTGGCCAGTTTCATTGCCCCAACTACACAGCAAGAGGTTTAGGAGAATGTGGTCTTCCTGTATTCCCAGGAAAAGGAAGCAGTACAGGAAACACAGAGCATTCTATGCAACAGGGCTTTCTCTGTAACCCCATCATTCCAGAAGTACCAAATACTCTGTTCTGGACAGATATCATAGCCTAAGGAGAGGAACTTTGTAACCTTTTCAGCAGGAAGGGTCACAAACCTTAGAGGGGCTTCTCTGTTAAAGAGTTACTCTCAAAGCTTTAGACTCATGCTCATAAAGACTGGGAAGAGACAAGGCCAGGCATGGTGGCTCATGCTTATAATCCCAGTACTTTGGGAGTCTGAGGCGGGTGGATCACTTGAGGTCGGGAGTTCAAGACCAGCCTGACTAACATGGACAAACCCCATCTCTACTAAAAATACGAAATTAGCCGGGTGTGGCGGAGCATGCCTGTAATCCCAGCTACTTGGGAGGCTGAGACAGGAGAATTGCTTGAACCTGGGAGGCGGAGGTTGCAGTGAGCCAAGATCACATCATTGCACTCCAGCCTAGGCAACAATGAGTCTGGGTAGGCTTAGCTATCCAGACCTGTCATTTTAATTTCATAATCCAATAAAGATTTTCTGCCAAAGATCTTTATATATATACTTAATTATTGCTGAACTGACCAGGGGAAGCTTTTTCTGGATAGTTTGAATAACCATCTTGGAATCTTAATTGTCCATGGAATTTTGGATTTTCACAAAGGTCTACTCATGTTCAACAATGTCCAAAGGCATTGAATGAGCCAAAGAACTCTCTCCCTTATAGCACTATTTATTCTTTTTGTGTAAAACACTGACGGTGGATGTACTCCTGTTCGTATGTCACAAGCAGTTATTCATTTTTAACAGCTTTTCTCAGAACTGACCAAGAAAAGATATCAATGTGATAGTGCCTGATTATACTTATCCCTTCGACCATGTAGATGCCGTTTCTTATCTATGTAGTCATCATTTCGTAGACATTAGGATCCTGATCTTCCTGAATTCAATTTTTTTCAAGGCTTAGGAAACCAAGCTGTGTAGGTCAGTTCCAGAGCATATGCAGTCAAAAGGTTTTGTTTTCTAAATTTCTTCTTGTGGAGGACACCATCAGCCTTACACATCCATATCCTGCCCTCTGTTATCCCCACTTCCATGAAAAAAAAGTGAGACCTAAAATAATATTACCAGCCTTCCACAATACATCGAAGAGTGAAGTATGAATAAAATATGGAATGCTAAATTCCAGTCATACATATTAATCTGTTTTGCAGGTTAGCTGCTCAACTTTTACAATGTGGATGCCTCAGGCTCTTTAGAAATATAGTATGCCTTCAGATTTTAAAACAAATTAAATAAGACCTGTCAGTTCTCAACAGCTCTGATCATAGGTTTACTATACATATTTCTTTCCCCAAGGGTGGAATGATGTATGTAAACCTAATAGAAACTGGATTTCAGTTTCTTATAAAGCACAGTCCATACCATGTTGACATGGACAATATCAAATTTTCTCTCATCTCGAAAACATTTCAGATTCTATGGCATATAAGCATGTCAAGAGACAATTTTCTGCCAATATGTGAGAGTTGTACGTTTCACGTTCAAAGTAGAATTTATTATATCTGAAGACAATGCAGTGTAGCCCTGGGAATTTTGAATGTATTACAGACAAAATGAAAAGGGTCAATAACGTGGATATCTGTATCTATTTATCCACTTTCCAAGGTGCATAGTGTCCTTTTTGGCTTGGAAAATTATACATTAGAAACCAAAGAACCCTGTTAGGTCATTTAACTACTCTGCACACATTTCATACACTTTAAAGTTCATCGTGTATTTTCTAAAAATAAAGAAAAACCTTACAAGTATCAGAAAGTGATGTCCAAATTTGTTTTAGTTTTATTTCTTTTTCATGGTACATTCAATTTGATTTATAATATATTAAGAATTAGCACAACTATATAAGTACAGGGCAGGGCAACATTTTATAAGCTTTTTGTATGGAACACTTAATACCACTAGAAATAGATCCCATGGTCAAAAAAATTGGGTGTGCTTGGATAAATAAAACTAAATAGATTTATTTTATTGAAGGATTTTTCAGAGCCCTTAATAAACTAATATATATCAAGGCTTTCAATGCTGAATTGCGTTAGAGGAGGAAAAAAAAAAAAAGACTTTCCCAAAGGTCTAGTCCCAAAATGCTGTCTTTCCTAAACTTACTTGGCCACCATAAACTTTTTTGGCCGACCTCTTTAACATCTTGACTCATACTAGTGTTCTACAGAAGAGAGACTGAAAAAGTTGCAATGGGGACTAAAAACGTCTCTTCAATTTCCTAGAGAATACATCCTTACTGTATCTGCACAGCGTTGAAGGACTTTAGCAGCTAAGTGGAAAAAATCAGAACAAATTAGTTCAATGTGGAAAAGCTGTGTAGACACACCAAAAATTTATTGAGTTACTACAATGAAGTATCAATGCTATATATTTAAAATAAAAACCTAATAAAGAAAATAATCTAATTGAGGCAAAATTCAAACTTTAAAAAGTAAAGTAACAAAATAGTTATATGCAAACTAAAATACGTACCTCACACATAACTCCCATTTCTTCCTTTTAAAAATGATTAGGGAGCCCTCTGCATAGTCTAGACTTTGAGCTAGTCACCAAGGGCACAGCAGTGAGTGCACACCTGCAGTCTCCTCTTGCACAAAGCTTTTGAAGGTCCCTGGTAGTGCCATTCAGCCATTGTGTATATCTTTGCTCCTGGCAATATATACCATCAGTCTTACTTTAGGTTTACCACAATTATACTTACCTTCAGGAAGAGAAATTAACACTTCTCTTATTCCACATTCTACAATAAGAGAAAACAACACTTTTTACTAAAGAATTATACATATAATTCAGCATGTAATGATTAAATATTTTCTTCTGAAACCTTTTAAAATACGCATGTGGTACTCTCTAAGCAATTATTGCAGTTAGAGCCAAAAATGACATTTTTTATCTTAAGTTTCTGTTAAGTTTACAAAACAACTTTTTGCAAGTTTCTTTTAGACATTTACCATCCAAGAAACCACGAGGCTACTATGCTTAGGAAATGTCACAATATCCCCCCACACCATAAAGGAACTGCATTACTCTACTATCTCCAGGCAGAGTCATATGTTTTCCAAACAAAACATGAGCTAATCTAGAAGTTGTTTTTTTTTTTTCAATATGTAAACTTCCATTTTTTCCATGCTTGCCAGGTTAGAGATGGAGCCAAGGAGACTATAATATTAGTGGACTGCAACTTACTTTTGTAATATAGGAAAATGCCATCCCTTCCAACACGTCTAAGGTCAGGATAAGGTGGGAAAGGGGATGAAATTGGATTGAAAGCTCTTTTTCTTTCCAATTTAAACCACTCTCCTTTGCCCATCCTCCCCTTGGGGCTTTGGTACCAGAGGAGAAGTGAAGAATCCTGGTGGTAATGGAGGAAGATGCTTGGATGTGTTTGGAGTAGTCAGGGGAGGAGCACAAGCAAGAATGGCTGAGCATACACGTGTCAGTGCAAAGTGGGGACAAGAAGGGAAGCACCTTTAAAATATGAAGGCTGTTACTGGCTTTCTTATTATTTCTATTGATGTCTTCATTCACAGCAACCATTAAGCCTACCTTTAGAGCAACAAATGAGTCAGATAGTTCATAGTCTCCTGATCTCTGACCATGTGCCCCTGTCTGTGTATTTGTCTTACTAGTTCAGAGTCTCTATCTTTTCCAACACTGCATTCTCTCTTCTCGTGGTAGAAATTACAAGCTAGTGGTCCATGGGCCAAGTCTAGCACACAGGTGGGTTTTGTTGGGCTTGGCTTTTTGTTTCCTTTAAATGAGAACCCAAATAAAACCAGGATATTTCATATAAAATCCAAGCTTTTGGCTTCTTTTGAAAAACTGGAATGTCTCACAACTTTGGCCTCAATATTCTTACAAGGTACAACCAGCTGAAACAGAGGAGCCTCAGTGCTCTAATTCCATCTAAGCCCTACCACTCACATAATGTCTGCAGATGCACTCAGGCAGGCCAGCTCTATTCATAGAAGCCGTCTGCTTGACCCCATTGGGCAATAACCACCCATCTCCATGAAAACTGAAACTCAACACACAGAGATGACCTAATCAAGATAATTTCTCCATCCCTGCTAACTTAGGTCCTCTTCAAAGCTCACCCAGCGGTAAATGCTCCAGTCCTCATATCCTCAACAGTCTCCTGGGCCTCAATCCAAGTATTTTTTCTTTCCTGTTTCTTCACCATTTTCTTCTTCACGGATTCTCTCTTATCCACATAGAAAACAGTTTTTACCATCTTAGAGGAAAAACAATGCTCTCCCTTTGACACTTCATCTCCCTCAAGCTATCTACCTCCTCTTTCAGCACCAACATTCCTGAAAGAATAATTGTGTCTTGTTCTTTGCAATTCTTTACCCTCCATCCACCTTCAAACCACTGGCTCCAGAAGACATTAGAAACCACTTTCACTCAAGGCAAAAAATGGCCTTCTATCCCTCAACCCAACAGACAATTTTTATTCCTCACTATATTAGCCTTGCTGCAATATCTGGCACAGATGACTACTGACTTCTATTTTGAAATTATTTTATTTCCTAGCTTCCAAGGCAGGACTGTCTCCCTGTTCTTATTCTCATCTTTAAACTCTTGTTTTCCAATTTTACTGGAGATTTAAAATATTTTTAAACATTTTAACTTAAAATACTATGTGTCTTCTAGGCTTAAACATCATTTCTCTAATTCTTTCCACACCCCTTTGAGTCAGACCTAGTAACAACACGTTCATTTTTTAAATGATAAAATATCCTTAAAGAGGTTGAATAAGTCTTACAAGGTAATCATTCAGAAGAGGCAGAGCTGGGACTCAAATCTTGGTCTTTTCTGAAACAACACCCCTGCTGTTAAGTACCACTCTGTCCTGCCTCTCCTTTCTCAAGCTTGTTGGTGACTTCTAGGTAGACCTCAGTAATTTTCTCTTCTCATCTTACATGTTTCCCTGTGCAATCCCAGCAATGCCCATGGGTTCATCAATTGCCTCCATGTTGATGTTCTTAAACCAATGAACTTCCATTCTAGGCGTTCCTTTTAAGAACCAAATTAATGTATTATCCCTCATGTTCTTTATTTACCTTTATCTTAACATTTACATGGTTTCATTTAACTTACAGTAGTATATGATTATTTTCCAGTAGGACAACAAAATCCTTGAGGAAACTATATTCTATCATCTTACATCCTCTCTGCCCAGCCTAGTGCCTGGCCCATAGATATTTAATGAATATTGAATGAGTGAATTACAGGATATCTAATGGCTGTCTGTGCATCGCTACTTAGATCCTCCAAAGCCCCATCTCCTACTTTGTCTATATCTCAAACTCAGGTTGCTTTGAACTATACTCTCAATCATTTAAGCTACTCTGACTCTGTCCTCCAAATTCCTTATCTCAGAGAATAATAATATCCAGCCAAAAATCTGAGTCTCAATAAGCTTCTTCACTCCCTTCCATATCAAATTGATCAAAACATTCAGTTAATTTACTTCCCAAATAATCCACAACCCACCTGCCCACTCCCAGGTATTCATGGTATCATCTATCATTCCATGTAGGACAATTGCAATAGTCTACTCACAGGCTTCCCACCCCTTCCAATCCATTCTGGACAATGTTATTGGGTTGCTTTCTTTATTTCTCTTTCTTTCTTTCTCTCTCTCTCTTTGTTCTTTGACTTGCTCAAAATTCTTCAAACTTCCCTATAGCCTACACAACAGAATGTACCTCCTTAATCAGGCATATACTAAGGCTCTTTATGATGTGGGCTTTGCTTTCTTGTCCAGCCTTCTATCCGTCACACCTCTCCTAATACATCACATTCAATAGTTCTTGGCTCCTCCCCTTCTTCATGAATTCCCTCCCACATCTTACTTCCCTAGAAGATCTTATATGTTCTTAAGAGTCTCGGTGCAAGGACTATATTCTCTAAGCAGCCCTTCCTATCTTCTCTACACAGATTTAAATAATCATTATAACTACTGCTTCACTTGTGTATTATTTCTATTTTAGTGATGATTATATTACAAAGTACATAATGACTTGTCTATTTCTCCATGAGGTTTGTAGAATGCTGAATGTTAATGTTCCATAATTATAGAAAAGATTGATGAGTAAGTTCTTTAGTAGTGATTTGTGGTATTTTGGAGCACCCATCACCCAAGGAGTATACACTGAACCCCATTTGTAGTCTTTTATCCCTCATCTCCCTCCTGCCCTTTCCCCTGAGTCTCTAAAGTCCATTGTATCATTCTTATGCCTTCGCATCCTCATAGCTTAGCTCCCACTTATGAGTCAGAATCTAGGATGTTTGGTTTTTCATTCTTGAGTTACTTCACTTAGGATAATAGTCTCCAATGTTATCCAGGTTGCTGCAAATGCCATTAAATCATTCCATTTTATGGCTGAGTAGTATTCCATCGCATATATACACCACAATTTCTTTATCCAGTCATTGATTGATGGGCATTTGGGCCGGGTCCATATTTTTGCAATTGTGAATTGTGCTGCTGTAAACATGCATGTGCAACTATCTTTTTGTATAATGATTTCTGTTCCTCTGGGTAGCTATCCAGTGGTGGGATTGCTGGATCAAATGGAAGTTCTACTCTTAGTTCTTTAAGGAATCTTCACACTGTTTTCCATAGGGGTAGTGCTAGTTTACATTCCCGCCAGCAGCATAGAAATGTTCCCTTTTTACCATATCCATACCGACATCTATTTTTTTTTATTTTGATTATGGCCATTCTTGCAGAAGAAAGGTGGTATTGCATTGTGGTTTTGATTTGCATTTCCCTGATCATTAGTGATGTTGAGCATTTTTTCATATTTTTGTCCACTTGTATATCTTCTTTTGAGAATTGTCTGTTTATGTCCTTAGCCCACTTTTTGATGGGATTGTTTGTTTTTTTCTTCCTGATTTGTTTGAGTTCTTTGCAGATTCTCAATATTAGTCCTTTGTCAGATATATAGATTGTGAATATTTTCTCCCACTGTGTGGGCTGCCTGTTTACTCTGCCAACTGTTCCTTTTCCTGTGCAGAAGCTCTTTAGTTAAATTAATGAAACAGAATAGAGAACCTAGAAATAAACCCAAAATACTTATAGCAAACTGATCTTTGACAAAACAAACAGAAAAATAAAGTGGGGAAAGGTCACCCTATTCAACAAATGGTTCTGGGATTAATTGGCAAGCCACAGGTAAGAGAATGAAACTGGATCCTCATCTCTCACCTTATGCAAAAATCAATGCAAGATGGATCAAAGACTTAAATCTAGGATCTGAAACCATAAAAATTTTAGAAGATAGCATCAGAAAAACTCTTCTAGACATTAGCTTTGGCAAAGACTTCATGACCAAGAACCCAAAAGCAAATGCAACAAAAACAAATGCAAATAGGTGAGACTTAATGGTTATTTTTTTCTCATTGACTGTTACAACAATCACATGGTGTGGGTAGTAATGTTTCCTTTAATGTTTTGACAGATGATATGATTGGTGAGCTTCATAGAAGGAAGCACTTGAATCCAGGTCTTGTGATCTTTAACCTCACATCATTTCCATTATATCCTACTACATTTGAAGCATTAAGCAACATTAAGCAGTCAGACTCATAGTATACCTTAAGCATTAAGCATTGAGAGCCAAGTGCACTAGAAAGGATTCATATCAGAGGGAAAATAAAACAATGGTAGAAGATAATTTGTTTAAAGCCACTCTCCTCTATGCAAAGAGCAGTCCACAGAATAAACCCAGTTGATTGACAACATGAATTCCATTGTATATAATTAAAAGCTACGTGATCATCTTCAAGTCAAGGTGGCTTGAGAACATAGAAAGTAACTACATTCAACTCTGCACTGAATACCTCTCTTCTTCCTTTGTCTCTGTCTCTGCACTTTAAGGTCATCTGTATGTATATAGAACAAAGATAATGGAAAGCATCTTGCTTTTGTATCAAGAGAACATGTGACATGATCAAAATGCAGGGTGAAGGAAACACGAATTTCATTCAAAATCACACATTTTCAGTTAATTCTTACTTTCCATCACTGAATTTTGTCGTTTGTTTTTATAATGATTAGATGTTTTGATGTTTTCTCCTAGCACACTTCCTTGTATCTAAGTCTTTATGTTTTTTTTTTAACAAAGGCAAGACAGGTAATGACTTTGTCAGTTTAAGTATGTGTTAGCTTTCTTTGTTAGAAAGGCTGAAAACTAAAATAGTAAAATTTTCATGGCTACTTACAGATAGTAATACCATGTGACACAATTCTGGATAATTATTTGTTCATGGAAGTCAGTGGGAGAATTTCCAAGAAAGCTTTTTAAGAAAGGAACAGACTCAGTTGCTGTGGCCCACTTTGCCTCTTTAGCTTTTTCTCCTTGTCTCTTCTGCTGCCTGAAAGGGAAAGGAAAGGCTTGGAGGCATGGCTGCCATCCTGCCACAGTGAGAACAAATGCTTCTTGCTCATGATGACAAAGTAGAAAAGTAGAAGGAGCCTGGGCCCCTTGTGACATATGTAAGCAACTATATTAATCCTGAACTCGCCTATTTAAGACTTATTATCACATGAAATAATAAATCTAACCTCCTATTTGTTTATCCATGAAACTGGATTTTCTGTACTCGCAAATGAAGTCATTCCTGATACAAATGCTCTTATGCAAAGAGCACTCTTTCTCTTTACAACTGAATAGGAGAGGATAAATTTCAGGACTTATCCAAGGTGTCTACTTGCTACTCCTTTGGAAAGTAAAGCAGTAGAACTAGATGAACTTGAAGAATTATTGAGACTACTTCTTCATTTTAGAATTTAGGAAATTAGAACTCAGAATCGTTTAGGAATTTTTTCAAGACCGCTCAACCACTGAAGTTTGAACAAGAGTCCTAGTATCCTAAATTCCACCTCGGTGTGCTTTTTTGTAACTCTGAAATTAAAGAGAACTTTTGACTCTGAGACCATCAAAGTCTTCATTAGAGCCTTGCTTATCATTAATATACTTTCGCAGACTCAAGGTTACAAAGTAGGTGTTAAGAAGGCTTACAAGAAAGATAATAATTATTAGGGGTGGAAAATCGAGCACATAAGGAAAATTGCTAATTAACCCAATATTTTTAAAGCCTATGGAAAAATGAGGTGAGACTTAACTGAAAGTGGAAGATAAGCTCTATTAGAGCACAGGCCTTCTTTGCTTTGTTTTTGCCTCTATTGCTGGTACCTAGAACAACTCCATAAATGTAGAGGATATTCCATAAATGTTAACTAAATGAAACAATTAATAAAGGAATGGCAAATAACCATATAGAGTATAGTTTTCATAAGACTAAGAAAAAAATCATCTTCCTAACATATAAAATATTTTAGGCTAGTTATACAGGAAGGCATTTATGACAGTTAGCAATTACATATATTGACTATGAGAAAACCGCAAAAAAGGTCAGAGAGGAAAGGAGATTAACCACAAAGGAATTTAACAGGCAGTAGATTGCTTAACAGTAACAATGGAAGACTGACCGTGGTGAACTAATATCTCTAAAATGCTGTGGGAAAATAGCCATTAACTTAACTATCATTCAAGAATGAAGACCAAAAAATAGATCTTTTCAAACGAGAAACAAAAACAAGAGAATATGCCATAACATACAATGCACTTTTTAAAAAGTACACTATAAGCAAATAAAATGATTCCAGCAGGGAGGGTGGAGATCCACTAAGGAGAAGGAGCAAAGAAAATGGTAAACACATGGTTATATCTAAATAAATACTATTTCAAACAATAATAATAATACTTGTTCTTAGAACTCTAAAAAGATTGAAATGGTGCACTAGCTAGCAATAACACTTAAGAGGAACTGGTTAGCTTTAAGCTATTCTAAGGTCCTTGCATTATGTGAAAAGATAATAAAGATAATGATTAACTTTAGACTGTGTTAAATCAATTACTAATGTGAACAATTTAAGGGTAACCACTAACATGGTAGAAATACAATGTGTAAACTCCAGGAAAATAAAGAGAAAATTTGAATTTAAAAATATTAATCAATTGAAATGGCAGGAGAAGGGAAAAACAAATTCCAGGTTTATGTGTTATAACAGACAGTGCATTAAAACACAGGCAGGTTGGAGTCAAGGCATGGGGAACAGATATACCAGGCAAAACCAATCAAAATAAACCTAGTATGGCTATTTAGTAACAGACAAAATAGGCTTTATGCCCTAAAGCATTCTTAGTGATATTTACCATGAAGATAGATATATATATTCTGTGTGTACATGTATATATATATATATGTGTGTGTGTGTGTGTATGTGTGTATATATATGTATATGTATACATATATACATATACATATATATACACACACACACACACAGAGATGCTATTATAGTCACTTAATGGCATAAGCTCCCCATATGTACATCAAAAATTGAGACTCACAAAGAAAAAGATTCACAAACAAAAAATAACACCAACACAGTGGAAAAAGAGAGAGGTTACAAACAAAGAGTTCAAATAAAAGAGCAGCAGTGAGGCACACAGTTATTTAGCATCTACCAAACTGATAATTCCATGTAAAAGCCCAATTTCATAATCAATTTAAAAATATACATTTAGCCATAATGTTTCCCACCCTTCAGTCTTCATTTTTACTAATAAATTAAATATATGCCTTATTTTAAAATGTAATGCATATTTACTTTTATAATTTCTGTTTTTAATATGGAAACTACAGATTTTATATTCTCTTCCTGTTTAGCAATTTTGATTTTGTTATGTTACATTCCTTTTGTTTTTGACTGTACTTTATCTACCTTGTCTTCTTTTCTAATATTCTGACTTCTTGATACTTGGCATGAGTTATTTTCCTGATGCTAGGCAGTATTTTGTTAATGTTAGAGTCAGGTTACCTGCCTTAGACATCATGGGTATTTCCTGTAGATTGTACTATTTAAAAAAATATATAGTCAAAAAAAGAGAAAACATTTTGAATGTTTATTGGCCTTGAATATTTGATAAAATATACACATTCTTGGGAAAATATAACTTATCAAAGCTGAATCAACAAAAACAAAACCTTTAGTATCTTTGTAACATTTAAATGAATCAAATCAATAGAAATATAGCTTTCAAAATACCACCAGGTCCAGAAGCAAGCAAGTTCTATTGAATATTCCAAAAGGAAATTATTTCAGTCAGTCTTATAAAAACTCTCCCAGAGAACAGAAAATTAGAGAATGCTTCTCAATTTTTTTAATGAAATCTGTATTACTTTGATTCCAAAACAAGATAGAAAAGTCTTATCTACAGAATTTTGTAGCTAAACTACAAAATTACAGACTAAAATTCAAAATCATTAACAAAATACTGGAAGCTGTATCCAACTATGTAATACAAATAAATCTCGTTACCTGATAGCCCAGACAATCCAGGGAGTAGGCAGTGAGGGTTTTCAACGGTGCCTGGGCTATGTGGAGTGGAGAGGCCAAGTGAGTAGAGATTAGAGATTCCAAAGTCCCTTCTATGTGTTATATCTCAGACCACCTTCATGACGGGTTTTCTCCCTCTCACTTTAAAGTCGAGAAAACCGACACTCAGCCATGGGAAATGATCTTCCCAAATTAGAGAACTAGTATGTAGTAGAGCTGGGATTCAAATTTCAGTCCTCTGATTCCATGTTTAGTTGCTTCATTTACACAGCCATATACTAGTAAAGGTTGAATAGCCAGCTCTCTAGGAAAAGTGCCCTCACTTGTAGCATTTGCTGATTTCTGTGGTATGAATGCTCTCGTGGCTGATTTCAGGTTACCGTATGATGTCACTGAACACAGAGTTGAGAAGAGATGCACAGAGTTGGCTCTAGGAGCCGGGGGACACTGGCTCCTGCACAGCACTGCCTGCCAGACTTAGTCCTGGTGCCTTTACTGTCTTTATTGATTCATTCTTGCTTGTTTACTGGAGATGGCTGGCTTGCTTCTTTAGCAGGCAATAACCCACAGGCATCATTTATTTAATAAATACTTATCAATTATCTATAATATGTCAGTCATTTTTTAGAACTAAGAGCAGTAAAATCAAAACAAAAATAAAAGCAAAATCTTGTCCTTGGGGGTAGATACCTTGTATTGTAGACAGAAACAGAAACTAAAATAAAAAGTAAATTACATAATATATCAGAAGGAGATAATTGCTATGGAGAAAATCAAGTGAGAAAGTTGGATGAGAATGACTGAATACTGTGTTTCGATTTTAACGAGCAAGGAAAGTCTTACTGGGAAGGTAATAAAGAATCCAGGTATGTGGGTATCTGATGAGGAGCCTTCTAGGCATAAAGTGGAGCAGATGCAAAGACCATGGGCATTATTGTCACTGACATATTGAGTGACAGCAAGGAAGATAAGCATGGCCAGTGAAGAGTGAGTTCTGCCAAGAATAAATATGAGATGAAGTCACAGAGGCAATGGACATATGTGTCACCTTGGGCTTTGAGGCAATTGAAGGTCTTCAGATTTTATTTGAAGTGAGGTTTCCATGTAAATTCTTCTTTATCAATCAGTTTTTTTCTTATATACCACACGTCATTTCAATATATAGTTTATTTCTTCCTTCCTTTAGGGAAAAGTTTTCTGTAAACTTATTTCTGTTCCATTAGTATGGGTCCCTAATTAAAGGAAACCAATTATTCCTATGTTGTATCATCTCTGCCTTCCATCTTTTTCATCAACTCTGTGATTATTCCTTGTCTCCTTTTTTTTTTTTTCTGAATTCAGAGTAATTATCTCAAGGATTTTCTCTTTGCCATTACTACATTCCTTTCCCTTTATGGTTAACTTGGTAACTCTGTAATGTTTTGCCTAGTTCTCAATTTTGTCTCTCTATTTCACTTTCCATGTTAACATTATTCTACCTTTTTTTAAAAAAATTCATCTTTAAGGCCTGTTTTATTGAATGAATCTTATTCCGTTTTTCTTTGACACTTGTGGGAAATCTGCTTCTTTTTCTTGGTCTGTGTTTTCTTCCAAACTGAGTCCATTTTGTTATGCCTGCTGCATCTTTTTTTTCCTTCCCTTCATCCTTCCTTCCTTTCTCCCCTTTTCCCATTTAAAACATTTTGCTTTAACACATTTGCATATTTGTCATGACTTTTTTTCACCTTGCTTATGCAAAATATGCAGAACTTATGAGCTCTAATATGGTATAAGTGAATTATCTTCCATTTCCTTCTCATCTTATATGGAATTGATTTGTCTTTTGCCACTCAAGCTATACTTTGAGGTCTAGGAACTGCTGTCTATTTACTTTTTTGAAGTTTCAGTGTACAAACTGGTGAGTGTAAGGGCCTAGTTTGTTGACTCATTAAAAGGGACATGAACTCTGCTTTCCCTTCCAAAATTCCATTAAAAATCCTGCACAGCAGCTCATTCCACCCACCATGGATGTAGACTCCTTCCATTCTCCCAGTTCAGCAAGGGACCAGAAAACTGCAAACCCTCACTGTCCTCTCTGCCTTTGCTCTGGTCTTATAGTGACAGGTAGGTGTTTCATACTTAAATATTTTTCTAATTTCCCAGTATTTCCTACTCATTTCATTGACTCACATCTCTCCACATTAAAGAATAGTGATACATATTCATAAGATTTTATTAATTATCATTCTTTCATTGGTATTGCTTCTGGCTGTTGGTCTGACTGTGGCTTAAACCTACGTAGAAACATTTCAAGTTTTTTCCTTGGCTTCACCTTTAGAAATATTTGTCATAAAATTTAGTATTTTTCCTGGTTTGATTGCTACTAGTAAATTTTTGGCTGCTTTTTTTTGGTTAACTTTTTAAATTTTATTTTGTTTAATATTGGAAAAATGTGTGTGACCCTGAATTACTTGCTGCCTTTACCCAGATATTTATTAATTATTTTTTACTAAAAGTATTTAGACAAGAAATTATAATATTATTCTATATAATAACTGCTGTATGTATCACCAGATAACCAGTGATTATTAGAGATGGTGGCTTCACAATTACTTTTATTACCAGTATAGAAGAATTTGAGAGATAAGTAATAAAGCATTACCCCCAAATACCTTGCATTCATAAGATGAATACCTTCTGGGACTCTGACATACAGTATGGTGACTATACTTAATAATGATATAGTGTATATTTGACATTTGTAAGAGACTAGATCTTCTGTTCTCACTACAAAATAAAAAAGGTTATTATGTGACATGATTGATGTGTTCATTAACTTGACTGTGGTAAATATTTCACAATGTGTATGTATATAAAATCATCATGTTGTACACCCTAAATATATACATTTTTGTCAATTATACCTCAATAAAGCTGCTAAAAAAGAAAAAGAATAGTGTTTGCCCACAGGTATTTCTCTTTTCTTCTTGTTTGAGAAGAATCTGTTGTGCTCAGGACTGGGAATGTGGATATACTGGGCCCCTATAATTGACAAAATAGATAACTGCTAAGCAACAGCTCCCCTTTCTCCTCCCCCTCAATCGCAGTGTTTCAAAACAGTCCAAAGGATATTTCTCATTACAATGACCCTCCTCATTTCCAAGTAGTGTAATAATACAGCAGATATTGCCTATCTATCTAAGCTATCTGATGGCCTCTAAGGCTCTTGGTCTAGTGTATTGGTCTGCTCAGCTTCTCAACAATTTCTCTTAACAGCTTATGAGCAAGGACAAAGAAAATAAGAGTGCGTAACTAGGCAGCACAAGGGAAAAGGAACTGTTTATTGAATTCAACTTATTAAAAAATTTTTCTCAATATCACTACAAAACTTTGAGGGCTTTTCCATGGGGTGTAGAGTGCATCTCCATTTGTCAGCCTTCCTGGTTTTAATAGGTGGTCTCTAGGTGTCTAGTTCTGAGCACATTCATCTTGAATATGAGTCAGTTAAACTTACATTTTTTGGTGATTGGTGAATATCTATTTAGTACTCTTGGCATTATTAGGCATCTTTCTGAAATGAGAGTTGCAAAATGGGCAATTTCCTAATCAGAAACATACAGCAGTAACTCCAGTTCTCATATCATTTCAGGTCATATGTTAAATGACAGGGCTGAGACCTCTCCACAGCACATCTGATACTGGGATCGATGAAGATCAGATGTGCAAATCACACTGGGCTCCGGAAAGCCCTAGACTGTGTCATTCAAGGTGGGAGGATTTGCTTCTCTGGTAAGCTGTGGAAAGATCCTCTGTGGATTAAGACCTTTCGTTTCTCTTGAAGGATGAATGGATATTATAAGTCCCAAGGACTCAATAAAACCTTTATAGCCTTAGTATAGCAGAGTGTCCGTCAGCCAATTCTGTGATTTTACTGTGTTTGTCTTTTGCAAAAATCCATGTGAAACCTCAAATGTTCCTTTTACAAGTTCTTTTGTTACACACACATGTTTTTGGTTAAATTAGTGGTGGTTCAATCTGGAAAAGATATCTGTAATTAGAGTCTTATTTTTGAAGTTTAAAAAGGGTGGGGGGAAGCACATATTCTATCAACTTTTCCTCACAGAAAAACTTACTCTATCTTCAAAAGCTGTGACCCAACACAGCAGTTTCTAGGATCCTCCAGAAGGAAAATTTTCACTTACTGCCATATTGTCAGAAAAAGAAGAGGCTTCTAAAAGTTTTAAAGAGTTTTTTTCTCTCCTCAAAACTCAAGTATGTACTTGTTAAATAATAATTCACGTAATTTGTAGAATGTGTTAGCTTTCAAGACCCATTTATGAAACCAGTAGTTTCACTTACGTAGGATAGGTATTATTATTATCATCATCATCATTTTTTTAAATAAAGAGAAGAGTAGAAAACGCATGTGCCCTGCCTTCTGTTGAACTAAAAGAGATAAGGTGAAAACTTAGCCTTGTGATGTAGAAAACTAATTCCTATTTCTCTCTCTTATGGATCCAAGCATCAAAATGTATCGTATGACAATGTCTCAACAGGCAGATGGCAGAAATATCACAACCCTAGCATTCCCTGAAATATTAGTGGACTACAGAATCATGCAGTCCAGGTAAAGAATCAGGCTACATTACAGGCTGTGCCACATTCTTAGCAACTGAGAAGGAAGATACTAGAGAAGGGGAACACAGGGGTGAGTTCTTTTTCTACTTTAAACAAGTCTTGACACAGCTTTTTCTCCAATTCCCAATATAACCATCCTGCCACTACTTCCCTAATACCATAGCTTGCCTAAGATTGATCAAGCAGAAAATGGGTATCTTACCTCTTAAGCAAAGGTAAAGAGTATTATTCTCTATGTTCTCTATGTCTCTGTTTTCTATGTCTTTATCTGGAGCATGCTCTTTCATGTCCTTTACATTTAATTCTTCAATTGCATAATAATACATAAGAAAAAACTAAATATACCCATAAGATTTTATTCTATGATAATATTTATAAAACTCAAACATATTTGAAAACATTGAAACTACTTTTTAAAAATATATGCAAGGTTGGCATCTGTTTATCATTTTTATAAAATATTAAACCAAATTTTTAAAGCAAGAGAAATATTCCTCTATTGAACTTACATCATAAGTTGAGATGAGCTATGAGGTTAATAACATTTACACCATGATGAAAATAAAGCTCTATAAAAACTCTCAAATAAATTTCTAATTTCAGAAATCCCTCAAATAACAGAATTGCATTTCTCAAAAGCTGAATCCTATTTAAGTGATATTTATTATAAAATACTGGTTATTATTATTAGTACAAGACTATATTGGCCCATAAACATATTTTTGTGGATATATTTTTTTTGTGTTTAAAGCAGGATTTCTCAACCTCATCACCATCAACATTTGGGTCAGATAATTTTTTGTTTCAGGGAACTATCCTGTGCCTTGTAGAATGTTGAGCAGCATCCCTGAACTCTACTCTCTAAATACCATGGGACCCTAAACATACACAATTGTGAAAATGAAAAACGTCTCCAGATATTACCAAATGTCCCCTTAGGGGTAAAATCATCTCCCATTGAGGAATAACTGGCTTACAGTATACAAGAATGCAGTAGTTCCAATATTCACTAAGCCTAATAATCTAACATGGAGCTACATACTCAGTTCACCAAATATTAAGTAAACCTCTGGCATATTCAAGGCACTGTGGGGGATTGCAATGATGAGTATAGCAATGTCTCCTGCTCAGAAGTATATAATCTCATAGGCAGGAAGAGTCAAGTACAATAGCCCCCCTTAGCTGTGGTTTCACTTTCTGCAGTTTGTTACTCATGGTCAACTCTGGTCCAAAAATATTAAATGTAAAATTCCAGAAATAAACATTTCATAAATTTTAAATTGCCATTGTTCTGAGTAACATGATGAAATTTCATGTTGTTCTGCTTCATCCCACTTGGGATGTGAATCATCCCTTTGTCCAGTATTTTCATACGGTATATACTACCTGCTCATTAGTCACCTAGGAGCCCTCTCAATTATCAGATCAAAAAAAAAAACAGCATATATAGGGTTTGATGATATCTGCAGTTTCAGGCATCCACTGGAGGTATTGGAATGTATCACCCATACATAAGGAGAAACTACTCTATACAAACAACAAGAACAAAAACAAAGTATGATAAATGATATAAACATATGCAACTTCATGAAATTAAGTAGCTGTTCATGCCTAGAAAGAGAATTGTTCACATAAAAATTGTTTACTAATAGTAGGAAGGATATAGTTATAATAAGTGGTAAACAAGAAAGAGTTTTTAAAGAGTTACTTCCCAGATACAATGGGAATACGGGCATTGGATAAATGCCCTCAGTCCAAATGGGAGAAATTGGCCAAAACAAAGGGGCTACAGGCCCCATGCAAGTCTCAAACCCAGCACGCCAATCATTAAATCCTAAAACCACAATAATCTCCTTTGACTCTATGTCTCATATCCAGGGAATGCTGATGCAAGAAGTGGGCTCCTAAGACTTTAGGCAGCTCTGCCCCTGTGGCTCTGAGGGGCACAGCCCCCATGGCTGCTTTCATGGGCTGGCATTGAGTGCCTGCAGCCTTTCCAGGTGCATGGTGCAAGCTGTTCATAGATCTACCCTTCTGGGGTCTGGAGGATGATGGCCCTCTTCTCACAGATCCACTAGGCAGACCCCCAGTGGAGACTCTGTGTGGGGGCTTCAACCCCACATTTCCCCTCTGCACTGCCCTAGTAGAGGTTCCATCCTTGCCCCATAAAGGCTCCATCCTTGCCCCAGACTTCTGCCTAGACATCCAAGTGTTTCCGTACATCCTCTGAAATCTAGATGAAGGTTTCCAAACCTCAACTCTTGCCTTCTGCACACCTGCAGGCCCAACACCACATGGAAGCTACCAATGCTTGGGGCTTGCACCTTCTGAAGCAATGGTCCAAGCTGTACCTTGGTCCTTTTTAGCCACTGCTGGAGCTGGAGTGGCTGGGACTCAGGGTGCCATATTCTGAGGCTGCACAGAGCAGGTGGGACCTGGGCCTGGCCCAGGAAACCATTTTTTTCTCTGAGCCCTCTGGGCCTGTGATGAGAGGGGCTGCTGTGAAGGTCTCTGAAATGCCCTAGAGAAAATTTCCCCCATTGTCTTGGCTACTAACGTTTGGTACTACTTTACTTAGGCAATTTTTTGCAGGAGGCTTGAATTTCTCCCCAGAAAAGGGGTTTTTCTTTTCTACCACATGGCTGGGCTGCAACTTTTCCAAACTTTTGTGCTCTCCTTCCCTTTTAAATATAAGTTCCAGTTTCAGACAATCCCCTTGTGCACACATGAGTGTACACTTTTAAAAACAGCCAGGTCACATCTTGAATGTTTTGTTGGTTAGAAATTTCTTCGGCCAGATACCCTAAATCATCTTTCTCAAGTTCAAAGATCTCTAGGGCAGGGACAAAATGCTGTCAATCTCTTTGCTAAAGCATAGCAACAGTGATCTTTACTCTAGTATCCAATAAGTTTCTCATCTTCATCTGAGACCACCTCATCTTGGACTTCATCATCCATATCACTATCAGCATTTTGGGCAAAATCATTTAACAAGTTTCTAGGAAGTTCCAAAATTTCCCACACCTTCCTGTCTTCTTCTGAGCCCTCCAAACTGTTCCAACCTCTGCCCATTACTCAGTTCCAAAGGCACTTCCACATTTTCAGTTATCTTTATAGCAGTACCCTACTCTTGGTACCAATTCTCTGCATTAGTCCATTCTCACACTGCTATAAAACACTACCTGAGACTGGGTAATTTAAGAAAAGAGATTTAATTGACTCACAGTTCTGCATGCTTAACAGGAAGCATGACTGGAAGGCTTCACAAAACTGACAATTATGGCAGAAGGTGAAGGGGAAGCAAAGACCTTCTTCACATGGCAGCAGGAGAGAGAGAGCAGGGGGAAGCACTACATACTTTTAAATGATCAGATTTTGTAAGAACTCACTCACTATTGTGAGTACAGCAAGGGGAAAATCCACCCTCATAACCCAATTGCCTCCAACCAGGTCCCTATTCCAATTTGACCTGCAATTTGGGTGGGGACACAAATCCAAACTATATTACCAGCATAACAGATAAAATCCAGGTTGGTGGACAAAGCTTTAGGTCTGCTGACCAAGTGGACACGTTTTCCTCCACATATTTCATCCTCTACAGAGGGGAAGCAGAAGAAAACTCTTCCGATCTGTGAAGACAGCTCTCAAAACAAAGAATGGTGAAGCTAAGCTTAGAATGCACACCAGCTATTATTCTGACATTCATCCATCAGGTAATTTATTCCATATCCTCAGTTAGAGAGAGTAAAGACATTGAAAGAAACCAAGAAAATCTCTCTTCATAGAAATCAGGAGTGAGGGAAAGACATACATCTCTAACCATCATAAAGTTAACTTGTTCTGTTTTCTTATTCTTAAATGGATGTGAAGCATCAGATTTATTCCAGATCAACTTTTGTGGACAGTGAACAAAAATGTATTTTTACAAAATACTATGATCTACAAAGTCATTTCATATACTTTTTTTTTTATTTAACTCTCACAAATTCATCAGGTGGTTTATTATTATATCTATTTACATGTCCTATCCATGGTCATATAACAAACAGGTAAGCCAGGAAGCTATGCCAAATCAATGGATTTTAAATCCAGGGACCCTATAAATATATACAACTATAATTTTTCTATATATGGTAACAAATCTAGGGCTCCTTGAGCTGCAGAGGGAATGTACTGAGCACCTTCTATACTCTTGTAACAGAGGTATGGACCAACCCCTTTGGAATGAATGAAGATTGAGGGAGGGCATCAACAGGATATACATTCCATCTGCATTTTTTGAATAAGTAGTATTTAATGAGGTCTTTCAAAGTAGAAGATCTGACAAGAAATCACAAAAGATGCTTGACTGGTGCTGAGGAAGATCCTGTAGAAGATGAAGCTGGCCAACTAGACTAGAGCCAGATCTTGAAAGTTCTTATATGACAAGTTAAAAGTTTCCACTTTATTTTAAGATTTGGAGTACCTGAAAGCCACTCTAGAATGTTTAGAGGAGGGTTGGAATAAAAAGAGACTAGGAATAGAGGGCTTAGGCAAGAGACTATTTGAACATGCCGGTGACAGCTGGTGAGTGGTAACAGGTGGTGAGTGGATAAGAGGAAAGAGACTGGACAGCTATTTCTGAAGAAGATCTGACAGTGGATTTGGGGGTGACTGGGTATGGAGAATGAGAGTGTTGAGGCAACACAATTCCATTATGTGGGGCAATTTACGCAGCAGGAGACACAGGTTTGGGCAGGAAAGGTGAAAGGAGTAAAATATTAGTTAGAATCTGTTAATATAAAGTCCCTAAAAGACGGGCAAGTTGAGATTTGCATGGAGAAAATGGAAACACAGGTCTTGAGCTCAGAGGAGGGCCCAGGTCTGGAAAGAGTGACTGGGGAATAATAACATCTCAACAGTTATTGAGCCAAGAAGGTGACTGAGAAGGAGCAGGTGGAAAACCATAAAATTACACTGTAAGAAAGTCAGTGAGGGTGAGGATGAGTGGGAGAAGGCTACCAGAAATAGTTAGGGACAAGAGTGTGGAAAATTGCAGAAATGCTAGGTAAGGTGAGCTCTGGGAATAAGCTGTCAGATGATTGCTTTTCATTCTCTCTCTTCCAAGCTTTGCCAAAGAGATCTAACATTCTCAATAAACTTATGTCGTTTCTCTGCAATACCATGGCTGGTTTTCTAAGTCAAAGTCCAAGGCCTGACATTTTCTTCATTCTGCAGAAGCTTCTTTCTTCTTTATTTAAAAATTAAAGAGCCATTTTCTCCTTAAATTGACATCAGTGGATAGGCAATTGTTCAAAATTCAAAACTATTTAAAACTAGTTACTTCCTAAGATGAATTCACCCATCTTAAAGGGAAAAAACACAATTCTTTAAAAAAACTCTTTACTACTATTTTTCTAGAAATGAATGTGTGGGTGAAAGTGAAAGCAAAAGTCAGACTATAATGGATTGAGAGTGAATAGAGGATGATGAAGTAGAGAGTTCTGAGGAATTTTTTGAGTGAAAGGAAGAAGCAATGATATAAGCCAGTAGCTATAGAGCATGGCAGACGACACTGAGGTGCATGCTCCTTTAGACAAGGAGAAAAAGTGGCTGAATGATATAAATGGTCATGACAAAAAGAGCTTTCTCAGAAACAAAAGTCCAGAGTTCAGAATGTCCCTCCGTAAGACCGTGTTCACAACTCTGGCCCCGTTCCTATTTAACTTGACTGTATTTGCTATTCTACTTAGACACTTTTCTTTAATCTTGTAATTCATCCATTATCAAAAAGACCAATCACCTATTCTCAATCACTTAGCATTAATAAAAGAAAATGCTGTGTTTAAGGCATTTTCTTTGGTGTAAAGAACTATATTTAAACCTTTCAGATTGAGTTCTATGCAGTAGAAATATAATAAAGTCCCTAAGGTAACTCATTACACTAAAAAGCGTTGTTGCTTTTCCTAGAATGAGCCAATTAAGTGGTTTCTTTAAAAGATGAATTTTAACAACCCTCTCCAAAGAGCTGGAGATGATCATTTGCCAAGTTACAAACATAACGGTGTTGAAGAGTTAAGTCACTGTGGCTTATACAATTTTTTAAAAATGCCTTTCTGGGGAAATTTGGGCCTAAAATTGGAGGAAATATATAGATCAGACAAACCCACTGAGAATGGAAGAGCCTGATTTCCTCTGCTTACTTATTCATAGATTCCCTAGCTTGCTTACTTTTTTGTTTTTGGTTTAAATTTGGGATCTAGCTACCTAAAAGTTTCCACAAAACACATTACTGATGTTTCTGTGTGTGAGAAAGATATATTTTTCCCTTCTGTTGTACCATCAACTTGGCTCCGCGTCTTGAAATTCAAAACCTCATCTACTCATTGTTGCTATGTTTTTCTAGTCCTATAATATAGCAGATTAAAGACTAAACCTGTGGGAAATGTGAAAATTAATCTTACTTGAAAAACAGTGAATTAAAAAGTACTCTGCTGAGCATTTCTAAAGCACAAAAACCTGTCTAGAATAATGAAACAAAAGCAGAAAGAATTGAACTCTTGAGAGATGTGGGTAATGTAATGAAAATAGCTGAAAATAGATGGAGAATGGAAACAGAAGAATGATACAGAGCTTAACCTTCTGTCAAAACATTCTGAATTCAATATGTCCCAACAACAAGCATACGAGACAGCAATTTATGGCCTGTTGCCTTTTAACGTTTTATTGTGTTGAATTAATTCAACAAGCATCAGTTGAATACCCACCAAACATACTCCAGTTGCACTGGGGAATTCAAAATAAAAATTTTTTTGGCCTTCAAAAATCTCCAAGCTAGTACATGCTTTAGGATTAATTTGTATTTTCATTTCCCTCTTGATTTGCTGTGCTAATTTTTCTGGTATTAAATGTGTACGTCAAACCCTTTTATTATTATTCATATATATATTATGATAAATCATTTATTGGCAAACATACTGCACATTGAGTTCCTCAAAAGCCCAATGGTCTAGGATGGTCTTCTTTGTTCTATCCAAGGGAACAGTGTGATAGGCATGCTTGAGGAATACATGAAAAAGAAAGAATGAACGACTGAACAACCGAAGAGAACTGAATTCAAAATTAATGTTAGAAATTCTAAGACAAGCTAAACACTTAAACATTGCTTATTGCCAGTGAAAAAAAAACTTCAATCAACTTGGTACATAAAATCCTACTTCTAACAAACTTTCCTGAGGCCAAAAAATATGTATTTAACAAACAGCTTTGCATTCTTCTTCCCATATTACATTATGTAACCAGAGGTTTCCAATATCCCCTTCAAAGACACTTTCTTGTGCGAATGAATTTCCAGAGTTGCAAAGTCAGCAGAGCCATGAATGTGTTCAAAAGATAGCTAACTGAAGCTGTGGTTTCTAGAAATCACTGCAGTGGTATATGACATTATTTTGAAAATTATTCTGAAAATAATGTATTACCAACTTACACAAATGAAACCAAAGAGAAACCATCTTCTCTCTGCCTCCAAGAAGCCATTCATCTTCACGTGAGGTGACCATCTTATCTTCCATTCTCCAGTTTTCATAACTCTTCCTGGGCACTGGAAGTAATTAAGAAATCTCCCCTTTCCTCTTGAGCAGGATTTCTGTCCCCATTTGGCCCTTATTAACTGCCCCAGGTTGCAACACTGAGAAAACTCACTCCAAGTCAACCATGTATAAACAAGAGCTGAAGATATTACTTAACTATAAAAAAAGATTTCCTGTCATGATTTTATGTGAGTTCATCTAGCTCTATTTATTACATTTCAGTAATACAGTCTTAAGACAGGTTTGAACCTTACAAATGGATAGATAGATGTACAAATAGACATATAGGTATTCTAAAATCTTTTCAAAGGCTTGATTGAGTAGTTAAATTTAAACAAATTTAATTATTCAAATACATCTAATGTTACTAACTACCATTCTATTATATTGAGCTGTGGGGCTTTGCTTACTATGGTCTGAATTTTCCGCAGAAGACAGACTCCTGGATAGAAGAATTGAAACTTGTTTCTGATATTTATTGACTTTTAGACTTCATTTCTGTCTTCACTTCTAGACTTCACATTCCAATCTCATACCTCAAGCAAAACTCCTGCTCCTTCACCCTTCCCACCAGCAAGCACATTATCTCACGAGAACAAGAAAACCACAGGTATCAAAATAGTACTATGGCTGAGAACATAGCTGGGTCAGCAGGAGCTGGGAGCAGCCTCTCCCTGTGCTGAGCAGTGAGGAAAGAGATCAAAGCCCATGCAACATCCAAGTAAAAGTTCCCACTAGGGGGTTTCCTGCACATAACCTTCTTGGTTTAAAATAACTCACCTGGGACCTGTAAAACAGCATTGCCTTTCCTACATTGCTTCCCTGAATACGAGGAGCAAAACACCAAGCTTCAAAGAAAGAAATAAGAAAAATTCTCAGGGTGCTTGGATCTGAGTATTAGTAGAAAACTACAAAGATTTATTAATTAAAGATAAATTTTCTTTAACAGAAACTATAATCAACAGAGCTTGGGAATCTTGTTACAAAAACTTTTTGGGGAAGCAAATATGTGTTTGGATTACAAGTCTTCCTCATTCCCAACCCCAGGAACCTGCCTGGAGAGGGGAGGTGGGAGAGATTGAATCTACCAATACTCAAACATGTTTGCTCTTGCTACTGTCGAAAATTCACTTCTGAGTCTTCTGATGTCCCTGGGTTTCAAGACACTAGTAGACTTTCAAAGCAGTTTCATTTTTACAAATGTTACCTTTTTCAAACCTAAGAGTTTAGGATATAAGATTTAAAGAAAGAAGTGTTATAATTGTGCATGAGACACTCCCTACTAAAGGTCACTGACTTCCCTTTACAAAATGGAATAGACAGACTTACTGACTTTAGCAAGGAAATCGATGTTTATTTTTCCACTCTGATGTGTTCCATGTATGTTTAGCTATTGCAGTGATGACTGTGTTCACCAGTGAAAACGGCTTGCTCTTCGTAATATCAAAATAATTTTTCAAGTGGTGGGTGGGGTTAATACAGCTCGTCCTGAAACTGACACTCCCGATGCTTTCTATCTGCCAACGTCGGCATGTGTTCAGGGCTCCTTTCAAACAAAGAGATTTCTGATTATAATCCTGAATTGTTATTGCCATGACTGACGCAAAAGGACATTTATTTTTATCCATGTGGTAGTTTTTTTAAAAAAGATTTCCAATGAAAATTCTGTTTGTGATTCAGAATGTACCTCACTGTGACAAATATATAGCACTTTGAAATTTCAATTTTACAAGCTCATTAAAAAATAAAGAAATTATTTGGTATACTTCCTTCTTTATTCTATCTACTTCTTTCTTATCTGAGAAAATAAGCATTCATGAGAAGAAAAACATCATATTTAATTAGAAGGGTGTCAAAGCAAGATCATACCCATTTATATTTATACATAGTACCTCCTTGTTTGTTTAATGAGTATATTTATCAGTGTTTCACTTAGTAGGCAGTTCTCATGCCAATTTGTGTGATTCTTTACTTTATTTAATTACATAAGGGTTAGTATAAGAACATAATTAGAATTTAAGTAATCCATTATCTTAAGTGAAACAACTGAGATACGGAAAGATAAATACTACATGTTCTCATAAGTGGGAGCAAAATAATGTGTAGACATGGACATAGAGTGTGGAATGAGAAAGAAACAGTGGAGACTCAGAGGAGATACGTGTGGGAGGGAGGGTGGGAGGAGTGGATGATGAGAAATTACTTAATGGGTACAAAGTATGTTCTGCCTGTGATGGATAACCTAAAAGCCCTGACTTCACCACTACACAATGTATGCATGTTTGTACCCCACAACTTTATACAAATGTTTTATAAGAATTTAAATAATCTTATCATTATTTGTTTAGACTGTTTCAAATGTAATAAGTCTTCCTTTTCTTCCTTAAGCATGAGCAGTCATTATTTGATGGTCCTACTACATGGGTGGCAACTATAAAATAGTGGGAAAGATTTCCTTAAATCTACAAGAAAATAGTTCCTTGACTTCATCAAAATGACACATGCTTATTAAGTACCCTAGAAAAATAGAAGATGGATTGATAAATATAGAAACAATTTTTAAAATTTACTTTTCAATTTTTAAATGGGCCACTCTGTGGGTGTCGGTTTTAGCAAAATCCACAAATGCAAGTGGGAGAGACCAACTGTCCAAAAACAGGAGAAATGTAAGGCATACAACAATTATAATCAGTGGTTATCATTTCTAATAAACCTGTGTCCTCAGTCATTTTATGAGCTCTAGCGATAGAAGCTATTCTGTAATAAGGGAATTTCAAGGTCAAGAGCTTAATTGCTTCAATGTTCCATTATTTAACAACACACAATGTTTTCTTCCCTTTCTGACATTCTTCAGCAGACTTATGACATTCTCAGTTCCCTGTCACAAAAGCAAATTTAATTAGTGTTTATCCTCTCTCTTGAGTTTACTCTCCAGCATAAGAGGTGAGTAAAAGATTCTGGAACCTAACAACTTCTAGTGAGTTGGCATGAAAGGCAATTGGTCATTAAAAGCCAATATCTTGGAGCAGAGGTCTCTGCTGAAACAGCTTCCCTTTTTGGGTCACCTCAATTAAAAGTTAATTCCTCTGCAATACACCTAGTAAGCAGTAATCCACTCTGGTTTATAAATTGATGTAAATCTGAACTGATGGTCCTACTTCCTGTGTTTAGAGAAAGGTCAGGGGGACAATTACAATGTCAGCCAACTTTGTCTAATCTTCCGATTTTTAACAGGAAGTCTGCAGGAAATGTTAATTGGGAAAATATAATGCCTGACAAAGAAAGTCTTCTTCAGACTATTTGCCCTTGCCCTTCCAGTTCTCAGAGGCTCCTATGGAAATACATAGTAACAATTCAAAATAGGAATTTCAGTGTCCCACTGATATGCTGAGCATCCATTTTAGTTCTTAGACCAGCTGAGAGTTCATTTTGACAAGAACATCATTTCTCAGATACCACATGTTTTGATCCAAGTTTCCATTGTATTAAAAAAAAAAAAAAAAAAAAAAGTGGGAGGGTGATATCAGCAAGATGGCAAACGAGGAAGTTCCCGGCCATTGTTCCTTCATGAAAACATTAAGCAAATAACTAGAAGTTGATTAAAATAATTTTATAGGAGCTCTGGAAATTTAATCAAAGATCTATGGCAACCAAGCAAATGCTCAATCAAGAAAAAACCACTCCAAAATGGTAAGACATTTGGTGGTATTTTACTTGTCCTTGTTCCACCTCTTAGCTGGCATGGCACAGCACAGTTTGGGTGAAGTGGTGGCTTGATCCCCAGTTACCTTCCACCAGCAAGAGCAGAATGGAGCAAATTTGCAATGTTCTAACCTGTCTATAAGCTACCTGAGAGATTTGTGTCTATGTCACCTCACTTGGAGTTCAGACACCCAGAAGTGGCTGGGATGTCAAGCCATGGAAAGTCATGTTAAGCAGAAGGCATAGCTTATTAAAACTGCAAACAAAGAAAAAAAATAACTACAGACCCTTAGATGCCTGAAGTAAGAGATTACTGATTGAAAGATTAAACAGGACAGCTAAGGCTGAGGTGACAGCACGAGTGAGACTCTTGGGGAAATTAAGGCATTTAAAAGCAGCCATGCATAGAGAGGAATTGGAAAAAGCACCAACACAAGCTCAGGGACATAAGCCTAAAAAGGCCTAAGAAGACCTTAAGTTTTTTTGTTGGAATGACTTGTGAAGGGTTTCCCCTGCCCAGAGCTAGCCTGCAAAGATTGGAATAGGTGGCCATTTTTAACAAATGCCTACTTTTCAACAAAAGCTCAAAGGCATGCAGAAAAACAGAAAAAGGCCCGTTTTGTGAAACAAAGTAAATCTACAGAAGCCATCCCTGAAGAAACATAGGCATTGGACTTACTTGACAAACACATTTAAATACTTATCTTAAATATGCTCAAAGAGCTAAAGGAAAACATAGACAAAGAATTAAAGGAAACTATGAAATGATTTATTAAAAAAAATAGTATATTAACAAAGAAAATTTATAAAGAACCAAATAGAAATTCTACAGCTGAAAAACATAATAACTAACTGATTTTTAAAAGTCACTAGAGGTGTTCAACATAAGACTCTAACAGGCAGAAGAAAAAATCAGTGCTCTTGAAGAGAGTTTATTTGAAATTATTTAGTCTGAGAAATAAAAGGAAAACAAATTTTAAAAAGTGATGGTAGCCTAAAGGACTTATGGGACACCGTCAAGTGGACTTAGTACATCTTATAGGGGTCAAAAAAGAAGAGAGAAAAAGAGAAACAGATAATGTATTTGAAGCAATAATGATGAAAAACTTACAAATATGAAGAAATACAAGGATATTCAAATACAAGAAGCTCAGCAAACCCCAAAGAAGACAAACCCTATCCAAAGGCACATTATAATCAAACTATTGAATGCCAAAGAAAAGATAGAATTGTGAAAGCAGGAAGAGAAAAGTAACAAAACAAAGGATCTTCAATGACCTCAGCAGTTAATATTTCAGCAGAAATCTTGCAGACAAGAAGGCAGTAAAATGATATAAAATACTGAAAGAAAAAAAACTGTCAAGTGAGAATTCTATATCTGGCAAAACTGTTGTTCAAAAATGTGAGCCAAAGATATCCCAGATAAACAAACATTGAGGGAGTTCATTACAATTAGAACTGCCTTACAAGAAATACCAAAGGGAGTCCTTCAAGTTGAAATTAGGGGACATTAGAGAGCAATTCAAAGCCATATGAACCTATAAAGTTCTTGTAAAGATTAATACATGGACAAATGTTAAACCATTATTAATGTAATCTTGGTTCATAACTCTACTTTTTATGCTTCTGCAAGATTCAAAAAGCAAAGGCATAAAAATCTTTATAAATCTATGTTAATAAGTACAGTATATATACAAAGATGTAATCAGTGACAAATAACATAAAGGGAAGCATAAAGCTATGAAGGAGTAGTTTTTGTATGTGATTGAAGTTAAGTTGGTATTAGTTTAAAATAGATTTGTATAACCTTCTGATGTTACTTGTAATACCCATGGTTACCACAAAGAAAATATCTATAAAATATATGCAAAAGAAAATGAGAAGGAAATCAAAAGTGTCATTATAAAAATCAACTAAACACAAAGGAAGGAAGTACAAGAAGAAATGAAGGACAAAAAAGCTAGAAGACATGCAGGAAACAAATAATAAAATGGCTATAGTCAGTTCTTCCTTATAATAATTACTTTAAATGTAAATAAATTAAGCTCCCCAATCAAGAGACATAGATTGACAGAATGGATTTTTTTAAAATTCAACTATATTCTGTCTGGAAGACACTCGAGATAAAGACAAGCATATGTTGAAAGTGAAAGGACATAAAAAGATATTTTGTGCAAATACAAACCAAAGACAACAGGAGTGGCTATACTAATACCAGATGAAATAGACTTTAAGTAAAAAATTGTAATCAGTCAGACATGGTGGCTCGTGCCTGTAATCGCAACACTTTGGGAGGCTGAGGTGGGCAGATCACTTGAGCCCAGGAGTTCAAGAGCAGCCTGGGCAACATGGTAAAACCCCATCTTTACAAAAACTACAAAAATTAGCAGGGCATGGTGGCATGTACCTGTAGTCCCAGCTACTCAGGATGCTAAGGTGGGAGAATCCCCTGAGCCTGGGAGGTCAAGGTTGCAGTGAGCTGTGATTGTGCCCCTGAACTCCAGCCTGGGTGACAGATAAGACTCTGTCTCAAAAAATAAATAAATAAATAAAAATAAAAAAAGAAAAAAAAGAAAAAAATGTTACCAAACACAATAGACAAACAGAAAACTAAAGAAAATCAATGAAACAAAAAATTAGTTCTTTGAAAAGATCGACAAAATTGACAAATCTTTAGCTAATTGGCTATGAAAAAAAGAGCAGTCTCAGATTACTAAAATTCAAAATAAATGTTGAAACATAAGAGAGTATTATGAGACTAAGATATTGGATGACTTGGATGAAACGGACAAATTCCTAGAAACACACAATCTACCAAGACTGAATCATAAAGAAATAAAAATCTGAATAGACATAATTAGTAAGAAGATTAAATTAATTAATTAACCTTCAAACAAAGAAATGCCCATGACCAAATGGCTTTTCTAGTGAATTCTACCAAATATTTAAGGCAGAATTAACACCAATTCTTCTTAAACTCTTGCAAAAATATTAGAAGAGGGAATATTTCCTGACTCATTATATGAGGGCAGAGTTATCCTGATACCAAAAAGCAGAAAGAAAACTACAGAGCAGTGTTCTTAATGAATATTGATACAAAATTTCTCAACAAAATACTAGTAAACCAAGTACTTTAGTACAATAAAAAGATTATACCATGACCAACTGGGTTTTATCCTTGGAATACAAGGAGGCTGTTTACCATATGAAAATCAATCAAGTAGCACACCACATTAACAGAATAAAGGGAAAAAACATGTGATCATCTCAATTAATACAGGAAAAAGCATTTGATGAAATTCTATACCCTTTCATGATTAAAAAAATACTCAACAAACAGAATATAAGAAAACTTCCTCAATGTAATAAAGGTTACATATGAAAATCCTACAGCTACCATCATAAACATTGGTGAAAGTCTGAAACTTTTCCCTAAGATCAGAAACAAGGCAAGATGCCCACTTCTACCACTTCTGTTCAACATACTATTGGAAATTCTAGCCAGAGTAAGAAAAAGAAATAAAAGGCATCCAAATTGAAAAGGAATAAATAAAATAATCCCTGTTCAGAGATAATATCATCTTCTAAGTGAAAAACCCTAAAGACTTCACAACACAACTGTTAGAGTTAATAAATAAAATCAGGAAAGTTCCAGGGTATAAAACACGCAAAAATCAGTTGCATTTTTATACACTAACAACAAACAATTCAAACAAATTTAAAAAGCAATTTTATTACAATAGTATCAAAAGATGATGAAATATTTCAGACTAAAATTATTTAAGGAGACAAAAGATTTGTACACTGAAAGCTATAAAATACTGCTGAAAATTTTAAAGAACACACAAATAAATGGGAAGACATTCGTGTTTATGAATTAGAAGACTTAATATTGTTAAGGTGACAATACTACTCAAATAATTCTACACATTTAATGCAATACCTATCAAAACCCCAATGATATTTTTGCAGAAATAGGAAAACCTATTCTCAAATTTATATGAAAACTCAAGGTACCTCAAATGACCAAAATAATCTTGACAAAAAGGAGCAAAATTGGAGATCTTACACTTCCTGATTTCACAACTTACAACATAGCTACAGTAATCAAAACTGTGTGGTACTGGCATAAATACATATAAACCAATGGAATACAATAGAGAGCCTACATATAAACCCTCATGTATGTGGCCAAATGATTTTCAGCAAGGGTGCTTCCCCATTCAACAGTCTTTTCAACTAATGGCTGTGGGAAAATTGGATATCCATAAACAAAATAATGAAGTATAACTTTTACATAACACCATATATAAAAATTAACTCAAAATGGGTTAAATACTTTAATGTAAGACCTGAAACTATAAAACTCACAAAAGAAAACAGGGCAATGATTTCTTGAATCTGATATCCAAAAGCACAGGCAACAAAACAAAAAAGAGATAAACCGGACTGCTCAAAATTAAAATTTTTGTGCACCAAAGCACACTATGAACAGAGTAAAAAGACAAACCACAAAACAGAAGGAAATATTTGCAAATTATATATCTCATAAAGAGTTAATATCCAGGATATATAGAAAACTTATACAACTCGACAACAAAAAACATACAACCCATTTTGAAAATGGACCAAAGTCTTGAATAGACATTTCTCCAAAGAAGATATGCAAACAGCCAATGAAAATATGCTCAACATTGCTATTTATAAGAGCAATATAAATCAAAACCACAGTGAAATACCACTTCACACCTATTAAGAAGGCTATTATTAAAAATAAAACCAGAAAATAGTGTTAGCTAAGACATGGAGAAGTTGGAACCCTCATGCACTGTTGGTGAAAATGTGCAATGGCACAGCCACTATGGAAAACAGTTGAGTGGTTCCTCAAAAACTTAAAATAGAATTACCATATGATATAACAATTCCACTTATGGGTATATACCCAAAAGAATTTAAAGTAGGGTCTCAAAGAAATACCTGTACACATGTTTGTAGCAGCATTATTCACAATAGCCGAAAGGTGGAAGCAAACCAGGTGTTCCTCAATGGATTGATGGTTAAACAAAATGTGATATATACATACAACGGAATATTATTCAGGTATAACAAATGAAGTTCTGATATATGCTACTACATGGATGAACTCTGAGAACATCATGCTGAGTAAAATAGTCCAGACACAAAAGAGCAAACTCTGTCATGATTCCACTTATAGGAGTATTTAGAATATGTAAATTCATAGAGACAGAAAATAAACAGATATTACCAGGGGCCGGGGGAAAGGAGAATGGGAATCATTGCTTAATGGTTAAAGGGTTTCTGTTTGGGGTAATAAAAGTTTTGGAAATAAATAGTAGTGATGGCTTCACAACATTGTGAATCTAATTAAAGCCACTTAAATTACATGCTTAAAAATTATTAAAATGGTAAATTTATGTTAATATATTTTACCACGATTAAATATACCCCCAAAAAAAGTCCACCAAAATGTCCCCACTAGTTCTAGCTGAGGGTTGGGCAGCATTCGTGCAGGTCAAATCTGTGAGAATTACTGGAGATTGGCTGCTACAAGGTCAAAAGAGAAAGATACTGAAGATGACCACTACTGGAAGACATTTGAATTTTCAGCCCAGCCAGAGTGGAAAGATCTGTTTACCCCATAATTAATTTAAAAATCATCTGGCTGATGGAGTGCAGTTGTACAATCATAGATCACTGCCGCCTCCAACGCCTGGGCTCAAGAGATCCTCCCAACTCAGCTTCCCAAGTAGCTTGGACTAAAGCCACCACATCCTGCTAATTTTTTGCTTGTTTGTTTGTTTTTGTTTTCTTGTAGAGACGGGGTCTCACTATGTTAACCAGGCTTTTCTCGAACTCCTAACCTCAAGCAATCTTTCTACTTTGGCTTCCCAAAGTTCTGAGATTACAGCCATGAACCACTGCGCCTGGCCCCAATTCTATTTTTTTTTTAACAGGGAAAAACTCTCCTTTTATAGGGCCACGAATAACTTTTATAATTCCATCTACTCAAGGGATGGAGTCTATTCAACAGGTTTATTGAATGCATAATATGAGCCAGGCACTGTGCTCAGCAATGACAATATCATGGTCACAAGACAGGCATGGTCCCTGTGCTCATGGAACTTATGGTCTGGTGTCAAAATCAAGCCTTAAGCAGGTAGTTTTAAATGTGGTGGATGTAATAAGAGGGGAAGTTCAAGCTGCTGTGATGGGGCACTTACCTGCCTTGCCAGATCAACATTAAAGCCAAGGCTTGAAAGATAAACGGGAGTTCACTGGATTAAATCTCAAGGTAGAGAAGAGTCTTCAAAAGTTAAAGAACAACAAATACAAAGAGCCTAAGGCAAAAGCATTGCAACCCAAAAGAAGACCAATATGGGTCTTCTGTAATGAGACAAAACATGAAACAGAAACAAAGACAGAAGTTATGAAGAGTGGCAGAGCAATCCTTATAATCAAATTTCATAATTTCACTTATCTGCTGATTTAATCACTGTTTTCTCTGAACCAGTTGAAATTTCACCCCAGGTGGAATGAATATAGAGATGTTAGGGTACAAAATTGATAGAGTGCCCTAGGGTTGCCCATTGGAGCAATTCTTCGTTTTGAAGGACATTAGAGTGAATGAGATGGAAGTGTCAGTCTTCACATGGGGACACCCATTCTCAGGTTTCCCAGCAGCCTAAAATCCTAAAGGTTTCTGCAGTGGTAGCTAGACCACAAACAAGCCTCCACACTCTTCTAAGCTGTGGGGAACGTTGTGAATGAAGTACCAAATGTTAACCCCCTTGGCAATGGATACAACCAATTTCAGTAGCTGCTTAAACAATTTATCTGAATTGAGGATTACTCAAGGGGAAAACAATCCAACAATGATTGCACTTAAGCTTCTTTCCTTAAGATTTATTTGTTCCAATTTTCTTTTCTTCATTTAAATTCAATTTTACCATGCTTCGTTGAATGAATTCTCTAGGAATACTTCAACTCTGATTCTACTGTATTGCCTTTTGTCACCATTGTATCGCCATTTCTTTATTCTTTTAAAATAACTTTTTCATACATATAGTATGTGGTATGTGTTTGGACAACATAGACTATGTCAGGATAGATACACAAGAAACTAGGCACAGTTATGCCTTTGGGGAAAAGGGCAGGGCGGCCAATTTGTTGCATAATGCTTTTGTGTGGTAGCGATAAAAAGGACTCTTTTTCTCGGAGCCATGAGTTATGGCTTATGCAGCAGTGCTCTGGCTAGATTAAAACCACCACTCACTGCCTCAGCCAGGTGCCATTGTGCAGCAAATGACTTGAACAATCTTACTTGGCAGCCTTGGAAATGAGGAACTGAGGAACAAGGATGTGAGGGAGGCTTACGTTTCATTACTGAAGAGTCTTTTGTATGATTTCATGTGCATTTCAAATTAGAAACCAAAAAGTAATATGTGCAAAATTATGGCTAGATAAGAGAAATAAGTTCTGGTGTTCTATATCAGTGTCGGATAACTATAGTTAACAACAATATATAGGTTCAAATAGCTAAAAGGAGAATATTGAATATCCCCAACATAAAGAAATAATGAATGTTTGAGATGATGGATATGCTAATCATCCTGCTATGATTGCTATACATAATGTGTTGAAACATCACTATGTACCCCACAAATATGTATAATTATGTGTCAATTACAGGAATAAATAAAAATATTTTAAAAATTATCCAGCGGAGACAAGAAAAGGACTGTCCTCAGGAAGAACCATGTCCCAGAAGGACGTTGACTTTAAACCCACTCTGACGAAGCCTAAAATCAAACCCTAACACAATTTGCAAAGAAAGAGTTTGAAGGTTGAATCCAACCAACTTAGAGGGCCTTGGAAAATACTTCCGTCTTGTTATAGATCTTCTCTAATAACACGTAATTCTAAGCCTACCCAAGTTAAAATTTATTCAATCACTAACTGATCCATGCAACAGAACTAACATCAGTGTTCTTCAAAAAGGACAAATGGACTCTGAGGTCCTACAAAGTAGCATCCACAGTCTACCATACAATAAAAAAACTTGATATGCAAAAAGAGAGGATTAAGTGTTAACTCTAGTGAAGAAAAAATCAGTCATTAAAAACAAACCTAAAATATGGACCAGATATTGAACTTTGCAGTAAAAACTTGGAAGCACCTATTTTAAGCATACTTAAAGAATTAAAGGAAAATATGCTTGAAAATTTGAAGAAAATGTGGTCTTAATGAGTGAGCAAACAAAGGATCTCAACAAAAAACAGGATTTTTAAAAAAATGGCAATTCTAAAACACAGAAAGTAAAAGGAATAAAAATTTTAAATTTAGTACATGGGCTCAACAGCAGATTATAGATAGCACAAGAGCCAATGAACTCAAGAACCAATACATAGAAACAATGCAAGATTAAAGAAAAGGAACAGCCTGTAGTTCCAGTTACTTGGGAGGCTAAGGCAGGAGAATCGCTTGAACATGGGAGGTGGAGGCTGCAGTGAGCCGAGATTGTGCCACTGCACTCCAGCCTGAGTGACAAAGTGAGAGACTTCATCTCAAAAAAAAAAAAAAAAAAAAGAAAAGAAAGAAAAGGAACAGTATCTTGGGACCTATGAGACAATATCTGTAACAGACACAAAGATGCACTGCCCAGTTCCCCTTTCAAGGAAGGACTTCAAATCTTGCTGCAGGAAATAGGATTGGCACACAGCCTCCAACTATCAGTTCCTTCAGGACCTGCCTTAACTATAGAGAGTTGCTTTGCCTAATTCTGTTTTAAGCAGCTTGCATCTGGTGACTGAATAAGGCAGAGGTACAAAGTCCCGGTTATTTCAGCCCAGCTGAGCAATGTTAACTCCAGAGCTCCCTGCTGTTTGGGCCAATGTTTTGTCTGCCTGCATCTCAGTTCAACTTCTTCCTCTGCCCAATTGAACTTCTTTCCCCTTATTTTCCCATGGATTAATTCCTATTAAATATTTTGTATCACAAACTCTGTCTCAACATCTGCTTTCAGAGAGCTCAACCTCAAAGAGTTAATACTGGCAGTGTTCTGAAAAATCAGGTGATAAGATGAAGTTTTGGAGATGAATCATTCATTGCTTAGATGACAACGAGAATCCTAAGCTGGTTTTGGTGGAAGACAGACAGCCCCAGGCACGTGGAAGTGGGTCAAATGTCAAGCCTTCACCAGTAATAAATTAGAATGGTCTGCTGTTGGAAGGGAATGGATAAGAGGGTGCAATGGATCAGGATTTTCAGACTCATGGATAAAACAGTAGATATAAACATAACAAGAAAGGAGGGCTATTGCTAAGTGGCACTGATGCTCTACTGGAATACAACTAACAACTGACTTATCATAATGGGCAATGAAAACCTATTATGAAGAAGCTTTCATCTCCTGCAGCAGCAGGGCAGAAGATTATTAAGCCCAGGAATTAAGAACCCAAATGGCTGAACTTCAAAGAATTTTAAATCCTCAACTAAGGTACATCTGATAAGCCTAGATCTGAAACTCTGTTTGTGAAAATCTTGGATCCTGACACATGAGATGGACACATCTGTTTGATGCTCCAAAGATTTTGACTCTCTAGACTCATTTGAATCGTCTGAGTATGCATAAATTATCCACTCTTCTCTAGTAAGAGTTAGCACTCCATCCCATGCTGGAAGACAATGCAGAGTCCTCCCTCTCGCAACAGGTACTCCAGTCAAAATCTTCCTCCATCTCAAATTTGGGCCAGTAAGTCTATAAGGGTAAATCACAGCATAGCTTAGCTGTGGATGAGCTGATCCTGCTGAAGGAGGAAATGGGCTATACTTTAAGGGAGCTGAAAGATTTAGCCAGCATGTACTGGCAAGATCTAGGAGGCATGTGTGTGGAACTAGACTCTGAGAATGTTAGATTAAGATATTCAGAATATGAAACTGGGTAGGAGAGAGTGTACTGACCTGGTAGTGCTCTCCTGAGATGCTATGCCTTACAACCAGGCAAAGACCAAGGGAGATAGTGCAAACTTATAGGAAAGTTGACTCTAAGAATCCTGAAAGAAGCCATGGCCCTCTATGAAAGTTTAAATGCCATAATTGTCATGGAAGATGGTAGAAAGGGATTAAAAGGTTTAGGAAAGTAAGTGTGCTGGGATGGATACATATATATAATGCGAAAATCCACCAGATGATTAAGCTCCATGGAAAAGATCAGAGGATACACTATCCACCAGGACCATAAGGAATGCACTGGTAGAGAAAGTCAGCAGTATGGACTAAAAAAAAAGTTCAGCAGTCACTCTCCATTGTAAAGCAGGGTTCACGGTAAGAGGCACAGTTATGGAAGAACTCTACTCACTGATGGTAAAGGGAAAAACAGGACCTGGTAGTAATAGAGGCCAAGTGGTGACATTTAATCACCCGGAAGTCATGACGTTGCATTTATTGCAATAGCAGGCAAAGCCGGAGTGGCAGCCATAGATACTTGTGGAGACATTAATAGAACATGGCATCCTGAGGGACAAAAATCAATGGACATCTGTCCAGGGCATTACTCAACTTGCAGCAGCAGAAAAAGAAAAGGAAGAATGATTAGGAGACTAATGATAGGGTAGTGACCCCAATAAAATACTATGAGCCCTTGCCCAGTGCTCCAGCCTGTCAGCATTTTCAGTCTCAGAATCCACTGGCTAAATAGGTGCTCAGGTGTCCAGAATGAAGGACCCTGAAAAATTCATGGAAATATACATGGTATTGATTCCCCGGTCCTTCCCCAAGGGACCCATAGCCATTTTTAAGTAACTGGGCAATGGAGAAATGATTGTAAGTTGAAAACTACAGTAGCCTCAACCTAAGAAGGGAACAGTGACTAGCTACCTTAAGGGCAATTAGCATAAATGTGAATTTTATTGAGGAATTCTTAGGAATAAACAAGAGGTGAGTTATTTTGTACTTTACCTAAAAAAACTCCACAAAAATCTGTTTGAATATATCTTTCACCACGTTGTTGCTGGTCTCAACCCCATCTCCTTGTATTTACTCCTCCTTGCTTTTTGGGCAGGGTCTATGGGTGGCTAGCCAAACAGTTTCAATAAGATGAAACCCCCAGATATGGGCAAACCTTGAGAACTTGGTGCCCCTCCATTAGGTTTCTAGGAAGTGGATAGGAAAGCATTGCTTCTTAATTTCTTTTTTTAAATTGTTGTTGATGAATATGTATTAATATAATAGATTTGATTTTTGACCTTGCATTTTGTGACCTTGCTAAATTAGCTAGGGGTTTTTTGTTTGTTTGTTTTAAAATTCTCTAGGAGTTTTAAATCCGTGGGATTCAGGCATCTCCAGGAAGGACATAAATGTAGCCAAGCCAGCTCTTTCAACAGCAGCAGAGCCTGCAGGAGCTGACTGCTGGAGGCCACCTGGAGACCCCACTCCCTGCAGCTGGAAGCAAATTTTTCTTTGAAGGGGGATGTGAGGAGCACATTTCCATGCCTGCCACAGTCCAGCCCTTGTGCAGGTTGGATCCAGTGCTCCATATACATTTGGGGAGCAGCTACTCAAGTATTCTGGTGGGCCCCTCTCCCTGAGAAGAAATTTAGGAGGTTAGTGAAAAATAACTATTGTTTCCTCCGCTGCAGTTATTCTTAGGGCCTCCATTGACATTCATCTTCTCCTTCTTCCACTTTTCATACTAGAATGCCAACAAAGAATGCTGGCCTCAGTGGTGGCTATTCCTTACTCCATGTAAGAGAATCAACAAAGCAAGCCCTGGGAAATACAAACCCTGGCCTGAGGAGGTGGATGAACACTGAGATAAGAAGTCAGAAGCCAAACTATTTCCCAATCTTATCTTTTCATTAGAACTGTGTAGGGTTTCCATTCAAAGAATGAGAGCTCTGCCCATGTGTGGGTTGGGATGTCCTTCCTTACTCTGACCACACTATTCAGTGTCCTCTGGAAGAAACACCTGAATGATCTGAGCAAGAATTCCCCATGTCTTATCACTTGGTACCTGGAGCACCCTTCTGCTGCCTCTTATCATGGTTTTCATTCCCCAAGGTTTATTAAGCCTGCAGTGGAGACAGGATTCTGCCTGACTAGCCTTCCTTTTGAAAAATCAGCACCTGTTATAGACTGAATTGTGTCTCTCCCTTCCACCACCAAGTTCACATTTGACATGTTGGAGCCCTAAGGTCCAATGTGACTGTATGTGGAAATGGGTTCTTGAGAGGGGTGATTAAAGTGAAATGAAGCCATAAAGGAGACCTGATTCAATAGGACTGTTGTCCTTACAAGAGGAGAAAGACACACCGGAGAAATAGCCATGTGAGGACACAGCAAGAAGGTGGCCATCTGTAAGCAAGGAGGCCTCAGGAGAAGCCAAACCTGCAAACACCTTGATCTTGGACTTCTAGCCTCCAGGACTTGAGAAAATACATTTCCATTTTTCAAGCCTCTGAATCTATGATATCTGGTTTTAGCAGTCCTAGCAAACTGTAATACAATACCCAGTCTCCCCCTATGGTGCAGGTGCTAATGATCCTCATTTTAATGCTGCAGTTCCAATTGTGGGCATGTGATCATTGCTCACTCCATCAAAAAATTCCATCCTGGGCCTCAGAGAGTGGTTCAGGGTTGAGTATTCAACCCAAGCCAGGCCAATCGGAACAGTCCTGAGTTTTGCCCTAGGACACTGGGAAAGGGGGCACTCCATTTTCCTCTGAGATTGCTTAGTCAATGGACTATAAGCCTGCAGCTGCTGGGATTCATCTTTTCCACCATGAAGGAAGGGGCTGTCTGAGAATAAACCCAAGACAGAACACACAGAGCCAGAAGATGGGGAGATAAAGGTTCCAAACATTGCTGTGGAAGCACCTGGCTCCATCCTTACCTCCTGTTACCCACCCTAGACTTGATGTTGTGTGAGCCAACAAACTCCCTCCATGCCTCAGACACTGAGTTTCTTTCTCTCACAATTAAAAAAATCCTGACTAAAGCAGATGCCTTCGTCTTGTCCTACAGTGTGAGTGTTTGAATATGATTTGATATTCTCTAGATAAATGCCAATATGTTATTTAATATTTGTAGCAATTACCAGCCTTTAAGTAAAAAAAAAAATCTTAAAAAATATTGTAAACTTAGTTTATCTTAATCCTGCATAAGCTACTAACCTTTTGCATAAACCCACAGGATATGACTATCCTATTCAGAAAAAGATGCCACATTCCAAAGGCGAGATGTCCAATTTCCCTTAAACTCCTCTAATTACAAGTGAGGGTTCATCTGCCTCCAGCACCACCTCTATTGCAGCTGCTTCCTCTGTGAGGTATGTGAAAGGTTGCAGACACTCCATTTTCTGAAAGGAAACATCAAAGATGAGCTAAGCCTGCAAAGTAAAACCATCATCATTTCTCTCTTAGTATTGACTTAACCAGCCAGATGTACTTCATAGTAAAATCATAATCCCCTTTTTTCCCCTCATTTTAAGAAAGATTTCACTTTGGATTGACTTGAAACAAAGTTGGGACACATTTTCAGTAAAGTGCTTCAGGATGGCAATTAGGTTCTTTTTCTCCTGCTTCCCATGGTAGAATGAACACATTTCTTGAATGAGGTAAATCTTGGTAGACAACTTTACATATATTTTTTAACCTGAAACATTATAATGAATGCTCCTTGGGTACAGGATTGCTCCATCTGAAAGAAAGCCTATAGAAGTATACACTGTTTTTCAAACAAAAATGAAAATAGAATTTTCTTTGTACCAGTATGTGTCACTCTTAAATACATCAAGGATGCTGACATGACCACAAAATGCATTTATCAATTAAAGGTTGAAGCCCATAGGGCCTAAGTATATACAATTATATTTAAATTCTCTCATATAACCCAAAACCAAACTCCAAACACAACCAAGTTATAACTATGCCATTAGGTAAAAGAAAGACTTGAATAAAAGAATGGAGCATATCCAACTCGTTTATATACACAAACCTATTAAATAACTCCATTTGTATGTCTAATATCCATTTCAAACTTAATATGTCAAAAATTGTACTCCTGATTCAACCCAGCCAAGAACAAAAGAAATAAAAAGAAAATTAAAAACAGAAAACAAAAATAATCCTGCATTCTCACATTCTTTCTCATCTCAGTAAATGAAAAAACAAAAATTCTATTTTACCAGTTGTTTAGACTAAAAAATGGGTTGGCGTCTACTTCAACTCCTCTATCTCACAGACCACAACCAAGCCAATCCACTCAACAGGCCTACATAGAACATACGAGAAACCCAGATCCCAAATCTGATATTTTCTCTTCAGTTTCACCATAACCAGCCTTAGTCAAGCTGCCATGATGTGACATCTTGGTTGTTTTTCACAGCTGCCTATCAGGTGTTCTTATTTTAACCTGCTCTCTTACAGTCTACCCTTAACATAGAGCCATAATAAAGTTTCTTTTGAAACTTATTTTGGATTACACCACTACTATACTCAAAACTCCCCAGTGATTTTCCATCTGAGAGTAAAATCCAAATTTTTTATCTCAGCTGCATGATCATACATAATCTGCACCCCCTGCAACTCTCTGATCTTTTTTCTGCACCTCTCTGATCTTTTTTCTGCACCTCCTACATATCTCTGATCTCATTTTTTGCTACTGTCTCTATGAAAGCCACCGTATGGTGGCCTTCACATGGGTTGTATAACACCATGGGGTGGCAGCCCTGCTGTTCACTTCATTCCAGCTACACTAACCTCTTGGTGATTTCCCAAACATTCCAAGTGATGCCCTGCTCACCGCCTTTGCATGTGCTGTTCCCTGTGCCTCACATAATTTCCCCTAGATAGGTGCACGGATTACTCATCACCATATGCAGATAGACTCTCAAATATCACCGTTGCAGAGAGCTTGTCCACGACCATCCTAAAAAAAAAAAAAAAAAAAAAAAAAAAAGCAGCTCCCTGCCTCAGCACTCTGTAACCTCCAAGTTCTTCTCATCAACATTTATCTTATATCTCATATCAAATGGGGCAGAGAATATCTGTATTTTTTACTGCCCTATCAGGCATACAGAAGACCATTCTCATCACTTAGTGGATGCTCTATATTTTCTGTTGAATTAGTAAATATAAAGAAGCTTCCACAAAATTATTAAAATATTTAAACTCAAAATACATATGCTAGTGACCCTAACATATACTTCCACTTTATCGAAGACTGCATTTCATTCATTCATAATCCAAAAGGTGTGGCCATGTAAGGATAATTAGGTATTCAGAAGGCAGCATGATACATGGGATGTCTATGGCCCAAGACTGATTTCCTTCCTTCCTTCCTTCTTTCCTTTCTTCCTTCCTTCCTTCCTTCCCTTCTCTACTTACTTCCTCTATGTTCTTTTTTGCTTATAATAAATCAGTACATATTTATTATAGAAAATAGAAGTAAATATTTCAAAGGTTGAATTGTCGGACTTGAATGCTTTTAATTTTCTTGATACTGTTGCTAAATCGCTTTCCAATTGATGTTCCACTTTACACTCTCACCAGCGCTACTTGGGGGTCTTTTTTCCTGCACTCAATACAGCCCAGACAATTATTTATTTTACTTTGTTATCTTGATGGACAAAAGTTGAAATGACATTGATTTTAAATTTTTATTTTCTTGATTGCCAGTGGGGCACAATTTTCCTTGTTAAGGGAGTCAGGAGACAAACTGCTCTTTCCTCTTGGAATTCTATTTTATGGTTCACAGGGTGTTAGAACTGGAAAGTGTTCAAATCCTTTATTTTACAGATGAGAAGACAAAGCTAGCAAAGGAAAGTGTCTTTCTTCTAAGTCATTCACCTAATTTGTAGCAGGACCGAGACCAGAATGACGAATAACTTGACTCTAAACTAACTCTGCCCATTTACACCCATTAAAAAGAGGTTATTATTTTCAAGCTTCTATAACGAGGGAAGAATTTAGAAAATACTTAAAGTGACAGTCAGGGTTCTTACAAATTGCAGCTGTTTGAGAAATTGAACAAATCTGATGGGTCATTTGAGTAATAACACCAGGAACTCAAGGACAGAGAGTGTCAAGAATACACTGAGTTGAAGGACGTGGTCTTTTCAACATGCAAAATAATAGAAGACTTTTCTATCCTGTGAACCTACAGAAGGCAAACAGTTCACCCAGTTCTGCCACTTGGCCATGTGCCCCAGGACTGTGTGATTAGCAGTGCGCTTGGACTGTGTCTAAGCAATCCCAGCAATGGAACTTAAGTTTTCAAAATCAGCTCCAGGGCTTTTGTAATTTCCTCTCCATCACCATTTCTTTAAATCTCCCAGACAGAGGAAGGAATTCTCCACCCAAAGATATCTTCCTGGCTGACTTTGTCTCTGCTTTTTTAATGCATTCTCTCACTGATTCTTGTTGGTCTTGAGCAAAGAATGATTTATCACTGCCACTTCTACAGCATGTAACACAGATACAGTCTCTGTCTGAAAGACATTAAGATCTAAGTAAAATGAGCTAAAGAGTTTCTTCACAGAGAGGATCTCTATGGGAGTGATATTTCATAGGGGATATTGGAGGGAGATTATGTCAGTACAACCTGCAGGAGGGACCTGGGCATGCAACACTGTATGGAGACCTGAAGAGAGTGAAACTGCTGAGGTTCATTATTTCCCAAGATTTGTCAATAACCTTTATCACTTGGTGTTCTGGAATCATGCAGAGGGAGAGAAGGAGAGTAAAGGTCATTTCAAAGTCATTTACTTCAGGCAAAACAGGCAATCCATGGTCTGCTGTACTACTTTTCTGCAGGAGACAAGAGACCCCCAACTGTCTTATACTCTTTGCTGCCTAAAAGATCAGCCCTCTGTGAAGGGAGCCTTTCAGCCATCTCCCAGGCTGTCCCTGCACACAACAGAAGCTTGCAGCCATTAAAGCCTTGGACTCAGACCTCCCAGGTTGAATTGATTGTCTGTCTACCTTCAAGGTCTCTGGACTGAACCAACCCTGATGTCATCAGTCAGAGAAGCCTAAGCCTCCCAGGTCATCCTTGGCCTCTGTACTCCCCTAAAACTGACCCATCTTTTCAATCCTCTTTGCTTTTGACCCTTGAACCATGCCTGGTGCTCTGTTATCTGAAAATTCCTATATGTCCTCAACCTTTCTGAAAATTTCCTTCATCTTCTGGCCTATCCTCTGACAATACTAATTCCTTTGCTGTCCTCTTTAGTGGATGCTGTTCAGTGGCTGTTCATGTCTTTCAACATTGACTTTTGTACATGGCTATTCATGTCTTTCATGGAGTTGGGATAAGTTCCTTCATGCTATTCACTGCTGTTTCCAAGTCATCTTATTTCTCCTTATTTCAAACCTTGCTCTACCTGGGGAGTTTATGTCATTTGACTTTGCCACTCAGCAAACCTTCCGTCATCATCTATCAACATCCCAACCACATCTCTTATTCTTTGATAATGACTCCGGTAACACTGTATTCCTTTTCACTGCTAATTCTTTCCAAAAAAAATATAAAATCCATTGAGCATATGACCTTTCTGTATCCATGTTTATCTGCATAGCTTTATGTCTTTTTTTTACCCAATTCAAATTACATGGTCCGTCATTATAATCTTTTCACAAACACTCTTAACTTCTTGACTCCACTCCTTCCATTCATAATCAAAAGGTAAAAAAAGAACTCCCCCAATTCCTTCCCTGAAGTGGAGTGGCTGTTACTGGATAAAACTATAAAACTATGCTGTATGGTCTCACTTTAAATTTATGATCACATATTTCAGAAAACAATTTACCACGACTCATCATTCCTACTGGACTTGCCTAATATGTTTCCTTTCTCACTTTCCAAATGGCTATTTCTTATTTTCTTCTTCTTTCAAAACACTCTTTGCCACTTCTCCCTACACATACCTCTCAGCTGATGAACATAATTCATATTGCATAAACTATTAAAAACGTGAATTTTCTTATTTCTACTTCTGAATTAACTAATCTTCCATGGTGTGTACCTGACATGTTGTCTTCTCTCTTATTACATATAAAAGAATGTCTCCACTCTAAGGCCAGTTCCTCCACCAACGCTGTGGATACCATCATCTCTCACCTTCTCACGGACTTTAATCCTATGGCAATTTAGTCTTCTACCCCATCAATTTCTCCTTTGTTTTTGAGTAAGTCACACTAGTCTACAAATAAGCCCTGGTATATCTAATTTTAAAAACAAATCTCTTATCTGTCCTTTCACCTCTTTCCACCTACCTCCCCATTTATCTCTTCACTCTCAAACAAAATTTCATGGAAGGATCTGTACATTGTCACTGTTTCTAATTCTTTGTCTTGCATTAACCCCTGAATGCAGCACAATAGCCTACCATCTTCACTACTTCAGTGACATTGTTCTTACCAACGTCAGCAATAACTTCAATGTTGCAAATCCAAGAGCTGCTTCTGTGTTCCTATTTTACTTTTTTTTAACTGATTATGGTTTTTTTAATCTAAATAGCTTTGGGGGTACAGGTGGTGTTTGGTTACATGGATAAGTGCTTTAGTGATGATTTCTGAGATTTTGATGCTATCATGCAAGCAATGTACACTGTACCCATTGTGTATTCTTTTATTCCTTACCTCCCTTCCAGACTTCCCCCCAAGTTCCCAAAGTTCACTGTATCATTCTTAAGCATTTGCATCCTCATAGCTTAGCTCCACTTACAAGTGAGAATATACTGTTTGATTCTCCATTCCTGAGTTACTTCACTTAGAACAATTGTCTCCAATTCCATCCAGGTTGCTGCAAATGCCATTATTTCATTTCTTTTTATGGCTGAGTAGTATTCCACGTGGTATACTCCAATGTGGTGTATATTCACTACATTTTCTCATTTATTTTGGTATTATCTTTATTATTTCATTCCTTCTTCTAGCTTTGAGCTTAATTTTTTCTTTTTCTAATTCCTTGAGGTGTAGCATTAGGTTATTTATTTGGGATCTTTTTTCTTTTTTAATGTAGATGTTTATTGCTATGAAATTTCCTAGAACTGCTTTTGCTACATCCTGTAAGTTTTGTTATGTAGTGCTTATTTTCATTTGTCTGAAGATATTTTTAAATTTCTCATTTAATTTATTCTTTGGCCCATTGGTTGCTCAGGAGCATATTAATTTCCATGCATGTGTAAATTTTCTGAGATTCTTCCTGTTAATGACCTCTAGTTTCATACCATTGTGATCAGAAAAGATATATGTTATAATTTTAATCTTAAATTTGCTAAAACTTGTTTTGTGGCCTAATATATGACCCATCCTGAAGAATGTTCTGTGTGCATTTGAAAATAATGTGTATTCTACTGCTGCTAGATGGAATTTTCTGTATGTGTCTATTAGGTCCATTTGGTCTAAAGTGCAGTTTAAGTCCATTATTTTCTGATTTTTTGTCTCAATGATCTGTCCATTGTCAAAATTAAGTGAAGTCTCCTAGAGTTATTGTATTGCAGTCTATGTCTTCTTCCAGGTCTATTCATATTTGCTTTATATACTTAGATGCTCTGGTGTTAGGTACATATATATTTGTAATTGTTATATCCTCTTGATGAATTGACCTCTTTATCATTGTATAATTATCTTCTTTGTCTCATTTTACCATTTTTTATTAAAGTCTGTTTTATCTAAGTGTAGCTACCCTTAACATCTTTTGGTTTTTATTTGCATGAATTTTTTTATCCTTTCACTTTCAATGTATATGCATCCTTAAAGGTAAATGAGTCTTTTGTAAGCAGCATATAGTTGGGTTTTGTTTGTCCTTTTTTATTTAATCCATTCAGCCACTCTGTTTCTTGTTATGAGAATTTGGTTCATTTATATTAAAGGTAATTATTAGTAAATAAGGACTTACTACTGCTATTTTGTTCATTGTTTTCAGGTTGTTTTGGAGATCTTTTGTTCCTTTTTTTTCTGATTCTGTATTTCTTTGTGATTAGATAGTTTTCTCTAGCATTATGCTTTGATTCCTTACTTCTTATCTTTTGGGTATCTACTACAGGCTTTTGCTTTGTGGTTACCATGAAGCTTACATAAAACATCTTCTAGTTATAACAAGTTATTTTAGCTGATAACACCTTAACTTTGATTGCGTAAAAATATTTAACAACTTTACTCCATCCCCTCACACACATTTTATGGTTTTAGTGTCACAATTTATGTCTTTTTGTATTGTTTACCCATTATATTATTGTGGCATTATTGCTTTAAATATGTTTGTCTTGTGACCTTCATACTAAAAAAAATAAGTGATTTAAGTGATTTATTTAACATCTCAGCAAGATTCATCACAGTTGACCACTTCATTGGTCTTAAATGCTTTCTTCTTTTAGCTTCATGACATCACACTCCCGTAATATCCTGGTTTTCCTTGTACCAAAGAAACTTTCCTCTTTTTAAGTCTTCTTTCATGAGTTCTCGTACTTTGAAAGATCTGGAGATTCCGGAGTGACCAAGGACCTGGTTCTGAGAACTCTTTTCTTGCAATCTACTTTCCCCCTTTAATGATTAAAAAATGCCATCTACATGTTAGGGACTCACAAACTAAGCAATATATATTACATACATTTAAAATAGGCTTACTTGGTCATAAATGAATGCACAAGTTTCAGATATGTACAGGAGTGCTGTAAGCCTGGGAAGAAATAATGCCATCACCTGGGAATGTGTTTTTCTCACTTCTCAGGAATACCAAATGGAATAATGAGAATAATTAACAATCTAGTGCACATATTTTCTGCCAACTTAGGGTTTTTATTCAGTGAAATCTCTGATACTATATGTGATAAAGTATATAAAGTTGTGTACATGCATGTGTTTAGATGCGTATATGTGTGTCTGTGTGTGTGTGTTTCCTCAGATGGTGTTCATAGTTTTATCAGATTCTCTTTGGAATTTGGGGTGGGTTTGTTTTCTGAAGCAGATAGTTTAAGATTTTACTGATCTGAGCTGTTGCCAATGTGAGTTTATCTTTGTGGCCACTGTCTATCCCAAGCAAATACTTCCAGAGTTAAATTCATCAGATGTAAATTTTACTGTGTGCAGTATTGTGCCTATATTTCATTTTTTTATGTCTATGTTTACTAATTATTAATTATATGAGTAGAATAAAAGACAAATAGTTTTATTACTGCTTTGCTAATACTATTCCACTAAATTTGAAACCACTGATCATTGATTTTGCATATTGATCTTATATCCAGACACCTTAAAAATTATTTTATTTGTTCTTACACATTTTCAACAATAGACAATTATTCTTTTAACAAAAAAAGTTTCTTGATGATATTTCTGCCCAGACTAATTTTTATACTTTAAATAAACTTGTTAAAACATTTGCAAGAATATTTTCAAACTAAAATCAGGAAAATGGAAATTAAAACAATAAGATCATTTTTGCTGATAACTTGCATTTATTTTTAAGTTCGATAATAGATAATGTTGGCAGTGGTGTAAACAACCAGCTTTATATAGCAAATTGGCCTAAGCTTTTGTGAGGCAATATGGCAGAGCAAAAAAATATTTAAGTGCCAAACATGTTTGCCCAAAGAGTTATACCTAGAAGTATATATAATATAGAATTTCTGGGAGACATACATGAAATGATATATGGATCTTCATGGAGGAGATGACACTTGAGCTGAGACTGGAAGGAAGATTAATAAAATTTTGTATGACAAGAAGGTCAAAATAAATTTAAAAATAAATTTTGTCTTGCTTTGTTTTTTGTTAAAAATCAACTTAGGCAAAAAGGGTAATTGGTTGACTCACATCACTGGAGAAGATCAGATAGGGCTGCAGAAAGCTGAAATCAGGGGCTTGAGGTTACAGGGTGCCCCAGAGCTGGTTTCTGCTTCATACCAGCTGTCAGCTTCATTATTTCCTGAGGCACGTGAGCTTTCTCCATAAGACTGGGAGCAGCTCCTAGACACATGTCTTCTTGGTTTGCCACCTGACAGTAAAGACCACTCTTTTCCAAGTTACAAGTGGAAAATTCTAAAGGAAAGACTGATCAGCCTGGTTTGTGTTTCGTTATCTCTGTCAGGTCTCTGGCAGAATATAGGTAAATTGGCAGAGTATTATCACTGGCCAAGGAATAAGCAGTTCCTTGAAAAGAGCTGAGTCATCCTCAAAAAGAAAGGGGTGTTAGACAATCCAACAACAAGTGCATAATTCAAAAGGAAAAAGCCAGGAGAAGTACCTTAGTCATATGGCACTTCTTCAGTCTCACTTACAGAGGATATAACATAATCTGCTTCCACAAAATTCCTTGTAAGTGCGTTGGGACTTTGGTTTCCCCATTGCTGCTTATCCTTAGAGGCATGCCAGAGGACTTTCAAAAGTGAGCTAAGCATTTTTTCTACAGATGGATCTTTTCATTGAAAACAAAATATTTGCATAGAGCATAGCATATAATAATAGCACAGCAGCATTGGAACTATGGGTGGCAAAGAGCTTGGCAGCTGTTTGTGTCTGCTATGGCATTAATTAAATATTTTAGCTCTGGTGTTTATTGGTATGTGGACAGTGTTTCAAACCTTGCAGAGTTTGAACCACCAATTTTTGCTATAATATGCTCTTAATGTCATGAGAATTGTATCTGGTCTCTTTTGCTCTTGTACCAGACTCATGCAGATTTCATTCTAAGGTACCAAGAGGCTAGAAAGGTGAAGGCCACAGGGACAGAGAGCCCACTCCCCACTGCAGGGGTCTCCTTTTGCTTTCCAAAGTTAAAAAAAAAAGGCTTTATTGTTTTGATCATAAATAAGATCCCTCTTCTATAATGTTCCCTGAGGCACACATCTTCCTAAAAATACATCTCCTTTATAGTGAAGCCATTTGAGAAATTCTTCTCTTTCAAGAAAATTTCAACCTCCTTAGGATATTTTTTGTCCCTCTGGAAAGTAATTCAGAATTATACGTTAAACTTTCTATTTACCTTATATTTAAATAACAGTTAAATCAAATTACAAATGACTAGATTTTGTATGTAGTGTCATACAATGATTACTACTGCAAAATAAGGATCTTGGCCGGGTGCGGTGGCTCACGCCTGCAATCCCAGCACTTTGGGAGGCTGAGATGGGTGGATCACTTGAGCTCAGGAGTTCAAGACCAGCCTGGCCAACATAGTGAAACCCCATCTCTACTAAAAATACAAAAATTAGCCGGGCGTGGCAGCGGGCACCTGTAATCCCAGCTCCTCAGGAGGCTGAAGCAGGAGAATCTGTTGAACCCGGGAGGCAGAGGTTGCAGTTAGCTGAGATCGCACTGCTGCACTCCAGCCTGGGCAACAGAGCGAGACTCTGTCTCAAAAAAAAAAAAAAAAAAAAAAAAAAAACTTAAGAAATCACAAGATCCTTGTGGACTACCAGAAACTAACTAAAATCATGCTAATTTTGCTCAATGTATGCATTGTCAATACATAATCTTTAAATCAAAATATTGGCTTATCAGGATATACTAATTTTAATAGTCTACATAAGAGAATTTTTTTTTTCTTTCTTTCTTTTTTTTTGAGACAGAGTCTTGCTCTGTCACTCAGGCTGGATTAGAGTGGCTCAATCTTGGCTCACTGCAAGCTCTGCCTCCCGGGTTCATGCCATAAGAGAATGTTTTCTATGATTTTATTTAAATACAATTAACACTATTTTTTTGTCATGAGTATTACACTGACAATTCATGAAATATTACTTCACGACAACAAGTAAGTGTCTTGTCAAGGACCAAAAATGGTAAAAACATTAGCAAAGAGCATAGGGTGCACGATCTGCTCAACAGACTTTGTTGGCCAATGCTAAGTGAACTGCACATTTGATCCTACAGCAAAGGTAGATTTCACAGGCACCATTGAAGTACTTGAGAACACCTGTTTAGCATAAGGCAATGTGGGATTGTATTTCATTTACCAAAGTTAATTCAATGCCATCCATCAGCCATTTCTTGAATATCTACTATGTGTTCTGAAGTCATTTCTTTTTCGTTTTATTGAATCATCCATTCTCTTTATGTTGACTTGTTCATGCCAGTTTTTCTCAGAGGAATGCCTCTGTTTCTTCAACAAGCGATTGTGTCCGTGTAGACTCAGCCAGAGCTCAGCTCTCAGTAGCCACTCTCCTATTCAGGAGCTCATGTCTAACACCAAAGGAAAGACTCAAGTATCTAGAATCAATTTGATAAGAACCCCTGCATACTTTGTCTGAGGTTTATAATCTTCTTGGATCACCACTAAACTACGTCCTTAGAAAAATAAGGAAAAGACACCAATCAGGCAAAATTGTTCCAATTATCTGTTTTACATTAGCTTTGGAGGTTTGGTCATGGTGGTTATGATGACCTTCTTCTTCTGTATCATGGGATATAATTTCTGTCCCAGCCAAACAGCCAACTTTCCTTTTTTGAAGTTTCATTTTGGACACCTGTTTCATTTCCTGACCAGTGTCAGTAATCCACAATGGGCTCACTTCTCCAGCATCCTCCCCCTGAGCACATGACTCCACTTTGGGTGGTATTTAAAGATCTCTGCCTCTTTCAACGTTTAGCATTTCCCCAAGACTACCTCTGATTACTTTCCCTGCCAATATGTCTATTTGTTCTCTAAAGGAATTCAAGTAGTGACACAATTATAATTATATTCAGATTATCTTTAATGATGTCATTTGATTTTAGTACATAACAAAGAATAAAAGTGAACTATATGAATCATGTAACCCTACTTGAAATAAGGACCCAATGTGAATTAACTCCTAAATCCCTTTAACAACTAATTATATGTTGTATTTATTGCTGTTATTGATAGTATAAACTTCCAAGTATGCCATTCCCCCAAAGGAGACATTTTTAATAGTAGTGAGATACATTTGACTTAGTCAAAAGTTATCTGGAAATGAACCATTCAACAATATGTCATGTAATAATAGATATTTCTATCTATATAAGGTACCGAGATCTTGTCTTTTGAATACATTAGCATCCTTTGGAATTAAACCATCTCCCATTCATAATGAGTTTCCTCTTAAAGAAGTGATTGGCCTTGGAATTATGGTTTTGCAAACAAATGACAGCCCTTTATTCAACAAACCTAATCAAAAACAATAAATTGAAGTATTGCATCACTAATAGTTTAGATTTCATCAGACTTATGCCACTTGCTATAGAAGTTTTTCCTTTAACTATCATTATTACTTAACATTGTCTGTGTTTTTAGCCAATGTGCTAAAGCAAGGCAAGATAAGTATTACTCTTAGAAAATAATTATTATTTTAAAATAATATAATTTCCCTATCTAGAAAAACCCAGAAAAAAACAGGGAAAACTTTTGGAACCCGTAAAATCTATTCAGTATTATGGCGTTAAATACAACATTAATTTAACAAATTCATAGCTTTGTTTTATACTAGCAATAATCAGATCGTATAATGAAATTAAACCCATTTATAATAGCATCAGTTATTATAAAATGTACAGAAATTTACATTATGAGAAATGTGCAAGCTTGATATAAAGAAAACAATTTAAACATTATAGAAAGTCATCAAAGAAGAATTGAAAAGGTAGGAAATTATACCATGTTCCAATATAGATAATCTCAATAATATAAATCTGCCACCTCATCTAAAATGCATTCTATAAATGTAGTACCATTGCAGTCAAAGTTCCAAAGGGTTTGTTCCACTGGCAAATTAAAGTTCATCAGAAAGATTTAATCTCAGATTCAATGGTAATTATAAGGAATTAGTTTGAGAGCATGATGACAAGATTATTAGATTTTAACTGCTCCATGCAGCCATTTATGTGATAATTATGTAAGGAAAAACTTAAATATTTTAATGAAACAGGTGGGGGTATAAGGAGAACAGATGTTGAAATCTTACGCTATCTTTATCTCTTCTCAACTTTCCTCTTCTGTTCCTTTCAGTAATCAATGAATCATCTTGGGTGACATCTTCTAGTTTTGATGCTCCTAACCTCATCTGAGCATTGCTGAACGAATTCCTTTAAAATATTCCACATCTCCATTCTCTCCATGCTTCAAAACCTTCAAAAGACTGTTTTCCTAATATTGCACAAGTGCTTCAAAATTTGCAGAGGCCTGCAGTTGACTTTCAATGAAATTTAAATGACCACATACATAGTTTTTAGGTGTTACATCATGAAGTTAGACATACTTCACACTAACAAACAACAAAATCTTAGGTGTATTTTTAAAACCTCACTAAGCCTCAATTTCCTTAATGAGCTTTATAATATTGTCTCATAGAGTTGTTGTGCCGATTATAAAACAATCTATTGAATATCAAAGTTTTTGTATTTATAGATGTAGAGCACTGAGTGGAATGAAAGATAGCCCTTCTCTCTTATCCTGAGAAGCTGGATGGACATTGTGCTATGAATTCTGCATCTCTTTCCTTGGCACTTTAGATCTTTGAAGTGAAAAACAGAAATTTTCAAGCACCCCTAACACCCAGGATGTCTCAGCATCTCAGTGGGCAGAAATAGATGAGCATAGAAGTAAGAGATTTTGAGAATCCTTCCTTAGGGTTAAAGGGTAGTGTATTAGCCTATTCTCTAAATATATAAAGATACTATAAAGATACTACCTGAGACTGGGTAATTTATAAACAAAAGAGGTTTAATTGACTCATAGTTCTACATGGTTGGGGAGGCCCTGGAAACTTACAATCATGGTGGAAGGCTAAGAGGAGGCAAGGCATGTCTTAAGTGGGGACAGGAGAGAGAGAGAAAGTGCAGCAGAAACTGCCACTTATAAAACCATCAGATCTTGTGAGAACCCACTCACTGTCATGAGAACAGCATGGGGGAAATCACTCCCATGATCCAATCACCTCCCACTAAGTCCCTCCCTTGACACATGGGGATTACAATTTGAGATGAGATTTGGGTGGGGACACAGAGCCAAACCATATCAGATAGTGATGGGACATTTTAGGTCCATGAATAGTGGGAGTAGTGCCTGGTTTCCACAAGGAAACCTTCAGAACCTTAAATGGGAAAAGCCACAAAGTACTTTTTCCTTGACAATGATTCTTATGCTGGTGCTTGACACAGAACATCAGAGTTACTTGTCTTCAAGGAGCCCCGTAAGCTTGGAAGTTGAGCACGGCAAAGTGAACTCAAGGCCAGCAGACCCATCTCTAAATGTTCTGTTCTGGGACTCAGGCGTGGTCTGAAAAAGGAGACCCATAAAACAGAACCAAGAGAGAATTTTCCATCACCTGAGCGAGTAGGATTGGGGAGTAGATTTAAATTATATTAAAAAATTGTTTACCATAAAATTGCTTTCACCTGAAGTCATGGAATAAAGTTTCATGCATACTACAAAAAAAACAATGAAAATAAGGCATTCAGTAGTACCAGGCGTATATAAATGCCCACTCCATGGGCATGATAGTAGCAGAGACATAGAAATGCCCACTCCATGTCAGCAATTATTATCATTTTTTATTATTTATGTTTCATTCATGACACATCTTTAACCAATACCATGCGAGCCGCACATATTCCCCAGTGTGGCACCTCTACTCCAGGCAATATGGTACATCTATTCCAGGTAGGCTGTTCCTTTGTAGCTCCCATGGCTATTTACTTACTACCATCTTTGTCCTTATTGGTTTCACTATCTGCATTCCCAGTGCTAGGCCTTTCTCTCTCTGACATTCTGTTTGTATCCATTCTTTATAGACACATTCAAAGTAAACTTCCCCCAAGAAAACTTTCTTGAATAACCCTTGAAGTTCTCCATTGTCCCTAGGGTTTATTTATAGAACACATGGCATCAGCAGATGCTGACCATGCCCACTCATGTCCCTTCACTCCTCACCATTTCTACAGGAAGCTGTGACTCTGCCTGAAGGATTTCTGTGGTCAATGGAACATGCCCAGCTCATGTGTAGAGCAGGAGGAAGTGCTCCTGCTCCAGAATTCCCCAGAAACAAAGCAACCCTCAAGCAATGACATCTGAAAGTTGAAGGACAGATACTTCAGCTTTGTCAGTATGTTGTATGGGACAACTCAGTCCCTACATAGTCTAAAGGGTCCGGCATGATTCATCTCCTACACCAATAAATAACCTGCTAATAACGCACTCGAATTGGCATCCTTCCTTTCCCTCCCTCGCATTCCCACATCCCTAAAGGTACTTTCTGGTAGACACTTCCTATCATCTCCCCACGCACCTTCTCCACCCAAATTCTTGTTTATAGGTCTGCTCGTTGGGGACAGAACGGAAACAACATCACCTCCCACTTTCTTACATGCTGCCTTAAAAATAATTATTTCCCTTCCTTAATTATTATCTTCCCAACAAGATTATAAACTCCCCTGGTGCAGAGCATACTGCTTGTCTGTGAACTATTTGTTGGTCTGTGAGCCATTTGTCACTGCAATGAGATAAGTACAGAAATCAAGAGAAAGTGTTTAGAAATTCTTAGAGCAATTTTCCATTGCCAGAACATCCAAGCATGTGATCAGTGGGCTTACCCAGTGAACAGGCAGTGACCAGTTAGATAGTGTGGAAATGCATGTGATGAGTCCCATGGTGCAGGCTGTCTTCTAGTCACATTCAGGATAACCATGTAGCAAACATGAAAAGGTAAGAAGCTTGTGCTGAAGATCCACATAATGCTGGTAACAGGCAAGCCATTAAAATGGATAAAAGCACTTACAGTTTGTAATATAAATAGGAAGAAAGACATGTCTGTCTCTTTTTACCCTGTTTAGGAATACTTCGCCTACTCTAAAGTCAAAATTATATTCTGCTATGTTTTCTCCTAGACAATTTTTGTTTTACTTTGTGACTAACTTTAATTAATTTTATATATTACATGAGGCAGGAATTGAAGCTTATTATTTTATAATAAGTAACATTTTTCTGGTGACCACGGAAGCAACTATACTGTGAAAACCCCCAACCCAAAGGCTAACTTTGGGTGAGTGGTGGGGTCCGGTAACATCTTTCTCACAAACCACAAAGGGACAATACTAAGACCCCTCTGACCCAAAGGAAATAGACTGCAGCACTGATTGGATGACTTTGGGTAAGTGGTAGAGTACCCAAGTAAAGAATGAGATTGGGTTAGAGACCCAACTTAGGGGAGTTAAAGTCTCTCCTACAACAGAGTGGGTTAGAGGCCCCTCTTAATAAAAGGCAAGGACGCTTGACCGATCTTGGGTTAGAGGCCCAACTTAGGAGGGTTAGAGTCCCTTCTAAGATTTAGGGGGTTAGAGGCCGCTCTCGCTAAAGTCCCTCTGGGCTAAGAACAAGTTTGGCATTATGGGATGTTAACTGCTATTCTTTTTGGAATAATCTGTCTTGTACTCTTTGCTGATGGCTGTGGGTGACAGGGTTAGGCATGTACAGGATCATGGGACATGGGGAGCTTTTTCCTCCCTAAAAGGGGAAACATGAGAGCTGATGGGACTGCTGGGAAAAAATCCCTTCACAACAGTAGCCACAGCTGCCTGAAATTTTCAGTGTCACCGCAGTGGGTGGGTCTTTCTCTGGCCTCCCTAGGCATTTCACCTTCCCCACCCTGCCACAGACAATGCTTTTCTCTCTCTCTTTTCCCTTTCTTTTCCCTTACTCAGGGCAACCACCTTGCCCAGAGACCACGTGTTGAAACTCCAAGTCGGAGGTTGGATTAAAGATGAAGAGGCCCATCTGGGGGCAAATTTAAGCCTTGCCAGTTTGATATTGGGTGCTAAGCAGAGTAGCTACTGTCTATGTTTTATCACATGTATTTTGCTCTGGCCAGAATGAAAAAATAATAATATTCCTTATAGTGCAGCTTGGCCCCCAGGGAGGTGGTGCCACAAGCCCGCAAGCCCGCAAGCCGGATCACTAGGGCTGCTCAGGGAAAGGGAACCCAGAAGCCTGGCATGCTGGCAAAGGGTAAGAATTTCTTACCAGTCAGATTTCTGGCTTCTCTCTCTCCATGCAAACAGTTGAATGAATGGAAAAAAAAAAAAAAGATCAGTATGTATCTCCTCTGTAAAGTTTTAATTAATGTGAAAAAGAATTCTAAGGCTAGCCTTAAACTGGTGTATTTTGTGCAATGAATTCGTTTTTCCATGTCGAGGGGTACTTCAGGATAAAACACGGGCTTAGAACACCTGTAAGCCCACTTTTCAAGACAACCCAGCAAACTGGTCAGTAACAAACTTGGCTGCAGGTCCCTGAAACAAACAGAAAAAACAGATGAAGTCTCCACGATGTTTTATGCCCTTGGGAGCTTGACCTTTTAACCACGTGGCAGTAATTTCTTTTGGTCTCCGCCTTCAGGGAACAAGAATTTTAGGGTTCATGTCATAGTTAGCTCTAAAAATTATATTAAATAGAAGCTTTTGCAAGCTCGAAATTAGCTACTCTGACTCATTCTGGAAAAAGAAATGGAGACTGCCCGTTGCTATAACCCACTAGCTAAGGTTTTGCACTTTCACAGTGGTGGTCCAAGTTCGATTCCTCACCTAGGGAGTAAGTAGTTTCTGGTTTAATATCTTTGTGACCTTGTCTAGTCTCTTCTTCGTGGACTGTCTTAAATTTTCCTTTCTCTAAGCACCTAGGAGGTGACCTTTGGTGAAGTTCAAAAGCCAGAAACCCAGAAACATTGGCCATTTGGCATACTAAATTCTAAAAGGACTTTATTAAAGAGTGCTATGGTTAAAATCAGCTTAATTAAAAGTGGATAAACAAGCTATAGATACATTTTAAAGGCCTTTATGTTTTTCTCTTCTTGGAACTTGTTTTTCTGGAAAAATGTTTTTTCTTCTCAGTCAGCTGAATTATTTTTCTCCATCTTTTTTTGTCTTGCCACTCTTAATGCACAAATGAGAGGCCCTAAGGTAACTTCTGGTAGCCTGGGAGTCCTTGGGAAAAACAGAGGAGGTGCCACAGACCCCGTTTTGGGAAAAAAAAAAAAAAACACTTCTGTTTTCTTTGTGAAACTCCAGGAATTAAAAGCAGATAGATCCCTCTCCAGATTAAAGGCTCTGTTTTGTTTTGCATTGTGTTATCTGATGGTTTTGAGTTTGGGTGGGGGTATCAGAAATTACTTCACATTATGAGAGAGCTTTGGTGTGTAATGACTGGGTAGGAAATATACTTTAAGGCATGGCTAATAGTAGTTATGAAGGGATACTTGACTCTTTGCACACTTAGATCAGAGAAGCATGCTCTTGGCCACCTGGAAGATAAGGAAACATTCCCACCCCCCGCTGGGAGACGAGACTCTCATGAGGGATGGGCTGATACAAAATAGGCTGATTGGCTTTGGGTTGCCTTGCAATGAAATGCAGAGTAGAAGCACTGCACTGTCTTCTCCTGCATTATTTCCCTCCTTTTGGAGATTCAGGAGCCAGTATAAAATGACATCCTTATTTTGGGGGTCTGTCTTTGCCTTCAGCTGCTTATTTGCTGCTAATTTAGCCCTAGAAACACATGCTTTCCTGGCCCTGTTTTTCCAAGGGCTCCACCCTGAAGCCCATAATCTAATTAAGAAACTGGCAAATGAAAAATCTTACAAGTGCTGACTCTTCTGACTATGTATGTATGTGTGTTGTATGTTTATATATAAAAGAGCTCTCATTAATTGGCTTAGAAAAATAAGCACTTAAACCAAATATTTTGTCAGAACAATAGAAACCTTAATGCTTTTTGTTCACATAACTTTAGTAATCTTTTGGAAACAAAGACAGTTTTAATGATTATCGGTAAAATAAAATGTCTTGAAAATGTAGACATTTGGTCTAAATTAAGGTCAGATATCAGATTTGTTAAATGCTTTAAGGTCAAACTGTTTCTTTGACTTTTGAAAATTGTTCAATTTACCTACCTTAAAGCCATTAGATTCTAGATGAGGCCTGGGGACATGTGTGGTTAGCCATGCCCCCTAGCTATTCTGGAGAGTCAGCTGTTATCTGCACTTCTGCTTGGTGTGTCCTAGGCTAGGCTCCACACCTAGTACATAATTAAAATCTCAAACTTACTAAGGTTTCCACCAAAAATAAAAGTTTCTAAGAGTTAACATTATAACATGTAATTAAAACTACTAAAGAAACAATTTTGCATGCAAGTTGTGTAAAGAAAGTAAAATGTGTTTTGGTGAAAGATTGTAAGAAGTCATGGGAATGTGGACCTTTTTTCTGCCTAGATTAAGGTGTTAAAGGATTGTTTTAAGTAAGAAAATAATCTAAAGATTTAAACAAGTTGTGGAAGGTTCATAAAAATTAATTGTAAGAGATTCTGTGTGTGAACATATTGGCTAAAGTTAAAGGGGGTATTATTCAGTTTTTCCATAAATTAAACATTGGAATCAAAGCACAACAGGTTTTTCTGATCTGCTCTTTCCAAAAAAAAAAAAAAAATGTAAAGGGCTATAAAGGTTTGTAAGACTCTTACCTTATGGTTACACATTAAAATTGGGTAAATATGTCTATAAGGTTTTATTAAACATTGACTTTAACATTAATAGGACATTAATGTAAAAGTTAAATTTGGCTTATTTGGTATAAAAATCACACAGGAAGCATTAACAAATGTGAAATGGTATTTTGTTTTCTTGGAACTATATTTGCATAAATGTGTTATTGGTATATGTTCCAAAGTTATGGGAAACTCCTATAATTCTAATATGAATTAGTGTATGTTATTAATAATTATAATTATATAAAATTTTCTGTGCCACAGAAGTTACATTTCCTTATCAATTGTGGCTTTAATAGTGACTGTCCTAAAACATTTTGTCATCCACAGACAATTGTTGTCTTGTTTTAATCCTCTTTAGAAGGTGGTTTATAATCAACTATAGAACTCTAGCAGGTATTCTTAAATGCAGGTTTCTAATTGAAAATTGTAACACTAGAATAGAGGAAGCAACTTTCAGAACTCTCATGAAGAGCTGGAATGTTCATGAATATCAAATAGAACATGAGTTAACTGAATTAACTGAACCAATAGAAAACTGAAGTAATCTTTTTAACTTTGTTTAAAACGTTGCTGATCCTTTATTTTGTTTCTCAGAGTCAAGGAAACTTTTTTTCTTTTTTGAGCTATTTACAGCTTTCAGCAATTGAGTAAAGTATACTCCTGTGAACAAAATTTAGAGCATATTTGTTTCTCTCTACCTGATTTCTCTGGAATTTGGAAACTAGTTGTGAGTATCCTTAACTTATGGCAATATAGTTATTTGCATAGGTGCAATAAGAATCTGTTTTCTTTTGTAACAGGACACAATTTGGAGAAATTGGTTATTTTACCAAGGCTTTCACTGGAATGGTGTGTTTTCCTTTAAGGAATCAAACTTGACTTGTAGAGCCAATAAGAGACCCTTGGGGAACTGGCCTTATACCTTGCCTACACAGTCCCCATATGGGGTTTCTGACCTGTAGTAAGTAAAGAATATCACTTCCTATCAGGTCCAGGAGCCCAGAGTTATCTTGGGACCTCAAACGGAGAGAAATTTACCCAACTCATAGGTATTTGAAGGTAAAAACCCATGGCAGGACTAAGGTTTAAAAAAGTCTTATCTGAGATTCCTTATGAAACAGAGTTCCTTCAAAGCCAATTAAAAAGCCTATGTGAAAAATAATTATTCTTGCTGCACTTTATACAAATAATTAGGCCAAATATAATAAAGCAAGTCAGTGTTACCATGATTTGTCTTTAGTAAAAATGGGAAACAGGAGACAGAAATATTATGTTTCAAGAACTGTGGTACACTTGTTATTAAATTCTAGTCTCATTAGCTGTTTTTAGGTTTGTTTCTGCAATTTAGGGTAACCCTGCTTATTCCTGTGAACCAGTGATCTCTGACTGCTGCTCAGAAGAAACAAGAGGGATGGGCAATGTAAAAATCTGGATCAGTATTCTAATTCCGGGCACATTACAATCAGTTAACAACCCCATATAAGCTTAGTTCCAACAGTTGCCCAGTTCATAAAAAGCCTTCTAATTTAGTTTACTTGGAATAACTTTACTTATTTTGCTTTACTTTTGTGGAATACATTGCTGTTTTACTCTTTGTGTAGGAATACCAGAAAAAGCTTACTGAATGTTTTCTTAAACTAAACACTTATTAATCTTCCAGATATCATCTCTTGTCAAAACTCAAGAATCACAAAAGGCCCTCCCCATACTGATGCTTTCTGAATGAGCTCCTCTCTACCCTGAATGCAAGAGACCCTAATAAGTAGGCAGGAATATCATCACCCCTATTCAGCCTGAAGAAGTTACAGAAGATGGATCTTTGTTCCTCTGCAACCCTTAGGATTAAGGATTCTCTTATAAAAGAAAGGGGGGAAATATCAGAGGTGTGTGAACCAAAGTAACTCCATCTTAAATAGGAGCTGGGTAAAATGAGGCTGAAACCTGGGCTACACTCTCAGACAGTTAAAGCATTCCAAGTCACAGGATAAAATAGGAAGTCAGCACAAAATACAGGTCATAAAGACCTTGCTGATAAAACAGGTTGCAGTAAAGGAGCCGGCCCCAAAACCCACCAAAACCAAAATGGCAACGAGAGTGACCTCTGGTCTTCCTCACCACTAAACTCCACCAGCGCCATGACAGTTAACAAATGCCATGGCAACATCAGGAAGTTATCCTATATGGTCTAAAAAGGGGAGGCATGAATAATCCACCCCTTGTTCAGCATATCATCAAGAAATAAATATAAAAATAGGCAACCAGCAGCCCTCGGGGCTGCTCTGTCTATGGAGTAGCCATTCTTTTATTCCTTTAATTTCTTAATAAACTTGCTTTCACTTTGCAAAAAGAAAAATAATAATAAGATAAAGGCATATGTGAGAACTCCAACGTAGTTATGACACAAGAATTCTATGTAATAGAATAAGAGTCATTCATCAACAGACTCAAAGTTAAGCTATCCTAAAATCCCAGAGGGTTCATGACAATAATGTAGTAAAATTGCTAACTGCTAACTGATATCCAATTTTCCTTTTTTTCCTCAATGACAGAACTCCTATGTGGGGGGTTGGGTTGCAATGTGCCCAGCTCTCAAAACTATACTTCTTAATTTTATTTGGAAATAGGCATAGCTAAGGAGACATATAAGGGAAACATTGGGTGGCGTTCTTAAGCAAGCTCCTTTAATAGAGGCCATGTTTTCATGTGGGAGACTCCTCTTGCCTTTCTCCTCTTCCTCCAGTCTGGAATACAAATGTAATGGTTAGCACTCCAGCAGCCTCCTTGTGAATATCAGCATACAGCTGATACTTTCGGAATGGCAGAGCAGTGAACTGGAAGGACCTTGAGCCCTGATGAACTACAATAATATACCAAGATTTATTGCATAACAAACCACTCCTAAAACTTAGATTAAAACAAACTCACTTGTTTAGCTCCACTTCTGCATTTTGACAGTTTGGGCTGGTCTAAACTAGATTATTTTTTCCAGCCTGGGATAGTGTTGATTGATCTTGGCTGCATTCACTCATAGGTCTTTAGTTAACTAGTAGGTCAGCTGGAGTTAGCAAGTTTTTGATGGCCTCAGTTGAGATAGCTAGGACAATAGAAGCCTCTCTGCTTATGGTCTCTCTCCAGCAAGCGGGAGAGTCCCGAGAGAAGAGGTATGCAAAGCCTTTGAGGCTCACACTTGAGACTTGCTTATTGTCACTTCTGTCACACACTATTGGTCACAAGGCCACTCTGGAATTGTAGGGTGAAGAAATAGACCTCTGATATGGTTTGGCTGTGTCCCCACCCAAATCTCATCTTGAATTGTAGCTCCCACAATTCCCATAAGTTGTGGGAGGCAGCCAGTGGGAGATAATTGAATCACGGGGGCAGTTTCACCCATACTCTTCTCATGGTAGTGAATAAGTCTCACCAAATCTGATGATTTTATAAGGGGTTTCCCTTTAACTTGGCTCTCATTCTCTCTTTGCCTGCCTCCATGTAAGACATAACCTTCCTCCTCCTTCACCTTCTGCCGTGATTGTGAGGCCTCCACAGCCATGTGGAACTGTGAGTCAATTAAACCTCTTTCCTTTATAAATTACCCAGTCTTGGGTATGTCTTTATTAGCAGAGTGAGAATGGACTAATACAACCTCTCCTTTTATGGGGAATGTTGTAACAAGTTGTGACCAATTTTGCAATCTACCACACACACCAATCTTGAACTGACTAAAATCTGTGCTTCTCACTACTTAGAAAATAAACCCCTTGTCTGGTTTATGATTTTCTTTGTACTTTACCAGCAGAGTTAGCATAATTCCTACCTGACACAAATACTGTAAGAAGCAGTCAGACACTTGCTCTTTTTTAAAAGACAGAATGGTAGCCTCTTGACCTATGAAATTAGCCTGCTCTGCCTTGAAGAAATGTTTTATTCCAGGCTGAAAATAGATTTACATGCAGAAGTATACACACAGGGAAGGCAAGACAAGAAATGCTAAGTTATCACTTGATGTGCTGCAATTCCAAGAAAGAAACAAAGACTAATCTTGTATGCACACCCCACCACCACTTACAAAACCACCACCACCACCACCACAGGTGATATTTAGTAGGGAAAAAAAATGATTTCTTCTGTGGAATAGATTGTCTTTGTGTTGTATCCCTCCGAGTCCAGGCAAGGGAGTAATGGGACAATCACGTAAGGGCAATTTGAAGAGAATTTAATAAAAGAACTAATTTAAAAGACCCGGGCAGCAGGGAGGGAAACAACAATGGTTCATGCTATACTTTGGGCCCTGGGACTTGAAAGAAACAGGTTTCATGTATTAGTCCATTCTTACATTGCTATGAAGAAATACCCAAGACTGGGTAATTTATAAAGGAAAGAGGTTTAATTGACTCAGTTCCGCATGGCTGGGGAGGCCTCAGGAAACTTACAATTATGGCAGAAGGCACCTCTTCACAGGGCAGCAGGAGAGAGAATGAGTGCTAAATGAAGGGTAAAGCCCTTATAAAACCATCAGATCTCATGAGAACTAATTCACTATAATGAGAATAGTATGGGGGAAACCACCCCCATGATTCAATTATGTCCACCTGGTCCTGCCTTTGACATGTGGGGATTATTACAATTCCAGGTGAGATTTGGGTGAGGACACAGAGCCAAACCATATCTCTTCTCTATCAGCTTTAGGCCTGAAGAGATGAAGGGAGCTGGCAGCTCCCAGAACCCAAAGGTAGGTAGAAGTCTGGGTGGAGAGGACCTTCCTCTAGGAGATGCAACCAACCCATAGTGACCCTGCAGGCAAGTTTCTGGGCAAATCAGTGCCCTAATCACCCTCTTGTCTCTCTCCCATCACATGCTGGTGCTCCCTGATAGCCAACGCAATAGAAGTCAGAGGGCAGAGAAGCTGATTGGTATGGTCTATACAGGTCAGTGTCTGAGGGCAAGAACAGGATGGAGATGCAGAGAGAGAGTCTGGAAAAACAATCAGAAGACATTCAGGGGGTGAAAAAATAGACATCAACTCTTAACGAAGTAGCTGCAAAAAAGTGTAGCCATTTTTGCAAACAACCAGTGGGTCTCATATTGAAATAACTACTATTTCCTATGTTCTTGTTAACGTTTTGTTATTACTTGTATTAGTCTGCTAGGGCTGCCACAACAAAATACCACAGACTGGATGACTCAAACAAAATGTATCGTTGCACAGTTCTGGAGGCGGAAAAGTCCCCAGTCAAGGTGTCAGCAGAGTTGGCTTCCAAGGCCTCTCTCCCTGTCTTGCAGATGGCTGCCTTCTCGCTGTGTCCGCACATGGTCTTTCCTCTGTGGCCACACCCCTGGTGTCTCTTTCCCTTCTTATAAGGACACCACTGCTGTTGGATTAGAGTCTCACCCTAATGACCTCGTTTAACTTCACCAGCTTAAAGGGCCTATCCCCAAATACAGTCACATTGGGGTGAGAGCTTCAACCTATAAATGTTGGAGGACACCATTGAGTCCATAACATTACTCTATGTCCTCAATTTCTGGTTCAATCTGAGCAAAAGGGTTCCTCTCTGAAGCTTTTAAACTGTAAGCCCTCCCAAACTGCTGTAGCTAGTAAATACAATTCTGAGAAGATAAGAAGAGACTGTTTATGAAGGAGCAAGAAGGGTATGAAATTCCAAATAGTAAATTCATTTCAAACATCCTGTCAAAGTTTAAACCCAAAAATCTTTTAAGAATAAAATTCTGCTTGGCATTTGGTACCAGGAAAATTTCCTCACTAGGATGTCTTGGATGTTGCCTTAGAACTGTGTGGGCTTGAATGATTTAACGTTATCTCCTTTGGAATGGGACCACTACACACACACACACACGTGCACAAACACACACACACACACACACACACACACACACCCCATCTCAAAGCATTGCATGAAAGTTAAATGCTGTTTTCAAACTAGCATCTGTAACTCTAAAAGTATAGAAAATCAGAACCAACCCAAATGTCCAACAATGATAGACTGGATTAAGAAAATGTGGCACATATACACCATGGAATACTATGCAGCCATAAAAAATGATGAGTTCATGTCCTTTGTAGGGACATGGATGAAATTGGAAATCATCATTCTCAGTAAACTATCGCAAGAACAAAAAACCAAACACCGCATATTCTCACTCATAGGTGGGAATTGAACAATGAGATCACATGGACACAGGAAGGGGAACGTCACACTCTGGGGACTGTTGTGGGGTGGGGGGAAGGGGGAGGGATAGCTTTGGGAGATATACCTAATGCTAGATGACGAGTTAGTGGGTGCAGTGCACCAGCACGGCACATGTATACATAAGTAACTAACCTGAACAATGTGCACATGTACCCTAAAACTTAAAGTATAATAATAAAAGAAAAAAAAAGTATAGAAAATCAGAGTTTTTTGTTTAATACAAGAGCCCCAAATTCTATCTCTTCTTCCTGTGGATAAAGGAAAATATGATAAATGGAAGACAATGTTAGCTTACTTATCTTAAAATATTTAGTATAAAAGATTTTGTATCTTCCCTTGCAGATGTGTGACATGGATAAAAAGCTCCCCATAGTGGAAAGAGGTGCCATAAAACACTAGACAATGAGAGCAAGATGGGGGACCCAAAATGGTGCCCTGGCATCGGCAAGTGGTGAAACCAGCCATCTGGCCCTGTGCCCTGTCCTCAGAAGTGCCCCTGCCGCCCCAGCAGGTACATTTGCAGGTGAAGAATTTCTTTCGCTTTAGTGTCCTGGGAACCAAGTATTTTCTGTTGGTGGTGTTTCTCTTGCACCAGATGAATTTTTGCCTCGCTTACCTGAGACTTAGACTGTCCCAATTCCAGTCTCCACTGATGCAAACTAGGTTGGTTCACAACAGGCTGCCATAAAATTTCTCATTTTTTTCTGTTTGAAATGTGTAACTTTTGATTTACTTCCTAAGTAAGACTTCCTGAGTTGGGAGCTCTAAAAACTTTCATTAAAAAACAGTGGATTTGTCAAACTTTTGAGCAAAGTATTGGTGGCACTTCTAAATCTTTGAATTTAATTTCTTCTTTTAGGGGACTCTTAGAAAGGGAAAATATGATCTTACTACATTGACCATGCAAATTCTGAGGTTCATATTGAATCTAAAGTCATTGGAAATATAAATCTCAATAAAATCCCTAATACTAAATACTCATATATATGTATATATTGCCCATAGACATGTAGTATGTATTCATGTATCATATATGTATAGGTATATATATGTTCATATGTCATATATTAAATATGTATGAATTTATAAGATAAAGGTGGAAATTATTGACATGTTATAACTAAATAAAGAAAATCTTTAACAACCTAAAAGATGCCAATATAAACTCTCAGAATTTCTGGAAAAGTTAAATTTTCATTAACCCTATCTCCTCTCATAGCAAAACTGTGGTGATCTTAATGGATCTTACAGATAAGGAATTTGCTCCAAAGAAGGTTGTTATTTAAACTTACAAATTGGTATAAATATATTCATTACATTAGTAATCAAAGTACCCAATGCAAAAATGATTTTCTACTTGGAAACCGTGCCTTCCAAATGGAAAAATTAAAGAAGTCAATTGAAGGATAAAATACTTATTTAAAAAGTAAATATTGCAAAGGCATGAAGTTGCCAAATATACTAACTGTAGTTTTGATGAGCTGGAAATCTTCAGCAAATAAATGTTTGGGTTTCTCCCCACATAAAATATTAATGGCTAGATTGTTGAGACTTTTGTTATTACCTAGGGCCCTCCAGTGGCAGGACACTTGTGTGTTGCCTAATGTTGGTTTACGATTATTTTAAGCATTATTGAAGTGTATCAAGGATCACGTTCACTCCTTCCATTAATTCATTCATTTAAAAGATATTTGTTGCACACCAACTACATAAAAGTTCCTTGAGTTTCAGCACTGTAAAAAAAAACAATGATCCTTGCCCTTTTGGAGCTTATAATCAAGACACAATTTAAAAAACTCAAAATATATAATTAAATGATATAATACATTAGATGGTAATAAGAATTATGGAAAAGAGAAAAAGGAATGCAGCATTGGCGGCCTCTGGAGTGTGAAAGGGGTGGAGATATGCTACAATTTTAAATAAAGAACGATTACAAGGTGACAAGCAAAAACTTGAAGGAGTTAAGACAGTCCTGTGGATGTCTGTGAGATAAGCATTTATGGAGTTTGTCAAAGAAAGATGTCACTTGAACCCCACTGCCAGAGACCTTATCAAAATCCACCAATCTATAGCACAACTGCCCTCAATTGTCAAGGCCGTCCACTCTGAGTCCAGGCTCCCTACTGTGGAATGACATCATCCACGGCCATTTAACAAGATCTTAGCTTTCAGATCCAATAGATAATAATCCACTGTTGTGCCAGTTTTCAGAAACTCCTTACAGACCCCAAACTACACAAACCTAGCTGAAATACCTTGAACTTCACCTAGAGTTTGTAGACCGTCAACTCTAAGCCCAAGTTCAAGAGCTATCCATCAACATCCTAGACTATTCTAAGGCGACTTTTGCCACTCAGGTGATACAGAAAATAATTTCCAAAGGATCAGTCCTCCACCTGGCTTATGTTAATGAGAAAACTGTATATCTTTGTTTTGTTTGCATCTAGATTTGAATTTGTCTTAGGCTGATCATTGTTCTCTTAAAGCAATTTTCAGTTGGCCAGGCATAGTGACTCACGCCTGGAATCTCAGCATTTTCGGAGGCCCAGGCGGGTGGATCACATGATGTCAAAAGTTTGAGACCAGCCTGGCCAACATGATGAAACCTCATCTCTACTAAAAATGCAAAAATTAGCCAGGTGTGGTTAGGGGCGCCTGTAATTCCAGCTACTTGAGAGGCTGAGGCACGAGAATCTCTTGATTCTCCACCAGGAGGTGGAGGTTGCAGTGAGCCAAGATTGTGCCATTGCACTCCAGCCTGGGCAACAGAGCAAAAACTCCGACTCAAAGAAAAAAAAAGTGATTTTCAGTTTTAGCCACCTTTAAAGAAATTCAAGAAACAACAAATTTGGAAACAGAATGAATGTACCAATAATCCATTCTCTAAAGGAGCTGATCTAATCACTTTTCTTAATGGATAATCCAACACTACTCCTGGCCTGCCACATCACCCATTGCTATCCTTTGTCACAGGGCCCTTGCTAGTTGTCTTTCATCCATTAAAGAAAGTTGATTGTTCACAATGTGTGGAGCTGTGAGCAAATGCCCCAGCAGAAGAAAAACAATCCTCCATTCCTCCTCATCTCTCTGGAGTGGTCCAAAGTCTCAACTGCAGGGTGAAGAAGATCCACTGTCATGGACTTATTAAAAATGATTCCTGCTGAAAATTAGGGGCTCATATTTTTTCTGCTGCCACATTTTGTCCATTAGAGCTCAAGAACCTAAGAATGACATAGTCCTTCATTCCTTATCTCATGATACAGAGTGATATATAGGTTTCTACATGCTAATCTTCTTTCATGTGCCAACCAATGCTGAAGGGATACTATTTCACCTGAATTGAAATGAATAAAAATTAAGCATCAAGGGGTAAAAATCTCCCTGGTAGTTCTGCAATATTGCAATAACCTTACCTAATGCACTATTATTTTCCCACACCACTGTGGGAAACACACAGAGGTATCCATCCTTCAATAAGCAACGCCCTAGATTGTTATGTTTTGCCAATGATGATACGGGTATCTTAGAAACTAATTGTGTCTTGGGTTGTACTTAAAAAGTGACATTTGCAAGGTGTTCAGGAAAAAGAAAAATGTAGCTGTACAAAAGAAGTTTTGATAGCTATGGTACCTGCTGTTAAACCAAGAGACATACGTTACTTAAGGTACTGTGCTAATACTGAGAATAAAAAACTTGTTGGATATAAGAGCAATGTGGATAAGTGATATTAAACTTATACCTATTAAAAATTGCAGATACCTCTCATAAGATGGTAAACAAAATATGAATGTGTATTTAGAAAAAAAAGATGTAAAAATCATAAAGCGTGTATTTCAGAACCAACTTTGAAATAACATCATACCAAAAAAGGCATCAAAAGGGATAACTATGTAAAAACATGAAATCTTACTGTTTTCTTAAAGACATTAATTCCTAAATTCTTTTAAGTGGTAAGTTCCTTTAACCCTGTATTTCCAATTCCATTTTTAATCAAATGAAATCTTATATATAGCCATGAATATGCAAGACTTCATAGTTAGCCATACTAGTATAGAGAATTCTAAAAATATGAGGTGGTGTTTAAATAGGTATAAGAAAGGGACAGAACTCCAAAAAGTAACAACATTAAGAAGAAATTTGTTAGATAAAGTTGAAGGCTGGAAATATTCACAAGCATTAAATTCTTTTCAGAGTTTGACAACCAAGCAAGCATTCTTTTCAGGTTGTCTAAAAAATTCCCCTTGAATTCAGATGGATTTCAAAGGTTCAGTGTTATTTCCCATGGAATATAAAAATATTACACGCTAATCGACTGTCATTAAAATTGGCATCTGTGACTCCAAGAAGTTTTGATTGGCAGAAAAGCCCAGACACATTTCATCTCTTCTTTATTTGGCCAAAGGAAAAGTTAACAAATGAATGACCCTGGAAAGTAATGTGTAGAGGATTTGTATCACCAATTCCAAACCTGAATCACTCTTCATGCAGTAACAAGGCTGGCTAATACTCCATATTTATGCTTCAGATAAGGCAACAGCTAGACTTTTGTGGTCTTACCTTTAAAATGAACTTCTTCATCACACTTCATATTCCTGAAGGCACAGGATGGGGTCAGGACTTCCCCTAAGATGCTATAAAGATCCAGGACTTTTGATTCCACACTTTAAAAATTTCAAAATACTCCCATTGACCAGAAAAGTCAAAAAAACTGCTGTGCCTGGAAAGCAATATTCCTGATTACCTGGCTGCCCACCGAACCACCCCTCAGCTGATTCATTCTCTCATTATCTCCCAGTGTGAGACTCTAAACCAGCAGAAAGCTTCCGCATTGCAATGAAACCATACTCATTCTTTTATGATCTAAAAGGTGCTTCCTCTCTAGCTATCCTAATTCTACCCAGATATGATCAGCAGAATAAGGACCCCAATTTCTGGAGCCTGTGACTATGTCACCTGACACAACAAAAGGGCCTTTTCAGATATGGTTGTTAACAATCTTGAGATGGGGAGGTTATCCTGGATTAACTGGGTGGGCCCCATGTAATCACAGTGATCCCTATTAGTGAAAGAAGGAAGCAGGAGAAGCAGTCAGAGAAGGACATTTACAGATGGAAGCAGAGGACAAAGCTATGTGATTGCTGACTTTGAGGTTGGGAAGATGAGCCAGGAATACTGCAGCCTCAAGAAGAAACCAGATTCTCCCCTACAGCCTCAGAAGAAATGCAGCCCTGCTGACACCTTGATGTTAGCTGATTTTGGACTTCTGACCCCAGAACTTTAAGAATAAATCTGTGTTTTAAACCACTAAGTTTGTGGTAATTTGTTACAGCAGCAATAGGAGGTTCAAGTCTCACTTCCTTGGAAGTATGACAAAAGCACTCTAACTCACTCTGCTTTTCCTTAAAAATTACCTTGAATATCTATTTGAGTGTTGCCATTACACCTCCAATGTAATATGTCTGGTAGCAGTAACATTGCATTTTGTTACATAAGTGAGAAGTTGTGCTAAAGATCCACATAATGCTGGGAACAGGAAAGCCATTAAAATGGATAAAAGCACTTACAGTTCATTACAAAAATAGGAAAAAAGGCATGTCTGTCTCTTTTTACCCTGTTTAGGAATACTTTGCCTACTCTAAAGTCAAAATGATATTCTGCTGTGTTTTCTTCTGGACAATTTTTGTTTTACTTTGTAATTAATTTTAATTAATTTTACATGTTACATGAGGCAGGAATTGAAGCTTATTATTTTTCCTTACAGATACCCACTGCTCCAGAGCTTTTTGTTGAAAGGTTCCTTTTCCACATTGAATTAATTTGGTGTCTTTATCAAAAAAGAAATTTATATATGGATCAATCTATTTCTGAAGTCTCTATTATGTTTCATTAATCTACATGCCTATCTTTAGACCAATATCACACTGTCTTGATTATTATATCCTCATAGTAAGTGTTAAATCAGGTAGGGTAAGTCCTCCAAATTTGTCCTTTGTTTTCATTCTTCCTGTTCTTTTGTGTGTGTAGATGTGTTTCTAAATAAACTTTAGAAACAGTTTCTTTAAAAAGACAGACACCCTGCTGGGATTTTTAATAGAATTACATTGCATCTATAGGTCAATTAAGGATAACTATATTTTTATAATATTGTACATAATCATGTCCCTACAGTTTTTTCTCAACAGTATATTTAAAAATATTTAAAATAGGCCAGGCACAGTGGCTCATGCCTGTTATCCCAGCACTTTGGCAGGCCAAGGCAGATGGATTGCCTGAGCTCAGGAATTCAAGACCAGCCCGGGCAACATGGTAAAACCCCATTTCTACCAAAAAGATACAAAAAATTAGCTGGGTGTGGTGGTACACGACTGTGGTCCCAGGTACTTGGGAGGCTGAGGTGGGAGTATTGCTTGAGCCTGGGAGGCAGAGATTTCAGTGAGCTGAGATTCCATCACTGCACTCCAACCTGGGTGACAGAGTGAAAAAAAAATAAATCCATCTCAAAAAGTAAAAAATAAAATAAAAAGTAAAAATAAAAATATTTAAAATATACAGAAAAGTCAAAAGAATTCTTTTCAGTCATGAATGTGTGCTGAGTTTTGTCATACTTTCATTGCACATATAAACATGGTTATGTTTTCCTTTCCTTTTATTGTTAGAGTGGTAAATTCCATTGAATGATTTTTGACATATTAAGCCAACCTTGCATTCCTGGGATAAACCCCAGTTGGTCATGATGAATTATTCATTTATTTGTATTCTTGGATTTAAATTGTAAATTTTTGAGAATTGTTGAATCTAAGTTCAAGAGAGATAATGGTCTAAAAGTTCCTTTCCCTGTAATTCCCTTTCTAGGTTTTGTTATCAAGGATATATGTCCTGATGAAAGGAATTGAGGAGTGTTTTGTTTGAAGGAATTAATCTGTGAAGCCATATGGGCTGAGCAATTTTTTGAAGGATAATTTTTAACTAAAAATTCAAATTTATAAATAGACACAGGTATATAGATTTTTAATTTCTTTTTGTACTTGTTTTGGAAATTTTTCCATCACATCTAAATTGTTGAATTTATTTGCACAAAATTATTCTTGATACTCCTCTATTATGTATATTGCTTGCAGGATTGGTAGTGAAGTATTATCTTTCATTCCTTATATTAGTAGTTTGTGTTTTTTCTCTGTGTTTTGTTTTCTTTTTTTTTTCCTTGCAGGGGAGAATAAACTTAGATAGGGTGTTCTTACTTTTATTATTTTTATATCAAATTTGTTGACTTGATTCATGGTTTACTCTTTTTTTATCTCTACTCATATTCTTATTTTTGTAACTCTGGGTTTAATTTTTTATTTTGAATTTTTTTCTTTTTTAAGTAGTGCTTTGGCTGCATCTTATAAATTTTGATATATTGTGTCTTCATATTATTTAATTCATAATATTTTCTAATTCATCTGTGATTCCTTCTTTAACCTATTAGCTGCTTAAGAGTGGTTGCTTATTTCCCAATATTTTGTTATTTTCTAGATTTATTTTATTATTAATTGCTAACTTAATTGTCTTATGTTCAGAATAGTATATTGTGTATTTCAATTCTTATGTATTTATCAAAACATGTATTATGATCTGTCATGTGTTCTATCTTGATGAATGTTCCACATGTATTAGAAAAGAATGTGTATTCTATAGTTATTGAGTACAATGTTCTAGATGGTTTTCTTGTTGGTCAGTATAGTTGTTCATCAATCTGAATGCTTTAATTTTTGTATATATCTTCTAATTATTATTGACAGTGGAGTGCTAAAATCTCCAACTATTACTGTGAACTTTTCTGTTTCTCTTTAAGTTCTGCCATTTTTATATCATAGTATCTCTGTTATAATATGTGTGTACATTTCATGTTTTTATGTTCCTGATGAATTGATCCTTTTATCACTCTGAAATGACCCTCATTACCTCTAGTAAAGCACATTTCCTTGAAGTCTAGTTTGTGCAGTAATGTGTGAATTTGCATAATGTATTGTATTTTATACTTTTCCATTGGCTTTGTTTTATATTTATTGAGACTGTCTTATAAACAGCATATAATTATGTGTTGCTTTTCTTACCTAGTCTGACGATCTGCCTTCTACATAGAGTTTCTAGCCTATTTAAATTGAACACAATTATTAATGGAATCTTGTTTAATTCTCTCAGCTTGCTGTGTTTTCTTGTTATTCCTTCTAGTTTTTTTTAATTCTTTTAGTCCTCACCACTACTTTCTTTTGGATTAATCAAATACTATTTTAGTATTCTATTCTATCTCCTCTATTGGTTTTTTATTGGCTATATATATATTAAGGGATCACATTATACATCTTTAACTTATCACAGTAAGTCTTAAATTAACGTTATATCACTTCCCTATAACATAAGAGTCTTACAACAGTCTAATTCCATTTGCAGTCTCTTCCATCTTTGGCTACTATTGTTGTTTTCTTTCTACATATATCACAAATCCTTCAGTACACTGTTAAGGTTTTTGCTATAAAAAGTCAATTCGCTTTAAAAGTTAACTGAGTACTTTAGAGTTCACTTTAATGAGTACTTAAAAGTTGTTTGATATTTAAAGTACTGTAGTAAACGTATTAGAATAAAACAAATATTCTTTTGTTAAGTTAGAATTTTAAGTCAAAATGTTTTACCTTTTAGCAAGTACAGTCATACTTGAGAATGTTATAGCGGTAAGACAGGGAATTATACCAAAAATCACCTGGGTATAGATTCATATGCCTTATCTTTTCACTCATTGGTCTGTTGCACAAGTTGTTCCTGAGGATATCATTTTCATTGTAGAGTATAAAGTTCATACAAATTTTGAGAGATGTTCTATTCCTAAATTTAATTTTAATGTAGTTTATTATTTTTCCATAGAATGTTATCAAATTATTTAATGAATACCTTATAAAATTATTCTATAAGATATAGAAATTGTAAATGATTTTTCCAGGAGATTTTAATCAAATCCTTTAAGGAGAGACACTGGACTTGCCTTGTTTTCTAGGAAGCTTATTGGCCCCATCTCAATGCATCCTGTACACACAAGGGGGCAGAGTTAAACTAGTGGTGAGAGCCAGATCTTGAGCTTTCTGGTTTGCAAATAATTCAGATTTCATATTTGATTTTCCAACAATCATTTTCTAGGTAGAGTGTTTTACCTTTCCAATGAAATGTATTTGCCTATCAGAGGCAGTCTAGTTCATGAGATGACAGCTGTACGTCAGAAACAAATGGTCCATATTTACATGGTCATTCTTCTTAAATGTTTCTTATTTGAATATTATATAACTCTAACTCACCATTCTTTGTCTCTGAGAAGAGTGAGCATATAAGTAAAACTTAATGACATATTCAATAAAATAAGTAACTAAATAGTATACAGATCTTGGTTCTCTTCTATTTCAGTACCTGGGTTACAAAATCATCTGTACAACAAACCCCCAAGACACAGTTTACCTATATAACAAACCTGCACATGTACGCCTGAACCGAAAATAAAAGTTTAGAAAGTAATAAATAAAATAAAAATTTTTGCTTATCATCTTTAAAAAAATATAAAATTCAAGAGAACAAGATCTGAAAGTAAGCTTGAGAGTTTCACTCAGAACTAAATATGCTGATTTCTCAAAAAATCCCAAAGATTTCTCAAATATACCTCTGTTTTTCAAAGGCAAAATTCTTCACGTATCTCCTCTTTTTATCCCACTAGCATTTTGAATAGGAGTATTCGCTATGATCCTGGTCATTGTTACCCATTTTAAGCGTTAAATGCATGATCATGGAGGCACTAAGGGAGACTTGATTTTCTGCTTAAAAATATGCTTTCTTTACCTATTAAGGATGTAAAGGTAGATTACAAAGGAGAAAGTATTTTCTTCAATATTTGTTGCTAAGACTTCAAGTGTAAGTAACCATGGGAGAAATAATTCACTGGCTTCAATTCACACAGAGTAAAATGGACTGAAATCAAAGCCCTTCTTTAGTCCATGTTTTGATAAAACTGAGAGGGAGGACAGGCTGAGAGGAAAGAAGTTCCTACCTGCCAAAGGAGAATTGAGGCAGAGACCAAGAAAATGGGAAACAAGCCCAGAAATAGAAACAGGCAGATGCCAAGACCTACTTATATCACAGTTTGCCTTGGGAACTACCTACCAAGCCTGCTTTATCCCTCATTCATTACAGGCCTCCTTTTAGTAGGGGATATTTCATTGGAAATCAATATGGAAATCTGATATGTCTGATCTTTGACATGATAGAAAAAACTAGTATTTACTCCTCTTAACTCAAACTTTTATGTGAAATTTTTCATTAGGCACCAGTAACCTGATTTATAAAGTGATTAATTTTTAAAACTGTGAAGAAAATTACACATAAAAATGTAATGAATATGTCACTAAAAAGTAAGACTATAAATATATAAAAGTATGCCATACTCCACCACTCTGTGTTTTGTAATTTTAATCATGTTTCCTTTGTTCAATTAAAATAGTATTTTCACAAGGGTAACAATCCCAAAATAGTTACTATTCTATTACTAACTCAGGGGAGCTATTCTAATGCAAACCTCATAATTCAGTGTCATGAGCAGAAGAGCTAAAAATCAACTGTACCTTAAAAGAAGAAATAAATGAAGCATAAATGAAGAAAGTGCCTAGAGAAAATTCAAATGGAATTCATAAACAAGCATCACGGTTTCTGATTCTTAATTATCCACTGGTTAATAAAAATTATTTCCTGTTCCATTTTCATATTCCAAAATGTATTCATATGGAAAAGTTTCACAATTACCATACTCTTTCAGTAATTTTAGCATTTTATAAATCCCATCCAACTGCTTTAAAAAGCAAGCTGATTAGACTTGTCACTGTGCCGGGAAAACTAGATTAATGAGTACTTTTTGCTCATTACTTTAGGAAGGTCTCATTTGATATAAAATAATTTATTAGATTACATTCTTTAAACTTCTAATATTTGGTCTTTAATAGCATCCTGTATCTTTTCCTTCAATATCAAAACAAGCTGCTCTCTTCTTCCGACTAATATAGTAATAATCATGTCAACACTATAGCTAAAAATGTATTCAGACAAGGTATTTACAAACAGAATACTACAGACAGGGCATGGAAATAAGAATTATTAAAATGATATTCTCTCTTTCAGGGCCCTTGTCCTTACCATTGTCATTTTTGTCCTTGTGCTTAACATCACCATAAGATCAGCAGGCAAACTACTATGATGCCATTGTACAGCAGGAAACAGAAGCTCAGAAACATTCAGTTATGCATCTGAAAATAACAGGACTAGTGGAAGAGCTAGGGCATCAGCCTAGGTTCTCTGTTATTTGAAAATACTACTAATAATAACTAGCATTATCTAAGCTCCTACTGTGTGCCAAGCATCATTTAAAAGTTTTGTGGGTCTCATTACATTCAGTCTTCAAAACAGCCCAGGTATCTTTATCTCCATCTTACAGAAGAGGAAATGGAGGCATAAGGAATGGAGATGTCCTAGTAAGTGAATGATGAAGATAGGGTTTGCTTCCTATGCTTTGGCTATGGTGCTCCTTGAAACACTTTTAGTCCCAAACACTGCAGAAAATTTGCCTTTTTCATTTATTTCCTGATTTTCTGTTCTCCTCTAAATTTATACTAAAATGAAATGTTTGAGGGTACCAGCCAAGTGCATTGATTTACCTTCCTCTTTTCTTCATTCTCTCATAGGGGGATGGAGCCCCAGCACTGGACATCAGCAGGCTGGAATTCCAGTCCCAGCTGGCCTATACCAACTCCTCTAGGCCTCAGTTTCCTCCAGTGTAAAGCTCTACTTAGCTCTAAACTGAAGCAGTTAAAATCAGTGATTTATAAAGTCTCTTTCCATTCTAATGTTCTAGGAGTTATGCTTTTGGAGTTTATTTCTTCCTTTTTGGAAGAAAGGTGTTTTTGTTGTTGCTGTTAACTTAATCAATGCTGTGGTGGTGTACAACTTTTAAATTACACAATTACTGTACCAAGCAGGAATGTGAAATGTATTTGATTCAACAAAACTTCATAGAGAACATACCCAAGACTGTTTTAGAATCACAGCTGCATAAGACAATATACAATAAACCAACCATGTTATCCATTCCCAAAATGGGAATGAGAAGAACATCAATAAGATACCATCAGATAAGATTTTCAAAGCATAACTTCATTTTAATGAAATCCAGAATTAGGTTTGGAACTGATGAAGCTTACTTAAATTGTCTCAAGTGCAAACTCATTTCTGATTTTAAACTTATGGATAAATGTGACAATTTAGGCTATTATACTAGGTCAGAGAAAAAAATCATGTGTCCATAAAATAACTAAAATTTCAATTTATTTTTAGTTATTACATCTTTTAATCAGGAACAGTAAGAAAGAGAACAGGTTAGAATCCATTTGTACTGATCAAACTTTCCCTATTATAGAAAGGTTTATGGAAAAGACACTACATTATTAAAAACAAAAAAGAAATTAGAAGCTAAAGAACTAATTTGAAATCCTGGCATCTTCCTAATTGCTCTCCTTTGAGCAAGTTCTTTAAATTTTCTAAATCTGTTTTCTTGTTTGTAATATGCAATACCTGTCCTATCTACCTCACAGAGTTCAATCTTGGCTCACTTTTATTTTCTTTATGTATTTGGCACCTGAGAGATCTTTCTGAGTATCGTGCTTTTAAATGTCATCTATACACTAACTTGAAGCTTTATTTCCCAGCTATTCTTCTCCCTGTCTTCCAAATACATATAGCTGATTCTGTGGTCGACATCTCCATTTTGATATCTACTGGATATCTCAGACTTAAAAACAAATTTCCAAATCAAACCCTTTGCCTTTCCTGTAACATTCCTTATTTTTAGTAAATATTAACTCCAGTTGCTCAGGCCAAAAACCTTTGAATCATCCTTGACTCCTGTCTTCTCACACCTCAAATCCATTAGCAAATCTTTTTAGTTCTATCTTCAAAATATATATGAAATCTGACCACTTCTCACCAACTTCATTTCTAATGCTGGTTTTGTTACTGAAAAAAAAAAAAACAAAAAAAGAGAAGTCTCAATCCAGGCCTCAAGAGAGGTTTCTTGGATCTCATGCCGGAAGGAATTTAAGGCAAGTTACAAAGTGCCATGAAAAGAGATAGTTTACTGAAAGCTACTCCATTACAGAGTAGCATGCCCTCAGAAAGCAAAAGGAGTGCACCATTTTAAGTTTTTCTTATAAAGACTAAACCAAGCTGTCCTTACATGCATGTGGGCTGACAGCATGTCAAAATTTATTATTCTATTGATTTAAAGAAAATGATCCTTGGCATTCTACTGTTTGAATACATCAAAGCATAACTACAATTATCTTGAAAGCATATATTGTTACGGGTGTTGGGACATCTGGACTTTTTGCTTTTGTAGGGGTGTGTTTTTGTAGGTATCTTAGGCTGTTTCCTCAACTGTAAACATCTTATGACCATGGGTCATGATTGGCAAGGAATGTGCCTTGTTAGTCTTTTTTGTTTTTTTGTTTTTCTGTTTTTTTTTTTTTTGAGACAGAGGTTTGCTCTTGTTGCCCAGGCTGGAGTGCAATGGTGCAATCTCGGCTCACTGCAACCTCCACCTCCCAGGTTCAAGTGATTCTCCTGCTTCAGCCTCCCCAGTAGCTGGGATTACAGGTACCCACCACCACGCCCGGCTAATTTTTTGTATTTTTAGTAGAGACAGGGTTTCACCATATTGGCCAGGCTGGTCTTGAATTCCTGACTTCAGATGATACACCTGCCTCGGCCTCCCATTGGTATTTTGATAGGGATTGCATGTAGATTGCTTTGGGTAGTATGGACATTTTAACAATATTGATTCTTCCAATCCATAGACGTGGAATATCTTTCCATGTTTTTGTGTTTTCTTTGATTTCTTGCATCAGTGTTTTCTAGTTTTCATTATAAAGATCTTTCACTTCTTTGGTCAAGTTAATTTCTAAGTATTTTATTTTGTTTTCAGCTATTGTAAATGTGGTTACTATCTTGATTTCTTTTTCAGATTGTTTAATGTTGTCATATAAAAATGCTACTGATTTTTGTATGTTGATTTTGTATGCTGAAACTTCTCTAAATTTATCAGTTCTAATAGTTTTTGGTGGAATCTTAAAGTTTTTGCAAATATAAGATTGTATCATTGCAAACAAGGATAATTTGACTTCTTCTTTTCCAATTTGGATGCACTTTATTTCTTCTCTTATCTGATTGCTCTAACTAGAACTCCCAGTACTATGTTGAATAACAGTGGTGAAAGTAGGCATCCTTGCATGTACCAAATATTAGAGAAAAGGCTTTCAGCATTTTCCAATTTAGTATGATACTAGCTATGGATCTGCCATATATAGCTTTGATTATGTTGAGGTATGTTCCTTTTATATTCAGTTTTCTTTAGGGTTTTTATCATGAAGGGAGGTTAAATTTTATCATTCTTTTTCAGCATCAATTGAAATATGCATATAAATTTTGTCCTTCATTCTGTTGGCATGATGTATTACACTGGTTGATTTGCATATGTTGAACCATCCTTACATACCAGGGATAAATCCCACTTGGTGATGATGAATGACCTTTTTAATGTGTTGTCAGATTTGGGTTGTTAGTATTTTGTTGAGGATTTTTGCATCAATATTCATCAGTGATATTAGTCTGTAGTTTTCTTTTTTGATGTGTCTTTGTCTGGTTTTGGTATCAGGGTAATATTGTCTTTGGAGAATGAGTTTGAAAGTATTCCTGCTTCCTCTATTTTTTTTGGAATAGTTTGAGTAGAATTGACATCAGTTTTTCTTTAAATTGTTGGTAGGATTCAGCAGTGAAGCCATCAAATACTGGACTTTTCCTTGGGCTTTTCCTTGCTAAAAGACTTTTTATTATAGCTTCAATTTTGCGACTTGTTATTGATCTGTTTAGGTTTTGAATTTTTTCATGGTTAAATATTGGTAGGTTGTGTCTAGGATATCCATTTCTTCTAGAGTTTCCAATTTATTGACATATAGTTGTTCATAGTACCAACTAATGATGCTTTGAATTTCTGCAGTATCAGTTGTCATGTCTTTTTTTTCATCTCTGATTTCATTTATTTAGGTCTTCTCTCTTTTTTCCTTAGTCTGACAAAAGGTTTGCCAATTTTGTTTATCTTTTCAAAAAACCAACTTTTTGTTTCATTGATCTTTGCATTGTTTTCTTCATTTCAATTTCACTTATCTCTGCTCTAATCTTTATTATTTATTTTCTTCTACTAATTTTGGGTTTGGTTTGCACTCACTTTCTTAGTTCTTAATCGACAAATGTTTGTATAGTTTTCACAATTTCTCTTGTTATTGATTTCCAGTTTTATTCCATTGTGGTCAGAGAAGATGCTTGATATTACTTCAAATTTTTTGAATGTTTTAAGATTGGTTTTTTGACATAACATATGGTTTATCCTTGAGAATGATCCACATGCTGAGGAGAAGAATGTATATTCTACATCCATTTAATGAAATGTTCTATAAATATTGGGTCCATTTGGTCTATAGTGCACATTAAGTTCAATATTTCTTTGTTGATTTTCTAACTGGAAAATCTGTCCAATGCTGAAAGTAAGGTGGTGAAATCTCCAGCTATTATTGTTTGGAGTCTATCACTCTCTTTAGCTCTAATAATATTTGCTTCATATTAGGGTGCTCTTATTTTTCTATAGTGACATTCTTTGTCCTTTCTTATAGTTTTTGTCTTGAAATCTATTCTGTCTGATGTAAGTATAGCTGTTCCAGCTGTTTTTTGCTTTCCATTGGCATGAAATATCCTTTTCCATCCCTTATTTTTCCGTCTATGTGTGTCTTTTAGATGAAGTGTGTTTCTTGTAAGTGACAGGTCATTGGGTCTTGTTTCTTTTTCATCCATTCAGCCAATCTATGTCTTTCGATTGGAGAGTTTAGTCCATTTACATTCAATGTTATTCTTGATAAGTATTTACTTCTGCCATTTTGTTATCTGTTTTCTGGTTGTTTTGTGGTCTTCTCTTCCTTTATTTCTTCCTATTTTCCTTTTAGGGAAAGTGATTTTCTCTGCTGGCTTGATTTAATTTCTTGCTTTTTACATTTTGTGTACCTGTTGTATGTTTTTTGATTTAAGGTTACCATGAGGCTTTCAAATACTATCTTATAACCCATTATTTTAAACTGATAACAACACTGCTTGCATAAGCAAACTAACAAGAAAAAATAAAACTAATAAAAATTCTACACTTTATACCCCTGCTTTTTTAACTTTTTGTTGTTTCTATTTATGTCTTCTTGGACTGTCTATGTCTTGAAAAGTTGTTGTAGTTACTATTTTTGATTGGTTCATTATTTAGTTTTTCTACTTAAAATAAAAGTATTTTATGCATCACAGTTATAGTGTTATAATATTCTGTGTTTTTCTGTGTACTTACTATTGCCAGTGAGTTTTTTACCTACAGATGATGTCTTATTGCCTATTCATGTTCTTTTTTTCTGATTGAAGTACTCACTTTGCATTTCTTGTAGGACAGGTCTGGTGTTGGTGATATCCCTTGGCTTTCGTTTGTCTGGGAAAGTCTTTATTTCTTCTTCATGTTCAAAGGATATTTTCACTGGCTATATTATTCTAGGGTAAAAGTTTTTTTCCTTCAGCTCTTTAAATATGTCATGTCGGTCTCTCTTGGCCTATAAGGTTTCCACTGAAAAGTCTGCTGCCAGAAATGTTGGAGCTTCATTATACATTGTTTCTTCTCTTTCGCTGCTTTTAGGATCCTTTCTTTATCCTTGACCTTTGGGAGTTTGATTATTAAATGCCTTGGAGGTTGTCTTCTTTGTGTTAAATCTGCTTCGTGTTCTATACCTTCTCATACTTGGAAATTAATACCTTTTCTAAGTTTGGGAAGTTGTCTATTACTATCCCTTTGAATAAACTTTCTATCCCTATTTCTTTCTCTGCCTTCTCTTTAAGGCCAATGCCTCTTAGATTTGCCCTTTAGACGCTATTTGCTAAATCCTGTAGGCATGCTTCATTGATTTTTTTTCCTTTGTCTCCTCTGACTGTGTATGTTTGAGTAGCTTATCTTCAAGTTCACTACTTCTTCTGCTTGATCAGTTCTGCAAGTAGGAGATTCTGATGCATTCTTCAGTATTTCAGTTGCATTTTTCAACTCCAGAATTTCTGGTTGATTCTTTTTAATTATTTCAATCTGTTAAATTTATCAGGTAGAATTCTGAATTCCTTCCCTGTGTTATCTTGAATTTCTTTGTGTTTCCTTAACACAGTTATTTTGAATTCTCTGTCTGAAAGTTCACATATCTCTGTTTCTCCAGGATTGGTTCCTGGTGCCTTATTTAGTTTGTTTTGTGAGATCATGTTTTTTCTGGATGGCAGTGATGTTTGATGTTTATCAGTGTCTGGGCATTGAAGAGTTGGGTATGTATTGTAGTCTTCACAGTCTGGACTTGTTTGTACTCATCTTTCTTGGGAAGGCTTTTTAGATATTTGAAAGGAACTGGCTGTTGTCATATAAGTTGTCTCTGCATTAGGGGGTATCCCACACCCAGTAATGCTGTGGTTCTTGCAGACTTATAGAGGTACCACCTTGGTGGTCTGGCATAAGATCTAGAATAATCATCTGTATTTCCAGCCAGAGGCTGATTATTTTCAGAGACTGGGAAAAGAACAAAGAAAATTCCTTTCCCTAGCTTTCTCCCAAAGAAATGGGGTCGGTCTGTGTTGAGCCTCTTTAAGCTTGGGATGGGGTGACACAATAACCTTGTGGCCACCACTGAGACTGTGCTGCATCAGAACTGAAGCCAGAATAGCACTGGGTCTCACCCAAGGCCTGCTGTAACCACTACCCCACTAGCTGATTACTGCCTATGTTCGCTGAAGGTCCTGGCACTCTACATCAGCAGGTGGCAAAGCCAGCCAGGCTTACGTCCTTCCCTACAGAGTGGTGAGTTCCCCCAGGCCCTAGGTAAGTCCAGACATGTCTTGGAGCTACAGAATGGAGTCAAAACCTTAGAAGTGTACCTGGCATTCTAGTCTACTGTGGCTGAGCTGGCCCTCAAACCATGAGATACAGTTGTTCCCACTCTTCCCTCCCATTTCCACAGGAAGAGGAGCCTCACTCTATGACCACCTCCACCACAGGCCTACCAGGAGTACTGCCAGGCTACCGCTGATATTCATTTAAGGCACAAGGGCTCTTCAGTCAGCTCATGGTGAACGCTGCCAAGCCTGAGACATACCCTTCAGTACAGTGGGCTCTCCTTTGGCCCCAGGGAAGGTCCAGAAATGCCATTCAATATCCAAGGCCTGGGACTGGGCACCCTAAAAGCCTGCCTAGTGCTCTACCCCTCTGTGGTCAAGCTGGAACCTGAAAACAGCACATCTCTGAGCCTCACTCAAGAACAACCTGGTAATTACCATTGGTTTTTCCGGGCCCAAGCGCTCTTCAGTCAGCAGGTGATGGATCCTGCCAAGACTGGGTCTTCCCTTCAAGGCCATGGGTTCCCTTCTGGCCCAGGGTGTGTCTAGAAATGTTGGTCCAGGAACTAGGACCTGGAATAGGGGCCTAACAACTCCTTACTCTTTCCTCTCCCCTCCTCAAATGGAAGGAAGGGGTCTTTTTTGGAGCTGTGAGCTTTGTTGCCTTGGGTTGGGGGAAGGGTGGTACCAGCACTTCCTTAGCTGTTTCAGCTGGTGTGTCAGTAAGTCTCATTCTCCCCAAATCTGCTAGCTCTGAACCCAGCTCAGCACTAGGACTGGTAGCCCTTGTGGCCTAGAGTGCCTTTCGAGTTTATTTAGAGCCCCAGAGCACTTTATCCTGCAGTGGTGAGGCTTGCCAGAACCACTGGGATGCATGATTCCCCTCTGGCTAGGGTTGGTCAGAATGCCCCTCCATGAGTAGGCATCCACTGAGTTCAGCCCAGTTTTGCTTTCTGCTGTAACAGGGCAGCACTGAGTTCAATGCAAAGCCTCACAATCACTGTTCTCTCCCTCTCTCGAAAGCACATATTATCTTTCTCCTGCTGTATGGGAACGAGGAAGAGTGGCATCAGTGATTCAAGACTATCTTTCCTAGTCCCTTCAGTGCTTCTTTCAGTGATATGAAGTAAAACCAGCTACTGTGAGTGTTCGCCTGATTTTTGGTTCTTATGAAGATGCTTTTTTTGTGTAGATAGTTGTTGAATTTCGTGTTCCCATAGAGTGGATGATTGGTAGGGCCTTCTATCCCACCATTTGCTCCACTTCTCTCCTCTAAGGGTATCTCCTTTAATTACTTTTCATCAGTAATGGAGATGCGACCTCTTTTAATGATCAACCACTTTCTCTCTCTCTCTCTTTCTTACACCTGTACTCTCTCTCTTTTCCTGCCTCCTTTCTCCCTTCCTCCCTCATTCTCTTCCTTCCTCTTTTTCTATTTCCCTTTCTCGCTCTTTCCTTCCTTCCAGTTCTTGCCTGCTAGAGGAATACAAGTCCCAAGACACTTTGTCCAGTTGAAATATTCAGAGCTCCAGTTTAAAACAGCTGAGTCCTCTAAAGTTTTGAGATTAGGGTCATAGGGATTTCTTGGAAAGGATGCCACAGCCATTATTTTCCACTTTAGCTTTGGAAGTTTTGGTTGCACAATGTCACTGAACACCAAGTTTAACCTTTCAATGATATTTGATAACAGGATAAATGAAACTGTCTATACAGCTTAGGCTTCCCTAAAATAAAGAAGTTAAATAAATCTACCTAATATGTTAGATCTATTTGGGAAGTTTCATGACTAACATAATGGGTTGGAAGCAAATTGTTCAATGTTCCAACCACACAATTTACTATTATGATACAGTTGTTAAATATAAGGATAGAATAAATCTGGCTAAATTGTGGTCAGAACAAGTTTTCAGTGGCTTTAAATTGACCTGTGACCTAAAATGAACCAGCATAACTTAGCCTGTGAACTCTTACACTTCCATCAACTCAAGTGTGACTCCTCTTCTAGAAGCCTTATTGACCTCAGCTCATTCCCTCCCAGGGATGAGTTTGGGTCTCCCATAAGGGTTACCTACCCACCATGCTCATCATGTTGTGTATTGAAATGTTCTGTTCTTTGGTCTGTCTTCCCTAAAGCTCTTCAACTTTCAAGGAATGGATGAGTCCACATGTTTACATCCCTCATGCCTAACCCATTATCACTGTGTGTCTTTCCTACAAGTGTGTTTTTTATGTACCTCCTAAACTTATGCACCTCCTAAACTCCATTGACTGGACCTGACATCCAGGTAACCATAGTAGAGCACTCTTTGAAATGAATAAAAAGGCTCAATGGTGCACACCAAAGGCTTTCACAATCCTTCTCCACTTGGAGAGGACGAAATGGCAAAAGTGAAGAGTAGAGAAAAAGAAAAATGAAAACAAAGGTCAGAGTAAACAACATGAAGAGCAATGACTTTTAAGACCTCCCGAACTTGCATTTAATGCTGACTCCGACTGATGATCCTTTTGGCCTTAAAGATGCCACAAGGTCTTTTCTTCCCAAGACCAGAGTGTTCTGAAATATTCTGCTGCTCACCACAGACAGGAGCACTAGAGTTGCTGCTTTGAAGGCAAACTGAAATCTGAGTTAGAGAAGCCCCAGTAAGTGAGCTGACCCTGAGAATGCTTTTCCATGGGAAGTCTGATTTTTCAGAAAAGAAAGTGCTAAATATACCAAGTTACTAGAGTTCTTTGCCATCATAACAAACTAAAAGTTTCTTCTCTCTCTCCTTTTTCCTGTCTTTCTCTCTTGTTCGTGTGTGTGTGTGTGTGTGTGTGTATTGAAACTCCAGTTGGACCCTCAATAGTTGTTGTATTAATCAGGATTCTCCAGAGAAACAAAACCAATAGTATATAGGGTGGGGGGGCCTATATTGGTATACTTTAAAAGACTGGCTGACAGGATTATGGAGCTAGCAAGTCTGAAATCTATAAGTCAGGTCAGGAGTCTGGAAGCTCAGGTAAGAGTTGATGTTGCAGTCTTGATTCCAAATTGCATCTTCTGTTCAGTTTGAGTTGGTGCTTGTTTGCTCCTTTGTCTTTTTTTCTCTCTGGCTCTGAGCTCACCCCTCTCTATCCAGCAGTTTTCCATTTGCCTCCATCCAGTTACCCAAGGCTGTGTCCCAAGGTGACGTTAGGCCATTATTGCTCCTGACCCTGAGCCAGTGAAGGTTGGCCACATCCTGCTGATGAGGCAGAGTCTGCCTCTTCCTCATTCCCTAAGATGTGGGCCTCAGGCAGAAAATGGGCACAGCTTTCTTCACCTCCCTTTCATATGCTGTAAAGCCGCAAGGCTGGTCATAGCCATCCAGCTCACACAGAGCACCTTTTTTTTTTTCTGTGAACACACAGGAATGGAACACACAGTCTCCTTGCCCATTTCTTCATCTGGACCTCTGCCTTGTTGGTTCGATGCTCCTGTGTCAGTTATATTTAGCTCAGCTTCAGTTCAAGACATCTCCAATTTGATTTCCTTTTTTTTTTTCTTTTTTCTTTCTGAGACAAGGTCTTACTCTGCCACCCAGGCTGCAGTCGAGTGGCGCGATGTCAGCTCATTGCAACCTCTGCCTCCCAGGTTCAAGCGACTCTCATGCTTCAGCCTCCTGAGTAGCTGGGTCCACAGGTGTGTGCCACCATGCCTGGCTAATTTTTGTATTTGTAATAGAGAAGGGGTTTTTCCATGTTGGCCAGGCTAGTCTCGAACTCCTGACTTCAAGTGATCTGCCCACTTCTGCCTCCCAAATACAACTTGATTTTCATTATGGTCATGACTTTAACTTTTTTCTCTTTATAAATTATATATATATATATATATATATATATATATATATATATATAATTTTTTAAAATTTATCATTGCTTTGGTTTGAAGAAGAGGAAAGGGTCTCAAAATATATACCTACTGCACCATTTGGACCAATTAGCTCATGAAAAATTTATTAAAATGCCCATTTTGTCATTGTCTATTTTCCATCAGGTTGGTTTGATTAATATCTTCCAGTTATTAAGAAACAGAAGCCAGGTGCAGTGGCACATGCCTATAGTCCTAGCCACTTGGGAGTCTTATGTGGGAAGATCACTTAAGCCCAGGAGTTAGAGACCAGCCTGGGCAATACAGCCAGACCATGTCAAAAGGAAAGAGAGAGAGAGAGAGAGACAGACAGAGAGAGAGAGAAGGGAGGGAGGGAGGGAGGAAGGAAGGAAGGAGAGAGAGAGAAAGAAAGAAAGAAAGAAAGAAAGAAAAGAAAGAAAGAAAGAAGAGAGAGAAAGAAAGAAGAGAGAAAGAAGCGAAAGAAGAAAGAAAAAGAGAAAGAAAGGAGAGAAAGAAAGAAGAGAAAGAAGAAAAAGAAAGAAGAGAGAGAAAGAAGAAAAAGAAAGAAAAAAGAAAGAAAGAAAGAGAAAGAAAGGAAGGAAGGAAGAAAGAAAGGGAGAAGCACATTTCTTAAAGTAATGAGAGTTTATTGGAATGATACATGAGTACTTTAAGATAAAAAACAGATGTAGTAATCAAATAGTCTTCCTGGAGAGCTGGATGCTGTTCCTGAAGCTATAGCAAGATTAGCATCCCAGTGATAACACTGTCATCCAACAGCTTTCTTCTCAGCTTCCTCCTTCCCATTTTCTGTGGCCACTCAAAATTGCCTCTCTCTGCTTGCTGCCCTACCTCATGGGTTCTGCCAACTCATAGCTTCTACTGCATCATTGCTTTCTGCTGATAGCCTCCTCTCCCTGTTTTATTCTACTATCTATTTTGGTCTTTCTTATATTACATTTAAACATCCCAAAAAAGAAGATCTAATTGGTTTGTTAAAGTTAGCACCAACAAGAACAGACTGCCCCTATTATACAGGGCTCCTTATGCAGGATAACATCCTAAGTCATTCAGCTTCCTTACGTCCAGACATCATCCCCAGACCCATCAGTAGTAGCTAAATCTACAGGGTTTTATGATCCATCTCTTAGAAATCTAGATGCAAAAAGCCTATTTTTTATTTTATTATTATTATTATTATTTTGCTAAGAAGGGGAAAATGGATGTGGCAGGCACTTGGAAAAGAAACTATGCAGTGAGAGCTGGTGTTAGTCCTTTCTGTCCCTAGTCCTAAGCATCTACAATTATGTTCATGGTAATTGACAGTTCTTCTCAAATGTCATTATAGGATTCCTTTTATCTATTAGTAAATCCTAATTTTGTGGGTAGTATTTTTTCTTGTGAAATTATACCCTTGGGAACTGCTGTGTATTTCTTAAGACTGCAAAACATACATAAGCGTTTCTCAAAATCATGAATACTTACTCCAGAGTGAGATGCAAGATTTGGAGAAAAATGGAGGGGGAAATTAAGGTAAAGTTGTGCCTGGATATTTCTTCAAATACTCTGAACACTGATATTTTAAAGCAAATCTCATTTTCTTTATACTATTTTACATTATCATCTCGTTTTCTTATCTACTGAAAACTGCTTCTAGGCTTAAACTTAATAAAGCCCATCTAACAGCCATCTGTATTTTTAATGGACCTTCCCACCACAAGTGAACCATTGCCCTAAATATCATTTAGAAACTCTATGCTAGCAAATAAACAAATAGCCACAGCTGGGGGCTTTTTTCAATCCCTAATCAAAAGCCAAAGACTATTGAAGGCCATGCATGTGGCATTTAAATTCCATTTTCTGATTAAATATGCCATGTGTGTAAAAGAAGGCAACATAATGTTGGTTACTCTGCTAGGAACTCCCTCTATTTCCAAAATTCTTTCTTTCCATTGTGGGGCAGTGATGGAAGCAAGTCTCATCTGTTCTCTCTAATGGGCTTCGGGAATCTTTAGTCTATATTCCATATCTGGCCATTGGCTTAAATTCATGTTTGTAAAATCCACATGGAACAAGGCCCAAAGGACCTGAGAAGCACTTAGAAGGCCTGACTATGCCACACAGGGAGAGAAGCATTTCTAGTAATATGGTGGGGAGGTATTAGGCTTGATTTTCCCATGAAAAATGACTAAAAGTTCTGGTGAAAACAAACAAAAAAACACATCTTAAAAGCATTGATGAGCTGCAAGATAATAAGACTGTCTGCGGCCAAAATCTAAGCAAAGCTGAAAGCTATAATAGGAAGCCATGTGCTTTAGTCCTTTTGGCCTGAGGGCATTTGCCAAAGTGGGAACTGGAGTGGTGATTTTCATGTTCCAATTAGGACATGTAGAACAGAAACAATGTGGGTGGTCTAATAATAGGCCTTCCCCCCCATAAAGCTGGGACCCCAAAGGGTTCTACTTTCCGCTTAAGGATTAACTGGAAGAAAAAGTAACACCTCCCCATTACTAAAGACAGCAAGAAAATTGCTTAGTTGCTTTGGCAATAAGCAAAGCAGAAGAAAAGAAAAATAAAGAAGAAAGACAAATGGTAATGACAAGCTAATTGTTGTACTGAGTTTTTGCCCAAATTCACATCAGCAAATTCATGCAGTGTATTCAGTATAAAGAGTGTCCAGACTGGGATGGCTCACAAGCACCTGGCAACAGCAAACTCGAATCTTATCTGGAGGAATTTGCCTGCATTCTAGACCTCAAAATCTTCCCACAATTAACTCTCAAAGGAATAAGGAACCAACATTATTAACAATAACCAATGTTTCAGAGTAAAAATTAGAAGCCAGGCTTGCAAATATCTACAAAGTAAAAGAAACTAATGATCTTGTATTCTTATGCAGAAAGCAAATAAACTTTTAAAAATGAAAAATATAATTGCAAATGGAAACTTGGTAGATAGGTTTAATAGTATATTAGACACAGAAGAGGGCACATGGAGATTAGAGTGAGTATATCTGGAAATTTTCAGCCATTATCACTTCAAATATTGCCTGCTCCATTCTCTCTCCTTTCCTGGCACTCTAAATATTTCATTATTAAAACTAACAAATATTCACTAACATCCAAAGATTTTGAGTTCCAGATGGAGAGGAGAAAGGATGGAACACGGGCAACATTTCAAGTTTTTCCAGATATGGTGAAAGATCAAAGCATAGTTTCAAGAAGTCAAATGAATCCAAGCAAGATAAATTAAAATAAATTGACACCTATATACAACAGAAAGAAACTGAAAAACAAGAAAGACAAAGTATAACCTTAAGAGAAGCACAAAGATAAAGAGTAGAGGGACATAATTTAGACTGACAGATTACTTCTGAGCAGCAACAGTGGAAGCTAAAACAGAGTGGTGTGATATCTTGATATAATTGAGCTTCCATTATTTAATTGCTTAAAAATAAGCCACCTCAAAATTTACTACCTTAAAACAAAAAATGATCATTCATTTTACTCAAGAATCTATGATTTGGGCAGGATATGACAAGGATATTTCATCTCTGTCTCATGAAGTATCAGGTAAGGAATCTCTACTGGGGATTGAAAGATCTACCTGCAGCATGGCAAGCAAGTGCTTCTAATGTGGGCCTCTTCACAGGATGCTTGGGCTTCCTTACAGTGTGGTGGTTGGGTTCCAAGAGCTGTCACCACAAAAGAACAAAACAGAAGCATATGGCATTTTTATGACCTATCTCAGAAGAAGTTATTTAGTAACACTTCCACCACACTCTATTGGTCTAGCAAATTACAAACAGTGCTCAGATTCAAAGCAAGGAGACAGACTTTATCTCCTGATGGAAGAGTGGCAAGTCTCCATAAGTGTATGTAGGATGAGATATAATTTTTCAGAAACCTTTGAACATGGAATCTGTCACAGTCCTCCATTCCGTCACAAAATACACATCCCTCCCACATAAAAAATACATTTACTCCCTCCCCCCGATGCAGGACAGGCAGGCCTCCTAATTGGGGCTTAACCTTGAAGGGTTCTTGGCTTCACCCGGAAGAAACTGAATTCAAGGGTGAGCCACTGGTGTTAGACAGCAACTTTGATTACAGCAGCAGTGTTACAGCAGCAGCAAAGCTACTGATCCTTGCAGAGCAGGACTACCCCAAAGGCAGTGTGTTCAGAGTAGCAGCTCAGTGGCAGTTCTGCAGTCATATTTATACCCACTTTTAATTATATACAAACTAAAGGGTAGTTTATGCAGAAATTTCTATGAAAAAGATAATAACTTCCAGGTCGCCAGGTCATTGCCATGGAAAGGGGCAGTAACTTCTGAGTGTTGCCATGGCAATGGTAAACTGACATGGCACATTAGTGGGCATGTCTTGTAGAAAGCTGCTTCCACACTGGCCCTGTTTTAGCCAGTCCTCAATCTGGGCTAGTGTGCAAGTCCCCACCTCCAATGTTCAGTCCCACCTCCTACCTCACCCCAAGACCTCAAATCTCATTGCACAGTATAAGGCTTAGGCTTAAGATTCAGAGTATTGTCTCCCAAATCAGATCTAGGTATGGATGAGTTCTGCAAGTGTAGCTTCTCAGGTACAGCTCTTCAATCATCATTCTTCTCATTCTGAAAATGTATGAACTAAAAAGAAAAGTTATCTCATAACGCATACCCCCAACATACAATGGCAGGACAGATACAGGATGACCACTTTAGACATTCCTGTTCAAAAATGGTAAAATCAGTTGGTACACAGCAGTCATTGATCACAGCGATTCTGAAATCCAGCTAGGTAGCAGATGCCAATTGCTTATTAGTTATAAATCGTATTCCTTGAGGTTCTCCCCCGAAAGTTCTTGAGTCCTTCCAACTTCCCATTAAAAGTAGCCCATGTTTGCAGCTATGTGGTTTTATCAGCCTGATTAATACAAGCTTCATGGTTTTTTTTAAGCCTCTTTTTATTTTGTGCTAAGTCTGTCTTTTTTAGCTCACTTTGGAAATATTTATTTTAGAAAAGTCTTTTTAAAACATTGTGACTTTTCTCTTCTACACAAAAGCCAAAAACACAACATGCTTCAAGATAAGCCTTCTTTACCTCCCTTTGAGGCTACTGCTGGACAATGCCCTTAAGATTCTTATAAGCCATAGTGTTTAAAGGACAGAATCTGTGAGAAGTTATGCCTTAAGATCCTTAGACCCTTAAGAATCTTTCTCTGGCCTTGAGAGCCAGAGAAAGGTTCTAAAAGGTAGCCCCTGAGATGTTTATGAGGTGCTTTAAAAAAAAAAAAAAAGACCTTACAATTCCACTCTGGATCTTATCTTTAGCCTACTTTGGAAATTGAGGTCCAGGAAAGCTGGGAAAGTCCTGGCTTCTTTATATTTAACAGTTCATTCTTTAGCCCATCTCTCTCCTATTTTATTATACACAAGGGAGAAAAGTTTTGATAACCTTTCCGGAAATTTATCTAAATCTTCAAGATGTCTTTCATTAGGTGTATTCCCTATTTTCAAGGCTACCACAGATGACAGTGTTGCAAAACATTCACAACTTCCTATCAGGGATTTTCTCTTCTCCAACTTCCAATAACACTTTTCTCACATTTCTCTGAGCCCTCATTGCAGCTTCCCTTTACATTCCCATTAACATTATCCTTGAGGTCCTTTAGGTTCTCACTAACATTCTTTTTAAAGTTCTTCCAGCTTTTGCCTATTACTCATCCCAAAGTCTATGTCAAATGTCTTCAGTTTTTTGTTTTTGTTTTTATTGTATGGAAGTACTTCATTCTTAGGTACAAAATCTGTTGTAGTTGTCTATTGTTGCATAATCACTCCAAAACTTAGTGGTTTAAAACAACTACCATTATTAAATTTACTTATGAATCTGCTATTTGGTTATGGCTTGATAGGGATGGCTTGTCACTGTTCCAAATAGTACCAACTAGACAGGCTCAACTGGGGGATATAGAATGAAGCTGGCTTACTCTAATGACTGGCAAGTTGATAGTGGCTGTTAATTGGCAGCTCAGCCAGGACTGTGTGCCAGAGTTTTTAAGTCTTGTCTATTGAGCTTCTTTACAACATGGTCGATGGGTTCCACAGGCTACCATACCAAGAAAATAAGGTAGCAGTGCATGACATTTTGTAATACATAGTGTTACTTCTACCATATACTATGGAAAGAGGTAGTCATACAGTTCCACCAATACTTAAGAGAAAGGAGACATAGACTCTACTTCTTGATAGGGGCTACTTTGAAAAATAAAATCTGCCACAGTCCTCAAAGGCTATATGTATATTCTTTAATATATATATATACACACACACACACATATATATGATATATATACTTATATGTTATATTTTCAAGATACATATATTTATATATTTTAATAGATATATAGTTTAAATTATGTAATATATTATCTGTGTGAGATATATAAATATATATAAAACATATGTTTGGGGGCTGGCTGCTTTAAAGATATATATATATATATATATATATATATATATATATATATATAATCTTATATACCCTATTTAATAAGGTACAGGAGGAAAGAACCAGGAGGAGTTCATATCCAAAGTGATATGGCCCAAATGTGGTTGGGGTACACATCTCTTTTCATAGTTTGCTTTTAAAAACTTGGTAAAATGGCCACGTGAAGCTACAGAGGAAGCCATGACAGTAAAACTGACTGGGTAACTAAGTGCCCAGTTAAAACTCTATGACAATGGAAGAAAGTGATAAAGTGGTTTGATTGACAATCAACAGTCATTGCTACAGTCATTAACCTCAAGTAGGTCCTTAATGCCACCCAGCAATCCTGCTATGCATCCTCAGTTCATTCTCTCTCCCACTCTTTTGAACCATTATATTATGCCTTCTTCCTCTCCTCTCAAATTGACAGCTTCTCTCCCATCCTTATTCTTAGTTCATGGGCTTGTGTCTGACTTTACAGAGAAATTTGAAGCAATCAGAAGGAAATTTGCTCAAGCTTCTACCAGTACGTCTACACATGCATTTACACATGTATCTATCCTCAGTCATGAGCTTTTCTCCTGCAAAAATGGTCTATATTCCCAGCTAATCCACCAGATCCACTGATCCACCAGATACTATGCCCTGTCACCTACTCAAGGACATCCATCAGCAGTGGTTCTTCTCTCTCCCCACATCATCAACTTTCCCCTCTACTAGATCATTACCAAGCATGCTGCTATTTCTCCCACCACATTAATTCTCTCTTGACCCCCAACTTTCCTAATCTAACTACCATCTAATCTTTGTCCTTCATTTTATAACAACAAAAAAGTTAACTATACTTACTATCACCAATTTATCTCTTCTCAATCTTATTTGAATAAAATCCAATCTAGCTTTCTTACCTATATGTCACAAAAACTTCTCATTTCAGGATCACTGAGCAACTCCATGCTACTAAATTCTATAGTTGGTTCTCAATCTTTATCTTAATTGGGAACTGATATGGTTTGGCTCTGTGTCCCCAACCCAAATCTCATGTCGAATTATAATCCCTTCATGTTGAAGGAGGGAACCAGTGGAAGGTAATTGGATCATGGTGGTGGTTTCTCGTTGTTTAGCACCATCCCCCTAGTGCTGTCTTGTGAGTGAGTTCTCATGAGATCTGGTTGTTTAAAAGTGTGTAGCACTTGCCACTTCATTCTCTCTATCTCCTGCCACCATGTGGAGAAGGTGCTTGCTCCCCTTCACCTTCCGCCATGATTGTAAGTTTCCTAAGGCTTCCCAGTCATGCTTCCTGTTAAGCCTGTGGAACTGTGAGTCAATTAAACCTCTTTTCTTCATAAATTACACAGTCTCAGGTAGTTCTTTATAGCAATGTGAAAGTGAACTAGTACAAGAACCAACATTCTTTGACCTAGCTGATAACTCTTTACTCCCCCAAACGCCATCTCCTCTAGATTTCCAGGACTCTACACTCATTTGATTTTCCTGTTCTCTTTCAGGCTACTCCTCAGTCTCCTTCTCTGACTCCTCCCCTTCCATCTAAAATACCAATATTTGATGTTGAGGAATTGAGTAGTTTATTTCCTCATTTCTGTCTACTCTCAGCTTCTTGTGATCTTTTCCAATCTTATGGAATTAAGTATCGACTATATGTAAAATCTTTCAAGTTTATATAAACCTCTCCTTTGAAACTCAGATTCATAAATCTACCTGCTTACTTCAACTCTAATTGCATAGCCATAGGCATCTCAGTCTTTACCTGTTAAAACCAAGCTTCTAATATTTCCCCTACATCTGCATGTACCCTACTCTCTACTACCTCAGAAAAATGACAAAAATTTCCATTTGTTCAGACCAAAAAGTCTTGAGTTATCATTGATTATTTTAAAGAACACTGCTGAATCTTTTTTCAAAATAAACTGAGAGTCTAACTTTTCATCACCTCAATTGCTACTACTCATGTTCAAGCCACCATATATCTAAGTTAGATTATCACAGTAGCAAACTGTTATGATCTCTTGCCTAGATTGTTGCAATATAATTAGATTTATTGTTTTCACTCATGACTCACTATAGTCTCTTTAACACTTCAGCCAGAGTGTTTGTATTGAAATAAGAGTCAGATCATGTTATACCTCTGCTCAAAATCTGACTATGGCTTTCTATGCTTGCTATGTTGGAAAAAAATTGTTTCCTTCTCCGACAGCTATACTGCACTAAAAGACCCCATTTTGTTCCATTCAGAACAAAAGCCAGAGTCGTTATTATGACTTATTGGGCTCTATGGGATCTGGCCCCACACCTGCCTAACCACACCTCCAGTCATTTGACTTCACCCATGCTTAATATCTCTATCTTCTTAAACATACATGCCTCAGTATTTTGCACTGGTTGTTTCGTCTTCCTGGAATAATCTTTCCAAATATATCTGAATAGTTGCTCCATCTCTTCCTTTAAATATTACTTAATTATTGTTTTCCTAAGTGAGATCTTCCCACAGACTTAGTGAGGACATCCTCTAGACATCATATCTAAAATTGTATGAAAACAAAATCGTGCAACTACCTGGATGTCATATCCTCTTTCCCTGCTTTGTTCTTCACCTTAACACTCAAAAAGTGCACGCTACTGATCGGTGATTCTCGTTGATATCCCTACATTTTATGTGGGAATCCTGTTAAACAACAGATTCTGATTCAGTAGGCCTGAGTGGGGCCAGAAAGTCTGCATCTCTAACAAGCTTCCAGCTGGTTATGGTATGTGGCTAGAATTTGAAACACACTGAGTAGTCAGGCTCTACGTTTCTAATCAACCCTATCCCATAAAATATACTATGAGCCACATATGAAAGTTTAAATTTTCTAGTAGCCACGTTTTAAAATTGCATAATTTTTTTGACAATTAATTAATTTTATAATTAATTTTGACAATATATTTTACTTAATTCCACATATCTCAATTATCATTTCACCATGTTATCAATAAAGAAGTATGAATGATACATTTTACTTTTTTTTGTATTAATAGGATGTCTCTAAAAGTCAGCATGTATTCTACACTTACAGCACATCTCAGTTTGAACTGGTCACATTTCAAGTGCTCAAGAGCCACATATACCTAGAGGCTACCATGCTAGATGACATAGTTCTAGACTTTAATTATTTATTCTGTGGTTATCTTTCTTTCTTTCTAGAATGAAAGCTACATAAGGACATAAATTTTGGTTTTGTTCACTAATGTGTTGCCCCTGTGCACGAAAGAGGGTCTCGCTTTTGTGGCTCTCAAAAATATTTGTTGGACAAATGGATTGATGAAAATCGTTAGTGTCCTAAGAGAATATACTGGCTTAGCTCTGTTTTATGCCATTTCCCCCCAGACAGAGTAAATGCCAGCCTCCCAGTAGCATACCTTTATTGGCTGCCTTCCCTTCCTGATCCACGTCTTTCCTCACTTCCCAAGGAAACCAGTTGTTCTAGAATCCTTATCTGAGTATCTGCTTCGAGGGAAACGCAAACTAAAACCCTCGCCTCAACCTATCCTTTCAGTCCTCCTGAATTTAGCTGGATGTAGGTCCCTTTATTTTAAAAAATATATATATTATATATATATATATGAAATACTTGTGCATGTTTGTTACATAAATATAGTGCATGCTCATGGCATTGGGCTTCTAGTGTACCCATTACCCAAGTAGTGAACAGGTCCCTTTCTTAGACTCCCTCCCTCTGCTGGAGGGTGGCCAGAATTCATTTGGAAAAGATACATGAGATCAAGTTTGGTGCTCAGCAGCATCCCTCATCCCATTGCCACTTCCCCATTCCCTTTTTCCTCCCACCACCAGATTCAAAGAAACCAATTTGTTAGATGGAATTACCAAAATATTACCCAAGGCCCATTAACATGCCTGGAAAAGTTAAATGTGAGCTACATCCCAGAAATTCCTGAGGAATGACAAGGATTTCTTTATATTTTGCTTTGGTGTTGACAACTGAAAGAAAATGCACACAAAACAGTCCTTACAATAATTCAACCCAAAGCTAGCAAGGGCTAGACAGTGCCATTTCATCTTAAAGGACAGAAACAAAAAGTCTTTTATGTAGGATTACTTCTCCAAAATCAACATTTTTGAAATGGTGCCCATTCTCATCGCCTCCTTCTCTGAAGCATAAACATTTTAACCACCTCTTTGAATCTCAACAGTAAGGCCACAGGGTCTGGGTACAAATGCTGTGTTCCAGTATTAAATGTTAGATCAGATATCGGCTGTAATCCCTGGGGTCTTTTAGTGCAGTATAGCTGTCTGAGAAGGAAACAATTTTTTTCCAACATAGCAAATTCTGTAACTCTGAAATTCTGAGTTCTGGATCGAATTTGTTTTGATATTGCATACCTCAGCTTCTCCAGAGAAAGTTCCCTCTCAGTCATGAAATGATGGCTTCAATTAGACTTGGCTACTCCAGTCAAAGCCTGCGATTGTGTTTCAATGGGCTGTCGATGTTTTATTCTGCCACCTTTGACAGAAATTGTTTTCTGTCTGTGGCTCAGCTCCAGCTTTGCTCCATGGAAGCCATCCATAAGGGAAAAATGTGCCCCCTTCACAATAGAACCATTGATGCCTTCTGAAAGGAATGGTGCCTGCATCCTACTTCTACCTGCAGAGTCTCCTCTCTTTAAACACAAAAGTAAATCCATGTGGCAATGCAGAGTGCTAGGATAAACCCGGTGACACAGAAATTCAAGGAAAAGGCAGACACAGGCTGACTTCTTGTAATGGTGCTTGAAATATTAGAAAAGTCCTGAAATAGGGGACAAGCTGAACCTAAAAAATGTAAGCAATGGGATCCTTTCCCTGCTATTCTTCCAGAAACAGAAAAGCCACTAACTTTGGGAACTATTTTAGATAAAAATATGTTTCAATTACAGGAAAGATTTTCCTACTCATTTCAAAAATCATCTGTCTAATTTCCTTCAAGTCTTTGCTCCAACATTATACTCTCAGTGAGGTCTACACTTACAATTGAGACCATTCGATTTAAAATTATAAAACCAATTCCTCCGCCTTGCCGTGTTCTCTCTTTTGCTATATTATTTCTCACCTTCAAATACTCTATATGATTTACTTATTTAATAGTATTTGTCCAAAGTTGACACTGACATTATTGAATGAATGTATAAATGAATTAGGGAATCAAGAAGTTAACAATGTAGCAGCCACTAATGGAGATCCCATAGATAGAAGGAAAACGTCATATTACATAATTCTGAATCAAGGATGTAAGTTCAAATACCTTCAGGGGCTAGGGAAGTACAATAAGTAAGTGAGGTAGGCCAGGTATAAAACAATGGAAGGTAGTGGGATTTGGGGGAATTGGAGAATACCTACCCCTACTAAAGGCATAAAATTCCATTTTTAAAACTCTTGCCAACAAAGCACACCTGCAAAGTGTATGGGCTGCCGCACTGTGATCTCTATTATTCTGTGTATTTTCCAGCATACACATATGTTTCTCTCTCTGATTTTGATTATTTCCAAACTTCCTAGCCCAGAAATTCAAAATGCCATATAATCAGACTTGACTCTATAATAAAATTGATACTCAATTTTAAAGTTATCTCATTTCTTGTTCTTTTTTTTTTTTAAGGGATCAATTCAACAAGAAGAGCTAACTGTCCTAAATATATATGCACCCAATACAGGAGCACCCAGATTCTGGTTCTAATTAAGAAGAGTTATGATTAAATATTATTCAAGAGATTTAAAATCTATTTCATGTGTAAGAAGCGTCACCTTACAATATCTGCGATACTGACAGTAGAGCTATATATTAAGACCCAGACTAGTCTGACTTACTTTTCCATTTGTTTCTAATTTTCTTTGTGATCTGGGACCCTTAGTTTAACCTGACTAAATCCCAGTTTACTCATTTGTATAGGAAATACTGCAACCTTCTAATTTTGTGATCCTATCTGAATTTCACTTATCTTCCTTGCCCTTAAAATATACAACCTAACATTGTTTAGTTTACGTTGCTGAAGAATGCCATATGAAGCACTTTGCATTAAGTCATTTTATCATTCAGCTATTTATGTGTAAGAAAAACACCCATGATTCTACAAGTTGGCAGGGGTGGGGTGGTCTCTGCTCCACATATCACATACTGGCTACCCAGGGTGATGGCAACGGTGACCACATCAAATAGCAATCCAACCAACCCAGCACTTTGCAAGCCTCTACCCACCTCACATCTAGTAACATCGCTCTGCCAGGGAATGCATGAAAATGCACCACTCAGATATCCTGCAGCAAGATTAATCAACTGAAGACACCAATTGTTGCTGTTTTGAATTTACCTTGTATTCATGCCAATGCTGCACTTCCCTTAGGCTGTTCCCAGCCAATGACTGAAACTGGGGATGGAGGCTACTAATGCAGGTCTATTCCTGCAAGACGCAGGACTCAACTGGGCGACTTTGGCTTGAGGATTCCCCATGAATCTGACCCAAACTTTCCTCCAACTGCACTGCAGATTATCTTATCCCCAATCTTCCTCCTTCCCCACTTCTGCACCTATTAATTCTTCGCCTGGGTCTGAAAACTCTTTCCACCTTCTCGTCCCCATCCCTTTAACCTTCATGAGCAAGTCACCTGGCCAATCCCAAACCCAAGAGGTGGGAAATTATCCTCCCCCACCCTGAAGCCATGGCAGATATGCTGATGTGTAGTTGTAATGTTTCTACAGGATAGTGCAATGGAAACCAATTATTCAATTTACCACAGTAACAAAACATAAAATAATTTAGGAAGGTGCTATGTGGAAAAAAAGTTATGAAGTGCAGTAGGTAGAATCTTAAAATAACCCCAAGATTCCCACCGCCTCATGTACACATCTGTATAATTACCTCCCCTTGAGTTTTGCCAGGACTTTTGAATATGATGGGATTTTATTTCCATGATTAGGTTGCTAATCAGTTGATTCTGAGTTAATCAAAAGGGAGATTATCCTGAACAGGGCTGACTTAATGAGGTGAGTCTTGAAAATAAAAATTCAAGGAGCTTATCCTGCTGGCTTTGAAGGAGTACGCTGCCACCTGGGAAGGGGCCACGTGGCAATGACTTAAGGACAGCCCCTAACAACTGACAGTGGTCACACTCAACATGCAGCTAGAAACCAGGGACTTCAGTCCTACAACCTAAAAGAACTGAATTCTGCCAACAACACACAAACTCAACAGAGGAGCCTGCACTTCACATGACACTGCAGTGCCAGCCAGCACCTTAATTTCAGCCAGTTCAGATGCTAAGCAGAGGACGCAACTAACCTGTACCCAGACTCCAGACCCATGAAAACCAAGATAATAAATGGGTGTTGCTTTAAGCTGCTAAGCTTGAACTAATATGTCATGCAGAAATGGGAAATTAATACAAAACAGGATGAACTCAATGGAAATGGCATGGCAAGACTTTGGATTTACCAAAATTAAAGAAGCTCTTTAAATTAGTAAATGCTTAGTATCTGAAATACATTGACACAAAAAAATACAGTGCTTTTTATTTTACACCCTGGATTTTCTGCCTGCTCTAAGCCGTCTTATGCGCTGTGACTGTTTTTCCCTGGCTGGTTCTCTTTCCCAACTTTAGTAGTGTCCCCCATACATGGCCTTCTCAAATTTACAGTCTCTCCATTGTCTCCTTCATTCTCAGATGACATCACCACCTAATTACAGCCATGAAGAACAATAAATTGCTTTTGTGTTTATGCACTTTGATTTAGGTTTTCTGTTTCTTGGAATAAAAGATTACTAGTGAACAAATCTCTTTCCAGCTATCATCTTTCATCTATTTCCCTTATCAGCCAAATGTCTTTAAAACTTTGGTCTATTTTCCTACCCATCATACATTCTTAACTCATGGGAACCTGGTGCCCTACCCACCATGCTGAAGGAACTGCTGATGCCATATTCTCTGATGACCTCTGTTGTTAGTGTAATACTTACTTCTCAAAGCTTATTTTACCTGGTGTTTCAGCAGCATTTAGCATTATCGACCACTCTCCCCTCTGGAAATATGCTCCCTGGGCTTTTATTTTTCCTTGCTTTCCTCCTAGATATCTGATAATTTCCTCCTAGTAAACTTTTTGGTCTCCCTCTCTCTCTCTCCTTCTCTCTCCCCTTTCCTGAAACAATAATATTATGGGTCGATATGGGGTGGGGTGGTGTCAGTAAGGAGCTGGCCATAAACCAGGAAGGCATTTTTGACTCCACCTCTTCCTTGTTTTTTTAAAACTAATCATCTATCAAGTTGATGAAATCCGCTTCCAAAATATCTCCTGCACTTCTCCACTTCTCTTTATCCCAAATGCCAGCACTGCCATCCTGACCATCACGATCCAGGTGCATCTTCCCACATAGGTCCCTGTTGTGGTCTCACTGCCTCTGTTCTCACCTCATACTAATCCATGAACTTCTCCACAGATAGACTATTCTTTCTGAAATGAAAAGCTGGTTCCACCACTCCACTGCTTGAAACACTTCAGTGCTTCCCGAAGGCTCTCAAAAGAACCTTAATGCCACCGCCAGGGTCGCAGTGAGCCGACTTCCACCCTCACCCCTCACCTTTCAAGTTTCACTCCTCCCCTCGCCCTTTCCACATCTGAAGCACCAGCCATCCTCAGGCTTGCAAAATGTGTCGTTCCCTCTCCTCCTTTTATTTCCTCTGGGAGAAACCACTTTCAACCTTCGCTGTCCACCACCTCCTTCCTCCAGGAATTCTTCCTGATCTCTATGTGCTGAGCGGATGCCCCACCTGTGTGCCCCTTAACACCTGAACAGCACTGTCCTAGCACTGTTCTGGCTGATTAATTGCTTGCCTGTTTGTCCTCCATGAAACCAGGCACCATGAGTGTGCTCCCCGCCATCGCATCCTCAGCACCCAGCACAGAGCCTGGCACCTAATAGGTGCTCAAGAAATCGTTGCTCATGAAACACTGAATGAATATGTGCTCTGTGAACTGGGCACACCCTTTGTTACTGGTTTTGCTCCTTCTGAAGTCCAAGATCTGCATCTCAGAAAGCATGCACTCCTTGTTGTGTGGTGAGGGATCATCTGTAGGCACTGGTAAGTACCACCAAGATCCTAAGGATGCCAAGACAGAGCCCCCTCAGCAGAGGCTAGGCAGGCTCTAGATACCAGCTCCCCTTTCCCTGGTCCCCCTGCCTCAGGCCAGAGGCATCTGTCTCTCCACCCAGCCTCTGTTGTACACAAACTAACTTTAAGTCTGGCTCCATTAAAACTGCCTTTAGTTCAAGGGCTCTTAACTTGAGGTCTGTAGGCAATATGGTTAGACTTTGTGTCCTCAGCCAACTCTCATCTTGAATTGTAATCCCCATAATCCCCATGTGTCAAGGGAGAGACCAGGTGGAGGTAATTGAATCATGGGGGTGGTTTCCTCCATGCTGTTCTCGTGATAGTGAGTTCTCAGGAAATCTGACCATCTTATAATGGGCTCTTCCCCTTTTGCTCGGCACTTCTCCTTCCTGCCACCTTGTGAAGAAGGTGCCTTGCTTTCCCTCCACCTTCCCCCATGATTGTAAGTTTCCTGAGGCCTCCTCAGCCATGCTGAACTGTGAGTCAACTAAACTTCTTTCCTTTATAAATTACCCAGTCTCTGGCAGTTCTTTATAGCAGAATGAAAACATACTAATACAGTAAATCCATAGAATTAAGAGATTCTGGCTGGGCGCGGTGGCTCATGCCTGTAATCCCAGCACTTTGGGAGGCCAAGGCGGGTGGATCCCCTGAGGTCAGGAGTTCAAGACCAGCCTGGCCAACATGGTGAAACCCCGTCTCTACTAAAAATACAAAAAGTAGCCACGCATGGTGGCGCATGTCTGTAATCCCAGCTACTCAGGAGGCTGAGGCAGGAGAATCGTTTGAACCCGGGAGGCGCAGGTTGCAGTGAACAGAGATCGCACCATTGCACTCCAGCCTGGGGGACAAGAGCAAGACTTTGTCTCAAAAAAAAAAAAAAAAAAAAAAAGAATTAAGAGATTCTGTGAACTTAAATGAGGAAAAAATGTAGATCTTTATTTTCATTAAATTCTAACTGAAAATTAACATTTCCTACAATATGAACGCAGGCAACCAACCACAGTAATTAGAATTTGTGGCCTTGTTACCAAAAACTTCACATATATTTTCATATCACATTGCAGATGCAGACATCTCATAATATCATTTGCACTCATCACCACTTAATAATAACAAAGTCATTAGACCCACCACAAGATCTTGTCATCTGAGGCACTGAGGAACAAGCATACATATTATCCTATGAGACATTTGTCATTCCTTATGAGTTTGATGACTGTATTTCAAGAAAATCGCAATTTTGTAAACAATGTATTTCTTGCTTTTATAAACATTATTCTAAGTAGTCCATGAGCTTTACCAGACCACCAAAGGAGTCCATGGCATAAAAATGGTTAAATACCCCTGCTTAATTGTTGTACATGGGGAGAGATAGGGGTCTAGCTCCATTCTTCTGCATATGATTATCCAGTTTTCCCAGCACCATTTAGTGAAGCGACTGTTCTTTCCCTAGTGTATGTTCTTGGCACCTTTGTCAAAAATGAGTTGTCTGTAAACTGTGTGGATTTATCTCTGGGTTCTCAGTACTGTTCTATTGGTCGGTGTGTATGTGTTTATGCTTATGCCCTGCAGCTTTGGATTTGTAGTATATGTTGAAGTTAGGTAGTGTGATGCCTCTGGCTTTGTTCTTGTGCTCAAGAAGAATTTGGCTCTTCAGGATCTTTCGTGGTTCCCTATGAATTTTAGGACCATTTTTTTCCATCTCTGTAGAGATCTCATGAAGATAGAGAGTTAATTGGTGGCTACCACAGGCTAGAAGGGATAGGAGGGAGGAAGAGAGGTTGGTTAAAAGGTACAAAAACACAGTTAGACATTGGGTACACATGAACATAAAGATGGCAAATATAGGCACTGGAGACTACCAGAAGTGGGAGGAGAGGAGGGAGTCAAAGGTTGGAAAACTATTGGGTATTATGCTCACTACCTGAGTGGTGGGATCATTCGTACCCCAAATCTCAGCATCACACAATATACCCAGATAGCAAACCTTCACATGTACTCCCTAAAGATAAAGTAAGAGTTGAAATTATTTTGTAAAACAAAGAAAATATACAATTTTACAGAAGGAATAAGATATAGGATTCTATAGTATGGCGGAGCAATGATAGTCAATAATAATTTGTCATATATTTCAAAATTGCTAGAGGAGAAGAATTTGAATGTTCCCAACATGTTTGGGGTGATTGACATCCCAGTTTCCCCAGTTTGATCATCATACATTGTATGCTTGTATCAAGGTATCACATGTACTCCCCAAAATATGTACAACTATTATATATCAATTTTAAAACTGCTTTATTTTCTAAAACATAAAATAAAAATAGACAAAACACTCAATACACCTCTCAAATAACTCTTGCAAATGCAAGCTTTGCCTTTTTCTTTCATAACTATGGCCCCTACAATAGACTTTTAAGTGCCTATTTTGGAATTTTAAAACTATTAACTCTCCCTGTCTTTGCATTTTTTTCTATAGCAATCCTAACTCTTCCCTGTCGAATGGAGGTCTCTGGTTGAATTGGAAGAAGGTCAGGTATAATGAAATATGAAAAAGAAAAGCGTCATTTGGCATTGCAAAATATTATTTGCCTAAAGGTGCTCAATAAAGAAGGACAAGAAAGACCTCTGGCATTCAAGATATATTTTTAAAAACTCTGGTTTTTCCTGTGACCTCTTCCTGCCCCTTCCCAGTCTGAGATAAAAAAAAAACCACAGTGACATTTAGTAGGAACAGGGAAGATTCCAGTGATTTTGGTGATGATACATTCATCAGTGATCAGGAGAGGACATCCACAGGTGTACCCCCATCCACCTTCACAGAGGAACTCATCTACAAATGCTCCAACTTCTGTAGTCAGCACTGCCCTGCAAACTCTACTTCCAATGAGCGATGTCCCCTTCCTGCCTCACTGTTCAGCCTGGCACTTCTCAAAGCTCAGTCATCCCACTGATGGCCATGACCACATAGAGCAATGAGTGACTCTCTGGCATCAGATTCAGTATGCCCCCCATGCCCCTGCCCTACTAAAGAGGAAGAATCAGTAGTTAATTCTGGCTTTAGTGGGAAACACCTGAGGAACCAAAGTGCTATGTACTTCAAATCCATTTTACTTCTTAGTTTTCTTTCTTTGTAGTATTTCCCATTCAGACATCTGCCATCATTCTAGAAACTCATGAATTTATGATACCATTAGTGTTTTGAAAAGCAAGTACATCTCTTCCCAGATGTTATTTTGTATAAAGATTTTTTTCTTCCTCTGTACTAGTTCAAATAAACCAAGTCATGAATCTAATTTGAATGAAGGCACAGACTTCACTGTCTGTCTCATACCAGATGTTGTGGATAAATATTACGACAGTCTGGACACACGACGTGTCTTGATGCTGGTAGGGACGAGGAGGCAGTCTTCCACCCACGCAGGCAGCACAAAGTGTAGGGGTGTCACATTGCCTCACACTTTTCCCCAGACACATTTGAAAGAAACACCACAGCTTAATTTGTAATCTATCACAGGACTCTAGAATCAAAGGGTCTATGTGCCCTATGATTGTACATAACTGTCTCATTCAAAACCCTACAAAGTGTGTAGAGCACACCCCGAGAATTAATATTTTACCTAGGAAGCCCTACAATGTTATCCTGGTCTCTAAGATCATAGGTAGGGTAACTTGATCATCTGGATTCATCTTAGAAGTAGGAAAACCTTAACATAAGGACATAAATTGACAGAAATAGAATGGAGGGGTCACAGGGGAGATATTTTCCCTAAGAAGTTTCCTGCCACTCCTATATTACAAAATGTAGTCTGAAAGCTACTTGTAATGTTTGAAGTGAGCTAATCCATCCTGTGACATAAATATGGTGAGCCAGTATGTGTCAATTGCTCAGCACCCATGAATTCGTTCTGTCCTGTTCAGACTGGGCCTCAGCATCCTTCTCAACACCATGCTCCTAGAAGCTACTACTTTTATTCAGAGTTGGAAAGGGGGTAAAACTTACCTTGCTTTCTCTGCATTAGGATTTTGCAAGTCAGAGGAAACCGAAAGTAGGAAACAGTCAAAAAAAGAAGCATTTTCCCCATCTCTAGCTATCAAAGTCCTGATAGTCCACAGAGCACTTCGATATTTAACCTTTCTTTGAAATTATTCTTAATGTCCCCAACTTAAGAGCTCAGTCCCAGAATCTTTAATATTCAATAGTATTGAGCTCATACCACTCAATAGTCTGTATACAGCATACTGATTTGTAGAAAACTGTGTGTGCATTTCTATTATCTCTTTTACTTGTTTTATTCTCTAAGCCCATTTTTGTTAAAGCATTTGTTATGTGCCAGGCTCTAGGGATACAAAAATTCAATGACAGAATCCCCACCCTCAAGTTGCTCACAGACATAACCAACTAGTAAAAATAAATTGGCTTAAGTGCAATAATGTGTGGCTTAAATAACCCATACCTTTATACTACATTAAAGTGGTTAGCTGTAAATTGTAGCTGTGTTATAGTAACTACCTATAATAAAATCATAGAAAGAGATAAAAATTTAAAATCAGAAAGAGAGAAAATGGAGCAATCAAGACACGGAGGATGAGGAGGAAGAATTAAATGAAAAACGTATAACTCCACGGTAAAAGCACCCAGGTTAGGAGGAGCATAAAAACAGACTTGAACAGCAAGTTAATGTTTGGAGAGTATATTCTGTGCACAATGGGGTGCCACAGAAGTTTTGGAGTGCAGAATTAGTAGGATCATTTTATTTCCAAGACAATTTTGGGAGCATATGGTAGCAAATTCTGACCTACTAATTTCCCATCTATCTGCCACAGTGATTTGTGCTTAGTAGATATTCAATAAACACATAATGAAGTCACCTTAGTGTTAGATGAATGCAAAGGTTAGTGAGCAGCAATAGAAAGTAAGAATGTGAGTTCCAGGAACAAAAAAGCCCACTTCATAGTTTTATTTCAGGTCAATCCTTTTGGGAATACTGTAAGACAAAAAGGTTGACATGTAAATCAGTTATTACAAACTTCTCAAATGCTGAGATTTGGAAAGTCCTCAGACAATTCTACTGTCTGCCAATTTGTCTTTCAGACTACCTGTCCTCAAGAATAGCAACATCTACCAGTTATGACATTTTTGAGTAAAGATGAAAGTTACATAAAGCCCATGAATACAAATTCATTCTTGATAAAAGTAGACTTGCATCAAACCTCACGGAAAAGCAAGTGTCATAAAGTCATAAATATGCATCAAACCTCACGGAAATGCAAAGTGTCATAAAGTCATAAATGTGCCAATATTAGAGTTTCACATAGAGAATAATGCAAGCAGTAAAATTCATCAGCATCATTAAAATTCATCTGCTTATGTGCCACTCTTAAGGATGACCTCATTTGTGACCTCAAGATAGAGAACCCTGGCCATCAAACTCTGAAAACACCCTTGTTGAAGTAGTTAGGTTTGAGAAATGTAAGATCTCGTGCAAGATTACAGTTGGAGAGCAAAGACATGAATGCACTCAAGTTATTTATCAATATACTTTACAACCAAATACAGACACCAAAATAAGTGATTATTCTATTGGTGTTTTATCATCCTTAACCCAATCGTAAGTATCATTTCCTGTTTAATCATATCTGGTTTTTTATCAGTTTGGGGGATTCCCCTCTCTGATACTTCCAGATTTCTGCTAGCAAATTTGCCTGGCTTCATTGCAAAAAACATGGATATTAAAGCATTATTTTCTCTTCAGTTTGCTCATGCAATGATAAAGCTTTTCTAGTTCCATAACTCTGTACTATCAGCATGGTTTTCTGTGTTCCATTATAGTCCCAGAGAAAACTTAGATATTTGAGATGGAAAAATAATTGAATGATGTCAGTCAGCCTAAAAAGCATTGTTGAGTAGGTTTTTCTTAAGTTCCCCCATACCATACACACAGTTTGAGTTCCTCTTAGGATGGCTACATTCCACAGCCTAGAGCATATGATGTAGGTGCTCTTATGCTAGCTTCAGCTTCCCACTCCCAGGATCACAGCCCTAAGCTTTCACCTTCAGATGGCTTTGTTCCAGAAGACAAATCTCTTCAGCTGCCTCCTACCAGGAATACAACACAAGGGCCACAGCTCACTTCCCTTCACCTCTCCTTCTCATATGATATGTTGTCATGTGGTATGGTGAAATCTCAACTCTCCTTCTAACTTGGACTTTATTCATCTCTCCAATACCTAACCTCACTTTATCCTTTTACTGCCTGCTTTTTGCCTCTATGTTGACCTTGTGGACTGTAGCAATATCGCCTCTTGCCCTCAAGTTTCTGGATGGTTTGGCCAAGGCAAGGTGTTAGCAGGAAATCAAGATTAGGAAGCCAGAGATATCGGTGCATTTATCTCTCCAACTCCCTCCCAAGTGCTGGCTTCTAAGAGTGTGCTCTTCTACCTAAAACCACTGCTCTCCTTCCAGGTGGAGCTCTCCTATGGATAAAGTTCTGACCAATCTAATAACCTGCTCTTTTCCTTGCCTCTTCCTACCTGGGGAGGTGCAACTTCCCCTTCCTGCTAAACCTGGGGTGCTCTATTATCCCTTATTCATTTACCTTCGCCTTTTCTGCTTCTTGCAAATACCCTTCTCATTGACCCCTCCTGAATCGCCTCTTTTGAGTGCATTGCCTGTTTCCTGCTGGGACACTGAGAGAAGAACCAATATATGGGGGAAGTGTTCCCACACTCAAGCACATTTGTGCATTTTTCTCAAGTAGGAGCTCTACTCAACAGAGAAGCACACAATGGCCTCGTGAACAGAAGTTTAGCCTGGAGCATAAGACATGGTGTGCTTCCTCCTGACTAGGACCTTACTGGTTTAATTATACAATCTCAGAAATCATTTGTTTCAATTATAGCAAATGAAGGCATGTTCTATTTCAGCATTTGAATTTTAAACAAACCAAGAGTACACTATAATCTCTCTGTTTCTGATCCAACTTTAATTGGATTCCAGAATGGATATGCAAGCACAACCATGATTCAAGAATATGTGAACAGTTCTTTGCTACAGATAGTTGCTATAAATGTATATATAATTAAACCACCTGTACTTAATCTTATATCTTTTTAAATATTTTCCTTCTAGTTTATAATCAGACATTTGAAGGCATTATGACAAAAAACGTTTTACTCTACTGCCTTTTTCTTACGGCAAGTTTGATTCAATTATTCAGTTACAATTTGAAACTCCTTGTGCACAAGATATGCTTCAAGTCTATTATTTTCAAACTTTTTGATAGGGGCTAACATCACAACCTAGACACACAAAATATATACACGCAAACATATACATAATTACCTGAAACCAGAGTTTCATTACACAGTAACTTTACACCACACATCTTCATATTTTGTATTCTAGTCTGTTTAGGAAACTATGCTGGATACCACCCATTATAACGACTGGATGGCCCTCTAATGGTTTTGACATTTGTTTGAAACACATAGCCATAAGTCAAATGATAGATGAACAAAAAGATGAAAAAGACATCCAGTAAAGGCAAAAAAAGAGATCACAAGACTCTGGAGTTAGCCAAGTTAGAATTAGATCAAGTTAAAGTTTAATTAACCTTTTTAAAATGTATTTGAGGCAAATTCTATCAATGTTTTCTATAGTAACATCTAATTATAAATAATTTTGTGGGGACTAGAATAGTATCCTTTAAAAAAATTTTAATTGACATCTAATAATTGTACATATGTATGGGGTACATAATGATGTTTTGACACATACAATGCCTAATGATCAGATCAGGGTAATTAATTGGCATACCCATCATCTCAAACATTTATAATTTCTTTTTTGGGAACATTCAATATCCTTCTGCTAGCCATTTGAAACTGTATAATATATTATAATGATAGTCATCCTACAGTGCTATAGAAGACTAGAATTTATTCCTCATATCTAGCTGTAATTTTGTATCCTTTAACAAATCTCTCCCTATCCTCTTCACTTCTTTCTACCTTTCTCAGCCTCTAGTATCCTCTACACTGCTTTTTACTTTGATGAGATCAACTTTTTTTAGCTTCCACATACAATTGAGAACATGCTGTGTCTAATTTTTTGTTCTTGACTTATTTCACTTAACATAATGTCCTCCAGTTCTATTCATGTTGCCATGAATAACAAGATTTCATCTTTTTATGGCTGAATAGTATTTCACTGGGTACAAATGCCACATTTTCTTTCTCCATTCATCTGTTGTTTGACACTAAGTTAATTTCACATCTTGACTATTGTGAATGGTGCTGCAATAAACATGGGAGTGCAGATGTCTCTTCAATATATTATTTCCCTTCCTTTGGATAAATGCCCAGTAGTGGGACTGCTGGATCATATAATAGTTATAATAGTTTTACTTGCAGTTTTTTGAGGAACTTCCACACTGTTCTCCATAGTGGCTGTACTAGTTTACGTTCCCACAAACAGCACGTAAGAGTTTCCTTTTCTCCTCATCTTCACCAATATTTGTTATTTTTTGTTATCTTTTGATAATAGCCATCCTAACTGGGGTGAAACGATATCTCATTATGGTTTTATTTGCATTTCCTTGATGATTAGTGATGTTGGGCATTTTTTCATATGTTTGTTGGACATTGTATGACTTCTTTTGAGAAATGTCTGTTCGGATAATTTGTCCATTTTATAACTGGATTGTTTGGTTTTTACTGTTGAGATGTTTGAGTTCCTTGTATATTCTGGATATTAATTCCCTGTCAGATGAATAGTTGGCAACTATTTTCTCCCATTCTATAGGTTATAGTTTTACTCTGTCAACTGTTTTTTTGTTGCACAGAAGCTTTTCACTTTGATATGATCCCATTTGTTCATTTTTCCTTTAGTTGCCTGGGCTTTTGAGGTGTTACTCAGAAAATCTTTTCCTAGACCAATGTCCTGAAGCATTTCCCCTATGTTTTCTTCCAGTAGTTTTACAGTTTGGGGATCTTACATTTATGTCGTTAATCCATTTTGAGTTGATTTTTGTGTAGGAGGAGAGGTGGGGGTCTAGCTTCATTCTTCTACATTTGAACACCCAGTTTTCCTAGCATCATTTATTGAAAATGTGGTCCTTTCCCCAGTGAATGTTCTTGGAAACTTTGTCCAAATTAGTTGGCTGTAGATAAGCGGACTAATTTGAGTGTTCTTTTTTCTGTCCCATTTGTCTATGTGTTTGTTTTGTTGCCAGTACCACGTTATTTCAGTTACTACAGCTTTGTAGGATATTTTCAAGTCAGGTAGTATGATGTCTCCAGCTTTGCTCTTTTTGTTCAAGATTGCTTTGGCTGTTTGTGGTCTTTTGTAGCTTCATACAAAATTTTAATATTTGTTTCATATTTCTGTGAAGAATGGCATTGGTATTTTGGTAGGAATTGCACTGAATCTATAGATTGCTTTGGATTGTATGGTGATTTGAACCACATTAATTCTACCAACCCATGAGCATACTTGAGCATAGGATGCCTTTCTGTTTGCATCCTCTTCAACTTCTTTCATCACTGTTTTGTAGTTTTCCTTGTATAGGTCTTTCATCTCTGTTTTGTAGTTTTCCTTGTATAGGTCTTTCATCTACTTGGTTAAATTTATTCCTAGATGTTTGTGTAGCTATAGAATAATACTCTCTTTTTTTAATTAAATTTTTTTTGAGACGGGATCTCACTATGTTGCCCAGGCTGGTCTCAAACTCCTGAGCTCAAGCCTGCCTCGATCTCCCAAAGTTCCAGGATGACAGGCATGAGCCACCACACCTGGCTGATACTCTCTTCATTCCCCAAAAAAACATTGTTATTATTACCTTTATTTCAACCTGTGTAACAAAACATTTCAAGATGGATGTTATAATCTTGCCCACAGACTATTTTTCCTCTTTGTAAAAGAAGTATCAGCACATTCAGCCAAACTTCTAAGTATCTAAATGAAGTGAAAGCTTTTCCATTTACAGAATGGCTTCTTCTGGTCAATTAGTCTATTATTTGTGGCAAGCCATGATTCCCTACCTGTGATGTGGAGGCACAATGCTCACTCTCAAAGAGCCCCACATTACTCACTTTTCCCTAATATACAAATTCCATATCCAAAATGCTCCAAAATCTGAAACTTTTCTGAAACTTTTCAAGCACAGACATAAGACAGTGACATCTTTGCTTTCTAATTGTTCATTGCACGCAAATTTTGTTTCATGTATAAAATTATCAAAAATTATCGTCAGGCTATGTGTGTAAGGTATATATGAAATGTAAGTAAATTTAATGTTTAGTCTTGGGCCCTATCTTCAAGATGTCTCATTATGTATATGCAAATATCCAAAATCTTACAAAAATCAAAATCCAAAATACTTCTGGTCCCAAGCTTTTCAGATAACAGATAATCAACCTGTAATGCATTCTTGAGAGATAGACAAATGAATAAAATTTTTGGTGAAAATTAAATTGACTTTTATAAGTTGTAAGCATATGAAATTGTGTGATAGCCATTGGGGTGTTTTACCATTATCCCTGCTCTCCCCTTCCAGGCATATGTAGAACCGCATCAACTCCACATGAAGTAGGTGGCCTTGTGACAAGAATTCTGAGCAGAAGGGGCCAGATGCAGTGGCTGATGCCTGTAATCTCAGCACTTTGAGAAGCCAATGCAGGAGGACTGCTTGAGCCTAGGAGTTTGAGACCATCCTAGGCAACATAATAAGACCCTATCTCTACAAAAAAAATTTAATTAGCCAGGCATGGTGGCACGTGTCTGTATTCCCAGCTATTCTGGAGGCTGAGGTGGGAGAATTGTTTGAGACTGGGAATTTGAGGCTGCAGTGAGCTGTGATCACTCCACTGCACTCCAGACTGCACAACAGAGCAAGACCCTGTCTGAAAAGAAAAGAAAAAGAAGAGAAAAGAATTCTCAGCAGAAGAATCAGTGCATACTTCACCATTTTCTTCTTTCGTTCTGCTATGATGGCCTGCAAGTCCACCCAGGATTACAGAGTAAGATAATACTATGTGGGGGCAGAACCCTAAGACAGCATTCGATGTGGCTGTTTTAAGCCTCTGAAATATGGGATTTGCTTTTTATCTCAGCATAATCTGATTCACACAGTTATCTATAGAAATTGTCTGGAAACATTCTATGTGAAAACATCTCTTGTCTCTCAAGCTTCTCAAAATGATTTTTCCTTTTTTTTTTAAATGTTCAAAGCTATAAGAATTTGATCAAGAGGCTTTAAAAAGAAGTGATTTTACCTAGCCTATCCCAAAACATACAGAAATTATCTTGAAGAGAACATATTTTATATTACAATTTGATTTCCATTGAGAACCTTCCATTTAGGTTTTATAAAGAAAGATTTCCTAACTCTTAACCCATTGAACTGATTACCTTTTAGCCCAACATTGAGGAAGAAAGAATAAACCATTCTGGTTCTCTTGGACAGAGTACACATTTCTGGGCCTCATCCACTGACCAACCAGAAGGTACCAGGCAGAGCTCACGCATTGTTTTTCTGATCAGGAAAGCTGGGATTCCTTGGTTTGCTTAGCGTTCTATCAGATTAAGTGTGCACCATGCCATATCACGTTCAAAGAGGTCTTTTTTATGCAATCTTTAAATGATCCCACTCCAAACCAAATATCATCTTGCAAGCAAAGTTTATGGAGCCAAAACAACTGCAAATTACCACCACATTAAAAGTTTCATTTAAATACATGATCTCATCTTAAAGCTAGGAAGTGTAATTAGCATTTTCCCTTTCTTAGCAGTGAAGAAACCACCCTCCAGATTCCAAAGAACATAAAACCTCCAATGGCTATGAAAAAAAAAAGTTGTCTACGCTAGACAACTGTTTCCATCAGTTCAAAGACATACTGTGAATGGCCATAAAAATGTAATCAATCCCATAAGCCACTCATCAAAATTTGTCTCAGTACCTTACATGTATACTATTGAGAAATCTGTCATTATAAACTCATAATCAAAGAACTAGGTGGTGCTTGGGCTCTGGGTAAACAGAAGACTTTATATACTCTCCCTCTTCAGGACAGAAAACTATAGATGGCATGGAAGCTCACGTGTTGTCTAAACTCATGATAGTTGTCACCCACATTAAATTTACTTACTAAGGGTCATAATTTTGCTCTACTTGTAACATTGAAGGTTAAGGTCTTTCACGTTGGAGATAAAAGACAATGAGTGATATATGTTAATGTTTTTACAAAAAGAAAACAAATTATCGTGATTACATAACATGCCACATGCCATCGGTCTTTACAAAGGCTTGTCCAACCTCCATGGGAACACTTCAAGCTACATACATGCATCGCTTGTGATTACAAGGAGCTCACTCCGAATTGGAAAACCTGATTGAATCTGAGGATACAGAGAATCGTCTCAAGTGCCTTTCCGAAAGTCTTGGCTCCCACAAAACCCCAAGTACAATTGGCCAACCACTTTCACCCTTAACTTTCAAGCTCTTGTGTATTTTAAGGGAAATTCAATCCGTATGTTTCTGAATCATGGATACTGAAGCCATTAAGATTTTTGTTTGGTAAGAGCTTTCTAAATCCCAAGATGACTTATGAGACTTTTTATAGCCTGTTTACTCTGAAGCAAAGAAGTCACGTCTTGTTGAAAGTAAACAAGGTTTAAAAGTATGAAACTTTGAGGCTTAGAGAAAACTAAAGTTCAAGAAAGCTTATGCTCATCCAACCTGTGCAAAACTCCTTAGTTGATTTCTCCGATTTACTCTATCCAAAGCAGAAATAATGACAACTTGGGCCAATAAATAGTTATTTTTATGATCACTGTCTACAGTATTTTAGAACCACATAGCTCTTTTACTTGAGGCAACAGTCATTCAATGGAATTGCATACTTATTCCTTTTTTAATAAAAATATTTTCAAAAGTGAGTGTGGCTGATTTTGAGTTATGATGTGTGACTTGATTTCAGTTTGTGTGTGTGTAAACTCTGAAGTGCTCCTGGCAAAATTCTCATTAATTCTTGTGCTGTTAATTTGGAATTTATGATTTGGAATAACATTTACCTATAATTCAACTATGAAAACAGGTTTGGAAACAAACTGACATAATAAGCAAAAGTTGGGTGGAGACATTTTATAATTTCATTGTATCACCTATTTATAATAACAAACTAGTTTAAAGTGTTTAATTAGTGCCCTTTCAACAAACAATATATACTTATTATGAATAAATGTCTTTATTGAAGAAAGTTATGAAAATTCCTTAGTTGTCAAATATTAATATACCTAGTAGCTGTATGTATTTGGTAGTAACAAAATGTAATTTATTTAATCTGTTACTTTGGTTGGCTATTTCTTTCTTATTTCCCTGAATCAGTGATATGTATTTTCTGGTATCAGAAATTTCTTAATTCAAAACAGATTATCAAAGAGACACCACTTTGTGAGCCAGCCACATTAATTCCAACATATTCTAGCTTAGAACCCCTTAACAAATGCATAAGAAGCCATTTCAATCACAATACTTCTCCAAATGGGTAGAGTTTTGAAAATATTTTAACACACAAACTTTATTAATTTATGCGTTTTGAAATAAGTTTTAAAAATTGCAACAATAAATATGTTTTAGGCATCTATTACGTGAAAGGCACCATCCTAGATACTAGAGAATTATCAACATAAATAAAAACCACAGTTTTATAGTGGGAGAAGCTGATCAACAGGCAACAAAGCCAAACACAGGCTGAAGGGTAAATGCTTTATGACACACACTGAAATGTGCTGAGCAGAACTGGGAAGACAATGGAGAAAGCTTCCAAACAGGTGAATTGGGCCCTGAAGAAAGAATCTACCTGTGTGGTAAGTGGAAGAAAAGGGGATGCTGGGAGCCATTACCAGCCAAGGAAGGAATAAGCAACATAAACAAAGGCAGAAGAGAGGTACACTGAGCAGGTTTGGAGTGTCCCAAGTAATTGACATGACCCAAGCACCGGTGGTGAAAAAAGATTATCCTACAGCTAAACTTGGAATGGATTAAATATAGTGGGATGCTGTAGGAAAATCCAGTGATAAATATGGGCTAGAGAAATACAAAATTACCCAATTGTCTATTTTTAACAGCTTTATTGAGGTATAATTGATATACCAAAAACTATACATATTTAAGGTATACAATTTGATGAGTTTGGACACAAGCATACACCCCTGAATCTATCATCACCATCAAGGTAATAAACTTGTCCATCACTTCCAGAGTTTCTTCATACCCCTTTGTTTTTTGTTGTTTTAGGTTTTTTTATGGTAAGAACACTTAGCATTATATCTACTCTCTTAAATTTTTAAGGGCACAATACAGTATTATTAGCACTGTACTTTAGGAACTCTGTTGTACAGCAGATCTCTAGAACGTATTCATTGTGCATAACTGAAACTTTACACCCACTGAAGACCTTCACATTCCCCCCTCCACTCAGCCCCTGGCAACCACCATTCTAATCTCTGCTTCTTTACTTGTCCTCTGTTACTATCTTATTTTACTTAGTATAATGTCCTCCAGGTTCATTCATGCTGTGACAAATATTAGGATTTCCTTCTTTTTTAAGGCTAATACTCCATCGTGTATGTATACCATCTTTTCTTCATTCATTCGTCTCCCCATGGACATTTTGTGTTGTCTCCATATACTGGCTCCTTTGACCAAATGAACATAGGAACGCAGATACGTCTTTCAGGTCCTGATTTCAATTCTTTTGGATATATACCCAGAAGTGGGATTGCTGGATCATATGGTGGCTCTACTTTTACGTTTCCGAGGAGCCACCATACTGTTTTCCATTTTCCATTTTACTGCATCATTTTACATTCCCACCAAAGCATACGAGAGTTCCAATTTCCCTACATCGTCTCCAACGGTTGTTATCTTTTGTTTTTTGATATTCTCAAACCTTTTCTGTGGAGGTGCAGGCTCCGCTCCTCTCCCTCCCTCCTGAAGGAGAAGTCTCAGGGTTGTGTCTTCTTTTGATCTTGCAGAGGTGTGCTGGCTGCAGCACCTGCTCCTCTTCTCTAGGGCAGTGCACTGGAAGTGTAAGAAGTTGGAAGCACACTCCACTCCTCTTCCTCCCTCCCTCCTGGGGGAAAGTCTCTGAGTTGTGTGCTTTCTCCTCATCTTGCAGAGCCCTCTTGACTGCAAGAAGCTGCCCTCACTCTTTTCTTTGTTCGTAACTCTCCCCAGGCATTCAAACCACACCAGTTCCCTCAGTGCTCTGGGTGAGGCAGGAGGGAAGCTAGTCCTTCAGACAGTGCCCTGATGGGCCAGGCACATGCGGTGCCTGCTCCACTCTCTCCTTCCCCTGAGGGAGAAGTCTCAGGCTGAGGCAAGCTTTCTTGGAACTGAGCTGTGCTGGCCTGGAGGAAGGTCTGACCTGGGGAAGGTAAAAATTTCCCTTCTTACTCATTTCCACATGGCTTTTCTCAGTTTTGTGCTCATCTGGGGTACTGTAACTTCTTGTCTGGCATTTTGAACTTCTCCTAAAGATATTTTGCTCTGCCTATCTTTGTTAAATCAGTGCTCATCTGGGGTACTGTAACTTCTTGTCTGGCATTTTGAACTTCTCCTAAAGATATTTTGCTCTGCCTATCTTTGTTAAATCAGTGTTTCTGTGGGGACATGAGGGCTGGGACTATGTATTCCACCATGCTGCTGATGTCATTCTCACTCCCAATCTTCTACTCTTAAGGGATAAGACCAAAGAAAGGATTAAGTGTTCTAATGAGAGATAAACCCACTAGGTAGGTAGAAAAATGAGATTATTCTTCTTCCTTCAGTCAAGTGAAATTTAAAAAGGAAAAAAAATGAGAGAGAAACAGAAAAGTGGGGGAAAGAGGATGGAGCAAGGGGAAAAATATTTTCTTATGAAGAATTTCGACCATGTATATAACGTGTTGTTTAATTTTATATGAAACATCCTTGACGTGGACATTGAGAGAATAACATATCAAATTAATGTGTCATTGATCTCAAAAAAAGGGAAAATAGATTCTTTTGTCAACTTTAAATCTCTGGCAGAAATAAACTTTTGAATAATATTAAAGTTTGGTCCCTCCACGGATTTAAAGAAAACACATTTCTCCACTTAACATTTCAGAGACAACCTAACTGAAATATACAAGGAGGGGTGGACTCCAACAATGGGTGTGGTCCCATTTTAATCTGTTAAAACAACAAAGGCTTTAGCATCATCTGATCTATTATCTCTGCAATAACACTGAGGTCCCACAGATAACTGAAATATTCCATAAATATTAAATGTTCCACACAAAAATTTTCCATATTCCCAGGCAACAAATCAGTGGTCATACACAAAGAAAGTACTATAGATTTCTATAATATTAACACATTTATTTAGAATATTTTACTAATCCCTTAAATTTTTTGAAAAGTAACACCTGGGTGAATGGACTTTGTCTCTTGTTCCTGCTTCTTCCCACTCACCCTCTGTTATAAAAAATAGTCAAAAGGTAGGAAGGGTGGGGAGACCAAAGGAGTCAAAATTAATCCCATAGTGAATTATCTTTAAGCTATTCAAGAAAATGTGAAAATAGTGTCCTTCCATCAAAAGACATATCTAGCACAAATGCTTGATTTTTTGTCACTTTTCACCATAGTATTATGTAGACGACACAGAGCACAAGTATTAAGCTCAATGAATTTTCATGGAAGAAACATACCCATAAAACCAGCACCTAAGAAAGAGAATGTTCTTGTTTTGCTTCCTAGTTACTACACTCTTGAGGTAACCCTATGCTGACAACAATTGGCCTATTTGGTACTTTATATAAATGGAATTACATCATACATACTTTTTGTGTCTGGCTTCTTTTAGTGAAGATCATATTTGTGAATTCATCGATATTGCATGATATAGTTGTAGATCATTCATTCTCATTGTTCCAAAGTATTCCATTGTGTGACTATACTACAATTTATTCATTCTACTGTGGATGGGCATTTGGGTAGTTTCCGGCTATTTTGAATAGTGTTGCTATAAATATTCTTGAACATTCCTGATATACATATATACACACACATATTAAATATTTATATATAATATATTTATATATAATAATAAATAATATATTAAAACTTTTTATATAATAAATAATATATATGTTTATATATGTATATCAGGGAATGTTCAAGAATACATATATATATTTATCAGGGAATGTTCAAAAATATTTATAGCAGCAGTACACACGTTTGTGTGTACATACACACACACACACACACAAAGGAGTCAAAATTAATCTCATACTGAATTATCTTTGAAGCTATTCAAGAAAATGTGAAAAAGTGCCTTCCATCCAGGACTATGTATATATATATATACACGTTTGTTGGGCATATATCTAGGAGTGGAATTACTACTCATAGCGTATGCATATGTGTGGATTTAATAGATACTGCCAAACAGCTCACCAGGGTGTTTTATCAGTGCACATCCTATCAGCTGCGTATGGCATTCTGATTGCACCACAGATTAGCCAATGCTTGGCATTTTTATTCTTTTCTCATTTTAACTATTTCAGTCAGTGTGTTGTGGCATCCCATTGTGATTTTATTTTGCATTTCCTCAATGACTAATGAGGCTGAGCACCTTTGCATATGCTTATTGGCCATCCAGATATCCTCTTTCGTGGTATGTCTGTTTGAGTCTCTTACCCATTTTTCTACTGGTTGTTTCTGGTTTCTTTATTATTTGTTGCTTTTTAAAATATATTCTGGATATAGAACATTTTGGATATATGTCCTGCAAATATCTCGTCCCACACATGGGTTGAATATTTACCTTTTTGATATGGTTTGGATCTGTGTCCCCACCCAAATCGCATGTTCAATGTTGGAGGTGAAGCCTGGTGGTAGGTGATTGGATCTTGGGGTGGTTTCTCACAAATGGTTTAACACCATCCCCTTTGGTACTGTCATCTTGATAGTGAGTGAGTTCTGGTTGTTTAAAAGTCTGTAGCGCCTCTCCCACCCTCTCTGCTCCTGCTGCCACCATGTAGGATGCCTGCTCCCCCTTTGCCTTCCTGCATGAGTAAAAGCTTCCTGAGGCCTCCCCAGATGCAGATGCTGCTATGCTTCCTGTACAGCCTGCAGAAGCATGAGCCAATTAAACCTCCTTTCCTATTAATTACCCATTCTCAGGTATTTCTTTATAGCAATACAAGAATGAACTAATAGACTTTCCAATGATGATCTTTGTAAACATAAGTTTCTGATTTCAATATGGTCCAATTTATAGATTTTTCTTTGATAGTGGGTACATTTTCGATTTTTTTCAAAGAAATTTCTACCTCTCCCAAGGTCATGAAAATATTCTGATATGTTTTTCCTTTAAGGATTCTATCATTTTAACTTTCACGCTTAGATCTACAATTCTTTCAGAATTTACTTTTTGTGTAGTGTGAGACAGGGTCCAGATATGTTTCTTTCTCACATGGACATCCAACTGACTCACTCTTTCCTTGCTACACTGCAGTGTTATCTTTGCCATAAGTCAGATGAATGTATACATCAGGGTCTGCTTGTGAACTCCATTTTCTTCCATTAGTCAATATTTCTTTTCTTGCATGAATACCACGGCCTTAATTATCATAGTTTAGCTTCAGTGCTCCTGTTTTGCTTTTGTTGTTCAAGACTGAGTTGTGTGTTCTTGGTTCTTTGCATAAATTTTGTAATCAGACTGTCAATTTCCACAAAACAATCCTGCTTGGCGTTAAAATAAGATTGCATGGATTTAAGAATCAATTTGAAGATAATGATGTCTTAATAATATTGAGTCTTTGGGGTCATGACATTGACACACCCTTCCATTTATAACATCTTCTTTAATTTTTCTTAGTAATGTTTTGGAGTTTTCAGTGAAGAGACCTTGCACATATTTTGTCAGATTTACTCCATTCGCTTATTTTTGACACTGTTTTAAATTGCACAATATATTTTAAATTTGATTTTGTATTTTTGGTGGCTTATGTATTGAAATATAATTGATTTTTGTACCCACACTGTATTTACCTATGAGTCCTTATAGTTTGTCTATACACTCTTTAGGATTTTCTATATAACATATCATGTATGTAGAAATAATGGGAGCTTTGCTTTCTTGTTTTCAATTCTGGAATTAGAATAAATAAGAATTAAAGATAACAGAAAAAAGGTAAAAATTATTACAGAAAACCCCAAACACATTCAAAAATAACTTGTCTTTATGTTCTTCATAACATTATCACCCTAGAGTAACAAACAGCACACTGCTTCCTGAAAGCGAAATGTTTTCCTTGGCTAGTCCACCTGTGTTGTAATTTGGATGTCACCTCATATTGTCCTATCTTTCTGCCTGCTCATAGGACTGACACAGCAGATTTTGTCTGAGAAACTCTTGGTGTTAGTAAATCAGCTTGAATTAATGAAAGCAACCAACAGACCGAGATATAAGTACAGGCAGAGCAGTGAGGACCTGCACAGTGAGATTTGAGGCACTCCAAGAGGAGCTCCAAGAGGTGCATGGAGGAGGAGAATAAACTTCTTTGAAACCCACATTTCCTGCATCTGTCCCTTTGTCTGTGCCCTGTGCCCTTCGTCCTTGAGGGGAATATCCTTCCCTATGGCAAACATCAATCCTAAGGAAGTAGGAAACCCAGAAATGAATAGTTTGAGCAGGCCGGGTGCGGTGGCTCACGCCTGTAATTCCAGCACTTTGGGAGGCCGAGGCGGGCGGATCACCTGAGGTCAGGAGTTCGAGACCAGCCTCAACACGGAGAAACCCCATCTCTACTAAAAATACAAAATTAGCCAGGTGTGGTGGTGCATGCCTGTAATCCCAGCTACTCGGGAGGCTGAGGCAGGAGAATTGCTTGAACCTGGGAGGCGGAGGTTGCGGTGAGCCAAGATCACGCCATTGCACTCCAGCCTGGGCAATAAGAACGAAACTCCGTCTCAAAAAAAAAAAAAATAGTTTGAGCAAGGTAATATAGCTTTCTTAACAAGTAGACTGTTCTTGTCTTTTGAAAAAGATCTTTCTTTGAATATGCAGTAGCCATTTCTATTTTATTTTGTTTTACTTCCTTTTAAGAGATGAATGTGACCTACAGCAAAAGCCCAAGGACATAGGTAATTTGATTTCTGTGTATTCCTGTGGTAATAAAACAAGAGTCAGAAGGAATAAAGAAAATTATTTCTTTTGTATTTTCTTTGTAGTGCACACCAGAGTGTCAGAAGGTGGCCTTTGAGAATGGAAGCAAACAGTTGAGGCCTGTTTCCACTCATCACAGCACCGTAATGATGTCTACATTGTGCACAGAAAAGTCCCACGTTGACACCCTAGTACATTTAGACCCACTGGGAGGCAGGAATACAGAGGCAGAAGCACAGAAAAAGGGTCAGAGACACTAGGAGAGAGACAGAGCAGGACCAGAAAAGGCAGAACAAATGCTTCTTAGGTTGGGATCCCCTCAAACAGTCTCTGAGAAAAGAATTTCTAAGCCTGTTATTTACTTGGAGAGTAATTCCAGAAAGTACAGAGGGTTGGGGGAGTGAGGCAGGAAAGAGAAAAGCCAATGAGAGGTAGAGTAATAAGTGGGGGACAACAATGACGCTCAATCCTGCCAGAGACCTTCTGAGAGACTGTGTGTGTGCACTGTCTAACCCAGTAGCCACTCACTACATATGGCTATTTAAATTTCCATTTAAATTAACTAAAATTTAAATTTCAGTTCCTCATTCACACTAGCCACATTTCAAGTGCTCAATAGCTTCATGTGGCTAGTGGCTACCATTTTGGACAGGGTAGGTGGTGGAACATTTCCACTATTACATAAAGTTCTGTTGGACAGTGCTGGTGCAGATCCTGGCCCAGAATTGTCTCATCTGATGGGGAAGGAAACTAAGATAGCTATCCACCAACTCCTATCCCTTATTGGATAAGAGTCATCCATGAAGAATTAACTACCTTGTCTTTTGGCTTGCTCCCCCTGTCAGAGACCACCCTCAGGCAAAGAGATGCACAGAGCCGTCAGAGTGTGCAGGTTTTGCTGGCAGATGACTCTGGAATGGCTTTAGGCATATGTATGGATCACCAGGCATCGGCTACAGTTGCATACAAAATAGAAGGGAGGGAGAAATCATGACACAAAGAAGATTAGAAAATAAAGCCTATTGGACAAAGAAGAAGTGAGGAGAGAAAGAAAGAAAGTAAGCAACCATCTCAGAAAATAATCCTAGGCAAAGTATAACACACTGCCTAGTCAAAACAACAAGGACTATCTCAAGACCAAAAAAAGAAAAATGATTGGCAAATATCTGCATTACACATTTTTGCTGCTGGGAAACCCAATCTTGCACCCGCACACCCCAGCCTGTTCCTCTCTCAAATGGAAAGTTGACCTCACTTAGACCTAGCCCCTGGCCATGGTTTACTACTTTTTTTTTTTTAACAGTATTACAAATTGGATAGGGATCCCAGGGCAGACCTTATTGCATGGAAGAGAAGGCAGCAGATGAAGTACAATGATGTCAAAAGTTCTAGAAAAACTACACAGTCCTCCCAACTCCTCTTCCTCCCTGGGGCCTGCCTCATAGCCTAGGAAAAGATTAAACTCTCGCCAAACTTCCTGTCAGAGTTTTTGATCGCTGAAATAATTTTAACAGGAGACAAAGCCTTCTCTTCCATGGTTCTGTCATTAGAGCTGAAGCTAGGAATCTAAATAATCTTGGAGAAAAAACAATATTTCAGTGTTTTCCTGGTTGTGTATAATTGTCTCAAAAATTTTTCTGATTGTGAAGAGGCTTCTCAAAGCCATGCATGAGTGTTTTTTGGAATTGGTCCAAATGATTTGAAATATCAAGTTTCAATGTTCTTATCACATATTCCTTTAAAAAATACAGTTGAGTCTCAGCCACAGTGGCCAAGAAGTGCACCCAGGAGGAACATCTGAGACTGGGAGACTGGGATGTCAGGAAGACTGGCACACTTTCAGCAGACCTTCAGAGGAAAGGCATTCAGAGTGGACAGAGTGAGGACACATGCGGGCTGAAGGGGAAAAAAGCTGGATGCCCTGCACAGGTCTGCTGATCACTGGGACTCATTCCTAGCCCCCAGCGACTCCTGGGGAAGGGGTGGGTTGAACAGGTAAGGAGCAGCCCACTCCCACCATGGACCTCCAGACTCCAGGCAGCAGAAAACCCCATGACCCCCATGGACACTTGAGCTGGCAGGGAGAGCTGCTTAGAGAGGGGGTAGGAGCAGGACTCCAGCCTGTGTGGAGCCTGCGGAGTTTGGTGTGGGAGCAGCTGCAGTGGAGCTGGCCAGGGACACCCATCCCCCAAGGCTCGTCATGGTCCTCTAGGCGACTTTGGCCACAGAGTAACTGTCAGACCTGGACAGAGCAGGGTGGTCTTGTCTTTGAGATGCGGCAAGTCCACCCTGAGTTCTCTCCTGTCTGTTGGCCTCTGCTGGGGCCCCAGCTTGGCCTCACCTGACGGCAGTGCAGCCTCAGATGTTCAACCAGGGTGCTTCCAGGAACCCTCATCATAGCTCCTTTGTCGGCAGACCTTGCCTGACTATCAGAGAGCTCCAGTAGAGCGACCCCTGCTGATGCACACCAGCCCACACAGTCTCTTTTCATCACAGCTTCCCCTGTGCCACTTTTCTGGCGTTCACTTGCCCACAGCCTTTCCCCTATCCCCAACTGCTTTGCTGGTGTGTGCACACGGGTGAGCCTCACACTCCCTCTCCTCCCAGTGCTGTGTGTGCAGACCCTGCTGCTGCTGCCGATATGAGCGCAACCCACCACCCCCACCCCCAGCTAACATGTGGGCACTCAACCACACCACCATTGCTGGTGCAAATATACAAACAAACACCAGCAATCTTGCCCCACCCATGCTGATACCACAACTGTTGTGAATGCACCAATAAATACCGATGGCTTCACACCCCCATGCCAAGACCACTGCTGGTGCAAACACACACAGACACTGGCAACCCCACCCCCCCCGCACCACCACTGCCGACAGTACGAACACATGCAGGCAACCCCACTTCTGCCCCACTGCCAGTGGAAGCACATGCAGGAATGCTGCAGCCCTGCTTCTGCCAGCTAGCACGCATGCACCCCACCACTGCCATGGCTACTGGCATGTGTAAGTGAGCATGGATCATGCTGCCACCACCCCAATGAAGTGCTTTGGCCAACATCACCCTTCAAAGTGTGGTGGCCAGTGGACTGGGCACACTTTGGTCCCTCTGGAACAGCAGGTTCCTAACTTTGAGGGGCCAGAGAACAAAGCTGGAGACCCAGTACCAGCCTCCCAGAGTAAGAACATGCAGACAGGGAGCACTGAGCTGAGCCTCAGCCACCTAAAATCTTCCAGAAACAAACCCAGTCAACTGAACCCACCTTATACCACAATCAAACTGCCAAAGAATTCAAAGAAGATAAAAGGAAAGAAACTCATCCACAGGACAGCAGCTTCAAAGATTGAAGGAACATCATCCCACACAGATGAGAAAGAACCAGCACAAGGACTCTGGCAATTCAAAGACCCAGAGTGTCTTTTTATGTCCAAATGACAATAGTATCCCAGCAATGGTTCTTAACCAAGCTGAAATGGCTGAAATGACAGAAATTGAATTCAGAATATGGATAGGAATGAAGATCATTGACATCTGGTAGAAAGTTGAAACCCAATCCAAGGAATCTAAGGAATAAAATAAAGTTACATAGGAGATAAAAGACAAAATGGCCATTTAAAGAAAGAGCCAAACTCATCTGATAGAGCTAAGAAACTCACTTCAAGAATTTCAAATGTCAACTGCAAGTATTAACAGCAAAATTAACCAAGCTAAAGGAAGACTCACAGAGCTCAAAGACTAGTTCTCTAAAATACCACAGTCGAGCAAAACTAAGAAAAAATAATAAAGAAGAATGAACAAAATCTCCAAGAAATATGGGATTATGTAAAGAGACTAAATCTATGACTCATTGGCATCCCTGAAAGGGAGAGAAAAAGCAAGCAACTTAGAAAACATATTTGAGAATATCATCCATGAAATTTTTTTCAAGCTCACTATATAAGAAACATTCAAATCCGTGAAATGCAGAGAACCCCTGCAAGATACTACACAAGATGACCATTCCTAAGAAACATAGTCATTAGATTCTCCAAGGTAAAAATGAAAGAAAAACTGTTAAAAGCAGCCAGAGAAAAGGGGCAGGTCACCTACAAAGGGAACTGCATTAGGCTAACATTGAACCCTTCAGCAGAAATCCTATAAGCCAGAAGAGATTCGGGCCTATATTCAGCATTCTGAAAGAAAAGAAATTCCAACAAAGAATTTCATATCCAGAAAAACTAAGCTTCATAAGTAAAGGAGAAGCAAGATCCTTTTCAGACAAGTAAATGCTAAGGGAATTCATTACCATCAGACTTGCCTTATGAGAGGTCCTTAAAAGAGTGCTAAATATGGAAAAGAAAGACCATTATCAGGGACCACAAAAACACACTTAAGTATGTAGATCACTGACACTATAAAGCAAAAACACAATCAAGTCTGCATAGTAATCAACTTACAATATAAGGACAGAACCAAATTCACACATATCAATATTAACCTTGAATGTAAATGGGCTAAATGCCCCAACTAAAAGGCACAGGGTGGCAAGCTGGATGTAGAAGCAAGAGGAAGACACAACTGTATGCTGTCTTCAAGAGACCCATCTCACATGCAATGACAGCCATAGAGTCAAAGTAAAGCGATGGAGAAAAATCTATCAAGAAAATGGAAAACAGAAAAAGGAAAAGGTTGCTGTTCTAATTTCACACAAAAAAACCTTAAGCCACTAATGATCAAAAAAGACAAGGGCATTACATAATGGTAAAGGGTTTGATTCAACAAGAGGATCTAACTATCCTAAATATATATGCACCCAAAACAAGGGCACCCAGATGCATAAAGGAAGTTCTTAGAGACCTATGAAGAGACTGAGATAGCCACACAATAATAGTAGGGACTTCAATACCTCAGTGACTATAAGACAGATCATCATGGCAGAAAACAAATATTTTTGGACCTGAACTTGACCCTTGACCCAATGGGCCTAAAAGACATCTACAGAACTCTCCACCCAAAAGAAATATCATATATATTCTTCTCATATGCACATGGCACATACTCTAAAATCAACCATACAATCAGCCATAAAACAATCCTCAGCAAATTTTAAAAACCTGAAATTATACCAAACATTCTCAGATCACAGGCAAGAAAAATAGAAATCAATACTAAGAAGATCACTCAAAACCATAAAATTACATGGAAATTTTAAAACTTGCTCCTAAATAACTTTTGGATAAGCAATGAAATTAAGGTAGAAATTAAGAAATTCCTTGAAACTAATGAAAACAAAGATACAACATATCAGAATATCTGGGACACAGCTAAGGCAGTGTTAAGAGGCAAGTTTATAGCACTAACATTCACATCAAAAAGTTAGAAAGATTTCAAATTAACAACCTAACATCACACCTAGAGGAGCTAGAGAAACAAGAGCAAAGTAACCCCAAATGTAGCAGAAGATTAAAAATAACCAAAATCAGAACTGCACTAAAGGAAATTGAGATACAAAAAAAAAAAAAAAATACAAATCAACAATTCCAGGAGTGGATTCCTTAAAATGATAAATAAGACAGATAGACTGCTAGCTAGACTAAAAATATAGAAAAAAAAGACAGAGAAGATCCAAATAAACAGAACTAGAAATGACAAAGGGGACATTACCACTGTCCCTTCAGAAATACAAAAAACCCTTAGAGACTGCTATGAACACCTCTACGTACACAAATTAGAAGAAAGGGATAAATTCCTAGGCACATGCAACCCCTCAAGATTGCACCAGAAAGAAATTGAATCCCTGAACAGACCAATAACAAGTTCTGAAATTGAGTCAATAATAAAAAGCCTACCAACCAGAAGAAAACCATGACCAGAAGAATTCATAGCTGAATTCTACTAAATGTATAAAGAAGAGCTGGTACCATTTCTACTGAAACTATTCCAAAAAATTGAAGAGGAGGGGCTCCTATGTAAATTATTCTATGAGGCCAGCATCATCCTGATACCAAAACCTGGTAGAGACACAGCAAAAAAAGAAAACTTCAAGTTAATATCTTTGATGAACATAGATGCACAAATCCGCGATAAAATGCTAGCAAACTGAATTCAGCAGCACATCAAAAAGCTAATCCACCACAATTAAGTAGACTTTATCCTTGGAATACAAGATTGGTTCAGTATACACAAATCAATAAATCTGATTTGACACATAAACAGAACTAAAAACAAAAACCACATGATTATCTCAATAGATGCAGAAAACACTTTTGATAAAATTCAACTTCCCTTCATATTAAAAACTCTCAACAAACTAGGCACTGATGGAACATACCTCAAAATAATAAGAACCATCTATGACAAATTCACAGCCAACATCATACTGAATGGGCAAAAGCTGGGAGAATTTCCCTTGAGAGCTGGAACAAGACAAGGATGCCCACTGTCACTACTCTTATTCAACATAGCACTGAAAATGCTGGCCAGATCAATCAGGCAAGAGGAAGAAATAAAAGGCAACCAAATAGGAAGAGAAGAAGTCAAACTATCTCTACTTGCAGATGATACTATTCTATACCTAGAATACCCCATAGTTTCTCTGGGCCCAAAAGCTCCTAGATCTGATAAACAGGTTCACCAAAGTTTCGGAATACAAAATCAATGTACAAAAATCAGTTGCATTTCTATACACCAATAATGTCCAAGCTGAGCGCCAAATCAAGAATGCAATCTTATTCATAATAGCCACAAAAAGAATAAGATACCTAGGAATACGGCTTACCAGGCAGGTGAAAGATCTCTACAACACTGTTAAAAAAAAAATCAGAGATGACACAAACAAATGTAAAAACATTCCATGCTCATGGATAGGAAGAATCAATATTGTTAAAATGGCCATACTGCCCAAAGCAATGTACAGATTCAAATTACCTATCAAATTACCAATAATGTTCTTCACAAAATTAGAAAAAACTATTTTAAAATTCATATGGAACCAAAAAAGAGCCTGAATAGCAAAGGCAGTCCTAAGTAAAAAGAATAAACCTGGAGGCATCACATTACCCAACTTTGAGCTATACTGCAAGGCAACAATAACCAAAACAGCATGGTACTGGTACAAAAACAGACACATAGACCAATGGAAAAGAAAATAAAGCCCAGAAATAATGCCACACACCTAGAACTATCTGAACTTCAACAATGTTGACAAAAACAAGCAATAGGGAAAGGACTACCTATCAATAAATGATGATTGGATAACAGGATAACCATATGAAGAAGACTGAAACTAGACTCCTTTATTATACCATACACAAAAATCAACTAAAGATGGACTAAGGAGTTAAATGTAAAACCCAAAACTATAAAAAAAAAATCTAGAATATAACTTAGGAAATATCATTCTGGACATAGGCCCTGGCAAAGATTTCATGATGAAGATGCCAAAAGCAATTGTAACAAAAACAAATATTGATAAGTGGTACCTAATTAAAGAGCTTCTGCAGAGCAAAAGAAACTATCAATAAAGTAAACAGACAACCTAAGGAATGGGAGAAAATATTTGCAAACTATGCTTCTGACCAAGCTCTAATATCCAGAATCTATAAGGAACTTAAAACAAATTTACAAGAAACAAACAAACAGTCGGATTTAAAAAAATGGGCAAAGGACATGAACACACTTTTCGAAAGAAGACATACATTCAGTCAACAAGCATATGAAAAAATGTTCAACATCACTAATCATTAGAGAAATTCAAATTAAAACCACAATGAGATAGCATCTCATACCAGTCAGAATGACTATTATTAAGAAGTCAAAAAATAACGGATCCTAGCAAGGTTGTCAAGAAAAGAGAAGGTTTATACGCTGCTGAGCAAAACGTAAATTAGTTCAGCCACTGTGGAAAGCAATGTGGCAATTTCTCAAACAACTCAAAATTACCAAGCAGCCCCATTTTGGGGTATATGCCCAAAGAAACATAAATTATTCTACCATAAAGACACATACACATGTATGCTCATCACAGCACTATTCACAATAGCAAAGACATATTCACTCATCACAGCACTATTCACAATAGCAAAGAACTAACCTAGATACCCATCAACAGAAGGCTGAATAAAGAAAATACGGTACATATATACCATGGAATACTACACAGCCATAGAAGAAACAAGAATGTATCCTTTGCAGCAACATAGATGGAGCTAGAGGCCATTATCCTAATGCAGGAACAGAAAACCAAATTCTGCATGCTCTTGCTTATAAGTGGGAGCTAAACATTGAATACCATGGATGTAAAGAAGGGAACAATAGACACCAGGGCCTACTTGATGGTGGGGGGTGGGAGGAGAGGAAGGATCAAAAAGCTACCTATCAGGTACTATGCTTATTACCTGAGAGATGAAGTAATCTATACACCAAACTCCCAAGACATGCAATTTACATATGTAACAAACCTGCACATGTACACTTGAACCTAAAATAAAAGTTAGAAAATAAATACGTGCAGAATACAAAAAAAATTCTGAGAGATTTATCTTAACAAAAGTAAGGGAATTATTATCCATTCTGGGTAAGCAGAAGGGGATATGGTATAGAAAGTAGGTTGTAGGGCCAAAAAGTATAAATGAAAGACTGCCTGCCAGATAAAACCTTAGGCATGTGGTCAAGGTTAGCTTCACCAATTATAATTCAAGTCAATGTCAGTTACTGCCATTTGCACACAATGACAAGGGCACGTCACCTCTGTAGTATTATTCTCAAAAATGTATAACCCGCATCTAAGCATGAGAAAGGCATCAGACACACCCAAGTTGAGGGACATTCTACAAAATCCCTGAACTCACAGGGCCATGAAAAACAAGGAAAAACCCAGAAACTACCACAGGTCAGAGGAGGCTAAGGAGGGATGACAACTAAATGCAATGGGGTATCCGGGATGGTATCCTGGAAGAGAAAAGAGACATGCGTCGAAAAACTGGTGAAATCCAAATAAAATAGTTTGGTTACAGTAATATCTTAGTCCATTTTCTGTTGCTTATTACAGAATACCTTAAACTGCATTACTTGTAAGGAAAAAGAATTTATTTCTTACTACAGAGGCTGAGAAGTCTAAGGTGGAGAGGCCATATCTGATGTGGGCCTTCTTACTGGTGGGGACTCTCTGCAGGGTCCCAAGGTGTCACAGGACATGACATGGTGAGGGGGACGTGCATGTTAGCTCAGGTCTCTCTTCCTCTTCTTGCAAAACTACCAGTCCCATGCTGGTAGTAACCCATAAGCCCACTAATTCATTCATTCATACATGGATTAATCCATTCATGAGGGCAGAGTCCTCATGACTCAATCACTTCTTAAAGGCCCCACCTCTCAATACTACCATATTGAGGATTAAGTTTCAACGTGAGTTTTAGAAGAGATAAACATTCAAATCATAGCAAGTAAATAGACCAATGTCAATTTCCTAGATGTGATCACTAGACCACAATTATGTCACATGTTAATAGGAGAAACTGGGTAAATAGTACATGAGAAAGTTCTGCCACTGTTCTGTAGATATAAAATTATTCCAAAATTTAAAGCTTAAAAAAAAAAGCTGCATTACCAAAGACCAGCTGCATAATGTTGCTTCTGGCTAGCCCTGCAGTAAGAGGAGAGTGAGAGAAACAAAGTGAACATTATGATACTTAAATAGTAGAGACACAGAGTTGGGTAAGTGGGTGTCTAACAAAGAAATGTAAGAATGGAAGAAAAAGTCCTTGAGGTTTGTTTATCTTAAACGTCTTCAACTATTAAAAACTTCAATTGAAGATAAAAGTTTCATTTGCCAGAAAAAGAAGAAGAAGTTAATATATCAAAATATGTTTAACTTGACAAATTGTAATATAAATAGTTGCATTCAGAAGAGTGATGGGGAAATTAACTGTGCTCTATGTGCCTGAGCCAAACAGAATGGTCTAAAATCCAGTGGTAACAGATGGCGTGCAGAAATTAAGTCCAGCCCAAAGCTTTTCAGATAAGTCAGTTACAATTAAAGGAAACAAAAATGTTGAAATGTATATGTTTTTAATGTGTAAGTAGTGCATACTGGCCTACTGACAAAACAACAAATTGCAGTTTTATTTAGCCTCAATTTCTTTGTAATTATTTAAACTGACTCCCATTAAACACACACACACACACACACACACACACACACACACACACACACGCCATATTTTTATGACAAATAACTGAATAGTTAACAGTTCCAAGACTCAACAACTTCAATAAGGGTTCTATAAATGGAAAAAATGTTCCAAACCCACTAACAGTATAACTGGAAATATGGAAAAGTTTACCAAGTTTACAAAAAGAAATCTCTGAATCACATGAACTAAACAAATAAAGAACCCAAACTGCTGACTTAGCACAGTGGGGTTAGGAGGGCAAAGACTAAGACATGGCAGGAAAAGCAATTAACAAAAGATGGGGGGGAAACATGCAACCAAGGCTCAAAGTGAAAAATAAACTGAAAATAAATGGAAAATAAAACTTCTACAAGTACCAATGTGATGACATCAGACGAAACGCTTGCTAACCCTAAAATTTATTCCATCTGACCTAATTAGTGTTAAAAATTTGCCACCTCATCTTCTCTTTTCATTCCTTTCTATCCATGTCCTGACTCAATATTTTATTGTTTATAACCTTATGGTGTATGTGTATGTAACAGGGTGCTGAATATGACTTTTCCTGGCCTCAGCAGAGACTCCTAGGCACATTTTTAGGCACTATCCATTCCAAGTTCTTGATTAGTGCCTCTCAAATTTTAAAGTGTATAAGAATCACCTGGGGATTTGGTACAATGCAATGTTTGTGTATCTAACAAGCTCCCAGGTAAAGCCATTGCCCTTGGTCCAAAGACTACACTTTGAATAGCAAGAGTCTAAAGCAGCCATGAGTCCTAGCCAAGAAACTGTGAAACAGCTTTGCAGGTGTGGCCCTTTTATTTCCCTCTAGCTTGCAAAACAGAAGACAGAATTCCTTGGGTTTTTGAAAAGTCCAGTCATAAGGACCTTCTCTGCAGACAGTGCTCTGATTTGCTGTTTTCCCTTTCCTGGAAGCCAGTCGAAGAAGGTTTTAAGAGAACTCCATGGAAAGGTTGGCTGTATACCTTAGAATTTAGAAGACAAGAGGATGACTTCCTGATTCCCACCTATCTAAACGTGACAAGAGTAAGGTGGGACTGGGCAGGTAATGACCTGAACTTCCAGAGTTTGCAGGGACAAGGATGCATGCAACGAGAGAAAAAAGTCAACATTTTGAAGATACCACACCACATGGAAACACGACCACATTACAACTTTACCAGGAAAATAACTACTTCCTTACCTTTCCTTCTAGTATCTCTTCTCTCAGGGCTCCAAACAGCAGCTAGTGAGGAAGGAACAGGGTGGAACAGTTTATCTCATAGCGGGAGAAACAGTCCATGACGAGGACAACATTTCTGCCCACTACACGCACTACATGAATCTGATTTGGAGGCTGGTTGGAGCCAGAGTGGAAGAGAAGCCCCAAGTTAACTGTGAAACAGCTGTGCGAGTGTGGCATAAGGTGTCCCATGATTTTTCAACGGGGTGGACTTTTAATTTTCTTGCAGAGTTCAGATCTGCTGAGATGCTAAAGACTTTACCTAGGGTTGGAAAAACACTATTCCATAGATTAAGTTTAATGAGGAGCGATGAGGAAAAAAAATGTTGTTTGTTCTTTACATCTCGGAAGTCTGGTTGGTTCCATATCTGAGATGCTCACTTATACTCTTTACAAGGACATCAATAGATCATATATATATATATATATATGCACATATATATGTACACACATATATATATATATTATATATGCATGTAATATAGAGATCATTGCACATGTCATGATGAAAAAGTAGAAAGGTTTAACAAGAACAAAAACATTTATATTACATCAAAAGAAATAATTATTTGGCAAATATCTGAATGCTAATCTGCCTTATAAAGACTTAGACGTTGAGAGCCAAGAGAGACCCTAAGAATAATTTTGTCAAACTTTTATGCTTCATGAAGGGGAAAACTAAGAAGTTTATCAGGTTATGTGACTTATCTGATGACACAGTTGCTCACTGGTGGCAGACCTAGGCCTGGAAGTCGGGTTCCATGACTCCTAATGAAGTTTTCCAGTAAGCCATGAGGATAGGCAAATAATTTCAAAGAATCAATGTACCTAAAATAGTTAACAGATTTGCAGTTATTTATTTTTTTAAAAAAGCCACTTCAGTGGGAAATTTTGTTTGGTAAATAGAGTGGAAAAAGTTCCATGATATAAACTTTATAGATTTAACATAAATTTGCTTAAAATAGTGTTAAGCCAAAAAAATCTTGAAAAAGAACAGGCTGGAGGTCTCAAACTTCCTGATTTTAAAGCCTATTACAAAACTACAGTAATCAAAACAGTGTAGTTCTGGCATAAAGACAGACATATGGGCCAATGGAGAATATAGAAGCCAGAAATAAACCCTCACATATATGGTTAATTGATTTTGACAAGGGTGCCAAGACTATTCAATAATGAAAGGACAGTCTTTTCAATACATGGTGCTGGGAAAACTTAATATCAACATACAAAAGAGTAAAGCTGAACCCTCACTTTACACCATATACAAAAATTAACTCAAAATGTATTAAAGACACAGTAAGAGCTTAAACTATAAAGCTCTTTAAAAAAAATATAGAGGTAAAACTTTGTGACACTGCATTTGGCAATGATTTCTTGGACATGACACCAAAAGCACAGGCAACAAAGGCAAAAGTAGAAAAAATTCAGTACATAAAACTGAAAAACTTTTGTGCATCAAAGAAAACAATCAACAGAGTGCAAATGCAACCCAGGGAATGAAAGAAAATATTTGCAAATTACATATCTGATAAGGAGTTAATATCTAGAACATAGAGGTAACTCCTACAACACACACACACACACACACACACACACACAAATACAAAAATGGGCAAAGAATTTGAATAGAAATTTCTTCAGATAAGATATACAAATGGCCAATAAACACATGAAAACACATCGCTGATCATTAGGGAAATGGAAATCAAAGCCACAGTGACATGCCACCTGATATGATTCAGCTGTGTCCCCACCCAAGTCTCATCTTGAATTGTAACTCCCACAATTCCCATGTGTCATGAGAGGAACCCAATGGGAGGTGATTGAATTATGGGGGCAGATCTTTCCTGTCCTGTTCTTGTGATAGTGAATCAGTCTCAAGAGATCTGAAAATGGGAGTTTCCCTGCACAAGTTCTCTCTTTACCTGCTGCCATCCATGTAAGATGTGACTTGCTCCTCCTTGCCTTCTGCCATGATTGTGAGGCCTCCCCAGCCACGTGGAACTGTTAGTACATTATAACTCTTTTTCTTTCAGTCTTGGTTGTGTTTTTATCAGCAGTGTGAAAGCAGACTAATATACTGCCTCATGACCATTGGGATGCCACAATCAAAAAAATAATAACAAGTGTCAGCCAGGATGTGGAGAAATTGGGACCTTTGTGCATTGTTTGGGGGAATGTAAAATGGTGCCACTGCTAAGAAAAACAGTATAACAGTTCCTCAAAATATTAAAAAAATAGAACTGCCTTGTGATCTACAATTCTACATTTGAATACATATCTGAAAGAATTGAAAGCGGGCTCTCAAAGAGATACCTGCACACCCATATTCATGGCAGCATTATCTATAATAGCCAAAAGATGCAAGCAACCCAACTGTCCATTCACAGATAAATAAATAAACAAAATGTGGGAAAAAAAATATATATATACACACACACACACACACAATGGATTATTATCAATTCTTTAAAAGGAAGAAAATTCTGACACATGCTGCAACGTGGATAAACTTTGAGGACATTAAAGTGAAATAAGCTAGTTCCAGAAACAAAAACACTCTTTGATTCCAACTTCTATGACCTACCTAGAGTAGTCAAATTTTAGAGACAGAAAGTAGAGTAATAGTTGACAGGAGAGAATGGGGAGTTGTTTAATGGATATAGAGTTTCCATTTTGCAAGATGAAAATGGAGTCCTGAGATCGGTTGCCCAATAGCAATAATGCATTTCACACCACTGAACCGTACATTTTAAAATGTTTAAGATGGTGAATTTACATTATGTGTATTTACCACAACTAAATTTTTTTAAGTTAAAGAGACAGAAGAGTATTAAAGTGATTCAAAAAACATCATCAAGGGCTTCTTCAGCCGTCTCTTCTTTCCAAAGCCAGTATATCCACAGTTTAAGGCAGGAACGGCAAACAGATTCCAATTCATGGACAGTCCCTGATCTCTGGTCACTGGCACATCCTACTGAGGATTCTCAGGGGCACGGAATGCAGCGAATCACTGCACATCTGCCCTGGCATTGGGAGGAGGGGGTGGTGGCCTGCATGCCAATTTTTTGCCATGCATGGTTTATGGTTTACAGTAACCACTTTCACCACAGTGGTGTCCTTATAACCACTGTAAATACTAGGGCTGAGTTTACTGAAAAATTCCCACTATAGGAACAATGAGAATTATGCCAATACCATCAATCCTCACTTCTCTGCTTTAAAGAAGCAGTTGGGGAGGGCCCTAGTTGAGCAATGGAATAACATTTAGACCCACAATTTTGCTTTGTTGTGACCAGCATGGCCAAACCTTCCAAGAAACTACAAATACACAACCCTCAAATCATTGTTTTGGTTGTGATGAATATGGTCAACCTTCGGAGTGTAAACAAGTGAGGAGCCTTTCACTGAGTCTCACCTTCATCTCAGAAGTTACCTGGAATAGTTAGACCTGAAACAACCCTGACACCTGGAGAGGCCAACTCTCAGACCTGTAACCTCTGCTAGCCGAAATGCCAATGTTAGCACAGAAACAAAAAGACTGTTGGAGACTTTCATGTTTTGCTCTTGTGAAAACTTGAAATTAAAGTAATTGTATCAAAATTTTTGCAAGATATGACTGTGTAAATTAGTTTTCTATGAGCGTTTATGATCAGTGTAAATGATAATCACTTGTGCATTTATGTGTACGCACGCATGTCTCTTAGGCCAAGGGAATCCCACATCATTGAGAATCACACAAGCAACATAAAAACCAGCGGCTTTTGGGATGAGCTTTTGAAAGGCATCTGGGTCAAAAGACTTGAATTATTCATCCCAGAGTCCAAAAGCTCAGAAAAATTAATGGTTAGTAATTACCAAGGGACCAAAAATTAGGCATACCTATTTGTCCTGTAACACTACAGCTAAGGAAATAAAGCTTTGATCAGAGGTTTGTATTCAAGGATGGTCATTGCAGCATTATTCACAACTTGAAACAATTTAAACATCAACCAAAATATAACTCCTAATAATGTATGAGAGGATAAGATACCTTGTTAATATTTTTCAAGAAGATATTGAAGAACCAAGAAAAATACACATAATGAGGAGTGAGAAAACAGTATCCATAGAGAAAAGATGATATTGATGTTTAGACTAAGAAAACATGGAGAGATAAGAGCCAAATGGGGCCAAATATAGAGAAAGACAGTCAGAGGAAAGGCAGACACGAAGAAAACTGAAAGGAAATACATCAAATTACTAATAGCAGTTATCTCCGTTGATAACTTTTTGTCATATTTTTAAATATTTCACATCTTGCACCAAGCAGCTGTAACTTATATAATTAGAATATATATGTATGTGTGTATGTATGTGTGTATATATATATATATATATATATATATATATATATATATATATGTTTAAGCAATGTAAAAGGACAGGTAGTAGAATTTGCAGGTAAAATAGTTACACCCAAGGAAAGGCAGCCATAGCAACAATTACTTGTCTCGTTCAACTCAATTCAAGCTCCTAAACAATGAGAACTTACCTATATTCAGGAAAATACAAAGAAGAATAAGACATTGTCCCTAGCCATGTCCCCCACCAAAAAATTCCTGAGTTGGTTACAACTCAACACATCAATAACAAATTTTAAAGGCATCTTTATATTTTACCATTCTCCTCCAACCATAAAAATCTGAAAAGCAAAATGGATAGCAAGCCAACAATTTTGGCTAGGGGGAAAATTGCTTTGCTACAGTTTTGTGAGCATGGGGGTCGCATGGGGTGGGGTAGAGGGATAAGGAGGAGAGATGGGAGTTCTAGTAAAAATCAAGCACCATAACTTCTTGGACCAAATTACGAATTATGGAGTCTAAACACTGGGTCTAACATAGATATCAAATTGTCAGCTTTAATACCGAGAAAAGACAACATGAGCATGTCCAGTTACTTCCCCCAAATTCACGACATACCTATAGTAAGGGTAAACGTATCAGGCCAGGAACGTTACTCTAACTTAGGTGCCTTCACATGAAAACAAAGTAAAGACAAAAGCAGTTTCCACCTCCACCTCAACATATGATTACCAATTCCTGATGAAATTTTAAATTCTAAAAATGGCAGCTGTGGTCAGGGGAGCAGAAAATGTTATATAAGATACTAGACTTAAGTAAGAGTTTTTTCAAACTCTGCTTCAGCTATTTAGAAACTCTACAATTATTGAGTGAAAGTCCAGCCTCCTAACCACTGAGAACTTTGAACATCGATGTAAAGAAAAAAAAACACTGTTTGTCTCAGAGTCCCCACCCTACTTGCCTCACAGAGTCATTTTGAGGCTCCAAAAATTGCACGCACAAAAATGCTTTACAAACACAATTGTGCTACGCAAATTGCATTTTCCCAAACCTGCTGAGCACATCATTTGAAAGAATATCATGACATTTCAGCTCCCTTATTCAGACAAAGTGAGTAAGCCACTAATTTGCTCGAAAATCTCTGTGCATGAAACTCCTCACATTACAGAATCTGCCTTTACAAAGACATTTCCTTCTGCAATAGAAGCCAGGAAACTTCCGAGCAAATTGGATGGTCCACATCCAGGCGACCTGCAAACCAAGACATAAAGAAACATGGGCGAGTCTGAGTCCCCCTCACAGCCTGGACATGTCTTATGGGGAGTGCTACTGTAGCTTAAGTGATAAATCATCAACTAGAGAAACATAAACACTGGTTACACAAACAAATTCAATTTAAGAGTTTTTTAATGAACCTTTAACGAGTTACATGTGGGCTGTAAATGCCCTGGAGGCTGCCCCAAAGTGTTTGCTTTCAGGGAAAGAAAAACAAAAATGCATCAGTTCCCCTCATCTTATGATTCATCTCATCAGCAAAATGCAATAGAAACAAGTGATGTTTGAATCAAAACGCTATTTCCAAAGGAGGAGGAGGAATGCATCTGCCATTGATAAAGAAACGGACAACCTGAGAAAATGTAATTCTCTAGGTTAGGGCAGAAAGGAACAAAAGAACACTGATATATTTGTTATGAAGAGTGATGATTTACGAGAAATTCAGACCTTTTCATTTACCACACACGGTGGCATAATCAAAGTGACCCTTTTCCTTTCCTGACAGTTTGAACTTTAAAATTATAGTGTTTTCCTCCTCAAACTTTTTCTTTATTGGCTAAGATTTAAAACACACACACACACACACACACAAAGCATTTGACTTGGGAGGAAAAAGATAACAATTTCAATTTGTATAATGAAAGGCTAGATAACAAAAGGGGTGCAACCTATGATTTTTCCACCGTGACCCAGACCCACCCACAACATTTCCATTTCCTGAGAATGGGAAGCACAGAGCCAAAATAGATAGGTCACAGGAGCAGTAAAACCAGCTTCACCAAAACACGTACCAGATGGAGCCTATTTCTATCACCTCAAGGTACTTTACACTGTCAAGATGAGACACAGGGATTCATTTATTTACGTCAATGTCTTTACACAGGACATACCAAGATTTGTCTTCACATACCAAGATTCTGACCTCAGAGAATGTAGCTAAGGGCCAGGTCCACCCAGCTGGCACCACACGGCCAGCAAATGGCCCGTGAATAAATCACAGTGGGTGGCCAGGATGGACACACTGGATGTTTCAGTGGACACAACCAGCCTTCAAGAAGCATGTGGACCTAGAGAAAGCTCTGCCACCTACATGCCAGCGCATGTTCATGCTGAGAACTGCAGGTAGCTCTGTTATTTGTTGGTTTGACTTCGCTTTCGGGAAAGCCTTAAATACATGTATGAGGAAAGTCCTCCCTCCCCAAAATAGAAAACCTCTAAGAAGACACTTAGAACAAAGTCTCCCAGACTAGGTACGTCGAACAAAACCTTCCATCCATCCCATTGGCTGTTTTCTCTACACCCTGGTTTGAATCTCCCCCAGGAAATGCTCCACTGTTAGTCAACATGGATATGTTGTCATTGGAAGATCAGGGTGAAAATATACCTGGTATAGGCAGGCATTACGGTACGGCAGAGGCCCTTCCTGGGGCAAAACTACTTGAGTCTTTGTTGCCCCAGTGTTCCCCTCTATCAAATGCTTTCATAATATTATCTGTATCGTTGTGTTATTAAGAAGATTGGATTTCATTCACAGAAGTTAAGCAGTTACAACAGTGCCTAGCACAAAGTGAACAAGACATCAGAGTTATATATTATGGTGCAGACACTAATTCATGCATCAGAAAGAAATTTTCAGCATATTTTATATGCTAGAGAATGCTTTTGATACAAAGACACAATAATTTCTGACATTTGTTAAGCACCTACTATGTGTCAGGTAGTGGGCTAAATGTTTTACATTTGTCTTATTTCATGTCACAGGGAAAAAAGAAATGGCTTATATTGACTGACTACCATCAATGTGCCAGAGAGGTCTTCTTATCTCATCTTAGAGGTGAGAGAACAAGTCAACCCGCTGGTAAATGGGCCAATCAGAAATGAAATCAGGTATAGAGTACCACCATATTTATGTTCTTTCCACTATGTTGCTCCATATACTCATTATATATGTATGAAGAATTGTTTTTCTACAGTATCAAACCAGAAGCAGGTCAATGATTTCCTGGACACACACACACACATGCCTAATATGAAATCTGTTGTTTTTTTTTTTTTGAAGGAGAAAACCTGCCTAAGCATCTAAGGCAGAAGGGTCTGACTGTCATGTGTATCTGCTAAGAGGCTTTCTTTGGGTATTTTTAATACACCTACACAGTATTTTTAAGGGCAAAGCACCTAGGTTGCCATTGTTTGGTCAGTTCCAGAATCTTAGCATCTCAGGACAGGCCACTCTTAACATTTATATTACCCACAGACCTGTCCCAGAAATTTGGATTTAGTCCTTTGGGATTCTGAGAAAATCGATGGGGAAAGTTTCCAATTATGTTTGGAATTTTTTTCCATTGTTTTCAGATACAACCTAAATATCTCATAGGTTTCCAGAACAGTTTATGTAATTTTCTGGTGTGTTGTTTGTCTTTGTTTTTGGCATCACCCGAGCTTGAGAGATGAGCTGAAGTTTAAAACCATGGAAGCAAGCAACCTCATCTCCAGTCAACTCGATCTTTCTCATCTGGGAACCAGCATCCCCTCGGCCACCAGGCCTGGGATGGAAGTGAAATCATTACCGCTGTCTTTGATGATCAGGAAAAGGAACTTCATTAGCTACTTTCTGTCCTCATACATCTTTGGGGCACAGGGTTCAGAATTTATTGCAGCTGTAGCACAGAAGTTAGGGAGTATGAAAGGAAGCTAGGAAATATGATTTCATTTCCCTATCCATTTCTCATTGAAAGGATGATGGATTTCCCATTCACTCCCGAACAATCACTCCTGCCTACCAGGCTGTACTCAACCAGGAAATGGTGCCTTTTCTAGGAATCCTCCATTCTCCTTGCCCTTTAGGGCCTTCCCCCTCCGTCTCCACCAAAACAAAGGTCACAGATTTCTGCAGAAATAAATGGTAAAGGTACCTGGCCAGCCTGGTAGCTCGCCAGAATATACCTTCCAACCCTAGTTGCACCTTAGCATCACCTGGAGAGCTTTGTAAAACTAGAAATGTCCAACCCATCTCGACAGATTCTGATTTCATGGGTCTGGGGAGATTCCTGGGGACGTATAGATTTTAAAGTTCCCCCAAGGGGTCCTAACACACAGCCAGTGGAAAGCCACTGCCTGATTTGAAGGTCACTGTTTCGCAGGATGAGTGCCTTGGTCAGTTTCTCTTCTTTACCTGAAGGTTAAACTCCATTTGGGGTTCCCTGCTGCTGCTCAGAAGTCACCCTGGGCTTTGCTTCTCTGCAGAGCCCCTTTGAGTAGGAGGTTGCCGGGATTGGGTATTTATTTCTTGTGATAGTTAATATTGAGTGTCAACCCGATTGGATTGAAGGATGCAAAGTATTGTTTCTGGGTGTGTCTGTGAGGGTGTTTGTTGCCTAAGGAGATTAACATTTGAGTCAGTGGACTGGGAAAGGCAGACCCACCCTCAGTCTAGGTGGGCACCGTCTAATCAACCATGCCAAAGCAGCTAGAATAAAAGCAGGCAGAAAAACATGGAAAGACTAGACTGATTTTGTCTTCTGGCCTACATCTTTCTCCCATGCTGGCTGCTTCCTGCCCTCAAACATCGGACTCCAAGTTCTTCAGCTTTGGGGCTCGGACTGGCTTCCCTGCTCCTCAGCTTGCAGATGGCCTGTTGTGGGACCTCAGCTTGTGATCGTGCGAGTCACTACTCCTTAAAAAACTCCCCTTTATATATACATCTATCCTATTAGTTCTGTCTCTTTAGAGAACACTGACTAAAACATTTCTCAAAACCAGCTTGGCCCATAGCTGTTTGCCACTTAGACCCCCAAATATGGAACCTATGCAGAGGAGGTAAGGGGCTAATGGGTCACTTGCCTCAGGCTCCAGAGAGCTGGAGGGTCTCAAATGCAGACTCCTGGCCTTAATCAATAAATGAGTGGGTGCATGCAGCCAGGAAGATATGCTAGCAGCTTTGAGAGAATATTTTTATCTGACAACTTTAAACATGACTCCCATTCATAAATTGTACCACCTAGAATGTACTATGAATTCACATTTTATCATATAATTAATTTGTGAATGACACAATTATAAAACATTGTTGGAAGCATCAATGAGTTAAATTGCAGACATTTTAAACTCATCGCAAATTTTGCAAATCTGCTTTAGCTTCTTTCCCTTTTAGTATCTTGGCGAGGTGACAGCACTACCATATCTAGCCTAGCTCACAGACTTTACCCATCTGCGGTATCACAGGCCTCCACTATCCATGAGGGGACAGGAAACTAAGCCAGCAATTCCTCCACCTCTCACCCCTTCTATTAGAGAATGGGTGTGGTACGAGACGCTTAAGGCCAATATTTAAGGAGGTGCTCACTGGAAAATACAAATCTTGCGCTTGCACAAGACTGAGGGCCTCCTTAATAAATATTGCACCCTGGATGTTCAGGTACTGAGCCAGCACACTCATGCTCACCTATGCATACACATTCACATGTGCATGCACACACACACACACACACACAGAGGTCCAGCCATCTCAAGATTAGTGTGAGGATGAAAATCCTGATATAAAGCACCTCATTGAAATGACTCTTACTCAAAAGCATGTTTTGCATTTAAAAGATATATTTGATCACCAATTTTCTAGCATAATAATGAAAAAAAATTTAAACCTTTTTATTGGATAGTAGTAATCCTGAACTGGTTATAAGGTACATGGAGAACAAGTAAAAGAGGAAAAAATGTTGTTCCAGGGTTGTTGGTAGGCAGCGCCTGTCCTTGTAGATCTATAAGCAGGGAAGAGCCATAGGGACTCTTGGCAGCTAAGCTGCTGAGACTGTTAATTACTACTTTTGTCTTTATTAAGGGGAGTTTTCACAAAAGTTAAAATATATGATATTCTTTGAATGGTGGAGATGAGAAAACAGATCCAATCTAATCCGGCCATGCTGGAAGCTATGTTTGTAAAGATAGGCCTGTGATTAATCCTGAGGCAGTTTTGGTGAAAAATATGAACTCCAAGAGAGTATCATTCTGTCCTTTCTTTAAAATGAAATATTGTTTACTTCAGTTTGCCTTTATCGTTTCAGCTCATCACCAGTTCCAGTCACTTTTCCATTTTGAAAAGCCTCCTGCATCATTCTCTGCACATATGCAGCAGATATAGACACCCAAGCACACCCCTAAGGAGACAGCCCACTTGGACTCAAGGACATTCCCTGTGGCAGCTCTCTGAAGACAGAATTATTTCTTTGGCAGAGAAAAGCATGCTGTTCCTTAAGAGGACATTAGAGGAGAACAACTTTTCTCCCTACTGAACCCTTTGCACAAATATCTTCTAGAAGGACTTGTTCCTCACCCACTGGCCCTTGATTCTGTCTCACTATTGAATGAGGCTTTTCCACCAAACAGCTTTAAGGATGGATGTGTGCTCTGGAGAGAGCAAGAAACATGTGAGAGCCGGTTTGCTTTCTGTGGGTCAGCCAACGTCTCCGCCAGTCCTATGACTGTCATTTCACTGAGGATTGATATGCCTGAAGTCACTACAAAAACAAATGATGCTCTGAAGCTCATTCCGCCCTTGCACAAAGAAGCCAAAAAAATAGGGCTCTAATTTATTTTAGAATTGGCATAATGAGACAAAAGAGTCCACTGTGGGAAATTTTTGCTTATGCAATGAAATTTTTACTCTCCAGCTCTTTAACAATTAATATTTTTTTTAATTTTGACTTTTATGAATGAACAACCAATGGGATTACGGTTGGGAGGTAGTAGAGTTTTTAAACAGCTAATGAAGTCCACTACCAATAATGGCAGACTCCCCAAGCTCAGACCTCTGCTCTGCCAGTTGACTGCCTATGTTTTCTGGGATGAGCTGTTTAGCCTCTCTGCTACACAAATTCTTCACCTGTAAAATGTAGACAATAAAAAGTCCTGCCTCAACTACTGTGGTAATGATTAAGTGTGTTAATATGGATGCCAAGTGGTTAGCACAGTCCCTAGCTTAAAGCAAGGGCTCAAAATCAAGCTTTAGTTATAAATAATATTGTTAAGATTTCTTAAATAATGTGTCAGAATCCAAGATCCCTTAAAGAAATCTTCTAAAGTATATTTAATTATTTGTCAGAGTGCAAGATCCTTTAAAGAAGTCTGTTTACCCGATCTTTTTTGAAACCATCAGCCTATCTGAGAAGGCCAACAGTCGCCCATTATGGAGAATTAACACAAAATTTATCAGCAGAAGTTATTTTTCATGAATATTATAACTTCCAATTATGCTAAAAGCTTGTCTATTTTAACTCACTTTGATGTTAGCTGTGAAGTTCCATGTTTCCCTGTCAACTAATCAGCATTGTTACAATCAGGACAATGTGGGTCTATCCCTCAGGGTTTGGTGACCAAAGTCACTGTTTTTAAAGGGAGTGTTGCCCTCAGAAAGAAGAATAAAAACAAATTCTTAATAAACAATGATGCTATTTTCATGTAAATATCTGTAAGGAAAATGGGCATCAAAGCTAAAGGGGAGATGACATGCAATGAATTTGTTCTGCATAATTAAGGTATTGGGTAAGCACAAGGAAGGTGAAGTCTCTGGATCTGAGCATTTTATTCTCGGCTCAATATTCCTTTCATGTGATGCTCTTGGATGAGCAACTTCTGTCTCTCTTTCCCCCTCAGGAAAGCCATAAATATAATCAACATTACCTTAAACTTCACCTTGTTCCTGAAGTAATATGAGACCTTGGTTGAGGAGGATACAAGGCATTGTGAAGGTGAACAAACCAAAAAGCATTTAAAATTGCTTCCTTTTGCACATAGAAATTTTTCTCTTCTCTGGCCAACCCCTCCCAATTTGAGAAAAAGCTAAATTAACTTTTTTAACTTACAAGAATGAAAAAGTACTACAATGGGATGTGGGTATTACTTGGAGAGGTACAGTATAGGAATACATTATTTGATACCCAATAGCGAACACATTAGCCGTTCCCATTTGCAAGAATCTGAAATCTATGATTCGAGATCCTGGTTCTAGCATCTCTGACTTTCCCTGCCCCTACGTGGTTATTCTTACATTACTAACCTCACAATTAAGTACTGAATGTGTTGACATCATATTTCTGTACAGAATGTTATTTCATCATCAGGTGGGATCATCCTTACCTGTTTCTCCTTTTGGAGGGCAGATCAGAACATGATGATTGGAGAAGAATGAAACGTGATTAATAACTCTGTGTAATCAGGCCTTGCAGCACCCCAATTGAGCCTTTCTGATTCTTCCTGATAATCTATTTTTAAAAAAGAAAAAAAAGAAGAATATCTCCCTTTGAGTTGTAGGTAGGAAGGTAGACGAGAAGTCTGAGAAGTATCAATTCATTGTCCTGATAATTACCATTGACCTCTAGCTTCCATCAAAACCATTTCAGAACTCAGGGACATTTTCAGGATTCAGGGAGAATCCAAGTTGAATTGAGTTTGTTTCTGTATCACTGACCAGCAATGATGTTGAAATGATTGATACAGTCTATTCCGCAGATAAAGACCTTGTTATGCTACTAAAGGTGACTGCTACCTTCAGGCAAAGGGCTTGGTGACAGAGTCAGGCAGATCTGGGTGATAAGCTTCACCCTAACCAAGTACTGGTTGTGTGAAACCATGGATGATTGCTCTGTCTCACTGAGCTGAAAAATATCTAGCTCCTAGGACATAGTTAAGCTTCACACCACTGGAACAGTCATGGCTGTCAATGGACATTCAATCAACTTAACTTTTCTTCCTACTAGAATCAGTCCCGTGGAGGCCCTTCTAGTGTCATGTATCAACATACCCCAGTTCTGTGGGTTTAAGTTTCAATGACAGGGAACTCATCCAGGGTTTCTTTGAACTGTTCTTCTTAGACTATTAGTTCTACATGCTTGGTAAACTACAGCTCTTTCTCAGCTCTTTACACAATAACTACATTAATATCATGGCACTTTCTATTTTTTCACATGGCTGCTTCAAAAAAGGTATAAAAACTATTGGTGTCAAATTTACTTAAATTATTAGGTTTGTCAGTTGAGAAAAAGGATGAGACAAGTCTCAATCATTTTAGGAGCTTTCTTTGCCCAAGTTAAGGACACGTGCCTGGGAGACAGGTCTATATGTTTCTCCGAAGATGATTTTGAGGGCTCCAAATTTAAAGGCGAAAGGGTGAAATATTGAGAAGTGCACAATTTTCATGTAAGAGGAGGGTAGGAAAAAAATAGTCATTCATGCTTTATCTGGCTCAGTGGATCTGCGTTTTTTATATGAGATAACATAGACAAATGGGGCAGAGGAAAAATGCAGGGAATCTGCATTTTTTTTTTTTTTTTTTGAGACGGAGTCTCGCACTGTTGCCAGGGCTGGAGTACAATGGCACGATCTTAGCTCACTGCAACCTCCGCCTCCCGGGTTCAAGTGATTCTCCTGCCTCAGCCTCCCAAGTAGCTGGGAGGTGCCCACCACCACACCCAGCTAATTTTTTTGTATATTTAGTGGAGACAGGGTTTCACTATGTTGTCCAGGCTGGTCTCCAACTCCTGACCTTGTGATCCGCCCACCTCAGCCTCCCAAAGTGATGGGATTACAGGCGTGAGCCACCAGGCCCAGCTGTAATCTGCATTTTTACATAAGATAATATAGACCAAACAGGGCAGGGGAACAATCAGCTATGTATTTGTATCTGATGAGCAGGGGGGTGACTGCACCTGTAAAGATAATCTATCAATTTACATTGACATGGTGAAATCTTAACAGAAACACCTTAGGGTAAAGATCTGGCAGCTCACTAGGAATTTCCTTGTGGGCAAAATATGGGGGAGGCATGTAGCTCTTCATCTTGTAGCTATCTCATTTAGGAACCAAAAGGGGGAGGCAGGTTTGCATGACCCAGTTTTAACTTTTCACTTTGACTTAATGAGTTTGGGGTTCCAAGATTTAATTTCCTTTCACAGGTTCTCTTTCGCCCTGATGGTTCCCAATGAGTCAACAGGTAGAAAAGTCCTTTGTAAATTCAGGATATGCCATCATCAATATTGTTATAATGATATTAATTCCCTTAATAAAGTAAATTTCATAAATTGAGACATCACATTAACATCATAATTCAATGCTCTTAGCAAGAGCTTCTGTCATAAAAATTTTTTAGCTTGTAAGATACCTTTTCCAGCCAGAGTATCTCATGAACACGATCTTTGGCAAACAATAGAGCTGGGTGCTCTGGGTGATTAAGAAACCACATATTGACTGGGTGCAGTGATTCACACCTGTAATCCCAGCACTTTGGGAGGCCAAGGCAGGAGGATAGTTTGAGGCCAGGAGTTAGAGATCAGCCTGGGCGATATAAGGAGACGCTGTCTCTACAAAAAATAAAAAATTAGCTGGGCATGGTGGCACATATCTGTAGTCCCAGCTACTCAGGAGGCTGAGGTGGGAGGGTCACTTGAGCCAAGGAGGATGAGGCTGCAGCCAACTATGACTGTGTCACTGCACTCCAGCCTGGGCAACAGAGCAAGATCCTATCTCAAAAAACAAAAAAAGAAGAAGAAAACAGAAGACGACCTGTGGAGTTGCTCTGTGTGCTAAAAATCTAAAATATCGAACTTCCTGAAAAAAGAAAGAGATGAGAACCTATCAGGCAGTAGTGAGGACTCATGGCTCAGCCATTTGAAGGAAGCAGCAATCAGGTCAGAATCATTCAAATCTGCAACACTACTGAACTCATCTCAGTTGAGAGATTTAGTACTAAGTTTCCAATCAGATGAAAACAATTCTCTTTCATTCAATATTTACACCATCTTATATTTTACATTCTTTGAACCATAAAAGAGTATGTCTTCTTGCTTAATCTGTTGTTTTGAAATCTTTCTTCCTGGCAGCATAGCTACCATTAGCTATTGTTTAATGTTGGAATCCTTACATCCTGGAGGACACTGGAACTACTTTAAAGGCAAAATGGGATGCCCTGGCCACTTCCTGTCCTAACGACCTGAGATGGTGCAGTTTGCTAACATATTGAAAGAAACAGATGTTAGAAGCTGTGGTAACTTAATGCAACCAATCGGGAAATAACTGCCTTAATGCATTTCTAAATTATTCCAGTCTTTTCCTAATTTTAAAGTTTTATAAACAATTGGAAAAGATAGAGGCTGTTATAAAAACTTTAGCTCTAGTCATTACTTTCCAGGGTGATAAAGTGTGTTCCACTTTGGGGGAAAAAACTTAATCAGTGATCAAATGCAAATCTTAAGAATGGAGTCTGTAAATATATAACAATAGTGTATCATGAAGTCAGAGGCAAAATACTGACTCTGGTGTTTATAGGCAGAACAATTAGGCTTCACAATAATTCATCCCAGTTCACAGCTAATCCGTGGAGCTTTCAAAAATCAGAAACAAAAGATAATCCATAATTGTAGATCGGGTGCAGTAGCTCACTCCTGTAATCCCAGCACTTTGGGAGGCCTAGGTGGGCAGATCACTTGAGGTCATGAGTTTGAGACACACCTGACCAATATGGCAGAAACCCCATCTCTACTAAAAACACAAAAATTAGCCGGGCGTGGTGGCTTGCACCTGTATTACCAGCTACTCAGGAGACTGAGGCAGGAGAATCGCTTGAACCCAGGATGTGGAGGTTGCAGTGAGCCGATATTGGCCACTGCACTCCAGCCTGAATGACAGAGCAAGACTCCATGTTAAAAAATAATAATAATAATAATCCATAATTGTGAAATAGCAGAACATACACTAACCACTAAGGCATACTAAGGCAGCCTATGACAATTTAGGTTCATAGGTTCCAGTCCAAGTATGAGCTTTTCTATGCACACCACTGCATCTTTACACAGTAGGAAGCCATTTTGCCGGTTGACCTGATAAATGAGCCAGGGATTAATTCTGCGGGTTTGCCAAGTGGAAGACAAACATTTGCACTTCATTCAGCCCTGAATAATCCAAAGGTTATACTGTTCTAAAGAGATAATCCATTAAACACAGTTGCTCAAGTGGCTGTCCATTTGGGGAAGAATTTATCAGGAGGCTGTCAGAGAAAAAGGCCACAAATGATGTGTCACCAGACATCAAGCTCACCTTGCAGAAATGAAAAGAGTCCTGCCAAAGAGCCCACACTGGAGATAAGGACAAGCAGATTTATGGAATAAGGGACACATTTGCAAGAAGATCCCAGAGCAGCCTCCTAACCTCTTCTCAAGCTTTGGGTCTGGCTTCAGCAACACAGAACTCTCCTACACATTCACAATGATCTATAGCCTCAATTTGAAGCTCATCCAAAGAAAATTGCATAGTCATCAAGTTTTGTTTCTATTAGACTCCTGTGGAATTTACTGAGTCTCCACTGGACTTGAGACAAAGATGACTTTGGTTTGCTTTGTCACAGGGTCATCAAAATCATACATTTCAGTCATCTATTTCAGTCATCAGATCCTTGCAGAGTATAAAAGTCCAGCCTACATAATGGCTAGAACCTACACAATGGTTCTAAATGAGAAACATTTTCTTCTTTGATTTTTAAGGTTGATGGATGGATCATGGTAACATCCAAAAATCCATAATTCTATGGATACATATAGGAGGCAAGAATATTCATTGTTAATCGTATTTAGAACGTGTACCACAAATAGGTAGCATAATGTAGAATGCAGTTTGTATTTCTTACATAGTAAATGTAGTGGGTCATGGATAACAAAGAAAAATGCCAAGTGAAGTCCTTGCATTAACACATAACAACAGAGACAGCTGGAGGAAAATTACAAACTCAGTGGTTGGCACTGACAAGAAAATACTTCAAGTTCCATGGGAATATTGTTATATAAACTGGTTGAGCTCTAGGCGAGGGATATAACAAGGACAACTCATATTGTCTTTCTCCCAATCCACCTTCTAGGTCTTTGTTTCAAATCTTTTGGATGTCCACCACAGTATCCAATCTGCCAGCCTTCTGCCATTGAAGCTTGCTTTGTCAATGGTTCAACTACACTCTCATGTCCGCCTTCCCAGTAGAACAATGTTCTGAAACAGTGCCATCTTGTGGTCACTCCCAGACAGAGCATGAGCTCTGGGCATCTTCAGAAACCAACCACCCAAGAGGAGAAACTTGGAGATGAAGTTTTCACAAATAGGAGTGTCAGGAACTGGGGAGATGATACACTCTCAAATGTGAAGTAAATTGTCCAAGGTGACTCATCTAGCAAGCAGCATTTATTTAAAATAGAATTTACTTTAAAAATTATAGCAGTACTTCCAAAGTGCTGAGTGTGTGCAAAGCCAAGTCACCATTCTGGGAAAGACAAAATAGAATTAAGGAAAACATAAAACATGTCTCAAGAAGACGACTGCACCTGGTGGACACTCAGAAGACAATTGCTGATCTGTGAGATGAGTTCTGCATGTGGCATTCCAGAAAAGAGACACAGTCTTAGGGATCGTGTTCTCCAACTTTTTATTTACAAAACTTTCAAACCTTCAAAAAAGCAGAATGAATAGTCTCATGAAGCACCTGTATTCTCTTTCCTTAGATTCACCAACTGTTAATATTTTGCTGTGTTTTCTATATCTCTCTAGTTTGATCTCCTTTTTTTTCTTCTGAATGGTTTGATAGCAACTTATAATCATTATAAGACCTCACCTTGAAATACTTATTGTCTCTAAAAATCTTTCACAACTTTTTTTTTCCTAACCTAAGATCCATTCAAAGTTCACACATTGCACTTGGTATTATGGTTTTTATGTCTCTTCAGTCTCTTTAAATCTAGGACAGGCTTCTCCACCACCATTTTTGTTTTTCATCACATTCATGTGTCTGGAAAAACCCAGACAGGTGTCTCTCTCATCTCCCACATCCTGGATTTGTTCCTAAATTTTGACTTCAAAAGACAATGTCAGCTGACACCCATATTTCCATTCATTTTCACTAAATATGAAACTATTTTTTCTGTAGGTTTTCAGGAAATGCACTGGAGTCCCTCTGCGAGGATCCAAGAGATATTTCTTTAAACAACTTCCTGTCTAGGTAAAATCTTCAGGGAGTGACACAGAGCTCCTGGGATCTTCTGGGGGAAGGTCCCAGCTGCTCACAGCTGGAAGTTACTATGCATGCTCCACTCTCTTCTGGCCTACATCTACACGAACAGAAACTAAAAGCTTATTATCTCATTTTCAATCTTATGTTCACAGATATTTTGGTCAAAATTTCTCTTTAAGTAAAAGAACAATAAGATGACCCAAGATTTCAAATCTTCTGAAATCTATCAGACTCCAAAAATGAGCCCAGCCTGTTTTATATCCTTTCCTACCTTCTCAGAAATGATTATTTGCACCTGACTGTGAGAGCGCTTTGCTGCAAAGCATGGTCATATTTTCCATTATTTTTAAACTGTGTATCTTCCATCAGCCAGGTATACAATCCATCCAAATTGAGCTCTTTCAGGCTCTGCTTTGTGCTGGTATGCGTAAGTGTTTAAGGTATTACATGAAATGAGAATCTGATAGATTTTTTTCAGTTATTTTACTAGCACATTAATCTGGAATATAGAACTTATCAATGTAAAGAGATCCCAGATGCTGTTGCATTCCCAACACCCTATCTGCCCAATCCTCCTTGGACTGTCCAGCCAATATCTGATGCCCACAAGTAAAAGGCTGTGCTGGCCCCAGAGGCATCCTGATTAACCAGGGATAGTAGCACCTGCTTGTCCAGTGGTGTGACCAAGGCCAAGAGTTGGTCTCTTCTAGCTTCAGTGCTCAGTCAGTTCCTTTGTAATGTTTGATGACTAGATAATTACAACCTGGCCATTCCCAGTTGCCTCTTTTCCATGGAGCTAAATTTTACATTGGCACTAAACCATTTCCTGACACCAAGAGTAAGAGTACCTACAAACTCATCAGAAAAGCAAACAAGCGAAAATGATGAGCTATGATTCTGGAGTCAGATATACCTGAAATTCAAGTTCTGCCCATTTCTAGATGAGTAATCTTGGAAGAGTTATATATCTCTCTGTGTTGGTATTCTGATCTGTAAAATGAGGATATTATGTACCATTCAGGATGCTTATAAAGCTTAGTGAGATGATGCATATAAGACGTGTTACTTTGCAGGTTTCTTCAAATATCACAACATGCTTGATATGCTGACTTTAACGCATAACAGCCATTTACAATGTGATTCATCAGACTCCACGAATGTCATTGATTAGTGAGTTACTGTGAGTGAAAACCAATAGTAGGATTATATAAGACTCTTTGAGAATTTGAAGATAGTGGTGAAGAAATTCTCCATGGATGATAAAAATTGTTACTTTGTAATTTTTTAAGTCCATTAGAAAGTGCATTGCAGACATTGTTCAGGAGCATTTAGCAGGGACCTTTGTCAAAGAAAGGGAAATTTTAGTAAACTGGTCCCACCTCACAGGATAAAGGACTATTTGGTCAGCAGCTGAAGAATTTCCTGACTGTGCTTAGCTGAATATCTGGCCTCAGCTGATAGAAGCAGGTAGAGCTATATCCTGGTCAAATTGATAGAGATGAGTGTTCTCTCTCTCTCTCTCTCTCTCTCAACTCTTTCACAAAAAGTGAATTTGGCTCAATCAGCAGGCCTGGGTGTGTGAACTTGCTCTAGGCAAGGGAAGGAAAATATGGGGTGAACTGCAACACCCACAGCTCCTGACACTTGGTAAACATCACGTGGCCGTAGCACACTCCTCCCCGAGGTCACCAGCCTTCCTGCCTCCTCAGCTCGTCATTTCACACTGTCACTAGCAACTGACTGGAGCAGATACACAAGTTGACGTTCAGTTTTCCTCTCTCAGGTCACTTTGCATCTGGGTGTTAGTTCTTTGGAATTGGAACCCTTTCAGCAGTTTAACCTTGTGCTGTGATGCTTGCATGTTTTTCATCATATCAAAGCAGATTAGTTCTGTTACTATTAGCTTCACCTTCATTTTATTCCTTTGAGAAGAATGAGAATGAAAAACAATCATATAACTAAAGCTTACACATACAAGGTTACTATGTGCCAGAGACTGTCAAAATGCCTTCGATATCAAGGCATTTAATCCTCATAACAATGTTATCATGAAGGTACCATTATTATCCATATCATACATATAAGGAAAAGCCCAGAGAAACCAAGTTGTTTGTCCCACATCACATCGCTAGGATGTGGCAAAGCTAGTGGCAGAATCCAGTTGGTGGAGCCTGTGTAATTAAACACTACCCTACGCTATCTCTAAGATTCATTCACTCGCTCTGTAAGCACATACCATTTAAGACAGTATACATAGGGCTGTTACAGGTACATAAATTCTACTTCCACAACTTTATGGGTTTGATTTATAATGCTTGCCACAGCACTTTATTACAAGATGGTACATAAGCGTATTTCACACAACCCCATATTTTAATATTATGAGAATTTCTCTACTATCCCTTGTCCTTTTGGTTTTAATGACCTGCATTCAGCTGTAATAGAATTTTCATTCTTCATCTATTTCCAAAACTACTAGACTGATCCCTCTTTTATTTTGTTGCTGTACATTTACCTAAATTACTACATATGGAGAATGTTTTATGGGGTTTTTTTCAATGAAAACTAAGAAAGCTGTTTCCCAAAATATAAAAACATTTATTTCAAATATCCTTAAAAATATCCAAATGTTACAACATTTGGCCTTATTGAAGAGAGGAGCCATTGACGTGTTTGTCATATTATTTAGAAATGATGAACATCAACACATTGGCAATAAATGAAGAGGAGAAGAAAAAAGAAAATTATGCTTGTCTTTTTAAAACAGAAAAGGGTGAGTTAAGATGTTGGGATGACATAATTGCTCACATATGTCTTAGAGCAGAAGCTCCAGACATTAAAATAAACAAAGTTTGTTTATGCCACTGATGACAGAATCAAATAATGAAAATGGAATATTTATTTAAAACTATTCCACATTTAAGGTCATTTAAAAATGAGGTATAGAACATGCTGCATGCAAGGGTTGTACCTCACTTTTTAAAAAAGAAAATGTAGAGAACATTCTCTCACATGCAGCTGGTGGGATAGAAATTAATCCAAATTAGCAGTAAATTCAGAGCAGCAGCTTCTATAACTACCATGAGAGAAGCACAGCTCGCAGATTTTATTTTCTAATTGGTTTCTTAAAATACAGCTTTATCAATCCCTCTATATTATATATACACAAATGTAAACCCAAAAGCGCACTTGTCAAAGGACTCATTTCAGCTAAATGTTGATTTGTTGGATATTCTAAACATTTAAACAGATTGGCCAGTTTTTTTTTAATAGTCAGTTCCATGTGTATGCCTTACATGCCTACCACTGTGATGATTTATGCTATTATAAGTTAACAAGCTACGCAATCATTCTCTAAAAGCAACACAGTCACCAAAATGTTTTCCAGAAACTGAAAATTCAATCTACTAGCTGTTTAATAAGAGTTCAGCTCTGTAGGGGAATTCAAAACCCACACCCACAAGTCATGTGACCTTGAGAAAGTTACTTAACCTTCCTGAGAGTCTCAGGGAACTGCTCTATGTAGTAGGGATAATAACAGAACCTGGTCTATATCTCTGTTTTGGTACCAGTACCATGCTGTTTTGGTTACTGTAGCCTTGTAGTATAGTTTGAAGTCAGGTAGCATGATGACTCCAGCTTTATTCTTTTGGCTTAGGATTGTCTTGGCAATGTGGGCTCCTTTTTGGTTCCATATGAACTTTAAAGTAGTTTTTTTCCAATTCTGTGAAGAAAGTCATTGGTAGTTTGATGGGGATGGCATTGAATCTATAAATTACCTTGGGCAGTATGGCCATTTTCATGATATTGATTCTTCCTATCCATGAGCATGGAATGTTCCTCCATTTGTTTGTGTCCTCTTTTATTTCGTTGAGCAGTGTTTTGTAGTTCTCCTTGAAGAGGTCCTTCACATCCCTTGTAAGTTGGATTCCTAGGTATTTTATTCTCTTCATAGCAATTGTGAATTGGAATTCACTTATGATTTGGCTCTCTGTCTGTTATTGGTGTGTAAGAATGCTTGTGATTTTTGCACATTGATTTTGTATCCTGAGACTTTGCTGAAGTGGCTTATCAGCTTAAGGAGATTTTGGCTGAGACGATGGGGTTTTCTAAATATACAATCATGTCATCTGCAAACAGGGACAATTTGATTTCCTCTTTTCCTAATTGAATACCCTTTATTTATTTCTCTTGCCTGATTGCCCTGGCCAGAACTTCCAACACTATGTTGAATAGGAGTGGTGAGAGAGGGCATCCCTGTCTTGTGCCAGTGTTCAAAGGGAATGCTTCCAGTTTTTGCCCATTCAGTATGATACTGGCTGTGGGTTTGTCATAAATAGCTCTTATTATTTTGAGATACTTTCCATCAATAACTAGTTTACTTAGAGTTTTTAGCATGAAGCGTTGTTGAATTTTGTCAAAGGCCTTTTCTGCATCTATTGAGATAATCATGTGGTTCTTGTCTTTGGTTCTGTTTATGTGATGGATTACGTTTATTGATTTGCGTATGTTGAACCAGCGTTGCATCCCAGGGATGAAGCCAACTTGATCATGGTGGATAAGCTTTTTGATGTGCTGCTGGATTCAGTTTGCCAGTATTTTATTGAGGATTTTCGCATCAATGTTCATCAGGGATATTGGTCTAAAATTCTCTTTTTTTGTTGTGTCTCTGCCAGGCTTTGGTATCAGGATGACGCTGGCCTCATAAAATGAGTTAGGGAGGATTCCCTCTTTTTCTATTGATTGGAATAGTTTCAGAAGGAATGGTACCAGCTCTTCTTTGTACCTGTGGTAGAATTCAGCTGTGAATCCGTCTGGTTCTGGACTTTTTTTGGTTGGTAGGCTATTGATTATTGCCTCAATTTCAGAGCCTGTTATTGGTCTATTCAGCGATTCAACTTCTTCCTGGTTTAGTCTCAGAAAGGTGTATGTGTCCAGGAATTTATCCATTTCTTCTAGCTTTTCTAGTTTATTTGTGTAGAGGTGTTTATAGTATTCTCTGATGGTAGTTTGTATTTCTGTGGGATCGGTGGTGATATCCCCTTTATCATTTTTTATTGTGTCTATTGGAACCTTCTCTCTTTTCTTCTTTATTAGTCTTGCTAGCAGTCTATCAATTTTGTTGATCGTTTCAAAAAACCAGCTCCTGGATTCATTCATTTTTTGAAGGGTTTTTTGTGTCTCTATCTCCTTCAGTTCTGCTCTGATCTTAGTAATTTCTTGCCTTCTGCTAGCTTTTGGATTTGTTTGCTCTTGCTCCTCTAGTTCTTTTAATTGTGATGTTAGGGTGTCGATTTTACATCTTTCCTGCTTTCTCTTGTGGGCATTTAGTTCTCTAAATTTCCCTCTACACACTGCTTTAAATGTGTCCCAGAGATTCTGGTACGTTGTGTCTTTGTTCTCATTGGTTTCAAAGAACATCTTTATTTCTGCCTTCATTTTGTTATGTACCCAGTAGTCATTCAGGAGCAGGTTGTTCAGTTTCCATGTAGTTGTGCGGTTTTGAGTGAGTTTCTTAATCCTGAGTTCTAATTTGATTGCACTGTGGTCTGAGAGAGAGTTTGTTGTGATTTCTGTTCTTTTACATTTGCTAAGGAGTTCTTTACATCCAACTATGTGTTCTATTTTGGAATAAGTGTGATGTGGTGCTGAGAAGAATGTATATTCTGTTGATTTAAAGTGGAGAGTTCTGTAGATGTCTATTAGGTCTGCTTGGAACAGAACAGAGGCCTCAGAAATAACACCACACATCTACAACCATCTGACCTTTGACAAACCTGACAAAGACAAGAAATGGGGAAAGGATTCCCTGTTTAATAAATGGTGCTGGGAAAACTGGCTAGCCATATGTAGAAAGCTGAAACTGGATCCCTTCCTTACACCTTATAGAAAAATTAATTCAAGATGGATTAAAGACTTAAATGTTAGACCTAAAACCATAAAAACCCTAGAATAAAACCTAGGCAATACCATCCAGGACATAGGCATGGGCAAGGACTTCATGACTAAAACACCAAAAGCAATGGCAACAAAAGCCAAAATAGACAAATAGGATCTAATTAAACTAAAGAGCTTCTGCACAGCAAAAGAAACTACCATCAGAGTGAACAGGCAACCTACAGAATGGGAGAAAATTTTTGCAATCTACTCATCTGACAAAGGGCTAATATCCAGAATCTACAAAGAACTTAAACAAATTTACAAGTAAAAATCAAACAACCCCATCAAAAAGCGGGCAAAGGATATGAACAGACACTTTTCAAAAGAAGACATTTATGCAGCCAACAGACACATGAAAAAATGCTCATCATCAATAGTCATCAGAGAAATGCAAATCAAAACCACAATGAGATATCATCTCACACCAGTTAGAATGGCGATCATTAAAAAGTCAGGAAACAACAGGTGCTGGAGAGGATGTGGAGAAATAGGAACACTTTTACACTGTTGGTTGGACTGTAAACTAGTTCAACCATTGTGGAAGACAGTGTGGTGATTCCTCAAGGATCTAGAACTAGAAATACCATTTGACCCAGCGATTCCATTACTAGGTATATACCCAAAGAATTATAAATCATGCTACTATCAAGACACATGCACATGTACGTTTATTGCAGCACTATTCACAATAGCAAAGACTTGGAACCAACCCAAATGTCCATCAATGATAGACTGGATTAAGAAAATGTGGCACATATATACCATGGAATACTATGCAGCCATAAAAAAGGATGAGTTCATGTCCTTTGTAGCGACATGGATGAAGCTGGAAAGAAACCATCATTCTGAGCAAACTATCGCAAGGACAGAAAACCAAACACTGCATGTTCTCACTAATAGGTGGGAATTGAACAATGAGAACACTTGGACACAGGGTGGGAAACATCACACACAAGGGCCTGTCATGGAGTGGGGGGAGGGGGGAGGGATAGCATTAGGAGAAATACCTAATGTAAATGACGAGTTAATGGGTGCAGCAAACCAACACGGCACATGTATACATATGTCACAAACCTGCACGTTGTGCACATGTACCCTAGAACTTAAAATATAATAATAATAATTTAAAAAACAGAACCTGCTTCATAGTATCAAGGTGAGGATAAAATAAGGTCATTCAAGTAAAGCACTTAGTACAGTGCCTGGCACATGAACAGCATTCAATATTGCTGGACATCACCAGCATCAACATCATAATCTTCATCATCACCATCATTATCATCATCACCAGCATCATCACATCACCATCAGCATCATCACCATCATCATCATCAACAGCATCATCATTACCATCATCAGAATCATCAGCAGCAGCAGCATCATAGTCATCATTAACATTATTGTCATTTTTATCATTATTACTGAATCATCATCAACATCATCCAAAGATAATATATATTCCTTTGCTGTAACCCCTGCTCTTGAGATATTTACACCATAATAGACAAAACAGATAAGCCAATAAACAGTTGTAATTCATCACGATAGATCCTGTGATGTGGTAGATATAATGAATAAGAGGAACAGAGTCAGAGGGGTCTATCCCAGCCTTGGAGAACAAGATCTGACTTCCAGGAGGAGAGGATGACCAAGGTTGGTTGGAAAAATTCTTATCTAGCAGCTACGTGAAGATTTTCAATGCAAGGGGTGAAACGTTATATATATCAGGACTGATAGTGTGTGATATCTTTAGAGGTTGTACTGGCATGGTGTTCAGAGTAAGAAGTGAAGAAGACTGAGTTTCCAGCCCTTAGAAATGAAGACACTTAGGGAACATACAGAGACAGCAAGAAGAACTTACAAAACAAAGCAGGAATGCTCTTTCAGCAGTATGTGAATGAAAATTGGAACAATACAGGGAAGACCAGCATGCAGGTGAGAGATGACAGCGTGCTGGCAGTCCTCACAGCCCTCGCTCGCTCTCGGCGACTCCTCTGCCTGGGCTCCCACTTTGGTGGCACTTGAGGAGCCCTTCAGCCCACCGCTGCACTGTGGGAGCCCCTTTCTGGGCTGGCCAAGGCCAGAGCCAGCTCCCGCAGCTTGCAGGGAGGTGTGGAGAGAGAGGCGCGAGCGGGAACTGGGGCTGCGGGGGGTGCTTGCGGGCCAGCTGGAGTTCCGGGTGGGCATGGGCTTGGTGGGACCCGCACTCGGAGCAGCCGGCCGACCCTGCCGGCCCCGGGCAATGAGGGGCTTAGCACCCAGGCCAGCGGCTGCAGAGGGTGTACTGGGTCCCCCAGCAGTGCCAGCCCAACGGCACTGCGCTGGATTTCTCACCGGGCCTTAGCTGCCTCCCCACCAGGCAGGGCTCAGGACCTGCAACCAACCATGCCTGAGCCTCCCACCGCCCCGCCCCCCCCGCCCGCCCCCACCCCCCGCCCGCCCGCCCGCCATGGGCTCCTGTGCGGCCCGAGCCTCCCGGATGAGCACAGCCCCCTGCTCCAGGGCACCCAGTCCCATCGACTACCCAAGGGCTGAGGAGTGTGGGCACACGGCGCGGGACTGGCAGGCAGCTCCACCTGCAGCCCTGGTGCGGGATCCACTGGGTGAAGCCAGCTGGGCTCCTGAGTCTGGTGGGGCCTTGGAGAACCTTTATGTCTAGCTCAGGGATTGTAAATACACCAATCAGCACTCTGTCTCTAGCTCAAGGTTTGTAAACACACCAATCAGCACCCTGTGTCTAGCTCAGGGTTTGTGAGTGCACCAACAGACACTCTGTATCTAGCTACTCTGGTGGGGCCTTGGAGAATATTTATGTTTAGCTCAGGGTTTGTGAGTGCACCAATGGACACTCTGTATCTAGCTATTCTGGTGGGGAGGTGTAGAACCTTTCTGTCTAGCTCAGGGATTGTAAATGCGCCAATTAGCACCCTGTCAAAACACACCACTGGGCTCTACCAATCAGCAGGACGTGGGTGGGGCCAGACAAGAGAATAAAAGCAGGCTGCCGGAGCCAACTTCACTCCTGAAGCCAGCGAGACCCCAAGCCCACCGGGAGGAATGAACAACTCCAGAGGCGCCACCTTAAGAGATGTAACACTCACCGCGAGGGTCCGCGGCTTCATTCTTGAAGTCTGTGAGACCAAGAACCCACCAATTCCGGACACACAGGGATGACATACACATTTGTGAAGTATATTTTTAATGTCCATCAACAGATGAATAGATAGAGTGTGGTATATGCATACAATGGGTTTTATTTGGCCTTAAAAAGGAATGAAATTCGATACCACATGCTACAACATGAATGAACCTTGAGGACATTATGCTAAGTGAAATAAGCCAGTCACAAAAGGACAAATACTGTATGATTCCACTTATATCTGGAACCTAGAATAAGTAAATTAATAGAAACGGAAAGTAGAATAGTGGTTTCCAGGGGGTGTGGGAATGGAAGGATGAGGAGTTATTGTTTAATGGGTACAGAGTTTCTGTTTGGGGTAATTAAAAAGGTCTGGAAATGGAAATAGAGATGATAGTTGTACAACATTGTGAATGTATGTAATCCCACTGAACTGTATACTTTAAAAGGGCTAAAATGGTATGTCATGTATATTTTATGACATGTATGTTTTACCACAATTTTTAAATTGAGCAGGAGAAGCCAAAGCAGTGGTTCTGCATATCAGAAGGGCACGCAGATCATGAATCCAGGGAGGGAGTGCATCTGGCAGGGATTGGACAACAATGTTGGTTCTGCTGAGAAGTCAGGCAAGGAAGCCACTGGATATAGACACTGTAGAGTCAGCTCAGTCATTGGGGAGAAGAGTCTCCAGGGGGCAGAGAGGCAGAGCCCAGATGGCAGTGGAGTGACGAAAAATTGAGAAATAAGCAGTAAACAGGAGAGATGGACAAAGGTTCACGATGTGTGTCTCTGTAAGGAGGTGGAGGAAAGAAAGCTGGAGGGAAGTGGGGATTTGAAAGCGTTTTCTTGGTAAAGGATAAGTTTAAATGCTGAAGGGAAAAGCCACGTTAGAGAGGAAGGTAGAAAAGCCCGGAGTGAGAGGAGCAGGGTAGAACCCAATACACCTGAGGAGTTGGGGAGAATGAGGGCCTGAGCCCTAGGGACACGCCTTGTCCTGGGATGGAGACCCGAGTGACCACAGAGCAGTGCCAAGGGCCCTTTGAAGCTGGACACCATGAATCTATAATGATAGCCAAGGTGAGAGGTGGTAACAGCAGAGGTAAATGCCATGGTTAAAAGTTAGTAGTGGCCAGGCACAGTGGCTCATGCCTGTAATCCCAGCACTTTGGGAGGCCAAGGCAGGCAGATCACTTGAGGTCAGGAGTTCAAGACCAGCCCAGCCAACATGGTGAAACTCCATCTCTACTAAAAATACAAAAATTAGCTAAGTGTGGTGGCACATGCCTGTATTCCCAGCCACTCGGGAGGCTGAGGCACGAGAATCACTTGAACCTGGGAGGTGGAGATCATGCCACTGCAGTGAGCCGAGATCACGCCACTGCACTCCAGCCTGGTTGACAGAGTGAGACTCCATTTCGAAAAAATGAAAAAAGTTAGCAGTAAATACAGGTCTCAAGAACTTTAAACTTTCTCCAAAGAGAATAAAAATATTTTTAAAAGAAAGAGAAACAAACACCAAGGTGTAATTCCGTTACCCTTCTAAAGTACTTTCTCTGGATTGAAGGTAGCTACAAGCATTATCTTTGCTGAAGCAGCCAACTTGACATTCTTCTGTGTCTAGCGTTATCCTGGATATTCCTCAATGCCAACAAGAGTTCAATTTGCAGAGACAGCTAAGAAATTTCCGTAAATTGATTCAGCAACCACCACTGTCCGATAATTTTTTTCTTTTTCAGTTGTCTTTACAATTAATAATATTTATTTCCAGTGTAACTGCTGAGTGGACAATGTTTATAAGAGTAATCTCTCTTTCTATGTCTTTCCTGCCCATGAAAATAGTTCATTCCTGGATTTTTTTTTTTTTTTTTTTTTTTTGAGACGGAGTCTCGCTCTGTTGCCCAGGCTGGAGTACAGTGGCTTGATCACAGCTCACCACAACCTCCACCTCCCAGGTTCAAGCGATCCTCCTGCCTCAGCCTCCCAAGTAGCTGGGACTACAGGCATGCACCACCAAGCCTGGCTAATTTTTGTATTTTTAGTAGAGATGGGGTTTCACTATGTTGGCCAGTCTGGTCTCGAACTCCTGACCTCATGATCGGCCCACCTCGGCCTCCCAAAGTCATTCCTGAATCTTGAGAACTGACTGACAAGTATCTACATTTACCACCCTCCAACCATATCAAGATTGTTTTCTCTCTAAGAAAGAATATACATATAAGCATATATATATAGTCAGACACAGAGAAGAAAATAGATCTAAAAGGATATCGATATGCAAATATATAAAAGGATCTTTACATATATCCTTTTATATATAACCTTTTATGTGTACGTGTGTATATATACCATATATGTATATATGTGTGTATACATACACACACATAGAGTTTTTTATATATTAGGTCACTGGAACTTAGACTAAATTTTTAAAGGAAACTATACAAAATTTTTGAAACAGACATCAAAATAATAGCATGCTTATGACGTAGATTCTAATCTAAGTGTTTTAACTTTCAAGTATCACCAGCCCATGTAGTTCTCCCATAGGCTCTTCACCTTATGTTAAATTATCATTTATGTAAGCGTGTGATAAGCACCTACCACCTCTCTCTCAAACAAAAAAAAGTGGCTATTTCAGCTCATTCCCTCTGAATTGCTGTTCTGGATAGCACAGAAAATTGTAGAGTTGCATGACTGCTAATCAGATAGTTTTTTTTTGTTTGTTTGTTTTTTGTTTTTTTTTTTTTTTTTTTTCAGAGATTGCCAGTGGGGCTTTGGAAGAATAAGCTACACAAGTATGTGTTACATGAGGGTGAGGCCAGGCTGGTAGATTTCCTTCAAAATCTGAGCGCACACCAACGTGTTGCACATTTCTCAGCTTAGCAAAGAAGCGTGCCAAAGTTAATAGAATGGACCCTTTGTTGGCTCTCAAAGGCTACAATGGTTGGCACTTTAAACATACCACGAAGCCATTGCATTTGAGACGGCACCCAGGAGAAGCAGTCTTCGACCGGGAACATGCCTCTTCCATAATTACTGCCCTAGAAATTCAAGTCATCCCCTATAGAGAATAATTTTAAAATTCCAACATTATTCCTGACTTCAAGGAAACAGGGAGGTTGAAAGTGCTCGAGGCCAACAGTCATCAATGTTTAGTACAACTTAATAAAATCATGACCTGCTTTGATATAGCACTTGGCATATCCTTTCATTAAATCTCACACTCAGGGTTCTTCATTCTTCCTAGGGGTAGAAAATTTTTAGGTTAGACGGGAAAGCCAGCAACAACAGTCAAAATGGAAATACGATTAGTGAGGAAGTATGGGAATACTAATTGTATTATATCCATGTCGCGTAGAGTTTAAATATGTCACATATGCTATACACAAAGCCACCCACCTCCAAATCAGACTGTCTCTTTCAAGAGCTGAAAACCAAGTAAATACCACTCCTACTCATGACGCCCAAATTTCTTAATTCCAAAGTAATTGCAGTTTTTCACAGTGGTCCAGTGTTGCATCGATTTTGCAACCAGTGTAACTTGAAAATAAATTACTCAGAGGTTGTTATTTTATTCCTAACTGCAATGGAGGCTGTTCATTGGCCCCAGCTCCTTTGTTTCCTAGCCTCATTTCTGAGCAGCTAGGCTAATTTATTGCCCTTTTCATTACTGACAATCATTGTGTCTTTATGGATAAATTAGATTTATAGTTCTACTCAAAAGTTCCATGCCATACTTACACTGTTTGTCTCCTCCCCTTCACTTTATTTTTTTTTTTTTTGAAACTGTAACATATTGTTTTGGTGAGTCCATGCAGCTTACCCTTTCTCACCAGCTAGGCTAATGATTGGCATGCTAAAACTCACCAAGAGGAGTTAAAATATCATGGTTTCCCCCAATAGCTTAAAAACAATTTTCCTGAGAGCCCATGACTGACACTGGTAAATGTCTAGGTCAGTATTGGCAGTGGAGGTATCTTACAAGCGGGTCTAAAACATAAAATATAAGTTAAATTATATCATTAAACTTCTTTCATGTAGTTGCCATGTCCTTTGGGGGGACATCTGACATAAAAGTAATAGGGATCCACTAGGCTCACAGAATCCCAGATGTTATTGGCCTCCCAGTGTCTGGAACACCTTGGGGAAAGACTGGGGCTCACCTTATGCCAGGATTAATGAAAAAAGAATGTCACAACAATTATATAGAGAAGATTATTTCTAGGCATGGTGGCTCACCCCTGTAACCCCAGCACTTTGGGAAACTGAGGCAGATGAATTGCTTGAGTCCAGGAATTTGAGACCAGCCTAGGCCACTTGGCAAAACCCCGTCTCTACAAAAAATACAAAAATTAGCTGGATGTGGTGGCATACATGTAGTCCCAGCTACTCAGGGTGCTAGGGTGGGAGGATTGCTTGAGCCCAGGAAGTCGAGGTTGCAGTGAGCTGTGATCATGCAACTGTACTCCAGCCAGGGTGACAGAGTGAGAGAGAGTGAGAGAGAGAGTGAGAGAGTGAGAGAGAGACAGAGTGAGAGTGAGAGAGAGAGAGAGAGAGAGAGAGAGAGAGAGAGAGAGAGAGAGAGAGAGTTCATCCCAGCCCAATATTACAATATTTTCTCCTCCGGATTGTTTCTAATTCTATTCCTTCCTATAACCATTACAGTCCATATCCATGAGGAAAACAGCATGAAAGACTTTTGATATTTTTATTTTTGCAACCTTATCTTCTCTTTGCTTATGGTCTAAAATGCACCTGTTGAGTCCTGGCTTCTAACCATTCTGTATTTCCATGATTCAGCTTACATTTGTGTTTTGGAGATCTTGTATCTGAAACTCAACAAATTTCAGAGAGGGAAGAGAGAGACATTTTTAAATGATGTAGACATTTTTAAACTGCCCAAGAGACTCTGTCTCTCTCTCTCTTTTTAATGTGCAAAAGCTTTTAAAAGTCTCAGTGCTCCAGGTGCACCTGAGATGAATCACATCACAATCAGTGAGCTTGATATGCTAGCAGTATTAGTATTTTGTGAAGTCTCATTTGCAGGCAGGGTGGATAACTCCTGCTGGAAAGGAACTAGGAATTTCTTTGTCCTCCTTCATCCTCAGACACCCCCAACCATGAGTCACCCAAATCCTCCTGCCCCCAGGCAGAGACAAGGGGACAAGCTCAATGATCACCCCAGAGAGCACAAAGGCTCCACCTCCACCCCAGGGTGTATGGAGTAGAGTTCCACTCTATGGAAAGGGGGCACTATATCAGTAGATATTGAGCTTTCGAAGTCTTCATTTATGCATCTTTTCTCTTGGGGCATGTGGAGTTAGGTTTTTCTTTGGGGGACAGGCTTGCCTTTGGACACCTCAGAAGTCCTTTTACAAAATTTGAGTTTAATGGCAGTAGTGGATACCATGCCTAAATTACCAGTTAATAGTTTTCAAAAAGGATAAACCTTGTGGGTGTGACTCTTTGAACAAAAGTTGGTGCAAAGGAAGAGAAGAAGATCCCTCCTGTTTCTAGCTAGACTCTGCAAGCATTTTGGTAACTAGGGTTCTGGTGCATCCCAGGAAGGCCCAAGGGCTTGCTCCCCAGCCTAGAGTTTGCAGAAGGGTGGCCCATGGCTGGGTATAACACTGTGGTCACTCTGGCTGCAGGAGTCCAGACAGCCAGGGAATTCAGAGAAAAAAATGGGATGGAATCCATGTGGTAGCAAAAAGGACCAGCTTCTGCACACTTCTCAGAACCCTCATGGGCTTTGTGAATGAAATGGGAGAAACTGGGGAGGCTGGGGATATTGTAATAGCCATGGGAGGAGAATCTGAAAGACATACTCAATGCTGTTTCCGCAGATTGATGTCTGGGAAGTAGAAATTACATCAGGAACCAACGTGTTTTGGACACAGACTTTTCCTATTTGGTCTAAGTGTTGAGGGAGAAGAAAAAAGACTTATTTTCCTCTTGGCTATCCAATTTTCCTGTTATTGCCATCACCTTCTTTCCTCTTTTCTCTATGCTTTTCCCTGGGGATCTAATTTTTTCTCATGGTTTCATCTATTGTGACAATATCCAAATATATACTTTTGGCTCAGAATCTGTCTTCTGAGCCTCAGTAACCTACCTGCATCTCTCAGGTCATGTCTCTGCTTGAAAGTCCCAGAGGTGGCCGGGTGTGATGGCTCACGCCTGTAATCCCAGCACTTTGGGAGGCCGAGGCACACAGATCACGAGGTCAGGAGATTGAGACCATCCTGGCCAACGTGGTGAAACCCCGTCTCTACTAAAAATACAAAAATTAGCTGGGCATGGTGGTGCGTGCCTGTAGTCCCAGCTACTCGGGAGGCTGAGGCAGGAGAATTGCTTGAACCCGAGGTGGAGGTTGCAGTGAGCCAAGATGGCATCATTGCACTCCAGCCTGGCAACACAGCAAGACTCCGTCTCAAAAAAAAGAAGAAAAAAAAAAAGTCCCACAGGCATCTCTATCTCAATTTGCTTGGGTGCTGGGAGCATGGTTGTAGGACTCAGGAACAGCAAGAGGGTTACAACCCCTGCCTGCCTCATCCTGGTCTTACCCATTCACTGGATGGTAGAGGTGGAAACTTGCCATTTCTAGCTGCCGCTAAGCGGCATCCAAGATGTGGGGCGGGAACTTTAGTAGGGTGAGGTCGCGGGTAGAGGTGAGCGAAGACAGGTCAGGGCTGCTGAAGGGTAAGACTTGAGAATGGGATTTCCAGGATGGGAAGAAGGATGGGGACTCAGAGTGATGACAGGCTGAGCAGCAAGTTCAGAAGGTGTGGCATGAGGAGCACCTCGTGTGTCTGCAGGACAGGCTGAGGGGACACCCTTTAAACCAGGTCCTCTGTTTCTAGTTTGTCCCTCACTGGCTCACTGTGGAAGAGAACAGGTTCACAAATTCCCCCTTATTTTTCTGATAATTTGCCCCCTAAATTAAGCCCAGTAGAAGTCTTCTTTCTTTTCTCTCAACACAGACCAAATAGGGAGAGTCTGTGTCCAAAACACATTTGTTTCTGATGAAATTTCTACTTCCCACACATTAATCTGGGGATTGAGATTTTCTAAGCTTTTGATATTTATTCACTTATTCAACAGAATAGTTGATCACGCATTTCTTATGTGCCAGGCACTATGCTGGGTGTCAAGGATACAAGGGTGAATATGATAGACATGAGTCATGCCTTCATGGTGCTTGCAGAATACTGTGAAGAGCCAAACAATGAGAATTCAAAGTAAAACACCCACACAAAATTATTACAATGGTCACAAACACTATGGTAAGGCACTAAGATGCCAGGATTGAAAATACTGGGGGAAATCTACTATATAGATATAGATACAGATAGATATCTATAGATAGATATCCATCTATATCTATATCTATATATCTATGTGTGTATATATATAGTGGTCACGAGGGGCTCCCAGAAATGTAGGCTGAGAATGTGAAGAGCTGATGAGAGGGGTGCAGGCAGAGAAAGGGCTTATGTGCCAAAAGTACTGAGCAAGGAAGATGCCGAGGCTGGAGTAGATCACATGGAGCCATGCAAGTCACATTCTGTGACTTGGATTGTACTTAACTGCCACAGCAAGCCATTTGAGGATTTATGCAGGGGCATGGAAAGATACAACTTACATGTTTAGAACATGACTCTAGCTGATGACTGCAGAATAGATAGGGTGTCAGGAAAGAAGGTAGGGAGTCTGCGGAGAAGGCATTGAAAGAGGTGGCGATACAGGCAATAGAGATAGAGAAGACTAAGGGGAATCAAAGTACATTGTGGATGCAGAATCAATAGTATTTGTGGATGGATTAGTTCATGGAGATTGCAGGAAGGAGAAATCAAAGTTGACTCTTGGATTTGGGCTAGAGCAATGGGTGGATGGTGGAATCATTTCCCAAGATGGGAAAATAGGGGCACTCGAAATCAAATGTTAAGTCTCAAACATTAAGACTGCGATGCCTGTGGAACTTCTAGAAGTAGAGACGTGAGATAGACTTGCAGGTGTATGTCTCTAAGGCTCGGGGGAAAGGTCCTGGCCAATGTTTACATATCTGGAAGGTGTCACAACAATAAGACAGAAAGTGACTGCTTGAGTTGCCTCACAGCATGGCGGTCTCAGAGTAGTTACCCTTCTTACCTGGTAGCTAGATTCCCCCAGATAATGGGCTCCAGAAGATTCAGGCAGACACTACAAGGTTTCTTACAACTTAGTCTCAGGAGTGACAACTTTTCCTTCCACATATTCCTCCAATTTCCCATCTTGCATAGTCCAGTCCTGTATACCATATGGTGCAAATTCACTTTCCTAAATGGAGGCAGGCTGGATAATGTGGTGGTAGTGATTGGGAGTGTGTCTACAATAAACACACATCAAAAGCAGAAAAGGGATCCGTACCATCTCTTGCCACAGCCCATAGTGTTAGCTGTCACTATCTATTTACCCTGATCCAATAGGATGGAATTAATTAGTAAGAATTTTGCTGATTAAAACAAAATATTTTTTAACATCTTTAAAGCTAGATTTTACTATAAAATCACATTCAATTGGTCAAAGCAGTCACTGAGATGTAGGATTAAAGGGAACGGAGGCTTGGTTACCCCTCTCAATGGAGGAATGACCTGCCCCTGCAGGAAGAGAAGGAATTAATGGCACCATGTTAGGGACAAGTTACCATGCAGGGCCTTGCCTTATTCCACTACATTTGCCTTGCAAACCTGAGTTTCTCTACAGTAAAAGTCTACACTTTGATTGAGTTTTTCACTCTGCAGACCACATAACAGTCTGAAATCTTTGAGACTCTAGATTGAAGCTGGGATTGTTTTCTTACTGGATCTATATTTAAACCTCATTCCAAAATATGAAATTTATATTTGAAAACATCTTAATAAACTAAAAACCAAAAGAAAGGACATAACTGCAGAGAACTCCTTTTTGGAAGGGCTGCAGAAAAGGGAACACTGAAATCATGAGTCAATGAATAAAAAAGGGAAAAGCCATTTTTCAAAACATGTATGTCACCACCAAACAGAAATCTAACACGGACTCAGTTCCCAGTGTGCGTTACAGAATAATCACTAAAAGTGGTTTCACAGATATAACAGCCTCTAGCCACATTCTTTATCCCTCTCCTTTACCCAATATCTGGTTTCTGGAACTGACATTCTTTCTTTCTCTCTTCATAGGCTTGTTCTTCTCCAAACCACATCTTCACAAACAAGAACCAAAGCCATCCAGTATTTTAGCTCTTTTGGAAGTTTTTAAAAAATCTTTAATTAAATTCCAGCTCAAGATATCCTATGAGTCTGCCTAGACAGCTCTGAATTTTGATTGAAATAGTTGTGCACATAATTACATCAGGAGCGTGTTAAGGTTATTGAGACTGTAGTATTTAATTATGTAAACTTTTTATAATTAACATTTTTTATAGTGAACTTCTGGCCCTGGTCCTAATAATGCCTTGGGAAATGTGTCACACCAATTTCTACACTGAGTTTTATTCCAAGGAATTTTTTAATGGTAAATTGCCTGAAGTTAAGTCATTTTTTTTCTTTTCCTATAGTATCAAAGTGTGAAATGCAATGAAGTTAAATATCGGTGGAGAGATTGTGTTTCTGAGACCAGGAGAGAACACACAGTATGGACACTGAAGACCAATCTGAGGTGACTCCCTCTGGATAGCTTCTGCGGTTCTCCTCCATGGGTGGCAACTTGGAGTTAGGAACAAATAGTAGATGAAACACCCTGAGAAAGAGCCAAATGCTACAAGACACATTTAGGGAGCTTTCAAGACATGTCACCATTTTTTTAAAACAAAGAGAAATTTTTTTAATTCAAAGAGAAACAATAAAACAACTTCGACAAACAACTTTGACATTCTTTCAGTTTGCGAGAGAAAAGATTTTAAGATCACCAGAACTATTGAAATGTCAAAGTTTTGTGAGCATCTGTATTGCTCAAAATTAGACATACTATGGATGTTTATTGAGTCTTCCAGCATTCTGTAGAAGATTGATAACACATGTCTGAAAAGCTTCCATGCTAAATTGTCATGGCCATACTCTTTGGCAGAAATCACAAATTAGATATCCACAAGCCAAATCCAGCCCTCAGATGTGTTTTGTTTGACCCACACTATGTTAAAAAATAATTGAGAGATTTCTTCCAAAATTATTCATTCATATATTCAGCAAATATGTACTGAGACAATTTACACATGCCAAGCTCAGTACCAAATGCTAGAAAGAATACCATGAAAGAGACATGTGATCCCTGCTCTTATGAGACTTATACTCAAAAAGGGAAGACAGTGTGAAACAAAGGCAGTTAGATAAGCATGGTAAATATGATAAAGGCACCATTGTACGTGTACAACAACTGGTACATACTGACCATTTACTATGCACTAGAAATTGTATTATGTACTTTACTGCATTGTGATGACAAGAGAAGTAAGTACTGTTATTATCATTCCCATCTTTCAGATGAATATTCTGAACATACTGGATGGTTTTGGTATTGGTAATTTTTCCAGTATCATAAAGCATTTACCCTTTTGAATTGAATATTTTGATCGGTCTATTCTGGATTATATTCCCAAATCATTTATTTTAGGAAGGGAACATGGGTAGTTTCATAGCATCAGCAATTATTCATATTCTATTGGGGATCCTAAACTATTTTCTAATGTTTTTCTTATTTTAACCCATGAATATTCATGGTGTGATGAATGAATACAGATTTGGAAGCTAGTTAGACCTTGATTAGGCTCTTGAAGCTGCTGCTTTCTAGCTTTATGGTTGTAGTGGGTAGAATTTTGGCCCACATGACTTCAGCCTCTATTGTTACACCCATACTTGTGTTGTGCCACGTGGCAAAAAGGATTTTGCAGATGTTATTAAAGTCCCAAGCCAGTTGACCTTAAGGTTACCCAGAGTTTATCCAGGTAGGCTTTCTCTAATCAGATAAGGTTCCTTAAAAGAAGAGAACTTTCTCTGGCCAAAGAGAGTAGAGATGCTGCAGAAGGGGAAGCCAGAGAGATTAGAAGAATAACTCTGCCCTGTGCTGGCTTATTAGGTGCCTAATATATGTCACACAGTGTCGTAGGCATTCAGTAAACGGTGGGTTTTGTTGTGAAATATTAATGAGAAAACACTTTTATGTTGTAAAATTACTTACAAATATACTATCAGAATATGTCTTATAGTTATGATTCTCTATTCACTGTCCACCACATAGATAGAACCATTCAGTCTTAACTCTTAATTCTCTATGCAACTGCTGGACACACATGTTCTCTCCCCATCCTAAGCCCACCTTATTTATTTATTCATTTATTTTGGTTGTAGAAAACTTTATTGCTTATTCTGCCTCTGAATTTATTCATTTGTGCATCTCTAATATGATGCATTATAACGTGGTAAACAGTGTTACAGAACAACATTATTATCACCAGAAAAGCACCATGTGGTTACTAGCCATGGAACGTTACATTTTGCATTATGATTTAGCAGTAAACAACTTCTAATCCTTTGGGAAAAGGTAGAACATAAATCAAGCATCAATTAACTTTCCCTTCCCAGCCAAAAACAAAAAAAGGTGTGTGTGGAAATAGACAATTAAAATATAACAGATTTGTTAAAACAAAACATCTGCCAAGCCAGAAAATGGTCTCTGCTTTAAATTATTCATGATAAAACTTTACCAATAGATCAATCACTGAAAAGTCGGCTATAAAATAAATTTTTGAAACTGAACTTTATGCTCTGGGCAACTTTTTTTTTTAACACAGGTCTCCCTCTGTCACCCAGGCTGTAGCACAACAGCACAATCACTGCTCACTACAACCTCAACCTCCTGGGCTCAAGAGACACTTCCACCTCAACCCCCGCCGCCCCAAGTAGCTGAGACTACAGGTGCACACCACCTTGCTTGGCTAATCTTTTAATTTTTTTTGGTAGATACAGGTTCTCACTATGTTGCTCAGGCTGGTTTTGAACTCCTGGACTCAAGGGATCCTCCCACCACCGCCTCCCAAAGTGCTAGTATTACACACGTGTCAGCCACCACACCAGGGCCACTTTTATTTAAAGTAAAATACCTATTTTGAGCTGACCTGTTTCGTATATTCAAAATACATAAAAGGTTTTGTTTTCTTATTCAATGCACATTAGCAAGGCACCATTAGTAGGAAAATGCAGTATGCTTCATAGTTCCATCATCTACCCTTGCTTCCATCTGTCCTTTTATTGATCAATAGCATGGGTATATATTGAGCTATGCTCTAGGCAAGGCTCTGTTCCCATTTTTCTACCTCCAAGAGCTTCCAAGCCATTAGGGAGATAAGAAAGACCCAAATAACAGTGGCACAAGGAATATAAGATAGATGTTGTATTGGTCACCTCCCATTACTGAATAAAGAATTATCCTGCATCAAGTAAGACTTAGAAGCAAACTCTAGACTGAGCAGCAGAGGTGGAAGGCTAACCAGACTGGGAGGCCTTATCATTCATTCTTAGAGTGACTTCAAGCAGGTAGCTTGGAATTTTCCACGTAAAACCAGAGTGGTCACATGATGCCCAAGACCTTACAGCCAGTCCACATGCCTCTCACCAACTAAGGGGTCAGAAAAAAGAAAGTAAGGAGAACTGAGAGACTTGGGAGGAGCCAACACAGACTCTTTCTCTCTCCAACTGCAGGGTAGAAAACTGAGAGGTTTGCAAATGAGAAAGGAAAAACATAATGCAGAAATTTCACCAAGAAACCTCCGCAATGACACAGGAATTAAAACCTGGGGCTTTCTTGACTTTCAAATCAATGGCCACATGAATTCAGAGCAAAAGTTGTGTAATCAAGTCTGATCTTGACATCTAAAGAAATCCCCCAACCCTTGATCTAGCTAGAGCTATGCTTACCAGAATTGATAATGCTGTATTCTTCTAATGTGTGACTCTGTTTCTCTGCATGCTTTCAATGAGTGGAAACCATGTATCTACATAGAAGTCCAATTCAAATCTCACCCTGTAAATGGAAGGTCAGTAACTTCCTTACTCCTTTCCTAAAACTATGAGCCACCTCTGACATCTCTATTCTGTGACACAAGATTCCAAAACATATCAATGTTAGATTACATATAAACATTATTTTAAACTGCAAATAAAATAATTTTAAAGGAGACTTTTAGACTCCCTATTAATCTCAATCCCTCTGAAATTATCCACCAATCTTGAAAATTGGGGCAATTAAAAAGGAAAGACTACAAATATGCTAGAGACTTCCAATAAGACTTGAGGACTTCAAATAAACGAAGCAGAAGCACAGAAGACCATCACATCATGCTTATAAACCACAGGGGTTCAGAATGTGAGCTCAGAAGTCAGACAGTGTGGGTCTGCCCTCCACCACTTCCCAGCCACGTGTCCAGGACAAGTGACTCTACCTTCCTCTGCTTTATCTGCTCATCTGTAATGAGGATAATAATAGTACTTGCCTGTATTCGTTCTCTATTGCTGTGTAACAAGCTACCCAAAGCTTCCCAGCTAACGAAAACAAATATTCATTATCTCACATAGTTCCTAAGAATCAGGAATCCCAGAGTGGCTCAGCTGGTTGGCTCTGCCTCAGGGTCCAGCATGAGGTTGCAACTGAGCTGCCAACAGAGGCTGCTGTCATCCCTGTTTCTCCTGGTGCTGGGGAATCAGCCTCCAAGATGGCTCCTGCAGTTGTTAGCAGACTTCATGGCTATGGGCTGGAGATTTCAGTTCTTCACAAAGCGGGCCTTTCCACAGGACTTCTGCCTAAGTGTCCCCAGGACATGGCAGATAGTTTGTCCCAAGTGAGTGGGGAGGGAGAGAGAGAGATAGAGAGAGAGAGAGAATGAACAATCAAGATGGAAGCCATAGTCTTTTTATGACCTAGGATCCAAAGTCACACATCATTTTAGCTTTGTTCTACTCACTAGAAACAAGTCAAGTCCAGCTCACATTCTAGATGAGGGGAATGACACCCCACCTCTGGAAGGGAAGCATCTCAAGAATTTGTGGACTTATTTTCAAAATTAACACACTGCCTCACAGGATTATGGTGGGGCCAATGAATCAATACATGTAAAGCACCTAGAACTTGCAATGAGAGCTTGATAAATGCTGGTACTTCTCACGATTTTGATTACTCATTGTATGTTCACTGTGTTCCAAGCACTGCAATCTGTCAAGAAGACACGGAGCCAGAAGACAATGAGTGGTGGTGAGACAGACAGGTGGGAGGGGCTCCCTGGCAAAACTCCAGCCAACCTGGGCACTGGGGTGGAGCCTTGGGAACTTCACCCCATTTGCACCCAGAAGGAGCCTGGCCCCTCCTCTTCCTGTGTGGAACCTGGGATTCAAGCTGTGAGGTAGGAAACACACCAGCAGAAACTCTGGCCTTGTGGAACATCCCTGTTCCCTGTTTTCTTTCCCTTTTGCCCAATAAATCCCATAATTATCATCCTTCAATCATCCGCGAGCCTAAATTTTCATGGCCATGGGACAAGCATCCTGTCTTTAGCTGAACTAAGGAAAAGTCCTGCAACAGTGGTTTGACTCAGGAGCCAGGGACCAAACTGAGTATGGGATAAAACATGGAAGGGAAGAATGAATAAGGGGAAGCAAAGCTAGAGATCTAGCTTACATCAGCCCTGAATGCTGCTCTCCTTCTGGACTTCTTTGTTCGTTTAAATTTGTTCAAGTTTCTTATGGTGGTGGTGGTTGTTATTTACATCCCCAAAGCATCCTCACTGATAAATTCCTAAACATCTAAACATTCTCTGCTATACTTTACATGCTTGTTTATTCTGTGATCTAAACAACCATGACTGGGTGGTAACTTTGGTTATGGAAAGGACTCGGAAAAAATCTATTTCATTTGTCAAAGGTTTTAAGGTATACATTCCAAGTGTCCAATGGTTCACTTTCTTCTTGTAGATTAAATATAAAGTACAAATTGAGGATTAGCGTGTGGCAGTATGTTATTTTCACTTTGTAATATTAGTTTCATCATTTAAAGAGTTAGACAGTATTAGTAGGAAAATACAATCTAGTAGCTCCTAGCTAAGTATGCTCCTTAAGCATATTTTCATTTATTTGAGAATATTTAGTTTGGAAAAGGAAAGGAAACAGAATTTTTTAATAAATTAAGGAGGATTCCTATGCGGAGTTTTAGTTAATTGTGGGAACTCACACACTGCTAATTCTTAGCCATTTGTCTTCAGGCAGACTCTTTAAATTTCTTATTGGAGTCAGGATATTTTCTTTGGTTTGACATTAGTGATAGCTAAAAATTAATTTTTCACCCACAGGAAATATTAATCTCTCATTTGAGAGTCAATAATATTATTTTTCTCGGATAAATCTTCAATGAGTCAGCCAGCTCTGAAACTCAAGATTCATAAATCATAAAATCATGAAGTTGAAGGCATCATAGAATCTTTAATCCCTGTCCTTATATGGATAAGAAAACTGAGCCCTGGAGCAGTGAAAAGAACTGCCTACAGTCTTAAAAGTTGAAAGCAGGCAGGTCCAAACCCAGGTCTTCTGACTCCCAAGGCCCTGATTTTTCAATTGTATTATTGCCAGAATTAGAAATTAATTCCAATTTTTATTTTAATCTAATTGTGAATTAAATTTTAATCATTAATCACTAATCAGAATAAAAAAGAAGCATAAACTGCCATGTTCTTTCCCTGTATTTCATATATTTGATCTCCCCATATGACCTAGGGCCATCTTGACTTATCCTACGTTTGTATCCCTCAGAAAGGATCTGTCACTTTTTACCTTCCTGAGTTGCAAGTTCAAAGTTAGAAAAGTTCTATATTCTCAAGTAAATGTCCTTAGCTTATAAGTTAGCCATTTAATTAACCACCAGATCTGCCTAAAAATGATTTGTGTTTTATAACTTCACCCACTCTCCTCAGTGGGTTTCCTCCCCACAAAAGAGGATCAGGGTTCCTCCTATGGTCGGCTGCAGCTCAAACACATCCGAAGACAACAGGGGATTTTGTAGCCTTATTCCTGTGCTCTTCACTTTGTTGATCTGCCCAGGGAATGCCATAAATAGCACTTATTAATCTTGTTGAAAGAATTTTGGCGTTGCATGTATAATGTGTACTTCAGGGAAAATCAGCTTTCACCTCTGTGCATCCTTCTCAGCATTTCATCACTGCATCTTAAAAACAAGGTTTTCTTTTACAAAGAAGGGCAATTTTCTTGTTTTACATCAGCTTATTGAGTTTCTCTCTGGAAACTGTTGCCCAAGTGTTTCTCATTTGTTGCTTCCCATTTCTCAGTTAATCATCCAGTCAACAGAGCCTCAAGTATATTTTTTCATATTTCAGGGCATCTTGGACTTTCTAGAATACAGACTCGTGTCTATACCCTGGAGATACTTTTTTTTTTTTTTTTTTTTTAAGGTGGAGTCTCGCTCTGTTGCCCAGGCTGGAGTGCAGTGGCGTGATCTCTGCTCACTGCAACCTCCGATCTCGGGTTCAAGTGATTATCCTGCCTCAGCCTCCCAAGTGGCTGGGATTACAGGCACATGCCATCGCGCCCAGCTAATTCTTTGTATTTTTAGTAGAGACGGGGTTTCACCATGTTAGTCAGGATGTTCTCAATGTCCTGACCTCGTGATCCACCCGCCTCAGCCTCCCAAAGTGCTGGGATTACAGGTGTGAGCCATCACACCCAGCCTATACCTCGGAGATAATTATTGTAATTACAGAATGCTGCACTTTTATGAAACCATCACCAAATGGTGTTTATGCAGGCACAAGGCTATGTCTCTGCCCTATAGCTATTTAAATGTTAAATTGACCAAGACCTATTTTAGAATGTCACTGTGGAGTTAATAGGAAGCATACACTACATAAGTTCTTCAAGGAAGGGGTGAGAGGACATTCACAGAAAACAAATGTTGACTTGGAGAATGTAATAAATAAGGTTATTGGTAAAATAAAAGAAATGCCATAGTCTTAGTCTGTTCTGTGCTGCTATAACAGAATATCTGAGACTGGGTAATTTATAAAGAAAATAGCATATTTCTTAGAGTTCCGGAGGCTGGAAAGTCTGAGGTCAAGGGGCTTATATCTGGTGAGGATCGTTTTGCTGCATCATCCCATAACAGAAGGCAGAAGAGCAAGAGAACGTGCACAAGAGAGAGAGGGGAAGGGAGCCAAATTCATCCTTGTATGAGGAGCCCACTCCTACAATAACTAACCAACTCCCTCATAATGGTATTAATCCATTCATGAAGGCAGAAAATTTTTATGACTTAATCACCTCTTAAAGGCCCCACCTCTCAACGCTATTGCGTTGGGGATTAGATTTCCAACACATGAACTTTGGCAGACACATTCATACCATAGCATTCCACTGCTGGCCTGCAAAGTTTGTGTTCTTCTCCCATGCAAAATACATTCATTCCACCCAATAACCCCAAAAGTCTTAACTTGTTCTAGCATCCACTCAAAAATCCCAAGTCCAGAGTCTCACCAAATCAGATATAGGTGAGACTCAAAGCAAAATTTATCCTAAGGCAAATTTGTCTTTAGCTGTGAGCCTGTGAAATCAAACAAGTTTTCTGCTTCCAAAAATACAATGATAGACCATGAATAGGATAGACATCCTCACTCCAAAAGGGAGAAACAGGTAAGAAGAAAGGGATAACTGGTCCCAAGTAAGTTCAAAACCCCACACGGAAAACAATAGGAAGTCTTAAAGCTGGAGAATATTCTCCTCTGACTTCATGTTCTGCATCCTGGACACACTGGAGTAGGGAGTGGGGCCCCAAGACCTCAGGCAAGCCTCACCCCTATAGCTTTGCTGGGCTTAGTCTATCCAGCAGCTCTCACGTGTTAGTCTTATTCCTGCAGCTCTCCCAGGCTGGCATTGCACAGCAGTAGCTCTACATTTCTGGGATCTTGATAGCAGCCTGATTCCCACAGCTCCACTAGCCATTGCCCTAGTGTGAACTCTCTGCCTCTTCGGTGCCACTGGGCAATGCCCTAGTGTAGGCTGTCTGCAGTGGCTCCACCCCTGCAATAAATCTCTACCTAGGCACTCAGGCTATCCATGGCATCCTCTGAAATCTAGCTGGCGGCCACCATGGCCACACAACTTGCGCACTCTGCATGTCAACGGAGTCAGCACCACATGGATGCCTCCAAGGCTTACTGCTTGTGCCCTGCGGAACTGTGGCATGAACTGCACCTGGGCCCACCCGAGCATGGCTGAGATGGCTGAGCGGCACTGCACCACCATGAGGAGTGCAGAGTCCCAAGACTCTCCTAGGCAGTGAACACTGAGATCTTCTGAGTGCCTCTCTGAAAATCCTTGTCCTCAAAGTCCTAGATTGCCTAGAAGATCTGTGAAATGCCTTTGGAGTCATTTCCCATTGTCTTGATGAATAGAACTTGGCTTCCTTCTATCCATATTCATCTCTTTGGCAAAAAAATCACTTGGCCACACCCTTAATATTCTCTCCCAAACAGGTTTTTTAAATTCTTTACCTGGCCAGGCTGAGTTTTCCAAATCTTTCCATTCAGGTTCCCTTTTAATTACATAAATTATGTCTTTAAATAATTTCTTTCTTCTCTTATTTTACTTTAAGTGACCAAAAGAAGCCTTGTAGCACTTTGGATGCTTTCTGCTTAGATACTTCTTCTGCCAGATATCCCAGTTCATCACTCTTAAATTCTGCCTTCCATAAAGCCACAGGGCATGGACACAATTCAGCCAAGTTCTTTGCCACCACATAACAAGGATGGCCTTTAATCCAGTTTCTAATAAGATATTCCTCTTTTCCATCTGAAAACTCATCAGAATGGTCTTTACCGTTTATACTTCTACCAACTTTCTGATCATGATCAGTTAAGTAATTGTTCAGAAGTTTCAGATTTTCCCTAGAGCTCTCTTCTTCTTCTGAGCCCTCACTAAAGTCACCCTTAATGTTCTGTTTATGGCAACCTAGGCTTTTTCTAGCCTGCTCTTCCAAATTCTTCCAGCCTCTATTCATTACACAGTTCAAAAGCCACTTGGGCATTTTCAGATATTTCTTCTAACAATGACTCCATTCCTGGTACCAATTTTCTGTCTTAGTTTGTTTGTGTGTTATAACAGAATACCTGAGACTGGGTAATCTATAAAGAAAATAGATTTATTTCTTACAATTCTGAAACTAGGAAGTCCAAGGTCAAGGGGCCCACGTCTGGTGAGGGCTTTTTTACTGCATCATCCCATGGCAATAGGTGAAATAGCAAGAGAGCATGCACAAGAGAAAGAGGGGAGAAAGGGAATGAACTCATTCTTTCATCAGGAGCTCACTCCCAAGATAACAAACTCACTCCCACAATGACAACATTAATCCATTCGTGAGGGCAGAGCCTTCATGGCCTAGTCACTTCTTAAATGCCCACCTCTCAACACTGTTGCATCAGGGATTAAGTTTCTAACAATGAACATTGGAGGACACATTCAAACCATAGCAGCCATCCACTTGCAGAACCCTTATGTATGGAGGCATCATTCAAAAATGAAGTTGTGAGAGTTGTTCTTTTCTTCAAGCACCATCTACTCCATTGTGCTCAAAACATAAAAACTTGGGGGAAAATTGGAATATGCCACTCCTAAACAAGGGTAACAGGGATATCCCCATGCCACACATGGGCATGGCAATTCTTCTCCAGGGTTCTTAAGGTGACTCTTACCAAGAAACTACCTCACTCAACACCCACACGTCATGCAGCAAATGCAACTCTGGGAGACCCTGGTGCCTACCATAATTTTGTAACACTTTTATTGAGATGCAATATACCATGCAATTTACTCATTTAAAGTGTGAAAGTCAGTTAGTATGGTTTTTAGTATATTCAGGGTTGTGCAACCATTACCTCAATTAATTTTGGAACATGTTTATCATCCCAAAAAGAAACTCCATAATCATTAGCAGTTACTCACATTTCACATCCCCAGTCACCAACCTGCTTTCTTTCTCCATCAGTTTGCCTATTCTGGACATTTCACATAAATAAAATCATATAATATATTGTCTTTTATAAATGAGTTTTTCACTATCCATACTGTTTTCAAAGTTCCAGAGCAAGAAAGAATAACCTAGAAATTCTAGCAAAAGTCCTCGAATTCATACTTATTGGCATTGCTCCGGATTAATGCCTGACTCCAAACTAATTCCTGAATGAAATATACAAATGGACCTTGTCCAGGTTATATGTTTCTTCCCTGGAATTGAGAATGGAGATGGCTTGTCCAGAAACCCCTGTATTCCTAATGAAAACTGGGAAAATAGAAGCTGAGGAGTTATCCACTCATGTCTTGAAATATTTATGGATTCACTGTTAGCATGCAAACTATGAATAATTATCCTAGCACAAAATATGACTGCATTGCATATATGCAAAATAAAATTACCATTATGAATACACTTGTTCATGTGTACAAAAAAAGTTATTAAAGGAAAGCTATTTTATTCTCTTTTTTTAGAGGAGTAAAAATGTTAAGCTTAATCTATTTTATCCATTTCTAAATTTATTTAAAAATTAGCAAGAAATGTCTAAAAATGATTTTAGAAACAAAAACCTCAACCCAGTTTGGGAAGCATTAGTATTCTATTCAAACATCATTTGAAAACCATTGATACAACTAAATTATATTAATCAGTTACAACCATAGTAATTCTGAGTCATAAATTACCCCTCAACTCATTGATATATTAAACTGAGCATTTATCCTCACATTCATAGGCCTGAGGTCAACTGCATTTCAATGGAGCTAAACAGAATGGCTCTATTCAGGCTGATGATGAGTAGGATTACTTCAGGCTGTAGTTTAGGTTCAAGTCTGTTGTACAAGTGTTCATTCTGGAGCCCATGTGTTAGGGGCAGAAGTACCTGGGCATGTACTTCTCATGGAAAATCACTAGGTTGCCAGAGCCAAGCCAAAAAGACACAAATATTTTAGACCTCTGCAAGCATCATGTCAGCTAACATTCCATTGGCCACAGGTCACACAGCCAAGCCCAACATCAGAGTAGCAAGGAAGTGTACTCCTCCTACAGTGAGATGGACAGGGTAGTGAATATTTGCTGAACTCCAACTGTCACATGCATGAAGCTTCAATACAGTTTTAGAACTTAGAGAGTTCATGACAGTCATCTAATGAAGTTATATTTGCTCATTTTGCAAATGAGAAGATTGAGGCATAAAGAAATGTCTTTTCCAACATTATACTGTAAGTGAGTGTATAGCTGTGTCTAGATTAGAAATCTACTTTTTCTCTCACAAAAGCAGCCTCCTGCACACGAAAAAGTCTTGGTCTCTAGTTTCTTAAAAGATGGCAAACAAGCTTTGACTGCTGACATTCCCCCAAAATCAACGCTGATGAAACCAGAGAAGTGAGAGGAAGTTATGGATTCCATGAACTTTTGGGAAAACTGAAGGCTGTGTCAAATGTGTGTAAATTGAGGGGTTGGAGAGTTGAAGGTAGGCATGTCTACAGCTTGGTTTCTTCAACTGATTAATAAGCTAGACAGACCTCTGACAAAACTCCTTAAGGAGGAGAAAGAGAAGATGAAAATAAACAAAATACAGAGTAAAAATGTAGTAATATTTCCAAGCATTATGAAAAACTGCACATAAATAAATTTCTAAATCTAGTTGAAATGAGTGAGTTCCTAGAAAAAAAAAAATCCTGCCCAAATGGTTTTACAGGATTTCTCAGGGAATAGTTAATTTATATTTTATGCAAATTGCTCAAGAAAATGGAAAAAAAAATAACAGTGAGCATAAAGTCAGATAAGGATAATACAAGAAAAAAATCATGGATCTATTTTTAGCGTGAACGTGTATGCAGACAATCCCAACTGAAGCATTAGGTAATATTAGCAAATCCAATGGTGTATAAAAGCACAAAATGAGGAGGTGGGCTTTGTCCCAGGAACATTAAGCATCAGAAGATCTAATGAAGTAATTACCACCTCAATAGATTACAGCAGAAAACCATAATATAATATCAATGCAGAAAAGTATTTTAGTGAATGTCAGCACATGCTTCTAATTTAAAACGAGGAACTGGTGGAAGCTTCCTTAACTTGGTGTGGTAACATTGCTAGTGTTCAACCCTAACTGGCTTTGTTTTTCTTACAGACACACAACCAACTGCACATCTCAGTCCCTATGTAGCTAGGCAGCATCACATGACCAGTTCTGACCAATGGACTGCCAGGGGACAATTACTTGTCACATATGTGCAGAAGCAGTGAAACACGATGCATAATTTTTTGGTCTCTCATTCCTCCTTCTCCATGGAGGAGTCCTCTATTGAGGCAGCATGACCCAAATTTTCAAGCCATCAGCACGTGGAGGACAAGTGCCCTTGAAGGTTTCCCAGTTCCACAGAGGACTATGTTGCTGGGATAAGTCACTGCTATTAGGGCGTTGCATTGTTTTTGTTTTTTTGTTTTTATAACTGCAGCATAGCCTAGCCTATCTTGATAAACATACTTGATAAAAGTTGTATTCAAAACACCTAGAACAAAGTTATTCTTAATGGGAAAACTTGATTTCATCAATGCCTTTGAGAACAGAATTATTTTTTAAATGCCCAATGTCTCCACCACTATTTCATATAAGGTTTCGGTCATGACAACAAGAAAGAAAGAAAAGATCTAAACATTGGAATGAAAGATAAAACTATCACTCTTTGACAATAATAGGTTACCGGATAAAAGATGAACTTATAAAAGTCACTATCTTTTCTCTCCTGAAATTTCTTAAATCTTGCTTTTAAAATATCTATCAGAAGAGCAACAAAAAGTTTAGTTCCACAGAATACTCAAGATTTTGATAGAAAAAACTTTTAAATATTCATTAAACACATAGTAATAATGACCTGAGTAAATGGACAGACATTTTGTGCTCTACAGTAAGACAAGATTTTTTTTGTAAAGTCACTTCTTCCCAAATTAGCCCATAAAATCAGTTAAATTTCAATCAGAGTTGCAGGGTATGTTTTTTAATGCAAGAAATTTATTCCACATTAAATATGGAAGATTGAAGGCCTATGAAAACATAAGTCAAATTCGGGGAAAAAAACTGTAAAGAAGTAGGACTTCCTCTAGAACACGTAAATACAGACTATACAACTGTAGTGCTTTTTTTAAACGGAGTTTTGGCACACGCACAGACAAATATACAATAGAATAATAGAAGACTCAAAAACATACATGATGATGAAAATGATGTCATTGAACAATGGGGGGAAATAAAAAGAGTAAATAGTTTTGGAGAAACTGTTTTGCCCGTAAAAAGAAAAGCAAAACAATATTTATCTAAAACATACAAATGTAGATTCCAGAAAGATTAAAGATCTAAACAAAAAAAATACAAAATCAACAGAAAAAAAATGTAGAATGTTTTTTACCTGTGCCACAAAATCATAACTCATGAGCTAAAAATGTCATTCATCACACCAATATTAAGAAATTATATTAACTGAAGGTTACCCTGAGCAAAGATAACAAAGAGGAGTGATATTGGAATGTATGTGTAATACCTGAAATCAACAAGGGACTAATGGAAAGATGAGTTCTAGCAAATCAATAACAAAACGCCAGGAGCCCCATTTGGGGGGCAAAAAGGCCTAAGTGTGAAGAGGCAAATGATAGATAAGGAAACTTAAAAGTTATTCAGTCCTGTTAGTTACAGAATAAATGCAAGTTGGAAGAGTATGAGATACTCTTTACATTCATTAGTCTGGCAAAACTTAGAAAGCTAGCTAATGCCCAGTGTGGGTGGGGTATGGAGATGCCAGATCTCTGGGCCATGTGAATATAGCCATTCTGGAGAGCAGAAATAAGTATATGGCTCCAGAGAATCAGAATCAACAGGGCCGTGTGTGTGTGTGTGTGTGTGTGTGTGTGTGTGTGTGTGTGTGTGTGTGTTTAAAGAGAGAGAGAGATTTATTTTAAGGAATTGGCTTAAATAAATATGAAGGCTGGGAGTCCAAAATCTGACTGGGGAGGCCAGCAGGCTAGAGACCCAGGAAAGAGGGAAAGAGTTGCTGCTCAAGTCCAATGGTCCAATGGCCATCTGATAGCAAAATTCCTTCTTCCTCAGGAAAGGTCAGTCTTTATTCTGTGAAGGCCTTGAATAGGTTAGATGAGACCCATCCCCATTACAAATGGCAATCTGCTTTACTCAAAGACCACAGATTTAAATGTTCCTCTCATCCAAAAACATCTTCACAGAAACATCCAGAATAATGTTCGACCAAGCATCTGGGCACCATGGCCCAGCCACGTGGACACATAATATAAATCATCACACCACCCTAAAACCCAGAAGTTTCACTGCTAAATATAGATCCTATAGAAATGCTTACAGAGCTATGCACAAGTAAATATGCATGAGGATGTTCATTGCAGGGGTCTCGGTGGTAGCAGTAGCCCCCAAAAAGCCTCTCTCCTTCCTGTCATTTTCTCCTTAGACCCATTCTGCATACTGAACCTATTGAAATTAATTTAAAACACAAACATGTCCACATCATTTTTCTAACACAAACCCTTTAACACCTCCACACGTGTTGCACTAAGAACAAAACCACAAGTTTTTCAGCATAGTACTCTCTACGCTTGATACCTTTAGCCCAATCTACCCCTTATGCCTTGTTCCCTGAAATTCCCCACCTAACCTTTCACAGGTGGCTGGTAAGAAACTGATTGAGTTCTCAGAAAGTGTGCTGTCACGCCCTCCCAGCATTCTCACCACACGCTCCCTCTGCCGGAAATGCACACCCTTCTCTTTGTCTTCACTTGACAACTCATTTCTCCTCTCTTCTCCTGAATCTCCTGGAATCTGACAGCAAGCCTGCGGATTCCACCTACAAAATATATCCTGCATCCAGCCATTTCTCAGCTCCTTCTACTGCAGATGCTTTCATCCAAGCCAGTACATCTCTTACATGAAGATGCAGAGCTTCCCTGCTCCCCGCCACAATCTAAGTCCCATGCAGCAGCCAGACAGACCCATGTAGAGCTGCGTTGTCCAATGTAGTTGCCACTAGCCCCATGTGACTGTTTAAATTAAAATTGAAAAGCAGGTTCTTAGTCGCACTAGCCACATTTTGTAAACTCAATAGCTACATATGGCTATTGGCTAGCATATTGGACAGCATAGATATAGAACTTTTCCATCAGTGCAGAAAATCCTATTAGAGAGAAGTGATTTAGAGCATGTCACATTCTCTGCTCATACCCCTTCTTGTGTTTTCATTTTACCCGGAATAAAATCAAACGTTCTTACCATGGCCTACAAGACCATTCATGACCCAAACTCTGCTTATTTCTCTGCCCTAATATCCCACAGCTGCCCTTAATGCTCTTTACTCTGGCCACACTGGCCTTCTTGCTAGTCCTTGAACATGCTATGCACATCCCCGCCTCAAGCCTTCTGCCTGCTGGTGCTTTACCCAGACCTCTTTTCTGAGATCACGAGATCTCTGCTCCTTTCTTCTCAGTCAGGTGTTGGTTCAAATGTCGCCTTCTGAAACTCTTAATCTTTTGAAAGTTGTCGGAATCAAATTGGAGTCACTTGTGTTAAATCCTGACAAGTAAAGCCTGGGAAGGTCATGAAGGGAGGGCTGTCACATACAAATGCCTGATAAAGAAACTATCACAAAAGTGTCTGCCAAAACCATAACTTTGCACAAAGATCACCACAACATTACACAGAAAAATACTTCTTTGAGGACATTTGCCCAGCAACTTCCTGTCCAGCCTTGTTATTGATCCTTATATCCAATGGTTAATTGTCTCAAAACAACTTATGTAACCCTCCTCATTTTTCCTTTACAACCCCTTCTCTTCCTGTACCTCCCTTTACACACCCACATGTATTCTCATTGCAATGCCCACTTCCAAATAAACGTCATTTTTTTAAGAGTTTCCCTCTTTGTTATTTAGATTTGACATAATTTGATGTCAATCTAAAGAACTTCCTGCTGCCTGGCACTATCCCATTAAAGTATGTTATTTTCATCAAAGCATTTATTGTTGTCTGAATTTACATGACTTGCTTATTTGTCTATTGAGCACCATCACTGCTAGAATAAGAGATCAACATAAGCATAAAGCATCTCTGTCTTGTTTACTTTTTCATCCCCAGAGCCTAGAATAGTGCCTAACATTCAGTAAATGCTCACTAAGTGTTTGTTGACAGGGAGTGAAGGAAGTATTACTCATCTTTCAGGAGCCAGTTCAGACATCTCCTCCAGCAACTCAAGGGAAAATTCATGTAGATCTGGAGAAGTAAAAAGTATGCCTTCCTCCGACAGAGTTTTGAAACTTCCCTATACTGGATACAAGGGCACCCTCCCTTCCCCACCTCCCCACAGAAATCATTATAATCTATTTGTTATGGGCTTAATTGTGTTGCCCCAAAATTCATGTTGAAGTCTTTCACTACCTTAGAATGAAGCCATATTTGGAGATAAGGTCTTTTAAAAAGTGATTAAGGTTAAGTAAGGTCGTATGAGTGGGCCCTAATCCAAGCTGACTGGTGTCCTTATAAGAAAAGAAAAGGACACACAGAGAGACACGAGGGATGCACGAACACTCAGAGGAAAGACTATGTGAGGACGCCGCAGGGAGGGGGTCATCTGCGGGCCAAGGAAAAAGGTCTCAGAAGAAACCAGCCCTGCCAATACCTTGTTCCTGGACTTCCAGCCTCCAGAATTGTGAAAAAATAAGTTTCTGTTGTTTAAGCCAACCAATCTGTGGTATTTTATTATGATAGTCAAATACAGTATACATGGTGTTTGTATTGGCATGCCACTTTAAAAGACAGTACTACAACAGACAGTATGTTGGTATTCACTGTGTTTATCTCTATAATGTTGCATTTTTTCAAAGTATGTAGTACAAAATTTTTATTAACTCTATATGTGATGGTTAATATTAAGTGTCAACTTGATTGGATTGAAGGATGCAAAGTACTATTCCTGGTTGTGTCTGTGAGGGTGTTGCCAAAGGAGATTAACATTTGAGTCAGTGAACTGGGAGGCACTGACCCATCCTAAATCTGCATGGGCACCATCTAATCAGCTGCCAGCGTGGCTAGGATAAAGCAGCCAAACGAACGTGGAAAGATTAGACTGGTGTAGTCTTCTGGCCTACATCTTTCTCCCATACTGAATGCTTCCTGCCCTTGAACATCAGACTCCAAGTTCTTCAGCTTTTGGACTCTTGACCTTTGACCACAGATTGAAGGCTGCACTGTTGGCTTCCCTACTTTGGAAGTTACGGGACTCATACTGCCTTCTTTGCTCCTCAGCTTGCAGACAGCCTATTGTGGGACTTCACCTTGTGATCATGTGAGTCAATACTCCTTAATAAACTCCCTTTTATGTATACGTCTATCCTATTAGTTCTGTCTCTCTAGAGAATCCTGACTAATACACTGTGGCTGTTACTTTTTTCTTATTATAAATCGCCCATCATATCAATTCAACAGCTGTAGCTTTGACAACCAGGAATGACCACGGGCTGTTCTTGAAAGGCAAGCTTTTACCTCTCAGGGTGAATACAGTCAAAAAGCCTTTCCTTAAAGATCTTTTTCATTGAGTTCAATGCTGAGCTCCACATATTCAGATAAAAAGGCCGGACTCCTGAATTCTTTTTCAAGCTCTATAGTATTGAATAACCATTAAAATCTAAACTTTGTTCTTCACCTGTTGCTATCGGTTGGTTTCAAGGAGTTTTTTCCCCCAAGATCAGGTACTGGTGGAAAATCAATGCTGAGGGATCCATGAATGCAGTAGTAACGTCTCATTCAATAATAGGTTTTGTATTGAGAAATGAAATCATCAAATAGCAAACAGATACATTTTCTACCACTTGTCATTACAAAGAAATTCCCTGTCCTTACTCCTCTCAAAAGGAGTGTGTTTGTATGTGTTTGTTTCGCCATCTTTCACTATAAATTCACTGGAGAGAATGCCACGTAATAGAACTCAGTACGTGATGGGACTATACGATATCAACATCCAACAGAAATTGTGCGAAGTTCAGTCAGTTTTCCAATTTCTTCCTATTCCTTTTGCCTGATTCACCATTTCCTGCTCATAACATGGTCCTGCATTCCATTTTCCAACCTTCTGCTTTCTTCATGGTTATCCAAACCTATCGGCCACAATGAGCTCTCAGCACTTCACCTTCTTGGGTCTCAGCCCCATGTTTTGGTATCACTGTCCACCTGCATACCTCTTTACTAGTTTCCTCTTCTCCATTTGTGGAGTCCCTGGTCTAGCAATGACAAACTCTTTGCCCCTTTGCTTAAGCCCCCGCTTTCTGGCCCAACATTCTCACTCTTTATAGGCGTCCTTGCCTCTTACTTCAACGAGAAGCATCAATGCTGCCTGAATCACAGCATTGTCTACCTCCTCTGAATTCTTCTCCTCTATCTGTCCTTATATACCGTCCTGCACTGTTTCGTCTCAATCTGAAATGTATGTATATTAAATCAGATCATATCTTCAGCATTCCAAGCAGTTTTGTACCTAACTAAAAACTAAAAATTATTACTGAAGTGGAAAGATTATGCGGTCAACTGAGATTGGCCTGGATCAGAGTGCTGGCCCCATGATATGGTTTGGCTGTGTGCCCACGCAAATCGCGTCTTGAGTTGTAGTTCTCATAATCCCCACGTACCATGGGAGGGCCCCAGTGGGAGGTAATTTAATCATGGGGGCAGTTACCCCCACACACTGCTGTTCGTGTGATAGGGAGTGAGTTCTCATGAGATCTGCTGGTTTCATAAGGGAATTTTCCCCTTTTGCTCTGCATGTCTCTTTCCTGCTGCTATGTGAAGAAGGATGTGTTTGCTTCCCCTTCGCCCATGATTGTAAGTTTCCTGAGGCCCCCCAGCCCTGCGGAGCTGTGAATCAATAAAACCTCCTTCCTTTATAAATTACCCAGTCTTGGGTATGTCTTTATTAGCAGCATGAGAATGGACTAATACATCCAGCCACCTACCAGCTATGAGACAATGAAGATGTAGATTGACCTCTCTGAACAAGTATTTTATACACATATGTATGTATATAAAATACTAAGATACTTAGTATATGAAATACTTACATACACACATGTATGTATGTAAAATACTTATATACACATATGTATGTATATAAAATACATGGTATTAGCATATCAATATACTTTTTAAAAAATTGTTATGATTTCTCTAGAGTTTTCAGTTAACATTAACAACTAACCTAAGTCTATATTCAAATAACACTATACCACTTCATGGATAGTTCAGGTACCTTATAACTGAGTATTCTCAATTCCTCCTATCTGTCCCTTATAACATTGCTATCATTCATTTTATTTATTTATAAGACAGAGTCAATCAATATTCATTGTTGCTATTATTATTTTGAATAGTTGTCCATTAGATCAATTAAGAATAAGGAAAATATTATATTTTATCTTCACTTACTCCTTCTCTAATGCTTGTCCTTTTTTATGTCCAAGTTTCTGACCTACATAATTTTCCTTCCCTCCTAGGAACACCAAGCACTGGTGAGGATGTGGAGCAATTGCCACTGGGAATGCAAAATGGTACAGCCACCTTGGAAGACAGTTTGGCAGTTTCTTAGAAAACTAACATAGGCTCACATAGAAACATAGTTTTCATAGAAAACTAACATAGTGCAATAATCACACTTTTTGGTATTTACCCAAGTAAGTTGAAAATGTATGTCCACGTAAAACCTGTATGCAAATATGTAGAGGAGCCTTATTCATAATTGCCAAAAACTGGAAGCAACCAACATATTCCTCAAAAAATAGATATGTATCAAATGGATAACAAATTAACTTTAATGTCTCATAAGAGAAATCTGTTAGCAGTAAATACATGAAAGATTAATTTCAAAGCAATATTTAAATCAATCATTAAAAATTGTTAGAATGTAATCAGAATTGTCTGCATCTAAAAAGACAGAAATCTTTGCTAGGGTCTCTGCAAGGAAATGTACAATTTCAAAAAGTAAAAAAAATTTGTAGGACCTTTAAGCCAATGTTAGCAATCCATTAAAAGGTGAAAGTCAAGTAAGAGGAGAGATTTGATACAACTCTTAGATGTCAATATTTTCAGAAGTGCTTTAAGTCAAAAAGAGAGGACAAATATAAAAGTTGTCCTTACCAAGCTAAACCTGCAAATGGCATAATTTAATGTGCCCAGAAGACATATTGAAAACCTGATTGAGAAACTGAGCTTCTCTCTTCACAGCTGGCTGAACATGTAAATGTTCAATATTTAATCATTTTAATGGTGGTCTTCTGTGAAAACATGTCAATTTTCAGCATACTTGAATGGAAAATAACTGATGAGGAAATTTTAAAAAATCAGTGAGTGTTTTAGTGGATATGGGGTCAACTGGAAAAAATGACTAGAAAATCAAGTGTGGAGCCAAATCAATGAAGACAAAACTGCTGGAGTGGTGGTTGTCATACCGCAGGCCATTAAGAACAAGGAATGCATCAGTATTCATTTCATCATTCACTGAGAATGAAGTGCTTGCCTCTTGATTTTCTCACTGTGTTTGATGGGGTGGTAAAAGCAGGCAATTTGGTAGAATAAGCAAGATGACAAAAAATGAGTGCTTCAAGACATTTTCCATGGAATGGGAAGGAGCTTTGAAAACTTACTCTGGACAACGACAACAAAAAAAATGGATTGGGAAATGTCCATTGATTAGTATGAGCTGAGGAAGTCAAAGCCAGGAACACATACAGAGGAGTTTGCAGGAAAGAATGATAGGAGGTGATTAATGACTCCAGTCTTGGAGGAGAAGGGATAAGAATGAGTGACAGGGGTGAAAAAAGGAGCCTTAAAACAATGAAGGTCATTGACATTGTTAGGAGCAGCAGTCATTTTCTTTCTTCCCTTCTTGCTCGCAGCCAAAAAGAGAACAAAAGGATGGAGAACTACAGAAGATAGTATCCAAGGAATGGGACATTTCAGACATTTGCAATATTTGATACAGTGTGTAGCAGTTGTCATTCTTCACAGTTTCCAGGTGTGTCATTTCACCACCCAGGAGCCTCTTATGTGAAAGGGTTTGAGAAATCTTTGAGAAACCTTTAAGGGAGACTCTGAAACCCCCTCCTCATAGCCGACCACCAAGGACTGCAATCATTTACCAGGATGAACTGCTCTGCAAATCATCTCCTTCCTTTGTTGGTCTATTTTTATCCAATGGACTCATGAACAAAGCAGCTATGACAGTGTGGTGGACATTGCGTGGCCTTGATAATAATGAGTCTCCCCTCAAAAGCCAACTTGGCTACAACCACTGCAGATTTCTGATATTCCAGCAACAGTGATTGTATTAGTCAGGGTTCTCTAGAGGGACAGAACTAATGGAATGTATATACATATCTATAGAGAGAAGTTTATTAATTATTAACTCACACGATCACAAAGTCCCACAATAGGCCTTCTCCAGGCTAAGGTGCAAGGAGAGCCACTCCAAGTTCCAAAACTGAAGAACTTGGAGTCCAATGTTCAAGGGCAGGAAGCACCCAGCACGGGAGAAAGATGTAGGCTGGGAGGCTAGGCCAGTCTCTCTTTTCACATTTTTCTGCCTGCTTTTATCCTACCCATGCTGGCAGCTGATTAGATTGTGCCCACCCAGATTAAGGGTGGTTCTGCCTTTCCCAGCCCACTGACTCAAATATTAATCTCCCTTGGCAACACCCTCCCAGACACACCCAGGATCAATACTTTGTATCCTTCAATACAATCAAGTTGACACTCAGTATTAACCATCACAAGTCTACGCCTTGTCAACTTGAACCCATACACATTTCCTAAGATCATACATAATCTTCAAATAAAGACAATAATAAGGTCATAATTATACCTAACATAATACAACTATCCTTTGTTCAACCAGAAACATACCAGTCCCCAACCCAAATACTATTACATAAAGTTAACAATACTTAAATGCTGATGTGAAGTCAATAAATCTTAGGTCACATGATAAAGGAGAAAGGAAAAAAAATGAAGATATTTTCTTAGCATAAGTGTATACATGCACAAACATATTTTTAACAAAAGAAGAAGGAAGTACTCATGACAGTTACAGTCCTTATTTCTGCAGCTGGTCAAGTGTTCATAGCTGGTATTGATGATTATCTTCTTCTACTACCCATTCTGTGTTCACTTTGCCTTCAGCAAGCACCCCAGCAGGTCATGGTTTTTTCCTGGTGGAGTGACCCAAACCTTATTCCTAAAGGCTCTGGGTCATTTGTAGTCCTGCCTGGGTTGGGCTGTTGTAGTTTCCCATTGACCTTAATCACAGGGCATGGTAATACTAAAAGATGCCCTAATGAATCTCCTGTATTCCATGCATAATCTTCCTTACCTCCAATGTGGAGTAATAGACTGATTTCATCTCAATAGTCCAGGTCAAGCACCCCAGCAAACACTGTAACTCCCTTAGCCTGTTGACTTAAAGAAAGAGAAGCCCAAAGTGTACAAGTAGCAATCTTAACTTCCAGTTTAATGGAATTGTGTCTCCTGGTGGCAGTGTTCCTCCCTCTGGAACTAGGACCTCTAGGCCAGCAGAACGTAATGTCAAGGGAAAAGGAAGCAAAAATTTTGCTAGTGGATAACTAGGGGTGATGGTGAGTGGTGCCACTTCTACTTCCACCCCATGATTCCTGGACCTGTGAATCCTTGCTATGGGAGAAACGGTACCATATATTGGACGCTGATTCAGGGCATACATGGCCTTCTGCAGAACTTTGCCCCAGCCCTGCCAAGTATGGTCACCTAGTTGGCATTGTAATTGTGACTTCAAAAGGCCATTCCACCGTTCTATCAATCCAGCTGCTTCAGGATGATGGGGAACATTATAAGACCAGTGAATTCCATGAGCATGAGCCCACTGCCACTCTTTTTTAGCCATAAAGTGAGTGCCTTTGTCAGATGCAATGCTGTGTGGATTAACATGACGGTGGATAAGGCATTCCATGAGTCCACAGTTGGTAGTCTTGGCAGAAGCATTGTGTGCAGGATAGGCAAACCCATATCCAGAGTAAGTGTCTAGTCCAGTGAGGACAAACCTCTGCCATATCCATGATGGAAGAGGTCCAATATAATCAACCTGCCACCAGGTAGCTGGCTGATCACCCCAAGGAATGGTGCCATATAGAATGCTTTGTTGATCTCTGCTGCTGGCAAAGTGGGCACCCAGCAGCTGTCATAGCTAGGTCAGCCTTGGTGAGTGGAAATCCTGTTGCTGAGCCCATGCATAATCTCCATCCCTGCCACCATGGCCACTTTGTTCATGGGCCCATTGGGCAATGACAGGGGTGGCCGGGGAAAGAGGCTGGGTGGCATCCACAGATTGGGTCATCCTATCCACTTGATTATTAAAATCCTCCTCTGCTGAGGTCACCCGCTGGTGAGCATTCACATGGGATACAAATATCTTCACAGTTTTTTGACCACTCAGAGAGGTCCATCCACATACCTCTTCCCCAGATTTCTTTGTCATTAATTTTCCAATCATGCTTCTTCCAAGTCCCTGACATCCAGCCAAACCATTGGCTACAGCCCATGAATCAGTATATAATTGCACGTCTGGCCATTTCTCCTTCCACGCAAAGTGCACAACCAAATGCATTGCTCAAAGTTCTGCCCACTAGGAAGATTTTCCTTCACCACTGTCCTTCTGGGATGTCCTAGAATGGGGATGTAGTGCTGCAGCTGACCACTTTTGGATGGTGCCTGCATATCATGCAGAACCATCTGCGAACCAGGCCCTAGTCTTATCTTTCTCTGTCAACTGGTCATAGGGAACTCCCCATGAGGCCATGGGTGCAGGGTCGGGGACAGAAGGCAGGGTGCCAGGAGTGGAGACCATGGGCATTTGAGCTACTTCCTCATGTAACTTACTTGTGCCTTCAGGACTTGCTCGAGCCCAGTCACGTGTATATCACTTCCATTTGATGTTGGAAAGCTGCTGTACATGACTCACTTTATGCCCAGATGGGTCAGAAAGCACCCAGTTCTTGATAGGCAGTTCAGATCGCATGGTGACTTGATGACCCATAATCAAACGTTCAGTTTCCACCAAAGCCCAGTAACAGGCCAAGAGCTGTTTCTCAAAAGGGGAGTAGTTATCTGCAGAAGATGGCAGGGCCTTGCTCCAAAATCCTAGAGGCCTCTGCTGTGATTCACCTATGGGGGACTGGCAAAGGCTCCAAGCAGCATCCCTATCTGCCACTGACACCTCAAGCACCATTGGATCTGCTGGGTCATATGGCCCAAGTGGCAGAGCAGCTTGCACAGCAGCCTGAACCTGTTGCAGAGCCTTCTCCTGTTCTGGACTCCACTCAAAACTGGCAGCCTTTCGGGTCATTCAATAAATGGGCCAGAATAACACACCCAGATAAGGAATGTCTTGTCTCCAAAATCCAGATGGGCTCACTGTTTGCCTCTTTCTTAGTTGTAGGAGGAGCTAAATGCATCTTATCCTTCACCTTAGAAGGAATATCTCAACAGGCCACACCACTGGACTCCTAGAAATTTTACTGAGGTAGAAGGTCCCTGAATTTTAGTCAGATTTATTTCCCATCCCCTGGCATACAAATGTCTAACCAATAAGTCCAGTGTGTTTGCTACTTCTTGCTCACATAATGGATCAAATCAACGTAATGTCATCAATGTAACGGACCAATGTGATATCTTGCAAAAGTGAAAAGCAATCAAGGTCTCTTCAAATAAGATTATGACACAAAGCCAGAGAGTTGATATGCCCCTGAGGTAGGACAGTAAAGGCATATTGCTGGCCTTGCCAGCTGAAGGCAAATTGCTTCTGGTGGACCTTACGGACAGGAATGGAGAAAAAGGCATTTGCCAAGTCAATGGCTGCATACCAGGTACTAGGAGATGTGTTAATTTGCTCAAGCAATGAAACCACATCTGGTATAGCAGCTGCAAATGGAGTTACAACTTGGTTAAGCTTACAATAATTCACTGTCATTTTCCAAGATGCATCTGTCTTCAGCACAGGCTGGATGGGAGAGTTGAATGGGGATGTGGTGGGAATCACCACCCCTGCGTCTTTCAATTCCTTCATGGTGGCATTAATCTCCACAATCCCTCCAGGGATGCAACGTTGTTTTTGATTTACTATTTTTCTAAGCAGAAGCAGCTCTAGTGGCTTCCATTTGGCCTTTCCTACCATAATATCCCTCACCCTACCAGTCAGGGAGCCAATGTGGGAGTTCTGCCGGCTGCTAAGTATGTCTATGCCAATTATGCATTCTGGCACTGGGGAAATACCACAGGATGAGTCCAGGGACGCACTGGACTCCCTGTAAGTCAGAACTGAGCTAAAACTCCATAAATTACCTGACCTCCATAAGCCCCTACTTTAACTGGAGGAACACAATGATGTTTTGGGTCTCCTGGAATTAACATCAGCTCAGAGCCAGTGTCCAGTAGTCCCCAAATGTCTGATCATTTCCCTTTCCCCAGGGCACAGTTACCCTGGTAAAAGGCCAGAAGTCTCCTTGGGGAAGGATGGGAGAAAGATCCACTGCATAAATTGTCGGTAATGTAGTGGGGTCCTTCCTCAAGGGGACCAGTCCTCCCCTTCATTCAAGGGGTTCTGGGTCTGTAAACTGGCTCAAGTCTGGAAATTGACTGAGGGTCCGTGATTCTCTGTTTTTATAATTCAAATTAGTCTTTTATACATTTGAACTAGAAGTTTTCTGCTTATACAAAGTAGGAATGCGATAGGCTTCCTATCAATTTCACTTCTAGGAACACTGTGACTAATTAGCCAGTGCCAGAGCTCTACACGAGTCAGACTATTCTGATTGCCACTTTGCCTCTGCTGTCCATTACGGTCGCTACACCCACCTTGCCTTTGATGGTTGAGTGCTACCACTTGGTCCCTGACACCTCGGGATCCAATTATTCCCATTGTATTTAAATTTTGTAATTGAGTGACTGCAGTTCCCGCTGTTGCATCTGACATACAGAGAAGAGCAATTACAAGGCTCTTCAGAGATGCAGGTGCTGCCCTCACGAATCTATTTTGCAAGGCATTGGTCAAGGGTATATCTTCTGGACCCTTCCAGCTGGGATGAGTACATCTAAAGTGACTAATCCACTCCACCATCCCAATCTCTCTAAGCCTTTTGATCCCTTCCTCTACATTAAACCAAGGGAGATCAGGCATTTCCAGCTTGTTCACAGTGGGCCATCTTTTAGTCCGAATGTCCGCTAACCAAGCAAATAAACCTTTAACTCCCTGAGCTGCAACATTAAATATAGAGTTCCTATTTAGTGGGCCCAAATCAATAAATTCAGCCTGATCCTACTCTATGTTCCTTTCACCATTATCCCACACCCTTAATAGCCATTCCCATGCCTGTTCTCCAGATTTCTGTTTATGTAAATTAGAAAACTCAAGCAGTTCTTTTCAAGTGTAGTACACCTCTTCATGGGTCACACTCTTACCCTCACCTCTAGGGGCCCACCTGGACTTTAGTCTAGTTACAGGTCTAGAAGCAAATGGGGTGTTGGGGGTGGCTCCTGAGGAAAATCAACATTATCTTGCCTGGCAGCTGCCTGAGGGGAGGCCATCACTGTTGCCTCAGGCAGCGCAGGGTTTATTTCCTCAGACAAAGGTGGAAAGGCTGGTGGCAGCATGGGTGGAGGAGGGGATGTTGCCAATACTGGGGATGGGGAAGCTGTTCCTTCTGGCAAAAAAGGTTCGTCAGAGTTTATAAACTCAGTGTCTCCAACTTCATCAGAGTCCTCCCTCACATCCCCATTCCAAGTTTCAGGGTCCCCTTCTTTTCCAATCAATGCCCTCACTTTAACAGTAGACACCTGGCGAGGCTGTGCATGCACCTTTCATTGCAGGTCAGCCACTCACATGATAAGAGCTTGTGTCTGTTTTTCCACAATTTCAGCTCTTTCTCTACAGGAGGTAAGACTCTCACTCAGGGCAACATTAGCAGATTTGAGGCTCAGTATCTTCTTCTGAAGCCAGGAGATAGAATTCCCGAGTTCATCATTTTCTTTCCTCACTTTGTCCACTGAACTTAGGAGCAACCAACTAGCTTTATTATATTCCTTTGTTCTCCACATATGATCAAAGGTAGTATTATAGAGTCACTAAACTCATTGCTTCTCGTGAGTGATGAATCAGGAGTGTCAAATGCATTTGTTTTGCATAACTCTCTAAACGTTCACGCCAAGGACTATCAATGTTCTCCATACCATTAGAAGTAGAGTCCTTAGCATTTTTTGGGTCTAATCATATTAAGCAGCCAACTCTAGAAACCCCAAAACCAATGAAAGAACTCTATCCTTAATATTCTGTTCCTCTAGAACCACTCCTGCAAGTCCAAGTTTCAAAACTGAAGAACTTAGAGTCTGATATTCGAGGGCAGGAAGCATCCAGCATGGGAGAAAGATGTAGGCCCGGAGGCTAGGCCAGTCTCTTTTCACATTTTTTTGCCTGCTTATATTCTAGCCATGCTGGCAGCTGATTAGACAGTGCCCACCCAGATTAAGGGTGGGTCTGCCTTTCCCAGCCCACTGACTCAAATGTTAATCTCCCTTGGCAACACCCTCACAGACATACCCAGGGTCAATACTTTGTATCCTTCAATACAATCAAGTTGACACTCAGTATTAACAACGACAGTGACCTACCCAGACCTGAAATAGAGACCACACAGCTCAAGGGAATAAGTTCTCCTGGCATGTTCAATAATAGTTTTTCTGAAGTGGAGGGAGAGCCATTAACTGAAAGAGCCAAGCTCTGTGCTCCAAAAACCTCATCCCATCTTCATATAAAGTCACATTTCCAATGGGCTTCTCCTAGCCAATGACTGAGCATGGCAGGGATGTTTTAATGGCATGTATGCATTGTCCTGATAAAAGTTATAAACTTTAAGAGGTGATGTCAGCAAGATGGCCAACTAGAAGCCCCTAGCACTCATCCCCCCAACAAAGGCAACCAAAGCAATAAATAAACAACCGCACTTTAACAAAAATAACTAAAAGACAGTGCCGGAATACATCAAATGAGTAACACAAACCTAGGTGACCACAGAAACTTAGGCTAACAACATGAAGAACAGAATAGAGAACACCTGACCTCCACCACCTCATCCCCCAGCCAAGATCAGCTGAGAACCAGGGGGAACTTCTTCCTGCAGGGAAAAGGTAAGGTAGGCAAGAGGATCTCAGTGCCCCTGGCAACACCTTGGGCTCTTCCAGTCCTCACCATTGGAGTCCCCTGCAGTTCTCACAGGCATTAAGCCCAGCTGAAAGAACTGCCTGGAGTCCACAAAGCTGTGGTCCCCCAGAGAAGGACCCACACGTGACTCACCCCGTGGCCTGTGGGGCTACTGCACTATACAATCTGAGAACTGGAACTATGGCTGGGGTGTGTCTTGTTCCAGGATGAATGCCCAGAACCACCGCCTACCCTGTGGCCCAACATCCTCAAGCCCAGCTACAACCAGCTGTTACACCCATCCCTGTGAGGCCAAGTGGTACTGGAGCCACTCCACTTACCCATCCTAGGCCCCAGGCCCTGGTGGCACCTTGCCCCCTCAGGTCCGAGCTGGAGCTGCACACTCGCTTCTGGGGAAACAGTGCTTTGGCAGAACCACTCCATCTACCTCTCCAGTCATACCTGCATCCTGCACCTAGGGGCCTGAGCTAAAGCTGTGCGCTGCCTCCTGGGAAAATGGTGCCTTGGCAGAACTATTCTAATGACCCCTCCCATTGGCTACTATAGCACCCTGCAACTGGAGACCAGAACCAAAACAGAGCACTTCCTTCTGGGGAAACAGTGCTGAAAGAGAGCTGCTCCATCCACCTCTCCTAGTACTGCAGAACCCTGTCCCTGGGCACAAGCTAAAGCTGTACACTCCCTCCTGGAAATGGTGCTTCAGTGGAGGTACTCCATTTGCCCTTCTCCAGGCATTGCTGCACCCTGCGCCTAGGGGCCTGAACTTAAGCTGCACTCTGCCTGCCAAGAAAATAGTGCCCTGGAAGATATGCTCCAAAAACCCTTGCCAGTCACTGCTGTAGTTTGCTTCCTTGGGCTGGGGCAGAAACAATGCCAGGCATCCAAGGGAAATGGTGCTATGGCTGCCCAGGTCAGTCCCACCCCTCTGGGTCTGAGCTGAAGCAGTACCCTGTCTCCTGGGGAAACATTGCCTTGGCTGCCCAAAGCAGTCAGGTACCCTACTACCTAAGCTGAAGTGGTGCCTTGCCTCCCAGGGAAATGATGTCTGGTCTGCCCAGAACAGCCACACCCCTAGGCCTGAGCTGAAAAGGCACATTACCCCCTGGGGAGGTGGTACCTTGACCAGGCTGAGCAACAACACATCCTGGGGCTTAGTTGATGTGGTATTCCATATCTCAGGGAAACAGAGCAGTGGCTGAGCTGGGACATTCCACCTTACAGACCAAACACTCTAGTACACTCCTCCCCTAGAGCTAGACTAGCCCTCTAGGGTCTGAGCTGCTAAGACACCCCTCTGTCTGGGTAGTAAAATCATCGCCGTGCCTGCTTCTTGCCCCTCAGGATGTAAATGACAGCAGTGCTCAACCATCCTGGAGTACTTGCTGCCACTGCACCTGGTCTCACAGAATATGGGATACTGCTGAGCCCCATCATTCCAGGGTCTAGTCACCACTGCAAGGTGCCTCACACCCTGGGACCTGAGATTCCACTGAGTCCTATTGGCTGAGGTTCCCAAATTGCAACCATAACCTTCTGTTTCTAAACCTCCAGAGCACCCCTTCTTCCCCAGAGTCAGGTCAGTGTTGTGCCCTGCCCCCATGGGTAGAATCACAGATACAACCTGGACCCCTGGGCCTGAGCTGCTAGGGGGTGGCTCAGAGTCACAGATCATAACTCTTTGGGCAACCTACATCCAACCATACCAGAGAGCAAACCTGCACCCAAGATCCAGGTGCCACAAGGTTCATGAGACCCTGAGCCTAGGAACCCAGCCCCACAGCCTCCCCAAGCACCTGCACCTGGAACCCAGTACCATTACAGCTGCTTGTTGGACATGTCAGAGCTGACAGCAAGAGGAGTCCCCTGAGCTAAGCTTGCCCATTATGGAGAAATTGAAAATAGGAGGACCCCAAAAGCCCTCACCACCAGACCCTAACAACCTACAATCCCTTCACTGCTGCCACAAATGTCTTCTCCTGGAATTCCCATAATATAAACTTTTGTTCACTTAATGGTGGCCCATAATTCTTGAAGGCTTTCTTCACTCATTTTCATTCTTATTTCCTGTTTTATGAGGCACCCACAGTTATTGCTGATATTGAAGGCAGTTGAAAAGCTGCATGAAGACTATACCACTGCATCTACCCAGAAAAGAGACACCACACCCTTCCCAACTGGCAAACTTAGACCTAAACGCAGGTAAAAGTTTCTCTATGAAAGGATCTCCGAATTTGAAGACACATTGTTGGAAATTACCCAAAGGATAAAAATCAAGAAATAAGAATGAAAAAGAGTGAAGAAAGCCTACAAGACTTATGAGACACCATTAAGTGAACAAAAGTTCATATTATGGGAATTCCAGAAAGAGAAGAGATGGAGAATGGCATAGAAAACCTATTAATTGAAATAACAGCTGAAACTCCCCAAGTTTTAAGAGAGATATGGACATCCAGACCCAAGAAGCTTAAAGGTTCCCAAATGGATTCAACTCAAAAAGGTCCTCTCTGAGGCACATTAAAGTCAAATTGTCAAGAGACTAAGAGGGAATTCTAAAAACAGCAAGAGAAAAGTGTCAAGCCACATATAATAGAACCTCCAGTAGGCTAACAGAAACTTTATAGGCCAAGAGAGAATGTGATAATATATTCAAAAGTGCTGAAAGAAAAAAATTTCCAGCCAAGAATAGCTGTTCTTCAGAAATGAAGGAAAAATAGTCTTTCCCAGACAAGCAAAACCTGAGGAAATTCATCATCACTAGGCCAGCCTTACAAGAAATGCTCAAGGGAGTCCTATATCTAGAAATGAATGACAATAATAACTATCAAGAAAATGCACAAAAGTAGAATGCTCACTAATAGAGCAGATACACAAAGGAGAAAGACAAAAAAATCAAACTTTATCACAAAAGAAAACCAACAAACTGCAATGATAAACAAAAGAGAGGAAGAAGAAAACACAGGATACACAAAGCAACTAACAAAACCACAGAAGTAAGTACACACATATCAATAATAATCTTGAATATAAGTGAATTCAATTCCCCACTTAAAAATCATAGACTGGCTGAATGGATTAAAAAAAACATAACCCAACATATACTGCCTAAAAGAAACTCATTTCACCTGCAAGGACACACACAAAGTGAAGGGATGGAAAAAGATATTCCATACTAACAAAAAACAAGAAGAAGCAGGAGTAGCTATACTTATATCACATAAAATGACTTTATATCAAAAAACATAAACAAAGAGATGTCATTATATAATGATGCAGGAATCAATTCAGCAAGAGGATGTAACAATTGTAAATATATATATACCCAACACTGGAGCACTCAGATATGCAAACTAAATATTATTAGATGTAAAGAGAGAGATAAACTCCAATGCAATGATATCTGGGACTTCAACACCCCCCTCTCAGGACTGGAAAGATCATCTAAATGGGAAATCAACAGAGAAATGCTGGATTTAAAGTGCACTTTAGATAAAATGGACCTAACAGACATATACAAAACTTTTCATCCAAAAAGTACAAAATGCACATTCTTTTCATCAGCACATGGAACATTCTCTAGGAGAGACCACATGTTAGGCCACAAAATAAGTCTCAATGAATTTAAAAACTTATAATTATATCAAGTATATTTTCTGACCACAATGGAATAAAACTAGATGTTAATAATAAGAGAAACTGAAAACTGTACAAATGCATGAAAATTACAAAACACGCTCCGGAATGACTAAAGAGTCAATAAAGGTATTAAGAAGGAAATTTGAAAATTTATTGAAACAAAAGAAAATAATAACACAACATACCACAACCTATAGGATACATCAAAAGAAGTACTAAGAAGGAAGCATATAGCAATAAATGCCTAAATTCCCAAAAGTAAAAAATATTTCAAGTATACAATATAATGATGCTTCCCAAGGAACTAGAAAGTCAATAAAAAAACAAATCCAAAATTAGTACAAAGCAAAAAACAATAAAGATCAGAGTAGAATTTTTTAAAATAGAGGCTGAAAAAAAATACAAAAGACCAAGAAAATGCAAAATTGGCTTTTGGAAAAGATAAACAAAATTAATAAACTATTAGCTACACTAACCAAGAAAAGAGAAAAGACACAAATAAACTCAGAAACAAAAGGGAGACGTTTCAACTGATACCACAGAAACACAAACCCAGGATCATTAGAAACTACTACAAAAAAACTACATGCCAAAAAATTGTAAAGCTAAGTGGAAATGGATAAATGCCTGGACACATACAACCTATCAAGATTAAACCAAGAAAAAATAGAAAGCCTGAATAGACCAATTCAGAATAATAAGACTGGATCAGTAATAAAGTGTCTCTCAACAAAGAAAAGCCTAGGACCTGATGACTTCGCTTCTTAACTCTACCAAACATTTAAAGATAATATCAATTCTTCTCAAACTCTCCCAGAAAACTGAAGACAAGGGAATTCTTTCAAATTCATCCTATGAGGTCAGCATTACCCAGACAAGGACACAACAACAAAAATTAAAAAAAAAAAAACCACAGGCCAATATCCCTGATAAACATAGATGTGAAAATCCTCAACAAAATACTAGCAAACTGAATCCGGCAGCACATTAAAAAGATCATTCACAACAACCAAGTGGAGCTTATCCCAGAGAGGCAAAAATGTTTTAACACATGCAAATCAATAAATGGGATATATCACATCAACAGAATGAAGGACAAAAGTCATATAATTAGCTAAATCGACACAGGAAAAAGCATTTGATAAAATTCAGCATTCCTACATGATAAATATTCTCAACAAGAAACATACTGCAACACAATAAAGGCCATATATGACAAACCCACAGCTAACATCACACTGAATGAGGGAAAGCTAAAAGTTTTTTCTCTATGAATTAGAACAAGATGAGGATGTCCACTCTCATCATTACTATTCAACATAGTTCTAGAAGTCCTATCCAGAAAAATTAAGTCAGAAAAACAAATAAACGACATCAGATTGGAAAGAAGGAAGTCAATTTGTCCCTGTTTGCAGAAAATATGATCTTATATATAAAAAGACCTAAAAGCTCCACCAAAAAACTCTTAGAACTGATATACAAATTAAGTAAATTTACAGGATACCAATTAACATACAAAAAATCAGCAGCATTTCTATACATGAATAACAAACTGCAGAAAAAGAAATCAAGAAATCAGTCTCTTTACAATAGCTACCAAAAATAAAATAAAAATACCTAGAAGTAAATTTAACCAAGGAAGTGAAAGGTCTCCACAAGGAAAACTGTAAAACACTGATGAAAGAAACTGAAGAGGATAGAAACAAATGGAAAGACATCCCATGATCATGGATTGGAAAAATCAATACCATGAAAATGACCATAGTAAGAAAAACAATCTACAGATTCAATGCAATTCCTGCCAAAATAACAATGATAGAAATAGGTGAAAAACAATACTAAAATTCATATGAACCACAAGACCCCAAATAGACAAAACAAACCTGAGCAAAAAGAACAAAGGTAGAGACTTCACAGTACCCAACTTCAAAATATACTACAAAGTTATAGTAACCAAACAGCATGGCACTGGTATAAAAACAGATACATAGGCCCATGGGACAGAAAGGATAAACCAGAAACAGATCCATATATTTACGACCAACTGATTTTTGACACAGGTGCTGAGAACATTCATCGGGGAAACGGCAGTCTCTTCACTAAACGGTGCTGGGAAAACTGGATATCCATATGTGGAAGAATGAAACCAGACCCCCACCTCTCACCATACACAAAAATCACTCAAAATGGATTAAAGATTAAATGTAAGACCCAAAAATATGAAATTACTAGAAGAAAACATAGGGGAAACACTTCAGGACATTGGTCTGGGAGAAGATTTTATGAATAAGACTTTAAAAGCCCAGCCAACAAAAACAAAAATAGACAAATGAGATTACATCAAATTAAAAAGTTTCTGCACAGTGAAGGAAACAACAGAGTGAAGAGAATGGTAGAACAACCAGTGGAATGGTAGAATATATTTACAAACTAGTCATCCACCAAGGATGAAAATATTTGCAAACTGTTCATCCACAAATAATTCATTATGGATTTATATCCAGAATACACAAGGAACTCAAACAATTCAACAGGAAAAAATAATAAATGCAATTTTTAAATCGACAAATGAACAGGTAGACATCTCTCAAAGAAGACATACAAATGGCCAAAAAGTATACAAGAAAATGCTCAACATCACTAATCATCAAAGAGATATCACCTTGTCCTAGTTAGAATAGCTGTTATCAAAAGATAAAAAACAACAAATACTGGTAAGGATGTGGAGAAGTGGAAATTCTTATACACTTTTGGTGGGAATGTAAACTAGCACAGCCAATATGGAGAACAATATGGAGGTTCCTCAAAAAACTACAAATAGAATTATCATGTGATCCAGCATTCCCACTACTGGGCATTTATCCAAAGGAAAGGAAATCAGTACATTAAAGAGACATCTGCACCCCCGTGTTTATTGCAGCACTGTTCACAATACCTAAGCCATAAAATCAATCTAAGTGTCCATAAATGGATTAATGGATAAAGAAAATGTTGTGTATGTGATATACATATTCAATAGATATACATATTCAATGGAATACTATTTATCCATAAAAAAGAACAAAGTCCTATAATTTGTGACAGCATGGATGAACTTAAGTGAAATAAGCCAGGCACAGAAAAACAAATACCACATTTTCTCACACATATGTGAAAGCTAAAAAAAGTAAATCTCACAAAAGTAGCAAGTAGGATGGTAGCTACTAATGCTTGGGAATAAGGGAATAGATAGCCAGAGGTTAGTTAGTGAATACAAAATTACAGTTACGAAGGAAAAATAACTTCTAGTGTTTTGTAGCACTGTAGGGGAGACTATAATTTACAACAATTTGTTGTATATTTTCAAATAGCTAAAAGAGCAGATTTTGAATATTCCCAACACTAAAAGAAATGATAAATGTTTGAGTTGAGGATATGCTAATTACCCTGATTTGATCATTACACATTGTATCCATATATCAAAATATCACAATGTACCCCATCCCCATAAATATATACAATTATTATGTCAATTAAAATAATAATTTTAAAGTTATAGATTTTAATATAAAATTTTTTAACAAAGAAAATTTGAGATTTAGATAAGAAAGTAGATCAAGGGAACTAAGAATTGAGACTATTGGTTCAATTTAATCTGATTAAAATTATCATTGATAAAATGCAAGATCAAAAACATTCACTTCTGAAAAAGTCTTCTGAGAAATGCTTTCTTGAGGCAATAAAAGAGATTCAAATCATAAATCAGAAATGTTTTCATCTGCACATTGTTCAACCCTTGTGCCTCTCAGGGAGGTACTCATCAAAATGCCTACCAATAGCAACTGAAATCCTTACTTGTCACCACCTCTCTGACAAAATATGGGCCTCTCTCTCCAGGGATTACACTGATGAAATTTCTACAGAATGAAAAGAGGAAATGCTAACTATATTCACGTATCTTTTTAAGTCTAAGTTATTGAAATATTGTGACATCAAGAGGCAGCAAAGAAATAGCCTACTTGGCAAATATATTAATAATGCATCGTTACGTTGCTCTTGAATTCAGCACAATTTTCTAACATTGATAAATTCAGTACAATATTTTATACACCAACCAACCACTCAATGAAACAGGAATTTAGGCAGGAAAATTTTTTGTCAATGTCTGTTTTTTCCTGATAGTGTTTTTAAATATTTGTATAATCAGAGAAATACAGATTTAATACAGAGAAATACACATTGAATGTGACAATCATGTGAATTTTTAAGATTAAACACAAGACTTCTAAAGAGTGTCCCACTTGCTGCTGTCAGCTTCAAGCCACTCCCCAGATTTTCCAGGGTTCAAGTTCATGTCTCTACTATTGGGTATACTTCACTGGAAACTGAGAAGCAGATGTTTTTGGAAAGTGTCTTGATTTTGCAAGCAAAGAGGAGCCACTTAAAATTCAAAGTAGAAGAATTATATCAGCCTATGAGGAGAATCCACTGGAGGAGAGACATCCTGGAGTTGCAATGATTTCAGTTTATAATTAAGATTCCTTGTATAATGGCATGTTCGGTGGCGATAAAAGAAGAAATTAAACTTTTACTCTATGAAATTTTTTTAATAATCTTATTTCTACTGTATGCCCACTAAGCTAATACCATAGCCTCTTACAAGCTGTTACCAAACTGCAGTCTACCCGTCAATCCTTTCCTACTACTCTGTCTTTAAAAGCTCTCTTCCCTCAATTCAATGTCATTACAAAAAAAGAAAAGCATCAGAGTTATGAAAAGTGAACCCAGGACTCAGTTATCCCAAACATTGTTTTCTTACCTTTGTCTATATATTGCAAAGCACAGTGTTAGCAAAGATTGAAGGACCTAGAAATCATTATTTTGAAATCACGAATTTGAGAAAGCATAATTGCTTCTAGAGAGCATATGATTTCAATTTTCCAAATGCATGCTGAAGCACTATGGAAGCTAATTTGCCCTAATGAGGTGTCAAAAACTAAACAAGGTGGTTGCTCACACTTTTCTTACGTTCGCTTTTTTAAAATTCCTCTTTTTGGAAGAAATCATGATAATTCTATCTTTGAAATTCACACAAGTAATTTTCATCATATTTTTTCTGTCCTACAATAGTTTGCATTTCCCCTCCCCCTACACGTTGCAAAATGTACTATTGAAAACATTCAATACATAGATGGACAGATAGATGGATAGAGAGAGAGAATAGATAGATGGATATACAAGTAGATAGGCAATAGATTGATAGGTAGATAGATGGATAGGCAGGTAGACAATAGGTAGATGGATAGATAGACAAATAATAGATAGATAGGTAGATAGATACAGAGGCAGACATAGCTAGAGATATATAAAATGCTTTTGTACATGCATCTATACATACCAGGATTGGAGATAAAATGTGGATAAATTACTATGCTTATTTGACTTAGGGTAAATTAGAAATGTTTACATTTTCAATCCTTCTGTATTATCTAATACTGAACAATTCAAGTTATCTTGGAACTGTACTGTCTGAAAGATTAGCCACCAGCCACAAATGGTTGTGTAAATTTAAATTTTAATTAATTAAAATTATATAAAAATTAAAATTAAATTCCTGTCAAACCAGCCACATTTCAAATGCTAAGCACTCCTGTGTATCTAGCAACTACTGAATATAACAGCATGCATATAGAACATCTTTATCCTCACAGTTCTTTTAGACAGCTGCTGTCATGGAATTTTTTTCTCAAACACATTTTTTTCTATCATTAAATGAAGGTTTAGTTGGACATTCAAGGGCTGAAACATTCTTTTCAAACACATTTTTTTCTATCATTAAATGAAGGTTTAGTTGGACATTCAAGGGCTGAAACATTCTTTTCCCAAGAGGAAAATTGCTTTCCTCAAACTCATATAGAAACCCTAAAAAGGTCCTACAGATCAATTTTGAATCACCAGATTAAATTACAGAAAGCAAAGCTCAAAGCCTCTGCACTTAAAATTCAAGATTCTCTCCTGTAATCATTGAACCTCGGGGTTGAAATGGACCTTAGAGGTTATCTCATTCAATCATTCTTTTCATATTTACAATTGCCCCTTCAAAAACTCTACAAAATTGCAATCCAGCTCATGCTTGAAAATCATTAATAAAACTAAGCCATGCCTCCAGGCTAAACCCAAACTCAAAGAAAATGCACAAGTTGTTAAATCAACAACAATTGATTATAGATCATAGATCCTAGTTGTTTGTGGCTTTGCTGCTTGTGATTTTATTAAATTGCCCCCATGCTGGGGGCAGTGAGACTCTTCCTTTTGTATGTTACTTAAAGGAAAATTAACTGTTTCTGCCCAAAATGCCATTTGACAGCCCTTCTTAAAAAAGCATAGCTGGAGGGGAGAAAAAACATAGCTTGCTTTTCATAAAGCACTTCTGTTTTGACAAAGTGCTTGATTACTCAACAAAAAGCTCCTATCACTTTGCTAATTCTCCCAGCACGTGGTCAAGACCCAGTCTAGACCTTCAACCCTGAACTTAGCCATTTTTTATGTTGAACTAGAGTATATCCAGTTTGGGCAGATGCTGCAGAAGTCTTCCTTTCTCCTGGGTTCATTGTTATCATTTTTTCACAAACTGCCAGGTGGACTATGGCTGTGAGGAATAAGGAGGGCTGAACTTGACTTGCGTATAATGCCCTCAAAAGCAAGAGAAGCAATAAAGCATTCACAGATGGAATATGAACAGGGTTTGAGATATTATTAAGGGGATGTATTAGTCAGGGTTCTCTAGAGGGACAGAACTAATAGGATATACATATATATGGATATAGATATGTATATATATGTATCCATGGATATATATGTAGATAGATAGATATATCTATACATATGTATACATATATGTATATGGGAGTTTAATAAGGGGCATTAACTCACATGATCACAAGGTCCCACAATAGGCTGTCTGCAAGCTGAGGAGCAGGGCAGCCAGTCCAACTCCCAAAGGTGAAGAACTTGGAGTCTGATGTTCGAGGGCAGGAAGCATCCAGCACGGGAGAAAGATGTAGGCTGGGAGGCTAGGCCAGTCTACTCTTTTCACGGTTTTCTGCCTGCTTTATATTCTAGCCATGCTGGCAGCTGATTAGATGGTGCCCACCCAAATTAAGGGTGGGTCTGCCTTTCCCAGCCCACTGACTCAAATGTTAATCTCCTTTGGCAACACCCTCACAGACACACCTAGGATGAATATTTTGCATCCTTCAATCCAATCAAGTTGACACTCAGTATTAACCCTCACAAGGGGGTAATATCATTTTGTACTTTTGTATCTATAAAGTCCCAGCCATTATAAAGATGCTATTTGGTCTTCCTAGTGGAAGTGTCATGGTTTAGTTACTTTATGCCAATAAATCTGCCTCCACCTTGGCATAGCAATCTATAACATTTCTGGTTAAGAGAAAAATGGAACTAAGCCTATTTTGCAGTTCCTAGATCATGAGTAGTATTTGAAAGCCTATAAATACATAGGCTTACATATAATTTCTTCCAAAAACAGCAGTAATTCATTCAAAACTATAATCTGTTCTGCACAAGGTTGCCAATGTTGACTCTTTCACGATGTACATCAGATCATGTCACTCCTCTGCACAAAGCCACCTCACTAGAATAAAATCCAAGGTCTTTTCCATGGTGTGGGAGGCCCCACATGCTCTGGTCCCAGGCTGTGTCTCCAGTTATTCTCTTTGCCTCTTCGCCCCTTCTTCTCTGTGCCTGACTCCTTGCCGGACCCCTTGCTATTCCTCAAACGTGCCAAGCGCACTCCTGACTCAGGATTTTGTACTTGTTAATCCCTCTTTCTGGAATGCTTCCCACCATGTATTCACAGAGTACCCTCCCTTGCTTCCACCAGGGCTTAGATCAATTGTCATCTCTTCAGAGAAGCCTGCCATGGCCACTGTATCAAAAGTAATGCCTCTTTTTCCATCACTTTCTTACCCCTTACCCTGCTTTCCTATATGGCTTATCCCACTGAAAACACCTTCACATGTTATTGGTTTTCTTGTTTTAATAAAAACCTGTAGGGTATAGATTTTGTTTTCTTCATTGCTATGCTCTAGTAAGCAGATCAGTGCCTAGCACATAGTAGGTGTTCAATTAATATGTTTTGATAAATGCACAAATGAGTGAATGAACGAGCAACACCTGTCAAAGGCACTGTCTCTCTCTCCCTCCCTCTCTCTCTCTCTCTGATGAGTACTTATATTTTCACTTTATACCACTCATTGCCCTTTTAATTGACATTTTTATTTGCTACTAGATTATGGCTGTTTCATTCACTGCTGTGAGCCCCAATGCCTTTCAAAGTGTTCTTTAAATATGTACTGAGTAAAAATAAATGAATGAACTTCCTACTTTGATAATCCATAAAACCTGTCCTGATGTTAGATTTGCCTCTCATCCTCAGGTAATAAAGGGAAGCAAGAAAAATCTCATAGGTTCATTGGTATTGTCATGAGCTCTAGCTCAGAAGAGTGAGAGTGTGGGAATCAATGGCCAGATCGAGTCAGGGAAAGTGGTGCTCTACCAGACGGGATAGCCTTTAGTACCCAGGAAAGGTGGTCACAGTGCCTGACAGGCCTGGAGACCAATGGCCCTACTGAGCACCAGGCTAGTGGACAGGCTCCGAAGGAATCGTTCATGATGCACACCAATGTGGAAAATATGCTTAATCCATAGACTTCATTTAGGGAATATGTGACCCTGGGAACATGTTGGGAAATAAGGCTATATAGCATGTCCCTTGTGATGGCCACCATACTTCTGTTCCCATTCTAGGTTAAACTGCCTAGGACAGGTGTGAGTCTCTGACCCACGGCACCCAGATACCAAAGCGGAGGCCTTGTGTAAAAGGAACTAGGACAATGGTAATTAATCAAGTCAACTGACTGGTTTCCTCAAGATATTTCATTAGAGGTTAAGGAGAGGATTGGCTAGTTGGTGACAAATGGAAACAGAGTAGACTCACAGAACAAAACAGAGACTCCACCAGAAAGAGAGATCACGTGGACCATGAGAAAGATAAGGAGACCAGCAGGGGACCGAGAGGGTTACAGTTCCTGATGTCCTGATGAGTTTCATGTTCTAACCTGAGCCCACTTGCATCCTCAAAACAAACAACCATTAGTGAAGCAGTCTGTGAGTATCACTTTCAATTCCCTAAGACAGAGAAGACTGCTAAGGTGCAGACTCTGAACAACAACTCCTCCAAAATGAGCATTATCATCTGAAGTAGATGAGGGTTGTGAGGTAGAGATCCTCCCCACTGCAACACTAAAAGCAAACAGTCCATGCCTTGCCATGCAAAGCAAATAATAGCTGTTGCTTCGGATCCTTTGAGGTAAAGGGCAACTCAAAAGGAATAAGAAGCACAAGTAAGGGTAGAAGAGAGTTTCTCATAGCATCAGGCTGTTTACACTATGAAGAAGACAGCTGGTTCCAAGTTGCCCAGAGGGAAGCACATAAGGAGACAGGGCTGGCCATTGTGTGGTTCCGCTGTAGGGAAAACTTTCTGCTCAGTTAGACATCCAAGGAGGCAAACCAGAGCCACAGGCTAAGGACAAGCACTGCTGATTATCGCAGTCTTTTGGATTCACAGATGTTCAGGGTTTTGGTTAACATTAATATTCTAACTGGCAAAAAGTTTGATCTGAGAAGTCACAATGGAAGAACCCCAAACTATGGAATGCTCTAGACATTTCCCGTAAATCAGCAAGTGTGTCAGTCTGCCCAAGAGGGTAGGAACAGTAAGTGTGTCAGTCTGCCCAAGAGTCATATGGCTTAGGAATATGTGAAGAGATAGGATGGAGAAATTCTACTCAGAAGTTATAAGTATTGTGCCAGGAAGACTGTTGAAGACTAGGGAGAGGATATGTTGCTAAGAAATTTACAGGAGCTTATGGAAGGAGGACAAAATATAACTTCAGACCAACTCAAATTCATTGCAATGAAGACAGCTTACTTAAGATGCACATTTAGTGACTGGAGGTTGAATCAAACCCTGGATGATGATGACTGATGTTGATTCCTTTGATGCCTGCAGAAGACAGAAAGCAAATACTGAAAGGAAGGAACGCCAACCAGCCCTACCTTTTCCATTAAGAGACTATGGATAACAGATACTCTCTGGACATGACTTGGAATATAAAAATAGCAGAGAGTAACCAAAACGAGATTATTAGCAGCAATGGAGATAGTTGTTACTGGAGCTGACTGATCCCAAGAGACAGTAATTAAAAGCAAAGAATGCTACCTTGTGAAGAGATTTGCACTCCCATTCATTGCAGCATTATTCACTACAGCCAGGTATGAAAACAGGCCACTGTCCACTGATGGATGAATGGATAAAGAAACTGTGAGATATATATATATAGATATATATATATATATATATATACAGTCATGTGCTGCATAATGACTTTGCAGTCAATGAAGGACCACATATAAAATGGTGGTCCATAACATTATAATGGAGCTGAAAAATTCCTGTCACCTAGTGATGTTGTAGTTGTCATAACATTGTAGCACATGCATTACTCATATGTTTGTAGTGCTGCTGGTGTAGGAAACTTACTGAACTGCCAGTTGCATAAAAGTTGAGCGCATACAAATATGAACAGTACATAATGCTTGATAATGGACAACTGTTACTGGTTTATGTATTTACAATGCTATCCCTTTTAGAGTGTACTTCTTCTGCTTACTTTTTTAAGTTAGTTGTAAAGCTGACTCAGGCAGGTCCTTCAGCAGGTATTATTCCAGAAGGAACAGTGTTATCATGAGATGACAGCTCTATAGGTGTTATTGCCCCAGAAACTTCTGGTGGGACAAAGATATGAAGGTGAAAGACAGTGATATTGATAATTCCGACCCTATATAGGAAACTAATATGCATGTTTGTATCTTTGTTTTTAACAAAAAAAGGTTAAAAAGTAAAAATTTTAAAAAGCTTATAGAATAAGGATATGAAAATAATATTTTTGTATAGCTTTACAGTATGTTTGTGTTTTAAGCTGTTACCGCAAGAATCAAATGTTTAAAAAATTTAAAAGTTTATAAGGTAAAAAAGTTAAAGTAAGCTAAAGTTAATTTATTACTGAATAAATAATTTTTTTTTTCCAAGACGGAGTCTCACTCTGTCGCCCAAGCTGGAGTGCAATAGTACAATCTCAGCTCACTACAACCTCCACTTCCCGGGTTCAAGTGATTCTCCTGCCTAAGCCTCCTGAGTAGCTGGGATTACAGGTGCCCGCCACCATGCCCAGCTAATTTTTGTATTTTTAGTAGAGACGTTGTTTCACCATGTTGGCCAGGCTGGTCTCGAACTCCTGACCTCATGATCTGCCCACCTCAGCTTCCCAAATTGCTGAGATTACAGGTGTGAGCCACCACACCTGGCCCAATTTTTAAAAATAAATTTAGTGTGCCCTCCTTGTACAGTGTTTATACAGAGAATGTGAATGTCCAGGACTTCACATTCACTCACCGTTCACCCACTGACTCACCCAGAGCAACTTCCAGTCCTGCAAGCTTCACTCATGGTAAGTGCTCTATACAGGTCTACCATTTTTTATCTTTTATACTGTACTTTCACTATATCTTTTTCATATTTATATACACAATACTTTCCCTTGTGTTACAGTTGCCTACAATCAGTACAGTAACATGCTGTGCAGGTTTGTAGCCTAGCGACAATAGGTTATACCATATAGCCTAGGTGTACAGTAGGCTATGCCATCTAGGATTGTGTAAGTACACACTATGATGTTTGCACAATGACAAAATCACGTAACAGTGATTTCTCAGAACATATCCCTGCTGTTAAACAATGCAACTGTATGTACAATGGAATATTATTCAGCCTTAAAAAAGGAAGGAGATCCTGCCGTTTGCCACAACATGGATGAAGGAGAACATTATTCTGAGTGAAATAAGCCAAACACAGAAATAAAAATACTGTATGATCTCACTTTTATGTGGAATCTAATAAAAAGAAAAAGCATGAAAAAAAGTTGAACACACAGAAGTAGAAAATAAAATGGTTATCAGGGTGGTGGAGGGAGAGGAAATAGGAAGATGTAGGTCAAAGGATACAAAATTGCAGGTATGTAGGATGAGCAAGTCTAGATATCATAGGTACAACATGAGGACTACAGTTAATAATATTGCATTGCATTGTATTGGAGATTTTTGTTAAAAGAGTAGATTATAGGTCCTCTTGCCACGCAAAAAAAAAATAGGTTACTATGTGAGATAGTGGATGTTAATTTGCTTGACGGTTGTAACCACTTTACTAAGTATATGCCTATCAAAACATCATGTTGTGCACCTTAAGTATATACAATTTGTAAAAAGCAAAGGAGAAATAATAGAAGGCTTCAGCCTAAAGTAAATACCTACATATATACATGCATTCATGCATACATGGAGGCAGTCAGGTGAGACGGGAATCCCTGTGATGATTGAAGAGGTCCCACTCAAGCACATGAGGTTTGTGAGAATAAAATAGAAATAATGCCCACTAAGAGTCTGATGAATTTTTGTGTTTGCTATTTTTGTAAAACTCAGTGGTTTAAAACAACAGTCAATTGGTATCACTCATACATCTCCCTATCAGCTGGGAGTCTGCTGATCCAAGCTGCGATTGGCTGGGTGGCTCTGCTCCACACATCTCTCACCCTCCTTGGGCCAGCAGACTAAATAAAAGGACTTAAGAAATCTTTGAGAAACCTGTGGGAGAGGCTAACCTAACATTCTCCCATTAGTCCACTGTAGGGAGACTGCCATCATTTACCAGGATGAACCAATTTGCAAATGTTAACCATTTGCCTTCTGCAGTCAGTCAGTTCCTGTCCAATGGACTCATGAATGAAGCAGCTATGTTGGCACAGCGGACTCTACATGATCTTGATAATAAAGAGTCTCCTCTCAAAGATTAATGTGGCTACAACCACTGCAAGTTCCTGTATTCCAGCAATGGTGACCTACCCAGCCCTAGGATAAGACCCAAGGGGACAAGACACCTCAAGGGGACAAGTCTTTGTGGCAGGTTAAACAAATAGAGGTTTTCCTGCCATGGAGAGGAGAGCTATTTGGATTTTCCTTTCTTACCTTCTCTGCCATGGCATCATTATCTGAAGGCTTATGAGGCTTTGTATATCACATGGTATTCTATGCAACACTGGTTCTGGCCAAGGAATTTACCTGGAAGCTAAAGAAACAAAGCTATCAACAGATACATATGAGATCTGCTGACTTTACTCCCAATCTTCCAGAAATAAATAGTGTCATTAAGTGCAACAACAAAGCAACCATGACTAAGACATGTTTCAAGTAATTGCAGGCTGAGTTATTTGGACAAATTCCCCTAATAAAAAAATAATCTGGATAAAAGATAAAAACACCAAATACACCAATTATCAGGCCAAAATCTGGAAGAAAGTCTGAATCCAACATGCGCTGAATCCTGGAGTGTGAAAGCAACTCTTGTCCTGAGGACATCAGTCAATACCACCCACTTGGTTCTCAATTCTAAAGACTCAGAAGGAGTAAGAAGAGGAAAAGTCAAAGCCCATAGTTTTCCCAAGGTGAGGAGTCTTACAGGATACCCTCCCCACATTAAGCTGAAACTCCAAGAGGGTTATGTTCTCAGAGTAGTAATGAACCAAGATTAAACCTGCCCCTACTGTGCCCCAGGAGACTGCAGAGAATTCTGCCTTGGCACTGAGCACGACAGGAGAAGAAAAATAAGGAGGAAAAAAAAATCTTCTTGAGAAATGGTGACCTCATAACTAGTCTTTCTGTGGTTTTACCTGGACAAGCCAGAGAACCTCAGACTATGAACTTAGTTTGAGGAGAGGCCTCAACTAAAGTTGGTAGCTGCTTCAGACACCTGGTCTCAAAGCAAAAAGCTCTTTGGAGGAGGACATTTTGTTCCTAGCCCTTGGGGAATCCCCAAAATTATCTTTTCAAGGAAAATGACCATAATACAGTCAAAAATAACCAGGCACACAAGGAAACATAAATAAGAATTAGCAGAGAAAATAAATGGTAACAGATTCTCACAAACTTCAAGTATTGAAATGATCAAACATAGATTGAAAAATAACTATTAAATGAATCATAGGTTTGAAAATATCTTCAGGGATTACAAACAGAAATAAGTCACATAAAAGTCTTAAAAAGGACCAAATAGAAGTTGTAGAAATGAAAAAAACAATAGCCAAAATAAAAACACATAGTTAAAAATAAATAGATTTATGTAGCATCAGACTGGACATAATAGAAGAAAGAGTTAATGAATTGGATGATAGAGCAAAATAAATTATGCAGAATGCAGCACAAAGAGACTTAAAAATAGATAATTCAGAAAAGAGAGTAAGAGATATGGAATATTTACTAAGAATGTCTAGTAACATTTTATTGGAATCCCAGATGGAAGAGAGAGAGAGAATCAACATGGACCTATTGGAAGAAACAACAGCTGAGAATCAGAACTGATGAAAGGCACCAACCCCAAAATATAAGTCCTAACAAAGTTCAAACAGAATTTTTTTTAAAAAATCCACATCTAGACACATTAGAGTGAAAGTAAAAAACCAAAGACAAATAGAAAATCTTAAAAGCACCAAAGATAAAAGTAAATAGGGATTATAAAACAATACCATCCTATAGACAAGGTAACTAACATGTAAGCTAAAAGCCCATTGGACTGAGGCTAGAAGTGGAAATGGTGCTTTTCAGATTGCCTGGTTACTAAGATTTTGACCCTAGTTGACCCTAGTTACTAAGGTTTTGGGAGCCAGGAACAGTAAGGATGGAACTTAGCTTGTACCAACCATTCACTACTTTCAGGATATTTTCTGATACAACTGTGCACAGTGGCAAAGGTTAACAATAAACCTCTACAACCCTACGCAAACAGAACTACCAGGATGTAGTCCACTCAGGAATGATGATCAGGATCATCTGCTACACAAAGAACTCAGGGAAAACAGGGCTAGTGCATACCAACAGTATTTTCTTAATATGGTAGTTGTTTTTAGTGTATTACTTAATTTCTTCCCTGCTGTCTATAAGAGGTTTTCTGGAGATGGATATATTTCTCATGTTGTCAATTAGTTGGATAATATCAAGAAGTTACATAGTATGATAGGCCAAATGATAGTTCGTTCCCTAAAGATGTTCACATTCTAATCCTTAGAACCTGTGAATATGCTAGTTTACATGGTAAAAGGGACTTTGAAGATGTGATTAAGTTAAAAATCTTCAGGTGGGAGATTATCCTGGATTACCCCAGAAGGCCCAATGTAATTACAAGGGTCCTCATAAGAGGAAGGTAGGAGGATCAGAGTCAGAGAAGAACCTGTAACAATGGACATAGAGATAGGAGTGATGGGGCCATAAGCCAAGGAATGCAGGCAGCCTCTAGCAGCTGGAAAAGGCCAGGAAATGGACTCTTGCCTGGAGCTTCCAGAAAGAACACAGCTCTGCTGACACCTTGACTTCAGCCTGTAAGACTCATTTCAGACTTCAGACCTCCAGAGCTGTAAAACAATACATTTGTGTTGCTTTAAACCTCTAAATTTTTTTGTAATTTATTACAGCAGCAATAGTAAACTAATACACATAAGAATGGAATTGATTTAGAAGACAGATATACGTGGAGATAACCTGGAGATCTAGACTCTTAAGGAAAACAAAAAGCCTTTAAAATAATCCCGTAACAGCACCTCTACCTGAGGGCAGAATAAACTGGGGAAAGGGTGGTGTTATACGGCTAGATGTATGATAGAATGTGTTTGAATGAGGCATCCTTACAACTGAATAAATAGGAACAGGGGCCCCTGTGCATGGCAATCAAGGGGTGGAATGCACTAGACTTATGATGCTTTGAAGACTCCCTGTAAATCACCCCACATATAATCCCCTATACAGGGAAACTATGCTAGGCCTTTTTTATTTTTGGCAGAATTTCCTCTAATTAGTGCATTGATATATGTGTCTGACACAAAAAGTAACTCACTTAAACTTGAAGCTAAACATCTACCCGTGCTATAGCCTAGTGCAAGGAGAAAACAAAGAAAGAAAAGAAGGAAAGCAATGCAGTAAACTCACATAGACTCACATAGTTACTCTCTTTCCCATGAACATTGTGGAACTATATCCTAAGCAGTGTGAAAAGTAAATATTTGCTTTGGATCGTTTCATAGACTACACCATAGTAAACACAAAGTAAAAAGTATAATACTTTTATCACTCCATGACTATCTTAAAAATTGTTTATAAAATGAAATCAGAGGTTATAGTTGCCCTCAAAAGGGATTTTCTTTCTTCCTAATCATTACCTAAAAATCCCCCTAGAGAACTACTGCATTAAACGGCATTGAAATGGGCTACAAGCTGTACAATGGGGAAAGGTGCCAAGCTTCACTCCACCACTTCCAACAATGTCCTCAAAGCTACTGAAAATTACAGAATAAGAGAGCAGTGCTCAACAAGTGGATTTTTCCATTAGTTTGAGCGCATTTCATGAGCTGACAATGTCTAACTTACAGATTTCAGTAATTTGAACAGTAGAGTACATGGTCTTCTAGGAAAATACCACCTGCTAGAAAAATAATTGAGTAACCAAATAAAATTCTTCTTTGAAATGTATTCAATGAGTTCTCAACTGATGTGTGAACAGAGACCTAGAAGCTAAGAGGTTGGCCTTCACCTTTAGTGTGCAGTTGGGAATTTATTTGGCTTCACTCAAATACGAAAAAACAGATTCAATTTAGGAAAATTTCAGTGAGGTCCAAACATACACGTACATAGAGAGACAGAGAGCAACAAAGTGGTGGAAAAGACCCAAAAAAATGGAACGGGGTTTAAAAGAAATTCTTTGGTGGGAATTTTGGGGGATATCTATCACTCCCCTTATAAATTCCAATAGGCAGCTCATGCCAGGGGCTTTAATGCATTCTCTCATTCATTTTTCACTACAACTCTTGTGGCAGTAGCTGCTTTGGCCCTCTTCATGTGATGCGCACATCTGACCATACCCTTTTTCCTCTTGCCTGCCACCCCAAGGAAGGAAGGATTTCCAGTGTGATCACTCAGAGCCTAGGATATTCACGGGGACACATTTCACTAATGGCCCTGTGCCTTTTTCTCTTTCTTAGACTTCCACTGCTTCATAACATGAACATAACAGGCTAAACCAAAGTCCAGGGTCTCTTTTCTCACATGCACATGTAGATGTGTGTATGCAGATCCCAGAACGTAGATTCTGGGGCTGTTTAAGACGACACTCTTCAGCCTAAAGCATTGCACGTGCCAATTCAGCTTTTTACCAGAGCTCTTTGTTGAACTGTCAGGATTACATATACAGGGCGGATGTGGTGGCTCATACATGTAATCCCAGCACTTTGGGAGGCCAAGGCAGGTGGATCACTTGAGGTCAGGAGTTTAAGACCAGCCTGGCCAACATGGTGAAACCCTGTCTCTACTAAAAATACAAAAATTAGCTGGGCATGGTGGCGCACACCTGTAGTCCCAGCTACTTGGGAGGCTGAGGTGGGAGAATAGCTTGAACCAGGAGGCAGAGGTTGCAGTGAGCCAGAGTGAGACTCCGTTTAAAAAATAAAAAAAGGAATTACATTTATAGTCACTAATTACGAGGGGAGCCCAGTCTGCCATTGCTCCGGGTGTCACAAACCTCTTAGGAACATGTAGGCATGAGAAGAACCCAAGCAGGGTGAAAAATCAACATCCTTAGTCCATGGCTCCAAGACCGTTAACTGCACCAAAATTCTCCCTTTAAATCCTAACAAGTATTGATATTATCCCCATGATACAGATGGAGAAACTGATGATTAGGTAAAATGTTTGAGAGTCATAGTTTTTTCCTCATAGTATAGCTGAACTTCAAGTTCGGTTCAGTCTCACTCCAAAGTCTATGCTGTAACTACTAGAAGATTTAATCGTAAGTCCCTAGTTTCTTTGACCTGAAGGGGATGAAATATCACTTTTTGGAAAATCCAAGTAAATAACTTGCTTCTATGACTTATTCTATACCAATGTGTAAGAAATTGTAAATCATTTATATTATCCATGCTGAAAATCTTAACACAATTCATAAAATACAGTCAGATCAATTTCCCACTGTTCTCAACTCAATGCATCTTTTACAACTGTTTATTTACAATGTGCTTATTGCAGGCCCTTGTGGTAAGATCCCTTTTTGATTTAAGCAGGAAATAAAGCAGCTTCTGCTCATAAAGGGTAAAATGTGTTATGGATGGATTGCCAACTCAAAATATTGGCAGGCAAAGGGAGAAAAAGAAAATTTTCCCAACTCTGACTTTTTGAAAATTCACAAAGAACTCAATTCTAACATGGAAATAGGACCGAAGACATTCAGACTCAACATAAAATAAAGAAGCATCCTAAGACAGAGAGGAGCAGCATCTTTTGTTCAGAACTTGAGGCCCCACTCATCTGTTATCATGGCACTGTGGAAGTCTTAACCTTTCCAAAGATCAGATTTTCCATCGGGAAAAATGTTGTCGAAATCTTCAGTCTTACCAACCACAAGATAAAGCAATTATGAGACTCAAGAAAATCATGCAGATGAAAAGGTTTTAAACAGTACCTGCTATGGTCTGCATGTGTCTCCCAAGGCTCATGTGTAGGAAACTTTTTTTCTTTCTTCCTTTCTTTCTTTATTTATTTTAGAGATGGAATCCCACTGTTTCCCAGGCTGGTCTCAAACTCCTGGTTTCCAGCAATCATCTGGCCTCAGTCTCCCAAAGTGCTGGAATTACAGGCATGAGCCACCGTGGCCTGCCATGTGTTAGAAATTGAATCCCCAATGCAATGGTGTTGAGAGGTGGGAACTTTAAGAAGCGATTCAGTCACGAGGGCTCTACTGTCATGAATGAATTAATGCCATTATTGAAAGAGTGGTTTTGTCATACAAGTGAGTTCTGCCCCATTGGTCTCTTGCACTTTCTTACCCTTCTACCTTCCACCATGAGATGACGCTTTAAGAAGGCCCTCACCAGATGCCAGCCCCTCGGCCTTGGACTTCCCAGGCTCCAGAACTGTAAGAAATAAATCTCTGTTCTTTATAAATTACCCAGTCTCGGGTATTCTGTTATAGCAACAACAAACAGACTAAGACAGTAGCCATAATGAAAGAACCAAGGGATTGTATCAGTATTGACTGGAGGCTCTGAGAGAATGAGAAGCTGGGGAGAGCAGGCAAGTGAAGGCAAAGTCTCCACAGCCCCCGCCCTCCTGTCCTGCTCACATTCCAAGCTCCACAGAAAGCGCCCCTCCAGCCCTGCTGACCTCACACTCCAGGCTCCTCCGCTCCTGCAGATCCAAGGGGAGAAATGGGAGCCAATTTTTGCTCTTGAACTGCATTTACTTTTCTGGAGACCCTTACAGTCCGAGTTTATAGTTGCCCTCAAATGGAGATTTTATTTCTTTCTGGTCATTACCTGAGAATATTTCCCCTCAGAGAATCGCTATATCCAAGCCTGCCAAATTTAGACTTCTACCCTCCAGAACTGAGAGAGAATAATTTCTGTGGTTTTAAATCACCAAATTTGTGGTAGTTTGCTACTGTAGTACTGGGAAGCTAGTTCAATATCATTTAAAACATTAAGAGTGGATGAAATCACCAAAGGAGTGAATACTAATAGAAAAGAGAAGAGGATTTAGGACCGAGCCCTGCAGCTGTAAAAAGCTGAGGAAAAGAGGAGGATTCAGGAAAGGGCGGTGCTGTGGGAGGAAGCCAGGAAGGATGGTATCCTGGAAGTATATGAGGAAAGAGGGTGAGCCAATGGGTCAGACACTGCTGGGAGTCAATAGAATGAAGAACAAGAAATGACCAGTGGATTTAGCAACATGGAGGTCACTGGAGACCTTGACAAGAAATGTTTCAGTGAAGCAAAACCTGATTTGTGTTGATTTAAAACAGAACTGGGGAGAGAAATTGGAGACTGCAAGTATATAGGCAAGTCTCCCAAGGTCTTGAGAAGAAAGCAGAGATGGGATGACAGCTCTGCAGGAAATAAGGTCAAGACAAGTTTTGTAAGATGAGAAGATCTCCAACACCATGCTTATATGCTGATGGAAATGATCAAGATGACACAAAATATGTATTACAAAAGTGAAGAGGAAAACTGCCAAAATGATGTACAAAAATTTTTAAATTTTTTACATCTATGTCTGCCAAGATAGTAATTGTATAGTGAATTTCCATTAAGTTAATTTTTTTTTTTCTTTGAGATGGAGTCTCGCTCTGTGGCCAGGCTGGAGTGCAGTGATGTGATCTCAGCTCACTGCAACCTCTGACTCCCAGGTTCAAGTGATTCTCCTGCCTCAGCCTCCTGAGTAACTGGAACTACAGGAACGCATCATCACGCCCAGCTAGTTTTTGTATTTTTAGTAGACACGGAGTTTCACCATGTTGGCCAGGATGGTCTCGATTTCCTGACCTCGTGATCTGCCCACCTCAGCCTCCCAAAGTGCTGGGATTGCAGGCGTGAGCCACCGTGCCCGGCCAAAGTTATTTTTTCAATGCCTTTTTTACAGATATTATAGCTGATGAAATATATAGAGAGGTATAGATATACAGATATTCTTTTAATGATAGTTAACTGAGTAATATGTACAGATCCAGAATGGAGTATTATTTGGACAAGCATTCTGTAAGCAAAAATATCTGCTATTTGATGATTTTATAAGTAACTCAATCCATTTACTATAAGATATCAAAAATGGTTAAATTCCTTGGCAACTGAATGGCCATTGTGGAGCACTATGCAATTCTGCTTTTGTGAAAGCAAAAAAAAAAAAAAAAAAAAGGCTTTTTGTTTAACAATTATTCTTGCACTATGTTCTGCTGTATTCTTAGTTGTTGCATCCTTAGCAAATGCTGGAAACTGAAAAGTACAGTAATTTTATGTTATTATTAGATATGTCAAGAAGTTAATTAGAACAGTGCATTGAAATACGTGCATTTAGTAACATGTTTTCTGATATAGAAAAAAACAGAAAAAAGAGTTAAAGACAAAGGAAGAGAAGTTTTTAATTTCATCAATGGCCTCCTGAGTCAACCAGCCAACAAATAATAGAAAGAATTCCTGATTTAACATTTTCACTTACAACTCAGGAATATATGATATTCACATTCTCTGGTTCTTAATTTATATTCTGAAAACTTGCATTCTTAATAATATCTTTCTGTTGCCTTTCCCATGAAGGACATCTCTATGCATCAAATTCTTTGACCAAACCAAGTTTTCCCTCCATACTCAGATTTTTCCCCATTGTGTTTTGGTCTTCAGAATCTGCGGAAGCAGAATATTTTTTGTTGAAATCTTGGGTAATTTTTTTTATCAGCCCATTTCAAAATTTTAACCAGCATTTCCCTAAGTATGTATTTCTCTTTGGTTTAAGAATGAGAATGTTTAAGAAGCATAATCAACTCTTCATTCTTCTCTTTTATATGGGGGCTTTGGTTACATTTATTCTAATTTACAACTATAATTTTTATGTTGGATGTCTCTCTCTACACTTTTTCATGTCACTGTTTTCTCAGCTTTGTTCTTTTCCTTAAGAGTTTCTCAAGTTTATTTTCCACAATGCCATTTTATGTCCATTTGAATTTTAATCTAATATTAAAGGTTTAATTTATTAAAACTCCTTCTTCTCACTCATTTCCACTTTCAGATTCTCCTATTGTTTTTCAGTCTCAGCCTGTTTTGTTTTGTTTCTTTTTCCTTACAGTTAACTGTTTCTGTTACATTAAGATAAATTCTTCTAACATCCTTTTGGAAAAAGAATATTCTAACATCTTTTTTCTGATTCTTTTAATAACTGATTTTAAGGTACTTATTTCTTCTTCCTTGAGTTTCTATTAGTTTAAAGATACTATTTTCTCTATTTCTCTATCCATTACTTCATAATAAATTAGACTTCATTAAAATTTAAAACTTCTGCTCATCATTCTGCCATCTATAATGCATCCATATAATAGAGTGTTATAGTCTTTAGTAATTATTATGTATATATAATTTGGAAAAATTATTCAGTAATGTTAGCTGAGAAAAGGAAGTTACTAAAGAGAGAGAATAGTGTGATCCCATCTTTGCTTTAAGTATAAATATACAATTTAATTATTTGTTGAATAAATATTTGTTTGGCACCTACTAATTGCCAATGATTTGTTTGCCAAATGAGACAAACTCCCTGCCCTCATGATGAGTACGTTCTACTGGGGGAGAATGCTAAAAGCAAATAAATAATGTAAGTGTTTTAAATCATTAAACATGGAGATGATTCATCTGAAAGAAATAAATAGGGTGGTAGAATCCAGAATATAGTGACCAGCTCAAATAGGGTAAGCAAGATGACCTTGCTGTGACTTTACCTTGGGAAAGATAGCTCAGTTGAGCTTGGCAGGAGGACAAAAAAATACCCGTTCTGTGCCCAAGGGAAGTCTCTTCACACAGAGGGAAAAACAAGTGCAAAGGCCAAAAGGTAGGGAGGGATTTGTTGTGTTTGAAAAGTAAATTAATAAATGGAGCTGTCTGCCTGGAGTGTATTTATAGGGAGGAGCAGGGACATGAGAAGCAGATTGACATGCAAACCACATCCAGACTATGGAGGACCTTGAAGGCATTGCTAAGAAATTTAGATTTTTTCTCGGAGCTAGGAAATGAAAGGTTTTTGGTGAACCAAAATTAAAATTCAGAGTTTACTCCATTTTTAAATAAATATTGTATTTATTAAAGTTGCAAGTCATAAACTTAGCTCTACTGTAAGCTTTTAAGAAACTTTATTCTTCAATTTCAAATATTAACACATTTTAATAAGCAAGGAGGCTGATTGATATTTGACCCCATTTAAAAACTCAATTAATTTATTTCCTTGAAGCACTTTACACTGCATGTATAAATTTTTGATTTTATTTCCAATTTTACAACTGTTTGAACTTTCCTGAGTATATGCTTAAGTAATTATAATAAATATATTACAAATATAATGATTCTTGTAGTCTCTCAAATGTCCCAGTAATGTGTATAAACTTAGTATGCTTTCAAAGAAATGCAAATTTAAATTAATTGTACTGATTTTTGTATTTCTAAGCTGAAATCACAAGGTTAACTTATTGACACAATAATATGTAAGGTATTCTTATACTCTACAGGTAATTAGCATAACAAATGTACACAAATTATGTCAAAACTATTATGTTTTTATTTTCTTTATATCTATACTGAATTCTAAAATCTCCCTGGAGTTAAAGGGGCTTACACAAAGCGAAAAATTATAATGCCTCAAACAACTTTGAGCATGCTTTTCCAAGGGAATATTTAGAGTTTCTTGGCATGCTGAAACTGCTTAATAATCAGACTTCATCTCTGGGTGTGATACTAGCTGCAGCTACACACATCCAAGGGCAATTCTTCTTCCCACTCTGACTGCCAAGCCAAATCGCATTTTGTAGTCCTTTTTGTAGCTAAGATCAAAGTCACAGCATTGACTAATTTGCATGTCAGTTTAGTCTCTACCTCCCACCCAGGTGGCTTCTCCACTTGATTGAAGTTAACAAATCTAGTTACTGTTTCCATTCATCCTCAATTTTTATCGTATTCTTTCTATCTTTTAGAACCACAATTTTTAGATATTAAGGTAACATCAGATTCAATCTGGGGATGCCCTGATGGCTTTATCTGACAACAACAGTAAGAAGTCATTGAAGCAGGGGTGTGATATGAAAAATATTACATTTTCAAAATACTACTCTGGCAACTCTGGGGAAAATAAGAGTCAGAGTGGCTTCAGAGAGACCAGCCAGAGGCTCTTGCAGCACTTCAGGTGAGAGACTGCCTTGTGATTCCAGTGGAGGACTGCATGGACCTCTCCATCCTCAACCCAGGTATGGCCCTCCTCTTCAGGAAACCATGTCTCCTTCCACAAACTCCTCGCAAAGCTGTAGAGGAAGACTTACGGGAACGAGAGAGGGAGCAGATCCCATCCAGCCAACCAGACCAGTCCAGTGATACCATCTCAATCACATCACCCTCCTTCCTACCTGTATTGAGGTGAAGAGACATAGGAACCCAGCAAAGAAAGAAGCCAAGAAGGAGAGAAACCTTCATGGAGGTAGAGAGACCTGAACTGGACTGGAAATAGGATCCCAGAATTGCAAATGTCACACTCTTAAATCTAAGAAGAGTTGGCCACCCTGGAAATGCTCACAGGTATTGCCCTTTTCCAAGCTCTCCAGTTGGTGATGGGAGGAAGGGAGAGAAATAAAAATATCTTTTGCACCTACATTGCATCTACATTTTCCATCTACATTTCTTTTATTATTTCACTCAAATCTATGAGAAGGAGACTTATTATTAATCATGCTTTGTACGAAGACATTGAAGTATACAGATGTTAAGCAGTTAGCCCAAGATAACATCCAAATGTGTACACATACACACACACACACACATACACACACACAGGACAGAGCTACTACTAGAGTTTCTGAATCCATTCCTTCCTTCAGGAATGAAACTTCTCAAAGCCACACTAGCCACCCCATTTCTAGCTGATTTTTCACAAGATAAAAATAGTATTAAGTGCTCACTAGTGCTAGAGGCACCATATGTAGGGAAAATAAAGTTTGTGAGATTACTGTTTGGTTCATTGGTTTGTCCCCTGTGCCGAGCACTAGGTCTGGCAAGTGTTAATTGTTTGACAAATATTTAACCAGATGTTTGTTGCTAGGTATGTCCCACTGATATGGTTTGGCTCTGTCCCCACCCAGAATCTCATCTGGAATTGCAATCTCCATAATCCCCATAAAGCCCATAATTCCTACATGTCAAGGGAGAGACCCAGTAGAGGTAACTGAATCATGGAGGTGGTTTCCCCCATGCTCTTCTTGTGATAGTGAGTGAGTTCTAATGAGATCTGATGGTTTTATAAGGGGCTTTTCCCCCTTCAGTGGGCACTTTTTCTTCCTGCTGCCTTGTGAAGAAGGTTCCTTGCTTCCTTCCTGAGGCCTCCCCAGTCATGCTGAACTGTGAGTCAATTAAACCTCTTTCCTTTATAAATTACCCGGTCTTGGGCAGTTCTTTAGAGCAGTGTGAAAACGAACTAATACACCCAAGTTTTCTCAGAGAGAAGCATTTTGTGGGTACAGTAAAATAAGAATGGACTGTTGGGCTCAGTTCCTGCAGCATAGTGCTAGACTGGCAGCCCTAAAGTCCTCTGCTAGGACCCAAGGGGCCCCTCGGTGCTTCCCATGAGAACCCAGAATCCCCTCCCTCTGCCCTGACCCTACAGGTAGATGGCACTCTGGCTGCTTCTCAGGCCTCCCCCAAATCCTGACTCTGTTGTTCCTCCTCTGGTACCTTTAATTAGCACATTGGATTGGTCAGAAAAGCCCTCTTCCTTCCAGTGGAAATAAACAAAGTCCAACCAAATGAGAACAAGCAAAGGCTACTTATCTGAGCTTGCTATAGCAAGGGAGTAACCACCGTCACTTGGGCTTTGACAGAGACTCAAAGGCAGGCAGAGGAGTGGAAAGCTTGATGGAAAAAGAAGGAAAGGCTCAGACATGTCCTGACTGGAGGCTGTTGTCATGGAAAGCCATAGGTGGAATTAACTAGAAGTGGGACATCCTATGTGATTGGTTAGGGGGGCATTTTTGGCTTTCTCTGGTTGGTCCTAAGTTAGAAGGGAAGACAAAATTGGGGACACTGTCAGTTATTAAGCCCTGGATATTTAGGGCTGATTGTAACAGAAGTTGTTTGGCTTCCTGAGTTGTTTCTGGAGATAGGAATCTGACTTCCTACAAGTCTGACATAGCAGACTGACTTCCTAAGTTGTGGATAATGGGTTGGTATCCTGGGCTGGTTGTGGCACATTGTAGGTCATAGTTCTATTTTCATCTCTGCTCTGGCCATAGTCTGTATATTCAGTCTCTCCCTCCTGTACTGAATTCTGCTCTTAAGCCAAAATCAGAAGTGCCTTTTATCTTCATTTTTTAATGAGGCTTACAGCAATACAGCTCCTGCATGTGACTTGCTTCCTACTATAACCTCTTTCTTCCTTAGAATCTGATCAGATAAGAAAGCTGAGCTGAGAAATAATTTAGGTATCATGAGCTCACAATTGTCCTACCCTTAGGACCCCTTACTCAAAAAAAGCTACCTTCTTTCTTCCCAGGATAAATGTTCTCATCAGCTGCTCTACCTGAGGCAGGAACACACTCACCAGATCGCCCTCGGAGGAGGGACTTGCCCTCATTTGAGGGAGCCCCATCAGCAGACAGCCCCCAGCTGCAAGCTTTCTCTGCCTCCACCTCAGCTACCAGAGCCACCTGACCCTGGGTCGCAAACCACACCCAGCTACTGAGCAAGGCAGGAGCAAGAAGATGCCACCATTTTGGCCCAGGGAAGACAACTCTAGCCAGATTTCTTGGGCCTACAGCATCATTTCACAGCTTCCTCTGCTCAGATCTCACCCTTCCATTCACGGCTGCAGATTTCTGATAAAATCTTGCACCTCGAACTCCATGTTAACCGCTGCTTCTGGAGAATCCAACCTGTGACTCTAACTCAGAGTCTGCTGCCACAGGCTCCAGGTGCTTAGCCCTGCAGGTGAGCCTCGTCAACATACATATGAATACACCCTCAGTTCACAGCTTCACGCCTCACTATGTAACTGAAGTTTAAGAGTAAACACACACAGCAGTGTACCAGTGTAATTGTTGTTCTCTGGCTAACTGTGTGTGTAAACAAGACCTGACGGAGATGAGCAAGTGGCAGCTCATAGTCTGCCCCTTGGTCCTTGATATGCAAGAATCTAATTTAAACCCAGAGAGGAGTCTCTCCAGCTCTTCTCTGTAGAAGTGATGGGGCAGCTGGGCATTCTCATAGCTCCCCTGTGCCCCATAATCTTAGGTATGAGTGTAACATTGAACCCACAATGTCCTGGTCAATAATCAAAGAATAGAAAAATAGAACAATAGAAAAGTCAATTGAAAGAGGAAGATGATTGAATTTAGCAAAGTATTGCTTTCAGTCATTCCTGATTTACAGTTTAACCCCCAGGCTCAGAGTCTCAGGCCGGCGTAGGAATGTAGCACAAATCCTCTGAGCTCTGGGCTGGTTTGGGAGCAAGCTGTCTGGGTTTCAGTCAGTGCATACACAAAACCATTGGCAAGCACAGACTGTGGCTCCAGAGAGCTACTGGATTAAGGAGAAAACTTTTTCATTGGCGTTAAATTAAACATGATCCAAATCCTCACATGACTAATATTTTGTACTTTTTTTCTCATCAAAGGTGATTTATTGAGTAGAGGAAATGGACATTAGGAGTAAATAGCAAAGCCAATGAGCATGAGTATGTAGAGGGAGAAAAATGCACTAATTTGGCCTCCATTTGCTGGTGAATCACCCCCTACAGAATTATCACCAGCAATGAGAAAATACATCCATCAAGCCGACAGAGTACTGCAGAGTCTGCGAACAAAAGCCAAGGAACCAGCCACTGCCTCCTGTTTTCCCAATGTGAAAGTATTCTGAAATTCAGAGAGCAAAGACAAGAGTCCCCAGTTGTTCATATTACCCTCAAATGAAACCTCATTACTATAAGTCATTATGTTCCGGTAGCTTTATCTCTAATGTCTTTAAGCTGCAAGACTGTGAATATTTCATCCGACATGAACAAGCCCAGGATAACTTGTGGTTTGAGTCATTATAGAATAACAGACAGCAATCTGAATCACTTGAAAAACGTCGAATCAAATTAGATCAAGGTGGCAGACTGAGAACATAGACCTCTTCTTCTGTCCCAAGTGCCCAGAAATACAGGAAGATGGGAAAGAGTGTAGGTGTGTGTGTGTGTACAGGACAATAGTTGTTCACCAGCATTATAAAAGAATTATCAGTGGGCCAGAAATCTGGCTAATTCTCCAGAAATTGAAGGCAAATGAGGTTGGTTTGGTAGAGTAAACAGCAGCCCAAAACTCGCCCCAGGTGAAGGGAACTATGAAAAATAGGAGCAAAGTTGGGTTTTGTACTCTCAGCCTGGATGTCCAGTTCTATGGAACTAGGAAAGTCATCAGGGCTATGGAAACACATTTAGAGGATTTAGAGCAGCCAGTGGGTTCCATTCTGCCCTCACCATTCCCTCACTCCCTATCTCAAATCAGAAGGAAGGATTTTTCCCTAGACTCTAGCAGTTAGTTTGAATGCTTGGGTTGGAAAGACTGGTTTGTGCCAATAGTAACTTCTGACAAATAGGAGAAACAGGAAACTCAAAAACAAAGCACTCATATGCTCCACCTGAAAGCACATCCTATCCCTTTCTCCAAAGTCAGTAGAATCAGGTTGCAGTCAACAGGAACACAATCACACAAGTGCAAACTGAGACTCAGTTTGAAAATGAGTACATGGGCAAGAAATAGAAAACATTTCAGGAAAACTAACACTTAGACACAAAAGACAACAAATGGAAAAACTGATGCACAATGAAATTAAGCTAATGCAGCAAACAAAAGGGGATTTTAAAGGAAATATGGTAATAACCTCAGTGTTATAGGAGAAGCTATCTCATCTACAAAATAAAAATGAGTTATCTGACAAATAGCCAATTAGAGACCTTGGAATAAAGGAGCATAACTTTCAAAAATCCTCAAATAAGCCAAATATCAAAATAGGCACCACTGAAGAATAAGTTACTAAATTGGAGGACAGAGTTGGAAAATTCCCTGGGAACTCTATACATAAGGGCAAAAAAAGTATGAAATGAAAGTCTATAAATATCAAAACATGCTATAAAGTTCTAGCAGCTAACACGTATATACTGGGTCCTGGTACATCAACAACCACAGGTAAGTTGAAAAAAATAAAAAGCCCATACCCAAAATGTTATAAATCATTCTACTATAAAGACACATGCACACGTATGTTTATTGCAGCACTGTTCACAACAGCAAAGACTTGGAGCCAACCCAAATGTCCATCAATGATAGGCTGGATAAAGAAAATGTGGCACATATACACCACGGAATACTATGCAGCCATAAAAAAGAATGAATTCATGTCCTTTGCATGGACATAAATGAAGCTGGAAACCATCATCCTCAGCAAACTAGCACAGGAACAGAAAACCAAACACCGCATGTTCTCACTCATAAGTGGGAGGTGAACAATGAGAACACATGGACACAGGGAGGGGAATATCACACACCAGGGCCTGTTGTGGGGTGGGGGGTGAGGGGAGGGAGAGCATTAGGACAAATATCTAATGCATGCAGGGCTTAAAACCTAGATGACAGGTTGATAGGTGCAGCAAACCACCATGGCGCATGTATACCTATGTAACAAACCTGCACATTCAGCACATGTATCCCAGAACTTAAAGTAAAATAAATAAATTAATTAATTAAAAAGCCCATGATCCAATATATTACATATGGAGATATGTGATAAATCTGGAGATGTAACTGCTCTCCTTTTGAAAAACAGCTTCTGGCTTCCTACTGGGCCTGAGGAAAGACTGAAGACCACACCTTGGGTGTCAGGTGACCCAGCATCCTGAGTTTCCCACCATAAGCCAGGTGTTGTCTGACCCTCCCAGTCACAAGACTGTGCTAAGAAGCAATCTACCAACATATGGGAATGGTATCACGATGGCTTCGTAACATGTCACCTGGGTTAGACTGAACCACATTTCCCTGAGATCCCTCTCTCGTATGTTTCTGGTTATGGTGAGCCAAAGCGAGATTCTTGGGATTCTTGGAAGGCTGAAAAGAAGATGTAGCTATTTGCAGTGCATGTACAGTTGTTGCTCATCCATTGACTCACCTTGTTAGCATAAAGCGGCATCTGGACCTGCAAATACTCTACCTTATCCTACATCCTTCCTTAGCTTTTCTGAGTTTGGGGCCAGGAATATGTGTTTATAACCTCCATGATAAAGGGTCATCAAGACCAGAGGTTTTCATTCATCCTCATAGGGTTCCAGCTCATGCTCACAAGGTTGCAATCTACTCATGATCTCCCCTTCCTGACACTCCTGCTCAGTGGACTTGCAAATGCATCAGCCTTACAGAGGCTGCTCAACCAGCTCCTACATCTCATAAGCCAATTCCCTGTAACAAATCTCATA